>NC_000006.12:135070790-136320790 GCF_000001405.40 Homo sapiens
ATGCTTGCATCACCTCTTTATAAGGAAATTTTTATAGATTGCAGCAAATAATAAACTATATCATACATTCTGATTTCCACGTGTAAAAAGGTGTTTGAAACATTTATCTTCATATTTATTTTAATAATTATTTTAGAATTGAAAATGTTGCCCATTTTTCTCTGTCTTTTACTATATATTATACAAATGAAATGTAAAGGACAACACAGTATCCGTTTCAAAGTTGTTTATAAGCAATATGTTCAAATTTGGACATTAGATAAAATGCAACAGTTATTTTAAATAACTATCTTAGTCCACTTTCTGTTGCTATAACAGAATACCATAGACTGGGCAATTTATAAACAAAATAAGTTTATTTAGCTCATGGTTCTAGAGACTAGGAAGTCCAAGAGCATAGCACCAGCATTTGGCGAGGGCCCTCTTGCTGCATCATAACATGACAGAGGACATCGCTTGGTAAGAGGGCAAGAGCAAGAGAGCCAGAGAGCTCACTTGTATAAGAAACCCACTCCCATGATAGTGACATTAATTCATTAATCCATTCATGAAGAGAGAAATTAGATTTCCAACACATGAACTTTTGGGGGATACATTCAAACCATAGCCATAGCCAAATAAATGTTAAAGGTGAAATAAATGTGTACTGGAAAATGGATGAAAGGAAATGTTATAGATTGAGTTTGTCACCCAAAAATTCATGTTAAAATCCTAATCCCCAGTGTGATGGCATTAGAAAGTGGAGCCTTTGGAAAGTAATTAATTCATTTGTTTGGAGCCCTCATAAATGGGATTAATATCATTACCAAAGAGATCCCAGACAGCTCTCTGGCCCTCTTTCTGACATATGAAGACACAGAGAGATGAACTAGGAAGTGAGCCCTCATGAGACACCAAATCTGCTGGCATCATGATATTGTTCTCCTTCAGCCTTCACAACTATGAGAAATAAATGCCTGTTGTTTAGGTCATCCAGTCTGTGGTATTTTTGTTTTAGCAACCCAAGTGGACTAAGATGGAGAACCATGAGAATCAGATGGTTACACACAGTGGCATGAAGACTGACAGTTAAGGACCAAGATGATGTAAGATGATGAATACCATGTTATAGAAAAAAACATTGAATATCTTGGAGCTAATTATATTAGAGAGTAGAAGGCTAAAGGATGACGTGACTGCTATCATCAAATAGCAGTCTAAGCCATCACGTAGCAATTCTAAGAACTATTCTATAGATTTTAGAATAACTTTATTTTGTGTTGTCCTAGAAGAGTGGGATTTATAAAGACAAAAGTCTCAGTTGAATTTGAGGGAAATGCACACAAAGCTTTTTGTTTGTTTGTTTTTGAGACGGAGTCTCGCTCTGTCGCCCAGGCTGCAGTGCAGTGGCGCGATCTTGGCTCACTGCAAGCTCCGCCTCCCGGGTTCACGCCATTCTCCTGCCTCAGGCTCCCAAGTAGCTGGGACTACAGGCGCCCGCCACCACGCCCGGCTATTTTTTTGTATTTTTTAGTAGAGACGGGGTTTCACTGTGTTAGCCAGGATGGTCTCGCTCTCCTCACCTCTTGATCCACCTGCCTCGGCCTCCCAAAGTGCTGGGATTAGAGGCCTGAGCCACCGCGCCCGGCATACAGAAAGCTTTTCAGCAATGGAATGAAGTGTCTCAATGAATTTCCCATTATGAGAAGCATCCTGTTGAGAAAATTTTAAGATTTTTTTTTTATTTGAAAAGACATTGGACCAGATGTTCTTTTAAGAGTTCATTCAACTCTAGCCTGTGATTCTATTTTTAATTAAATAGTAAGTTAAGGCAGGAAAACATCTTGAGCATAAAATAGAGAGTGAAAGAAAACTCTGCACTGGGAAAATAATAGGATATAAATGGGAAATTAAACAGAAAAGAGAATATGAAATAGGAAAAGACAAGATCAGTAAAGAAATTTAGCCAGGCATAGTAAAGCATTTTGACCTTCAGGATGAGGGTTAGGTCTCTCAAGAGTGTCCATAAGCCAAGTGAGAAAAAAATGTCAACCACTAAAAGAGGTCATATCCATGCTCCAAATTTCTCCCTTTTCATATATTGAGTCAAGGGGCTTGATACGCAACAGGAAGTTGACAGATTAACCAGAAAAGTACAAATAGAAAGTTGGTTTGTCCTCCTAGAGGATTGTGGTTAATGATTGTTAAAAGTGCCCTTGCTAACGGTAGACAGCATCCAATGAGTTTGAAGCAATCGAGGTGGGAAATGACAAGGATGTGGGCTAAATCCCTGACCATTTGTTTCTGTGTAATTTATGCCAATGAGATATATGATGGGGGAGAGAGAGGAAGACAAGAAGTTGGGAAAAATGGGTGGAAAGGGAGATGTGAGAAGCTGTTGTGAAGGTAAAGGAGAGCTTTCCAAAAGCCCTGCAGAGTTTCCACATCATGTTTTTGTACAATGTTACTTCTCCATCAAGAAAAAGGGAATCCTTTTCTGGAAAATAAAATAAAACCGGGGCCCTTTACACACCTGTACTTTAAAAGATCATACAGTACTTCAGTGGGAAGGTGTGCTAATACTCCTACATTTTGGTTAAACTCCAAGTCAAATAGTTTCATTCTATCTACCTAAATCCTCTACTGTTTAATTGAAGGAAGTCATACTTCACTCCACTTCCTTAAAAACTAATAAAACATGTCTGGAGTTGTTTACACTATTATACTATGTGGTATAATGTGATTCTTAGATTTTTAAATGCCTACAAACTCTTTATATCCCTCAAAAAAGGCTCTTTAACTTTTGGTTGTTAGCATTTTTCCCAGCAGTAACACTTTGGATCTTTATTATATTATTAATATATATTTATGAAGGATCATGATTAACAAATATAATAGGATTATTTTTATATAGCAATATAACATCTTCTCTAAAATTACATTGATGGGATGCATCTTTTCAACTTTTCTTGTATTTTATATGGTTCTCTTTGGAATGCTTTTTAGGCTCACCACAGAAATCCAAGAAAACATCAACTTTTGCTTGCTTCTTTACTTCACCTCTCCTTTGTCAGTTTTTCTGAATTCTCTTTATATTAAGGCAAGACTTAACTTGGTTTGGTTGTTGGAAAACCCTGGCATCACCTGGCCTCATAAGAGGGCAGAAATTTGGCCCTAATCCAATAAACTTTCATGACAACACTCTTTCAGCTTCATTTTGGTGACTTGATCTGATAGCCAAGAAGAAAAGAACTACTTAACAATATGTCAGCTTACTATGTAGTTTGGTTCACATGTCTAAAGTATAGAAATCTATCACCTATTGCTAGGATAAATGTCATATCTTGCGAAGACTAATCTTGTTCCAACGGACATACTTTTTAAATGCATAAATCTACTTGAAAACTAATCTGATAACAAAGACATGCCTGCAGAAGGATGATTCAGTTGTATCAATGTACTTGTCACTCAGACCTCAGCCAGAGAAAAATAATATGATGGGGCTGGTGGGTGTTAAAAGTATGCAAAGTCTTGATAATCAGACAACATTAACCACAAAATGAAAAGAAGAAACTTTTTTTTTTTAAGTTACAGGAAAAAAAGGTCTAATGAGTTTTTTTAGACTTTAAGACATGAGTACGAAGAGACAAACTGCCAATTTGCCTGAGAAAGTAGTAAATCTTAAAAAAAATGTACTTACTTTGGCTGTTATCATTATTTTAAAATTAAGATTATACATATCATCCTGGCTCATTCTCAAATGAAATTGGGAATATAACTCTTGAAATTGGGACTATACCTCTTACTTATTTCAAATATTAGAGGCATTTTTGTACACCAGTGAGAAGGGAGGGCTGTCTCTTTACTTACAGAAGTTGTGTTCTAGCTCCCCATCATTTCCTAGTTTTCTCTTATTTTTTTGCCTCAGAGACTCTATTTAGTTATTTGTGAGTAAATTTATAATATGGCTTTACTTCTAGAAACCACTGGCTAAATTCAATATCCTGTAATTGAAAGTAAAGTTTATTTTTGTAAACTCTTTAATGCTTTATTATTTTAATTTAACTATGTTCAATTTCAAACATGAGAAACTGTTCCTTTGAAATCTAATTAAGCAATTCTAAGGTAGAAACATTTTTAAAAATTTGAAAGTCTGGCCCTAAAAGGCCACATTTTCCTAATTAATTTAACCAGCTCCTCCTTATCTCAGAGACCAGATCCATGCATATATAATTAAACAAGAGTATTCAATTATATATTGGTTAGGGTACTCCTACTAGTCCCAGGACCTAATTTTTTAAAAAAATTACTGAATACTAAATTAGGATCTCTATTCTTACTTTGTAAATGGATAATTAATTGCTCTTCACCTGACTTTTCTCACTTGTGGTTGACCTTGGCGTGACTTTTTCATGACACTAGGTGGCAGGAATAGAAGTTTTCCTTCCTTCCCTCCCTCCCTTCCTTCCTCCTTCTTTCTCTTTCTTACCCCCTCCTTCCCTCCCTTTGTTTCTTCCTTCCTTTGCACTATGTACTCTAGTTAAGAAGTTAGCAATTTATCTAAAGCCCTTATTTTGTTTTGCTTTTTAGTGCTTTTTGTTTCATTAATTATTGATTATTATATGTTTGTGCTTATTTGTTTAGTTAGGAATTTGACTATGGAATAGTGAAATAACTCATATGCTATTTTATTATTATATTCATGGAATAACATTTCATATCTCACATTTTTAAGAATTTTGTTAGAAAACTTCATGTATAGACCAGTAAATAGCTTTCCTTTCCTCATGGCCACTTAAAATATGAACATAAAAGTATTAAATGAATTAAATGAATGCTTTCTACTTCCATTTTAGAGAACCGAGCAAACAATATTGATATTTTGTATTTGAATGTTTTAGGCAAAGCTAAAACATGACAACATCTGATTTCTCCTTTAGAGGTCCTGGACCTGGCTCAGTGAAACTTCACATATTAGTGTTGTCTCAAAATGTTCTATTATTGACTAAATATGACTCTATGCAATATTTCTTTTTAGGGGGTAGAATCTTTGGTGTATTTTTGTTGTTGTTGTTCATTTTGTTTGCTTGTTTGTTTGTTTTTGAGACAGAGTCTTGCTCTTGTTGCCCAGGCTGGAGTGCAATGGCACAATCTTGGCTCACTGCAACCTCCGCCTCCTGGGTTCAAGCGATTCTCCTGCCTCAGCCTCCCGAGTAGCTGGGATTACAGGCACCTGCCACCATGCCCGGCTAATTTTTGTGTTTTTAGTAGAGACGGGGTTTCGCTATGTTGGCCAGGCTGGTCTTGAATCCCGACCTCGTGGTCTGCCTGCCTCAGCCTCCCAGAGTGCTGGGATTACAGGCGTGAGCCACCGCACCTGGTCTTTTGTTCTTGTTTTTTAGCTGAGGTCTTGCTCTGTCACCCAGGCTGGAGTGCAGTGGCATGACCATGGCTCACTGTAACCTTGAACTCCTGGGCTCCTGTCATGGCCTCTCAAAGTGCTAAGATTACAGGCATATTTTTGGCTTTTTTTTTTTTTTTTTTTTTTTGGAGGCAGAGTCTCGCTCTGTCACCCAGGCTGGAGTGCTGGAGTGCAGTGGTGAGATCTCAGCTTACTGCAGCCTCTGCCTCCAGGTTCAAGGGATCTTCCTGCCTCAGCCTCCCCAGTAGCTGGGACTACAGGCACATGCCACCACACCCAGCTACTAGTTCTTTGTATTTTTAGTAGAGATGGGTTTCGCTATGTTGGCAAGGCTGGTCTCAAACTCCCGGCCTCAAGTGATCTGCCAGCCTTTTGTCTCCTAAAGTGCTGGGATTACAGGTGTGAGCCACCATGCCCGGCCAGATCTTTGGATTTTAAACTGAGCTTCCTAAAACCAAAATATCTAGACCTACCAGTATGAATACCTACTAGATGAAATCACTGTTGCCAAGAAAATCAATGAGTTTCAATATTTTAGGAAAAGGAAAAATACATTCACTCATACAGTTTTTATATATTTATTGAACACCTGCTATGTGACAAGTCTTTCATTGGAAACCAGAGACACAAAACCGCAAAAGGAAAAATAATATAAAAATAATGGAAAGGAAAAATATAATAATACAAAAGGAGCCTACAGTCTAGAGAAAATAATATTATCACTGAATATGGCCTATGCTGTACCTGGAATACTCTTCTTCACTCTTCCTTCTCCTAACTCCTCCTTTACTCACAACTGTCCCACATCCCTCTTCACTCCTCCATCCCACTTTCCATCACCTGCTTAACTCCTATCCCTCCTTCAGGTTTCAACTGAAACCTCACTCCTTCAGGAAGGCATTTTCCAACTCCATAGACTTGGATAAATATACTAGCTATAAAGTGGCCATTTTTCCATATCATAGCACCCAAGAATTTTAGTACATTACTTGCTTAATGTCTATCTTTGGAGATTTAAAGACGGAAACCATCTTGCTTTTGTTTGCTACCGTAACTCAAATACCTTGCACATTCCTGGGCCCATAGTACGTGCTCAGTCAATATTTAATGAGTGAATAAATGAATGAAAAGGTGTTGTTTAATATCTATAAGTATATTGTGTCTTAATATATAGTATACAAAGAAAAAATTAAATACTTTAATAAATTGGTAGAGTAAAATAGAATATCCTTTGTTTGTTTGTTTGTGTTTTAATTCCTGAGTCTCTGGAGAAGAATATACTTATTAAAGCAAAGGAAAAAAATGATAGTATTGTGACTCAAGTGTTACAATTTTGTGCCTGCTGTTTACAGTCCATATGCACTTTCAAGTCTCTTTCCACTATATCTTACAACTAAGTTCTATAACTCCATCTTTATTAATTTCTGATTGCTAGTTTTAGATTCCTAGTTTCAGATTATATAAACATCAAGTTAATTTGAAAACTATGGGCATATGTTCAAACTTTCTTTTTCACTATTAGTCAAGAAATAACTAAGTACATCTCCATATACATATTCAGGACAAAAACAATGAATACTTTGGATTCTGTGAAATGCCTCTCTTCCTAGCACCTAACGTCGTATCATTGAATCCCCAAGATTAGTCAAAAGTCCAGTTGGGATCACTAATAATTAAAAGCCGTGGTCAAAACTGTGTGTGTCCAAACCCACCCTTTCTACTCTGTTTTGTGATGCTGGGGCTAAGCCTCTGTAAAGAGCTTTTCTCTTTTGTCCTCCAACTCCCTGCTAGGCTTGGCCAATAGAAGATGCTGGAGGTGCCAGGTGCGGTGGCTCACACCTGTAATCCCAGCACTTTGGAGGCTGAGGCGGGCGGATCACGAGGTCAGGAGATTGAGACCACCCTGTCTAACACGGTGAAACCCCGTCTCTACTGAAAATACAAAAATTAGCCGGGCACGGTGGCAGGCGCCTGTAGTCCCAGCTACTCAGGAGGCTGAGGCAGGAGAAGGGCATGAACCCAGGAGGTAGAGCTTGCAGTGAGCCGAGAGCGCACCACTGCACTCCAGCGGGAGCGACAGAGCGAGACTCCATCTCTTAAAAAAAAAAAAAAAAAAAGATGCTGGAGGCAGGCAGGAAAGCCAGGTTGAAGAAAGGATTTGCATCTTCCTGTTTGTTCCACAGTGTTATTTCAGCAAAAGTCTCAGCCTGGCAGAGGCCATGTCTCCTGCCTTTCTCAGCACTCCCAGAGCCATCCTCATGGTGCCACTACAATGATACCACCAGGACCCAGTCAAAAAAATAGAAACTACACTAGTTTAATATAATGAATGAAATACAATGAATTTAGTATAATGAATGAAAGATTGATCATTTAACATAACGAGACCATTTAATGTAATGGATGAAAGACTGATCAGGTGTTAGAGAACTAAAGCAAAAAGGGAACACTAAGGTAACACAGAGATAAGTCACCCCAGGAAGAAGCTACCACTCTAGGGCAAAAAGAAAGACATGGGTCTTGTCAGAACCTAGAAGCCCAGAAGAAGGACCAAGCACAGCCAGGACTCAGGCCTCTGAAGAGGAACCACCGCAGGGCTGGTGCTGATGCCTGGAAGATCAGAGGGAGAGGTTTATGGACCTGAGACTCAGACCTTAAGGTGGGTGTGCTGCCTGACTGGTACACTATGTATACAGGAAATCTGTGTGAGCCTAGACTATGTCCACTACTGTGGTTCACGAATATCTAAGCACATTTACTGAGGCTGTAAGATGGCCCAAGAGAAGTCAATCTGTATAAGTTGATATATTTATTTATTTTGATTGGTTATCTATCTGCTTGTTTCTTTGTTTCAGCCCAAAGATGAGGAAATAGATTTTAGTGACTCAAGGGGGAGGAAATAGGTGACCAAGTACATAGGGAGAAAGATTGGAGAATAAAGAGCATAGCATGTGGTATGCTGTGCCACATGGTTTGGCTGTGTCCCCACCCGAATCTCATCTTGAATTGTAATCCCTGTAATCACCATGTGTTGAGGAAGGAACCTAGTGGGAGATGATAGGATCATGGGGGTGGTTCCCCCATGCTGTTCTCGTGATAGTGAGTTCTCACGAGATCTGATGGTTTTATAAATGGTAGTTTTTCCTGCGCTCTCATACTCACTCCCTCTGGCTGCCTTGTGAAGAAGGTGCCTGCTTCGCCTTCCCCCATGATTGTGAGTTTCCTGAGCTTCCCCGGCCATGCAGAACTGTGAGTCAATTAAACCTCTCTTCTTCATAAATTAACCAGTCTCAGGTATGTCTCCACTAAAAATACAAAAACTAGCTGGGCGTGGTGGTGCACACCTGTATTTCCCAGCTACTCTGGAGGCCGAAGCACAAGAATCACTTGAACCTGGGTGGTGGAGGTCACAGTGAGCCGAGATTGTACTACTGCACTCCAGCCTGGGTGACAGAGCGAGACTCCATCTCAAAAACAAAACAAAACAAAACAAACAAAAAGAAACACATAATAATAATAATACATAATCCTAGGATGAAATTTTGATTCTGCTAAAATATGTGCTAAATGAATTAAATATTGCAAATTATGTGAAATAAGGGAAATACAAGTCACAAGTATTGAGATGAATTTAGTATTTAATTTAATATAATAATACTAATTTAATATTTAACTTAATATTGTGCTTGTATTCACAATATCTCCTATTTTTTGGGAGGCTGTTCTCCCACTTACTTTCTCAGGTAGGGAACCACAAAAGTCAGCAGCTTTCATACACTAATCATGTGTTCTGCTATGAAAAGTGGTGCGCTAAGATCTCTAAAAAGAAACATAGAAGCTATGCCACCAAATTCTAACCATGAATTCCCCTTAAAACCTTTAAATCTTAGATTAAATACTCCTTTATGAATGCTTTTCATAGTTTGTATCTTTAGAAGTTTAATTCTAAAGATCATTAAATGTTTAATCATGCTTTGGGGTATACACAAAAAGACATAGAAAACAACAGAATATTTCAAAATGTTCTGAGACACTGCCACTCCATATGCTGGAGTGCACATTGCAGTATTATAATGAATTGTTGAAAGTGTGGACTCACTGTAACACTTTTTATAATAACAATGATATTTAAGCAGTCTGTTCAAGACTTCTGCCGGCTCAATTATTTACACTCTAAATCTAATGTAAGCCTAACACATTTATTTCTGTGAACAGCAGTATTTTACTGTGAAAAGAAGGTGTTTGTAAGCATTGCCACATGGTTCTTAGAATGTCTGAGCACAGCAAGATAGTCATTTTTTTAAATTGGAAAACAAACACAATGCAAAGACTTGAGGGAACCAGTGTTGGGTTTTGTTGTTTAAAGATGTTTCAGGGATTTTTACATTGCTTTTAATTTAAGAAACAGAAGATACGTAGTATAAAAAAGAATTCCTTTTTTACATAATAAAAATTCTCTATTAGAGTCAAAAGTGAGCCTCGACACACACACAGATGTGTGCATACACACGTGCCTGCACACACACACATAGCATAGCTTTTCAGCAAAGTATAGTAGATATACTATTCAAGGCATTAAGGAAATCCTGGATTAATCACTAGCTGACCACTAAGCTAAACAAGCAGAGCTTAGTGGCCACAAACAACAACAACAAAAGACTTTACAGAATTAGTTTGGAAAGTCATTAAACAAAGAAACAGCAGCAACAACAGCAAACCCTTAAAAGGGAGGGACTCTGATTACCAGAGTTGCCACAATGTAATATTTTAAATGCCGTTTTGACCAAAAAATATCACAAGACACACAAACAGGAACACATGGTTAATACACAGGAAAATAGTAGTCAATAAAAACTATCTCTGAGGAAACACAGACAGTAGACTACCTAAATAAAGACTTTAAATCAGCTATTGCAAATATGTTCAAAGGACTAAAGGAAACCATAGGTAAAAAATTAAGGGAAAGTATGAGAATGATGTTTCTTTCTTTCCGTTTCTTTCTCTCTCTCTTTCTCTCTCTGTCTCTCTTTCCTTCTCTCTCTTTCTTTGTTTTTTTTTTTTTTTTTTTTTTTTTGAGACAAGGTCTTGCTCTGTCACCCAGGCTGGAGTGCAGTGGCCAATCTTGGCTCACTGCAGCCTCCACCTCCCAGGCTCAAACGATCCTCCCACCTTAGTCTCCTGAGTAGCTGGGACTACAGGTGCATGCCACCATGTCCAGCTAATTTTTGTATTTTTAGTGGAGACAGTGTCTCACTATGTTGCCCAGGCTGGTCTCAAACTCCTGGGCTCAAGTGATCTGCCCACCTCAGCCTTCCAAAGTGCTGGGATTATAGGCATGAGCCACTGCTCCTGGCTGAGAATGATGTTTCATCACATTTTAAAAAAATCAATTAAATGGTAGAAATTATTTTTAAATGAACCAAATAGAAACTCTAGAGTTATAAAGTACTATAAGTACAATGAAAATTTCACTAGAGGGGCTCTAGCAGATTTATACTGGCAAAAAAAAGAATCAGTAAACTTGAAGATAGGTCAATTGAGAGTATCCAACCTAAGAAACAAAAAGAAAAAAGAATGAAGAAAAATCAACAGAGCCCCAATAACCTTAATTGTACTTAGCACAATTGAGTATCAATTATACTAAGTAAACATAATGGAAATACCAGTGGGAGAGGAGACAGAAAGAAGCTGAAAGAATATTTGAAAAAATAATTGTCAAAAAATTCCAAAATTTGATGAAAAACATTAATCCCCACATTCAAGAAGCTTAAACTCTAGGATAAATTCAAAGAGATCAACACCTACATATACACTGTCATAAAGTCAAAAGACAAAGACACAGTCTTGAAAACACAAGAGACAAGTGACTCAACATGTAGAAGAGATCCCTAAAAACAGTAGTATTTTGATTTCTCATCAGAAATCATGAAGACCAGAGGATGGTATGATGCCATATTCAAAACACTGAAAGAAAAAAATTGTCAACCAAGAATTTTATATCCAGTCAAACTATCCTTTAAAAACGAAGAAATGGAGACATTACAACATAAACAAAATACAAAAAATACTAAAGGTAGACATGTAAATTGAAATGAAAGAACACTAGATAGTAACTCAAATCCACATGAAGAAAATCCACAAGAAGGAAACTACATAGATTAATATAAAAGACAGTATATATGCATTTTGAGGGTAACTCTTTTCTTCTATTGGATTTAAAAGACAACTGTGTAAAGCAACAATTTTATAGTGTGCTGATGCTCTTATAATCTATAAAGATGTAATTTGTAGCCACGCAGGGTGACTCACACCTGTAATCCCAGCACTTTGGGAGGCCGAGATGGGTGGATCACCTGGGGTCAGGAATTCAAGACCAGCCTGGCCAACATGGCAAAACCCTATCTCTACTGAAAATACAAAAATTGGCTGGGCATGGTGGCACATGCCTGTAATCCCAGCTACTTGGGAGGCTGAGGCAGGAGAATGGCTTGAACCCAGGAGATGGAGGTTACAGTGAGCCGAGATCATGCCACTGCCCTCCCGCCTGGGCAACAGAGTAAGACTCCATCTCAAAAAAAAAAAAAAAAAGATGTAATTTTTATGACAATAATAGCACAATGGAGGGGGGAGGAAAAAAGATATATTAGAGCAAAATTTTTGTATTCCATTTAAATAAATCACTAGTAATTGAAATAAATTATTTAAATTTATATGCTAATTATGATCCCCAGGGCAACAATTAAGAAAATAAAAACATATAACAAAAAAAGAAGGATTGTAATGTTACACAAGAATATACCAATTAAACACAAAAGCAGGTAGTTATTAAATTCCATTTAACTTTCTGGTTTAAGGCTATGAAACTAAGTACTGAGTTCCTATTAGCTATGGTGACCATATAGTTCATCATTCAAATCAAAGTAGTTTGAGGACATTATTTCTATCAGGACAGATGACATAGACTCTCCCTGGCCAACTTTGATATAAGACCACCCTACTTTTAACAGAAAAGTTTAGGTATTTTGAACAATCAACTTAGTTTGCATTGTATCAAACACTGTTTAGTATTCATATTTGGCTACTAACTTGTAGGGCAAATTAAGCACTATGTTTTAGCATTCTGGTACAATCTGATTATGAGAAATTGTTTTCAACGATTTAAATCTGGTCACTATCATCAAGTAAATACTGTGTTTGGGATTGTATCGGTTCTATAGATTGATCTGAGGAAAATTTTTTTGTAGTTTTCATTTCATTATACAGGCCTTACATATATACTGTTAAGTTTATCTCCAAGTATCTCATACTATTTATGCTATTATAATCGGTTTATTTTCTACTTGTGTATTGCTAATGTAAAGACAGAATTGATTTTTGTATATTAACCTTATATCCTGCAACCTTGATACATTTGCTTATTAATTCTAGCATTTTTTTCCCTAGATTTCATTTTACCCTGTCAGGTAAGACTAAAATGTGAAAGTATGAATGCTTCCACTGGTGGGAGGCAGAGACATAGTATTTGGAAATGTGAACTATTAACAACCTTTTTGGAAAGCATTTTGATAGCATCTATTAAAATTTAAGTGAAAAAACACATTTAGTTTCAGCTCAGCAATCTCACTGCTAGGAATCTATTTTATAGCCAGCATAAGGATATATGTGCAAAGATGTTGATTGCAGTCCTCATTTGTAATGACAGAAACCTGGAAATGAAGTGAATGATCAATAATAGGTGAGTGCTTAAGTGGTGGTACATCCACCCTTGGTTTCAGCTGGCTTGAATGGGTTTATCAGACTAGTAGAAATAACCCATTTCAGTAAAGGACTATATAGTACAAAATAATATTTCATTTTTAGATATGGTTATGTATTGCTGAAAACTAAAAAGGTTTAAAGATCTATTACTGTTCAGTGGAACTTTCTTTATTCCTTCTAAAGCTTTGTCTTGCTGTGAGAAAGGTATCCACAGTCTGCAAAACAAGCCGTTGCTCCTTTCAAATTTGCATAATGTGCATGCAGTTACAGCCGCTCAATTTTTTTTCTTCAATTGCCAGAAGATTTCCATAACTTATTCAATAGAACTCACTCAAATACAGCAATTTTTATTTATCCTTCTACTTATCTTTTTAAAACTCTGATGGCTATGTCTCTGCCATTGTTACTTCTTTGAAAAACAAAATAAACAAAAAGAAAACATTATTCTGACAAATCATGAGATTACCATGATTTCTGCCTATTTGTACCACATTATTTTCATAAATACTTTTAACATTGGATGTGATCTGAAATTATTCATTGTATCACTGTGTATCACAGTAAGTGCCTATTTTATTGCTATAAAGACTTTATTGCTCTTTGGAGAAATGCACAAATACATTTGTAGTAAAAGTAAAGGAATAAAGTAAAGGGGTATAATGGTCAGATCTTCTGCAAGGCCATTAACAGCATACCGTGAATCAAGCATGACTTGACATACGAGAGGAATGATTTATAGCAAATTCTTGGAACAACTACTATCTGTAGGACCTAGGAGAGAGAAAAAAATACAAAGACATAAAAGAACTCAAAACATAAGCCACTTTTGCATAGTCATTAACTGCAGATTATATGACTTATGCTCTTACAAAGAATCGTTTGAAGCATCAGATGAAGAGGGAAGGCAGAGCAGTGAGAAGTCTTTGAATGAGACCTTTGAGCTTGTATTGCAGACTTGGGAACTCACCTCATGTAATGGGGAAAACAGGCTGATTATTTAGTTCTTTTTTATTAAAAAAACTCTATAATTATAATAAAACCCTTTTTAATTTATTTACCTAATATCCCCTTGCCTGAAATGTCTTTTTTTTTTTTGTTTTTGTTTTTTGAGACAGGGTCTGGCTCTGTTGCCCAGGCTGGAGCTTGGCTCACTGCAACCTCCACCTCCCGGCCTCAAATTATCCTCCCACCTCAGTCTCCTGAGTAGCTGGGACTACAGGCATGAGGCACCACACCCAGGTAATTTTTGTATTTTTGGTAGAAACAAGGTTTCACCATGTTGGCCAGCTGGTCTCAAACTCCTGGCCTCAAGCAATCCTCCCGCCTCAGTCTCTCAAAGTAATCCTTCAGTCTAATCACCAAAAGTAATAGCTTGTTTCTGCTGTGAAGGAAATCTACAATAATAATTATATTGAGTGTTTTCATACATTTGATTAGTATAACCAAATAATTTCAATAAGTATAAAGATTTAAAATGAACATTTCCTTAATGTTGTTTAACCTGCATTATAGGTTTTATTTACAACTCAACCCTTATCCATAAATAATAGTCTCAAATATTTACTAAAAGTCAATATATTTTGTGTATGATATCACAGCCATAAAAACAATCAAATTAGAAGTAGCATTTACAGTATTAGTCACAGATAGGAAACCATAATTTAGTGAAGAATAACAAAAATAAATAAATATAGATTGACAGATACATAGTTAGATTCTGAAATTTAACTTTGGCTTTACCCAACCTTGTTGAGAATGAAATCATGTATGCAGGGTGCCTTAAAGGCACTTTTTTCCTAAAAATTGTATATATTGGAAATAATTCACCAAGAAAATCCTAAGAAAGAAAAAGAGTTTATGTGATTGACTTTGGGTTATCAAAGCAAAGACTATCCAGGGTAAATAACAGGCAGAGGATAGTGATTACAGCTCATTTATTAAAATAGCAACATTGGTACATATCTGAGTCAAGCCTGGAACTCCCCCTCCCTCTCAACTAGACAAGTTAGGCTTTAAAATTACTGTAAAAATTAAGTCAAATTGCCTGTGAAGGTAAGCTCTTAGAAGAATTTTTTAGGTAGATGATCTACATAACAAGACATGCACCAACCAAATCTGCAGTCAAATATTGGGGGAAAAAAGCAACAACAGTAGGTTTGTGTTTATTGCGATGTCTGGAATATTTTAAAAATTAAGCTCCTGGCCTCAGCCTAGGGATTTCTAATCAATTCCAGGAAATGTACTGTATCTTTCCTTGAGGCCAGCAGGAAAGCCCCTTGGCAAGGGTGTCTGGAATGGCCACTTGACATCCCCAGCACACCTCTTGCCAAAGTTACCCATGGCTGCTGACAGAGAGACTGATGTGCTGCCACAGATTGACTTTAGGGATGAACAGATCAAGATCAACTAATCTGGGCAGATGCATTAAAGTGTTTCTGTGTATTTAAGCATACCATAGAAAGACAAATTCAACAGCTTTCACTTTGCTTTCATACAACGTTGTTCTCTTACGTGTTTTCTATTTTTGTTTATATACTAATTTCCTCTAGATTGACTGGGTTCTAAATTTATTATGAATTTGGTAAAGCCTCTGAACTTTGTGTTTCTATATTACACACCTTGTGTCTGTGACTACTGTTGTGGTTATACACTCGGGATTTTGAAGTCTCAACGATAATCACCATAAGTCATTTTTAGCAGCTCTGTTTAAAAGATTCCATCAGTAGAAATTCAGCACGGGTAACTTTCACTTAAACATTCCAGACCCTCAGAATCCTTTACATTTAAGTGATGTGTTAAAAACAATGGCACCTCTTTTTACTTAATTTCAGTCACATTTGGAAGAAGATAAGAAAGTTTATTCTGAACTCCATCACTCACTATTACTGAGTTTGCTTCATTGTTGAAACTAGGGAAAATTAGTCCGAGGTTTCAAAAAAGCAGCTAAACAATTTTTTTTCCAAATTCTTATCCACCATGACTAGACCATGGCAAAAAAAAAAAGAAAAAAAAAGAAAAAAGAAAGAAAAAAAAGGAAAAGAAAAACAATAAAACACAAACAAACAAAAAACCCAGAGAGACAAAAACACACTTCAGCATAGTAGAAAGAAAGCAGATATACGTAGACACAAATCCCCAAGCTCTCCACTTACTGGGTAAGTGGAGCTACTTAATATCACTACAATTCAGTTTCTTTATTTATAAAATAGAGATGACACCTCCTTCATCGCTTTGCTGAAGGATTACAGGATGATGGGTGAACTGTAATACTTGGTACATATTATACATTCAATATACATTAGGAGGACCCCTTTCTGCTCATTATGTGGACAGAGGTAAAGTACCAGGCCAGGGTATTTATGATGACTATGTGGAAAGACTTTGGCTTCTATGGGGATGACATGGTTATAGGAATCAAAACTTTGACATTAAAAACTTTCATATCCCTTTATGAAATTCAATGAAAAAGAAAGAGCTGTTGATGCTGTGGGCTAAACATGAGGACAGTAATGGTTGGATTAACACAGCTGGACCACAGAGTGCCAGATGGTGGAAGACACCCTTCCCCTTCCCCTTCCCAACCCATAAATCCTAGAACCCTGAGCCCCCTAGTGTGAGCTTTGTGCATTTGTGCTTGAGGCAGCGAGGTTCTCCCACCATAGGTCCCAGTTGGCATATCCACCAACAGCTCTCACCAAATCACACTTGTGTCCTGCCTTCCTTTCCACATCCGCCTGCACTCTCACCACCCCCAAAGAAGCACCTTTACTGTATATTACAGATATGTTTGATTTCTCTAAGCAAAATGTTCTCATATTCTACGTACAATTGCATTCAAAACCTAAGTTCCACTATCTTAGAGATGATTGTGTTGTTGTGTTTTTGTTTCCTTGAGGGAATATTACCTCTGTAAACCATATGGCAAAGGGACAAGATGGAACATGAGTCACTGTACACAAGGGAACAAACATCCAGACATGAAGGCAGCGTCACAACAACTCCAGAGGCTGGCAGTTTCTGGGCTTCAAAAGGAAAATAACTTTTTTTTTTAACTCTGCAAACCACAGCTACTTGTGTGGTTGATGTGTAGCTAAAGGCCACGGGTCTCCTATCACATGATCTCACACAGAACTGGAGTTCTTCCAGTGAGCAGGTGTTAACGGTCCCTGAAAACCAGTTTGTAAGAGATCGTAGCTGTCATCCCGGAGTGGTGTGTTTTAATAGAAAGAAACCCATGTTTCCCAGGAAATTGCTATCAAAGTTCAACAGAGATTCCAGTGCATGAGCGGAACATAATTTACCCACCATTTATCTTTAATGAGCACCTACTGTGTGTCAGGTACTAAGCACCTGCTAGCTTTGTCTATTTTAATCCTGCTGTTCCTTTAAATCTCAGGCAAACATCACTTTCTTACAAAAGCCTTCCCTTACTTCCCTGAGTCAGATCCTCCTTTTACACACTCTGGTAATATGACATCTCTGTCTTTCACGGCTCTTAACCATGGCTGAATTTTACAGTATTTATGGCATTCTTTTATTAACATTTGTCTCCTCCAGCAAGCTGTAAGCACCATGAGGGCAAGTACTGTGTCTGACTTTAGTCAGTACTATATCCACAGCACCTAGAAGGCACTCATGTATTTATCAACAAATGCAGGTCTTTATGTTGTCTGCAATCTTACATGCTCCTGAGGTAACAGTTCAGCTGACCTGATTTAGGGTCAGCTAGGATAAAATGAGTAAATATTAATTAGGAATAAAGTGCATATTTCTTTCTTTGGGAGACATAGATTACCCACACCAGTGGTGAACTGGTAAGCCAGCTCTCTTGAAATTAGTCAGTCAATCAATCAATAACCCTGACTGGTATTGTTTGCCAAATTCCTTGGTGCAAATACTCTCCCCATATCCAATTTCAGACTACCGGTATGAAGTTATTGGACCTGAGTTGGGAAGAAATGCACACAATCAGCAATCATGAGCCAATTTGAAGCAGCACTAGCATACACTGCCTCACACCCCACAGATACTCTGAACTATTGCATCACTCCCATGATTTGTCATAACTGTAGCCACAAGAGCAGCCTACGATACCTTGTGTCTTCTGGAGGCATGTAATTAGAGACCCCATGAAATAAAGTCACATACAAATGATTCACCAGGAAAAGCCAACATCACTGGGAATGGAATGTTAATTTTTTAATCTGCATAAGATTGAAATTACAGTTAAGATCCTGTTTGACGGAACATGGTTTCACATTTGAACTCTGGAGAAAAAATAACCTGGGGACATGGGTTCTCATTTTAGAATCTTATTGATAAGTGAAATGATAACATTTACTCTCTAAACCATTGTCTTGACCTGAATGGGTAGCAAAAACATCACCCTAAAAAGTCACCACAAAATGAAGACCTGAAGGCTTCAAATAGGAATTTTTTTGCCCTAGGGTGTACTCCTGAGATTCTACCATTAGGGGTGCTATTCTTTGATTTTTCTAAATCTTATCAGGACATTAAAGCCACTGTGAAAGTGAATATTCTCCATGGACAGCTGCCACTTTAATCCTTTATCAGCCAACACCTTCACTATAAGTGAGAATAAAAACCAGCAGAAATAGGCTTGGTGGGCCCCAGTGGATGGGAGCAGAGGCACTGGAAGGGGAATTGGAAATTTGCATAAACAAGTTCTGCTTCATGATATTTATTTATTTATGCCAAATCTAGCCAGTCACTTCTCTTTAGGTTTTTTGCCATGCCTGGTATTTTATTTTTAAGTCATGTATTTGTTCTAATATTTATTGGACAATTACAACTGCTGATAAAATCCAAAGGGGCTGGGGATTTAGATATAAAAGATGATTAGCTTTTCTCACAACTTTCATGCAAACATAACTAAAAATTAACACTATTGATTTTTGCTAAATAAAAGTACCAAAAACCTGTTATCTACATGACTTGTTTGCTTAAAAGCATTTGCCTTGGGAGGCAATTACTTTTGCACCAACCTAAAAACATCCACCAAAGCGTTTGGGGCTTCCCAGAGCCTCCATGTTAGCAAATCTTGGGCTAACATGAAGAGGATGTGATGTTGTTGGATATGGCCAATACCATATGAAGCTAAGTCTAGCTGAGTGTTAGCCTGGGGGATACTGCCAGGAACAAATGAGGCCCAGCTCCCAGTAATGGGATATGTGTCTCCTGGATGCACTCTGAGGATTAAATTCCGTGCGCTGACACACACTAAAGCCTCTAGCAAAGTCTTCATTTAATTAACTACAAACTTAGATATATGAAACAAAACCTCTGTAAAAAATCTTAAGGTCGAGAACATACTATATAATAGGCACAAGACTGAAGCAGTGTGGGGCAGATGTGATGATAGAGTCTTTGATGTTGATAGAAAAGCAAACTGGAAAATATTCATTCGTCCTCCAGAACCTCAAATCCACCCACACTGGAAATTGTCACTAACATACTCTTGCTCAGGAATAACACATACTCTGACTTGTAACGCTTGTCTTATTCTTTCACTTTTATCATAGAAAGAGGTCAAGGGGCAAAAAGAGGACAGATTCTAGTTCTAACAAAGCCAAGTTGAAAAACATCAGTACTTAACTAGGCTGAACTAATTCAGACACTAAAATAGAGAGAAGTTATGTAGCTTAGATTTTAAGCAGTCTAGAAAATCATTATCCCTCTCATATCCTAAGTCTCTATCAGTAAATCCTCTTGGACTGGAAATATCTTATATCCATTCTGAGAACTGGGCAAAATCCCCTTCACTTTAGTTGCACTGGTTGGTTTTTGGTAAAATCTTCCACATACATCTCAGTAATAACATTGAACATAGTTGTACCTACTCTGTGATAACTTCCTTTTTGGGGACCCATAGATTATCAATTGTTGCTTTGCTGTGGTCTTTGTTCAAAAGATGAATTTTTGTTTTAACACTGTGGTGAGCAGAATAATGGCCTCAATAGGTGACCGATTCCCAATCCCTGGAACCTGGAAATGTGTTAATTTACATGGGAAAAGTGAGTTTGCAGATGTAATTAAGGTTAAGGACCTGGAGATGGCAAGATTATCCTGGATTATCTAGGTGGACCCATCCCACTCACATGAGTCATTAAACTTGAGAACCTTTCCCAGGTCAGAGTCAGAGGGAGATGTGTAGACAGCAGAAGGGTTCCATAGATGCGATGTGAGTCTTCTACCTGCTGTTGCTGGCTTTGAAGATGGAGGAAAGGGGCCATGGAATGTGGGCAGCCTCTAGAAGCTGGAAACAGCAAGGAAACATATGCTCCCCTAGGGCCTCCAGAAAGGAACACAGCCCATCAACATCTTTATTTTAGCCCAGTGAAACCTCCATCAGACTTCTGACCTATGAAACTGTAAGATAATACATTTGTGCTATTTTAAGCCACTACATTTGAATAAATTTGTTATAAAGAGGCAATAGAAAATGAATGTGGTTAAATATCAAATGTATATCCCACAGGTTTGTTTACATGCCTTTCTTTGTACACACTTACCTTTACTTTCAATACATGCTCTTTTAAAAGACATCTTATATGGCAAGTAAATCATCACATGTAGTGTCAATAATGCATGTCATTAAATTGAATCAACCATAATACAAACAGCTATGATAATAACTTCATTATGATCGCCACCTCACTGGCAATGACTATAGGGTTATAAGATGCACCCCAATTGCAAAAAAATTAAAATGTGAACAAAGGCTGAGGCAGGAGGATCACTGGAGCCCAGGAGTTCAAGACCAGCCTGGACAACATAGTGAGGCCACATCTCTAATTAATTAATTAAAACGTGAACAATAGAATCTACGAAAAATGGAAGATAAGAATTAGGCTCTCCAGTTCACAGCAATCCCCATACCACTCCCTACCAACTCCCTATGCTCACTGCCTTTTCATGCCAGGTACTTAGGAGCTCTGGCTTGACCTCTCAGTTTCTTCTTTCATCGACAGGAGGAATGATAGCCAGCCTACAGGTCCATTATCATAAGAGTGAAGGGTGTAATCATATCATGAAAAAAGAGAGCTTTGAACACTGCAGAGTATTAGGCAGGTGACCCAGCTATCCTTAGGCATCTAGTCACCAGACTAGAACCTTGGTGCCCTCTTTGTCTTTGCTCTCCCCTCCTCAATCCACATCAGTAGGTCCCCACACTTTCCTTTATTTTTATATTTATATTTTTATTTTTTGAGATAGAGTCTTGCTCTGTCATCCAGGCTGGAGTACAGTGGCACGATCTTGGCTCACTGTAGCCTCTGCCTCCTGGGTTCAAGCAATTCTCCTGCCTCAGCCTCCTGAGTAGCTGGGATTATAGGCATGTGCCACCATGCCTGGCTAATTTTTGTATTTGTATTTGTAGTAGAGATGGGGTTTCACCGTGTTGGCCAGGTTGGTCTCAAACACCTGACCTCAAGTGATTCACCTGCCTCAGCTTCCCAAAGTGCTGGGTTACAGGCGTGAGCCACCATGCCCAGCCCACACTTTTCTGTCTCTCTTTTTCTTTTTCATAGCCCATTCCACATGCTAATGCTCAATTACCTTAATAGCCTCCTAATGGTTCTAACTCTGGCTGCTGTTTCTCCTCTCCTTCAGTCAGCCTTATCAAGAGCCACATGGCTAATTTTTCTAGAATAAAGACTTACCCATGTCTGTCCTCCATGACAGGCAACCCCAAGCTTCTAAATTTTGGGTGAAAAAGTACAGACTCCTTAGCCGGGTATCCAAGGCCCATAGCAATGTTGTTTTCTACCAAAACACACCATAAACCCAGCATACTTTACCAAGAGCATTCTCCCAGTCTCTCTTTCCCCTCTATGCATAGGTGAGGTCTAAAATTTCATTTGAATTGAGCTCTAGATTTAGATCCTCCATGGAACTTTTATCAACATACTCAGTTTTCAATGGCCCCCACTGATCCCCCTCTAACTCTCTGTAGAACACGTCTAATATCTCTCTGAATTTTTTGACATATCTAACTCCATGCCCTAAATCATACAAGATTGTGATTGCGAATGACCATGGAAATCTTCCCTTTATATTGTCCCTTGACTATGTTATGCTCATACTTGTATTGCAAATTGCTGATGCATTTCACTTTGCCTGAAACACCTTCCCCTTCCACGCAACCTGTCCAAATCCTATTCACCTTTCAAGGGTAAGTTTAAGTTTTTGACCTCTCTCAAGAACTTAACAACCACTTTAGCTCATGCAGTGTGCACTGCTTGAATTTTTAATTTGAACAATTGAGTTTGTTCTGTGCCACATCTATATTTATCTGCTGATGTGTGTTATTCATGATTTTTCCTTCAAGCTCTTTAAGATAGGAACTTTTTTTTTTTTTTTTTAGGCACAAGGTCTCACTCCGTTGCCCAGGCTGGTCTCAAACTCCTGGGCTCAAGCAGTCCTCCCACCTCAGCCTCTCGAAGTGCTGGGATCACAGGCGTGACCACACCTGGCCAACATAGGAACTTTTATTATACTTTTTGGATATTAGAATTCTGCCCCTGGCATATACTTACTCTGTGGCCTTGGGCAAGTCACTCAATCTCTAAGAGTCTCAATTTCCTCATTCGTTAAATGGGGAAAATGTACGAAAAGGGACCTATCAAAGTGCCTGGCATACAGTAAGTTCTCATTAAATGTCTGTTATTTACATAATAGTTTATAAGCTTCTATCGCATCCCATTCCTCGCCAGTCTGTCCATGTGTACATAAAGACTACTCGTTGCATTAATTATTTCATCCTTAGACTGGTGCAGTTCTAATCTTTAAAATGGTTTGTTGCTCACCACAGTGACCACAACTAATGATATGCTATCCAGGGGACAAACACTCCCACAGGCTGGTGCTTTGTAAGTGATATATTGAAGGAAAACATCGTCATCTTTTCCATGTATAATAACATCTGCCTCCTTAACAAGGGTTTTGTGAGGTTCAAATGAGATAAACCATGTGAAAGTGTTTTATAGCTATTATAAAGTACTATAATAGATGTTATTATTATTCCAATGTCCTTATATATAACTTTCTTTCAATTCAGTTGCTTTCCCAGATGCAGTAAAAGAGGCTGCAAACCATTCTCGAGGACCCCTCATTCATTCATTCATTCTCGTTGTTGACAGATCTTTACTGATCTCCTATTAGAGACAGAGTAAATGTGCTAGTCACAAGAGGGGCATATGAAGATGTAATATCTCAGCCGGGTGCAGTGGGTCATGCCTGTAATCCCACACTTTGGGAGGCTGAGGCAGGAGGATTGATTGAACCTAGGAGTTGAAGGCTGCAGTGAGCCATGATCGTGCCACTACACTCCAGCCTGAGCAACAGAGTGACAGCTTATCTCAAAAAAAAAAAAACAGTTATAATACCTGTACCCTCAAAACACTTCATATTATCCTTTTTTTCCTTCTCACCTTTTACCTTAAGCCATCCTGTTTATCAACTGAACATTTTATGTGTCTGCACATGAGACAGGATGGGGTGGGGAAAGAAGCTGAGTAGGTGACACCGAAGGGGACTCATCTATATGATCAGCCCTGTTGTACCATGTGAACCACAAGAACTTTATTTATAGGGTACTGAATCTTCTAGAGATGAAAAGTCTCAGCCCCAGAAAGCAATGCCAAATTATGAAAAATCTGGAGGAAGAAGAAAACCACCAAAGGGTATTCTTAAAAAAAAAAAAAAAGAAGAAGAAGAAGAAAGAAAAAAAGGTATACCTACTGAAGACTCTGACCACATATCATTATGACTCATAGTAAAATGGGTCTTGGTGATTCACTGCTACTTATTTGTTTTAAGCATGATAATTATCTTTACTGCTTAAATTAAGCTTTTCTTATTTCCAAAAACAATTTTTTAAAACCCTTGAGGCTTTGTTGGATTTTTATTCCATTGTTAAATAAGATTAAATACTCTGAGCTTTTCAGGTCTAACATTAGACTTGGTTACATTTTTGTAATACAGGATGTCTTTTGAGTTTCCATTCTAGATCACTTTTTGAAAGAATAAGATTTTTAAAATTTCTCATCAACTGTAAAATAGAATTGTAAAAGATATTGCTAAACAATGCTATTTCAATGTTTTTCCAACACTGAGCCTGTGAAGGTAAGCAAAGGAAGAGAGAGAAGTAAAAGGTGGGAGGGAAAAGTCTTTGCGATATTTTCACTGCCTTTACTTAAATGAGTATTAACTGATTTCAAAACCAATATCAATTTTACAGTAAATGAGTTTTGACATGTGCATGATTATGGTTATATTCTAAGTGAAAATGGCCTGGCCTGGGGCTGAGAATCTCCTGAGACACTAACCACTTCAGCTATTCTCACTACTATACCTGTTCTTTAATGGGTGAATTCATCTGATAGGTAGGTTGGATACAACTGAACTCTCCATTAAATAATTGGGTTTATGTTTTAAAATGCTAACAATTTCTGAATTAGGAAAAAATTTAATATACTCTAAAGAAATAGCAAAAGCCTAGCCTCCAAACACCAGATTGCTTCCCTTGCCTGGTCCTTGCTTTTGTAATTCTAGGCTTCTAGCATAGTACTTGGCACACACAGCTTGCTGTTCAATGAGCTACTTTCAAATTACAATGAAGTCATATAAAATGAGTGAAATTAAGAGATTAAGTATGTGTTTGTGCATATATATTTTAACAATCTCATCTGACTTGGCACAAAACTGTACTTTGCCAAGAATTTCATTATTTAATTAGCATTGCTGCTAATTTACACCATGCGCTTAACCAAGTGACTTACCCCTCTTTTTTTAAATATTTGTTTAATAATTCTCTCTTTTATTTATGAAATAGGACCGTCTTTTCTGCCTTTATAAATGTCTCAATATATTCTTTGTATTTGCCAACCTAGACAGGGACACATAATCAGAACTTTGTATGATGTTACAAAGTCATTGAAAGGCTAGTGTTCATGCATATGAAAGTGCTAAAACAATAACTACTCAGAATTCTGTAAAATTTTAGTAAAACGTCTATTCACATCATCTTGCATGTCTGGACCATACTTAAAAGAAACAGTGTCTCACACACTGAGGACACTATTGTGTTATTAAAAGTTAATTCTAGATTTGAACCTAATTATGATTTTAGTCCTTTTCTTTCCTCTTCAATCTCTGTGCCTACAGAAAGCTACTGAGTAGAAAATTAAATGATCTACTACTAATAATATACATATATTTATATATTTTTTCATATAAAGTGCTTTTAAATGTCTTCTATCATTTAACCTAGCCAATGAAGTAGTGAGTTTAGAAATGTTACCGATTGCATTTTTCAGATAATGTAACAAAGAGGAGGACCAGGTAATAAAAGACATAAGTTAGTTCAATATATACGCAGGGCCATCGCTCATGAGAAATGTGGCTAAAAGAAATTACACATGTATAAACTTTGAAGTAGACTAGTAGTTCTATCAGTGAATGCTATCAACATTATCTAATTAGCCACTAGATTGGTTATATATTTATATATTGTTTCATTAGCACATATCAGTACTTAAGAACACCAAATATCAGTCTCAGCACCATACATATAATTCTTTTAATCCTTGTAGTAAGTTTTGAGATGGTTATTAATCCTCTTCCCATTTTACAGATAAGGAAGCTGGGGCACAGTGAAGTTAAAGCCAAGGTCCACACAGCTAGTATGTGAAGCACTTAGGATTCATATCCAGAATTCTGGATTTTAAGCTTCTAAAGAGTGGACTATTTTCAACAATGGTGTATCTTGCCATAACTAACATAGTATGTTGTATTTAGAGGCATTTATTAATTATTTCCTGAATAGAATTATGGCAGCAGTGAAAAATTTTTGGTCAGAATAGTGAGCCTTTCTTTGTGAGCCACACCATTAGACCAATGCTTCCAAAGTAAACAAAAGCCGCTGCCTTTAATTGATGTTTACTGGGGCAATCAGAGCTTTAGTGAACTATACAAACTGAAAATGTCATCACACCTTGCTCTGCAACTTACAAGCTGGGTAATCTTGAGTAAGTCAACAAGCTCTCCGAAGCCCAGTTCTTTATTAGTAAAATAGGGATATTAAATAGCCTGAGAAAGAAGTTGTGAAGATTCGGGATAATACAACAAAGAACTACAGAAAGTAATATATAGTAACCACATGATTAATAATAATAATGCATGCGATCATTTTTATGGCGATGATTCTCATTAGCCCCAAAGCACACCTCTAACTGATGGAACAAATGGAACTGCAACCTAGTTCTCCAGATTTCTAATCTAGCCCGTCCAGACACTCATTGTTATTCTTCTCCTCTATGGTAACCGGAGCAAATTGAATAACTTTTACATCCATTTAATGGCACCATCATGGTTTCAGTGCATATCATTTTTAAGTTCTGGTTTTAGGCTCGGTTGTGAAAATAATTTTGTGATGTTGCAGAAGAACAAAGCAATTTGGTTTTCCCGATTAAGAAACTCTACTGACACAACATCAGGATTAAATTCACTCTGGACAGCAGATGTTACTATATCAAAACCACAAAATGTTATCAGGGCGGTTCCCTCAGAAGACACTTACTGGCAAAAACTTCTGGCATTTACTATTGAAAAAATTAACATTTTTCTCTTATAAGAGTTTATGGTAGAAAATTCAGAAAATACAAAGAAAAAAAAGAGTAAAATAGAAGTCTCCAGAAATACCATCACTGAGAAAAGCATAAGCCTGGGGTGGGTTTGGGGTGGGAGAAGAAATAATGGAATTATATTGGATTATATGCAATATTTGTAATTTGTGTTCTGCTTCTACAATAGACATTTTTCATGTCATTAGATATTTTGTACAACATCACCTTAAAAGGCGGTATTGTATGGATATACAATAATGTAATTAACTGAACATATGGTTATTTACAGTTTTTTCACAAGCAACCCTGCTGTATTTCTGTGCACAGATATAGTTAAAATCTTGGGATAAGTTCTGAAAGTGGAATCACTTGAACAAATGTTTTTAATGCTTGCCAAAGTGCTTCTGGCAGTGAATTAACCTTGTAACAATAAATAGTATTACTGAAAACAATCTTAGTCCATTTGTTATTGTTTTACTTTAAATGGTATCTTGCCAGGTTTTTAAAACTCTGTATTTCTTTTGTTACTAATGATACTCAAATTTTAAAATATATTTATCTTTTATTTTACTTTCTTTTGTGAAACACCTTTTCATATACTTCATCATTTTTATACTGGGCATTTTTCATTATTCATTTCTGTGGATTGTTATGTAGTACTCCTTTGTTATACATGTAGCAATGTCTTTATCAGTCTTTTTTCTTTTGATTTTTATTTTTTACTAATTTATTTTTGTTTGTCTTTGCTTTTTTTTTTTTGGAGACAGAGTCTTGCTGTGTCACCCAGGCTGGAGTGCAGTGGCACAATCTCATCTCACTGCAACCTCCGCTTCCAGGGTTCAAGCAATTCTCGTGCCTCAGCCTCCTGGGTAGCTGAGATTACAGGCGCATGCAACCACACCCGACTAATTTTTTGTGTTTTAGTAGATACGATGTTTCACCGTGTTGCTCAGGTTGCTCTCGAACTCCTGAGCTCAGGCAATCCACCTGCCTCAGTCTCCTAAAGCATGATTACAGGTGTGAGCTACTACACATGGGCAGATTCTTAATTTTTCATGTTTTAACATAAAACAGCTCTCAAAGTTTTAAGCTTTATGTAAACTAATCTGCTACCTTTGGCACCAAACTTAGAAATTCTCACTCTACCTGAATATTGTAAAAATATTAACAATTATTCTCTGGTACTCAAAGGTTTTAGTTTTAACATTTGAGAACATGATATCTCTGGAATCTGTTTTGGGGCATTGTTTGAGTTAGAGAGACACCTGTATAGGATATAAATAATATATTTTATATTTTGCCCTCAAATGATTAGCCATTCATCAAAACACTATCGAATAACTATCCTTTCCCCATTGATTAGAAATGCCATTTTGTTCATATACTTCATTCTTCTTTCTAGTCATGTCTGTTTATGGGCTTTTTGTACTATTGCTCTGTTCATACTTGTACCAGATTCACAGTGTTTTAATTATGATGGCTTTATATTCCTTTCTAAAAATTTATAGGACAATGTCTCCCATTGCTTTTCATTTTCTTAGCAAGTTTCACTCAGTTTTTCTTCCAAGTAAATTTAACAGTCATTCTGACATACACTTTTATAGCTAAAATCCACTATTTGTCCATTAGTGACTTAAATAGAGATTGTTCTTCCATAAAGATGCTTAAAATTGCAATAATTGTGACTGGTAAAAGGAAACAGGGTTGTAAATTACAGAACATGATACTAGAGACAGCCAGGGATTGTTTTCTCCATGTCTTTAATTGTAGGATAGAGTCATTTAGATGAAGAGGGACATGAAAACAAGGCATTGGATGCATTCTTTGTTAGTCATAAAGTTTCATTAATTTTCCCACACAGTATTTCTGAAAGTGTGACCTATGTTGTCCCAAAATCATGCTGTGTTTAAAATAGTGCAGCTTGTGAAGCAAGAATAATTTTTTTAACTCAAAACTCATGAAAGAGACACACAAGTTATGTCCAGATAACATTCAAGGTGCTGCTAACGTTCCCTCCATGACAGAAAGGCTATTCCCTTCAGACCTTGGCGTTCTCTTTTTCACTGAGAACTGAGATTAGACTGTCCCTTGGTATATATTGGTTTTATTGTTGAGGTGTACGTGTGTGTGTGTGTGTGTGTGTGTGTGTGTGTGTGTGTGTGTGAGTGTGTGTTTGGTGTTATATATATCCAATCTCTCAAGGGCAAATTGCAAACACCCTACCAGCCGAGTGTCCACCCGGAGACAGTATATCATCAACATATGTCCTTAAAGGGTCATTTCCAATCCTGTGATTCTAGGTTTTTGTTTTGTTTCCTCCAAGATTACGCTACCTTTTTTTTTTTTGGAGATGGAGTCTCCCTCTGTCACCCAGGCTGGAGTACAGTGGTGTGATCTTGGCTCACTGCAACCTCTGCCTGCCAAGTTCAAGCGATTCTCCTGCCTCAGCCTCCCAAGTAGCTGGGATTACAGGTGTGCACCACCACGCCTGGCTAATTTTTGTACTTTTAGTAGAGACAGGGTTTCACCATATTGACCAGGCTGGTCTTGAACCCCTGACCTCAAGTGATCCACCCGCCACGGCCTCCAAAAGTGCTGGGATTACAGGTATGAGCCACCGCGCCCAGCCTATGCTACCTATTTAACTGTAGTCATAATTTCATTGCAGTCTGGCATTGGTCTTTAATTATCGCAACACTTGTTCAACTTAAAATATCAAAACTTTTATAATTAATCAAGACTGATTGAGTCATGTCAGTATAGGTCATCCAGGAATCTTTACTGTGGAGATATTTTTTAAAAAAGACTTCTGGGAGAAAATTTGTGGAATAAAGCAGGATCACTGAATCTCCCTTCCAAGCAACAAAACTAGGAAGAGTGGATAAATTTGGATTATAAAAATTAGATTAAGTGGTGAACAGGAGAGAAAAAAAGATTTTAATGGGGCACAGCATGGCATTGCACAGCTTCTAATTCTTCCCAGACACAAACAGAGAGGAGTAAAAAAAGATGAGCTAAAAATTTTGTAGAGTGTGCTAAGTACGGGTGTCTCTCTTTTGTTTCTGTTTTTTGTTTTGTTTTGTTTTTTTGAGACAGAGTTTTGCTCTTTTTGGCCAGGCTGGAGTGTAATGGGGCAATCTTGGCTCACTGCAACCTCCACCTCCCGGGTTCAAGCAATTTTCCTGCCTCAGCCTCCTGAGTAGCTACGATTATAGGTGGCCACTGCCACACCTGGCTAATTTTGTATTATTAGTAGAGGTGGGGTTTCACCACGTTGGCCAGGCTGGTCTCGAGCTCCTAACCTCAGGTGATCCACCCACTTTGGCCTTCCAAAGTGCTGGGATTACAGGCGTGAGCCACCGCACTGGGTCAAGGGTGTCTCTTGATAGCGGTGGGAAAAGTCATGAAAAATTCCTCAAGAGTAGCAGCTCCTAAAATTATCTTAGAACCCAGATTGAGACAAAAGGCTGCAAGGACTTGCCATCTCACAGATTGCCAGGCTGTCTTGCATTGTGAGCCCATGGATGGGATCTACCTCTGGCTGATTGGGGTAGGCCATAGGACAGGACATTTAACATCCCCAAAGGACCCTGCAGAACAAGATTTGTCAGCCAGGACTGCACCAGCCCAGATTAAGCTTACTCTCTTTCTCTTCCTTCATCTCTTTGTCCCTACACCACAGAAAAGTGGATTGAAAGAATGAAACTATCCTCAAACATTAGCTCATAAGGGAAAGAACAAATATGTCTCAGAGGTAAGTTAAAATAGAGTTAGGGAGAACAAGCCACACTATATTATAGAAAGCAGAATTTTGAACTAAGCTTTAATTCAATTTCCAGTTAAATTCAGTATAAACAAGAGGAAAAGACTAAATTTACCATTTTAACCTTGTTTTTTTTGAGACGGCGTCTCACTGTGTCACCAGGCTGGAGTGCAGTGGCACGATCTCAGCTCACTGAAACCTCTGCCTCCCAGGTTCAAGCGATTCTCCTGCCTCAGCCTCCCAAGTAGCTTGGACTACAGGCACGTGCCACCACACCCAGCTAATTTTTGTATTTTTAGTAGCGACGGGGTTTCACCATGTTGGCCAGGCTGGTCTCGATTAAGTGTACAGTTCTGTGGCATTAAGTACATTCATATTTTGCAGCCATGATCATTAACCATCTCAGAACTTTTTCATCAGAGTTTCCCAAAATGAAACTCTGTATCCATTAAACAGTAACTCCCCAGATCTCCCTCTGCAGCCCTTATTAACCACTATTCTTTTTGTCTCTATGGATTTGCGTGTTCTAGATCCCTCATATAAATGGAATCATTCACTATTTGCCCTTTTGCATCTGGCTTATTTCACTTAGCACAATGTTTTCAAAGTTCGTCCATGTTGTAGCATGTATTAATTTTATTTCTTTTTAAGATGGAATAATTTTTCACTGTATGTATACACATTTTGTTTATCCATATGTTTATCCATTTGTTCATGAACATTTGGTTTATTTCTACCTTTTGATTACTCTGAATATTGGTGTACAAATATCTGTTCTAGTTCCTGCTTTCAATTCTTTTGGGTATAGATCTAGAAGTGGAATTGCTGGGTCATATGGTAATTCTATATTTAATTTTTTTGAGAAATTGTCACACCATTTTTCCAAAGCAGCTGCACCCTTTTACATTTCCATAAGCAATGCACAAGGGTTTCAATTTCTCCACTTCTTCTCCAACACTTTACAAAATATATACAATGAGCATTCTAATAGGTGTGATGTAATATCTCATTGTGGTTTTGATTTGCATTTATCTGGTGATTAGCAGTATTGAGCCTCTTTTCATATGTTTATTGTCCTTTGTATATCTTCCTTTTAGAAATAGCTATTCAAGTCCTTTGCCTATTTTTGAATTGAGTTGGTTTTGTTGTTATTGTTGAGTTGTAGTTCTTTATATATTCTGGATGTTAATCTCTTATATGAGATATGATTTGCAAATGTTTCCTGCATTGTGTGAGTTGCCTTTTCACTCTGCTGATTGTATTCATTGATGCACAACAATTTTTAATCTTGATGAAATCCAATTTATCTATTTTTTCTTTTTTAGACTGTACTTTTAGTGTCGTATCTTAAAATAACTGCCAAATTCAACGTCATGAAGTTTTTCCCCCATGTATGCATCTAAGAATTTTATAGTTTTAGCTCTTGTGTTTAGATCTTTCATCCATTTTGAGTTAATTTTTGTATATGATGTAAAGGAAAGCCCTCACTTCATTCTACTGCATTTAAAGTAATAACTTTTAAATAAATGTAATCATCTAGCAGTTTAACCTCTGACATTGAAGTCTTACCTGGGAGAAAGGTCACTGAGGACCTAAGTGCCCAGATGTACCACCATGACGTAGTGACCCAGAGCGTCCAAGGGGCTGGTCTTTCCATGGCCCCCCCTCATCACTTCCTGAAGCCTGCTGTAGACTGCTATAAGAGCGGCCCTCTCTCTCTCTTTTTTTTTTAAACAACTAGAGGCACCTGTTCTTTGAAGTGGGTGTCAGCTGCAGATGTAACACCCATTATCACATGACATCTGTTTTTAGTTAGTGAAAAATGCTGCGATGCTTTACTTATTTGCCTCCCTGCTTAAAAATCCACAAGCTTCAAAATTTCCCACAAGGGGGATCATTAATTTTTTTCTCAAATACTTTTTTTATTTTTTAATATCAGAAGACATCTTTTTGGTATTTACATGTACTGTTTTCAATCTCCTCTATTTTAAGTGGAAATAAGTAGAATGGCATATTTTAAAACAGCATTTTATATGCCATTTTTTCAGACAGGAAACATCAAAGATTCCTGGCAGCCTCCCAATTATACAGCCAGATGAATGATCAATTAAAAAGCCACTAGCAGCTAATAGGGCACATGCCACAAAAACAGAACATTACAGGTCGACTATGATGACAAATATGACTTTTTGGCTAGCATTCCATCAGTGTTTTTCTGTTTTTGTTCTTTTTTTTTTTTTTGAGATGGAGTTTCACTCTTATTGCCCAAGCTGGAGTGCAATGGCGCAATCTCAGCTCACTGCAACCTCCACCTCCTGGGTTCTAGTGATTCTCCTGCCTCAGCCTCCCGAGTAGCTGGGATTACGGGTACACACCACCACCCCCGTCTAATTTTTGTACTTCTAGTAGAGACGGGGGGTTTCACCATGTTGGCCAGACTGGTATCGAGCTCCTGACCTCAGATTATCCCCCCGCCTCAACCTCCCAAAGTGCTGGGATTACAGGTGGGAGCCACCCCGCCCTGCCATTCATCAGTCTTTTTCTAGTTAGCATCAACTGTATTTTTTCCTCTGAACAAAACAAACTATAAACTATATAGTTCATACATATGTATACACACACACACATATATATCAAATGTTTTCATATTTGTGCTAAGTAATTAGTGCCATGAAATATTACTAAATAACTTATTTCTGTTTCCAATGTGGCTGCATCTGAGACAGGAAATGAGCACTCTTAACTAAAGTAGACTGTGGGAAGACCCTGAGAATTTCTTAGTGAGCCAGCTCTTTAAGTCTTATTTCTCTCATTCTAAATCCTTAATATTCTATTATTCTTCCTGAACTATAGTTCTTGACTTTTCCTAAACTGCAGTGAGAAACTACGGAATGAACTTAGGCTTGCTTACGTAATCTGTGAGGCCCAGTACAAAATTAAAATGTGGGGCCCCTTGTTCAAAAATTATCAAGAATTTCAAGATGGCAACAGCAGAGCATTAAGGCAAACACAGGGTCATTCTGAGCGTGCGGTCTGTGCAGCTGCACAGGTTTCACACCCATGAAGCTGGCATTTTGTGTGCTTGTTTCTGTGTTCAGCCATTTCTAGGACTCAACTGCAGATACTGATTCTCAGATGCTGCCAAGGAGTCATTTTCATTTTCACCTTAATGTATCTTTTATTTCTTTTCCTTTTTTTCCCAACATCATCCTGGAAGTCCTATTAATGCAACCAACTTGTCTCCTCCTGATTGGTGATAGCGCCTTCCCCTTGCTGCTCAGCCAACTTTCCGTCATCTGTGAAACTATGCCCTAACTGCCCCCATCCAGCTTTTTTCTACACATGTATCCAGAATCTGCTATGAATATTTCATTCAACAATAACAAATATTTATTTTCTAATTGCCCCAAACAGACCTTGAGATAAGAATTTGAGAGTGAATTATTTACTTGAGAAGTAAAAACCAGCAGGGGAGGGGGAAATGATGCAGGGAAAGAAGGCAGCCAACACAGGTGTATTATTAGGACAGCTACCAAAGTCTCAGAACAACTCCCCTCCCCGCTTTTCCTTACTCCCATTCTCCTCCATTGAAGAGCAAGGCAGCTGTAGTATTTATGCATCAAATGATGAGAATCATTGATTGAGGGCTGCTCTGTGGTAGTGATGGTTGTAAATCCTGAAGTGTGATGCATAGAATAGGTAGAATGGTCTTATATATCATTTCTAGAAAGCGTCCTGGAGCTTGGAGATGCAGATACAGGCAGTTTGAAGTTGGCCAGAGCACACTTGAATGACAGAATCCAAGGAACCTAGGAGGATATGACAGCATCTGCTATGTTTGAATACCTACTTTGTCCCAGGTATTATTCTAAGTGTTGGGATATAGGCCATAGACAAAAATCCAAGCTCATGAAGTCTATATATTCTGGCTGGGGGAGACAAATGATAAACAAACATATAGCAAAAGATGGTAAGTACTATAAAAAAGTAAAGCTGGTTATGGGAATAGAGAGTGATGGGGGTAAGAAGGAAACCAGTTTAGAAAGCGTGGCTGGGGAAAGACTCTTTGTAAAGTGATACATGAGCAGAGAACTGAGTAAGTGAGGGAGATAACCTAGTAAGTATCTGGGGACAGGGAGATCCAGAGAGAAGAGTAAGTTCGAAGGCCCTCAGATAAGAGTGTCCCAGCATGTTTAGAAAAGAGTAAGGAGGCTAATGTTACTGGCTAGATTATAGGGAGAAAGAAAAAAATGGCAGCTGGTGAAGTCAGAATATTGGGTAGCAGTGAGATCCTGTAGGGCTTTGTAGACCACAATAAGAACGTGTTGTTTTATTATATTATGGTGTTATATTATATTGCAAGATAGATAGAAAGAAAGTGGAGGCTTTTGAGCAGAGAAGCAATTTGATCTGTGATGTTGCCAGTCAAAATTGGTGATTGCCATATTGTTTCTGTTCTTCACTCTAAAACACCAAAAATAGTAAAGCAAACACATGATCACCCATCCATTCATCCATACATTGAGAAAGCCTTTCAGAGTTGAGTAATTCCGGCTCCCTTTCTGCTACTGCCATCTGGGACAAGCTGCTGTGGGGAGGTAGTAACTGGGAGGTAGCTCATATGAAGAAGACAGGCAGAATGAGAAACAAAGACGAACAATGTTGGCCAACCCAATGATCACCACTCTTCATTTTTTTTCTTTTTCTTTCCTTTTCATTTCTTTTCTTTGAATCTCTACCTTAAAGAACTACACATAGTCCTTCACATCAGAAGGTGACACTATAGTTCTTGACAGACAGAAGATATTCAAGAAATATTAATGAACTCCTAAAATCTGTGTTAATTTATGGCATGTAACTGGTGCAGGGTTAAAAAAAAAAAGACCAATAATGACATAAAATGCACATTAACATAAGCAGCAGAATATACACAGGTTAAACCAAACAATCACACAGGGGATTTACTTGTGCCCTGGGAGGCTAAGACCATAGGCCAGGGATCACCATGGTGAAAGTTTATTCCTCTTTTGCTAGGAGGTTGGACTATCGTGCTCGTTGAAAATGGGGGCGAGGAATCAGGAGACAGAGTTGAGGTTTCCCCCTATTGCATTGTAAGGTATCTGTAGAATGTTCTATAGACACCTTTTCAATTCAATTCCTTGTTCCAGGAAGAACAAGAAGCATTTCCACCAGGAGAGCTACATCCTGAAAACGTTAAATTTTCATGGTGCAGAGTGGAATAAAAGAAAAAACCGACTTCAATTCTCTATTCCATCTGTGAGAAGAGAGCAGAGAAGTTTAAAGTGTGTGACCTTGAGACGGATTTTTCTTTTCTGTTCTCTGTCATCCGACTAAAAGCAGGAAAGCAGAGGAGTCATCTCTACACCTCTGGAAAAGAGCACCCATTGTGACAATGACAAAGGGCAGTTTTGTCCATCGCAAACACGGGCCTCGGGGCAGCAGTTCTGGTGAAGGGGAAAGGAGAAGCCCCAGAAAGCTTCATGGTCACGCCACGTATGGGATGCTCGGCAGCTGCCCTGGCTGGGATCTAACAACAGGAAGCCAGCGGACCTCACGGGGCCATTCCCAGGCTTAGATTGAAGGGAGTAAGTTGGGGAGTTGAGGGTAAAAGGAGCAGCAGTGAGGGTAGGAGACCTTGTCAGACTATAGTCTAGGATTTGCAGAGGAAGATATTTGAGGGGCAGCACTCTCTTTAGTAGTTTGCAAAATGCAGGGGTAAGAGAAAATTACCCTCTGCCTGGAATAACTAAGGAGTTTTGAGACGGAATCTCACTCTGTCATGCAGGCTTGAGTGAAGTGGCGTGATCTCGGCTCACTGCAACCTCCGCCTCCTGGGTTCAAGTGATTCTCCTGCCTCAACTTCCCAAGTAGCTGGGATTACAGGCACCCATCACCACATTGGGCTAATTTTTGTATTTTTAGTAGAGACAAGTTTTCACCATGTTGGCCAGACTGGTCTCGAACTCCTGACCTTAGGCAATCCGCCCACCTCAGCCTCCGAAAATGCTGGGATTACAGAAGTGAGCCACCGCACCTGGCCCAAGGATTCCTATTTGGATTGAATATCAAGGCTTGCTAGGAAAGACAGCCAACAAGTCACCAAGTTAATAGAAGGACAATGATGCTTCCTTTTTCTCCTCAAAATCTTCCTTCGCTACTAAAAGGTGTAGGCACATAGTTTCATCATGAAAAAATATTAATCAATAGAATCTCCTCTTATTTTTCTTAATCTTATTCAGCCGCAAACTTGATATATTTTTCCTAGGTTGTAATCTCTCTGGTTTTGCTAACTTTAGTCAACTTTCTGTTTTGTACAGAAAGCAGTCCAACAAGTCTAGTTCTCAAGTTAAGATTCCAATTGAAGACCAAACTGAAGATCACTCTGAGACTGCAAGCATAACTTCTTGTTTAGAAACTGAAGTTATAACACACATAGGTGAATAGTCTCCACCTGCATGGATATCTACCTCTGTTCTTATAGATACAGCACTAAGTTGGAAGTAGAAATGGAGAGAGAAGTTACAATGATAAATACCATTTGACAGCTTTTGTAGAGAGTAGAATTTCTACTGATAATAATAATAAAGTCCTAGCTAGTAATACACTTTAAACACACTGTTAATCATTTAATAGGGGAAGATCATTTCCTTTTTTTTGGGAGGGGGGTGGGGGGGTGGAGTTTTTTGCTCTTGTCACCCAGGCTGGAGTGCAGTGGTGTGATCTCGGCTCACTGCAACCTCCACCTCCTGGGTTCAAGCGATTCTCCTGCCTCAGCCTCTCAAGTAGCTGGGATTACAGGTGCCCACCACCATGTCTGGGTAATTTTTTGTATTTTTAGTAGAGACAGGGTTTCACCATGTTGGTCAGGCTGGTCTTGAACTCCTGACCTCAGGTGATCCACCCACCTTGGCCTCCCAAAGTGCTGGGATTACAGGCGTGAACCACCGCGCCCTGCCGGGAAGATCATTTCTGAAACTGCCTTGACTAAGCTATTTGTGTGTCTAAGTGACAACACATCTATATTACAGACAATCAGAATTTTTCCTTTTATTTTCATTCTTACAGATAAAAAGATGAATTCTTTTACTACTACGAGAAAGGCCTCTGTTTCTTTCCTCCAACAAGTTCTAGAATAAAAAAGGAATTCAACAGAGAAATATAGAGGGAAAAAAAAAGATCTTTGAATGTACTCCTCATATTCAAACTTTATTTAAAAACTTCCTCAGAAAGGCCGACTTGCATCTAAGTTTATATCATCATTATTTGTAAAAGATCTCAAATAGCAATAAAACATTTTCTTTTTATCAAATACTAGAAACAATAAATCAGAGTCTTTATAAAAAGCAAAAATAAGCAGCATTTGTTTAATAAGGTGCAGAAAAATCCACCTCAAATATGCATCATTAAGCTTACTGTCTCCATGGTCTTGGAACTACTAATTTTCTTGGGAATAAAGAAAAGAGATTGGGAAAAAAGTCCTTGGTTTCCTCCCGAAAATAGTGTGCGTGTCACGAGAGATAAGAAAATGAGGAAATGTGGTATGCGTTGACTAAACCCTTTACTTCTTTAGCGGAGGAACCATGTCTTATTCAATTTGTTCTTTTCCAAATCATTTTCTAAATTTCCCAATAACATTTATTACCTTTCTCCCTTAGATTTAAATTACCATATTTCTATACAAGTAAGGTTGAATTCTTGGTTACCAATTATTTTCTCTTTTTATGTCCACTTCAATGCCCATATCATATTATTTTCATTAGTAAAGCTTATGTTTTCCTCTATAGTAATGCAAGGTCCAGTGATTGTGATTTTCCCCCATCATTTATTACGTATTTTTGCATAATTTCTCCGTGAATTTTTTAATTATCTTCTGGAGGAATTTCTGAATTAAACCTTATTAAACATTTTGATAATATTTTAGTTATGATTGCATTAAACTTATACATTAATTATATAATTAAATTTTTTTTACAATATCCAGTCTTCCCATCTAAGAACATGGCTTATCTCTACATTTTTTTGAAGTCTTCTTTGACAACCTTAAGAAAAGTTTGATTTTTTTGGTTATAGGTGTATTAAAATTTATTATTATAATTATTACTAAGTATCTCATTTTTCATTGTTGCTACTGTAAATGGGGCTTTTTCCCTTTTATGTTTTCTTATATCTGGTATATAGAGCACTTTATTTTTGTATGTTAATCTTGTATCTGGCCACCTTAATGGACCCTTATATTGTTATTATAGTTCATCTATTGAGTTTTTTAATATCTGTATAGGTGATCCTATCTCCTGTAACTGGCACTTTTATCCCTTCCCTTTCAATATTCATATTTTTAATTTCTTTCTCTCAGAGTATTTTTCAGGATCTTCAGTACATATTTAATGGTGGTAGTTTTGCAAAAATCCTTGTATTTGTAGGAATTCTTCTGATATTTCACCAAAAGGATGCTTGCTACTGGTTCTTGGTAAAGTCCTAGGCTATTAAGATTTCTATCTTTATGAGTTCTTGATTGTTTACCAGTAAATGTTATTTTTCATATCTGTTGAGATAATTATATATATTTTCTTTTTATAGATTTGGTCTTAATAGCTTTTCTACGAGGTTGTAAACGTTATTCCCAAAGAGGTTTATAACTGGCACTTTTTCTTCTTTCACAGATCTAAGTTCGGGAAAACAATTGGTACAGGATGTGCAGCTTGAAGAAGCTGAGGGGATGAGTATACTAAATATGCCACACTGTCTGCACCATGCCAGGTAGTCTAGTATGTATTGGGTTCCATTGAGACTGATGCTGCATTGAATTCTGATGATACAGTTCGCTGCGCTTGTCCACTCTGGTCTGTAGGAGAATTGCCACAGTCTTATGAATATAAGGCTGGGTTTGGAGGGGGTCAGTTGAAATTTTAGGAGTTTTCATATGACTCTTACTCTTTCAGATTTGCTATCTGCAATTGCACATCTGCCAGTGACCTCTGTCTGTTACTGAAGAAGGCTGCTGGCTTCTTTGCTGTATATCCTGATCACGCTGACTTCCTTCTGCAACTTCTAGATAAGTAAATTTTTTTGATTTATCAGGAAGTGTCTTTGGTCTCTCAGTCAATTCGATTCTACTACTGACATTTATCAACATGGTGGGTGTGATATCTTTTAATCTAATGAGCTATATAACTGCATTTTCTTTTTGTTGTTGTTGTTGTTTTTTGAGATGGAGTCTCACTCTGTCACCCAGGCTGCAGTGCAGTGGCGCGATCTTGGCTCACTGCAACCTCCATCTCCCAGGCTCAAGCGATTCTCCTGCCTCAGCCTCCCTAGTAGCTAGGATTACAGGTGTGCGCCACCATGCCCAGCTAATTTTTGTGTTTTAAGTAGAGACGGGGTTTTACCATGTTGGCCAGGCTGATCTCAAACTCCTGACTTCAAGTGATCCACCCACATCAGCCTCCCAAAGTGCTGGGATTACAGGCGTAAGCCACCACACCTGGCGCATAACTGCATTTTCTAATGCTGAATGATTCTTGCATTGCTGGAATAAATCCTACTACTTTACGAGGTTTGTGTTTTTTGTTCATATGCTACTGAAACCAAATATAATTAGAAATTTATTACATAATAAATGTTCCTTCTCAATTCAGTGTGGAAAAGATGGGGTTTTCAATAAATATATGGTGTGGGGAAAGTGGATAAGATATGGAAAAATACTAAATTGGATTCATCTTTTAAATATATATCAAGGTACTCTACACATGTGTCAACAATTTAATGTACACTATGATACAAGAAGATAAAGATAAAAGAAGAAAATATTTATACATTTCTTTACAACTAAAAAGCCTTTCTAAACCAAGTCTCAAAATCTGGAAGCCAAGAATTAAAAAAAAAAAAAAAAAAGACTGATCAAGTAGACTGCATAAAAATGGAAAAATGCAACATGGCAAAAGACACCACAAACAACTGTACAGACAAATGACAAATTGAGATAAAGCATTTGAAATTCGTAGCAGAAGCAATACTCTAAAAGCCCCTCCATACCATCCCTAATACTTTAAAAGCCGCTAGAAATTGAGAAGAAAAAAAAAAAACCTGAAAGAAAAACTATTGTTCACAGAAAAGAAAATACAGATGGCCCTAACATATGAAAAAAATGTCCAACCTTGTTTATAACAAGAGAAACACACATTAAAACTACACTAAGATAACATTGTTCGCCTGACAGATTTGCAAAGTTTCCACCAGCAAGTTGGGGGAGAAGTCCTATTCAGGGTAGGTGTGCAAAGCAGAGCAACCACCATAAAGGGCAATTTGGCCAGATATAAGAAACTGCAAGCTGCACCCTACTTCTGCAGTGTTTTCTCACAAATACACTGGCCTGTATATAAAATTCTGTATTTACAAGGCTGTCCACTACATTATTATTTATTATAGAAAAAAATTAAATGGGACAGGCAGAATTCAGAAGAGAACTGCTAAACTCAGTTATAGTCAATGCAGACAATGGAAAAGCAGGCTATTACAAAAGCAAGTGAGGAAGCTTTCCTTATATTTGTGTGGAAAGATCTTCAGAATACATGGTTAAGTGGAAAATAGGCAAGGTGAGGATGAAGTGTATAGTATGCTACCCGTACTGGTATTAATATCAATCAGATATGGAAATAACCACTTCACAGCAGTGACTCTCAAAGTGTGGTCTGGGGTCCATGAGGTCAAAACTATTTTCATGATAATATTTAAAATGCAGGCTGGGCACAGTGGCTCATGCCTGTAATCCCAGCACTTTGGGAGGCCGAGGCGGGTGGATCACCTGAGGTGAGGAGTTTGAGACCAGCCTGACCAACATGGTGAAACCCCATCTCTGCTAAAAATACAAAATTAGCCAGGCTTGGTGGCGCATGCTTGTAATTCCAGCTACTTGGGAGGCTGAGACAGGAGAATCGCTTGAACCTGGGAGGTGGAGGTTGCAGTGAGCCAAGATTGTGCCATTGCACTCCAGCCTGGGCAGCGAGAGTAAAACTCCGTCTCAAAAAAAAGAAAGTATTTGCTCAGACTAGGCAAAAAGAACAAATCTGGAGGCATCATGTTACCTGACTTCAAACTATACTATAAGGCTGCACTCACCAAAATAGCATGGTACTAGTATAAAAATAGGCACACAGACCAATGGAACAGTATAGAGAACCCAGAAATAAAGCCAAATACTTACAGCCTACTGATCTTCGACAAAGCAAACACAATATAAAGTGGGGAAAGGACACGCTATTCAACAAATGGTGCTGGGATAATTGGCAAGCCACATGTAGAATGAAACTGGATCTTCATTTCTCACCTTTTACCAAAATCAACTCAAGATGGATCAAAGACTTAAATCTAAGACCAGAAACCATAAATACTTTAGAAGATAACATTGGAAAAACCCTTCTAGTCTTTGGCTTAGGCAAAGCGTTCATGACCCAGAACCCAAAAGCAAATGCAATAAAAACAAAGATAAATAGATGGGACGTAGTTAAACTAAAAGGCTTCTGCACAGCAAAAGAAATAATCAGCAGAGTTAACAGACAACCCACAGAGTGGGAGAAAATCTTCACAATCTATACATCTGACAAAAGACTAATATCCAGAATCTACAAAGAACTCAAAGAAATCAGCAAGAAAAAAAATGAACAATCCCATCAAGAAGTGGGCCAAGGACATGAATAGACAATTCTCAAAAGAAGATATACAAATGACCAACAAGCATATGGAAAATTGCTCAACATCGCTAATGATCAGGGAAATGCAAATCAAAACCACAATGTGATGCCACCTCACTCCTGCAAAAGTGGTCATAATCAAAAAATCAAAAAAGAGTATATGTTGGCATGGATGTGGTGAAAAGGGAACACTTTCACACTGTTGGTGGGAATGTAAACTAGTACAACCACTATGGAAAACAGTGTGGAGATTTTTTAAAGAACTAAAAATAGATCTACTGTTTGATCCAGCAACTCCACTACTAGGTATCTACCCAGAGGAAGAGAAGTCATTATACAAAAAAAACCCCACATGCACATGCATGTTTACAGCAGCACAATTCGCAATTGCAAAAATATAGAACCAACTCAAGTGCCCATCAATCAACAGGTGGATAAAGAAAATGTGATATATATATATATAATGGAATATGACTTAGCCATAAAAAGGAACAAAATAATGACATTCACAGCAACCTGGATGGAATTGGAGACTATTATTCTAAGTGAGGTATCTCAGGAATGGAAAACCGAATATCGTATGTTCTCACTCGTATGTGGGAGCTAAGCTATGAGGATACAAAAGCATAAGAATGATACACTGGACTTTGGGGTATTGGGGGAAAGTGTAGTGGGTGGCAAGGGATAAAAGACTATACATTGGGTACAGTGTATACTGCTTAGGTGATGGGTGCACGAAAATCTCAGAAATCACCACTAAAGAACTTATTCATGTAACCAAACACCACCTGTTCCTCCAAAACCTATTGAAATAAAAAAATTAAAAATAAAATGGGTGTATTTGCTCAACTTTGCTTTCTAATATTTAAAAAACATATCAGTGAAAAAATCCAGGAATAAAGGCAGCCTTGGGCTGATTCAAATTAATCTGGTTGACATTTCCCTTGCTCTGTCACTTACGCCTGTGCCATTATCATTGGCATTTAGGTCCAGCCGTGAAGAAATGAGTAGGCACTGCCAGGCAAGTCTAAGAAAACAGACCACAACCACTTGCTTTTTGAACCTTGTCTTTCCCATAAAGAAATTTACAAAAAGAAAAAGAGGATCACAAAATATAAAATACTCCCAGAAGTCTAGTCCAAAAATGTCTATCAAAATTAAACTTTTTTTTCCCTTCAGACTTGTAAGGGCAAAAGTAAAGCAGATAATCCATGTGAGTTCTAGATCATAATAAACAAAAATTCAAATGGGCAATTTATTTTTCTAAGTGACAAGTAAGTATAGATCTACTAAATATAGGATTTGTGGTCATTGCTATATGTAGGTAGGGACCAGATGCTTGGTCACAAGGGATACCGAATGAGAGTGAAAAGCCACTTCTACTATTCAGACACTCAAAAGCATGTGGCATTTGCTGTTTATAAAATGTTTTTCCCTTGTGTGAAATATTTCTGAACCGTGGTCTCCAGGGCACGCACGTTGCGCTGTTTTTTCCTGGAGTCGTGTTTCGTTTGCACAAACTAACCCACATTTTCTTCTGTGATTCTTCATATGACTAATGAAGCACAGCTCTGAGGTTATGATTTAGAGGAATATCTGTAGCCATCAAGGGTACAACACTGACTGGGCCCATACCCTGAGTATAAACATGATCTCACATACTTAGCGGATCAGCCTTCCTTCTCCTCTTTTCTTTTTCATTTTTGTTTTAAAAGATAGTCTATTTAGCTATAATTGAATGGTTTAAGAAAAAATGGTGTTTTTCTGCACTGGCTCTCTGACTTATGCCTCCGATAAAAATGTGTGGCTCATCATTTCTTCGGGTTCTGCTCAGGCTTTTCCCCAAGAGATGGCTCAGGCTTCATGGCTTGATGCTCCACCCATCTATCAGATCCTTGCATGCCACAGCTGTCCAAGACCACCAAGTAATTTGAAGAGACACTGCAGTATACACCTTGAGAATTTGTTTCCCTTCCTGCTCACACTCACCTAATTTACCCATCCTTGTATAACAGCTCCTTAAGTTTATATATCGATAACTTACTTGCATATACCAGTAAAATGAGTGCATGTGTTTGTAAATAATTTGTGTGTGTTTATTTGTAAAATAATAAAACAACATGAAGAGTAAATGCATTTCAAATTCAGAAGTTAATATACAGCACTCTTTTTAAGGATATATTAAAATCTTATTTGTATGTCTTCATCTATTTAAAAAAAGTACAAAGCACACAAAAACACAAAAGCTAATGGTTTCCTACAATTGGGACCTCCTTGTTCTTTAAACGGGTAGGATAATTATAGTATCACAAGGACCTCAGAGTTTGATTTCACAGAAAATCACCTTTCAGAATTAAATAACATTTCGATGTCCAGCACCATTCCATTTTCAGCTCCTCCGTGGAGTCTAAAATATTGTATTGTTTGTAGCATTTATTTTTAGACATTGTTTTAGAAAAGATATTGGGACTGCCTACATATTGTGAATGTTTGTGTGAATGGCTTAGTCAGGACTGGATTTATAATCTCTGACCTAAGATGGAAGTTTCTGAATGACACTGGCACTTGGTGGAGGTGATCTAATTCTCATGATGAGTCTGAACACCTCACTTAGAAAATGTGTCAATTAATTATAGAGAATCCAAAAGATACAAAAACAAGAAAAAAATAAAACCATCAGTTGTGATAAAGTGTATTAAATCTCATGCAGTAATCCTGCCCTTTACCAGACTATTATCCTGAAATTCTCACATCTATACTTTGCTTCTACTGTCTCCAGATGTAACTTTCTCCAGCAAAGCCTTCTATAAATCCTCTGTGTTAGGGACAGATAGGGCAACCCATAGTTCCTTTTCTTTCAAGGCTTCCTTACTCATCAGTAAGCTGAAGGTAGAGAGTGTTGCCACAATATATGCATATCAAGGAGTGAAATGAAAACAGTTGAGTTAATTTTGTGAAGCATTTCCACCTTTCTGGTAAGAATGAAATGCGTATGTATGTGTGAACTACAAACTACGAATTGCTCAATTTCGGTAATTCCGCAATACTAAGGCAATGCTCTTACGTTTGCTTGTAAGACTAGCCATGCACAAAATAAAAATGAGCAGTAAAATTCATGCTAATGATTTCAAGTTTTAATTTTTCTTTACATAGAATAACATTAATTAGAAAATAAAAAACATTGTAAGTAGAGAAAGAGGCCCTAGAAGAAAAGAAAAAGTCTTACATTTAGTACCTTTTACTGCACTTTTTCCTGCTTTTGGAACAAGGAATCCTGCATTTTCATTTTGCACAGGCCCCCACAAATTATGTGACCTTGGTTATAATGATGCATCAGACAAGATCCTTTGAGACTGAAAAAGTTCACTATCTTTCAGAATGCCTAACATATAGAAAGATCAGATAGTGAGATAGATATTGTTTGTTCATTATGTTAAAGCAGCTACTGTGCAAGTACTTGGGAAGCGTAAATACTTGGTCCATCACTTCCTTAGAATCTGCTTACCAATAATGATTGGCTTTATGTCGTTTATCGTTACAGGAATAGGAAGTTTTTTTTTTTTTTCCAATACCGCACCTGTGCTGGCCTTTCTCAGGGGCTCCAGGAGCATTTCATCACAGGCATGTAGAGTGCTCAGTGACCTTTAAGGGAAGATCAGGTGGTTCCTCTGTTCTTCACACGGGGGAAGGAAAGACCTGCTTGTAAAATGTAACAAATGTTTCCTGGGTTGAAGCCAATTTATTTTTGATCTTCATTTGATCTTTATTTTGACTAATCCTTTTCTCTTTGTGTGATTTCCTTTTGTTGATATGCCAACATTCTGCCAGCCTGTTTCCTTTCTCGAAAAGCCCCTCATTTCTGTTAAGTTTAATTTAGTATTCAGGCTTGTTTGCCAAAACTAAATTAGATTCCCTCTGCCCTAGCACCCACCCCTATTCAGGTCAGAAGAATATCTTTTAAAATATCTTGGAAATTGGGTCATCTATATGCTTATTGTGCCTTTACCTTTTAACGACAGTCATATGTTGGTCTTTATGGATGTGTTTAATGGAGGCGGGGTGAGGGGAGGAAACTCAGGATTTTCTTTCCAGTTATTCATTTTCACAAATAAGATAATATTTTCATGTCACTGTGGTCAACTATCCAGGTAATACATTCAGATTTCATTTGAATTAAACAAGATGGCTTTAATGTAAATTCAAGGATGTGATATAGGAACTTGGTTAATCCATTCCATAGGCTACTTAGAGGACTCTAGTTGGCAATCTGGCATTATAGGAATTTGTTGCAGGCAATCTATCGGCAAGCCCAAAGTCCTCTTGCAACGCTTTACTGAACTGTGTACATACTACAAGAAAACTTCTTTTTCCAGATGAAACCCTCTTCAGAGGTTTAAGCAGAGCAAGGTGAAGCACCAATTTGTACTGTTAGCTCAGCATTTTCAGCATGCAAGTTCTGCTTCCAAAAACCTCCCTTTGAGCCCGAGTTTGCAAGAAGTACAGATCTCCTGAGTTTCACTTTGAGTGTCAAGTTCAAGCAGAACCAAAAGGAAACTCAAAGCAAAACCCAGTTTGGACCCTTTGAGTTTCACCTGGCTTCTACCTGAAAGAAATACCCAATGTTCCCTTGAAACTTGGCCCACGTTCGCATGCAATTCAACTGAAATCCAATTCAGCATTGCTGAAAGGTTTGCAAACCTCCATGAAATGAGCTGTGAACTCAATGTGGCCTTTGGGTATCTAAGGAAGTTTCCCAACATTTCCAACAAACTTAAACAGGACTTTTAGGACCTGGTGATGACTCTGTTATATTTTAAAGTATAATTCATCCCCAGGAAATCTATGAATCACATAGAGTTGGCCCCCAGAGATAAGTTGTCTACACTTTGAAAAATTATTTTTTATCTCTGTATGCTCTTAAATTGGGAGAATTCTGGTTAATTGATCAGAAGTTAGGGAGCTTTCAATACATGCTGTTTTCACCTCACCACACCACTGCATACAATGAATTCCACAAGCTCGGACATATTAGGGAGCATTTGCTATAAAGTGGCCCCAAGAATCTACACATTTCTAATGGTAAACAGTTGAGATAATCCAATATCTTTGCCCAACACAATGGGTTGGAACAACCTGTCACATAAGACAAACTTCCACTTCTAATGAAGATAAAACTGCGCTTATTCTTTCATTCGTTCTTTAGGCAAAGTTCCTTCCCGTCTCATCTGTGCCTTGCCCTCCACCCTCTGCTCTCACCACAAAGCCCTACTTGTGCCTTCTGATAATCCTCATCCACTCTCCCTTCTCTAACCACTTAACCTCTTCACCTTCAAGCCATTTTCTCCCTCCCTCAATTCTGTATTACCTGCCTCACTCCTCTTCTCTCTCCCAGTCCCCCCTGCCCTTTCTTCATCTGCCCCTATTCTAAAGCCCCCTAATGGTTTTCCAACCAGCTTCCAACTGCACTGCTCGGACAGTGTTGTAAATGGGTCTCTACTACCTCTCTTCCACTGTTCCTGTGCCTGTCCGGGGCTGCTTATTTCCACTCTTGTGATCCTTATTTTCTGAACTGGCACTTTGGAAAGAACCTCTCAAGAGAGGAGGTTGTAAGGCTGTCCTCAGCCCCTGCCAGTGGAAACACCTGGCAGCAACTATGGATGACAGAGTGATTTTCTGTCCTATCAACTCAAACGCAAACAGGAGAGAGTAAGTAATATATAGTGAAACACGCATGGGTTTGGGAGTCAACAGACATAGGTTTGAATAGCATCTCTGCCTCCACAACCTTGGACAACTGACCTAACTTCTTGGAGCTCTGATTCCCTCACCAGTGAAACAGGGACACCAGTGTCTACCCCAAAGTGTTAAAGGAATAAATAAAATAACATGCTTCATAGGGGCTCAGTTCACATTAATTCTTTAACCTTAAGAGTTCATTAAGAGAAGATGCTGCATTTTATATTTTAAGCTTTAAGCAGAATGATTTAGTGGGAAATTTAAATACTGCTTATTTTTAGCCTGGAGAACAGGGAAGTAGTGTAACATCTCTGTTCAATGTCCTAAGCTACGTGGTGTTTTTGCACAGAGGCACAAAAGACACCAGACTCAAGGAAATCTCATTTTCTCATTTGGGATGCATTTTCCAAAGTGCTCATTTTGCTGGAGCTAGCGTGATTTCAGGCTATCTGCTTGATTTTAATTAGAGTACTTGTCTCACAAAGGAGAGTGTTACTACAAATAATATATCAATTACTCACATCTGTGCATTACTTTGCAAATAGAAACATTGGTTGTTAAAAATTACCTGAAAAGAAAATCAAGCTAAAACTTAATAGTGCTTATAATTGTATATAACTTAATGACATTATCGTTATTACTGTTAACATACTAATATTAAAATGATAAGACTCGTTCTGTTGAGGGTTGAAGTCAGAAAGACAGAAGTAAGGAATATTCAGCATTGTTTTTGACTGTGAGTTACATAAAAAGCTATAATTTTTTTTGACTCAACAAGGATCTTAATCTCTTTTCCATTCACTTTAACATACATTGTTTTGTTGTTGTTGTTTCCTTTTTTTTTTTTTTTTTGAGGCAGAGTCTTGCTCTTGTCTCCCAGGCTGGAGTGCAGTGGCACGATCTCGGCTCATTGCAACCTCTGCCTCCCGGGTTCAAGTGATTCTCCTGTCTTAGCCTCCTGAGTAGCTGGGATTATAGGTGCCCGTCACCACGCCCAGCTAATTTTTGTACTTTGAGTAGAGATGGGGTTTCACCATGTTGGCCAGGCTGGTCTCAAACTCCTGACCTCAGGTGATCTGCCCGCCTCGGCCTCCCAAAGTGCTGGGATTACAGGCGTGTGCCACTGTGCCCGGCCCTTTTTTTTTTTTTAACTTTATATTCCAGGATACATGTGCAGAATGTGCAAGTTTGTTACATAGATATATATGCGCCATGGTGGTTTGCTGCACCTCTCAACCCAACATCTAGGTTTTAAGCCCTGCATGCATTAGGTATTTGTCCTAACTTCAACATACATTGCTTTTCGAAACTTTATTTTTCTGCAAATGTGTGCACTTTAAGATAAGTCAGATTCCTCATGGACTTTTCAATATGTTTTGTGCAGTTTGTTGGTTTTTTTTTTTTTTTCCATTTTGGTAAACACATACAACCCCCAAATAACACCTGGGTGAAATGTACTTATTATTATTCAATTCTTATTGTGTCTGTATAAAGCTTCAGACCTAAACAGGGTCAAATGTCTGAATCAAAAATGGAGAACTCTGTTAATCATTCAGTTTTGTTTTGTTTAATTTTATGAGGACATCGTACTTAGAGCCAATGAAACAACGTGAGTCAGAGTTTGGTGCCATGTAAATTATACTTCAATTAAAAATGCCTGCTAGGTTTAATTTTGCACAAAAATTAATTATCCAGTATTATTTGAAGGGTGTTAGATGAAATGTATAACAATGTTTGCTTTCCCAGATTCAGTAGAATTTAAGAAACTCAAGGAAAAATAGGAATATGTGAAAAAAGAAAAGGTCTGCTACCTTTATTATCATGTATGGAGCTTGATACACTTTTGTTGAATGAATAAATATTATAATAAATTAATACTTGAACCATTCAGCCCAGGAGACAACACTGACCTAGCAAATGGCAGGGAAGGAGTGAGCTGGAGAGATGGCCATGCCCTCCCTGAAGCAGGTTGGGCAGGCTCATTGTAGGGCTCACTAGAGGACAATTAGATAGAAGCAGGACACAGAAGGTGTCATGAAGGTGACAAGGAGCAGATGCAGCACTGCAAACCCACACCAGAGTCTGGTAGAGTGAGCTAAAGGTAAGAAAGAAAAAAGATTACATAAAGATGCAAAGCATAAAGGGGTAGGCCTAGGAACAAGACTGTAAATGTGACAGGGAACCAAGAGCCAAGAACTATGGTGGAACTGAATTCTCAGGGAAACAGGGCAAGCATGCAAGGACAGGAAGATGACCTGATTACATGTTTTAGCTTTAGTCCCTCGGTCTTATCAGTAATGGTTTGTATTTTGGATTTACAAGCTGCCATAGAATTTCCTAGATGGAAATAAATAATAGAAGAAATCAGAGTGAAAGGGTCAAGGTAAAGGAATGGAGGGAAGATAGGAGAAAAGAAATGAAAATAGGAGAAGACAATATGAAGTGAAAAGGAAACAGACAGAGGAAGGTAAAACCAGAGAAATTGGACAAGGGCGGGAAGGTGGGAAGGAAAGAAATTTTCCAAGAATTAGGAGGAATCTTGACTATTTTCCCACTGGTCATACAGAACACAACAGTACATTAGTTCATTTGTTCACACGAATTTCCCAGTGTGTCCAGCCAGGCATCTTTGAGGGTTGTAGCTTTGGCACAGAAATGGCTCTAGTCTCAGAAGATAGCTCTGAAATAAAATGAGGGATGTTTCATTATAACCACAAATCCGTAAGAGTGAAATTCAAAGATAAAGGAAAATGAAAATATTATGTTTTGTTTTAAAAAGTCTGTCCTGAGGTCATTATCTAACAATGATTCATTTTACCCAGCAAGGAAAGTTAGGGGTACCCCTTTCATGAGTCAAAATCTTTTTCTTGTGGATTTTCTTTGTTTTGAATAGTTTATTTCTTGATCTGTCAAAAAAAAAATAGTGTCAGGTGACATAATGAAAAAGTAGTTGTGGCCATCACCACAAAGTAAGGTTAAACACAGGGGCATCAGTCTTGTAGGGTACAATTGATAAAGATCACTAAAATTTTTATCTTCTTTATCAATAAGTTGTTAGCTGGTAGACAATAGCAATAAAATGCTTTTCACACCACTACTAGATCTTTATTTAACTCCAGACTTCAACTTTCCACTGAGTTTTCGATATGTCACCTAGAAGATAACACTGGAGGAAAAAACTACTACTTTTATCTAACAGAGAGGAAGATAGACTCTTAACAGTGGCCTGGAATAATATAATGGCTTGGTAAGGACTTAAGAGAAAATAGTAAGTGAAAGATCCCAAAAGAACTCTCAGGAATAGTTGGGGACACAGGTCTTCCATAAAACAGCTCTTGGTGCCACTGTTTAAAATACTGGAATACCATCCTGAAAAGATAATTGTTATGGACCATTAGTACTTATGTTAATAATAATGTTAATAAAAATAATAGTTTATATTTACTGAATATTTGCTAGGCATGGGGAGCTGTTTGAAGCACTTTGCAAATTAATGCATATAGCCAATCCTGAGAACAACTCTAAGTGGCAGATTCTTGTTATTACTCCCCTCCCATTTTGGTGAATCTATGAGCCTAGATTCATTTTCAGTGAATTAATCAAATACAAGTTACCAAATCACAACCATTGTTAGCAATAATTATTATTGGTAATTCAGCAAGACGGTAAAAACTGAGATTATTAAGTTATGAAACTTTCCATTAACTGTTTTTTTAAAAAGCTCCTAAGAATTAGGATATAAACAGTAAATTGTTTCAAAATTTTAGAAGACTATATAGGAATATTTTGAATAAAACATTTTAGCAAGTATTCTTACAAAATCTCAGTGGTTTACACATGCACATCTGACCTAGGAGATCTCAATCCAAAGTTCAATATTTCCTACACGTGTGGTAACACTGGATCCTAGAGCTTGTTTGCTGAAAGTTGTGCTCTTGTTGAAAGAGTTCAGGTCAGGCACCCAGTCTCTAACGCTGTGGAAACACTGGGTTAGAAACAGGAGCCCTGAGCAAAACTCTTCTCTTCCAGCTCTGCTGTGTCACCTTCCTCTTGAAAATGGGGCATGACGGGCCAGGTGCAGTGGCTCACACTTGTAATCCCAGCACTTTGGGAGGCCGAGGCAGGTGGATCACGAGGTCAGGAGTTCAAGACCAGCCTGACCAAAATGGTGAAGCCCCGTCTCTACTAAAAATAGAAAAATTAGCTGGGTGTGGTTGTGCGTGCCTATAATCCCAGCTACTCAGGAGGCTGGGACGGGAGAATTGCCTGAACCTGGGAGGTGGAGGTTGCAGTGAGCCGAGATCACACCATTGCACTCCAGCCTGGATGACAGAGTGAGACTCCATCTCAAAAAACAAAAAACAAACAAAACAATGAGGCATAACAAATTTGTCCACAACTGCACAACTTTTTGTGAGAATCAAATGAGTTACAGATGCAAAAGAACTTCTTAAACCTTTACCATTTTCAATAATTCTAAGCATGAGCATAACATGATGGAGAATTAGGAAATACATTTGCTCAAAGGTGATAAAGATTTTGATTACTCTTTTTTTTAGCATTTAGTTGTGTGTTCATCTTTGATAAATGAGATAACTACTTATCTTGTAACTATGATAATCAATGGGTCCTGAGTTAGCTACAAGATGCTGTATATGATGTGATAGTTAAGTGAACATTTAAGCCAGACTTGCCTGTGTCCAAATCCAAACTCTCTACACTTACTACCTATGCAACTTTAACCAATGTTCTTAACTTCCCAGTGTTCTCATTTATAGAATGGGAATAATAATAATATCTATCTTATAGGGTTGTAAGAATTAAATGAATTCCTCAATGTAAAGCATTTAGAATTAATATGTAGCACATGAAATTCATTATATAAATGATTGCTATTATGAATTGTAACATAAATTCATGTAAAGGCAAGTTACATTATTATTTTCCTGAATTACCCCATACTCGTAATCATGACTTTCAAAGGCATCATTATATAATTGTTTTCAAGTCCTTTAAACAAACATTATTACACACATACTACTCACCGAGCGCTATGTTTAGGCACTACAATAACAACAATAACAACATATATAATCCAGCTGGGATCAGGGGAGGAGAAGGTACCAAATCATTGAATGCCAAAATAAGTTCTTTGGACACCAAAATAAAAAATCAGTATTTGTTTTGTGGTGCAGAAAAGAGTCACTATGGATTCTTGATCTTGAGAGTTACATAATGAAAATGGTGTCTGATGAAGATTAATCTGGTAGTGGGGTGCTCAAAGACCTAAAGATTTTTCTCCTGTATTCCCATACTTAGTTGGTGGCAACATCAAGCACCCTGTCACCCACCCAGAAACCTGGGAGCTCAGTCAGTCTCCAAATCCTGTGAGTGCGAGAACCCAAAGATCTTTGCAGGTCAATTCTACTCTGAATGAACTGCCCTCTCTTCTGTAAACCAGGAGCATGGCTTCCATCTCCTCACTACCTTCATGACCACCACACACGCCGTCTCTCGTCTGGCTTGGTGCAGTTGCTTCCTAGTCTTCTTGCTGCCTTTGGACTTCTCAAATCAAACTAATTATTACATATCATATACCTAAAATTTATATCTGACCATTCATTCACTCATTTACTCATTCATTTACTCATTCACAGATATTTATTTAGTGCTCACTGTCTACAAGGCAGAGTACAAACAATTGTTGAGCAAACACAGATATGGTCTATAAACATTATGAAGACCTCGCAGTGACAGACAATAATCAAATTATCCTCACAAACTAATGTTGAGTTTAAGACAACGTTGAATATCATTTTCTAAGCTTCTGGTTTCCCATATTTGAACAGGAGTAACACAGCCTACCTCAAGAGTTTATTATGAGGATAAATAAGATTACTGATATGAAGGACCACAGAGTGGATGCTTGATTAACATTTACTTTGCTCTCGAAATCAAATAGCAGCAGCTGGTCCAGAGGATAGCGTTACAGAGAAAGATCAAGAAGTCAGGGGTGGAGGATAAGTGGAGATAGAGCCATAAGAGTGAAATGAACTCTCCAAAAGAGAAAAAGTTAGGCAGAGAAAACTAAGATTCAAACCCTAACTCTAGTGAGGTGGAAGGAGGAAGAGGAGTCATCAGGAAGAGACAAATAATTTGTAAAAAGACGGCGCATAAAAACCAGGGTCTACTGTTATTTTGGAGCTATAAATGAAGGATGTAGTTCTCCACTCTGCAGTGGTTTGCTTCCACACTAGTCCTGTGCTCAATATTCATGACTTGTTGGGAAAGATTCACTAATTATCTTCTATTTGTTTGAGTTTTAGATGTACCCGTTCATATAGACAATAATAACCACTGAGTTACCATATGAAGGAAAAATATGTAAACATCATAAATTATGTCAGGACCCTTAGCTGGTCTACCAAGTGTTCCATGCAGTTAACTTTGACTCAACTCAGGCAGAGAAAGAGGCCAGTCTAAACTACTGAAAGCTATGAATTATATGATATTCTTTAAAAAAATAAAATTTTATTGTCTTATATCTATCCGATGATGTCCTCTTAGGCCAAAAAGAGTGCCAGCAAGTAGATACTCTCATAGACTTGCTTTCATAAATAACAAGAATTACTTTATTCATATATAAAATGAGAATACATACAGAGAATACAGATGATATCATATTCCAAACTTAAAAAATGTGTTCTCTGAAATAAATTAAGTATATCCTGGCAACTTTTTACACCATTTTTTGCTTACTAAATCCACTTGACACAGATAAGCCAAAGACAATCTTTATCTTAACCCCATCCCAACTACCAAAAGTTCTAAATCGGCAACCCAGAGTAATGAGTGAGGTTTTACCATACACAGTGCTCAGGCTAACCCATCAGTATTCTCCTTTGCAGTTCCATAGTTATATTTAAACTGTTTCTCTCTAGACCAAATTTTCTATAGCTAAGTGAAGATCTTGAACCCAAGAAATTTGTTTAATTTCATCAATGGTTTCTCTTATAAGAAATAGGGTATCTGTTCTAAGAAGGAAGGCTAGTACTTCCATTCTTTACCCTTCCCCCCAACCTCTTTCAGGGCACAGTTGGAGCACTATGTTTAGTTCTGAGTATGAAATTTTAGGACAAATGCTAATAATAAAACATAGTTTGAAGAGAATAAGACTTGGAGCTATTTCCTATGAGGGGCAGTTGGAAAAATTGGGGAAACGGTTTGGAGAACAGATGACATGGAGGAACAAAGAGATAACAATAACCTGTCTCCATCTATCTGAAGGACTAGGATGCAAAAGAAGCATTGGCCTCATTATTCCCTTTAGCTTTGGAGCACAGATCTTCAAACTTAAGCTTATGAAAGCAGGGATCTGGGCTCCACAACCACCAACTGTCATGCAAAGGGCCTCACATGGAGGGTGGAAAGACTTCATTTCCAGGAGAACCACAGGGGGTGCTTTCGGAAGCACTGTTTCATAAGGTGAACCAGTACAGTGGGCCAGGGTCACAGGATGTAGATTTCAGCTCAATATTCAAAGACCTTTCTCACCACTGGAGCTGCTCTGAAGTGAGGAGACTTGTTTCACATGGTTGTGCATTCCCTTCAATGGCCGGGTCCAACCAGACGCTGGTTGACCACAGTCAAGACATCATAGAAGTGAGTGTTCAGCGCTTGCTGCTGTAAATGCCACAAGACAGCTGAAAAACTCTGAAGACAAAAGACATAAGCTCTTGGGAGCTCTATGGCCCTGCCCATCACCTGGGACACCCGAGGACCCATTCTGGCCAATGTAGGGCAAGATTATATCCCCCTTTTACTACTGCGGCTGGTGCTGTATGGAAAGTGCCACTTCCTGACTGGAGGCCAACAAACCTAAGCCATTATAGCAACTCAAAACAGAACAACCCTGTCCCAAAGAAGGAGAAAACAACAGCTAATTCCACTGCCTGCAACACTCTGGCTAACCAGAGGTCCTGAGTCCATCCACATGACAACTTCACTGCTAGCATAACTAGCATTCAAGAAAACCAGCACACTAAACAAAACTACACCAAGGACTCCCAGAGTACACTTCACTCCCCTGCGACCTCTACTAGAGCAGGTGCTGGTATCCACAGCTGGGAGACTGAAGACAGATCACATCACAGGACTCTTTGCAGACACTCTTCAGCACCAGCCTGAAGGCCAGTAGTGCTACTGGGTGGCTAGGCCCAGGAGGGCAATAACAATCACTGCAGTCTGGCTTTCAGGAAGCCCTATCCCTAGGAGAAGGGGGAGGGGACCATATTAAGGGATCATCATGTGGGACAAAAGAATCTGAGCAGCAGCGCTTGAGTTCCAGATCTTTCTGCTGAAACAGTCCACCTAAATGAGAAGGAACCAGAAAAGTAATTCTGGTAATATGATGAAACAAGGTTCTATAACACCACCAAAAGATCACACTAGCTCTCCAACAATGGATCCAAACCAAGAAGAAATCTCTGAATTGTCAGATAAAGAATTCAGAAGGTCGATTATTAAGCTACTCAATGATACATCAGAGAAAGGTGAAAACCAACTTAAAGAAATTTAGGCCAGGTGCGGTGGTTCACGTCTCTAATCCCAGCACTTTGGGAGGCTGAGGTGGGCAAATCACCTGAGGTCAGGAGTTTGAGACCAGCCTGACCAACATGGAGAAACACCGACTCTACTAAAAATACAAAATTAGCTGGGCGTAGTGGCGCATGCTTGTAATTCCAGCTACTTGGGAGGCTGAGGCAGGAGAATCACTTGAACCCAGGAGGCAGAGGTTGCGGTGAACTGAGATCATGCCTTTGCACACCAGCCCGGGCAACAAGAGCAGAACTCCTTCTCAAATAATAATAATAATAATAATAATAATAATAATAATAATAATGGCATTTGCAGCAACCTGGATGGAGTTGAAGACCATTATTCTAAGTGAAGTAACTCAGAAATGGCAAACCAAACATCATATGTTCTCACTCATATGTGGGAGCTAAGCTATGAGGACTTAAGGCATAAGAATGATAGAATGGATTCTAGGGACTTGGGGGGAAGGATGGGAGAGGGGTAGGGGATAAAAGACTACACATTGGGTACAGTGTCCACTGCTCAGGTGATGGGTGCACCAAAATCTCAGAAATCACCACTAAAGAACTTATCCATGTAACCAAACACCACCTGTCCCCCAAAATTATTGAAATAATAAAAAATTTTTTAAAAATTTAAAAAAGAACTGAGTGCTTAACAGACAGACGATTGTGCTGCATGGAAGCCAAGGAATTCAATCCATTATGAGAGTGTTTATTTCTGGATTTATTAAGTTAAGGTGTCAGTTCTGACCATTATCCTTTATACAGAAGTTGCTTGGAAGTGGATCAAATAAGAAAGCAGAGAAAAAGAAAAAAAAAGTCCTGAAAGAACCCTAAATTAAATTAGAGGGTGATTATAATGGAAATATTAGATCTTTTATTTTATAATCACACATTATCTTTATCACAAAATATGAATTCTCGAGCCTTGTGAGTAACTTAGCATGTGTTGACCAAAGAGGGTTAGAAACCATTCCAGGAACAATTACCTGGAACAAAGAACTGAGCTTGTAGTAGCCCAGGGTGGCAGGGTGGGGGTTACTATACACATGTTCTATGAGGAGGGAGGCATAGAGAGATGAAGTGGAAAGAAATAAAGTAAAAAGCATCTTTTATATTTGTAAGTGGCTGATTTTTCTTTCCAAATTTCACTGCCAGCACTAAATTTACTATAAGCCAAGACTTCAAAGTCAACCTTAATTGTTTTAAAGAGAATGAAAAAGAAACAGGAAGAGAAATGACATCTTTTCACATCCTGAACAAGCCAGTTTTGACATTGATAGGGAAAGGGGGTTGATTCATAATAGGTCAGATGTGATGGGAAGCCAATAGTGAGACATTAGTTCCATTTGTGGTTTGGCTGTGAACTGCCAGGCTGCAGAGTGTGAGAGTGAGCCGCAGGCCCCGATTCTCGCCTTTTCCTCTTGTAATATAAAATGTCCTCATCTGTGGGACAAAAGTAGATGCATTTTAAAAACAGGGTTAAGAGTTTAAGGGAAGAAGGATATACATGCATCTCTTTATGTCTGAGAACAAGGAAAGTTACACCCATCATTGGAAGGCCTTTCTGAGAAGGTGACATTTGAGTTGAGCTCCAAATGACCAAAAAAAAAAAAAAAAAAGATATTTGAAGATCTCAAGGACAGTGTAGGAGACAGAGAGACCAGGCAGAGCCAAAAACAAATATGTCCCTCAAACACATACAAAAAAACTTTGCTGAGGGAGCAGCAACTAGTTTCTAGGTTTGAGAATATCTAGAAGAATCCAGGCTCCAACAATACAGCTCAGATTGTTCCTGTGGCTGTGAAGCCACAGCTGCCGTAGCCGCTGTAGCTAAAGAGGAAGGAGCCACCATGTAGGGCTGTGACTGACAGAGACCACTGGACCTGCACACTGGCTTGACTGGCCTTGTGGAGATTCTGGTTTTCCTAGCAGCTGCCCAGAGGGCCAGCTAATGCAGCTCTTACAGGTGGTGGAGTTCCAACTCCATAGGTCTACTTTGACCTATGAAAGAAAGGAGACAGGAAGGAGCCGACAGATGAATAGCTTGCTCTTCCTCCTTTCTGAGGGCCTGTTTCTAGATGTTTTCATACAGCCTTGGAGCAGTTCTGTGAGACCAAGTGATCAGGAAGACGGGCCAGCAGCGCAATGCACCCTCTGTATTTGCTCTCCCTCCTCTCCTGTCTTACATTCCTTTTCCCCTCTCTTGCCTCCTGGGATTGCACTCCCTAATAAAAAATTAACACAGAAGCTTTTGCCTTAGGCAGTTTTCCAAGGAACCTATTCAAAGACACATGCATTAATTCATTTCATCCTCACAGAAAGCTCATGAGGCAGGTACTCCTTTTTTGTTTTTTTTGTTTTGTTTTTTTTTTTGAGACAGAGTCTCAAGCCCACACGGTCGCCCAGGCTGGAGTGTAATGGCGCAATCTCACCTCACTGCAACCTCCACCTCCAGGTTCACACGATTCTCCTGCCTCAGCCTCTCGAGTAGCTGGGATTACAGGCAAAAACACCACCATACCCAGCTAATTTTTTGTATTTTTATTAGAGACAGGGTTTCACTATGTTGGCCAGATTGGTCTCAAACTCCTGACCTCATGATCCACCCGCCTCAGCCTCCCAAAGTGCTGGGATTACAGGCATGTAATCTGAGACAGGTACTCTTAATATCCCCATGATATAGGGAAAGAAACTTAGCACAACAGTTGTGCAACTTACCCAGAGTCCTGCAAGTGCTAAGTGGGCCAGCTGAACTGCAAACCCAGGTGATCTAGCTCCATAGCCTCTATATTGTACATCATGTAGACTCAGGCCACTCTCACAGTATAGGGGCTACATTCAAGATGGTCCTGCAGATGCTTTGACTTCGTAAATGAGCCTAGTATTCTCAGGGAGTGCTGCCCGCCTGTCCCTACCTTTTGGGAGAAAGGTCATGAAGTAAATTGTTATGACTCCTTGGCCCACATCGCTGGACTCGTTGCATTGGAAGGGACCTGGCCTGCATAAGTGTCGAATCTCTATCAGTGGTACCATTAACCTCTTAACAAACATCTATTCTGTGTGGAGTACTGTTTCAGGTTCTAAGCATTTCAACTAATCAGAGATGGCCATGATACTTACCCTCGAGAGTTAGGGAAACAGCAAATACAGAAAAACAGGCTAGGGCTAGGCACAAAATTGTCTTGTGCACCAAATTTAAGGTTGTGGGGGGTGTGTCATAAAAAACAAAGTCATCCAGGGAAATAATATTCTAATGAATAATTTTAGAAATCTGAATTAACACACAAAAAATCATGATGAACAAAATATTAAAATTTTAAATGCAGGTAAGATCAGTATCAGTGCCTTCCCAAACCATATTGGAGCCTGAGGCAAAAAGAATAATCAGAGGTACCCACTCCTCTCCCTAGTCCCGCCCTGTAGGAAGGAATCAATAATTCAAGATGCATATGTCCATTTCTTTGGCCCTCAGGGCCACACTCAATCCCAGAATAGAATCAAGACTCTCTTTTAATAACTTCAGTATTAAACTTCATTCGGATGCTTTATATAGCACTAAAATGGACAATTACCATCCATTCCCAGCATGATACTCTCCCACAGCCATCGTGTGGGCATAAAATAATATTCAGAATTGAAATAATCTAATTAACCTTATCTTTAAAAATGGGATAAACCACTATTTTCTTATCGATTTTTAAAAATCTTTGAGTTAAATAAGAAGTAGGATTACAGGTGACTGAAAATGTCAAGATTCAGTAATATTCTGTAAATGAGGAAACTGAAAATAGAATATAAGCACTAGCTTATATCTTTATTTTTATCCTATTATGATAAGTGATAACAATATAACTATATGCAATAATTTAAATTTTGAAATTCCCAAACTAAATGTAAAAAAAAAAACTATGAATTTCTAATGAAAAATGAAAAAGCTAAGCCATGTATGGTGGCACATGTCTATAGTCCCAGCTACTCTGGAGGCCAAGGTGGGAGGATCACTTGAGCCCAGGAGGTTGCAGTGAGCTATGATGGTGCCACTACACTCCACCTTGCATGACAGGGTAAGACCTTGACTCTGAAAAAATTTTTGGCCGGGTGCAGTGGCTCATGCTTGTAATCCCAGCAGTTTAGGAGGCTGAGGTGGGCGGATCACCTGAGGTCAGGAGTTTGAGACCAGCCTGGCCAGCATGGTGAAACCCCGTCTCTAACAAAAATACAAAATATTAGCCGGGCATGGTGGCTGGCATCTGTAATCCCAGCTACTCGGGAGGCTGAGGCAGGAGAATTGCTTGAACCCAGGAGGCTGAGGCTGCAGTAAGCGAAGATCTCACCACTGCACTCCAGCTTGGGCAACAGAGTGAGACTCCAACTCAGAAAAAAAATAATAATAATTAAATAGAGACAGGGTTTTGCCATGTTGTTCAGGCTGGTCTTGAATGCCTAGGCTCAGGCAGTCCTCCTACCTCAGCCTCCCAAAGTGCTGGGATTACACGCATGAGCCACTGCATCTGGACAAAAAAAAAAAAAAAAAAAAAAAAAAAAAAAAAAATTTAAAAAAAATATAGCAAAATACTATAAACTAGGGGGAAACATAACATAAAGAAGATTAAAATTACAAAGCTATATGTCTTTATGTATGCATATTTTGAGATAATCAGATGAGAAAATGTTCTTCTGTGCTTGTTATATTATCTTCTGGGTTGAGAAAAAAAAGATTCTTTGGATGATAAAGTTCTCCCTGAATTGTTGTACTATATTCAAATACATCAAAAACTTAGCTCAGGCCTGGATTCAGTCAAAGGTGGGCAGCCTAGGAAAAGGCTTATATGCAAGTTGTTCCACTATTGAGCTGGAAGCAGCAGGGGAAGCAAGGAGAAAGGTAGGGAAATTCCCACCTCTGGAGGACAAGAGGGAATATCCAGAGAAATCAGTGATAACTTGGCATAAATCTAACTTCCTCTTCCTAAACATGCCGAAACACTTCTTAAAATCAAAATAAAATAGAGCAACAACAACAAAAAACCCTTCTCTTCTTTCCTTTACAGCTGAACAACAGTGATAATTGTGAGACTGCTAAACCGTACTTTCCCAGCAGGTCAGGCTGTAACTTGATTTAACCGCTTTTGCACTGGGACAAACTGAGGGGAGGCAAGTACCCTTCCCCATGCCATCCAGTCTCTTCTGTGATTTGCCAGTTTTTATAAATATGCCACATTGTTGGTGCTTTCTTCTTACACCTGTAGCCTACGGTCATTCTGGAAGTTCTTTGGTTTTTCCTAACCCCTTTATTTATATGCCACAGAGTTGATAGGAGTCTTGAGTGTACCAAAAAGATAAACTCTCTTCTCGGTTTGGGGGGAAAAGTGCTTCTTAATGAACATTCAAAATGAGTTGAGCAGTGAGATTTCTATTATTAGGCTCCTGTGTGCATATTATAAAGGTTTGCTAATCAAAAGTCTAGAGCACAAAAATTAAAATAACTGAGCTTTGAGGTCTTTAGCTATTATGCCTTTGATTAGAAGTTTAGTCAGTGTAACTATTTCCTTAACAGCCAGTGCACACACATACGCATATATAAAAACATGCACATTTTTCAGAGTTCAAGAAAACCTCCAAACTTCTATTCAGAGCAACATTCTGATATTCAATGTGTCATTCTTAGTCCAGAAGAACAGTTTGAAAATTTTACGAACATTAATTTACCTGTGAGCTTACAGATTTTTCTCCTGATCTAGTCATACACATATGGTCCTAGAGAAAAACTAGGAGTCAAAATTTTAGCACTTTTGTTCCTGCACTTTTAGTGTCCTGAAACAGAATATTGAAAAAAAAAAACCACCATAATAAATCTTCATATTCTAATGAGTATATGTTTAAAAGCCTAGTCCAGATACATAGTAAAGCCTCCAGTTCTTCATGCCTCTAGTTCAGCCACAGAAATTCTTTCGGAATTCATCTTTGAGCCAAACTTACATTTACAGGGTGAGGGCAGGAATGTATGTTCAATTCATGTGTTTTAAGTTTCATAAAAGTTCTGCTCCATGAAAAGTCTCAAATATAACTTAACAAACCCAGTCTGGGCGCAGTGGCTTATTCTTGTAATCCTAGCACTTTAGGAGGCCGAGGCAGGTGATTGCCTGAAGTCAGGAGTTCGAGACAAGCCTGGCCAACATGGCAAAACCCTGTCTCTACTTAAACTACAAAAATTAGCCATCTGTGGTGGCACATGCTTGTAATCCCAGCTACTTTGGAGGCTGAGACAGAAGAATTGCTTGAACCCAGGAGGCAGAGGTTGCAGTGAGCTGAGATCGCACCACTGCACTCCAGCCTAGGCAACAGATCGAGACTCTGTCTCAGAAATAAATAAATAAATAATAATTTAACAAACCCAAAAAACCATAATACCTATATAGTGAGTACTCTTCTAGATATTTAGAGCCAAAAAAGAGAGTCCACACAAAACTCTGCACACTGATGTTTATAGCAGCTTTATTCATAATTGCCAAAACTTGGAAGCAACCAAGATGCCCTTCATTGGGTGAAAGGATAGACTCTGGTACACCCAGACAATGCAATATTATTCAGTGCTAGAAACAAATGAGCTATCATGCCATGAAAAGACATGGCAGAAACTTACTGCATATTACTCAGTGAAAGAAGCCAACCTGAAAAGGCTGTATATTGTATAATTCCAACTACATGGCATTCTGGAAAAGGCAAAACTGTGGAGACAGTAAAAATATGAGGAATTAGATGTTGGGAGAGGGATGAATAGGCAGAATACAGAGGATTTGGGGGGCGGTGAAAATACTCTGTATGATACTATAATAATGGGGACATATTATTGTACATTTGTCCAAATCTACAGAATGCACAATACCAACAGAGAACCCTAAGGTAAAGAATGACTACGGCATATCAATGTACATTCATTAATTGTAAAAATGTACCACTCTGGTCGAGGAGGTTGATAATAGGGAGCCTATCCATGTGGGTGGGAAGGCAGGAGATTTATGGGAAATCTCTACACTCTCTGCTCAATTTTGCTGTGAATCTAGGCCAGGCGCAGTGGCTCATGCCTGTAATTCCAGCACTTTGGGAGGCCGAGGCAGGAGGATCACTTGAGCTCAGGAGTTTGAAACCAGCCTGGGCAACATGGTGAAACCCAGTCTTTACCAAAAATATGAAAAATTAGCCAGGCATGGTGGCACGTGCCTGTGGTCCCGGCTATTCAGAAGACTGAGGTGGGAGGATCGGTTGAACCTGGGAGGCGAAGGTTGCAATGAGCCGAGATCGCACCACTGCACTCCAGCCTGGGTGACAGGGTGAGATCCCATCTCAAAAATAAAAAATAAAACTGCTTTAAAAATTTGTCTTTTAAAAGAAAAAGTGAAATCATTTTTCAGATGTCATATATCTGGCAGAAATTGAACAATTCAGTTTTGAATGCTGTCATTAGCCTTTCTCCCCCCAGAGGAAATAGTTTTTCATGCTAACAACAACAGCAACAGATTGACAATCTCACTTTATAATCTGTAACATTTATATCTCCAGATGTGGAGTTGGATTTGGGGCAGACAGACAGGATATAAAGGAAAAGGAAAAAAAATTTAGAATAATCTTCTTCCTCCACCTCAAAAAAATGATAATTATATGAATCATTGGAACATAGACTTTCCAGCTACAAATAGGGACATTGTTTGGCCTAATAACTGCTATAATCTCTGAAACGTTAAGTATGTGTGGTCAATGGATAGTTCTTTTTTATTTTCATTCTCATATGTTTGAGGGAAAAGAGGAGCTACTACAAACTAAAGAACCGATCACTCCCTAATAAAGTTAATTAAGTCCAGGAGCACATATGATTCATTGAAAACATTGAATAAAAAACTAACCTTTAAATCATGTTTTTATTTATTAACTTTGGTGTTTTTTGTTTGTTTGTTTGTTTGTTTACATCACAGTTCTCTCTCTCTCTCTCTTTTTTTTTTTTTTGAGATGCAGTCTTGCTCTGTCACCCAGGCTAGAGTGCAGTGGCACAATCTTGGCTCACTGCAACCTCCACCTGCTAAGTTTAAGTGATCTTCCTGTCTCAGCCTCCTGAGTAGCTGGGATTACAGGTGCCCAACACCATGCCTGGCTAATCTTTGTAGTTTTAGTAGAGACAGGGTTTTGCCATGTTGGCCAGGCTGGTCTTGAACTCCTGACCTCAAGTGATCTGCCTGTCTGCCTTGGCCTCCCAAAGTGCTAGGATTACAAGTGTGAGCCACCATGCCCGGCCCACAGTTATTTCCCTGTGGGAGAATTGAGAGGGATGGCTGTGCTCAGTCCAGGATTCAGACATGTCTCTTATTCTAGATTGGTTGCCTACTAGAAATCATTTAACTGAGAGTCTGACATACCTCTTGGAAGAAAATCCTTCCTTAAAAAAAGCAATTGAGACAAGCACAATACAGTCGTGATCCAATTTTTTAATAAACAGCACTAGTGATCAGAAGAGAAGCAGCACTGTGCTACTTCTAAGAGCAGCACAGTGATCAATCCTCAATTTTCTCCCCTGACCCAGCCCCCAAGTGCTATGTGGGTCATGAAGCCATTACACGATAACTTTGTGACATCAGGACACAGGAAGAAAAGCCACGGAGAAAGATGTAACCTGTAGAGAGGAAAGTCCCTGCCAGCCTCCACCAGCAATTCCAGCTCCATACACAGCTTGGTTGTAGTACTTTGAAAACTCAGAGAACACAGGGCTCTTAGGCTCCATGAGGAACCCAGCACACCAGCGGCAGTGGTGGCCATGCCTAGAGCCCAACAACTGTGCCTGGTGGAATGATGATCATGGGCAACACAGGCAGCTGTGGCAGGCACAAAGAGGTGAGGGGAAAAGCTTGAAAAGGAAGCAAATGACAGAACCATATGATAGCTAGTAGGTCTTCCTTGTGAGTACAAATGAGACTTCTCCTTAGGCCTCCTAGGAATTATAATTGTGTCTGAATGAGGGTCATGGAATAATGACTGAAAGAAAGAATCAAAGACACATGGATTTGTGCATACCTTTACTGCATTAAAATCATATAAATTCTATAGTAAATATAATGATGGACTACTTTGCATATTTTGAAATGAATCTGGATAATACATTTATTGATTAACTTTCATATTTGTACTTATGAATGTCAACATAATGGACATAAACTTTACTCTCTGGAATGTATGTGATGCGGACTATTTTATCATATGCTGTCACTTGAAAATGCATTATTTCATCTAATCCAGCAGTCTTGTGGGGCACACACTTCTAATATAGAATATCCTCTTTTAAAGAAGAGGAACTAATTCCAGCAGGACCAACAACTTGTTTAACATCACAAGTAAACAACAGAAGGGTTAACACTCAGCCCCTTGGGCTCAGGATCCTACTCTCCTTTCATAGCCCTATATGACCTGCCAGTTGTCTAACTGCTCCTTGATGATTCTGGGGTCAGCATACAAAAGCTCTGGGCCACCAATTGGGAAACCCCAAATTGAACCCTCCTGGCTCTTGTTCAGCTTCTCTTTGACCTTGGGAAATTCACTTAACTTTCTATTTTATTTCCCCATCTGCAGAATGGGTTGGGTATTAATAACACCTGCCCCACCCAACCTTACATGAATGTAAGAGGAAGAATTAGATAATGTCTGCACTGAGGTTTGCTCTCCTTAGAAGAAAGTCTCTATAAAACACAGGACAGAAATTCATTTGACTTTATGAGGGCTGATGAGATCAAAGCCTGTGGCCATGGGCTGGGGAAGCTTTTCCCTGCACAGAGAACATTTACTGCTCTATGCTCTAATAACATTCCTCCCTCAAGATTCTAAAATGATTTGCAGATAGTCACTAAGTAAATCTTGCTGCCCTTAAGCAACAAGCAATTTGCACCATAACAGCCTAAAGGTTTATGGAAATGAAATCTTAGGAAGAGCAAAGGTAGAACTTTAAAAAATAATCCAGGACTTATGATCCTTCAGTCTATTTTCTAATCACCTACTCTTTAGATCCACAAAATATCATTTATATTTAACTATTTAGTTTTCTTTTCATAGCAGCTAATAGCACCATTACAAGCAGATCTTGTAGTGGGAGAACCTAGGCATAAATAAAAGGTAACAAATACTCTTAAATATCAGTAACTTTTAAAAGCTTTGGGCAACTCTAAAGCTTTATATGCATCCCCAATTTTGATACTTGCCCTAACCAAAAATACTTCTCCCTTATTTTGTGTGCAAGTCCTTTCCTTCAGAAAGTGGATAAGGTCATCAAACCACAAAAGAACCCACTGTTCAGCTTTAGGGAATCCATCTTCCCAAAGCGTGAAGATCCACTAATCAGGTCTTGTGATGTTTGCATAATGTTGCTGTTAACCTCATTTTCTGATGTCTCAACTTGACTGCATTTCATTTTAATTTACTAACCTATACTGGCAAAGTCTCAGAGTAAAGTGCTATGCTATCTTATTTTTGAATCTACATGTTAATCATGTCTAATTGGCCTTCATTTCCATCTGCACAGATCTCTAGTCCTCATTTCTGGAATTAGTAGACCAAATTTCCCAATCCAACCCCAGTCATGACCTCATGACGTTTATTTGACTTTGCCTCAATAGTCTTATCAAAACCTTAAGATGTAAGATACCAGTGTGAGCAAAGACCAGGTAATAAAATGACAAGTTTCAGCATTTGTAGTATTTCTTGTTTGAATTAGATTTGTTCAAAGGCAAGGATTAATAGCACTGAGGACCCTTTATTTTCAGGCATGACCAACATATGCTGTGAGTGTTTTCATTCCTTTTTTTTTTTTCTTTTTTCTTTTCTTTTTTTGAGACAGGGCCTCACTCTGTCACCCAGTGGTGCAATCACGGCTCACTGCAGCTTGGAGTGGCTGTAACCACAGGTGTGCACCACCACACCTGGCTAAATACAAAAACATTAGCTGGGTATGGTGGTGCATGCCTGTAGTCCCAGCTACTCGGGAGGCTGAGGCAGGAGAATTGCTTGAACCCAGGAAGCAGAGATCGTGCCACTGCACTCCAGCCTGGCAACAGAGCGAGACTCCATCTCAAAAAAAAAAAAATTTTTTTAGAGACAAGATCTCCCCATGTTGCAGGTCTCCACCTCACTCAAGCAATCTTCCTGTCTCAACCTCCCAAAGTGCCAGGATTACAGCAGTGAGCCACTGCGCCTAGCCCTGTTTTCCTTCCTTTATGGCTGTTTTAGAGTTTATTGAGATGAGCGTTAGGGCTAGTATTGATGAGTAATACACATTTATATTAATAAAAGATTGGATAGAAGATACTACCTCCTTTCTCTCAACCCCTCTCAGAGATTTTACCTTAAAAAAGAGGGACCAATTCAATCTAGTTCTAAAAAGGGAAAACTGACTTTATTCATCAGTGCTGAATTCATTACAATAGGGACCTCTCTATCCAAAAATCACAAGCCTTCAATTTCTGCCCTCATATTTAGTCTCAAGGAGTGACCCACTGAGTGGGGAAAATAATTTCAAAGGTGTCACAAAGGTACCTTTTCTTTCCCTTTTTTTTTTTTTTTTTTTTTTTTCAGACAGAGTTTCACTCTTGACACCCAGGCTGGAGTGCAATGGCGCAATCTGCAACCTCTGTCTCCTAGGTTCAAGTGATTCTCCTGTCTCAGCCTCCTGAGAAGCTGGGATTACAGGCGCATGCCACCATGCCTGGCTAATTTTTGTATTTTTAGTAGAGACGGGGTTTCACCACATTGGCCAAGCTGGTCTCAAACTCCTGACCTTAGATGATCCACCCGCCTCGGCTTCCCAAAGTGCTGGGATTACAGGCGTGAGCCACCGTGCTCAGCCCAAAGATGACTTTTCAACATAATTCTTCTCCATCCAGTAATAGTATTTCCTTTAACTAAATCCTTTTACCCTAATGAAATGAAAATAGCTCTAGAAATGATAATGTATTAAGTCTTGTTGGTCATTTATACCTTAGTGTGAACGAATTGAACAGATTCTGTCGGGGTGGAAAAGAGACTGAAAGGGAAAGCCTAAGGAAGTCTGAAGCACCGAGAAAAAAACTCTGTAACTTTAAACTGGCCAGGTATTTTCTCAACAATAACACAGCCTTCCTTCTATTCCCTCTAGCAGCTTCTTTCTTTTATGGCTGAAATGGCACAGATAACCTTTTCTTTAAAGTCTACAGAGGAATTCTGTGTTAGGAGAATAAGAAGATGAGAAGAAGAGAAAGGTGCTAGGGTTAATGCTTCCCCTGTGCCCAGCAGGGATGCTGTTAATAGCTTGCAAGCTGGCTGTGATGGTGAAGAAAACCTGCAGCAACACGCCAGCAACCAGGGTTCCAGACCCAATGAGGGGAGGAGTGCAGAATGTCTCATTCTAATTATGCCAAGGAATCTAAACTAAAAAAAATAAAATCTCTGGCATGGCATAGTGGCTCACGCCTGTAATCCCAGCACTTTGGGAGGCCGAGGCGGGCGGATCGCCTGAAGTCAGGAGTTTGAGACTAGTCTGGCTAACATGGCAAAACCCTGTCTCTACTAAAAATACAAAAATTAGCCGGGCATGGTGTCGGGCACCTGTAATCCCAGCTACTCAGGAGGCTGAGGCAGGAGGATCACTTAAACCCGGCAGGTGGAGGTTGCAGTGAGCCAAGATTGCGCCACTGCACACCAGCCTGGGTGACAGAGCAAGACTGCATCTCAAAAAAACCTGTCTCTACTAAAAATACAAAAATTAGCTGGGCGTGTTGGTGGGTGCCTGTGATCCCAGCTAATCGAGAGGCTGTGGCCCTAGAATCGCTTGAACCTGGGAGGCGGAGGTTGCAGTGAGCTGAGATCGCACCACTGCACTCCAGCCTGGGCGACAGAGTAAGACCCCGTCTCAAAAAGTGAAAAAAAAAAAAAAAATCTCAGCAACACTGGAAGATTGTAAATTGCAGTCTAAAATGAACTGGCCTACCAACATTCAGTTCAGGGAAGAGATAGTGTTTCCAGCTCTCCACTTATGACAAACTTGCCATTGTGAAGGAAAATTAATGTTCAAACAATAAAAACCCAAGGCTCAAGATCATAGGTTGGTGAAGTAGTGAACACTGCTTAAAAAGACAATCTTGGCCAAGGAAAAGACAAATTATAATTACAAACATATTGTTAGTTTATCCTACTGCTGAGGGTCAATCTGGGAGACTTTTCTTTTGTTTAGCCAACAACATGGTGAGCTTTTGTGATATGCAAAGATACACATTGAGCCTAATCTGGAATAAAGTCTGCAAACTTAAATTTTCCAAATCCTATTACAGGAACCGGGGTATGGAAGGTGGATGCTAGGGCTTTGAGAGCCCCAGGAGGAAAGACCATCCAAAGCCAGAGCTTAGGGCAATAAGGACTTGAAGTTCAAGGTGGTTTCTTTCCTGTGCCTGGTGCTGGTGCTACTTTGGGGAATGAAAGAAGAGAGGTGTGCCGGGCGCAGTGGCTCATGCCTGTAATCCCAGCACTTTGGGAGGCCGAGGCAGGCAGATCACAAGGTCAGGAGTTTGAGACCAGCCCGACCAACATGGTGAAACCCTGTCTCTACTAAAAATACAAAAATTAGCCAGACATGGTGGTGCATCCCTCTGATCCCAGCTAGTCAGGAGGCTGAGGCAGGAGAATCGCTTGAACCTGGAAGGCAGAGGTTGCAGTGAGCCAAGATTGTGCCATTGTACTCCAGCCTGGGTGACAGAGCGAGACTCCATCTCAAAAAAAAAAAAAAAAGAAGAGAGGTAGTGGCCTTGAGATAGGTGATGACCTCGTTGGGGTAAAGCAGCAAGCAGGGGCAGCAGGCGGAAGAGTGCATAGAGAGAGGATTCAGCTGGAGCTCAAGGTGAGAGGGGCCATGAGGAAGAGGCATCCATCCTGGGATTGCAGGGAGGAAACTCGGCTTCCTCCAGTATTTGGTATGAATGTTGCGTCATTTAAATTTGTAACAACAGAAAGGGAAGGGAAGGGAAGGGAAAAGAAAAGAAGGAAAGGGTAAAAGCACAAGGGCAGAAGACAGTCCTCATACCTAACTAGTTTGCTCTGGCTGTATAAGGCATGATAAACACAGAAAGTCACAATCTTGCTATCTCCCAAGATGTGTCTCTTCCCTGCTTCAAATCTCAGACCCCAGACCATCTGGAATGGTTGGATTTTAAATCTGGACCTAGCTCCACATAGTCCAATCCAGTGGTGTGCTGTTTAACCAGCCAAGGGGGTGGAAAGGTAGGGGAGCTGGCTGATTTTTACTACGCAAATGCATCCACCTTGGCTAGTTTCAAGCTACAAACTTTACATCCCTGAAGGTGGAGCTGGGAAGAGATATGTGTGGAATCATGCTCACAGAAGCTAGTACAGCCAGCTCCAGCACACCACTGGCTCAATCCACATGAGGGTAATTCACTCCACTCTGTCACAGGACTGGCCACCTGGCCTTCTTTCAATTCCCTTTACTTGCTCTGCTTCCTCCTGCAACAGGACTTTTGTACTTTCTGTTCCTTCTGCTAGGATGCTCTTTCCTTCCTTTACACCTAATCAATGTCTACTCATCCATCTGTTCTCAGCACAACTGTGACTTCTTTAAGCAAGATTTTCTGACCTCCCTGGCCAGGTCAACTACCTTAATTCTGGACTCTTGCTTTGTACCATGCACCTTTCCTTCCTAGGGCATGTCAATTGAACAATTTTACACTGTTCCATTGATCATTTGATTAATGTCTGTCTCCCCTCCTTGATGGTAAGCTCTGGGAGGACGGGCCCTGAATGCTTCTGTTCCCATGGCATCCTTGTCACATAGCCTGGCAAATAACAGAGGTGTGATGACAATTTGTTGAATGAATGAGCATCACAGATCATCCCCAGTCCCAGTAAATCATCAGCTAGTCACTTTTTATTTGAAGGTGGAAAGTGTGAAGTGCAGAGTTAATCTTTCTGTCTTTCTTCTCCACCAACACCATACCTGACTGTGCTTCAGATAAAGGAAGCACTCTTTTTTTTTTTGAGGTGGAGTCTCCCTCTGTTGCCCAGGCTGGAGTGCAGTGGCACTATCTCAGCTCACTGCAACCTCTGCCTCCCAGGTTCAAGTGATTCTCCTGCCTTAGCTTCCCAACTAGCTGAGACTACAGGCCCACGCCACCACACCCAGCTAATTTTTGTATTTTTAGTAGGGACAGGTTTTCACCATATTGGCCAGGGTGGTCTGGAACTCCTGACCTCAAGTGATCCACCTGCCTCTGCCACCCAAAATGCTGGGATAACAGGTGTGAGCCACCACGCTCGGTCAAGGAAGCATTCTCTTGATCAGATTCATTTGAATGTGAGTCTAGTGAGTCTACAGTAACTTCTTCATCTGTGACGAACCACCCAGTAAACTGGCAGAGGTTTAGAATTCATTTTGTGTAATCTGGAGCTACATAACAATGTCTTGCATGGTTATCTGGTAGAATCTTCCTCAAATAACCATATTTTATTCATTCTTTTCTATCTACACATACTCGCTCAATACACTTGGATGTATCCAATTCAAATTAAATTGGCCGGGCATGGTGGCTCACACCTATAATCCCAGCATTTTGGGAGGTTGAGGCAGGCAGATTGCTTGAGCCCAGAGTTCGAGACCAACCTAGGCAACACGGAGAAACCCCATCTCTACAAAAAATCAAAAAATTAGCCGGGCATGGTGGCATGTGCCTATAGTCCCAGCTACTCAGAAGGTGAGGTGCGAGGATTGCTTAAGCCCAGGAGGTGGAGGTTGCAGTGAGCCAAGATCGCACCATTGCACTCCAGCCTGGGCAACAAAGTGAGACCCTGTCTCAAAAAAAAATTGATTTAATATGGAAAACAAGAAGAGAAATGTGTACTTTTTAGTCTACACAACTTCCACTCCTCAGAGTATTAACATTTCATTGGTGAAGTTACATCAGCATTTAAATAATGAAAGTGTATGTCATGTAGCAAATTGAAAGGACTTACAAAAAACTGTTAAATCATAGCTGAAGTTATGTGGAGTACCCATATAATAAATCCTCATACAACTTTATGAAGCACAGAAAGGTTGAGCTAAGGGTTCAAGGTCATACAGCCAGAAATAGTGTAGACTTGGAAGGCACTGACTCGGACACCGGTGCTCATGCTTCTGCTTACTAAGCTGTGCAGCCCAAGATCTTTCCAAGGGGAAAAGATCAAATACAAAATAAATACAGTGATTCCTCAGTCAGGAAAGAATAATACGGGTCAAACATGTAATAGAATTGGAAGAAGCCAAAAAAAAAAAAAAACAGTTAACAACCATGTTAGGGTAAGAGGCTAGGATGATAGGTAGATATGGATTTTTTTGTTTTTGGTTTTTGGTTACTTTTAACAGTTCATTTAAGGTTGTTATAAAGCAATTTTTGAAGGAAAAATAAACCCAGCTTGCATCATTTGACAATGGAGCATGCCCACACACCATCATTAGCATCTTGCTGAGGATTGTAAGAGAAAAAGTAGATTTTAGTTTATTCCTCTGTAGACACGTGAGCTGTATCCTGGCCTAGTCATAGTCGTAGGAGCATATTTTGGCAGTAAAATCGTAGTTAAATTTAGTTAAACTGCTTAGCTATGCATGAAAAGTCAAGAGTTGACTATATGCAGTTCAATTTAACTTTCTGTAAAGAATCCATTAGGGACTAAAGCCAGGCTTCAGCAAAAATTAAAAAGACATTTCCTGAAACCAATAAACATCACTCACTACAGTTGCTACTCAGTACAATTCCCTTTACCAATAGCAATTTTAACGTTCACAGAGAACTTCCCATGTGCCAAATGCTAGGCTCAGTGCTAGGGCTGGGTGTGCATGCTTTCTCTTCATTCTTATAAGCCCCTGTGATTTACCTGCTGTCATTGTCCTCCTTTTAGAGTTGAGAAGTGAAGTAACTAGCTCAGGTTGACACTTTCAACCAAAGGGAGAGCAGAATTGTGAATGAAATTATTTCTCTCTGATTCGCTGCACACATTTCATTGAAAAATACAAAAAGTTCAGGAGGAAATGTTCAGCTCTGACTGGCCAGTGGCAGGATTTGGTCATTTGGCCATGTTAAGTCTCGACAATTTCTCTCTGGAAACCCTTTTAGAACTATATTCCATGAGGGAGCTTCTGCTTTGTGAGAAACCTGACAAAAGCAGCCTCTTTGCTTACTGACAAAAAACCAAACAAACCAAAACAAAAACCTGCTCTAAGAAATAAAAAGCTGCAAAATCAATAGCAGTAGTTTTTAATTCTAATACATTTGAATCATCTGGAGAGTTTTGAAAAAATACTAATACTTGAGCCCCATCCCAGACCAATTAAACAAGAATTTCTTGGGGGTGGAGCCTGGGCCTTAGTGAGTTTTTAAGAGCTTCCTGGGTGATTGTAATGTGCAGCAAAGCCAGGAACAGTTTGCTTGCCTGTTATCAGAGTGCTGAGCTTATTCAAGACCTCGTATCTGTCTTCTCTGCCTCCTCATCCCTAACCATGCTAGGCAAAAAAAAAAAAAAAAAATGTGCATTGCATAATGAAAGTAATGGCAAATGAATTCGATGTTTTAAACAATATTTTTGCGAATAGGCTTAATTTGTAAACGTATACAACTGCTTGAATTGTTGTTTATTTTATAAATTTACCTACACTCTGCCACCAGAATTTTCTAATTTCAAAGTCATACCAAAAGGCAACAGTAGATGGCCCACCTCTCTCAGAAAGAGACAAGGCTGTTTGGCCTACCTGTGGAGTAGCCATTCTTTTATTCCTTAACTTTTATTAAACTTGCTTTCACTTAAAAAAAAAAGAAAGAAAGAAAGAAAAAGAAAGATCAAAGAGCCAACATTGTGTATTAAATGGAAGAGCCAAAGCTTTCCTTGTAAGTTAACGTGAGGTGGGAGGTGAATAAGATCAAAAAACATGATGAGAAAAATAACTCAGAGACTTTCTTAGAATAATTGAAGAGTGAGTTAAAAGAATCACTACAAAAATAAATGCTAGGAATGGAAATGAGCAAAAGTGATTCCAGGGTATGCAGTCTTTGATACTGATAATGAAAGTAGTGAAAGTTAGAACAGGGAAGTTGGCAAACCATAAAAATTGAGTCCCAGAGTTCCCGTTAATTATGGATATCTTTTTTCCCCTTTTTGGGTGAAAGTGGGAATGGAAGATTTGGGTTTATATGGACAACATCTGTGAGGAAACTTGGTTATGCCTTTCTCTGACTGCCAATGGGCAGCATACAGAAGGGTGAGAAAGCCCAGGAATTTTCCATTGCCTCATCTATTCTTAAAATTGTTTTCATTTTCACTTTCACCATTTGTATTATACTCCAGAGTCACCAAATAAACATACCACTCATTAGAAATTAACTAAAGTAAAAGTCTAATTAAAGACTAACTTCTATCTGGTTCATCTTCTAACATGAAGTATTTGTTATAATTAAAGCAGAGTTGAAGAGGATTGTCTTTTCTTTTTTATACAAGGGTAATTTTTAACCAATAAAAATAAGAATCGGCGCCATCAAGAACTTTTCGCCTGCCGATCTCAATACACACTCAAGGGATACTCACTTCCATCAAGTAGGAAAGTACAACAATTACTTCCATTTTACAACTGGACCAACTGAGAGAGAGACAAAAGGTGATTTGACAAAGACCTTCAAATGAAGTTAGTCTCATCACTCCTAATCCACAGTTCTACTTTTAAATGAACTTTCCTGCTTTATTACCTCTGGGCTGGTAGAGATTTGAAGATTCATTTTCCCCTTAAGGATAGTTATGTCCTAGTTCTAAGACCTACTATGACTAAATGCTCCAAGTATGATTTTAGTCATTAGTTTCAACTTTTGACCCTAAACTCTGTCTGGACCTGTGTAAAGCCAGAGACCCTACTTAAAGCTCCAGTGAAGAGGAGGCAAGAGAACACATCCCTCCTGCGGTGCTTATAACTCAGCTCGTAACTTGATGCCAGGAACATTAAACCCCACTACAAAGTCAGACTCCTCCATATACAAGACTGTAGATCATCGGAGTCTCATTTCAGCATGCTGAAGAAGGGGCTGAATTTTAATGTAGACCTACCATCTCGCAGTATGTGCAGCTATGGCAATGCATTGATCCTCTGGTAGAAATTAGAGATCTCTTTCCTTTAAGCCCATTCATTACCAGGCCTCGGCGTGTAGAGAGAAGGGAGTGGTAGAGTGGTTTAGGTTAGACAGTGGTGGCCAAAGCAATGCCAGTAGCCATGGCCATGATGCAGGTAGACAGTGTGTGATAGCCCAGTCACTTCCTTCTGGCATGAGGTCACCCCAACTTTGACCCAGCTCTATGCACAAACAAGTAAAAGTCTAAGGAAGTGTTCTGTTGTGTTTATTCTAGCTGCGCATGTCAAATTGCTTTTAGCAAGGCTGAATCTGTTTAATGCTGAGAATGGGAGGTGGCTGACAACCCTTTTTAACAGTACAGACAATTCTGGCTGAGTACCCAGTTTACACAATTGCATCTGTAAACACATGTGGTGGAGGTGGTGGTAATAGACTTGTATTATGGTTCGCTTAGTTCCTGAGTACGTGATTAATACTAATTGTAACTACAAACAAGTACTGAAGCTACTCCTCTGCAGACAAAAAAAAAATATATATATATATATATATATATATTTTTGTCTTTAAACCCATTTATTACCAGGCTTCAGTGAGTACAGAGTAGTAGGGTGGCCTGGGGTAGACAGCTGTAGCCAAAGCAATGTCTATGCACACTATCTCTATGAAGAGATCATATAAATCTATATTCAGAAATTTTTTAATACAAAAAATCAATTACTATTAACATTTTCACTAAGTTATAATAAATCCAATCCCAATGTTTTCTACATTAAATTGTTTATTGTTCTCTGTTACATTTAAAATGAAATCTAAACTGCCAGTATAAGGAATCCAGTATCTTTTACAAACTATCTCCAACATATCTCCCCATCTTTATCTTAAACCACTACCTACCAGCTCTCCTGTTCCCCAGAACACACTCCCTGATCGTGCTATCCAGAACTAACCATTTTCGGAGTGTGTTATTGGCCAAGATTGCCAACTGTAGGTCTGTGGGCCCATCCATCCTGCAGACATGTTTTGTTTGGGCCTGAGAGTGTTTAAAAAGATTTTTGTTTGGACATTTTACAGAACTTCTATTTTTCTCTCCTTCCTGTAGAAGATAGCTAATTAAAAAAAAAAGAACTTTAATTTTTTTTTGTAAAGAAATGGAAGATTCACTAACATTGGGCCCACATCCTGCATGGCAGCAAACAGTCAAAGCTAAGTAATTGCTGTTTGCTTGAAATGTGGCATGTTCTCTAGTTCTCTACAATCTCCACCCCTTTTCATTGCATCATTCTTAGCTGGTCATTCATTTTCTTTATCTGATTTGTCTCCATAGGGTCACACACTTTATAATTCCATATTGTTCCCTCATGCTAGTTCCTCTTTGGGAAATGTTCTGAGTTTCTCTCCCATATGCTTCTACTAGTGCCAACCCAGTATCTCCTCCTCTGTGAAGTCCTTCATTTGTGATCCTTTCTCATTCGTCTGTGATCCCTGATACACACTGTTAGCATAGGACTGACCACAATATATCAACATTCATTATAAACAACAACTCCCTGACTACTGGTCTCCTCAAGTACAAGAATCTCTGTTACTATTTATCTCTGTATCACCAATATTTAGCACTGATGATAATGAATGAGTAAGTATACAAGACAGTCATAACGTGATATAGAAAAGTCTCAATAAATTCCCATGACATTGAAGGGAAAGTGACTATTTTTTCTGAGTCAGGCGTCAATTGGGTTAACAGTGGTTGAAAGTGGAGCAAAAAAGTAGGGTAGCAATAAAGTTAAGAACACAAGCAGAATCCTTGCGTAAGAACAAATTCAGAAAGCAGTACATACCTTCCAAATACAGATAGGTAAAATAGAAAAAGAAGAAGAGAGGAAGGAGAAGGAGGAGAAGATGAAGGAGAAGAAAAGGGAGAAGAAGATGAAGACAACATGAGGAAAACTGTGAAGGAAACAGAGACATGAGGAGAGTATTTGTATTTACATTCTGTAGCTAAAACCATTTTCAAATGAAGTCGTATTGTTCTTACAATTAAGGAAAGTCAATTTCAGGAATTGTTTATAAACCAATTCCTCTACATTACAGAGATAAGAGGTTCAAATTGCCAAATGTATGTTATGGAAGGAAAAACAAAAACAAGGAGAAAGTAACTCCCATTTTTTTAAACCTTTCACTAAAGAATGAAGATGGGGACCAGGGGAATAGTGAACCCTTAACATCTGAAGGGTTTGACTGCTAGGGAGACCAGAAGTTAACTGTATTTTCCTAAAGCAACAATTAGCATTACAGGGTTTTAAAATCTCTTACGTTTGCATCTTAAATTAATTCTAGTAAGCAACAAAAATATGAAGGAACTGGTGAACAGTTGTTGACTGAATGAGGCACCTGAAAAGTAAAAATTATTTGCATGCATCATAACAACAAAACGAATACCCTGTGCTAGTAAACAGTCTTCTGGTGTGTGTAAAGCAGTTCTTTACTACTCTAAGAGGTACACGTGCTCTCATCTTCTTAGAGCACCTCCTTTAGCTTCTAAGCGAAGTACTCTGACAAATGCATGCCTACAGGTCTTTAAATGTATCCTTCATACCACCTATTATTAATGTACTCTGCCTTCTTTTCTATTAGCTGCTTAAAAAGGAAGAAGAAAGAGGCATGGAGCACTTGACCTAGAAGGACAAGTTGCCAATTTTTTAAATGAAAGAAAGGAAGTGTAGTGTCTGCAAGGTGACAGGTTTATGTGGGAGAGTTATTTTTGAATGACTTCAAGGTACCTCATATCGTTCTGGTATAACATCAACTGAGTGGTGTGCTCTTAATTTTTAAAAGTTTTTTCTCTCTTACAAAATCCTGTTGAAAATAGAAAACATGCACATGTAAGTATAAGCTACTAATTTCCTCAAGTGTCTTCTATGGAGTTACAAAACTCATGATGAAATAACAGCCTCTTTAAACACTGTGTTCAATATCTCTGACTTCAGTTTGTGCCGTTAGACGGTCCCCAGCATCCGAACATTCGTCCCCAATCCCATGCCCCCACCCCCAAAACCTCTGCTTTATAAGCAAATAAGACGTAGAAATGCTAAGAGGAAGAACTGAAATGGTTTCTGGGAGGAAGAAAGTATGTCTCCACATTATCATTCTAAACCATCTATGATCACGGTCAAATCCTTTCCTGTCACCAGTTTTTAAAATTAAATGTTTTATTTTACTTGAATGAACAGCAAACTGTATAGGTTTCACAGTCTATAAATATATATATTTTAAAACTGGTTCCTTGACTCTGTTTTCTTCATCCTAGGGATCTAAATTGCTTCCTTTGGAAAACTGACTAAAATTTCACCAGGACAGTTAAGACAAAGTAACATTAGTTGTAGTTTTATTTTTTATAGTTATATGCAATAGCTATAACTTATTATAGTCTGATTATAATCTTCTATTCCTGTTCTTTGCCATAAGCGATTTTGACTTTTAAGAGACTTTTGACTTGTAAGAAGAATGCAAAATTTATTATCTATTTTCAATAAATTAGTCAGAATAAGATCTTACCTATTATTTTCTTTTTTTTTTTAGGCATCCATTAATTTTATTCAGTAGCGAAAAGTACTTGGAAATAAATTTTGGAATTTTTCAGTTCATGCCTTATTTGGTACTGGATATTCTGCAAGTTTATCCAGGACTTCCTGGACTTTTTGTATCCTGTGCTTACAGTGGGATGTTAAGGTATGAACTATGACTCTAATAACACATGATTTCCCGGTTGTATCTTTCTTTTTTCTTTCTTTTTTTTTTTTTTTTTAAATTACACTTTAAGTTCTGGGATACATGTGTAGAACACGCAGATTTGTTGCATAGGTATACACATGCCTTGGTGGTTCACTGCACCCATCAACCTGTCATCTACATTAGGTATTTCTTCTAATGCTATCCCTCCCCTAGCCCCCAACCCCCAACAGGTCCAGTGTGTGATGTTCCCCTCCCTGTGTCCATGTTCTCATTGTTCAACTCCCAATTATGACTGAGAATACGTGGTGTTTGGCTTTCTGTTCCTGTGTTAGTTTGCTGAGAATTATGGTTTCCAGATTCATCCATGTTCCTGCAAAGGACATGAACTCATCCTTTTTTATGGCTGCATAATATTCCATAATGTATATGTGCCACATTTTCTTTATCCAGTCTATCATTGATGGGCATTTGGGTTGGTTCCAAGTCTTTGCTATTGTGAACAGTGTTGCAATAAACATGTGCATGCAAGTGTCTTTTTAGTAGAACGGTTTATAATCCTTTGGGTATATACCCAGTAATGGGATTGCTGGGTCAAATGGTCTTTCTGGTTCTAGATCCTTAAGAATTTGACACACTGTCTTCCACAATAGTTGAACTAGTTTACACTGCCCCCAACAGTGTAAAAGCATTTCTATTTCTCCACATCCTCTCCAGCATCTGTTGTTTCCTGACTTTTTAATGATCGCCATTCTAACTGGCATGAGATGGTATCTCATTGTGGTTTTGATTTGCATTTCCCTAATGACCAGTGATGATTAGCTTTTTTTCGTATGTTTCTTGGCCACATAAATGTCTTCTTTTGAGAAGTGTCTGTTCATATCCTTTGCCCACTTTTTGATGGGGTTGTTTGTTTTTTTCTTGTAAATTTGTTTAAGTTCTTTGTAGATTCTGGATATTTGCCCTTTGTCAGATGGATAGATTGCAAAAATTTTCTCGCATTCTGTAGGTTGCCTGTTCACTCTGATGATAGTTCCTTTTGTTGTGCAGAAGCTCTTTAGTTTAATTATATCCCATTGGTCAATTTTGGCTTTTGTTGCCATTGCTTTTTGTGTTTTTAGTCAGGAAGTCTTTGCCCATGCCTATGTCCTGAATGGTGGTGCCTAGGTTGTCTTCTAGGGTTTTTATGGTTTTAGGTCTTATGTTTAAATCTTTAATCCATTTTGAGTTAATTTTTGTATAAGGTGTAAGGAAGGGGTCCAGTTTCAGTTTTCTGCATATGGCTAGCCAGTTTTCCCAACACCTTTTATTAAATAGGAAATCCTTTCCCCATTGCTTGTTTTTGTCAGGTTTATCAAAGATCAGATGGTTGTAGACGTGTGGCACTATTTCTGAGGCCTCTATTCTGTTCTATTGGTCTAGATGTCTGTTTTGGTACCAGCACCATGCTGTTTTGGTTACTGTAGCCTTGTAGTATAGTTTGAAGTCAGGTAGCATGATGCCTCCAGCTTTGTTCTTTTTGTTTAGAATTGTCTTGGCTGTACGGGCTCTTTTTTTGGTTCCATATGAAATTTAAAGTAGTTTTTTCTAATTCTATGAAGAAAGTCAGTGGTAGCTTGATGGGGATAGCATTGAATCTATAAATTACTTGGGGCAGTATGGCCGTTTTCATGATATTAATTCTTCCTATCCATGAGCATGGAATGTTTTTCCATTTGTTTGTGTCCTCTCTTATTTTCTTGAGCAGTGGTTCGTAGTTCTCCTTGAAGAGGTCCTTCACATCCCTTGTTAGTTGTATTTCTAGGTATTTTATTCTCATTGTAGCAATTGTGAACTGGAGTTCACTCATGATTTGGCTCTCTGTTGTCTAGTTTTGGTGTATAGGAATGCCTGTGATTTTTGCACATCGATTTTGTATCCTGAGACTTTGCTGAAGTTGCTTATCAGCTTAAGGAGATTTTAGGCCAAGACAATGGGGTTTTCTAAACATACAATTATATCATTTGCAAACAGAGACAACTTGACTTCCTGTCTTCCTATTTGAATACGCTTTATTTCTTTCTCTTGCCTGATTGCCCTGGCCAGAATTTGCAATACTATGTTGAATACGACTGGTGAGACAGGGCATCCTTGTCTTGTGCCGATTTTCAAAGGGAATGCTTCCAGTTTTTGCCCGTTCAGTATGATATTGCCTGTTGGTTTGTCATAAATAGCTTTTATTATTTTGAGATATGTTCCATCAATATCTAGTTTACTGAGAGTTTTTAGCATTAAGGGACATTGAATTTTGTCAAAGGCCTTTTCTGCATCTATTGAGATAATCATGTAATTTTTGTCATTGGTTCTGTTTATGTGATGGATTAGGTATTTTGATTTGCATATGTTGAGCCAGCCTTGCATCCCAGGGATGAAGCCCTGGGATAATGGTGGATAAGCTTTTTGATGTGCTGCTGGATTCAGTTTGCCAGTATTTTATTGAGGATTTTTGCATTGATGTTCATCAGGGATATTGGCCTGAAATTTTCTTTTTTTGTTGTGTCTCTGCCAGGTTTTGGTATCAGGATGATGCAGGCCTCATAAAATGAGTTAGAGAGGAGTCCCTCTTTTTCTATTATTTGGAATAGTTTCAGAAGGAATGGTACCAGTTCCTCTTTGTACCTCTGGTAGAATTTGGCTGGGAATCCGTCTGGTCCCAGGCTTTTTTTGGTTGGTAGGCTATTAATTACTGCCTCAATTTCAGAAGGTGTTATTGATCTTTTCAGGGATTCCACTTCTTCCTGGTTTAGTCTTGGGAGGGTGTATGTGTCCAGAAATTTATCCATTTCTTCTAGATTTTCTAGTTTATTTGCATTAGAGGTGTTTATAGTATTCTCCGATGGTAGTTTGTATTTTTGTGGGATCAGTAGTGATATCCCCTTTATCATTTTTTATTGTGTCTATTTGATTCTTCTCTCTTTTCTTTTTATTAATCTGGCTAGCAGTCTATCTATTTTGTTAACCTTTTCAAGAAACAAGCTCCTGGATTCATCGATTTTTTGAAGGGTTTTTCATGTCTCTATCTCCTTCAGTTCTGCTCTGATCTTAGTTATTTTTTGTCTTCTGCTAGCTTTGAATTTGTTTGCTCCTGCTTCTCTAGTCCTTTTAATTGTGATGTTAGGGTGTCGACTTTAGATCTTTCCTGCTTTCTCCTGTGGGCATTTAGTGCTATAAATTTCCTTCTAAACACTGCTTTAGCTGTGTCCCAGAGATTCTGGTACGTTGTGTCTTTGTTCTCATTGGTTTCAAAGAACTTATTTATTTCTGCCTTAATTTCGTTATGTACCAAGTAGTCATTCAGGAGCAGGTTGTTCAGTTTCCAGGTAGTTGTGTGGTTTTGAGTGAGTTTCTTAATCCTGAGTTCTAATTTGATTGCACTGTGGCCTGAGAGACTGTTTGTTATAACTTCCATTCTTTTGCATTTGCTGAGGAGTGTTTTACTTCCAATTAAATGGTCAATTTTAGAATAAGTGCAATGTGGTGCCAAAAAGAATGTATATTCTGTTGATTTAGGGTGGAGAGTTCTGTAGATGTCTATTAGGTCTGCTTGGTCCACAGCTGAGTTCAAGTCCTGAATATCCTTGTTAATTTTCTGTCTCAATGATCCATCTAATATTGACACTGGGGTGTTAAAGTCTCCCACAATTATTGTGTGGGAGTCTAAGTCTCTGTAGGTCTCTAAGAACTTGCTTTATGAATCTGGGTGCTCCTGTATTGGGTGCATATATATTTAGGATAGTTAGCTCTTCTTGTTGCATTTATCCTTTTACCATTATGTAATGCCTTTCTTTGTCTTTTTTGATCTTTGTTAGTTTAAAGTCTGTTTTGTCAGAGACTAGGATTGCAATCCCTGCTTTTTTTTTTTAATTTCCATTTGCTTGGTAAATATTCCTCCATCCCTTTATTTTGAGCCTATATGTGTCTTTGTATGTGAGATTGGTCTCCTGAATACAGCACACCAATGGGTCTCGACTCTTTATCCAATTTGCCAGTCTGAGTCTTTTAATTGAGGCATTTAGCCCATTTACATTTAAGGTTAATATTGTTATGTGTGAATTTGATCCTGTCATTATGATGCTAGCTGGTTATTTTGCCTGTTAGTTGATGCAGTTTCTTCATAGTGTCGATGGTCTTTACAATTTGGTATGTTTTTACAGTGGCTGGTACCAGTTTTTTCTTTCCATATTTAGTACTTCCTTCAGGAGCTCTTGTAAAGCAGTCTCTCAGCATTTGCTTGTCTGTAAAGGATTTTATTTCTCCTTCACTTATGAATCTTAGTTTGGCTGGATATGAAATTCTGGGTTGAAAATTCTTTTCTTTAAGAATGTTAAATATTGGCCCCACTCTCTTCTGGCTTGCAGGGTTTCTGCAGAGAGATCCACTGTTAGTCTAATGGGCTTCCCTTTGTGGGTAACCCAACCTTTCTCTCTGGCTGCTCTTAACATTTTTTCCTTTATTTCAACCTTGGTGAATCTGATGATTATGTGTCTTGGGTTGCTCTTCTTGAGGAGTATCTTTGTGGTGTTCTCTGTATTTCCTGAATTTGAATGTTGGCCTGTCTTTCTAGATTGGGGAAGTTCTCCTGGATAATATCCTAAAGAGTGTTTTCCATCTTGGTTCCATTCTCCCCATCACTTTCAGGTACACCAATCAAACGTAGGTTTGGTCTTTTCACATAGTCCCATATTTCTTGGAGGCTTTGTTCATTCTTTTTCATTCTTTTTTCTCTAATCTTGTCTTCACACTTTATTTCATTAAGTTGATCTTCCATCTCTGATATCCTTTCTTCCACTTGATCAATTTGGCTATTGATACTTGTGTATGCTTCACGAAATTCTCGTGCTGTGTTTTTCAGCTCCATCAGGTCATTTATATTCTTCTCTAAACTGGTTATTCTAGTTAGCGATTCCTCTAACCTTTTTTCAAGGTTCGTAGCTTCCCTGCATTGGGTTAGAACACACTCCTTTAGCTCAGAGGAGTTTGTTATTACCCACCTTCTGAAGCCTACTTCTGTCAATTATCAAAGTCACTCTCCGTCCAGTTTTGTTCCTTTACTGGCAAGGAGTTGTGATCCTTTGGAGGAGAAGGGGCATTCTGGTTTTTGGATTTTTCTGCCCTTTTGTGCTGGTTTTTCCTAATCTTCATGGATCTATCTACCTTTCGTCTTTGATATTGATGACCTTCAGATGGGGTTCCTGTTGGCCATCCTTTTTGTTGATGTTGAGGCTATTCCTCTCTGTTTGTTTGTTTTCCTTCTAATGGTCAGGCATTAAGACCTCTGCTGCAGGTCTGCTGGAGTTTGCTGGAGATCCATTCCAGACCATGTTTTCCTGGGTGTCACCAGTGGAGGCTGCAGAACAGCAAAGATTGCTGCCTGTTCCTTCCTCTGGAAGCTTGGTCCCAGAGGGGCACCCACCAGATGCCACCCAGAGCTCTCCTGTATGAGGTGTCTGTCGACCCCTGCTGGGAGATGTCTCCCAGTCAGGAGGCACGGGGGTCAGGGACCCACTTGAGAAGGCAGTCTGTCCCTTAGAAGAGCTCAAGCGCTGCGCTGGGAGATCTGCTGCTCTCTTCAGAGCCAGTAGGCAGGAATGTTGCTGAAGCTGCGCCCACAGCCACCCTTCCCTCAGGTGCTCTGTCCCAGGGAGATGAGAGCTTTATCTATAAGCGCCTGACTGGGGCTGCTGCCTTTCTTTCAGGGATGCCCTGTCCAGAGAGGAGGAATCTAGAGGCAGTCTGGCTACGGTGGCTTTGCTGTGCTGCGGTGGGCTCTGCCCAGTCCAAATTTCCCAGTGGCTTTGTTTACACTGTGAGGGGAAAACTGCCTATTCAAGCCTCAGTAATGGTGGACACACCTCCCCCCACCAAACTCCAACATTCCAGGTCAATTTCAGACTGCTGTGCTGGCAGCAAGAATTTCAAGCCAGTGGACCTTAGCTTGCTGGGCTCCATGGGGATGGGACCCACTGAGCTAGACCACTTGGCTCCCTGGCTTCAGCCCCCTTTCCTGGGGAGTGAACAGTTCTGTCTTGCTGGTGTTCCAGGTGCCACTGGGGTATGAAAGAAAATTCCTTCTGCTAGCTCGGTGTCTGCCCAAACGAGTGCCCAGTTTCGTGCTTGAAACCCAGGGCTCTGGTGGCATAGGGAGCTGAGGGAATTTCCTGGTCTGTGGGTTGTGAAGACCATGGGAAAAGCATAGTACCTGGGCCAGAATGCACTGTCCGTCACAGCCCAGTCCCTCACAGCTTCCCTTGGTTAGGGGAAAGAGTGCCCTGACCCCTTGTGCTTCCCAGGTGAGGCAATGCCCCACCCTGCTTCAGCTCGCCCTCTGTGGGCTGTGCCGTCTAACCAGTCCCAATGAGATGAGCTGGGTATCTCAGTTGGAAATGCAGAAATCACCCACTTTCTGCATTGATCTCACTAGGAGCTGCAGACTGGAACTGTTCCTATTCAGCCACCTTGCCAGCTACCCTCTTTTCTATCTTACCTATCATTTTCTATTGAAATGAACCACCTCCCAAGTATAGCAGTGCCCACCATAATTCAACTTACTTAACTGAGCTTATGTTTTTTGATAAAAGGCTTTGTTTTGTTTTGTAGCTTTATTTATTCTGTATTGGAACTTATTACATTGCCTGTTAACACGTGGTCCAAACCATTTACAAGGAGCTCCAGTCTTACATATGGATATAGTTCTTTTTTTTTTAAGACAGAGTTTTGCTCTCATTGCCCAGGCTGGAGTGTGATCTTGACTCACTGCAACCTCTGCCTCCCAGGTTCAAGCAATTCTTCAGCTTCCCAAGTAGCTGGGATTACAGGTGCTTGCCACCATGCCTGGCTAATTTTGTATTTTTATAGAGACGGGGTTTCACCATGTAGGTCAGGCTGGTCTTGAACTCCTGACCTCAAGTGATCCACCCACCTCGGCCTCCCAAAGTGCTGAAATTACAGGCATGAGCCACCATGCCTGGCTGGATATATTTCAAATATAGATCTGGGTGTATGAGAAATGATAGCAGTATTGAGTCCCTTTAACTTACTAGCTGCTGTGATCTTGGCCAAATTTCTTAACTTCTTTAACATTCAATTCCATCATCTCAAAAGGAAGGGTATATAATACCTAAATTATAGTGTTACTGTAAAGATTAAGTGGGATAGTGTGTGTCAAGTTCCTGGTCTAATTCCTAGAGCATAAAAAAGTGATCAATAAGTGATAATGACAACAAAGATAATGACAACAAAGACAATAGTTGATAATGGGAGATAGAAAAAAATAGAAGAGGATGATTTTGGTTACTCCATATCCAACCCATGTATACTAGACAGAATTTACTAATTCTTCCCACTCAATCCAGGAGCTGTTGGGAAGACAGTAAGGGTTTTACATCTTTTTGAATGGTATCGAGGGATGACAGAGAGTCTATGGACAAGCTGTGCAGAAGTGACTGTGTCCTTTCTCTTCCTTCATTCATCAATTATTACTGTGTGCCCAACATGTGCCAGGCCCTTCTCCAGGCACAGGAGATACAGCTGGGGGAAACGATGCCTCCTGCCCTCTCAGTTTATATTCTAGAGGCAGGGGAGACAATTAAAAAGATAAATAAGTCCAAATAAAGTGTTTAAACGTTGAAGAGAAAAATTCAGCAAGGAAGAGGCATTGGGAATGTGGGAGCGGGGAGCTTAAATACTGATGTGTACAGGAGGATCATACAGCAAAAAGAAATTTGAATAAAGACCTAAAGGGGCAGGGTGTGGTGGCTCATGCCTGTAATCCCAGCACTTTGGGAGGCCAAGGCAGGTGGATCACTTGAGGTGAGGAGTTTGAGACCAGCCTGACCAACATGGTGAAACCCCCCATCTCTACTAAAAATGCAAAAATTAGCCTGGCATGGTGGCACGCACCGGTAGTCCCAGCTATTCGGGAGGCTGAGGCAGGAGAACCGCTTGAACCCAGAAGGCAGAAGTTGCAGTGAGCTGAGATACTACCACTGCGCTCCAGCCTGGGTGATGGAAGGAGACTCTGTCTCAAAAAACAAACAAACAAAAAAGACCTAAAGGCTGTGAGGGAGCAAATCACATGGATAGAGGAAAAAAACAAAAACATCCAGGTTAAAAAAAAAAAAAAAACGAGCCAAGGTCCTGAAGTGGGGCAAGCCCAGTAAGTCCAAATTCAGCCAAGTGGCCACGGTGATTGGAAGCCCTGAGCAAAAACAACAGAAGGAGGTACAAAACCAGTATGGTGGCAGCAGCTGGTGAATCATACATAACTCATTATAGGAACCTAGGTTTTTACTTTTGTTAGACAGGGTCTGGCTCTGTTGCTCAGGATGGAATGTAGTGGCACAATCTTAGCTTTACTGCAACCTGAGACTCCTGGGCACAAGAGAACCTTTCACTTCAACCTTCTGAGTACCTGGGACTACAGACGCAGGCTACCACGCCAGGATAATTTTTTTTTTTTTTTTTTTAGTAGAGATGGGGTCTCACTCTGTTGCACAGGCTGGTCTCAAACTTCTGACCTCAAGGGATCCTCTCACCCTGGCCTCTCAAAGTGTTGGGATTATACGCAAGAACCACTGTGCCTGGCCAAGTCCTATGTTTTTACTCTCAAATGGGAAGCCATCAAAAACGGTTTGAGAAGAGGGGTGACATGGCCTGATTTACCTGTTAAGAGGATCATTCTGTCTGCTGTGTTGAGAATAGACAGCAAGCTGCCAGTTAGAAGAACAGTATAATATTGTAGGTGGGAGATAACGGTGGCTAATAACAGAGCAGGAGCAAGAGAGGTGGGGAGGTGTGGTCATATTCTGGATATTTTTTATGGGTAGAGCCAATAAGATTTCTTAATGGATTATGAAGAGAGAAATCAAGGATAACCCCCAAATGTTATAACTGGGCGAATGAAGTTGCCATTCAACAAGCAAGAAAAGACTTAGAAGGAGCTGGATGAGAGAGAAGGGTTGGAAAATGAGGACCAGGTATTTAGCTACGTCAGTCTGGAATTGAAGAGAGAGATCCAAGCTGGCTTTGGGAGGCTGAGGCAGGAGGATTCCTTGAGGCCAGGAGTTCAAGCCTGCAGTGAGCTGTGATCGCTCCACTGTACTCCAGTCTGGACAACAGAGCTAGACCCTGTCTCAAAAAAAAAAAAAAAAAGAAAAGAAAAGAAAATTCAGAATCATAAGAATATAGAATGAATTTAAAGCCATTTGTAAGGAGCTGTAAAGCAAGGATGGGATAAACACCTAAAACAGACTTTGATCGAGTAGAGCAGAGGAGAGCAGGGGAAAAGAACACAGAAATGGAAAGCAATGGGTAATGATGGTTCCTGCAAGGGACTTCAGGGTCAAGCATGCCAAGCACAGCACACTGTGACAGGAAACTGGCCATGGGGGCAGGGCTGTGAAGGCAGATGAGCAATTCTGCCTCCTCTGTGCTCACCAGTGTGCCCCGATGATCTCACTTTACTGGTTCTTACACCTCGACCTACCCTCCACAGTCAAGGGACATTTGCTTCATTATTTAATTCTAACTTAATCTTTCTATTAAAAAGATAATAATTTTCTAAAGGGTTTACTATATTTTAAAAATGTGAAGAAAGCTTAGAAAGGAAATGTTTATCTACCCATTTCATATGGAAATAAAATTTCATGCTTAAATTGCCATTTGGTTGTGCTTGTTAGGAATCCCTAACATCCCTAAGGATTTATTAAAGCAGGATCTTCGAGGGGGTCTATCCTCAGTTATCATAACTCATGACCTGTGACATGGGGTGAAACTTGGGGCTTTGGGGGCTTTTTTGCCTGTGCCTGGTCTTTGCTAGCTTTCCCCTTCCTACCCTCAGGAACTCAGTTTTTGGCCCTTTTCCCTTTTCATCCTGTACACACACTCTCTCTGGGAACTCCAACACTCCATATAACCACCACTTATCTGCTGAGGCTCCTCATTTTGCCATTTCTCAGCACAAAGCTCATGAAAACAATGCTTCACCAGTTATCTCCCTTGTGTCACAGGCATCTCAGAAGCCACACATCCCAAACCATTCATTTTTCTCCAGACATCCTCTTCCTTATCCAGAATTCCCTCTCCCACAAGCTTCACCATCACTTATGAAGTCTCCAGAGCCAAAAACCTAGGAGTGACCCTAGACTCTTTCACTCTCCCCACTTCAACCTAGCATCCAGTTAGACTTGTTAATTCTACAATTTAAATATTACTTTCTCCCCTACGCCATTTCTGCAATTCCTGCATACTTTTTTTTTTTTTTTTTTTTGAGATGGAGTCTTCTTTCATCCAGGCTGGAGTGCAGTGGCGCGATCTTGGCTCACTGCAACCTCTGCCTCCCAGATTCAAGTGATTCTTGTGCCTCAGCCTCCTGAGTAGCTGGGGTTACAGGTACACACCACCACACCCAACTAATTTTTTTATTTTTAGTAGAGATGGAGTTGTGCCATGTTGGCCAGGCTAGTCTGGAACTCCTGACCTCAAGTGATCCACCTGCCTCAGCCTCCCCAAGTGCTGGGATTACAGATGTGGAACACCATGCCCAGCCCTCCTATATACTCTTATAATTCCATATATCCAAAGATTTAGCAATTATTTACTTGTATGTCTGTGTCACCTGTTAGACTGTGAATTCTTTGAGGGAGATTAGTGAATCTTATTGTGTAGAGGTGAACTAACTAATGCCAGATTTCTGCAGGGTGAGACCAGTTGGTAAAGATGAGGGTATAGACATCAGTGGCTGCAGCAAGAGGCACTGTAGAAGGGGCAGATATTTGTAACAGTAAAAAGCCTTGCAAAGTTGATGTTGGATGATGCCCCCTAGAATTGTGTGTATGTAGCCTGCACAATCGCATGCAGAGGTCCTGATTAAATATTCCTGAATCTGTGAATGAGAATTTACTGAATGCCTGATATCTGGTGGGAGATAAAGTATCAATCACAGTTCTTCTGTCCTCCAGGAGCTTCCATGTAGTTGGAGAGAAGAGGTGGATGCACAATACGTGACAGTGTAGAATTGTTTGATTTTCATAGTGTAGGCTGTGTCCTGGAAGATAAAAATCAATGAGATTAGAAATGAAAGGCTTCTTGCAGGAAGTAAACCTAAGAGGGGCTCAAAAACTGGTAAAATCCAGTAAAAAGGAAGACAAAAAGGAAATAAATACATGGATTTAGAAGTGTGTTCACAGGACAGTCAAGAGTCTGGCCTGACCAACAGAGAGGTCTCATGCTGTGGGATAGCAGGACAGAAAGTAGGGCAGGTAAAAGACAGAAAAATTAGGCAGAGCATGAATGTGCAAAACGATGAGTCATTGATTTAAGCAAACTGGAATTAAAATTTGACCCTATCCTCTACATAAGGCTGATATTTCTTTTGGCTCAGTTGGATTTCCTTAGGTCTTCTTCCACAAGAAGCACCAAGATATGGATCTAGTAGTCTGCAAAAGTAAAGGAAGTTAGAGGGCGTGCCTGATGTCAGCCAATGGAAACACACCAGCTGATTAAGGAGGGGCATTATTTCACTTAAAAAGGGGCTCTTGCTTCTCTCTAAGGACTCAAAGGCTGATCAATTCAATGAGAAAGACAACATTGAAAGGACTTGAGTGGTGGGTAACCAGAACTAGAACTCCACAGGAGAACATCAATTGTAGTCTTTACAAATATGTGTTTAACTACAGAAAGAGTGCTTAAAGGACAGTCCAAAGAAACATCTTTGTGTATGAGTGTGAAGGAAACAGAAGATATCAGTTAAAGAAAGGACAAGAAAGGAAATGAAAAAGAGGTGTGAGATTTGTCAACCTTTTCCCTAAGCGCCCTTTCCAGTTCTCAGTGAGTGCAATATAATAACTACCCAACATGACAAAAAAACTCATCATGAAACTTCAGCCAGTGGCAAAGCAGAATGAGCAATTTCATAGAACACAACCAACAACTGACATGAGGTCTGCAACAGAACTACAAAAGGAAGACAAGTTAACTGTTAAACCTCCAACAGTTATGTTCTGCTGGGTTAGGAACAACAAAATTTAGAGGCCACATAGTCTTACATTTTATCCCAAGATGTAAATGTTTTCCTTCTATAAGCTTGCTTAGAAATTGAACACACCAAACTATAGAAGATTTTTTCCTGTAATTTGTTGTGCATTATCAGCTATTTACGTAATTACTCTAATTAAGCTAGTTACAGCAGTTCCTGTAAATATGTGAAAGATCACTGAAACATGTAATTATGTCCTTATATCATTAATTAAACTGTATCAGCTGGGAAAATTACTATAACTATGTCTGGAGGTGTCATTAGTCTGTGTAATGGAGACATAGAATTCTTTATTGAACTATAATAAAGTGTTCTGCATTAATAATACATTTAAAACACCACTTGTGATTTTTTAAAGTTCCAGATCTCAGCATAAAAGAAATATGTATCTTTTACTCCACAATGATTTGAAAAACGGACGCAGGTTTTAGGCTTTTTTTATTACCAACTTGGGTAGAAGGCAAGTTGACAAGTGGGCCCAGTTCCCTAGTGGCCATTCTTGGCATTGCAGCAGGAGCGGCAGCATCAAGCCCTGGGCTCTTCCTCCTGGAAGAGGCTCAGCCAAAGCTCATGCTGGGAGAACTTCCCTGCTTCCCATGCTGAACCCGCCCCAACTGTTCCCTCCTAGGTTCTCATGCACCCACGAACCAACCTCTTTTCTCATCGTTTATATGTAAATAGATGTCCGAATGCCCCTAGCCAAAATATTAGATTAATAATAGTAAGAAAAGGAGTAGAAAAACTTCAAAGTAGTACATTTTTTAAAATAGAATTTCAGGCTGGGCATGGCGGCTCACGCTGGTAATCCCAGATACTCAGGAGGCTGAGGTGGGAAGATTACTTGAGCCCAGGAGGTCGAGGCTGCAGACAGTCATGATTACACCACTGTACTCCAGCTTGGGTGACAAAATGAGATGCTGTCTCAAAAAAAAAAAAAAAAAAAAAAAAAGAAAGAAAGAAATTTAGACATCATGAATATGATAAGTGCAGCTGAGAATCCAGTCTTTCATGCCTTCAAATCAGTCAGTTTCTGTCTCCTTCTGAGGCTGGCCCTGCAGTCAGCACTTGGAGATACCTCAAGCCTTATACCAGGAGGCAGCACCCTGATTCAGTCAAGAAAAAACGCAGATCGCTCTGCCAGGGGATGGCATACCGTGGCCACAGACACTCTTATTGGTTCAAAGGATGCTCAATATGAAGAAAAAGGTGCCTAGGACTGAAAAGATGAGGGGATCCCCAGAACTTCAGAAAGACACACAGGAAACCCCCTCCTTCAGAAAATAACAAACAGAGAAAGCTTTCAGTTCTTCAAGTGCAAAAAATAAAAGCTTATGACTAGAATTCTGATTCTCTTTAGTTTAATGTGTATTTCTGGGGAGAGGAAAAGATTAACGTTCTTATACCAAAATCTTACACAAGGTTTCATCTTTTTTTGGAAATCAACAACTACATTTTAAAAGCAAATTCTTTGAACTAGAAGTTTCTGACTTTTAGCAGAAAACTACACGATTTAATTTTTAATAATTATAAAATACAATACTTAGATTTGTCTCCAATCTTTGTATGTAGCAAATAACATACTTGACTATGGTTCCATCAAATTCACATTTATGGATGAAATAGTTGTTTAGAACTAGATTTAAATTAGTTGAACTTCTTTCAGCTTCATTCTGTAAGGCAGAATTAGGTTGATTCTACAAAATGGCACATAATAAGACACGAGTGACTCCTCACTTTTTGGGTCCAACAGTAACTTCATGAATCTAATGACTGCTATGGAAACTCTCGCCTTTAAAAAACGAAAACTTGAATATATTCATTGTATTTTACATAAAATTTTGTCTCCTAAAGTCTACTCACAGACCTAAAATATACATTGAATTTTTAATTTGTATGAGTGTTTTCTATCAGGAGCACTGAAGTAGAGTGAGAACTTAATTAAAAACGTTTATTTATTTATTTGTTTATTTATTTATTTAGATGGAGTCTCGCTCTGTTGCCCAGGCTGGAGTGCAGCGGCGTGATCTCGGCTCACTGCAAACTCCACCTCCCAGGTTCAAGCTATTCTCCTGCCTCAGCCTCCCGAGTAGCTGGAATTACAGGTGTGCGCCATCATGCCTGGCTAATTTTTGTATTTTTAGCAGAGACGGGGTTTCACCATGTTGGCCAGGTTGGTCTTGAACTCCTGACCTCAAGTAATCTGCCCACCTCAGCCTCCCAGAGTGCTGAGATTACAGGAATGAGTCACCGCGCCCAGCCTAAAAACTTTTAAGGAAAGAAAATCATGGCAGATAATCACATGCCACATAGAATACTGGCAATATTTTAATGTACACACTGGTCAGGAAATTAGACCAACTTTTAGTACACAAACACTGCAAATATTGCTACTTCTACTTCCCATCCTTCCTTCCTTCAATTAATTTTCATATAGGTTCAGAATGTTCATTTTATGTATATATACATACTTTTATGTATACATATATATACACATATACTATTACATATATATATATACACACATATACTATTTTATATATATTTCTATTTCCTAACATATTCCTGAGGTAACACTGTCTTTCCGATCCTGCAGGGTTGCCATCACTGACTCCCAGGTGATGCAGCCTCTGCAGATCTATCCGCTGGCTCCAGATTGTCAGCTTCTGTCTTTAGTTCTGAATTCCCCCACCTTCAGGAGTTATCTGGTATTCTCAAAGAGAAGGGTGGCTAAGAAGGGAGGTTTCTTTCCAAAAACTCCCCTTAGGCAAGGCAGGCAGAACTGTGAAGAGAAAACAGAAAATAGGAGAGCTTGTTCTTGTTTTCTGAATCCCAAAGAACGTCACCCCCAATGCTGTCACTCACTAAATGGAGCATCTCAGGAGGAGAGATGCTGCAGCCAGTCTCAGAGGAAGGATCTCAGTCTCCTGGACATATCTGTTGCTTTCTTTCACTTGGTGATAGACAAGCCACGATCTCATTTCAAAGCCTTCAGTTAGGCTATGGGATGCTACCTTCAAAATCAAGCTTCTCTTAGATCTATATAGAGGTGGAACACAACATGAAGATTGGATATCTAATATTGGCCTGAGGTTTTCTTTGTTCTGGGAAGTAATCACTGGAGCGACTCTCTTGGTATGACATGCATGGCTGCAGAGTTCCTCCCAGGAGACTGGACAGTCAATGGAGTCCCTCATGCCACAATGGATTCACTCATCTCTTTTAGGTGAGTAGTTGCTCTCAGAGAGCAGTTCAAGAGGCCTTGGCATGATTGTTTACAGTAAGGAAAACAAGAATCTATTTTTTAAAAAACTTTTAGGTTCACAGGTACGCGTGCAGGTTTATATAGGTAAACTTGGGTCATGGGGGTTTGTTGTACAGATTATTTCATCACCCATGTACTAAGCCTAGTACCCAATAGTTATTTTTTCTGCTCCTCTTCCTCCTCCAGCCCTCCACCTTCAGGTAGGTCCCAGTGTGTATCGTTCCCCTTTATGTGTCCATGTGTTCTAATCATTTAGCTCCTGCTTAAAAGTGAGAACATGTGATATTTGGTTTTCTGTTTCTATGTTAGTTTGTTAAGGATAATGCCCTCCAGTTCCATCCATGTCCCTGCAAAGGACATACTCTCATTCTTTTTTATGGCCACATAGTATTCCATGGTGTATATGTACCACATGGAAAATAAGAATCTAATACTACAATTCTTAAAGACTTCGATGATAGCCAAAAAACTATATGTCTTTGAAGAAATTATTTTTAAAAAGCACTTTATAACATGTTGAATATAACATGCATTTATGAGTACTATATTTATTAGAGAGGCAGAGCAAAACTGAAAAAGTCCTCTTTCCAAGGCTACCAAATGCAATACACTTGCTAAGATTTATCACCTACCTAATGAGGTTAATTGAGATTTTTTTACTCCAGAGTCTCATGTGGGCCTATTCTTGACCAAACCCCCGCTCAAAAACTAATGTACACCAAGAGGTAATGGTTACAAATGGATCAATGTGGTCATTTAATTCAAAGCAATGGTTGGAACAGGAGTCTGACAACACCCTAGGGTTATTAAGTGTCAGAACAACAGGGAAAGTAACTTTGCTCAGGGCAATCTACTGAAAACACTTAACATTGTGCTGTGCACGGTGGCTCACACCTATAATCCCAGCACTTTGGGAGGCTGAGGAGACAGGATCACTTGAGCCCAGGAGTTTGAGCCCAGCCTGGGCAAACATAGGGAGACCCTGTTGCTACAAAAAATAAAACTAATTAGCCAGGCATGGTGGCACACATCTGCGGTCCCAGCTACTCAGGAGGCTGAGGTGGGAGGGTCACTTGGGCCCAGGAGGTCAAGGCTGCAGTGAACTGTGATTGCGCCACCGCACTCCAGCCTGGGTGACAGAGCAAGACCCTGTCTCAAAAAGAAAAAAAAAAGAAAAAGAAAAGAAAAGCCTGGGTTACATAGGGCAAGTGCTCACCAACTTCTTACCTGGTTGTTGGAATTAAGAATAACCCAAGCTCCCTTGGACAGAACTTTATGCACCTTGTATGGTAATTACTACATGCTGGTTTCCTCCCACTAAGCACCTCCAAGGGCAGGTACTTGTCACACTCATCTTTTGTCTGCAAGCTCCTAGCAAGTGCTTGTCACAAAGTAAACCCTCCTTGAGTGTTTGTTGGCCTCCAAAGAAGTGATAAATTGGGAGGCCGAGGCGGGTTGATCACAAGGTCAGGAGTTTGAGACCAGCTTGACCAACATGGTGAAACCCCATCTCTACTAAAAATACAAAAATTAGCCGGGCATGGTGGTGGGCACCTGTAATCCCAGCTCCCAGCTACTCAGAAGGCTGAGGCAAGAGAATTGCTTGAACCCGGGAAGTGGAGGTTGCAGTGACCCGAGATTGCGCCATTGCACTCCAGCCTGGAAGACAAAGTGAGACTTGGTCTCAAAAAAAAAAAAAAAAAAGAAGAAGTGATAAATGCCCTATTTTTGTGATATGTCCAACACAGCACCATGCCAACTATGAATCTTGAAAATTATTTTTGAAATCCCAGAAGGAAAAATAAAAGACAGATACATTTCTTTTTTACTATATGGAGGCAACATAAATTTTCTAGGTCCTGTTGTTAGAGCTCCCTTGCATCCTTTTTGGTACAAATCAGTGATCCAGAGGATATCTAAATAGCTTAAATAAAATGAAAGCCCTACCTTTTGGATTTTTTGGAAGCTGATTTCAGCATGGTGATACTCAAAATATCAGAGGTGCTGATTTGTTGTTGATTCCCTTCATTGCCTTCACTAACACCAAGTCATATATTTCATAAAGGAAAAGCTTTTACATTTTACATGAAAACTGACCATAATACTACTAAATCCCAGTTGTTTTCTTAATTAGTTTATGCCTAATCATGGCCAACTAAGTCCTACAGCCCCAGGCATGACTCAAAGCCAGAAATGCCAATAATTACTGACCTCAGTAGGTCACGTATTCTTTCTTTGGAAAATTATCTGGAGTAAATTCTTATTCAAAAATCTCTGTGGAGTTACTCTTTATTCTATTTGTTGCAATGAGTTAACCCTCTTATAGGTCTGGAATTTCACAATCCCTCTTAAAATAAGTAGTATTCTCAGTTCACTCATTATTTGCAATACTCATAGATGAACTATTCAATTACTGAAAAGAAATCTAGGAATAATATCACTTTAAAAAAATCTCCTAGGAAGTCCCTAAGGTTTTGTGATCATAAAAGCCTGGGTTCAAAACCTAGCTCTAAACTTTAAAGGTTGTGTAAATTTGCACATGTACTTAAACTCTCAACTGCTCTATTTCCTCCTCAGTCAAATGGAGATAAGACTCACTACTGGCAAGGATGCTTTGAGGGTTAGCAATAGTCTAAAAAAGTGGCTGACATATAGCAAATGCTTAATAAATAGTAGCTATTAATCTAGTGTCTCAGTCTATTAATTACAAACCATATTTGTGTTCTTGTAGTAATTTATCCACAGGTTATGAAACACTTGGACATATATTATCCACTAGATCCTCACTCTGGTTCTGTGGGGTCATGCATAGTACACGTACCATTTCTCTTATATTGATGAAGATTTAGGGTCAAATATTAAACATTTTGCCCAAAGCTGCACAGTGAGTTTGGGAGCCCTAGGACTCAAGCTCAGGGTCTCTGACTCCAAGTCAGATATGTACGTCCTGCCCTCCTTCTACCCTGCCTGCTATCACTGACTCAGGCAGCCTACACATCCATTTAAGGTAAATGTTTATTGTTTGATCAAAAGCTGAATATCAAATGATCTAACTGGAACCTATTGGGATAAATCTTTTTATTTTCCAGCACTCAGGAATTCTACAAATTTGATCTTTAAGAAAATGATGAAGATGAGTATGAATAGCTTGAAGACAGCATAATACCTTAAGCCAAGGTATCTGACCTTGAACAATTCCATGCCCTACAGCTGTACTGTCTAATATAGGAGCCATAACTACATATGGCCATTGAGCAATTGAACTGCAGTTTGTGTGGCTGAGGAACTGAATTTTAAAATTTATTTATTTTTAATTAATTTAACAATTATTGATTGTTAATTTATTGATAGTTAATGACTAACTTATTTATAATTAACATTAATTAATTTAATATTAAATTTAAAACTGACAGTTGCTTTAGTTACAGGAAAACTTTTAAGTATAAAAAATTTTAAGTATGTTTTAAACAACTTGGGTATGCAATCTACTTTTTCAACTATACATTTTATGAATTCTAAATTTGTAAATAAAGTATTTCTGATGAGTATTGAGTATCTGAATTGAGTTGTGCCATGGGTATAATATATACACCAGATTTCAAAGACTTAGTACCAAGAAAAGAATGTAAAATATCTTCTTAATAATTTTTATTATTGACTGCACCTTGAAATGATAACATTTTGTATATATTAGTTTAAATAAAACATATCCACCCCTCTAATCCCAGCATTTTGGAAGGCCAAGGCAGGTGGATCACTTTAGGTCAAGAGTTCAAGACCAGCCTGGCTAACATGGTGAAACCCTGTCTCTACTAAAAATACAAAAATTAGCCCGGCATGGTGGTGTGCACCTGTAATCCCAGCTACTCAGGAGGGTGAGGCAGGAGAATTCCTTGAACCAAGGAGACAGAGGTTGCAGTGAGCCAAGATCACGCCACTGTACTCCAGCCTGGCAACAGAGCAAGATTCTATCTCAAAAAAAAGTATGTATATACATATGTATACATATGTGTATATATGTCATCACAATTAGGGATATTTGTTTCTTTTTTTTTAGGGATATCTGTTTCTTTTCTTCTTTTTTTAGCATGGCACAAAAAAATTTTAAGTAGATATATGGCTCGAATTGAATTTTACCTGGCAGCACTGTCCTAAAGGAAACCCAATGAGCTATGTAACCAGAGAAAATCACATATAATGTCACTTTTTATTTTATTAACCAATTTTCATTTTTGACAGGCCTGAGTCTCAGATTCTTCACTACTGAGGGTTTTCAAAGATGCTACTTTCTCTGAGACAGGCAGACAGAGGGCAAGAATGTGGGATTTTCTTTGGTGGGATAGGACTGGAGAAGTGAAAAGGCCTAAAAATACTGAAATTGACATAACTCTTGAATTAAAAGCTATGCTCAGTTTAATTCATTGCCTCAAACATTTATGGGACATCTACAAAGTGCAAGTGATTTGTTACGTGAAGGTTAATAGAGCCCAAAATTCCAGCCTCTAAGGTGCTTATATCCAAGTGCAGTATTTCTCAAGACGTGGTCCAGAAACCATCACGTCAGCATCACCTGATTCTGCCTGTTAAAAATGCATATTCTTAAGTCTTAGCTAAGCCTATTGAATTCAACTTCTGGAGATGGTTACTCAGGAGTCTGAGTGTTAAATGGTCATTCTTATGCCACTAAAATATGATTCCCTCTTTCAGAGGGCAAGAGTGAGACATGAAACAGTGGATATTGTGTAAGTACTCTGCTGGAGGCATGGGAGCATTCACAGTATGCCATGAAAGACCTTTTTGAGCAGCAGGTTTCTAAACGAATTTATAATGACGAGCAGGAATTAGTCACCAAAGAAGGCTGGGAGGAGAGTAGCAAGCAGAGGCTCAGAATGAGTGAGATATCTGGGCACAAGTCCTTATGGCATATATGAGGACCTATGAGAAGTGCACTGTTACTAGGGCATAAGTGTAATATGAGGCTATAAAAACCTTAGATGAAATGCTTTAATCTTTAGAGTAGGGGTTTTCTTAGGGTGAAGGGGACATTGGTGGAAGAAATAGGGGAGGCATGTGTAGTTTGAAGACAGTTTCCAGATGACACTGATATTCTGCTCAAGAGCCACTGCTACCAGCAGCATTTTAAGCAAGGAGTATTATAGCCAGGACTGTGTTTAGGAATTTTTCTGCCTGACAGGTGAGAGGAAAATGGCTTTGAGAGGGGCTAGCCCAGCACAAGGGAGTTGATCATTCTCTAAACTAAAGTGATGGTAAGAGAGATTAAAAAGGAGGGAAATAAAGCAGTGAACTTAGCAGGGCTTTGAACTTGACTGAATGTCGGTGAGGGGAGAGTTTAGGGCGACTCCAAGTTCCTGGCTTGACTACAACTGAAAGGGTGGTAATGCCATTCACTGAGAGAGAACGTCAACAACCAAGCCTGTTCTAATTTCAAAACTTTGCTTGGCATGTTCTTTTGAATGAGTCATTACATGCAAAACCTGTTGACAGTCTTCAAAAGGAACCAATGAAGACATAACATGGCACAAGATTGTACACCACTATGGAGGAACTGCATCAAGTTTTTATTAATAAAATCTGTTCCCATCTTATATTTTCAAAGAGACCTACTTATGACAAAATGTTTTGTGGCTTTTCATCAATATTATCATCATGAAAATTTTGATATTTACACACTGAAAGGTACCTTTAAGTGCAATAGAGTGAGGTTTTTTTCAGAGTTTTAAATATTAGTAACACCAACTTTATATACATGTACGTCAAATCATTGAGAAAAACATGTAACAGTGTGAAGGTAAAAGGTATCTTCTTTTAAAAAGTATTTTGCATAGATATTGTTCTTTAAATGTTCCATGAGGATATCCTTAACTACCAGTTATTTAGAAGAAAGAAAGAAGCAGCAAAAGAGTTTTCAAAGAAAAAAAAGTATATGCAATCTAAAAGCCAGCTAAGGTGCTATGCACACCCTCTAAGTCCCAGCTGCTTGGGAGGCTGAGGCAGGAGGATCACTTGAGCCCAGGAATTCAAAACCAGCTTGGGCAACATAGCAACATCTCATCTCAAAAAAAAAGAGAAAAAGTTATCAAAACTCCATGTAACCTAGATTAAAACATAATTAGAAATTTTATACATATATCAAAATGTCATATTGTTCCCCATAAATATATACACTTATAATTTATCAATTATTGATAAAGAAATAAGAGCTTTTATATCACGATTTTGGTGTACCTGACATTTTTCAAACAAATTCCGCCTTTTGGGGCCAAAGTGCTCTCTGTCAAGCTCCATACTAAAGGATCAAATGAGCCTCCCCAAGCTCCCAGCAGAACTAGCACTTTGGAACTTTGTCAAAATTTTAAGACAAAGGATTATAAACACTTTGATATAGTTTCCTTAGAGGCTGAATGTTTTGCTTAACACAAATATTTAAACCAAATTAAGATAACTCAAGAACTGATATGTTTCATAAACTGATTGTTTTTATTTTTCTCAGAACCGTTACCTTAACTGAAGAGTAAATTGGAATAAGCAATTTCTATAGATGTCAAAACTTTGTAAAATTGATTTTTTACATCATCCACAAACTTTGTATTTCTAGCAACAAATGTAAAAGAAAGAGTAGAGTTATGGTACACTTCATCCTAACAGGGTTCACATTTAAAATCATGTAGTCCACTTCTGTGAAGGGCCCAAGAAAAATAACTCCCTTAAATCCGTTCCTTTCTTCTTGTTCTGTTCGAGTTAAAAACTTTATTTTCTTAGACTTTGGTTAAAAAAAAAAAAAAAAAAAAAACAAGGAAAGACATAGTGGTGATTAAAAAACATGCCATTTCTTACCAAATGGTTTTCACAAAGCCTAAAAAAACCTACAGTTGCTGGAATTAAGCACTCATTCACTTATTGATTTTATGACTAATTTTAAAATGGATGGCCCATTGAGGTAAATTCAATATTATATAAAGATGTAGTAAAGTCAACAATCAGATAAATATACAATGATAAAGTAGGAGAGACAGAAATAAGATTCAGAAAAATAATATGTGAAACATCATGCTTTAAAAGAAAAACAGTTCCAAAGTCATATTGCCAAACAGACAGAAATCTATCCAAATCATAGAAATAAAGCACTACAAGTAAGCTTAAAATTATGATTTTGCTATCATTTGTAAGGTTATCAACCTTTATCTGAGGACAGAATTGAATCCCTTTGAAGGACTCACAATACAGGAAGAATTACAAGAACATAAAGGCATAGGAGTTAAAAGTTGAAGGCTGCCAGAGAGTAGCGGAAAGAACTTTGGATTTGGAACAAAAAAACCTTCATTTAAACAGTCCCAGCTCTGGTAAATGTTATCTGTGTGACCTTGTGCAAATTACTTCACCTGTTTCAATTTCAGTTACTTGACCTGGAATTGAGGAAAATAATACCTGCGGGGGAGACATAGGCAGAAAGGCATGAACTGCTGTGAGGATTAAATGATATAATATATGGCACAGCCTGTTGTAATCTCTAAAGCCAAATATAACGTGCTAATAAGTATATTAAATAAAAAATAAATAAAACAGCTCCAACTAGTTCTCATCAGTTGTCATCAGCACAACAAAGATTTATGTACGTACTTATGTTCAAGACCCCGTTCTAGGAACTGAGTAGGTAGAAAGGTAAAAGATACTGTCTCTCCTCTCTGACCTATAATGAAGGCTCCAGATGAAATAAGACACATTTATAAATAGATAGATAGATGATGCTTAGATAGATAGATAGGTAATAGATGACAGATAGATAGATAGATAGATAGATAGATAGATACATAGATAGATACATAGATAGATACATAGATAGATAGATGATAGCAAAGAAAGGTAACATAGGCCATACACTCAACAAGAGTCAGGGAAGGTAGGTATTAACACAACTCACAGGTGGGAGAAATGACTGTGGATTAGCAAGGTCCAAGAAGGCTTCAGAAGGAAGATTTGGACTTCAGCAGGGCCTGAAGAATGGGTAGCACTTACATAAGCAGAGAGGAGAAAGGAAGGCATTGCAGGCAGGAGGCATGCTTGTAACCAAAGGCCTGAGATTGCCAATGGTTTTTTGGGGGAGGAAACAGAGTGAACAGAGTATGATAAGAGATAAGGCTGAAAGGTAGGTTGTGTTCTAAGGCAAAATGGCATGCAGTCAGTGTGCCCGTCAAGCCCTGCAGGTTGTCTATAGCCAGGCCCACTCTGATTGGCCAATACATGAGCCACTTCAGGTATTAAATACTATCACCCCTGGGGGTAAGGTTGTCTGGGCACAGAGGCCAGAGCAAGCTCAGTATAGGGAATGCCAAGTTAAGGAGTTCAGATCTCTATCTTGTCAACATTAGGGAGCCAGTTAAGGGTATTTAAACAGATGACTAACATGCTAAAAGTGAGTATAATGAGATTATTGAGCAGTGGGATGCAGAATGCATGGGGGAAAAGTGGCCACAGGGTGGAAAATTAATTAGGGGGCTGTTATGGTAGTTCAGGGTGAAGTAATAATAGCCTAGAAGAAGGTGGTGACAATAGAAAGAGAAAACAGGCCCTGAATGTGCAGGAATCATCTAGTAAAAGTTCCACTTCTTTCTTTCTGCAGGCCCAAGCCTTGCACAGTGCCCAACACTAAGTAAACACATGTGTTTATCAACTATAAGGAACTATGGAAACATTGTCAGGGATACAAAGGTAAATTGAGAGACCTGAGTATTTAAGAAAGAAACAGAATATTAAAGACTGGAAACATTTTTAAAGATCTCTACTGCAGCCTCCATGGATTGAAGGTTTGAAATATGAGGCTCAGAGAAACTGTGTGCTGCTCATACATTTGATGAACCTGCCTTAAACACCCTGTTATTTGTTATTCCAATAAGCCCCTAAATGTTATTAATCTTTTGTTGTTGTTGTTTCTATTAGCATTTCTACTAATAAAAGCTTACTGTTTTGTTGACTAACTTTGAAAGCTGCTATTTTACATTTATAACATATGTGGGAAAGTATAGAGAAGGAGGGGAATTGACTAAGAACAGTTGTGAGAAGAGATAAGAGAGAAATTACATCTGTAGGCCGGGTGCAGTGTCTCACGCCTGTAATCACAACACTTTGGGAGGCCCAGGCAGGCGGATCACGAGGTCAGGAGTTCAAGACCAGCCTGGCCAACACAGTGAAACCCCGTCTGTACTAAAAATACAAAAATTAACTGGGCGTGGTGGCAGGCGCATGTAATCCCAGCTACTCGGGAGGCTGAGGCAGGAGAATTGCTTGAACCAGGAAGTCAGAGGTTGCAGTGAGCCGAGATCGTGCCATTGCACTCCAGCCCAGGTGACAGAGCTAGACTCCGTCAAAAAAAAAAAAAAAGAAAGAAAGAAAGAAAGAAAGAAATTACATCTGTAAACTGGTCTTGAAGAATTTCCCCGAAAGCTTTAAAAAGATAGGACTGTCACTTGGAGAAAAGTTAACGATTCCATAAAACAGATATTCTAAAGCAGAAAGAGGTAAGACCTTCATCCTCTACAGCAATGTTTTTCAAACTGCGATTCACTACCTATAAACAGAGCACGAAAACAACTTTGGGATCCTGACCAGAATGAAGAGAAGAGAAGAGAAGAGGTCTCAGATTGCATGCTTGGTAGTAAGGGGTAAGTATTGTTTTGTGAAACTTTTAAAAATTATTATTTAATAGGGACAAGGTCTCACTATGTTGCCCAGGCTGGTCTCAAACTCCTGGTCTCAAGCAATCCTCCCACCTCGGCATACCAAAAAAGTGCTGGGATTACAGGTGTGAGCCACCACACATGGCCAGAACTTTTCTTAGCTCTGTGTGTGTGTGTGTGTGCGTGTGCGTTGAGATAGGATGTAAGATGTGCTTCTTATCGTGTCACATATAAAAATATTTGAGGCCGGGTGCAGTGGCTCACGCCTGTAATCCCAACACTTTGGGAGGCTGAGGCGGGTGGACCACCTGAGGTCAGGAGTTCGAGACCAGCCTGGCCAACATTGTGAAACCCCGTCTCTACTAAAAATACAAAATATTAGCTGGGCGTGGTGGAAGGTGCCTGTAATCCCAGCTACTCGGGAGGCTGTGGCAGGAGAATCGCTTGAACTCGGGAAGCGGAGGTTGTCGTGAGCCAAGATCGCACCATTGCACTCCAGCCTGAGCAATAAGAGCGAGACTCTGTCTCAAAACATATATGTATATACGTATGTGTGTGTGTATTTGAAAGCCACCTTTTCCTCAAATAAATCAAAGCCTTTCAAAATCAGTTGAAAAAATACAGAATTTTATTAAAAGAAGAAAACATTTGTGTGTGTGTGTATATATATATATAACTTTCTTTATTCCCCAACAGGTCTCTCCACCCAGCCTCTACCTCTCAGTCTCAGCCCTGTCTTTTAACCTCTTAAATATTATCCAAAGACTTTCCCTTGGTCAGATCTCTACATTAGCAACTCTATGAAATAGCACAGTTGTTGCCTTCATGTAAATAAACTCTTAAATAAAGCATTTATTTGATGTGCTACTGGTGAATGTTTAACAATCAGTTTTCCAATAAGAAAAAGCCCTTATTTGTAGCACTTGCCATTTCCTGTGGTGTAAATACTCCAACTAGAGCCAATTTCAAGTTACTAACATTACATCACTACATATGAAATTGGAAAGAGATGCACAACAGCACATATTACATTGTGTGATAGACATAAATAACCTCAAGTATGTAGATAATAGGAAAATGTCATAAAATAGGAAGTGATGAGTTTTGAATATTTATTGTCTTTTAAAATAAAATATATTTAACTGTAAGTTTATATAATTTACTTTTTAATAATGGCTGTGTCTAACAATTAACTCACAAAATTTAGCTCCCGTGTATTCCTGACCCAGCTTGACTTCGCCAGCAGGCTCTGATCCCACACTCTCTACCACCTGCTGAACAACTCTACCCGGATGTCTTCCATAAGAAACCACAAATTTAACATACCGAAATCTAAACATGCTTTCCTCTTTGAATCTCCCAGTGCATACTTCTCTTCGCCTCTTGACTTCCCTATTTCTATTAATGGTGCCTCTAATATCCTTAGCAACCCAATCAGTTGCTAAGTCTTGAAGGCTCTGCCTATGTTCTTCTGATCTGCCTCCTCCTTTTCATTCCACTTACGGTTACTGTCCTACCCCAGACAATTACCTAGCCTCTTCCCCTTGTCTCTTCTCACTCCAATCTATCTGACAATACTGATAGATTAATCTTCCACACACACAGCTCTGATAATATAGCTTTGCTATTCAACGCACATACATGAATCCGGCCTTCAAAGCTCTCCTTGCTTCAGGCAATCTGGCTAGCTCCTTCTTTCCTGTGCTGGGAACATGCCTTGTGGATTCTGATTGTGTGATTTTGCTCTCACTTTTGACTTTCTCTGGACTGTCCTTCCCTCTTTATGGAAAGACTCATAACTTTTATACAAGACAGCTCAAACAACAATAAAAATATGTGGGTTGGTTGTCATAGGAATATGTAAGTTGATGAGAATCTGGAGAGCGGAAACAAACAAGAAGTGCCAAATCCAGGAATCATTTTAAAATAAAAATTTATTTGGTCACTATCTGTTATGGAGGTTCTATGAAACATACTACACTGTTATGGAGGTTCTATGAAACATGCTACACTGAGGTAGCACTTAGTCCACTGTCATTACTAAAAGATTTTCTGGGGGAGTCAACATGAGATTTATCTCAAAACTATGGATTTCAATTATACATGCCACAGCTTTTCTTCATTAACTGAAATAATTAAGAATTGTCTGCATTTTAACCATTTACTGTAACTATTTCCCTCTTAATGCCCTGAGCCAAACTGGGTTGAGTGGGTGAGGAAAGGTGGGTGGTAGAGACATGGAGCCCCTAATCTGGTCTGTTTTCACCATTGATGAGCCTGATTCATCTTTGGGATGTGGATCACGAGGATTAAAGATCCACCACGTGCCCAGGATTTCCCAGCAATTAGAAGCAAAGAAACTAGAATTTGTATCTTTTATATATATTTTGTCCTTCAGCCCTTCTCCAGTGCTTAGAGTAAAATAAAATCCCTTAAGTGCTTGCTTTTTTCAGCAGGAGAATCCTAATGATGAGCAGCATGTGATCAAGCGATTCCTTTTCCTTCAAGCTGAGGTTGAAGTTCAGTAGCGAAGGAAGAAGGAACAGGCAGCTACAGCCCTCTGGTCAGCAGCACCAACTTTCTCACGGAGTTAAATTAGTTTGGGTTATGGAGAGCCTGAATCTTTAGCCCAGGAGAGGTGAAAGTGAATGAGGGAGAGGAAGGCGGTGAGAGACAAATGGCAAAGGTAAAAGTGGGCTGGGTGCAGTGGCTCACAACTGTAATCCCAGCACTTTGGGAGGCTGAGGCAGGAGGATCAAGCGCTTGAGCCTAGGAGTTTGAGACCAGCTTGGGCAATATGGTGAGACCTCTTCTCAACAAAATATTTAAAAATTAACTGGGCATGGAGGTGCATGCCTGTAGTTCTAGCTACTTGGGAGGCTGAGATGGAAAAATCACTTAAGCCTGGGAGGTGGAGACTACAATGAACTGTGATGGTGCCACTGGACTCCAGCCTGAGCAATAGAGGGAGACCCTGTCTCAAAAATATACATATTTTTTTATTTTTAAAAAAGGTAAAAGTGTATCAAAGCAGTCTGCCTTCACTCTGATACTGAGATTATCAACCAGTGCTCTGCAGACCTTCCATGAAAACTACTGTTAAAGATGCAGATTGTTAGGCCTCATCTCAAACCTACTGAATCATGGTCTCTAGGGGGACAGCCTGGGACTGTGCATCTTTCATGGGTACACCCAGCAATTCTGATACACTCGAAAGCAAGTTTGTCTAACCTGTGACCCGCAGGCTGCATATAGCCAAGGACAGCTTTGAATGCAGCCCAACGCAAATTTGTGAACTTTCTTAAAACATTATGAGTTTTTTTGTGGTATTTCTTTAAGCTCATCAGCTATCGTTAGTGTTAGTATATTTCATGTGTGGCCCTTCTTCCAATGTGGCCCAGGGAAGCCAAAAGATTGGACACTTGGGCTCTAAAGATTGAGGATCACTGCTCTAGTGTTGGCCAACTACTCTAGTGTTGGCCTGCAGACTCAATACAGCCTTTGAGCTAAAAACGGTTTTTACATTTTTAAAGGGTTGTAAAAAAAGACAAAAAGAAAGACAGACAAGGAAAGACACAGAAGAATATACAACATAGCCTACAAAGCATTTACTATCTGGTCTTTTACAAAAGAGTTTTCTGACCCCTTTCTAGTGCACTGCAAATGAAAGGCTGTACCCAAATTTAGCTCCAGTGCAGCCCTGCCACAGCTGAAATAACTGATGTAGCAAGCAGATCTTAAAAAAAAAAGTGATGAAATGTGTAAAGTTGTCATCTAAAAATACTTTTGTAATAATTATAAATGGAGAGAGAAAATGTATAAATACAAACATTCTGTAATGAGTTTAAAAATATAGTTTCATCCATACAAGAATTTTGATAACTCCATTTGATTCTGTTTTTCCATAAGCTTATCAGATAGCAATATATCCAACATTAGCCTAATAAAATTACTGCATGTGAATTCTTTATTGGACTATGCATATTCCCAAACATATTATTGTCATACAACTGAGGGAAAAATGTAAAACTATATCTGGGAAATGAAAAATTATAAATTCTCAAAATGATACATAGGAAAATGATTTACAAAGAAAAAAAGGAAAACTGAACTTAGTATCTTTCTACTTTAAAGGGGTTCAAGAACTTAGGAGTAGTTACACACCTCCTAAAATCTTGAAAAAGAGGCTATGAACTCACTTCACAAAGGGTTCAGATACTCACATTGTGTCCAAGAGACTCAGCAATTGGGAATCTTGCCAGTTAGATTCATAAAGCAATCCGAAAGCCAGAATGCAATTTCTTTAGGGGTGGTTTCTAGATGTTTATTCTAGATATTTTTAAAAGATTTTGTTTATTTTTGATGTGAAGAAAGAAAATTATTATAGAATCTAGAAATAAATATTGGCTTTAAAAGTATTAATTTGCCTTGTCCTTTGTAATTGTGATCCGAAATATCTCACAATAATTTTGTTTCAGTGTTATTTTCTTCTCAGGAGGAAAGGAATGTTAAAACCTTACTAGCAACTAACACTTGATAAAGATTTAAACTATATAACAATTTTAAAGAAAGTCTAAAACACCAGATAGTCTTGAAACCTCGCATGCTTCACCGTTTAATAAAATTATGACTCATTTTAGTAAGAACATGCTTTTTTAGTAAGAAAAAATGCTTTCTGAGCTAAGTTTGAACTGCTGGGGCACATGGGACACCCACAAACCCAGTCAGCAGAAGTCTCAAACTCCTAAAAGATTAAAGGAAAAATACATTAGTGTGTACAGAGAATGAAAAAAAAATCCCCAATGGTTCTAATCTATAAACGGAAGTAAAACTAAAACTCCCCTAAAATCCCCCCAGTCATCAATCCTTATAAATTCAGCACTTATCTTCTTCCTTTACTTCTGGAGACCCTCATTAAACAACACGAAAGCCTTTGCTGACTTTTATCTCGTAAAATAGAGCCCTCAAATGACACTAAGCAGGGATACCGACCTCCAAAATCACAAACTGTTTTACTTCTAAAACCATGCATGCAAACGTGGGGTTTCCTGAGTTCTGCTAGGGGCGGGCTGTCTGGACCCCCGTGTATTTTTTTTTTTTTTTTTTTTTTTTTTTTTTTTTTGCAGGTGTGCAATCCAGGGTGCGCGCTCTGTGCAGGGAGGGGAGCAAAGGTGTGCGGTGGGCACCGCCTGGGCCGGGCGGGGCGGGGTGGGTGGGGCCCGGGTGTGTGCTGGGGTGAGAGTGAAGGACATGTGACAATACGACGGTGGCGGCTGCAGGATCCGGGAGGGGAGTGAAAGCTCCGCTGGGGCGCTCCATTAGTGAGCGGTGATGGTTGCCGCCCACTTGTATTGAAGCGTCCTTTGTCACTAACAAGTTAAATTAGAGATGTTATTTATTTAAGAAGAAGGAAAAAAAACCCTAGCCAAACAGCCTATGAATACATATGCTCACATCCCCTACTCCTCCAACTCCTAATTTCCCCGTCTCCAGAGGGCACAGTTGTAAACCTTGACGAAAATCCAATCTTCTGTGCGGGAATTTCCCCCCACCGCTTGCCGCCCCCGCGACAGTGAGTGGGAGCTGGAGGAGCTCTGGTCCCGCTGCCCGGGAGCACGCGGAGCCGGGCGACCGCGGTGCGGCAGCCAGGGAGGAGGGGAGGCGGCGGGACTGGGCGCGGGTCGGCGCCGCCGCGACCCGGGAGCGGGGTTTGCTCAGGAAAAGGCGCCGTCGCGGCCCCCGGCCACCCCTCCCTGGCCCCGGGCTCCCTGCCCGCGCGCCTCCCGGGCCTCGCGGCGCGCTAGGCGCACCGCGGCGGCGCGAGCGCCGAATGGGAGCGGCGACCCGGCCAGCCCGGCAGCCCCGCGGGCGGCAGCCAGGGCGACCGCGGAGGCGGCGGGCAGGGCGCGTGCGCACTGCAGGGGCGCCAGATTTGGCGGGAGGGGGAGTGTCCAAAGCTCTTTGTTTGATGGCATCTCTGTTTACAGAGTTTACACTTTAATATCAACCTGTTTCCTCCTCCTCCTTCTCCTCCTCCTCCGTGACCTCCTCCTCCTCTTTCTCCTGAGAAACTTCGCCCCAGCGGTGCGGAGCGCCGCTGCGCAGCCGGGGAGGGACGCAGGCAGGCGGCGGGCAGCGGGAGGCGGCAGCCCGGTGCGGTCCCCGCGGCTCTCGGCGGAGCCCCGCGCCCGCCGCGCCATGGCCCGAAGACCCCGGCACAGGTAACGGGGAGCCGGGCGGGCGGCCGAGGGCGGGGGCGCGCGGGGGCGCGCGGGGCGCCAGGCTCCCGGGAGCAGGTGGGAATTCGTTCCGGGATCATCTGAGGGGCTGTCAGACCCTCCGAGGACCTGGAGCCCCTGCCTCGGCAGCAGAAGCCGCTCCAGAGACTGATGAATGGAAGAGTCTTTGCGGGAAATGTATCCGGACGTTGGGAAGCACGCCCTGCGGCTCATTTTGCAAGTTGCATGGGGATACATTTTTCTTTAGGGGGAAAAAGAAAGCACGTTCCAGCCGAGGGCAGAGCGGTGCCCACCAGCCCCGGGGAGCCCACCAGGTGCCTGGCTTGATGCCGCGGGTGTCGGCGAGGGATCCGCAGCGTAATTGCTGGATGCATTGAGATATGTTTGGACTTGGAAGTGCAGAGCATATGGCAGATACAGGGAAAATGCTGGATTGTTTAGTAGCTGCAGGTAGTTCATTTAAATTTCATTCATTCTTTATGGAGGCGAGGACCAGTGTCAGCTGACAGGCGGCTGAAAAGCAGATTTTAGGGGGATAAAGGGGTCTCTACTTTTGCAAATTGTCTTAAGACCTGGTTTTGGAGGTTCGAATCATTTTTCTCTGAAAGGCTTTTACTTCCACTGCAAACATTGCACGCGCACCCACACGCGCCGCCGTCGCACATGTCACTGCACTTAGGGAGGCTCGCCGGGAAGATGGGTGCAGTCCCTTCACATTTTTGGCCGGACAGATGGGAAGAGGGAGAGGAGGAGGAGGAGGGAAATCCTCGTCCGAACTGTCAGTTGCTCGTTCCCCAGTCTCCACCGGCCTCTGGACTTTCCCAGCAGCACACGCCGGGGCTCCCTGCGAGCGGCGGGTGCCAGGGCTAGCTCGGCAGCCGTCGCAGTCGCCACTCGGCTCAAGGGGACAGAGGCCGGCAGCACCCAAGGCCGCTGCCGCGCAACCGGGACGCGATCCCCGCGGGCTCTGCCCCCAGGCGAAAGGTCCCTGCGCGGCGCGCACACGTGGATGCGGCTGAGGTCGCCGCGCCTTCTCGCACCCTCCTTCAGCCGCCTTAGGTCGCCCCGGCCGAGGCGCGGTGACCGGACAGACCCTCGCGAAGGAGTTCTAAGGCGAAGTCCATGGAGGCAAAGCAAATCCATTCGCCTTTCCTTAGATTGTTTGATTTTCTCCTACTGGTTTGTTGTTGAGCCTGCGGGCGCTGGTCCCCGCGCGGCGCTGGGAAGTTGCAAAGAGCGTGGGTGGAGACCCTGCAGCAGCACCCGCGGGCTGGGCTGGGCGGGGAGCAGCGCCGGGGCTTGGTTGGGCTCTGGGGACGAGAGGGCGACTTGGGGGAGCTCCGGGCTCCCTATGCCTACTCCGGAGCCTGGCCGCGCAGGACGGTGTGCTGCCCCTCGAGGGCTCCACTTTTCGCCTTTAGGACTTCACAGGACAGCTACCGGGGTCATCTGTTTTTTTTTTTTTTTTTTTTTTCGAGAGCTGAAACTGGCAGCAGGAGGAGGGAGTCGGGCAGGGGTGCTGGGAGGAGGCGCGGCAGCGGCTCCGCGCCCCGAGGTCTCGGCCGCCCCCGCGGGGCGGGGCCGCGCAGGTTCCCTGAGGCTCCAGGTAGCCCAGAGGGGAGGCGGCTGGGAGGGGCGGGAGCCTTGAACCTGCCTCAGGGGAAGAGAAACCCGACTGCGGGCTCGGAGCCGTTTCTTGCAAGGGCGAGCGTCAACTCGGCAGGGATTATATTAACCAGGTCAGCGAAATGAGTTTGAACCCCTCCGAATCACAGTAGCGGCCACAAGGCACTTCCTCCCGCTCCCCTCCCTCTTCCTAACCCCCAGCACCTCTTTTCTTTTTCGTTTCTTTGCACGGTTTGTTTCCTTGACAGAATGTAACATTCATAGTTGTACTCTTGTAACCACACCGGGTCTAGCAGGTGGGGAGTCGAGTGCATCAACCCTGAAATCAGCCTTTGAAAATCCTCTGACTGTTGGGTCTGAGATCTTGTCAGAGCAGATAAAGGAAAAGTTATTTCAGGTTCCTTAGTAGAAATTAATCATGCTTCTAGGACGACTTAGAGCAAGCAAATCGCATGCAAAGTTCAAAGGCGAGCCTGGGTGGCCAGCCTGGCAGGGAAACTCAGGAGCTGGGCGCGTGAGCAGCCCCGGACTCGCCCTGCTGCGTCCTGGCCCCTTCAGGTCCTGCAGAAGTCACTCTCCACCTTGCCCCCAAGACCTTAGTTTTGCACATCTTTGCCTCTGTGCTTAGCTTTTAAGAGGCACGGAAGGACATGGCATGGTCATGTATTAGCGCTGGAAAGTACCTTAGAAATAGGATCCAAGCAAGCCCTTATTGTAAAGGCGAGGAACTGAAGTCTTGAGAGAGAGGAAGTGATTTGTCCAAGTCATACAGCTAGGTGGAGGCTAGACTAGAACCTTTGCCTCCAGAACCCTAGTCCTGTTGATTCCCGTGCTCTCACCTGACGTTGGCTGCCCCCTGCGGGCGGCTGAATAGGTTGCTTGTTCCTGGGTTGTTAAACCGCTGCGGAGAGAGAGGTGCTCAATGACTACTCTGAAAAATGTGCTCAGTTCTGAAAATGTGACCTCTAGATCCAGCCAAACCTGAAAAGTTAATTCGACTTGAATCTATGACTGCAGTTTCAGATTCCTCTGGTTTTCTTGGTGTCTCTCACATTTCACAAGGGACTGCATTTGGGGTCTTTCCAAGGAGTTCCCTATGAATCTTTCAAAAGATGCAGACTTACACCTCTGGGCTTTATAGCTTTTTTTTTTTTTTTTTTTTTTTGCTTTATCATATCGTGTTTTACATTTTTGTAGTTCTTGTTCAGAAGTTGTTTAGTGCCTCCTGTTGACAGTGGAAACAGAACTAGGCTATTGTTTCAAAACACAGACACTAAATGAAAGGAATTATTACAGATTATAAATATATATTTCCTGGGATTTTATTTGGTGGTGGTGGTATTTTAAATTTGGATTACATCATGTCGCCATTCAACCTGGACTATCAGATTGTTGCTTAAAATAATAGCTTTAAATTATGAGAACCCCCAATTCAGGATTTTTGGTAAGCACTTCAGCTTCACTTGTAGGGGGCTGGTAATATGCATACCAGTGAGTTAGTTTGGGAAGACAAAACCTGTAATGAATATAACTTTTCTTTTTAAAAACAATGATTTACATTATGATATGGCTTTATATCATTGTTTTTATTGGTCTTAGTTTAATGGGTTTCCCAACATTGCAATGACAAATTTTAGTGAAGTTTCTAAGATAGTATTTTTCCTATTTTAAGTTTTATAAGAAAAACTATAAAATAAACCGTGTCTGTAAAATTATTGTCATCTGATCAGTTGATTAGATTAACAAACATTATGATTATGATTAACAAACAGTAAGCATATAGTTACTTCTTCAAAAGTCATAAAATTTCCTAGGTTAGGTTAACTAAATAAAAGAAAAAGCTTTCGAAAATAGTAATGGGTTCTTTTAAATCCATGGCTTTTTTCTGGGGAAATCCCTTCTGGATTAGGTTACATTTTATAATATTTCAAACACCATTCCATCAGAGACAGAAAAAACAAGAGTAAGTAAGACTCTGACTAACAAGTGGCCTAATTATTCACTTAGTTACTCTAGAAACTAAGTATTGTAAACATGGGCACAAGTTGGATCAACCAGGCCTGGAGTTGTGAGCAATTTGGTATTAATTTTATTTACAAAACATTAAAGCTTGATCACTCAATGTTCTTATCTTTGCTTTGGTTTTAAAATCCTTTCCTCTTAGATTCTCCTAATCCTCTAGACTTTATGGGATCACTATAATTCTGTTTTGCGCTGTACTACTTCTTGATTTTTTTCTTCTTTTAATAAAACAAAAACCCCATTGGAATAGCATAGTTGAATTGTTTATTATGTTTGAGAAATATTATTTAAACGATGTGACAGATGCCAAAGATTTTGAGTGTGCACTTATATAAAGGACATGGGTTCTTGTTCCTTTTCTTATCCTTAACCTTAAGTTTTCAACTTAAACCTTCACTGGTTGGAAGGTGGCCAAATGTGTAACTTGTCCCTGGTCTAATAGTAACAGCAGGTTCAGACATGCAGGGGAATAGGAAGGTGCCAGGTCCTTGGCCGTGTCTGTGGATACCCATAACAGCAGAACCAGTTTACAATACTAGAGCAACAGAATGCAGCAAACAATCTTGTTGTGCAAGTTTTCAAAGTTTTGTCTTCATAACCTTTGAAAAGATTGTTGAGGAGTTTTGTGTAAGTTTTGTAATCCAGTAGTAGTCTAAATCCTCTTGTTTCAGCCCACGTCTACCCATTCTTATTTCTGCAGCATATATAGCAGTGACGAGGATGATGAGGACTTTGAGATGTGTGACCATGACTATGATGGGCTGCTTCCCAAGTCTGGAAAGCGTCACTTGGGGAAAACAAGGTGGACCCGGGAAGAGGTAACTAATCATTTTATCAAGACGCAGAAAATAGATAGAGTGTATAATTTATAAAAAACAAAATTTCAACTAAACTACAGGTGCTCAAGCTCATTAGCAGGCTCCTTGAGATCTTATCCTAGCCCGCATGTGCAGCGTGCCCTATGCCCCCCACTTCATTATATTATCCATTTCCACACTATTTGCAGTTCTTTGAATGTCCTCTTCTCATTTTAGGCTTCATCTGTGTTTCCTTTTGCCTGTTGAGTTCTCATCCTTTTGTCCCACCTCTTCTTCCTACTTTTACATTACCCATGAAGGCATCACCTCTTCTGTGAAGCCATCCCTGGCTTCGCCGGACAGGATTGGATGCATCCTCCTGTGATCCCATGCATGGGTGCATGTTCTACTTTATTGTTGCTGGGACATATATACCTCCTCCAGCTGACTGCAAGTCTGTTGAGGGCAGGGCTCTTGTCTATTCATCTTTGTGTTTCCTGAATTCACAAATGCTTGGACCCAAAATAGGATATTAATAAATGTTCTCTCAATAAGTGAATGACTTGCTACTCCCAAAAACAAAACAAACAAAAGAATAAAACAAAACACTCAGAGAACTCATCTTTTTACAGTGTATTGATTTAATATCCTTGATATACTTAACAGAGCCATCTATATGAAGGTATGTTTTAAAATCATCCGATAATGGATGGAGACACATCTGCTTCTCCTGTTTCTTTTTCGGCTGGCTTATCAAAAGTTTGATTTTGTAGGAATGGAAAAATATTTTAGAAGCAAAATTATTAATATGTGGAGAAAAGTTTCTCTAATGTTCTTAAAATTTTTGCAACTAATTTTAGATGATTCATGTTACAATAAATGGTATTGGCTCTTCTTCAGTTTCACTGTTCTCTGCTTCATTTAAACCAGAGCTCCTTTTAACAGGCAGGTAGGATTCCCAGAGAGGCCCATAGGAAATTCATATTTTACCTATTAAGATTATCCACTTGGATAATCCTTATGATACGGAAATTCTGTTGTCAACATTGGTTTCCTAATTCTTGTGTCTGTATTGTACCAGGGACCTCCACTGTGTGTGAATGTTACCTTTGCAGAAACATAAGAAGGAATGCATTTATATACTTATGAACTGGTAGGATTGTGAACAGCATATAAACTAAAAGAACTGATTAGCTGGAAATGTTTAATGTCTTTTATGTTCTAACACATCTGGCCTATCTAAATCTAACTGATTTTCTTATATAGCTTTCAAATTTAATTTTAAAAATGGTCTTTATTTCTTTATAAAAAGTTAAACTAACTGGAAATATTCTATTTCTTGCTCAAGATCCTATTTATTACCATAGGTAAATGTGTACTGAATCTAGCACTGGAATGCATTTTTTCCTAACAGAGTAAAGCAGTTATTTATAATAAACACTCAATATATGCCAGGCATTATGATAAATGTTTTGCAAAATTGCCTCATGTAATCCCCAAATAACCCTGTTAATATCAGCCTCATGTTAATAAATTGCCCCATGTAATCCCCAAATAACCCTGTTAATTTCCATTTTATAGATGGCAATACTAAGGCCCAGAAAGGTAAAATGGTATACCCGCTTTACACAATTAATAGTTGAGTCAAGATGCCAACTCTGGTCTGATTCTAAATAAATCTATACTCCCAAGTCCGTATATTACATTAATATCTCCTGTATTCGGATACTTTAGAGAGACTTTTTATTCTAGATTCGTTCCCTCATTCACTTTAACTTGAACAGAGTTATATAGTAAATAACTGATATCCTAGGATTACCTTTAAATGTCTTAGGATGAAAAACTGAAGAAGCTGGTGGAACAGAATGGAACAGATGACTGGAAAGTTATTGCCAATTATCTCCCGGTAAGTTAGTAAGTTTTTCTTATAACGAAAGGAAAGCTTCTCCCAAAGATTTCTATAAAATATTCTAGGAGGAGTTATTAAGATAGTGTATAATTTACTCACATTTAAGAAGTGGGAGAAATGCCCTACCCATAACTTATATTTTATATTATAATGCATATAATTAAATTATTAGAATTTAGATTATTAGAATCGATTATTATAATTTAGATTATCAAATTTTAAAAACAGTTGCTTCTTGTTTTATCTTTTCATTTATAGGATAATTAGTATTTTGATGATTTGTTACATGGTAGTTGATTAAACTTGATATTTCCTCCAAGTCAGTTTTTCCTGAATTCCCTATTTTTGTCAATAGCAATACTTTTGGCACCAAGGTTTAAAATTCTGAAGACCTTTCTTGACTTATCACATTCCCCCAACCCCTACATCTAAGCAGTTACTAAGGACCCTGGAATTCCTTTATAGTCAGTCCCGTCCTTTTCATTCTCATGGCTGTGCTGAAGGTTGGGCTCCTGCCCTCTCATTTGGACTATCATATAACTTCCTAACTGGCTTCCCCACTTGTAGTTTTCCATTTTTCTTTCTTTTTTTTTTTTTTGTTTTTTGTTTTTTGTTTTTTGAGATGGAATCTAGCTTTGTTGCCCAGGCTGGAGTGCAGTGGCACGATCTCAGCTCACTGCAACCTCCGCCTCCCAGGTTCAAGCGATTCTCGTGCCTCAGCCCCCTTAGTAGATGGGATCACAGGTGCCCGCCACCATGCCTGGCTAATTTTTGTATTTTTAGTAGAGACAAGGTTTCACCATATTGATCAGGCTGGTCCCAAACTCCTGACCTCAAGTGATCTGCCCACCTCAGCCTCCCGAAGTGCTAGGATTGCAGGCATGAGCCACCGTGCCCAGCCAGTCTTCTACTTTTCCATTCATCCCAAACACCATTGGCAGGTGGAACTTCCTAAAATGCAGCTGTACCTTATCTTTTCAAAACCAACCACAGTGACAGAATCTCACAAATTAAGTAAACTGCCTTGACTTGGCACACAGAGGCCCTCCTCTATTGCCCCAACTTACAGCTCCAGTTCTGTTTCCTGCTTCCTCTCTCTAAGCAGGTTTGCTTGAATTTATTTCTGCTTTACCTCCTCTGGGCTTTTGCTCCTGGTCTTCCCACCTCCTAGAATATTCTCCCTTTATGTCACCAATTAAAGTTCTGTCCATCCTTCAAAGTCCTTATGAAGAGCTCTTCAAGACTCCTCCCAAGGAAACCATTTCTCCTCCTAAGAAGATGCTTCTCTCCTCACTTCAGTATCATTTTGCTTTGGTCTTTTCTTCCAAGTGAATCAAATTCAGCATCTGTGATAGTCAGTCATCTACTTGTCTTTTCCTTCTTATAAGTTTACAAACTCCTGTAACATAGGACCTATCTTTTATGCATCTTTTTTCTTTCTGCAATATAAATACTTTGGTCCTGGATTGAAGCACATCTCTTGTCTGAATGGGAAGCAAACTTTAGTCTTTTAGGGTGGTTTCCATGAAAGCCTGACAACATAGAATCTCTATCAAGCCTCAGGCTATGTAGATACTCTGCAAAAGTATCTGAGGTTAAGGTTAACTTGGCAGGCACATGTGTAGTATGATGGTCCTTTAGATCATGTGGCAGGAATGTTTCCCTCAGGAGGCAGAGTGTCTAATTTTAGATGCAACTTTGATATATTACTTGCATGTTCTGTAGCCTGTAAGTAATGAGGGATAGATGGGCTCTAAACATGCTCTAAAATGTTCTTAAATATTTTCACTGCATATGGTCTATGTGTGATTCCTATTACAACAAAAAATTCACGTGCTTATCACATCATATCTTTATGGTGGTGCATACTTTATTTGTCTAGAATCGAACAGATGTGCAGTGCCAGCACCGATGGCAGAAAGTACTAAACCCTGAGCTCATCAAGGGTCCTTGGACCAAAGAAGAAGATCAGAGAGTAAGTTCTTTCTTCATTGGTGTGTGACTCATAATTAAGAATATTCCCAAAATGCTAATATTTTCCTATTTGAGGAAGCAGGTAAAATGGGCAAACAGGAAGTAGAGGACTCTATTCCCATATTTCCAGTGAATGAAAGCAAATTTTGGAAATTTTCTAAAGATCTTGTAACACTGAAGAATGATTATACTGACTCATTACATAACTTTAAAACATAGGTTATTTTTGTGTGTTTATCTGAAGGTGATAGAGCTTGTACAGAAATACGGTCCGAAACGTTGGTCTGTTATTGCCAAGCACTTAAAGGGGAGAATTGGAAAACAATGTAGGGAGAGGTGGCATAACCACTTGAATCCAGAAGTTAAGAAAACCTCCTGGACAGAAGAGGAAGACAGAATTATTTACCAGGCACACAAGAGACTGGGGAACAGATGGGCAGAAATCGCAAAGCTACTGCCTGGACGGTAATAATATGTCAAAAAATATATTGATCGGGAAGAATGAGGGAGTGGGTATTGAACATTCTGCTTTAAATGTATGGTGAGTAAATTATATTTCATCAGTCGTAAGTGTTTTATTAGATAAACCAGCTACATAGCTTTTAGAGATTGAAGACATCTTAGAGTTTATTTGGTTGAGAACTTCCAGGATCCACCTGACAGTGAGCCCTGGGTGAAGACATTTAGCTTTCCCCAGCCTCAATTTCCCCATTTCCAAAATGAATCATACAGGGCCAGTGTTAGGATCAAGTAAAATGAATGTCAAAGGACTTGGTAAACTATAAAACTCTAAATGCATAGAAAGAAACTGAAGACAGTTTGTCTCTGGCAGTTCACGTAGCTGGTTAAGTTACTCAAAGGAACTCAGCTACCATTTTCCTGATAACCATCATTCATTTCTTTTATTTTTTTTAATTATTATTTTTTAGAGACAGAGGCTTGTTCTGTCACACATGAGTGACAGAGTGCAGTGGCATGATCATAGCTCAATACATCCTTGAACTCCTGGGCTCAAGGGATCCTCCCACCTCAGCTTCTTGAGTAGCTAGGACTACAGGTGCACCCCACTACACCCAGCTGATTTTAAAATATTTTTTGTAGAGATGGAATCCTGCTATGTTACCCAGGCTGGTATCAAACTCCTGGCCTCAAACAATCCTTTCACCTCCCAAAGTGCTGGGATTATAGGCATGGGCCACCATACCTGGCCACCAGTATTCATTTCATTATACCACTTTGCTTAATTTTTTACTTCATTGATTAAAGAAATAATGTATTTCTTGAATTCTCATACTACTTCCAGGTTTTTAAATAATGTCAGGGTAATAATGCTTTCTTTTTAATGAACAAGGCAAGAAAATGACCTCATTATGAGGGATAACTATGGAAGCTCATTTTGTCCCATTTTTCCCACTTAAGTAGTATATAACAGATTTTGTTCCTTTGGAAAGCAATACTTTTAATGATAAATCTTGCATTAAAATGATGTAGATCAAAAATATTAAAAATAGTTTTATTCTTGAGCTTCATAATCCAGGAGAAAGTTTATATAGTATTCTCTAGTGATGCTCCAAAGCATTTGCACCCTTGTGGTTCAGTATAAACTTAGAAATTTTAAGAGGTTGGTAAAAAAAGGCCTTTCCTCCCATATGGCCTGAGAGGATACACTGCTGATTCTTCTCAAAATTAACAGGGCTATTGAACTTCCTCTTTCTTTAGCATACATTCCCCCACCCCCATTGAAATAGAAAAAGGGAGACTTAAACGGTTTTTTTGAATTGAGAAACTGTTTTCCTGAGAATGGAAAGACTTTAGTAAAAATGCGTTGCCTTTTGAAAATATACTGGGGGTTAGGATCTTTCCCTTTGGGATCCCATTTTCCACTCTCGTCTCTGTCTGATTCAGAAAACAATTGGGGTGGCTTTCAAAGAGTAGGAGGTTTTTTGGTCTCAGAAGTTCTCACTAGTGCTTTGAGAGATAAAGAGTGAAGTATTCTTCATCAGCAGCATCTTATCATCCACCAGACTTCACCATGTCCCTCTCGTGGTGTGTAGGCCCTGCTGTGCCACATTCAAAGGAGTAATTTCCCCAAGGCAGCTGGAACTTTACATTGTGTTGGAGTCTTGTACCGCGACCGGTCAGAATAAACATGAAGCGTTATCGTATTGAAAATACTCCTTTACCAAGGAAATGGAATGGTTAAAAGATACTGATATTTCTAGAAAACGACATGCATTCCAGATTGTGTAACTAAGAGAAATCTAACTAGGCAATAGAGAAAGCCTGATCTCAGAGGGTGGAGAAGAAGGAAACAATTAAAAAGAGAAAACAACTAATAGGCCCAAGGGAAAGGTCTCTGTTAGAAACAGTTTTCTGTCAATTCACTTTAATCTGAATTGAAATTTTTGTTTGTGAAATTTGTGTGATATATTTCTGTGCAGAACTGATAATGCTATCAAGAACCACTGGAATTCTACAATGCGTCGGAAGGTCGAACAGGAAGGTTATCTGCAGGAGTCTTCAAAAGCCAGCCAGCCAGCAGTGGCCACAAGCTTCCAGAAGAACAGTCATTTGATGGGTTTTGCTCAGGCTCCGCCTACAGCTCAACTCCCTGCCACTGGCCAGCCCACTGTTAACAACGACTATTCCTATTACCACATTTCTGAAGCACAAAATGTAAGCCATTCCTGTGAATCTAGTTTAATGAGAGAGACGGTTAGTTTAGCTCCAGGTAATAATCATACTTTGCAGTTGTATACTTTTCAGAGAACTTTCCTGAGCATGATCATGGCCAGTCTTCACCTATGCCCTTTGAAGTAGATAGGGTGTAGGTATGGTGTGTTACCCCTGGTTTATGTCTCCAGAAACGAGGATGGTAAGCGCTTTGCCCAGGGTGACACAGCTCATAGAGATAGTGCTGACTAGAAAACGAGCTGTCCGATTCTAAATTGCTGCTTCAAATCTAATTTGAAGGCAACCTTTGAATGTAAATTTACTTAAGGTACTATTGAAGAATAGGGGAATGGAGTCGCATTTGTAGATGTAATGTTTTTCTCTTCCAAAACGAAAAGGGAAGGTAGTATTATGTTTAAAGAGGAGAGAGTTTGACACTGAAATTCAGTGGTTATGGTATGTTTCATTCTGGCAGTGATCAGGCAGACATGTCTTAATTTATTCACTCAGTAAGTGTTTACCTTCTTACTCTGAGTCAGGAGCAGAACTTTGTGACATTCATTTTCTGATGTCTCCTTTTAGTCTCCGTTGGATCAGTGTGATCCCTTCCTTATTTCTAGATATTTATATTTAGGGAAAGTGATAATCCATAATAGGTGGAAAAAGAAGAAGAAAGAGGAAAAAAATCGAGAAACTTTAATCTTAAGAATAACAATATTAAATGATAAAACTTACCCAAGAATAGAGAGCTCATATGCAAATTATATGCAAAACATGTTCATAAATAGTTTTTATTCTTCTCTGTCCATGGATTTGACTACAAACTTTACAGAAAGGTCTCAGATGAATAAATTATCATAAGAATTCCTGTGCTTTTTATTAAAACTCAAAATTATTCCAAGAAAAATATTTTTATTTACAAACAGCTGGTGCCATCAATTTTTCCCATAGAAACAATTTTGAAACATTCATTAATGTATTTTATAATATATTTTTTATTGTTTTTTTCATTGTGTTTTTCTCTAATTAAGGAACACTTCCCAAAATTTAAAGTGCTCATCAACACCTCCCAAGGATTTTTCACCATGTTCCTTTAGCTGTTTAGCCATTTTAAAGGCCTGGCTAAATTTCACATTAAAAGGTTTTAAAAATTTGTTTAGTGTATTTTATCAGTAAAGTGTTTTTTTTCTCTCAGTCCCAGAACGAAACCTCAGGAAGCCAAGTCCCCTGAAGCATATGTAGCCCTGAATGACGTGGCCTTTGTTTTGTCTTTTGCATCTAGGTCTCCAGTCATGTTCCATACCCTGTAGCGTTACATGTAAATATAGTCAATGTCCCTCAGCCAGCTGCCGCAGCCATTCAGGTAAGATCATTGATCATTCACTGTTCAAAGCACCACTTTTAAGAAATGCTTATTTCTTTCATCTAAACACATATTTTTACCTGAGCAACTAAAGTAAAAAGGAAAGGGAACATGGAGAGGAGAGCAGAGTCTTGGCCAGCAATCTATTAATCTTGTCTTCTAGAATGAGTTTGCTCTGGAATTTTCTGATTCTTTGATGTTGCAAGGTGAAATAACTCATCAGTCAGCATCCACTCTAGCCTGAGATTTCACATCACTCCCTTAAGTCTGAAATAACATTCACAAAGATTTCTGCAGGAGCCAAATTTGGTTGGTGGTGTTGTCACAGTGAGGCTCTTTGGGCTGTGCGGCACCTCATGACCATATTGGCTACACCCATTGTATTTGCAGCTTCCAATCAGACCTTTGTCTTTATTTCCCTTACTTTGTAATTTCAGAGACACTATAATGATGAAGACCCTGAGAAGGAAAAGCGAATAAAGGAATTAGAATTGCTCCTAATGTCAACCGAGAATGAGCTAAAAGGACAGCAGGTGCTACCAGTAAGACTGTCATCATGTGCTTGAATGAGGGGATAGCAGCTTTGCCTCAGTTTACCTAAGCGCTCTTCTCTTCTAAATATTACACTTAGCAAGGCTCCATATATCCATTCAGAATGTCTCAACACAAGAAGTTGCTTGTAGTAAAATGTAGTTGGTATCAGATTATATGCTGATTAAATTGGAAGCAGTCTTTTTGTAATTGCAATAAAAATGCAATATCCACTTATGATTGTTATCATCAATTTTTTTCTTCAGAAGGACTATAATCAGTTTAAAGACTAGCAAAGATAAAATGAATGAAAATCTGCATTTTCTACAGAGCTATGTATCTATATGGTACCATTTTGGTTTTTTTCTATTATTTTGTTAACCTATATTTTCATATTTTATAATTTCAGACATGATTTGATGCATGTTCAGTATATACATGTAAAAGGTTATATATAAAACCTCTTCATAAATAACATTAGCTGCTCTCTTTTATTTGCATGTGTGAAAGTTATGTGGGCCATTACTGAATTCTGACATCTTTAGCGACTGGGCAGCCAACTGGGATGGCTCCTTGTGCTTTGCAACATACATAGTTAACCAACAAAGACAATAAAAGAGAAGTGATGCCCAGTAGGTATTCCTAGGGGTAAATTTATTTTTTGTTAAATAATAAGATGTTTATGTGCACATGCTAGTTCGACCACTTTTTAACTTTAGTTAATGTTTTGCAATTTCTCCTGTTGTGTGGTCATACTGTAAGGAGACTTCTGTTAATTTGCTCTTCTGCTTTCCTAACCACGTTGATTTGGCAGTGCTTCACTGCATCAGTGCAATCTGTAGCATTAGAAAGGGATAGAAGCAACAAGAATATGTGTAGATCAAAGCAACTCTAACTCCTGAGTCCTCTAGCTTTTTTGTGGTTAGAATGCAAATAGGACAGTTCTTCAGTTCTTCACTCACAGCAAGCATTTATGGACCTTTGGCAAATTATATTAAAGTGGAATTTTAAGACAATATGATAATTATACTTCGAAATATAGACCTATGATTTGACATTTTTACAAAATGATAACAAGGTAATCATATAGGTACAACCTCTAGCACTATTAAAAACAGGGTCTTGCATTGATAAAAGGAAACATCTTGACAACTGTTTCATAGGCGTAAGTTTGGGATGATGCAACTACTCTTATCTTTCCTCCAACAGCATCTGATACCTTGTGCAACTTCATTGCTAAGTTCCTTCTCCCTTTCTTCTGTCCTCTCTTTATTTCTACACCCTTCCCCCTTCCTTAGACACAGAACCACACATGCAGCTACCCCGGGTGGCACAGCACCACCATTGCCGACCACACCAGACCTCATGGAGACAGTGCACCTGTTTCCTGTTTGGGAGAACACCACTCCACTCCATCTCTGCCAGCGGATCCTGGCTCCCTACCTGAAGAAAGCGCCTCGCCAGCAAGGTGCATGATCGTCCACCAGGGCACCATTCTGGATAATGTTAAGAACCTCTTAGAATTTGCAGAAACACTCCAATTTATAGATTCTGTAAGTAGAATTGTGAAGGGAAGTTAACGATTCTGGAAGATAAATTAGAAAACCCATTTCTTAAATCATTGCCATTTTCTATAGCCAAGCTGTTATTAGCATATATTAATGTAAAGGTAGAAGTATGATTTTCATCTTCATGAATATGTTTTTTCAAAGATCTGATTTCATAGCCTACCGAGAGAGACAAAAGTATTTATAAATACTTACAAAATAGGACTTTTGAAGGAAGAGTTTTTTTTCACATTTTCACACTTTTCCTTCAAAAGTCATATTTTTAAAAATAGTCAGATTGATGACTTATAAAGCAGAGCTTGGATTATGGGAACGGAATGGTGTTTGAGTTACTTTTAACTTTTTTTTTTCTTTGCTTACTTCATGGTGCTTCTCTAGAATTTTGTCTTGCTTTTGAACAGCACATTAATGATTTGGCTTACTCAGAGCTGAAAGCAATCTTTTAGTGTATTTGAAGTAATAATCAGCTCCTTGGTCATACCTGGCTCTTTCCACAAAATGGTGATTATTGATTACTGGTCCCATTGCTTCACTGAGATGAATCATCTTTCGTGAAACAAATTTGTATTCAGCACCTCCTCAGCGAACACTTGGTTCCTTTCCCAGTTGATTAAAAATCATTTATTGCACACTCATTGGTTAGGAGATGACCATTGCCGTAATATGCCATCTAGAAAAGGTCTTCATTTTGCTTTCCATTGCATGCAGATGTAGAGTGTCGGGAGGTCCCTGCAGCACATCAGAGGGCCAGCCTTGAGGCAGCCCACTAGACCCTGCTCTACTGCAGTATAATAGAGCAACTGCTCATCTTGAAGCTGTTGCTCAAGAAGCCAAACCAACGGGCCTAGTGTTTGCTTTGCGTTGAGCATCTCTCTCTCAGTGCTGTTTCAGGTGATGATGGCACACACTATCTCAAAGTTCTGTGCCTCCCACATTGTTTCAGGATTCTTCATCATGGTGTGATCTCAGCAGTTTTGAATTCTTTGAAGAAGCAGATTTTTCACCTAGCCAACATCACACAGGCAAAGCCCTACAGCTTCAGCAAAGAGAGGGCAATGGGACTAAACCTGCAGGAGAACCTAGCCCAAGGGTGAACAAACGTATGTTGAGTGAGAGTTCACTTGACCCACCCAAGGTCTTACCTCCTGCAAGGCACAGCACAATTCCACTGGTCATCCTTCGAAAAAAACGGGGCCAGGCCAGCCCCTTAGCCACTGGAGACTGTAGCTCCTTCATATTTGCTGACGTCAGCAGTTCAACTCCCAAGCGTTCCCCTGTCAAAAGCCTACCCTTCTCTCCCTCGCAGGTAGAACACAATTTCTGCACAGCTGTTACTCATTTTCAACAGACACCTGAGCCTTAATAATCTAGAAACTAATACTTCGGAACAAATGACTAATTACTGCTGCCTTTGCTGATTTCATTCTGTCGTTGAATCTAGCTGTTGCTAAGTTATACTGCCTCCCAAAGTTTAGGCTGTCTGCAGGCTAACTGTTGATTTTGGCATCATTCTCTCTCTTTTACTTTTGGGTGGTTTTGAAAGATAGTTGCATGAAACGTACTTTTATTTCCTTCAACACTAGAGTTTAACATTTCTGTCCCTTTCTTTTTCTCCCATCTGATCCCTCCCTTTAAAATTGTTAACATCATTTCTTCCTCGTTGTTCATTTATTCTTATGCGATTCACTGACCCAGGGGAGGAGGGAACCAAATTGTGTTTATATAACATTTGGGTTGCAACTAGAAAATTTAAAGCTAGAAAATTTAAAGGTTCCAATTCATCTTTAAATGGAAGAGTTTGGGAAGAGGATGAGAAACAAATGCTTAAGGAAAAGAACATATTTTTAATTTCAGTTTCTCAACATTGGCTCTTTTGAGTTGTGCCATACTATTTTACTAGTGCAGTTTTTGCCAAGGAATATTTTTATTTCATACAGCTTTTTTAAGGCATGAAAATCACAATTCTTATCAGAGATTTGTGTTCCTAAATTATTTAAATAATTAAATTAATAGATAATTTGGCACTTTAAAACATTTTTCCAATTGTATCTGTTGAATTTGTTTTAAGAACAGATTTAGGTATGATATAGGTATATACATTTGGGAAACACTGAATCAAACAAAGTTACAAGTAGGTTTCTTAGCTGGGCATAGTGGCATGGGCCTGTAGTCCTAGCTACTGGGGAAGCTAAGGCAAGAGGATTGCTTAAGCACAGGAGTTCAAGTTCAGCCTGGTGAACATAGCGAGATCCCATTTCTTTAAAAACTTTCTTTTTTTTAACTGCAGGCCTTCTCAGAGTTATTAATATGCCGTTGTGCCTTGTGAATTTCCAGGAGGAGATTATGATATGTTGTGTTTCCCAAATTTATTTTACCTTGGAATTGTTTAAGGAACACCTAGTTTTTTCCCAGAACTTTAGTGTTCTGAGAGACACAGTTTATTATTCAAGAATTTTCCATATAATGTAAACCTTCTGTAATACTAATTTTGGTTCATAGATTATTAAAGAGAAAAAACAAAGTATGAAAGGAAACTATTAATTATTAACTATTATTTTCCCCAAAATCACTAAAGCCTTTTAAATGTTAATAAAGAACACATCTCATTCTCTTTAATGACAAGTGTCATTTATTGAGAGTATTTTCTCACAGTTTTGCAAGTTTTTCAGCAATGACCCTAAATTTTATTTCTTGGAAACCACACCCAAATCCTGGGTGCTCAATTGAAATAAAACAATACCCTAGTCAATATAACATGCTTGTTAGCATCTTTATTATTTAATATAGTGGGTCAGGAAAACATTCTTGTTATCTAGGTGTGATTTTTAAATTGGGGAGAATAAAGAATTACCATCTAATCTAAGTATTTTTTCTTTCTCTCCATATTTAGTTCTTAAACACTTCCAGTAACCATGAAAACTCAGACTTGGAAATGCCTTCTTTAACTTCCACCCCCCTCATTGGTCACAAATTGACTGTTACAACACCATTTCATAGAGACCAGACTGTGAAAACTCAAAAGGAAAATACTGTGTAAGTCTTTGGTTCAGGAATAAAATGATTTATCTTATTTACTTATATTTAATTAATGGAATATAGTTCCCAGATGTCTGATCCACTTGTATGTGCATAATTTTACTGACCATTTATATATAATCATGTCTATTCCCACATTGAATATATCTGTCCTGGGCATATTACAACTACCTACAGGTAGAAGATGGGAAGATAAACTAGATTCCTTTTGTAACTTACTCCAAAATTTCCTATATATGCACAAGTAGTTTTCATAAAACTTTTCCATTCGGTTTGTTTGTTCCCTCCATAAGGCCTTCTTATGAAAGCCAGATTTTCAACCTCCTTTCCTCTCTAATTGTAAGCTTCAGAATAAGAACGAGTATGGTTTCTTACCTAGTTTGTATTTTTATTTAATTTTATTTGTTTATTATTTATTTATTTTTAGTTTGTATTTTTTAATCTTATTTTTTCTTTTTGAATTTATGTGTAGATAGGACCTCTTCTGACATCCCCAGGAATATTATATGATTAGAAGCCAAGGGATGAGTAAGCAGTCATTTTTATTCAATAAAGCCTTAATCAATTCAGAGAAATGGTAGAGAAAGTGTGAATTATCAGAAACCTTGAAAAGAAATGCACTGTTATTTCGAAGTACAAAAAGTAAATTTTAAAAGTTTAACATGTTTTGTAGTATGGGCTCTGTTTTCATGAATAGGGAAACCTGATTTGTAAATGACATCAGGTCTTCTTGATGCTCATAGTCTTATACAGATCATAGGCACTACATGTGTCTTCAGAGCCATTAAGGAAAGATGTTAAATCATTTAATGCTTTTAGTCTTCGAGGTATAATATTTTGAAATATTTGAAAATATGTGATATGCATATTCTCTTTTTCTTAACGAATAACGTGATTAATCAGCACACCCCAATTCCATATCCGGAACAGAGTTTATTGTATTCAGTGGAAAAATGTTAAATGTAACAGGTAAAGCCATGTAGGGACATTTATTCTTTTGTATTGAGCCACTGCTTGTTTTCTTTTTAAAGTTTTAGAACCCCAGCTATCAAAAGGTCAATCTTAGAAAGCTCTCCAAGAACTCCTACACCATTCAAACATGCACTTGCAGCTCAAGAAATTAAATACGGTCCCCTGAAGATGCTAGTAAGTTCTAGAAAAGTTTTTGGATTTCATTGGTTTATTAGTCCCATTAGGAGTTCTCTCTGATGCAAAAATACCCACTCTTCCGTTTAGCCTCAGACACCCTCTCATCTAGTAGAAGATCTGCAGGATGTGATCAAACAGGAATCTGATGAATCTGGAATTGTTGCTGAGTTTCAAGAAAATGGACCACCCTTACTGAAGAAAATCAAACAAGAGGTAAACACGCAACCCTTTGGAAGCAACAAGCTGAGAATCCTGCCCCCTTTATTCCTTGTGTGCAGCTTGATGTGTCTGCCATTGGCACTGTGCAACACCACGACTTTTCGTGCAAGATTTTCATACAAGGTGCAGCGAAAAGGTACTGCCAGACTGTAGGCATCATCAACCTTTCCTTTGGGAAGCCAAGCCATCTCTATCTACTTCATGTTTGGACAGAAAACATACTAGAGAGTATCAAGAAAAGGGAGGGAAAGAGGTTTTTAATGTACTTTTAAACATTACTGATTATATAAAGTTGATATTTCATTTTTAGATGTGAAGAATTGGAATTTAAATTAAAATAATAGTATCTTTAATTAATTGTATTAAAAAAAGGGAGGCTGGGCGCGGTGGCTCATACCTGTAATCCCAGCACTTTGGGAGGCTGAGGTGGGCAGATCACAAGGTCAGGAGTTCGAGATCATCCTGGCTAACATGGTGAAACCCCGTATCCACTAAAAATACAAAAAAATTAGCTGGGTTTGGTGGCGGGCGCCTGTAGTCCCAGCTACTCAGGAGTCTGAAGCAGGATTATGGTGTGAACCCGGGAGGCAGATCTTGCAGTGAGCCAAGATCGTACCACTGCACTCCAGCCTGGGAGACAGCAAGACTCCGTCTCAAAAAAAATAAAAATTAAAATTAAAAAAGAGAATCTAACCTGCAAGGATCAAAGTTTTAGCTTGTTGGCAACAGCTGTTTTCCACCAGGTTAGATACAGTGCTTCTTGAATTTATTTTCATGTAAAGATAAGTATTTTTTTTTATAGCTAAAAATCTGATTTGATTATTTAGTAATGGAGAATTTTACCAGAATGTGATTAAAAACCAGTCTTTTGTCACCAAAAGATCTTTTATGTCACCAAAATAAAATCCTTGACGGATACAACACTACTAGGTGTATCATTAAAATATATTCTTAATAGAATAAACACCTAGAATCAGAACATTGGTTGAAAACGTAGGAGCTTTACAGGGGCAGTAAATTTGGAGCTAGTCACATTTCAAATTTGCCATCAGTGTTTCTTTGTTGAATCCAGAAGATAGAGCAAATTGAGCTGATAGTGTAAGTTAGCAACATAGTTTTATAAAAGTATTTGAGGGACTGGCCAGAAATATACTCCTGACTGTACATGTTTCATAGGAAGTTCTAGAAACAACAAAGCACTTTCTATATGCTTTTAGGTGGAATCTCCAACTGATAAATCAGGAAACTTCTTCTGCTCACACCACTGGGAAGGGGACAGTCTGAATACCCAACTGTTCACGCAGACCTCGCCTGTGGCAGATGCACCGGTAAGTACGTGTGCACCAGCCCCCAAGTTGTTATGTGACACTGGTGCCTCATGAAATCCTGTGTGTGGCATAGGGCTGCTGCGGTTTCAGCACTCCCTCTTTAACACATCTTATTTCTAAATGTTCTCCTGCACATGATTTTTAAAAAATGATTATTAATGTAGAGTATAAAGTTGAGATTTTTTCATGTATTAGAAACATTGCAGACTTTTTCATTATTTGTTTTCTCATTATTTGAGTGCCTTGGCCATTTAAAAAAATCTACATGGATATAAAAACTATGTTCATTTATATATTTTCCTTTATTTGTCTTCTAAATAATATTGTCTTCTTGTTAAGTTGTCTCTTGTTTGGTTTGTGTAGCATCTCATATGGTATCAACCACGTTGTCTATAGTAGATGCCCAGTATTGTACCCAATTGCTTTGGGTTACTACCACCATTTTTAAAGTTTATAATTTGTGAAGGGTTGTCCTTATGTCTTAAGGAAAATCAGAGCTAATAACAGCTGCTAAGATTTATTTAGTAGGTACTAAGTGGTAAGTACTGCTCTAGGGGCTTTCGATGAATTGATTCAGTTAATTCTCACAATTATCCTGTAAGGTTGGTATTATTTTTATTAATTTTTATTTTTTTTGAGACGGAGTTTCGCTCTTGTTGCCCAGACTGGAGTGCAATGGCACGATTTCGGCTCACTGCAACCTCTGCCTCCCGGGTTCAAGCGATTCTCCTGCCTCAGTCTCCCGAGAAGCTGGGATTACAGGCACCCGCCACCACGCCCAGCTAATTTTGAATTTTTAGTAGAGACGGGGTTTCTCCATGTTGGTCAGGCTGGTCTTGAACTCCTGACCTCAGGTGATCTACCCGCCTCGGCCTCCCAAAGTGCTAGGATTACAGGCGTGAGCCACCGCGCCCGGCCAGGTGGGTATTATTATCATTTCTATTATGTCAACTGGAAAACAGAGGCACAAAGAGGCTTAGTCATTTGCTCAAGATTGTATACCTAATAAGGGATGGTGCTGGGTTGGAACTCAGAAGGTCTTGTTCTAAATTCCCTACTTTTCACCATTTTTTGCCAATAATTTATAGCTCTAAAATATTGATAGTTCTGTACCAATATATGAAATAAAGTGTTCTCTCCCCAGAACTTAGTAAATCTTCTATTTTGAAAGGCATGTATTTATTAATTCATTTAGCAGATGTTTTTTGAGTGCCTAACACATGCCTAGAACTCTGGGATCCCAAAGGAGCTTTGTGTTGTGGTGATGTTTGCCACAATGGGATTAAGGTTCAGACATAGTTGATTTCTCCTTTTAGCTCATAGTGGGGAGAATTTCTGGCAGATGACTGCATTTTTTTATGCTAATGTGTATCATCTCATAGTAATCTACTCTCCACAGTGTTAGAAAAATGTGGCTCTCATATTATCCAACCTCATTTAAATTTCAAATTATTCTCTTCCCTTTAGAATATTCTTACAAGCTCCGTTTTAATGGCACCAGCATCAGAAGATGAAGACAATGTTCTCAAAGCATTTACAGTACCTAAAAACAGGTCCCTGGCGAGCCCCTTGCAGGTAATTACTATTCCAACATTGGTATTTTAAAATTCATTCACTGAAAAACTGTCATCTTTGGTGGTGGTGGTGGTGGTGGTGATGGTAGTGCTGGTGGTCTGTTTTTCGTTTTCAACATTTTAGACATAGGGGAGTAATGCTTTTATACAATTCTTGATGTCTAGAAAAATCCAATAATTCCTTTTTGCTACTCATATGAGACATGCTAGAAATTTTTATCAGTGCAGATTCCCCAAAGCATGATGAAATGAAACATTTCTTACTGTGACTGAGACTAAGATGTATTACACGTGTGTCACTATCTTCTTCTGCCCTCAAATGTTTTATAAAAATATATCAATATAGTTTACTTTATGTTCCAAATTTTTTATTTTTTATGCTGTATCCCTAGGCAACCAAAGCTCAGAGACTGTTCCAATTTTAAATGAAGTCTGAAATTAGTCAGACAGAAAATAATTGCAATGTATTTGACTGTCAGAATAAGAAAGTCAACTGTCAATGTTGTGAGGCCGATCTGAAGTTGACCATCTGCTGTCAGGTTTTAATATCAAAAGAGATTTCCCTTGTAACCCTAAAGTGGGTGTGTGTTGATGAAATATAACCAATTCCAAATTAATCCTGAGCCAAATGTAAATAAGAATGCAAATTTTGCTTCCCTAAATTATTTAAAGCAGTTTCTGACATTAAATAGCCCAATACCCAGCCACCTGCAGAGCCCTCTCCTCCATCCCCCTGTGCCATGCAGAGGGAAACTTCATAACCCTAGAGGAAGTGAAGAGCCTGGATTCAGAAGCTGAAGGTCATATTTCTTGCTGTAAGTTAAATGGCACGATCATAGGACAGCAGCCTTTGAGTCTGCCCATTACCTTAAAGGGATTTCCCATTCTTGTGATAGTTTCTCCTTCCAAATTGTGAGAATCTGAAAACTTGCCCGGTAAGTATTTGTGATGCTTAGTTTTTCAGGGTTTTTTGTTGATGTTGCTTTGTTTTTTGAAACAGGGTCTTACCCGGTGGCCCAGGCTGGAGTGTAGTGGGGTGATCTCGGCTCACTGCAACCTCCGCCTCCCAGATTCAAGTGATTCTTATGCCTCAGCCTCCCAATTAGCTGGAATTACAGGTGTGAGCCACCGGCAACCCAGCCGTTTTTTTGTATTTTTGGATAGAGACAAGGTTTTGCCATGTTGGCCAGGCAGGTCTCGAATTCCTGGTTTCAAGTGATCTGCCCACCTCGGCCTCCTACAGTGCTGGGATTACAGGTGTGAGCTACCGCACCTAGCCAGTGCGTAGTATTATTGTAAAATAAGGATTGCAAGCACATTTTGTTTAATTAAATCAGATTGCTTCCTTCCTGGCCTCTCTCTGACAGCAATTGTTTTGGTAAAATGGCTGTGGACTGGAATGTGAGACAGGGAGTCAGTATTTATGGGGAATCTGGACAAGTTCCTGCGTCAGTGAGGCTGGAGTTGGCCCCGTGTGGAGAAGACTCAGAATACCACAAAGAGGCCAGACGCAGTGGCTCATGCCTGTAATCCCAGCACTTTGGGAGGCCAAGGCGGGTGGATAACTTGAGGTCAGGAGTTTGAGACCAGCCTGGCCAACACGGTGAAACCCCATCTCTACTAATCCCAGCTACTCGGGAGGCTGAGACAGGAGGATCGCTTGAACCCAGGAGGCAGAGGCTGCAGTGAGCCGAGATCATGACACTGCACTCCAGCCTGGGTGACAGAATGAGACTCCATCTCAAAAAAAAGAATATCACAAATAATTGGGAGATGAGGAAGAGAATGAACTCCACCCAGACATAAGAGGAACCCAGAAAGGGAGTTACAAAGATTTCAAGGCAAAGGGCAGCCATTTCAAAATTTTCCTGAAAGCTGTTCTTAGGTCCAGAAGAAAAGCTTTTGCTTTTTTTTTTTTTTTTAATTATTCCCACCTAAGTTACTTGGCTCTTGGTTTCTAGAGAACAGAATTCAACTACTGCTATTCGTGTTTTAATTAAGTTAGATTAAGTTTTGCATATATTTTCTAACCTAGTCTGGGGCCAACTTGTATTTGTAGTAGTACAGAAAAAGTCTGTTCTAAATTTCAAAAAGCCAACACATCAATATACTTGGGGACAATTACCATTACATAAGTTGAAACCCATAGTTCAGTATTGAGCTTTATCAGTATATTTGTATTTTATTTAATGGAAATATTGGTTATCTTTGAAACTCAAAATTAAGTTATAGCTCTATTTTATTAATCTGTATTCTCCTGTCTATCAGTGAGTCATATTGGCACTTTATGAATTCTAACATCTGTACACTGAGATTAAGTTGTGTATGGTGAAGGTAATATTTGTCAATTCTATCAAACTGAATAATTGAGACTTGAAAGTTAATTTTAGAGTCAATACTCCTGTCTAAACCATATAGTTTACTGGTTTACACTGACCAGATATATTTTAATAATCTGCTATAAAGCCAGGCTCAGTGGCTCATGCCTGTAATCACAATACTTTGGGAAGCCAAGACTGGAGGATAGCTTGAGACCAGGAATTTGAGACCAGCCTGGGCAACATAGTGAGACTCAGTCTCTATTAAAAAATAATTAGCTGGGCTGGGCGTGGTGGCTCACGCCTGTAATCCCAGCACTTTTGGAGGCCGAGGTGGGCGGATCACGAGGTCAGGAGATCGAGACCATCCTGGCTAACACGGTGAAACCCCGTCTCTACTAAAAATACAAAAAAATTAGCCGGGCGTAGTGGCGGGCACCTGTAGTCCCAGCTACTTGGGAGGCTGAGGCAGGAGAATGGCATGAACCCAGGAGGCGGAGCTTGCAGTGAGCTGAGATAGCGCCACTACACTCCGGCCTGGGTGACTGAGCGAGACTCCATCTCAAAAAAAAAAAAAAAAAAAAAATAATAATAATAATAATAATAATTAGCTGGGTGTAGTGGTACATACCTGTAATCCTAGCTACTTGGGAGGCTAGGGCAGGAGGATCCCTTAAGCCCAGGAGTTCAAGGTTACAGTGAGCTATGATTATACCCCTGCACTCTAGCCTGGGAGACAAGACCAAGACCTTGTCTCTAAAAAAAATTTTTTAAGGCCAGCCGTGGTGGCTCACACCTGTAATCCCAGCACTTTGGGAGGCAGAGGCGGGTGGATCACAAGGTCAGGAGTTTGAGACCAACCTGGCCAACATGGTGAAACTCTGTCTTTACTAAAAATACAAAAAATAGCCAGGCGTGGTGGTGCGCACATGTAATCCCAGCTACTTGGGAGGCTGCGGCAGGAGAATTGCTTGAACCCAGGAGGTGAAAGTTGCAGTGAGCCCAGATCGTGCCATTGAACTCCAGCCTAGGCAATAGAGTGAGACTCTATCTCAAACAAACAAACAAAAATTTAATCTGCTATAATAGATACTAATTTATTTTAAGAAATACTTAGTGAATGTTGTTCTACATACTTGCCAATTGGGAGGAAAAAAGAAATATTCACTAAATGAATGAATGTTATACACCAAGTATCTCCTTCATTTTATGTCATGGAGTTCTAGCTTCTGATATCACAGAAATATGTGATTTCTAAAATGTTTCAGACTATTGTGATAAGTATTGGAAAATGCATCAAGTGACTCTAAATATTTAAACATACATCACCTATATTTCATATAATCCTGATTCAATAATATTTCTATAGATTTTTTATGCAATTTGGTAATTTTGTTTGTTTGAAACACAGTGCTATTTCATATATTTCTATTGATAATCCAATTTGACCTAATTAGGCATATTTCTCACACATGGTATTATTGAACATATTGCACATTTATTAAATGATATGTATTTTACTTAAGAGTACTTTATATAATCTATAATTTTTGTAATTTGTACTTATAATAAATCAAATATTAAGTGGGATTTTAGCCAAACCATCTAGACATTTTTGTCATAATGTTTTTATTAAAACAGCAAAATAGGAGTTTCAAAATATTTTAAAATTTGAATACTTCTAAAATGTAAAATGTTTGCAACTGGTGTAATGCAGTTGATTGTCTATCCCTCTAAACTGTCTAAATAACTTAGGTTCAAGAACAGTTTATTGAAGAACATAGGAACTGCGCAATTCTGTGTTTTATCATTTCAGTTTTAATCACCCCGGCTTGATTATGGCAACAACATTTTAGACAAGCAATTATTACTATTTTTGAGGCCCATATACTGGGCCATTATGGTTTTGCTTCTAACGTACATATAAATGCACATGCAATATATATAAATTATGTTTGCTGTTTTAAAATTAGAAATGCCGAGAAGCTATGTGTTTGACATTTTATTATAAATTTTGTACACACATAGATGTATGGAAAATATACTATGTTCTAGAGTCAACAATTGTTATCATTTTGCCATATTTACCTCATCTCTTTTTTTTTTTTTTTGAGATGAAATCTCATTCTGTTGCCCAGGCTGGGGTGCAGTGACGCAATCTCAGCTCACTGTAACCTCTGCCTCCCAGGTTCAAGCAATTCTCCTGCCTCAGTCCCCTGAGTAGCTGGGACTACAGATATCTGCCTGGCTAATTTTTGTATTTTTAGTAGAGATAGGGTTTCTCCATGTTGGCTAGGCTGGTCTCGAACTGCTGACCTCAAGTGATCCACCTGCCTCGGCCTCCCAAAGTGCTGGGATTATAGATGTGAGCCACCACGCCTGGGCTACCTCATCTCTTTTTTATGAAGTTTTTATTTTTATTTTTTAATTTTTTTTTTAATTTTTTTTTTTTTTTGAGACAGCGTCTTGTTCTGTCACCCAGGCTGGAGTGCAGTGGCATGATCTCGGCTCACTGCAACCTCCACCTCTTGGGTTCAAGTGATTCTTCTGCCTTAGCCTCTCGAGTAGCTGGGACTACAGGCGCTTGTCACCATGCTAGCTAATTTTTGGTATTTTTAGTAGGGACGGGGTTTCACCGTGTTAGCCAGGATGGTCTCAATCTCCTGACCTCATGATCGGCCCGCCTTGGCCTACCAAAGTGCTGGGATTACAGACATGAGCCACTGCACCCGGCCAGTTTTTTATTTTTTATTTTTTTGAGACAAGGCCTTGCTCTGTCACCCAGGCTGGAGTGCAGTGGCAAGATCATGGCTCACTGCAGCCTACCTCCTGGACTCAAGCAATCCTCCTCCCTCAGCCTCCTGAGTAGCTGGGACTATAGGCACATGCCACCATGCCCAGCTAGTTTTTTTTTTTTTTTTTAGAGATGGGGTCTCCCTGTGTTGCCCAGCCTGGCCTCAAACTCCTGGGCTCAAGCAATCCTTCTGCCTTGACCTCCCAAAGTGCTGGGATTACAGGCAGGAGCCACCCTGCCCAGCCTGAAGTATTTTAAAGTAAATTCCAACTAATATAACATTTTATTCTCATGTACTTCCAGATGTGTCTCTAAAAATAGACATTTTTATATATAACCTAATACCATCATTACATATTTAACAATAATTCTTTAATCTTCTCATTCTCAGGTATATTTAAATTTTCCCATTAATCCAAAAAAGAATCAAAATTGAAACAATTTCACACATTGCATTTGGTTAAGCCTCTTAAATCTCTTTTACTCTCTAGTCCAGTGCTGTCTAATAGAACTTCTACAGTGATGTGAAGGAAATATCTAATATGCTGCTATCCACTATGATAGCCAGTGGCTTTTGAGCACTTGAAATATGGCAAGTGCTGCTGAGGAGCAGAATTTTCAATTTGAATTAATTTAAGTTGCTTTAATTTAATAGCCACATTTCCTTACTCTCTTACTGGAATCAGCCATTTCCCCATGGTGCTCTGAATCCTCTTAGTGAGAAATGGTACATAGACACCAAAATCAGGGTGCTAAGTCTGTCCATTGTTATGTGGTTTGTCATTGAGATACAAATAATTTTTTTTGTTTTGTTTTGAGACAGAGTCTCACTCTGTCACCCAGGCTGCAGTGCAGTGGTACAATCTTGGCTTACTGCAACCTCCACCTCCTTGGTCCAAGCTATTCTCCTGCCTCAGTTTCCCAAGTAGTTGGGATTACAGGCACCCACCACCACACTCAGCTAATTTTCGTATTTTTAGTAGAGACATGGTTTCACCATGTTGGCCAGGCCAGGCTCAAACTCCCAACCTCAGGTGATCTGCCTGTCTCAGCCTCCCAAAGTGCTAGGATTACAGGCGTGAGCTGCCACACCTAGCCAAGACTCAGTGAATTTTAATAATCCAGAGCTCTCCATGTATCCCCTAATCTATAATCTACAGTGCTTAAATAGAGGCTTTTATAAGCCATTATGTACACTCATGTTATGTTTGTTTTTTTAATTACTTAGTCTTTTTCCAAAAGGAATTTGCAACAGCTACATAATCTTATAATTGTTATGTTTCTTTTATATTTTCACAGTTGTTTTAATTTTAAATTGTAAAAGCAAACAGGATATTCTTATAATAAAAATGTTCTGAGATGTTTTTCATATTTGTGTCTTTCATGTGGCTCAGAATATATGAGATTTTCATGTCATATCATTGTCAGTATTCAGCCTTTTCTCCACATTGTGTGGGGTAGAGGATAGAGTCTAGAAGCTTATAAAATGGTCACAAATGAGGAAGTAGAGAAAACATTCAGCCTAGAAAGCGTGCATTTGTGGTATGAAAGGCACTGTGGAATGCTGCTGGATTCTGCCCTTCAGTAGTTACCCGAGAGAGACCGAGGCAGACGCATAGCTCCCTCCTCAGCAAGGAGAAAAGAGTTGCCTGCTTTCCTCAGCGTGCTTTCCATTTCCTTTGTTTTGAAAAAAGCACATTATGCTAATCAACTTTCCTTAAGGTAGACATTTTTATTGGTAGATCAAAAACCGTGCTTTAAGTTATAAGCCTTCTGAACTTCTGTATTTTTCTCTTAAATTATAATTTCCTTTTATTCCTATTTAAAACCCAAGTGTAAAAGATGTGTTCATAGGCTTTCTACTCACTCACTTGCCTCTTTTTCGTAACCACAGAATGACAGCCTTAAATTTTAATTTCCTGACTTGGCTTGCCCATGGCCTGACTTTTTTAAAACAAGGAGTTTAAGTTAAAGAAATTTCTCCAGCCATTATTATTTAAACACATTTACACAGTATCAAAGAATTTAAAAATGTTGCTAGCAGTTGATACTCCCCTCAGCTTTCGGTTCAGCGTGTTTTAGATTGCTCCTATTTTGTTATTTGTCTATGAACTTTTATATTTTTCAAAAAAATAAGGCAAGCCCTTTTTGCCTGATAGGCACTGCTGAGCAGTATAATAAACAAGCATGGGGGCAACAGAACCTGGGTTCCAGGCTAGACTCCACTGTTTTCAAACGGCATGACTTTAATTCATCAAGTGAACACAATTAAGCAAAGTATAAGTTTGGGACCATGGAATATCCTTCACTCATCACACAGGTTACTGTGAAGATCAAATGGATATAATATTGCTTTCAAGATGGCGGCACACTTGCCACTATACACAGGTGATATTATTAGGCAGAGTCGCCACATAGTCCCTGTCCTTGAAATGCAGGCAAGGAGCCCTCACCAAAGGCCAGGGTGGTTTTTTGTTTTTCGGGTTTTTGTTTGTTTTTTTCATTGTGGTATATTATTTCCTCTGGCATGCTATTCCCTGTCCCACTCTTACAGAACTGTGTCAGTGGGTCACCAAAAGAGAGAGCTGATTCAACTGATTCCTTGAAATAAAGGTAGTCAGACCTCGCGGTATGATGGAGATGAAGCAACTGATTTACTGGTTTTCTCTATTTTTCTGCTGTTCGTGTTGTCATTTAAACAGACATGGAAACCGTCTGCACACGACAGAGATCTTTCCGAGCCTTTTTCATCTAGTGTGCTGTGCTGACCCGCTCCCCTGGATGCCTGCACACTCATTTGGTTCTCCCTTTTGGTCACTTTTTTCCACTTACCCTGGCAGAAATTCACGTGGCTGTCAGTAGTAATTCAGTGACCTGCTTTCAAAAAATGTTATAAATTAAGCAGCTTTTCTGTGTATAGCTTTTGGGTTGAACTGAGAAGGGCTAAGTGAAGGGAGAAGCTATGTTGAGCTCAGAGTCAGAATGCCCTGCCCCAGACATTTTGAGATGTGAATTTTTCATTTGTTTTGTTTGGTGACACTTAGAGAGAATAAACATTCTGAGATAAAAATCTTCCTTGGGCAGGCCAGCAAAGATAGAATTGCTTTAGAGCAATTTGGCACTTGGTCTTAATCTTAATAGTTTGGAACTCATATGTGACTAAGGAAAAGGATATTGCAAAAAGTTGTGCCACCCTAGGCTATATGATATAAACTTAGAAAGTCTATCAACGTGAAAGGTGAAGAGACCTCTAGAGACATCGGGGACAAACTCCAAATTTGGGAAAGGTCCATCCACATTTGCAATTGTTAGTTAGGCTTGGGAAGTGGAGTCATTGGTGGATGAGGCAACTTCCAATCACCATCTCGATTTTTATTTCCCTAACTTTTAAGATTATTTTCTATAGAAAATCAGTAGTGCTGAAGTTGGAGTCATTTAATTGATTTGTGCCAACCTAGGGAAGCATTTACTCTCGAGAAAAGTTTGGTAACCATTAATCTTACCTTAGCAACATTTCAGTTTAAGCTTATCTCTGACTTTCCAAAGACAACTAAAGATTTCTACAGTCTCTCTTATAACTGATCCATTTTTTCAAAAGATGTCCCTTTGGGAAGGAATTCTCATTTTTAGAATTTTAGTCCAGAGGAAGTATTTTTTTTTCAGATAGGTGAAATAGAATAAGCAGAAAATTCTTATTTTTTACTGTTTTATATACCATTGATGCCTGCTTATTTTAAAACAAAACACAATAAAAACATGATACCATCTGATGAGTTGCTTTGGTTTTACTTTTTTTTTTTTTTTTTTTTTTTTTTTTTTTTTAGTTTATACAAGTTTCTTATTAGGTCAGCAAATTGTAAAACACATAATTTGCCAAGGCTTTTGAAGCCAGCAGATACTGGGTGAAGTTGCTGTATGAATATAATAATAAGAACCGTTTTTGTTCAGCTTGATGAAAAAACTATTCATGTTCTAAATGAAAATGTGAAGATCATCTAATTCTGACAGAAAACCACCTGTGGACATGGTCTTGTTTCTTTTTATTTCTTCTGTTTTCTACAAAAGATGGCAATATTTATTTAAAGTGCTTTAACAGGATATCCCAGTTAAAGCTTTGACAGACTGTTTATAGTTCACTTCTGCCCAGGGGCAATTAAAGGCACATTACAGGATAAGCGAGATGACTCCCCGGCCACAGGAGGAGGATGTGTGGGTAGGATTATTAATGTTGAAATGAATTATGATAGAGTGACATGTCTGCAAGAGCACCATGGGTTAGTAACTTAACAAGAATTCATATGCAGAAACCCATAATTCTCAGCAGTTCTTTAGGGTAAATGAAACTAAAGTTTAGGGAGAGAGAACAAGGAGAATTTGCAAAGATATGTATGACAGTATTTAAAAATGTTCTTCCAGCACAAAGACATTAATCTTCCTTTGTCAAAATAATTCTTTCTGCATGAAAAGTTGGCATGGGGCTCCCAGGCTTCAGGTAAGATGGGAGAAAGGGAGCGTTTCTTTTTTTTTGTACCAAAGTACTCAATCTTCTGATCTTCCTTGACTTTCACGACATAGGCATATGTCTACTCTGACCAGTTTGTTTCATTTATTGTGGTAAGATGTGCTTGTCTTGTGCTTTCCTGGTGCAGAAAAGGAGCTGCCTCGCTCATGCTTGGTGGCCTTTTTGTTCCTACACACAGTGGTTCTCGTACATGGTGGCTACCACATCCTGGTGTTTGTCTATACTGGGAGAATCAGGCGTTCCAAGTCATCTTGGCTGCCCTAGCTCTGAGCTTCAGGGGATATATGACTCAGAAATGCTATGCTTTCTGGAATTTGGATATTTCATTTTTATTTGTTTCTTGGTAAATTCTCTTTTGACTTAGGAGAAGCTAACTATTTGGAAAGGTCTCTCAGAACTCTAATTACAAATATATGGTACCTTCTTTATATTGATCTCATTTTTAAATACCTAGTCCTGGAGGAAGAGCTAAATATGAATACAGTGATGAGCTGTGTAGGGGATCTCACAGGAACACAGTCAGATTTCAAGTTGAAAATAGATTCAGTTGATAATACTTAGTACTAGATTCTCCTGAATCGACTTTGGGAATTCTGAGTCAACCTAAGGACTATATTACAAAGGATCAGACCTTGACTTTTAGGCCAGGTGTAGTGGCTCATGCCTGTAATCCCAGCACTTTAGGAAGCCAAGGCAAGTGGATCACTTCAGTCCAGGAGGTTGAGACTAGCCTGTGCAACACAGCGAGACCCTGTCTCTACCAAAAATACAAAAATTAGCCAGGTGTAGTGTAGCACCTGCCTGTAGTCTGAGCTACTGAGGAGGCTGAGGTTGGAGAATCAACTTTAACCCCGGATATGGAGGCTGCAGTGAGCTGTGATCATGCCAGCCTGGGCAAGGAGCAAGACCCTCTCTCAAAAACGAAAACAAAAAAGACACAGAACTTGACTTTTAACAGGAGGCATAGTAATAGCAAGCATAAGATTGTTTTAACATAGCATTTAAGATAATTTACGCATTTAGAAAATTAATTCTGGCTGGTTGTAGTAGCTTATCCTTAATCCTAACCCTATGAGAGGCCAAGGCAGGAAGATCACCTGAGGCCAGGAGTTTGAGACCAGCCTAGGCAACATAGCGAGACCCCCGCTCTCTACAAAAAATTTTTTTTAAAAAACATAGCTGGGCATGGTGACACACTCCTGTAGTCCCAGCTACTCAGGAGGCTGAGGCGGGAGGCTTGCTTGAGGCCAGGAGTTTGAGGGAGCTGTGATCACGCCCCTGCACTCCAGCCTGGGCAACAGAATGAGGCCCTATATCTAAAAAAAAGAAAAATGGACAAGAAAATTCTATATTGATTGAAGCCCAGCTAAATAGAAAAAAAAAAATTCTAATAGGCCATTTTAAAGACTTTGGAAAAATTCTTAGCTAGAGTAAAACAGAAGCAATCCTTTCTTTCCTGGTTCTCACATCTCCATTCTCACCTTCATTCCCCTTCCCCTCCATTTGTTTCAAGTATTTTTCTTTTCTATGTGTGTCTTTATGTAAATTTAAATTTACCTACAAGATATTATGATATTAAGATATTTCATTCTGCTTCCTGTTTTGTCACTTGTTCTTTAAGATCCAAGTCCTTGGCTCCATGTGCATCTAATCCTTGCCATAAGCCCTGCATCGTACTTCATATTCACCATATTGAACTATTCACCCTCAAGTAGTCACTATTAAATGTCACACTGTTGTAGCGACTACAAATGCAAGCTCAGTAACTGAAAAGATAACATTAAATTTTGTTTTTTAATTGGTTTCCTGTGTCAATTTCATGTTTCGGGAATTTGTATGGACAGATAGACACCAGAGAGATATGCGTATTTCACCTGCATGCTTGAGGCTAGAGAAACATGATTTATTCAGAACTATTTCAAATACTGTAACTAACCTGGTAATTTTGTTTAGGAAAACATTAAATTCGGAATAGAAGGCAATTCAGAATACCTGTCTGTTATCTTTGTCTTGTCATTTTTGAGATACTCAGTTCCTGGAAAATATTATGATAATCCATCTTGCTATGTAGTATTTCAAGTTATATGTTGAGCCTCTGAGCTTGCAGAGTGAACATTTCTATTCATAGACAGTGCTGTTGACATCAGTGGGGAGATGGCACAAGCTTTGTGCCCTAGGAAAGTTTAAAAGCTAGAACATTACACTGCAAACCCTATGTCAGGAAACTTTGTTGCAGCAACTAGGCAAGGAAACCCTACCACTGTACCCATACCTTGTTTTAGTAGAATTATGTTTCTTTGCTAAGAAGTCTGGTGACTCTCACACCCCATCTCAGCACTTTCCTGGATTCCAAGGCCCTGGTGCCCTGAGCACACAACTTCCCAGGTTCCTTTTATTGTTTCTGATAAGAACTCGAATTAGAGGCAGCGTCTGGTACTCACCAGGGGTGTGGTCCCATGGGTGACATTCTTGCTCCATCATTTCTTACCCAGGTAACCTTGAGTATGGCGCCTAAATCCTCTCTTCCTTTCAAATTGCCTGGTCTGTAAAATGGATGCAGTGAATGGTAGCTATGCCACAGGTGTTTTGTGTGAGAATTAAATGAGAGGAGTTATATCAATAACACTTAGAGGCATGCGGTGCCTATAGTGAGGGCTTGTTTTATGTTGTCGTTTAACCCTTTCTTTCTCAGCCCTCCCCCACTCCACATCCCCTCCCACTGGCAATGTACAAATTGCAGCTTCCTGCCTCTTTCCTGCTATCTCGCTCCCTGGATGACATCCCTGCGTTTCCACCTCTCTCTCCCCTAATCTTAGCTGTTTTCACCCTTTCCCCACAGCATTGCCTTGACAGTTCCTCAGTGTCCCATCCCCTCTTCCCATGGACAACACCACAAACCTGCGCACACGGCCTGTTATTATTCCTCCTGTTTCACCTGTGTCCATTCTGTCTCATAAAGGACACTGTAGGCTCTGAACAGCTAAGGCCTTTCTTATTCTTTTGTCCCATGGAAAATAATCCCTCCAGATAGCAATACCAGGAATAGTGCCTTTTCTAACCCACTGGTTTCCTTTTGAGCTTACAGCCACCAAATCTTATATCTGTTTGTTTCTGTTCCCCTCTCTGCATTGACTGCTAGAGAGATCAGAGTCAAGCAGGAGGTTACATCTAGCTGGGGCACTGTGCTTTATGCTGGTGTTTCGTGTGCAAATCTCATACCATCTTCATGTTACAGTTGTTCCTTAGTGTCCATGGGGGATTTGTTTCAGAACCCGCAAGGACACCAAAGTCCAGGGATGCTCAAGTCCCTGATATAAAATAGCATTGTGTTTGCATATAATCTACACACATCTTACCATATAATTTTTTTTATTATTTGTATACATTCGTGGGGTACAAGTGTAATTTTGTTACATGGATGTATTGCATAGTGGTCAAAGTCGAGGCTGTGAGTGTATTTATCGTTGGAATAATGTACATTGTACCCGTTCATTCCTGTATACTTTAAGTCATCTCTAGATTACTTATAATAGCTAATACAATGTAAATGCTATGGAAATAGTTGTTATATTGTTAGGGGATAATGACAAGGAAAACACCTATACATGTTCAATACACAGCAATTATTTTTTTCTGAATATTTTTGATCTGCCATTGATTGAATCTATGGATGTGGAACCCACAGATATGGGACCCACAGATGCAGAGGGCCAACTGTGTTTATTTTTTCCAAATTTGTTTCCCTGTTATGACTCTTCTTTATACACATTTTTAAACTCTGTTGTCTTGTATTTCTTTTCTAATCATCTTACGTCCTTTTGGAAACCAAGTGGGGCATAAATAGTACATGTTTGCATTTGAGGCAACACAGAGGCATCGCAGGAGCTGGAGACAGCAAAGTTCAAAGCCAGTCCACCACTTACCTACAGAGTGGCCTTGGGCAAGTTACCTCCATTTTCTGTCTCCATTCTCGAGCCTGTCTAGAGAGAGAATGAACCTGCCTCCCGAGGTGATGGTGCTGTTTTAATGAAATAATGCATGTGAAATGTGAAGTGCCACTGTCCCTGGCATGGAGATGCTGTCCTTAGATATTAGGTCCATCTTGTATCTTCTAGTGTATCTTTAAAAATTAAACTATACTGGCTTCATGCCTGTAATCTCAGCACTTTGGGAGGCCAAGACCGGCAGATCACTTGAGTCCAGGAGTTCAAGACCAACCTGGGCAACATGGTGAAACCCTGTCTCTACAGAAAATACAAAAATTAGTGGGGCTTGGTGGCACGTGCCTGTAGTCCCAGCTGCTTGGGTAGCTGAGGTAGGAGGATCACTTGAGCCCAGGAGGCTGAGGCTACAGTGAGCTGTGATTGCACCAATACCGATCAGCCTGGTATGACAGAGCATGACTCTGTCTCAAAAAAAAAAGGAAAAAAATTAAACTATACTGATAAATATTTCTAAAGTAATTGATGAAAACATATATATGACACTTAGCAGGTGTTGATCAATTCCAGTGCGTGCATGAGCTGCTTTGCACTGTGGCTACAGCACTCAGCAGTTTGCTTAGTGAGTAGATGGCCATAGCTCACTTTAGGTATCTGGAGAATAATGCTCATTCCTGTCTCCAGCTTTGTAAAATTGCCTAATAGACGGAAGGCATTAAAATATGAAGATGGGATTATATCTTATGAAGCTGCTTGGAATGGGTTTTCCCTCTTAACAAATAATTTCTGATCATCCATATCCCTTAAGAACACCGGATTTCTGGGGGCCAGGGAGGTAAGATTCTATCTGACAAAGCCTTCCTGGTGTCAACCACTTGCCATCTGTTGGTCAGTGCTGGCCCTGCTGGGTCTATAGAATGAGCTTCTTTGTCTGACGCTCCTGTTGCCATCCCTTTCTCCATCAGCCTTGTAGCAGTACCTGGGAACCTGCATCCTGTGGAAAGATGGAGGAGCAGATGACATCTTCCAGTCAAGCTCGTAAATACGTGAATGCATTCTCAGCCCGGACGCTGGTCATGTGAGACATTTCCAGAAAAGCATTATGGTTTTCAGAACACTTCAAGTTGACTTGGGATATATCATTCCTCAACATGAAACTTTTCATGAATGGGAGAAGAACCTATTTTTGTTGTGGTACAACAGTTGAGAGCAGCACCAAGTGCATTTAGTTGAATGAAGTCTTCTTGGATTTCACCCAACTAAAAGGATTTTTAAAAATAAATAACAGTCTTACCTAAATTATTAGGTAATGAATTGTAGCCAGTTGTTAATATCTTAATGCAGATTTTTTTAAAAAAAACATAAAATGATTTATCTGTATTTTAAAGGATCCAACAGATCAGTATTTTTTCCTGTGATGGGTTTTTTGAAATTTGACACATTAAAAGGTACTCCAGTATTTCACTTTTCTCGATCACTAAACATATGCATATATTTTTAAAAATCAGTAAAAGCATTACTCTAAGTGTAGACTTAATACCATGTGACATTTAATCCAGATTGTAAATGCTCATTTATGGTTAATGACATTGAAGGTACATTTATTGTACCAAACCATTTTATGAGTTTTCTGTTAGCTTGCTTTAAAAATTATTACTGTAAGAAATAGTTTTATAAAAAATTATATTTTTATTCAGTAATTTAATTTTGTAAATGCCAAATGAAAAACGTTTTTTGCTGCTATGGTCTTAGCCTGTAGACATGCTGCTAGTATCAGAGGGGCAGTAGAGCTTGGACAGAAAGAAAAGAAACTTGGTGTTAGGTAATTGACTATGCACTAGTATTTCAGACTTTTTAATTTTATATATATATACATTTTTTTTCCTTCTGCAATACATTTGAAAACTTGTTTGGGAGACTCTGCATTTTTTATTGTGGTTTTTTTGTTATTGTTGGTTTATACAAGCATGCGTTGCACTTCTTTTTTGGGAGATGTGTGTTGTTGATGTTCTATGTTTTGTTTTGAGTGTAGCCTGACTGTTTTATAATTTGGGAGTTCTGCATTTGATCCGCATCCCCTGTGGTTTCTAAGTGTATGGTCTCAGAACTGTTGCATGGATCCTGTGTTTGCAACTGGGGAGACAGAAACTGTGGTTGATAGCCAGTCACTGCCTTAAGAACATTTGATGCAAGATGGCCAGCACTGAACTTTTGAGATATGACGGTGTACTTACTGCCTTGTAGCAAAATAAAGATGTGCCCTTATTTTACCTACTTTTGTTTTCTCTCTTATTTGTCACTATGGACAACAGTTACACTTTAAAGAAAATGGAGCAGACTCAAGGCACTTTCCTCTAATAATTGCACACCATATGCACTTCGTGTGAAGAAGCCAGGAATCATTACAATGGAAAAGAAAGAACAAGCAAACTGAGTTAAATAGTTCACAAACAATCACATGGACAATGGGGAGGAATCTTCCAGAATGCATCAGTCAGGGTCTAGCGGCATTTGAGTGCGGATGCTGTAAGGGGAATTCGTTCACAAATGTACTGATACCACAGATGTGGGCAGGGGCTAGGAGAGCAACAGGGTGCAGGCCTGAAGGCACCTGGAAGGCCGCCTGGAGGGGGACAGTCAGGAAAGCAGGAGCCCTTGAGAGGAGCACTAGCCTTTGATGAGACCACTGCCATCGAAGGAGACCTCACAGGGAGGGAGCCAAGGGTAAACCCTAACTTTGTTTCCCCATTTCTCCTATCTCTGCCTAGGGGTCCTCACTGGCAGAACCAACCAGAAGCTGGAGGACAAGGGAGCTCCCATATGGGAGCCGGCCTGTGAGCCTTCAAGGGTATGCGGAGTCGTTTGTTCAAAATAGCCCCATTTCACAGATGAATCTCTACTGGCTCCATCTTCAGCTTAGTGTTCTCTTCACTATGCTGTAATATCCCTTTTAACATAAATTCCTTTAAATTTCCTTTACTCACTCTGTTCCAATTCTGAATTCTCATGGGCATGATACACTTGGTGTTCATAGAGCCAAGGATTTGTTACGCCTAATTACTAGTTTTTGAGTCAATTTGGTGGACTTTTACTGTCCTGCTGATAGATGACGTGACACGTCTTCCCAGTGTTGGGAAGCTCTTTATATTCATGCCCTCTCCGAGTATTTTTCCAAGCGCTGACTCTGCCACTTACTAGCAGTTTGAACTTAGACAAGTCACTCACATCTCTGAGCCTTTTTTCCTTATCTGGGCAATGAGTTCTTTCCCACAGTGAAACTTTTATTAAGTAATGCACTATACAAATGTTTGTTATTATGTACACTTTCCACAGTCCAGTGATGCTTGCTGTGTAGTGTGTTGAATGCCCATCTTGCTGATAATGTGCACTGCCAATTACACAGTTATATTGAGAGGTCACTTAATTATTAATGACAAGAGTGAACTCAACATCTTACAGAACTGAAATAGATATTTATATTTCCAACACGCTTGTAACCCAATAACTAGAGACTAAAAACCTAACTTCATGAAAAGGAGTGTAAATTTAGCTGTTATGGTCAAATACTCACACAGCACACCCAGTTCACAAGCATCTCCAAAACGTTGATTGTTCTGATCAATTTTGAAAATCATCCTGCTCTCTACAGCAGGAATTCAGGTAGTACAAGTGAAAACAGTATTATATACTACTTAAATGAAAGGCTGCCCTTGTGAGTTACTGTGTGTGAAGTTGCTTCTGCGTATGTCCATCCAGAGAACAGGAGAGACACTGAGAAGACTGATGTGTCCCCGACCTCTAGATGGGACTGAAAATTCAAGATAAGAGAGATGCCCAGGGATAAACTTCCTTCTTTCTTTAGAAATTATACAATATTAGAACTGAAAGGGACATTAGATATCATCAGGGCTTCCCATAAGGGGCTCACTGTCTTGCTTTATTGAAAGAAAATCAGTTTTGAAGCCAGACCAATCTTTTTTTTTCTTTTTAAATATAGGTGGTGTCTTGCCATCTTGCCCAGACTGGTCTCAAATTCCTGGGTTCAACCAGTCCTCCCACCTCAGCCTCCCAAAGTGCTGGGATTACAGGTGTGAGCCACCGCACCTGGCCACCAATCTTGATTTGAATTCAGACCCTACCCTTTACCAGCTGTGTGACTTTGTATGTTTTACTTAATCTCTCAAAGCTTTATTTTACTTATATTTTAATTATACTGGAGATAAAAATGCATTTCAAGTCAAGGTTGTTATTGTGAAGATTCTGCAAGTAAATACATTCTTGCATCTCTGTAAAATGTTGCCGTGCCTGTTGATTAGATAAGTCACCATGATGACTTATGATCAATTAGAGAAAAATGTCTGTTACCCAGCGATGGGAAAGTGAATACCTCCGAGACCCATGTCCCCAATTGTGTGTTAAAACTATTCTATGTTAAAAACTTACTTTAAAACTCAATTATATCTTCTCAAAATATTACTAATCATTCTAACATATTTTAGTTAATATGTTTCTCCTTGTACAAATATATATGTGGGAAGTAGAGGGCATATTTTTCCTTAAGCTTGCTGCTTTCTAATCCAAAAAAAATGTGATGTGCAGGTCTATTACACTCCACTTAAAATACTTACAACTTTGGGGCTTATTTTTCTCCTTTGAACCATTACTATTATAAAAATCAATTCTTCCTTAGTCACCAAGTCCTCATCCTTGAGGAAAGGAAGTCAGCTAAAATACAAATCTCTTTGTAAAAGTAAAGTTTAGCGACTTGGGAGGCTGAGGTGGGAGGATCCCTTGAGCCCAGGAGTTTGAGACCAGCCTGGACAACACAGAGAGACCCCATCTCTGAAAATAAATAAATTTCAAAAGTAAAGTTTACTTATATACAATTATACCTAGTAACTTTGCTCCCTATAGCAAAAGGAAGCTAAACTATAAATCTTATGGAACTTGTTAGTGTTCTGGTAATAAACAGTTAATAATTTTTTAAAATTAATATTCAGTGAAAATAATCTTGGCCAGGTGCGGTGGCTCATGCCTGTAATCTCAGCACTTTGGGAGGCTGAGGCAGGTGGATCACCTGAGGTCGGGAGTTCGAGACCAGCCTGGCTGGCCAACATGGCAAAACCCCATCTCCATTAAAAGTACAAAAATTAGTGGGGTGTGATGGTGCGTGCCTGTAATCCCAGCTACTTGGGAGGATGAGGAACAAGAATCACTTGAACCTGTGAGGCGGAGGTTGCAGTGAGCTAAGATTGCACCACTGCACTCCAGCATGGGCGACAGAGGAATGCTCCATCTCAAAAAAAAGAAAGAAAAGAAAGTAATCTTGATGCTAATATGGAAATGAAAGAGGTGGTTTGATATTTGTCTTTACACTATATTTCTTTAATTCAACTAGTACATGTCGAGGCTCTATTTTGTGCCAGGTGCTGTGTCAGAAGTTGGGGTTAGAGCTCAGAACAACATAGATCAAAGTCCCTGCCCTCTGTGAGCTTATGTTCAGATGGGAGATACAGATGAGTAAAGGTTACTACAATATAATCAGAATAGGGATAACGGAGACCACGTAGAGCACCAGATCAAGACGTGGAGGAAGAAGACAGGTTTCCTACAGAACTGACACCTAGGCAGGACTGACAGATAAAGTCAGGCAAAAGTTGGAAAGGACAGTAGAGTAAGATGTGACATCTTAAACTTGCTGAATAAAAACACCCAAATATAACAAGTTATCTTTAAATTCATGATGATATATTGTATTTGGACATTCAGGCAGTTCTACTACCTGAGTATATCTAGTTAGTAAATTTTTTCCCCATGCTCCAAACAACAGTTTCACACCCCTTTCTCTCAAACTCTCCATCCCGTTTCTACCCAGTCCCCGCAGATAACTTTGACTCATACACGAATGAGAAAAGAGAAGCCGTCAAGAGCCACACCTGCATGCCTACTCTGTCTCTTGTTAGCATGGGTGAGCATGCCCAGCTGCAGTCATGGACTGGCCCATCCATCTGGCCTCTGCAAGCCATTCCTCTGTATCCTCAGGGGTTTCATCTTGTGAATACTCTCTCTCTCCCCGACATCATCATTGTCTTCCTCTCTCCCAATTATTCCCTCACATTAACATGGTCTACAACTTCCAGCAGGAAAGACAATGTTCCCTCATCAGTATAGTTTAATTTTTTTTCTTTTCTTTTTTCTTTTTTTTTGGGGGAGTGGGGACAGAGTCATGCTCTGTCATACCAGGCTAATCAGTATTGGCACAATCAGGGTTCACTGCAGCCTCAGCCTCCTGGGCTCATGTGATCCTCCTACCTCAGCTTCCCAAGTAGCTGGGACTACAGGCACGTGCCCCCAAGCCCCACTAATTTTCGTACTTTCTGTAGAGACAAGGTTTCACCATGTTGCCCAGGCTGGTCTCAAACTCTTGGACTCAAGTGGACAATATCCCCTTATATACCCCATCATACCACCCCATTTATCTGCTCCTCAGCAAAACTGCTTAAGGGAATTCTGTATGGCAGGTCCCCACTTCCCCAGGTTGCCTCCCCTCTGCCCACTCCACATGAACTTTCATTGCCCCCACTCCTCCATGCCTGCCTCTTCAATGTCACCAGTGACCTCCACTTCGCCAAATGCTGTAGTCACTTCTTGGGCCTCATTTTACTTTACTTATTGGCAGCAGTCAACAGAGTTGACACCCCCTCTTTCTCTAACCATTTTTCTCTCTTGGCTTCAGGCATGACTCTCTTGGTTTTCCTGCTTCTCACTGGTTCCCTCTGTTTGCTGCTCCTCCTCACTTTGGGCCTCAAGTGGCCCTTTCCTCCTTCTCTCTCCATCATTCTTCCTAAAGGATTTCATCAGTGCTGTGGCTTTAAATACCATCTCTTCACCCCTGAGCCCACTCTGAAATTCTAGACTCCTGCAGCCTATTCCATGTTAACATCTTCCCCATATAAGCATCTTAGATTAAGTATGAACAAAACAGAACTCATAATCATTTAAATGCTTTTTTCTCATTAGCAGTAATTGGCCCTTGTATCTTAATTTCTTCATTTCTCAAGCCAAAAATTTGTCATCCTTGGTTTCTCTCTTTACCTTATTACCCTCCTTACACTCAAATGCTCAGAAAGACCTGAATATTCTATCTGCAAAATGTATCTTAAATGTGTCTGCTTTTTCTATTACCTGTAATAATCTTGTTAGTAATGACACAATATTTATGAAGTGCTCTCAATATGCTAGGGAAGAAGAAAGAGGGAGAGAGAAAAGAAGAAGAAAGGTGATGTCTGAGAGGTGAGTTTTGAGAAACTGAAAGAGAAACCTGGAGGAAAAAAAAAGATACGAGGCCGGAGAGAAAAGCGGTGTAAATAGAGCTTGAACTTTGTCCGTAGAGATATGGGGAGTTATGGAATGGTTTCTGCAGTGATATAAAATTACTTATTTATAGCTGATTCATATAAATAATTTTGTTCAAATCCCTTTTTCATAGACAGTATAAAATTAAACCTTAGGTTAGCAGGGCCAAATGCTGGCAGGGCCTGAATCTTATACTCAGTTAATTGGATTGTACATAGTGCACTTCCTACTGCTTCTTAATTTCAAAAGAATGTGCTTTAATCCCAGAAAAATCTTATTGAAAACATATCTTTTGATCCGAAGTTCATAAGGGCTGTTTTCACGTTTTATAGTCCATAAAGTAATTAGTTCAGGAAGAACTGATTACTTAAAACTCTTTTCTTTTTTAAGAGCAGAATATTATCAACAAATAATTTCTCTAAAAGTTTCCTCATCATTTTCAAAAGCCAAATCTTCTACTGAATTTTTCGTATGGAATAATCTGATTATATTTTGATATTTTGGTCATTAAGAAATTCTGCCAATATTTGTTCTTGAAGGTGTTCTTAGCTTAATTTTATATTTTCTTTTACTCTTTAATCTAGAATGCATTTGTAGAGTCAATGATCCTCAGAAACACATTGGAAATTTGTTTAAAATGGAGATTCTTGACGTCACCCTCGGATTCTGATTTATGAGTCAGGTGTAGACCTGGGAAGGTTTAACAAGCTTGCAGCTGATTCTAATGCAGGTGGTCTGAGAGGACCACACCAAAACACCCTGCCTTACTCCCCCAACCCTGTGTTTTCTGTCTAAACACTCCCCAATAGCTTTCAATTCCTTTGGGGCCCATAATTTTTAATTAAAATGCCCATTTGTCTATAGAGTATTAGAAAAATATTAAGACCCTAACTATAAGTAGATTTTCTTAAATCCAGGGAATTATTATGTTCCAGATGTTGGTACTAATAATGGCTAACCTCGGCCGCTGATCCATCTTTTGTTTGATTTTTATAATATATGGGGAAGCATAATTTTGTATATATCTAAACCTCTTTAGAAATATGGTTCAATTGCATATGATCTGTCATAAGGGAATTTATATCTCACGAAGTTAAGCGCATAAACAAAACAAGACCAAACACACACACACACACACACACACACACACACACACACATTTTCATTCAGAAATCCTTGGTTCTAAACCAGTCTCTAATCAACATGCCAAAAACCCTTGTTTCAAATCACTTTACTCCTCTGTGCTTTGGGATTTCTATTTAAATGGGGTAAGTATTTAATCCTGTATATAGTTACAAAGCCCAGGGAGAACCTCAGATCAAAGACAAAATTGAAAGAAAGCTTTAGTAGGCCAGAGACATTGGAGTACCAAGGATATAATTGTGAGGTTTTCCTGCTAGAAAACATCCTCTGAAATGAACTTATAAGTTAACAAATCACCCTTCGCCTGTGTTTGGGGGCAGATGTTAGGCAGAGTCAGGATTTGTTTCCATTCGGTCACTTTTCTAAAGAATACAAATCCATCCACCTATTCTTTAATGGTCCTAAATAGCTAACAATGGACAGACAACTCCCTTCCCTTCCTTGCCCAGTTTCCGAGTCAAGGCGCGCAGTGTTCAGTGTATGACCTGAAGCCTTCTGGAAAGTGGTGATTGGTTAGGGTACTCGCCAGTTTGGCCTTACTTTGAACATCCCAAATTTATTTCCTTCCCCATTTCAAATATTCCGAAATGAAAGACATTAGGAGCACGTATTCTGGTTAAATACGGTGATTGAAAATACGAATGAATGCCACTCCATCATGAAATTTCACTAAATGACAATGAGTCAGCAAATAAGGGGCATAAATATACAAGTTAAAGAGAACAACAGGTAAGAGATTATTTGTCAAGAGCCTGTAACTCATTTATTTATTCAACAAATATTTACTGAGCACCTCCTCTGCAAGCAACACAGAATTCAAAACAATTAAATATGTATTACATATACAGCATATATGTTTACATATAAACAATATATAACATATATAAAGTTACTGGCAGAGTAATATTTTCTTGGATAGTCACAGATGTATTAAGAAACAGGCTTGTTTCAAATTTGCTTTTTTAATAACCATATTTCTTTAACATATTCTTTTTCATCTTTTACCATTTCTGACATCAGATTGTGTCTTTAACATGGTCTGATTTTTCTTTTGTTGTAAACTTATTAAACCCATAGAGTCTTATAATTGATGATACCATAAAATAAAGGAAAAGCTTGGAAATTAACCAGCAGAAATTTCAGAAAGGACCCCTTAGGTTTCTTTTTTTTTTTTTTTTTCTTCTGAGACAAAGTCTCACTCTGTCACCCAGGCTGGAGTGTGCAGTGGTGAGATCTCAGCTAACTTTCATCAGTAATGAAACCAGCAGGTGTTCTGCTCCCCAAAAACTTTGTCCACTGTCTCCAGACACTCAGAGCCACATGCTTAACTGTGGCTCATGGGTTAATGCATGTCTGAACTTTTTCAGGGTGGAAACTCCCTTTTTTCTTTAGTGTCTAACCCAATGCCCAACATGACATAAGTGCTCAGTAAATATTCAGACAATCCACGTATGAATGTGGTTGAGCATCTGTGAGTGGTCTCACCTCCACCCTACATGTGTTACTATGGTCAACCACTTCATCTCTGTGGGTCTCTGCTTGCTCAGCTATAAATTATTTGGGATCAGCTCAGCCATAGATTCCCTCCAACTCTAATTATCTCTGAGTAAATGAAGTCATGAAAATATGGGAAACTGAGGCAGGAGAATAGGGTCTAGAGGCAGGGAACCTAGGGCTGATTCACAATTAATTCCTAGAACTAAATCAAAAGGAAAACCCCCAACTTGCCATGCCCAACTATCAAAAGGACCAGAGGCTACTCCCTTTACAACCCCCCAACTTTTTCCGCATGGCAGATGAAATATTGAAAGTACCTCTGATTGGTCCCCTTCTGCAACCAATCAGGTTGGTCATGGGTCAAGTCTTCATTTGCATAGGAGTATAACTTTGTATATACTCTATTTTATCCCCTCCCACAAGCAATCAGACTGATCATGGGCCACCACTTCATTTACATAGGGTGTACACCAAGTAAGCAATGGGAAACCTCTAGAGGGTATTTAAGTCCCAGAAAATTGTGTAACTGGGCTCCTGAGCCACTTGCTCAGGTCTGCTCCCACCCTGTGGAGTATGCTTTCATTTTCAATAAATCTCTGCCTGTGTTGCTTCATTCTTTCCTTGCTTTATTTGCACATTTTGTCCAATTCTTTGTCCAAGACACCAAGAACCTGGACACCCTCTACCGGTAACAAAACTACAGTGATTTTAGAGGGTTTGTTTGAAGTGTGTATTGCTCATGAAGGTAATGCCTTTGATGATAACATTTGCTAAACACCACGTAAAGGAAGGGAGGCATTTCCACACTTTGGGTCTCCTCCCATCTCTATCCCCAAGCCTTAAAATTTCTGCTTAAATGGGAGTCGAAGGAACCCAACAATACTCAGTTGTGTCACTTAAAGGCTGTGCAACATCGGGAAGCTTTCTGTATGTCTTACAGCTAGTTCATATCACAAGCCAGCCGTTTCATCATGCAAAAGTCTAAAACAACTTACACCTACTTTCTAACATTCTTACGGAAAAACCAATACTGTTGAACAGAGGTGGACAAATTATAGCTCCTGGCCAAATCTGGCCCACTTCCTGTTTTAATAAATGCAGTTTTATTGGAACACAGCCACACCCTTTTATTTCCCATATTATCTATGGTTAGTTTTCTGCTGCAATGGTGGAGTGAAATAGTTGCAACAGAGACCATGTGACCTCCAAAACCTGAAATATTTACTATCTGGCCCTTTACAGAAAAAAAGTTTGTGACCCCAGCCCTAGAAGAAAAGTAATCAAAAATCACAATGGCAGTATTAGTGGTGAAGATAATGGATTCTGCTTCAGTTAAACAGTGTAACTGAGCTTATGATTTTTCTTTTCCTTCTTTTTTTTTTTTTTTTTTGAGATGGAGTTTTGCTCTTGTTGCCCAGGCTGGAGTGCAATGGCGCGATCTTGGCTTACCGCAACCTCCACCTCCTGGGTTCAAGCGATTCCTGCCTCAGCCCCCTGAGTAGCTGGGATTACAGGCATGCTCCACCATGCCCAGCTAATTTTGGATGTTTGTAGAGATGGGGTTTCTCCATGTTGGTCAGGCTGGTCTTGAACTCCTGATCTCAGGTAATCCACCTGCCTCGGCCTCCCAAAGTGCTGGTATTACAGGCGTGAGCCACCGCACCCAGCCGTGATTTTTCTATTACCTAGGTCCTTTTGTTGGCTACACACCATGACTGCTTCTGTTTGGGAGTTGAGAACATCTGGTAGGTTAAATTGGCAATATTTGACTGATTTGACCTACAATATGTGGTCAACTTCATGTGACTCAACCTAATACTTTGGCTTCCTTCAGTGTGTTCAGTTTCAATTCCCCGCTCCCTTTGTAGTCTTCCAGCTACCTCAGTGATTCTTAATCTTAGCTGTGTATTAGAATCATCTGAAGAACTTAAAAAAAAAAAAATCAATGCCCAGGTCACACCCAGGACCAAGTGAAGCCGAATCTCAAGGGGGAGAAACCAAGCCCTTGGTAATTTTGGAAAGCACCCCAGGTGATTCTGAAGTGCAGTAAGGCTTGAGAACTATGGAACTACCAAGAGCTTTTGGCAATACGCATGTGCTAGGTGCTATAGACTCCTTCCAATTGGAGAAAAGAATGTGGACAATTGTAATAAATAATTGGGGCAAGCCGGCATAGTGGTTCTCAAACATTAGCATGCAACCAATCACCTGGTGGGCTTGTGAAAACACAGATTTTTGGTGCCAACCCCTCAGTTTCTGATTCTGTAGGTCTGGGTTGAGGCCCGAGCCTTTGTAATTCTAACAAATTCCCGGGTGACGTTGATACCATTGGTCCAGGACCCACACTTTGAAAACCACTGTACCATTACCATCTTCCGTGGGCCCAGTGCCTAGCTCATAGTAAGTCCTTTGTATGTGTTTGCTGAACAGATAATGGAATTCTGGCGGAGTCTATGCTGGCAATTCGTCTGTGTTAGATGCTAGGATATAGCAGTGAACAAGACAAACAGTATCTGTCCTCATGGAACATACACTCTAGAGAGAAATACATGACCTCAAGAGTGGGTATGAATGCTGCAAAAGGGAAGCATGGAATACTGTAGTGGCCCATAGAAATCACTGAGCCCAGGGCTTCCTAGCCTTCTGAAAATCCCTCTTTTAAATAGCATTTTGCCAAGGTCTATCATCACTAGGTCAACTGGAAAACAGGGAGAGAATGCTCACTTGGAAAGATTGTTGAGTTGTGTGGGGGCAGGAAGACAGAGAGAGAGAGAGAGAAAGCACGTGCACTGCTTGATAAATAAAAAGAAGAGTAAAAAGTGAGCCTCACCAGGAGTCAGATTTAGGTTCCTACTTTGTTCTTATTGCCACTGGCTATAAACATAGGCCTATTTAATCAATTATGAAATTAGATTGCCTCTAATATATCTATAGTCCTCATAATTCCCAAGAGGAAGGCTATGGAGGTGTGAGTGAAGATTATATAGCTCTTTCCTCTGCCCCCCTCACATACATACAGTGTCCAGAGTGCTAGCCCATCTTAGAATTAGAGGTCTCCACTTCCAGTTATTTGAGCTACTTAAGATTGCAAAGACCCAAGACACATTCAGACTCAGGTGGTCTCAGCTAATGGGGCCTTTCTGTAAGGACACAAAGAGAAGTGTGGGAGAAACAAAAAGGGTTTCAGCAGCAACAATATTCAGGCCTTGAGCTGGTAGGTTGGTTAGCTGGGATACTGCGGTGATTCTGATGGCACAATTTCCCCTTTAATCTTCATTTCCATGGCTCAGTTGCTGTTCCCTCTGCCCACGCAGGTCTACAGGCCCACTAAGAGCACCCCCTGTCTCTCAAAATGGTTACAGCCTCATATTATCTTCATAACCAATAGGATGACAGGATTGTTTTTGATCTGGGCTTAATTTTTGAATTTTTTTTTTTTTTCTTGAGACAGAGTCTCACTCTGTCACCCAGGCTGGAATGCAGTGGTGCAATCTCAGCTCACTGCAAGCTCTGCCTCTCAGGTTCAAGCGATTCTCCTGCCTCAGCCTCCTGAGTAGCTGGGATTACAGGCATGTGCCACCACACCTGGCTAATTTTTGATTTTTAGTAGAGACGGGGTTTCACCATGCTGGCCAGGCTGGTCTTGAACTCCTGGCCTCAGGCGATCTGCCCACCTCGCCCTCCCAAAGTGCTGGGATTACAGGCATGAGCCACCAAGCCCAGCCGATTTTTTTTTCTTTTTTCTTTCTTTTACAAACTAGTATCAGAGGCCCTCATGTTTTTTTTTTAAGCTAAAGTCCCAGTAATCTTGTCCACAGGGAAATCCATGAATAAAGTACTACACCAATAATAGATTTTGGTGGAGTAGAATTTTTCCTGACTGACTACTGCAAGACAATTAGTAAGTTTCTCCACAATTCCCTCCTTCCATCCTCTTCCCATTCCTCTAGTTGTTTTCCTCTGAGTGCTCTCTTAATAGGTATTAACATTTTTTAAACGTCTTCTTATCTCCAAGCAGGATGGTGGTGGTTTTAGCAGGGAGAGGAGGAGTTGCAGGACTACGCTCACTGGAGAAGCTCCCAGCAACCATAATCAGGCAGCCAGAGAGCTCACCCCACCCCATCTACAAAAACAACCAGTATATATTGAAATTTGTGGAGCTCCCTAAGTCACAAGTCTCAAATCTATTTATAATACTGATTATGGGGTCCCTTTGGTTCAATTATTATTTAAGAGAGTAGTCTGGGACATGAAGTAGCATGTGCTTGGGACATAAAATCAATTATAGGGCTATGTGGGCCTTATTCTAGTTGAAAACAGTTGTGGAGTATTTCCAGGGCCCCACTTCCAGAACTCTGCCAGAACCCCAGCTCTGTAGCACATGCTGACTGCTCTTCCTCCTAACTTCTATAATAGCTGAATCATTCTTCTGGAGTTGCCTTGCCTCTTCTCTCCACCACTATATGTGTTTTTTAGTTTTCTCTACTCAGTGGATTTCACCCTCTGTCCCAGATATCTAACCCCTTTGGCAGAGCCGTGAGATAATCTTCTACCCTTCTACAGACCCCTAGTCCATGATTTTCTTTCCTTATCTTTTATCTTTGTTTGTATCACTATAGAGAAGGAAGTCCCAGGAGTTTAAAAAAAAAAAAAAGAAAGAAAGAAAATAAAGACAGACCCAAAATATGACTCAGAATTAGAGCTTCAATGAAGGAACACTCTCTGGGCCACCAGGCAGGAGTTGCATTCTTGCCAACCCTTCCTATGAGCAGGCAGGCAATGCCACCATTCAGACTATGTAAGTCATTTTGAAACTGATTGCAGTTGGCGCTTTTATTGGTGTCCTTCCTTTGAAGTTGACTTACAGATCATTGGTGGTTTTGTCTGCAGAACCTGGTGCCAAGGTGAAGTGAAAAACCTTTGCTCACAAAGCAATATTCTTAACAGTCTTTTGTCCTGGGCTACCTACCTATCCAATTAAAGGTGAATACAGATAGGTTGGTGGATGGATAGGGATGGCTAGATGATTTGATGCTATGCTAGAGCAAGTAGTGTAAGATGTCAATTGTAGATCTAGGCCTAAGTGTATGGGTGTTTGCTTTAAAAATCTTTTGACTAGGAGCAGTGGCTCATGCTTGTAATGCCAGCACTTTGAGAGGCCAAGGCGGGCAGATCACTTGAGGTCAGGAGTTCAAGACCAGCCTGGCCAACACTGGCAAAACCCCATCTCTGCTAAAAATATAAAAATTAGCCGGGTGTGGTGGTGTGCACCTGTAGTTCCAGCTACTCCGGAGGCTGAGGCAGGAGAATCACATGAACCTGGGAGGTGGAGGTTGTAGTGAGCTGGGATCTCACCACTGCACTCCAGACTGGGTGACAGAGCAAGACTCTGTCAAAGAAAAGAAAAAACTTTTGATTTTTCTGGACTTTTAAAATATTCATAATAAAATGTTGACAGGAAGGGTGAACGCCATGCACTAGTAACGTTAGTGGTACATTATAAACATTTGAAAGCTGAGCATACAAGTAAGACTGGAGAGAACTTATGGGATTTTTTGTGGGGTTGTGTGTGTGTGTGTGTGTGTGTGTGTGTGTGTGTGTATGTGTTTGTGTTTTTTGGAGGCATGGTCTGGCTCTGTTGCCCAGGCTGGAGCATAGTGGCACTATCATGGCTCACTGCAACCTCTGCCTCCCAGGCTCAAGCTGTCCTCCTACCTCAGCCTCCTGAATAGCTGGGACTGCAGGCATGCGTCACCACATGGGGCTAATTTTTGTATTTTTTGTAGAGACAGGGTTTCGCCATGTTGCCCAAGCTGCTCTCGAACTCCTGGTCTCAAGTGATCCACCTGCCTCCACCTCCCAAAGTGCTGGGATTACAGGTGTGATCAACTGGACTTGACCTTTTTAAAAAATTAAATGGCTTATACTTATAAGTTAATGATTTCTTTACTCCGTATTTTCTAAATTAAAGACAGATGTTTGACCGGGTATGAAGGCTCATGCCTGTAATCCCAGCACTTTGGGAGGCCAAGGCGGGTGGATCACCTGAGGTCAGGAGTTCGAGACTAGCCTGGACAGCATGGTAAAACCCCATCTCTACTAAAAACACAAAATTAGCCAGGTGTGGTGGCGCGTGCCTGTAATCCCAGCTACTCAGGAGGCTGAAGCAGGAGAATCACTTGAACCAGGGAGGCAGAGGTTGCAGTGAGCTGAGATCGCACCATTGCACTCCAGCCTGGGCAACAAGAACGAAATTCCGTCTCTAAAAAAAAAAATGTGCAAGAAGAGAAATGATTAACATTTTGAAGGCCTTAAAGGAAATATACTATCTGATGCCAAACCTCTGATCATTTACTAACATGCGGAAAAAGGATGAGTTTTGGTGTCAGATGGTAATAAGAACATGCCCTGCCTCTTCCATTATGGGAAGTGACTTCATCTCTCTGAGCCTCAGTTTTTTTCATGTATCATGTGTGTTTTGTGGGGGAGGGTTTGGGGGATAATACCTACATCTTAAAGTTATAAGGTTTAAATGTTCTGTAAGAGATAAAGTAAAAAAGATAAAGTACCCTGTAAATATTACTTAAGAAAAGAAATCAAGTAAAATAATTTTTAACCTAAAAAGACTTTTTTGTTATCCAAACATTTCAGACACGACCCCCAAAATTTGGCCAATGCTGTGTGAATGGCACCACTAGAGGATTTTGAAAGATCAGAGGTCCTGAAGACCCTCAATTAAATTCTCCTTTAAGTCTGAAGCCCCTAAAATGTATCACACATTTAATGGTTTTTTTCCACTCTTAGGAAAAAGATGGAAATAAAATATTGTGGCTTTTAACTGGAGTTCTTCAGTAAATTACACAAAATCTGAGTGTGACTTTCACAGAAAGATACTTTGCCTGTTATTGAAACATATGGAGTCTATCATGCTCGTGAAGTTTCTGTGAGAAACCTTTGTCCCAGACTACTGTTTAATGTTGCTCCCAAGAACAGGGTGGGACTTATCCGTTTGACCTGTCTCCGAAGAGAAATGGAACTATGAGCATATTAGCAAAGCAACCCAAAACTTAGTGTCTTAAAATAACAGCCATAAGTTCCTTCTGGTGAATCTCTAGTTCTGCTGACCTCAGATGCCTTCCCTCAAGCAACTGCCATCTGCTCTGCCTCTGGATTGGGCTGGATGAGGAGCCTGGGCTGTTTGTTCACAAGGCAGCTCAGCAGAGTTTGAAAGGGGCAGGTGGAAGCGTGCATTGTCTCTAGAGATGAGGGCTCAGCACAGACAGTCACTTCTTTTGCAGTCTCTTGGTCTAAGCAGGCCACAGGATCAGCTGAGAGTCAAGCGGAGTGGACACAGACTCCACCACTGCAGAGGGAGCTGAATAATTGCAGCCACTTTTGCAAACAATCCATCAAAGCTAGCACCACAGCAATCCTCTGCACCCTGAAAGGTGCCACCAGAAGGGTCAGCATGTCTTCCCCTTTAAAGCATAAGCACAGTTGTTGAAACAGAATCCAGTTTCAAGATTGCTCATCAAAAGATGAGAAACCTGAAACAAGGAAATCTTGTGAGCAGATGGAAGGCCAGTAAGATAACATCTGAACATTCTATAATATTACTTTGGATGGAGAACAAAATAGCAATAGATAATCTGTTCACTAGTCTCTGAGTCTCCTGACGTCATGAAATTGATGACATCATGATGTCATGATTTATTTTTTAAATATTCAAAATTAGGTCTAACTCAGAAAACAGAGTTATTCCTGTGTTGGACATCAAAGGGCCTTTTATATTCTGCAGTACATTCATGTGCATATTCTAGAGAAACCTTGAGAAACAGCTTTTCCCTAGCTGAGATGTGTAAGTCCTGAGTGCCTGGTCTGCAGGCTTCTCCTCATGAGCAGGAAGCCCATGGAATCTTCTGGACTCCTGAGCTAGAAATAATCCTTCTCCCCTCTCGCCTCAAAGAACAGTTTATGAATATTTTCATCTCTCTTTACCCTTTATACACATACTTCATCTTCCTCACAAGATTTATTTATTTATTTATTTATTTTTTGAGACAGGGTCTCACTCTGTCACCCAGGCTAGAGTGCAGTGGTGCGATCACGGCTCACTGCAGCCTGAAACTCCTGGCATCAAGTGATCCTCCTACCTCAGCCTCCCAAAGTGCTGGGATTATAGGAATGAGCCGCCATGTCTAGCTTCTCATAAGATTTTTATGTCAGACCGCTTTTTTTTCTATTCATCTTGGTGTCTCCCATAGCACTTAATACAGTGCCTCCTATATACTGGAGCAGAGCAGGGCTGTTATTTAGCTGTGTGTGTCACTCATAGTTGGTGTCCCTTCTGATTGCTTAGTAACCATACCATATCACTAGTAAATAAACACACACACGCATGCACGCACGCATGCACACACACACGGGGAGGGAGAGAGATTCATTTGATTAATAAAGAATCTGTGGACATTGAATCTATTATTATATGGGATTATATACTCCAAAATGCCCTCCTAGTCCAATATAACTAGCTCCTGTATACATTTCAACAAACATACTTTTAAAAAGAATTTTTAGCCTCGGAAAAATGTAGGCGGAATCTCTAAACCTCCCACCCAAGGAAGACAAAAGAATAAGAGGACAGAGAGGCCTAGCAGACAAAATCCAAGCCATACGCAGCAAGTAACCCCAGAAGCGGAAGCCACCCTGGCAGAACATACTCTTACCATCTCTGGAACATGGAGACCTCCACATTCATCCGGGACCCCCAGAGGGGACTAAAGTGCTTCCAGGTTGGTAGCTGTGGTGCGCAGAATTCTAAAGATGACCCCTTCATGCAGAGTCCTGTGCCTTACTTATGCAAATGCTAAGCTAGGCACAGCTATGAAAGAGTTTTGCAGTTGTCACTAAACTCCCGAGTCAGCCACCCTGCATGAAGATCATACTGGTGGGCCTAGCCCAGCAGGCAAGCCCTTTAAAGCAGAGAATTTTCTCTAGAAAGTAGCAGAAGAGGAAGTCAGAGAAATTCAAAGCGTGAGGGGATTCACGCCTATTACTGGCTTTGAGGATATAGGGGTCCTCATGCAAGGAACAGAGAAGCCCCTAGAGCTGAGAGTCACTCCCACCTGACAGCCAGCAAGGAAGGGGTCCTCCGTCCTCACCAGCCACAGGATCTGAATTCTGTCAACAGCCTGAAGGAGGTCGAAAGCTGATTCTTCTTCTCAAGGACGTCCAGATAAGCGCGCCATCCAGCATCTGCCTCCATTTTGACCCTGTGAGACCCTAAGGACCCAGCCCTCTCCTAGCCTGTGGACCACATCCCTGTGAGCTCATAAAGGAGGGTTGTTTTAAGTGGCTAAGTCTGTGGTAATATGTTATGTAGCAACATGTGTGACTATGAAGTTTAAAGGTATGAATTTTAAAGGGGAAAGGGAATACAAGCCGCCTACTCCTGATAACTGGTTAAAAGGAAAACTGTCACCAGATAAAATCAAGTCTCAGTGAAGGGAAAGAGATCAGGCAGCACTGAAGTTTGACATGTGCCTGTCAAAATGAGAAGATGATAGGATGACCAGAAAGATGCTCACAAACACAGTTATCAAATATCAAGTTCTCCTCCCTTCCTTCCTTCCTACATTCCTTCCTCCCTCCTTCCCTCCCTTCTTCCTTCTTCCTTCCTTTCTTCATTCCTTCCTTTTCTTCTTTCTTTCCTTCATTTTCTTCTTTCTTTCCTTCCTTCTTTCTCCCTCTTTCTTCCTTTCTCTTTCTTTTTCTGTCACAGGATAGAAGATTACATTCATAAAGCTACATGAAAAGCACATATCTCTGCTTTTCATAAAGCAGAAAATACCACAGTCAGATGGAGGTAGATCTTCCTACTTCCCAAAAAGTTTCCCAAAGGGATATATAGCTGTAACTGTACATTCCTACCATCTTAGAGTGAGGATTCTGCCAGGCATGAAAAACTCCTTTGTCCCCTCCTGCCTGATGCTGATGGAAACCCCGCCTTCCTGCCTCTCCTAACACCTTCCTGTTTGCTCTAGATGCAGCGAGATGAAGGCAAATGTCCCGAGAGCACCGTGAGCAGGCTTAGCTTCAGGCTGGTCTGAAACCCAAACCCATAGTTGGTTTTTTTTCGTTTTGTTTCGAGACAGGGTCTTACTCTGTTGCCCAGGCTGGAGTGCAGTGGTACAATCATGGCTCACTGCAGGCTCAAACTCCTGGACTCAAGCAATCCTCCCATCTCAGCCTTTGGAGTAGCTGGGATGATAGGCACGTGCTGCCTCACCCAGCTAATTTTTTTATTTTTTGTAGAGACAGGCTCTCGCTATGTTACCTAGGCTGGTCTCAAACTCCTGCCCTCAAGAGATTCTCCTGCCTCAGCCTCCCAGAGTGCTGGAATTATAGGTATGAGCTGCCATGCTCAGCACCATGAGGGTTTCTTGATGGTTGAAGGGGAGCTTCAGAAGGCTCAGGGAAAACAATGTGAGGTGCATCTGAGAAGTGAACTAGCACTCAGAAATGTGGGGCCGGGTGCAGCAGCTCATGCTTGTAATCCCAGCACTTTGGGAGGCCAAGGCAGGAGGATCGCTTGAGCCCAGGAGTTCCAGGTGGTAGTGAGCTATGATTGTGCCACTGTACTCCAGCCTGGGCAACAAAGCAAGACCCCATCTCTAAAAATGAAAGGAAGAAAAAAAGAAATGTAGGCCCTGAACATGACTCTGTCATTTTGGGCCTGATGGTGTTAAGCCATTTAATCTTTCTGACATAATGTATTGTGTGGGGGGTGGGGTCAGGGTGCTGAAGGGGGCAGGGCAGGGAGAAGACAGGAGCTTTCCCAACTATGCTGAGAGAATTGTTGTTTTTTCACTTGGACACATGAAAAAATGACAAAATTCATAAACTCTAGGGGAATTGTCGGATTTAAGTCATAGTTCTATTGATCTTACAATAGTGTAAATATTTTTTCCCAATCAAAGATGTACTACAGTCACTTCCACGTTGCTCAGTGTGAGATGATAGGCCAGACACAGTGGCTCATGCTTGTAATCCCAGCATTCTGGGAGGCTGAGGTGGGAGGATCGTTTGAGGCCAGGAGGTCATGACCAGCCTGGTAAACATAGTGAGACCCCGTTTCTACAAAAAATAATTAAAAAAAAAAGAATGTGAGATGATAGTCCAATGGTCCAGTGATACATCTTTCCTGCCTCCTACGTTTTCTATTCATGTGAATATTTGCTTTTTTTTTTTTTTTTTTAGATGGAGTTTTGCTCTTGTTCCCCAGGCTGGAGTGCAATGGCGCCATCTCTGCTCACTGCAACCTCCACCTCCCGGGTTCAAGCAATTCCCCTGCCTCAGCCTCCCGAGTAGCTGGGATTACAGGCATGCGCCACCACACCCAACTAAATTTTGTACTTTTAGTAGAGACGGCATTTCACCATGTTGGGCAGGCTGGTCTCAAACTCCTGACCTCAAGTGATCTGCCCACCTCGGCCTCCCAAAGTGCTGGGATTACAGGCGTGAGCCACTGTGCCCGGCCATTTTGGCCATTTGCACAGTTTTGAATATGTACTCTGCTTGCACATACTTTTTTTTTTTAACTTCCTTATTTATTGACTTGATCAGTTGTGATTTCTGTGATGGTGACTGTGTTTACTTGGGGAAAAAACCCAAACAGAAGTCCTGTTTATTGTTTTTCTCAAAAACGTCTAAGAGATTAGCAAGGCAAACTCTGTTGTCAGGAAAAGTCATGGGCAACCCAGAAGTATTTAATGCTTATAAAATTGTAAGTGTATGTAAGATGCTAATATAGTTGAGCTAAACTATAAGGAATGGGACTGTGTACCCCTGCAATTGCATACAAAGTTATGTATAACTGTGCTTTTCTCCACGAAAAGGGTCTTTAGGATTTGAGAACTCTTTAGTCTTGACCCCTTTAGTTACGGTTTTCTTGGATGCAAATGACAGGAACCTAACTTAACTATCTCAGCCACATCTTCAGAAGGTAGGAGTGGGGATAGCCTCAAAGGCAGCTGGAGGCAGAGACTACAATAGCATCAGTGTTGTTTCTGCTTCTTCTGTGGGTCAGCTTCATTCTCTCAAGCCACCAGCAGCTTCAGACTCATATCCTGATAAGCTTGCTACCTCCCAGCTCCAAGTATGAACATCTCAGGGAAAGACACTCCCTTACTGGCCCAGCCTGAGTCCATGCTGCTTGGGTCAGGTTCCCTAGAAGTAGACCCTGCCATGAGGCTGTGTGTGCGCGTGTGATGTGTATTAGGTTTGTGCAAAAGTAATTGGGGTTTTTTGCCGTTAAAAGTAATGGCAAAACTGGCAATTACTTTTGCACCAAACTAATATAATGAAAGTGCTCTAAGAGAAAGGAAATGGGAGGTAGGGGGCTCGGGGGAAGTACAGGGAACAGGACAGGGAATGGGGAAGAAGCCAAGCAAGGGTATGATTTCAGGAAAATTCCAGACTTAGCTTTATCCTGCAAGGTCACTGTAGTGTATAAATGATGCTCTGAGTTATCCAGACACCAGACAAGTTTCCTGGGCTTTAAACTCCCAAAGCAGTCAGGCATTGGCCAAAGGCCACCCCAGGGAGCATGAATTTCAAGTGCTTCTGACTCTTTGCACTTGCCTGCAGGCAACGCATAAAGGCAAAGCATCTTCAGTAGCCTAGGCTAGACCTCAGAAAAGAGTCACAGATGTGAGCTCTTAGACAAAAAGCACATAGAGCCAAGAGCACAGGCATGCAGAAATGGGTACGCCAGTGGAGTGGCACAAAGAACCAAGAGTGTCTGTTACACGAGGCTTTTTCAAGTGCCTTGGAATTCCATGTATCCTCTGTTGATTCAAGGTCTCTCTTCTTGAACAGCGATGTGGCCAAGAATGTGGGGTGACATAAATGATGGCTGCTACCATTGGCTCTCATGGCTAAAACTAGGAGAAGAAGTTCCTCCAAAGGAATGTGATAGACAGGTAAAATATAATTGTCTACTAAAAATACTTCTAAAAGATTAAGAACATGAAAGCACTTTCAAACTGGAATTCTGCAGATAACATTGAAGTTTCAAGGAGTCTTGGTCTTGAGATCTAACATTGGAATACAGTATTATAATGGATGCAACATTCAGTTCTTTATGACACTTGTTCTTTTAAATATTTACTCATGGAGATGTCATTTGTAAAAAGAGTTTCTAATAGAAATAAAAAGCACTGGAGAATTTCAAAAACCATTCATAAATAAAATGTGTTTGGACTCATAGCAGCGTTTGAGTAAAGACAGATCTATGGGGAACTTATCTGGCTGTTCTCTGCTATCTTGATCTCGACTGAAGAAAATGGAATATACCTGAAATTTTTTGTTGAAAATATTTTAGTCTTAGAAAACAGTGTTTCACGTTAAGAGAGCATCATGTCTTCTTTATTTTTTTAAAAAAGCAATTTTGAAGTTGGAAAATTATTAAAGGTATATATTATGATTTACAGCTGATTCCAAGAGTACACATTTTGAAACAAAATATTACAGAATATTATAAAGCAAATGTTTCTTCAACCTATTAAAAAATACAGAATGAGGCAGCTGCAAGGAAAGAGGCATTCTCAATTTGCTGGAGATTTTTACAGAATTCATTAAACACTGAGATCACATTGAAGACTGGAGAAAGCTCAGAGATGCTTGGATTTCATTCATGAGGACAGTTTACAATGGATCAGAAAAGCTTATTTCCAGTTTACAAAAATGATAGCCAGGCACAGGACAATACTGCTAAGATGAAGGGAAAGTCAATGGAGTTGTAGAAAAGTTCCAGGAGGAAGAACCAAGGGTTTGCTTATGCACCAATGGCCACGTAGCACCTGTTTTCTGGTCTATTCTTGCTCCTTGGTTTTAAATGTCTTAATAGTCTTCGTACCTTTCAAGGCTTGACTCACTCCCCTTGGACCTGATTCTTGACATTTCTCTCTGATATGGATCTACAGTCCTCTTATTGGCTATGATGTATATTGGCCTCTCCTTTCATATCTGCCTCAGGCTGTTCTGAGCGAAAATTCGTGTAGTCCAGCTTGGCTCACAATATCCATTGCTAAAATATTCCAGTCATCGTTTGTTACTTTATCCCAGGTAGCACAAGAAATAATTTCTCAGGTTTAAAGCAATACCACCAAATCCCAACATGATGCTTTAAAGTTGATGATATGATTTCAAATTTCATTTAAAAGAAGGAATATGTTAAATATCAAAGAATATTCTAGAAAAGAAAAAGATGAAGAAAGCCAGCACTGCCCTATAAGGGAGCATATTCCAAAGCGACACTAAATGCGTATGTAGCACTGGGTTGAGATAGCTCTGTGTTTATAAGAATTTAGTATATCATAAGGGAGGCTGCATAAAATGACCAGGAAAGAAAGGAACAGTGGTTAGTGGTTAGTAATTGGAATAAAAAATCCATTTATACTTGTATCATATCCTACATGATATAGTAAAAAAAAAACTAAATATTATTTTAATTTATAGAAAAAGTTGAATATTTATCAAATAGTTAATCACTGGATTACTTTATTAACTTTGGAAGATGAAGTCACAATGCCAAAAGTCAATAAATTTAGCTAAAGAAATGAGCTGGGCATGGTGGCTCACACCTGTAATCCTAGCACTTTGGGAGGCCGAGGTGGGAGGATCTTGAGGTCAGGTGTTCAAGACCAGCCTGGCCAATGTGGTAAAATCCCATCTCTACTAAAAATACAAAAATTAGCCAGGCATGGTGGCATGTGCCTATAATCTCAGTTATTCAGGAGGCTGAGGCAGGAGATTCGCTTGAACCTGGAAGGCAGAGGTTGCAGTGAGCTGAGATTGTGCCATTGCACTCCAACCTGGTGACAGAGCGAGAAAAAAAAAAAAAAAAGAAATGTTGAGGCCTGGTGCAATGGCTCATGCCTTTTAATCCCAGCACTTTGGGAGGCCGAGGTGGGTGGATCACTTGAGGTAAGCAGTTCGAGACCAGCCTGGCCAACATGGTGAAACAATGTCTCTACTGAAAACACAAAAATTAGCTGGGTGTGGTGGCGTGCACCTGTAATCCCAGCTACTCGGGAAGCTGAGGCAGGAGAATTGCTTGAACCTGGGAGGCGGAGGTTGCAGTGAGCACAGATTGCACCACTGCACTCCAGCCTGGGCAATGAGCCAGACTCCGAAATAAAAAAAGAAGAAGAAAGAAAGAAAGAGAGGAAGGAAGGGAGGAAGGGAGGGAGGGAGGGAGGGAGGGAGGAAGGAAGGAAGGAAGGAAGGAAGGAAGGAAGGAAGGAAGGAAGGAAAAGAAATGTTGAAAGCATTTACATCTCAAAAAAAAAAATCTTCCTTAACCAAAGTAGAAAGTCATACAAGAGGCTGTGAAAACTGAATATAGCAAAAATGTTAAATACAGCAATTCTTTACTATTTAAAACCGTTATACAAGCTGGTAAGAAAAACACAGAGATCCTAGTAGTACAGCAATTCTTTACTATTTAAAACAGTTATACCAAGCTGGTAAGAAAAACACAGAGATCCTAGTAGATCAATGAATATTTCAACAAAAGAAGCATAATTAGTAAATAAAAGACTTAAATTATGAACCTCACTAAAAATAAAACATATGTGTTGAAGTGTGAGGATTTTTTGGCAATTCAAACTGTTAAAAGAGGGTGTGGAATTTGTTACTCTCATCTTCTGTTGCTGGCAGTGTGAATTGCTACAAATATTTTGGAAAACAATTTAACAATATTATATAAAGAACAGTAAAAATGTTTATTTGCCTTGAGACAATAATTCCACTTCTGGAAACTTGGTATAAAAATGCCAAAATAAATAAGAAGAGGTAGGATTTAGCACAGGAAGAAAGGAAGAAGACAGGATTTGAAGTTAAGAAGTTGGAAGAAAGGAAGAAAACAAGCTATATATTCAACAATAAGACATTAATTAAATTATGGTACAATGAAGCCATTTGAAATAAGACCAGGTGCAGTGGCTTACATCTGTAATCTCAGCACTTTGGGAGGCTGATACAGGAGGATTGTTTGAGCCCAGGAGTTCGAGACCAGCCTGGCCAACATAGCAAGACCTCATCTCTACAAAAAAAATTTTAAAAATTAGCCATGCTCAGTGGTGTACAATTGTAGTCCCAACTACTCATGAGGCTGGGGCAGGAGGACGGCTTGAGCTAGGGAGGATGAGGCTACAGTGAGCAGTGATCATGCCACTACATTCCTACTCCTGCCTGGGTGGTAGAGCAAGAACCTATCTATGTTTTAAAAATTATATCTATCTATCTATCTACCTATCTAGTAGCCTACAAAAAGGTGGTAAAATGGCCACTGTGAAATGTTCAGTAAAGGAACACAGGGTCTATCATTATGCACATATGAAATAAGCTACCATGTAAACAAATGAGAATGCCTAAGAACTAATATTAGATGGAAATTTTCAAAAGGGAAAATAGTTGGGATTTAGTGAGTCCATCTTCCAAATTTTCTTTACTGTTACTTTATATCCCTAACAATAGTAACAAATCATAGACAATGATGAGAAGGAAACTAATGCAAACCCCAACACCTCCAGGCCAGCAGACAGGACCCACTCTTCAGTGTTCACAAGGAGACGAGCAGCTTTTCATTGACCCTGCACATTGCTAGAATATGGATGACAAAGAAAACATAGGAAAATTAAAAGAAATAGACCTGGTCAGGCACAGTGGCTCATGACTGTAATTCCAGCCCTCTGGGAGGCCAAGGCAGGTGGATCACTTGGGTAAGGAGTTCGAGACAAACCTGGCCAACATGGTGAAACCCCAACTCTACTAAAAATACAAAAATTAGCCAGATGTGGTGGCATGTGCCTGTAGTCCCAGCTACTTGGGAGGCTGAGACAGGAGGATCACTTGAACCTGGGCAGTGGAGGCTGCAGTGAGCCAAGACTGAGCCACTGCACTCCAGCCTTGGTGATAGAGTGAGACTCCATCTCAATAAATAAATAAATAAAATAGATCTATTTATGTATTCATTTAAGCCAGGAGATGCTGAAACACATCCCCTTTCTACATACACATGGAAGAATATTATTCAGGTAAACGATTATTCATATTTCCGTGCAAGCTTTTAGCAAGCACCTGATAAAATCTTCTGACTAGGGATTGAGGATTGAGTCACTTATTGGCACTTTGTTGCATTAATCACCACCATCAAATAATAAACTATCAGTCACTCAGTTGTACAGGCTGCTATGCGGGCCTTTATCTGATAACAATGCACTTCACCGTAGTTACAAAGGTACTTTTTCGAAGAAAATAGGATAATTTGGCCTTTGAACAGGATTTCTCCCTCTTCCTATCTACCTTACCCTTGTTTGATTGCTTTGGTGCCTGAATTTGGTCAGAAGGAGGGGAGCAAACGGACTCACTCCCTGCTCTAGGTTTTTGCTGTTGGCATCAGGGAACAGGCTTTCCTTTGTAATGATTAATACCAACATGGTGGAATTTTCCTATTGTTCAGTTGTCATTTCTAAGCTCTGTGTTGCTGTCAGCCTGGCAGCCAAGAAAAACCCCTCTAACAACCCTAGAAACCACTGCCCTGGCTTGGAATCAATGGGCAGCAGTGTTTCTGAGCTGACAGTTTCAGGTGGAAGAGACAGCAGATTTTCAGCTGTACCTGCTTTGGCCTCCTCAACTGTGAAACGCTCCAAGTGCCTATTTCCTTTCAATACCTAAGCCCAAGACTACAAGTAAAAAAGGATCTCCATTTCCTGCCCCTACTTCTCAGGTTGCAAAACTGTCTTTTGACAGATTATTAGAATCTTTAAAGTTGAGAGGTGAGTTTGGGTTAATTTTTTTCACTTTTTCTTTTCCAGTGCTGACACTGATGGTTTTAGAACATCTGAAAATCAGGGTACAATTTAGTTTCTAGGATGGCATTCAACTGCGCGTCTTTCAGAATTCCACTGGCCCTGCGGTGGAGATGCTGGGAAGGGACACTTGGAGGAAGCTGTGGTTGTTAATTAGCAAAGTGTTACTGCAATCTGCGTTTTATATAAGGAATACGGGCCTTTAAAATACTTCTAGTACAGTTCTGGCTTCAGACTGACAGCTTGTTTACTGTTCTATATTGTATAGCTAATATAATTTGGGTCTTGGTAAATAATTGACTCCAGCTGGGCGCAGCAGCTGATGCCTGTAATCCCAGCACTTTGGGAGGCTGAGGCAGGAGGATTGCTTGAGTATAGGAGTTTGAGACCAGCCTAGGCAGCACAGGGAGACCCCATCTCTACAAAAAAAATAAAGAAATCAGCTGGATACAATGGTTCACACCTGTGATCCCAGCTACTTGGGAGACTGAGGTAGGAGGATCACTTGAGCCCAGGTTGGCCCAGGTGAGCTGTGATTGGGCCACTGCATTCCAGCCTGGGTGACAGAGCAAGACATTGTTTAAGAAAAAAGAAAAAAAGAATTGACTCCCTTGTAGACACTGATGTGAGCAATAAACTGGAACAAGACAAGAATCCTGACACTCTGAATATTGTGCTGAGGCCACAGATCATTTAAAACTTACGTATAATACAATGACAGGATTCAGGACATGCTCTCCTAGATACGGTACCTTGCTTGGCACTTGAGAAAACAGCAGAAGCAGGAAAGCCTCCCTCACCTTCCCCACACTCTTCTTTCTGTAGCAGGTCATAACACTCTCATTCCAGGGATGCTGTTCTATCCCATAGGGAAAGAATGTCCTTGTCTCTGAAGACACAAGGATATGGAGAAGAATCTGAACAAACAGCCCTTGCTAAGTTCCCCCCAGTTTATCACCATTTGATCATACCCCTTTTGTCCAATCTCTCTTCTCCACAAGGATCCACTTCTTCATCAAACTTAACATGAAAATGCACAGGTTTCCTTGTCTCCTTGGGTCTTTATTTCTGAAGCCTCCTGTGTCATATAAAACTTACATTAAATAAATTCATATGCTTTTCTCTTGTTAATCTGTCTTCTGTGTAGGGCCTCAGCCTTGAATCTTGATGTGATGAAAAGATATTACTTTTCTCCTCTACAGTTTCTGGTGCCCAGCGTGGGGCAATGGAGACATCACACTCCCTCTGAAGCCTGCAGAAAAGATCCTGAGACAACCGACAAAAAGCCAACAGAAGGTAGGAATTCTCACCTAGGTCAGCTCTCTGCATCTCTGTCTATAATGCCCAGTCAAGACAGGAGGTAAGGCCGGGTGCGGTGGCTCACCCGTGTAATCCTAGCACTTTGGGAGGCCAAGGCAAGTGGATCACCTGAGGTCAGGAGTTCAAGACCAGCCTAGCCAACATGGTGAAACCCCGTCTCTACTAGAAATACAAAATTAGCTGGGCATGGTGGCTCACACCTGTAATCCCAGCTATCTAGGAGGCTGAGGCATGAGAATCGCCTGAACCTGGGAGGTGGAGGTTGCAGTGAGCCACTGCCCTCCAGCCTGGGCGACAGAGCAAGACTCTGTCTCCCAGAAAAAAAAAAAAAAGACGGGGTAAAAATTTCTCCTAGAACCTCCTTTCTCAATTCAGGCCAGCAGGAGAAAACATTTGTTTGGGTTGTGGTATTAAATAAATCTGTCTGCTCTTTTTCTTGTTAATCTGTCTTTTGTTATAGGTATGTTAGGGTAAAGGGGTCTGGATCCAGATGCCAAGAGAGGGTTGTTGGATCTTGCGCAAGAAAGAATTCAGGGCAAGTCCATAAAGTGAAAGCAAGTTTATTAAGAAAGTGGAGGAATAGAAGAATGGCTACTCCGTAGATAAAGCAGACCAGAGGGCCGCTGGTTGCCCATTTTTATGGTTATTTCTTGATAATATGCTAAACAAGGGGTGGATTATTCATGCCTCCCTTTTTTAGACCATATAGGGTAACTTCCTGACGTTGCCATGGCATTTGTAAACTGTCATGGCGCTGGTGGGAGTGTAGCAGTCAGGATGACCAGAGGTCACTCTCGTTGCCATCTTGGTTTTGGTGGGTCTTGGCTGGCTTCTTTACTGCAACCTATTTTATCAGCAAGGTTTTTATGACCTGTATCTTGTGCTGATCTCGTATCTCATCCTGTGACTTAGAATGCCTAATCATCTGGGAATGCAGCCCAGTAGGCCTCAGCCTCATTTTACCCAGCTCTTGTTCAAGACAGAGTTGCTCTAGTTCAAATGCCTCTGATAGGTACCTCAGCCATGGACCTAGTGATGGGTGAGAAAAAGATTGGGTTTTCTCCCTTACAACCCAATCAGGCAAAAAGATGCAAAATTTTGTTTTTTATGTAGATTATCAGACACAATTCTTTATCTGCCTCACCGAGGCAATATTTTTTAGAAAATATTGCCTGCATTACAGTAGTCCCCTGTTATCCACAGTTTCACTTTTTGAGGTTCAGTATTCACAATAAGATGTTTTGAGAGAGAGACCACATTCACATAACTTTTATTACAGTCTATTGTTATAATTGTTCTATTTTATTATTAGTTATTGTTGTTAATCTCTTAATATGCCTAATTTATACGTTAGACTTTCTCATGGGTATGTATGTATAAAAAGAAACAGAGTATATACAGGGTTTATGCTATCCAGGGTTTCAGCCACACACTGTGGGGCTTGGGACATAATCCGCCAAGGATAAGGGTGTGAGGGACAGGACTAGCTGGCCGACTAAGAATCCCTAAGCCTAGCTGAGAAGGTGACCGCATCCACCTTTAAAAACGGGGCTTGCAACTTAGCTCACACCCGACCAATCAGGTAGTAAAGAGAGCTCACTAAAATGCTAATTAGGCTAAAACAGGAGGTAAAGAAATAGCCAATCATCTATTGCCTCAGAGCACAGGGGGAGGGACAATGATCGGGATATAAACCCAGGCATTTGAGCCAGCAACGGCAATCCCCTTTGGGTCCCCTCCCGTTTTATGGGAGCTCGGTTTTCACTCTATTAAATCTTGCAACTCTATTAAATCTTGCAACTGCACACTCTTCTGGTTCGTGTTTGTTACAGCTCGAGCTGAGCTTTTCCTTGCCGTCCACCACTGCTGTTTGCTGCTGTCGCAGACCCACCACTGACTTCCACCCCTCTGGATCCAGCAGGGTTTCCCCTGCGTTCCTGATCCAGGGAGGCGCCCATTGCGGCTCCCGCTTGGGCTAATGGCTCGCCATTGTTCCTGCATGGCTAAGTGCCTGGGTTCGTCCTAATTGAGCTGAACACTAGTCGCTGGGTTCCACAGTTCTCTTCCGTGACCCACGTCTTCTAATAGAGCTATAACACTCACCGCATGGCCCAAGATTCCATTCCTTGGAATCCCTGAGGCCAAGAGCCCCAGATCAGAGAACAAGAGGCTTCCACCATCTTGGAAGTGGCCCGCCACTATCTTGGGAACTCTGGGAGCGAGGACCCCCCAGTAACAGGTGGACTACTGTATTTAAATTTTCCCCTCTTCTCCCATAATGTAAACATCTCACAACATGCAGGTGCTTCCAAGAAATGAGAACAATTTCCAAATGGAATCATGACACTAAAGAAAATTCAGAAATTCAGAAATCTTTAGGTTCATATGGATACAATTTGTATTTTAGACAAAAGAAGTTTGGTTTCCCAGGAGCAACCACAGGATGTGCCCATGATGTCTTGGCAGCCTTTCCTGGTGGCTTCTTCAGTGAGGGCTGATGAGTATCTGCTTTTACTGGGGAACTTGACAGCTGACTTGGGCCTTCCAGGATCCAAACTCCTTATGTGAGGTTACTCAGGCCATCATTCCACAGGAGAGTATCAGAGAAGAGGCCATAAAGGGCAGGAGACCTCAGGATCTGCTCCACTGTGGGGCCTGCTCTGTAGCAGACCCATATACTTTCTTGTTCATGTTCCTTTCTCAATGTAGATGGGCCTCAGTGTCCTCTTGGGTAAAATGGAGATAATAATTCCACCTAGCCGGAGTGGTGGCTTACGCCTATAATCCCGGCACTTGGGGAGGCTGAGGTGGGCGGATCACCTGAGGTCAGGAGTTTGAGACCAGCCTGACCAACATAGAGAAACCCTGTCTCTACTAAAAATACAAAATTAGCCCGACGTAGTGGCGCATGCCTGTAAATCCCAGCTACTCAGGAAGCTGAGGCAGGAGAATCGCTTGAACCCGGGAGGCAGAGGTTGCAGTGAGCCAAGGTCATGCCATTGCACTCCAGCCTGGGCAACAAGGGCGAAACTCCATCTCAAAAAAAAAAAAAAATAATAATAATAATAATAATTCCACCTGATGTGATTGTTTTGAAGAATAAAGATGTTCCCATGAGTCAAACGCCTGGCACAGTGTATTGCCGATAGAACGAACTAAACAATAGCTAGAAATAATGAAAAAATGTAAATATTATAATCAGGATGTGAGGAAAGAGTTTAGTTAGAAAGTCTGTTCTATGTTTCCTACAGGAGATAGACAATCTTTTACAAATCTTGAGTAGAGTTGCGGTCGGTTGCAATACATAAATTTATTCTTACTTTGTACACCTAAACCTAGGGGCTCTTGAATTAAGATGAAAGGTTATGCAAAACTGTATTTTATTACCAGGGCCCAGATCCCTTTTTCTTTTTTTAAAGTAGAACTGCAGGATCCAGAAAAAGCTTAAAAAGACAAAGCACCCTATTCACTTCCTCCCACAGACCTTCCCATTTCCTCTGATTCCATCCCACAATAATTGAACAGCTTTTGTGCAAAGAAAGGAACAAGTGGGTCTCCTTCCTTCTTATCTCCATCGTGCCTGGGCTCAGCTCTGAAAGAAGAAAGTTCTTTTCCAGTAGGTTTGATCTCTTTCCTCTCCTTTCCTTCTGCTAACCAAGGCTTAGTCTCACTCATACCTTCCCTGACGTTTTTACAGATTTTATAGTGTTCGGATTTAAAATATCTCATTCTTCAGGAATCATCTTGCTCTCAAGGCTGAGTTAGAGTTAAAGTAAATGGATTTTGTATTCACGGTTCTGTGTTTTTAACCTCTTTTGGCTACTTTATTTTCTTCAGAGAAGTATTGTTTGGTTCACTGTCTTGATATTTTACTTTTCATTCAAACTCTCTTGTCAATGGGTTAAACCGCAAAGTGCAATTTACAAAATGTTGAGAAATGAAGTATTATTCACTAATAATACAGAGGATAACTGTCACGCACGTCTGTTTGAAGAGACCACCAAATAGGCTTTGTGTGAGCAACAAGGCTATTTATTTCACCTGGGTGCAGGCGGGATGAGTCCGAAAAGAGAGTCAGCGAAGGGAGATAGGCTTGGGCTCAGAGGCCTGACAATAACTAAGGTAAGTTTCTTATTTTGTTGAGCTGGTTCTAGAAGGTAAACAAAAGTTAGTTTAAGTACAGTGTTTCGTTCACATTTATGCAGGGCTCACTCTAGGTGGAGTTCTATTTTGGTGACTGTGGGAAATCACCAAAAATGTGGGAAAAAATGACCCACACACGAGTGACTCATGTAAATTAAATGGGGTGGGGACTTTCAAGAGAGTTTTTTTGCCCAGGTTCCCTATTTCTAAGTATGTCTATAGTTATGTCAATAAATAAGTAATGTCACCCGTGTTCCCCTGTCTGTGGATGAGGGATGCTAAAGTGCGTGATTGCATAACCGCTTAAGATTGTTCTGGAGTGAATGAAGAAGTGTGTGTGTGTGCGCGCGCGTGTGTGTGTGTGTGAATGATACTTGACCATGTGTCTACATCATTTCCAGGGGCTTCAGTGAAGGAGCCTCATTCATTCCATCTCTCTTGCCTCTGGTGTTAGAAACATCTCTGTGCAGGCCTGCCTTGAACAAGGGGTAGACACCGCCTTAGGGAATTAAAAGGTATGTTTTCCAGTGCTTGAGATATAGTGAAGAAATGTGTCAGCTGGTGAAAAAAGCTTGGTCTTCTGGTGAGGTCCCAAGTGGGCCCACAGGCCTTACGGGGGCAGGGCCAGCAGCAGGTTCTTTTCTGGAGAATGCGGGGAGGATACTCCCAGCAAACAAGTGAGGCCTCCGGTAATGCAATCTGACAGTGTTCCCAGTGATGAGTGGCCAGCGGGGAGGGCCAAGAGAGTGCTGGTAGTTAGGGAAGGATTTGCATAATTATATTCACCTGAGGGACTCCATTTACCCAACAATGCGTCTCATTGTGGTAAAGCCAGCAGCTGGCCATACAGTTAGAACAATGTGAGCTTTGGCCTTATTCTTCCAAAACAAATGCTTGGACTTTGAAAAAAAGTGACAATTAGCATTTCGAATGGTATAGAGTTATGAATAGTACACATGTTAGCATGATGTGTAGCACTCTGTATTGTGAGGCGTGCATTTGTATGCAGGACTTACGTTACTTCGCACTACAGCAGAAGGATTATATACTAGTAACAGTACTACATTCCTATGTGCATGACCTACACTGTATACATTTCATATAATAACATACCATATACTTGAGATTTATGCATTAAATGCCCATGAACAAGTGAGATGACTCCTGAAATAGGCATTCTCTCCCAATGTTTGGTAGAGTTAGATATTAAAGGCATTTTCAGTGTAAGGCACTTACTGTTTTAAGCTCAGTACAGTGGCTTTTGTTTTCTGACTGTGAAGGATTACAATGGATTTGAGAGATGTGAATCAGGATTTCGAGGAGGTGCTTTATTGAAGAGGCTGCAGGGTTCACACAGGGCTGGCTCTCTGGCTGGGGGCATGTTTACCTAAGACTCCAAATAGACAGAGTGGAGATATGAGGACCTAGCGCAAATATTGTGCCCGGCTCATTTCCTGGTATTGCCCACATTTACATTCAAAAGGGAGGTGTGGGGAGTGAAGGCTGTGTAGGTTAAGAGGCAATTCTTTTTATTATGCCCAGTAGTTGTTACATTTTGTCCCTCAAAATGAGAACGCAGGATGCATTTCTAAGGGAAGAAAGCCCCTAAAGGGGTTTGTCTATTCTCAACTTTAATGAAGTACACGTTTTAAATATTGCCTTTGTAAGCACAGCAGCATTGGAATTTCTTTTCAGCATTTTATTGAAAAGTAGGGAAATATTGGAGCATTCCAACTGGGGAAGGAAACTAAGCTTCTCCTTTGAAGCTCCAGCTGCACTTAGGTCTAATGCGAAAGGCAGTATTTGCTTTAGCCACTTCCTGACTTTCTGATGAGATGTGGAAACTAGAAGTCAGCAGGATTCCAAAGCTGGGAGTCAAACCCTACGTCCAATCCCTTGGCTCAGTCCCTGTCTTCCAGAGATGGCATCCTGAGTAAAGACAAACACCGCTGGTTTTTCTCTTCCTCCAGATCAGGTAGTGGAATGACAAGTGACTGTCATTCTGCTGCTATGGAGAATGTGCACTCAGAGGAAGAGAGCGGTAAGTCATACATTGCTGGATGGCGGGGCTGTGGTACCTTGCACACACAGGAAGCCTCCTCGGGAGGGCCCCATATGGCAGGCCCCGTCAGTTCTCAAGACCCGGCCTCCCTCTGTGCCTCATCAGCCTGCCACCACCCTGCCACCAAAGTGAGCATTCTCAAACAAAAACTGTCTCCTTGAAATTCCTGTGGCTCCATGACTTATGGCAGTGGTCCTGAATCCTGACCACACATCAGAGCCACCTGGACACAGCCGCACCCCAAACCGTCGCAAACAGAATTCTCAGGGACAGACAGGACACAGAAAGAAAATCTGTGTTTGTAGTTTACTTTTCAAGTCTTTCACCTTTTCGGAATCAGAGACATACTTCCAGCCACACAAAAGAACTCAAGCTTCCATGATGTCTATTTCCAGAGGAATTCCATTTTCCTCCTGAATTGCCTCTGAGGAATCCTGGGTTAAAGGAGGGGAGTGATAGTTCAATTTTCCTTGATTTTTTTCTTTTTCCTGTTACACCAGCTGAGACCTCCTGTCCTCAACTTTTTCCTTGATCAGTTTGGAGGTCTCGATATCTGTCTTTGTATCAATTTACCCTCTTCTTTCCCCAGGACATCCCCACCACCAGGCTGTCACTGAGCAGTGGTATAAAGCTTAACTAATAACCTGGTATAAAACTTAACTGAAGACCTTAAGGTATAAAGCTTAACTAATGCTGACACTGAGCAGTGGTATAAAGCTTAACTAATGACCTAATGATGAAAGACAGCAATAGGAAACAACATAATATTCCATACCAGACACCACTGCTCCTGCGTGACTTGGCCCTTCCCACCATTAGACAAGTTAGCGCCTGGCCATTGCTGTCCTGATGCCCTGACCTTATCTGCCCCCTGCCCCTTCTTCCCCTCTTATCTCCTGTCCTGTACTCCAGTTTCAAGGTCTTTCCCTTTCTCTCTAACCCAAAAATCATCTCCGACTTCCTCTGGGAACCACCCAGATGATGCCCAAGTTGAAGGCATCTTCCCCACGTTCTGACCACCACCCTTTGTTTTGCAGAGCAGCTTTGCACTTTTGGCATCAAGCTCCCCCTCCAGCCAAGCCCCTCTGAGCCTTGTATCTAAGAAACAATATTAGCATGCATTTCCTAAAGAAAGCATTCTCTGAAAACAAATTCTTTCATTTTCTCTACAGTGTCAGATTTTTAAAATTGCAAATATCTTTCTTGCCGGAACTGATTCTCAAAAGCTCTCCAGATGATTCTGCTACAGCTGATCCCCTGAAGGTGTCTGGGAACCAGGGCCTTCTTCTCTGTGGAAGTGTTACTGGAAAGGGGGTCCCTACCAAGACCCCAAGAGAGAGTTCTTGGATCTTGCACAAGAGAGAATTCTGGGCGAGTCCACAGAGTAAAGTGAAAGCAGGTTTATTAGAGAAGTAAAGAAACAAAGGATGGCTATTCCATAGGCAGAGCAGCCCCGAAGGCTGCTGGTTGGCTATCTTATGGTTGTTTTTTGATCATATGCTGAACAAATGATAGATTATTCTTGAGTTTTCTGGGAAAGGGGTGGAGATTCCCCCCCAACTGAGGGTTCCTCCCCTATTTAAGACATATAGACTAAGTTCCAGATGTTGCCATGGCATCTGTAAACTGTGATGGCACCAGTGGGAGTGTCTTTTAGCATGCTAATGCATTATAATTAGCATGAAACGAGCAGTAATGACGACCCAGGTCACTTTCATGGTATTCTTGGTTTTGGTGGGTTTTGGCCAGCTTCTTTACTGCATCCTGTTTCATCAGTAGGGTCTTTATGACTGACCTGTATCTTATGATACCAGTCCCGCCAACTTCTTATCTCATCCTGTGACTAAAAACGCTTAAACTCCTGGGAATATAGCCCAGCAGGTCTCATCTTCATTTTACGCAGCCCCTATTCAAGATGGAGTCATTTTGTTTCAAATACCTCTGGCAGAATATGCTAATGAGAGCCTAGGCCATCTTGTAGATGGACTCCTGCTTATCCCAGGAGAATTTTTTCCACCTTTTGCTCCATGTAACATCAATGTAACTTTTCCTTTTGTCACACTGCTATACTTTGTACCTATCAGTCTGGAAGCAGTCATCTTGCAGTAAGGGGATTTAGGGGTTGTCACTTTCAGACTTCCCAACTGGTCCGAGAGCACCTTGAAAGCAAGTCTTGCTCATTATGATGTCTCTGGCAGTTCAGTATGCTTGGCACAGAGGGGAGTCTTCCACAGTGTTTACTGAATGAAGATGTGGAATGATAATGCATGCTGGATTAGGCAATAAGGAGGTCATTAGTGACACTGGTCAGTCTCCAAGAGATGCTCACTAGGGACAGGCTGCTCCCAGAGCTGCTGCTGTTGGGACCTGTACACAAGTGCTTAACTGATGGGATCCTCCCCACCTCCACTCTCTAGCCACACCCTCTGATATGGCCTCAGCCCTAAGGAAGGATGTCATATACTTACTGATCTACACAGACGGTCATGGTTTTAGTTTGTCAGTGGGAGGAGGCCCCTGTGAACTCACTCAGAGGCACTGCCCCTGTAGCAGAGTCCTTGGCTGCTGTATTGCTCCCATCTCCTGAGATAGCAGTCATGATTAGAACCCTACTGCATCACTGTATTCCATTTTCTCTGTGAAGGGGATAAACCTATCACAGAGTGAAAGGAAGGTACTTTAGGAAGGCCATCATCACCTCACATCTGAAAAATGTTCAAAGAGCCCAAGATGTTCCACAGGCAATTCAAACTCCACATGTGCAAAACACAAGTCTTCACCTCTCTTGGGCACATCTGCCCTCCTCCTGCATGTCCTTCATTGGGTACACCTGATTGCCAACCTAGAAGTCCTTTTGCTTCACCACTCCTCTCAGTCTGCCCACAAGTATTACTGGGTTCACCTCAGAAGGCTAGTTCCCATTACCACCTCCCCTTCATTCTTCCCTCACTGCCCCGCCTTGGTCCAGCATCCTCCCGTGATTAGATAATGCTTTCCTCACAAGTTTCATTTCCAGATGCCCTCCAGATATCCTCTAAAAACAGGATCTGATTGCCCTGTGGTATGGTTTGGCTGTGACCCCACCCAAATCTCATCTTGAATTGTAGCTCCCGTAATTTCCACGCATTGCGGGAAGGACCTGGTGGGAGGTTATTGAATCATGGGGGCAGGTCTTTCCCATGCTGTTCTCATGACAGTGAATAATTCTCACGAGATCTGATGGTTTTATAAATGAGAGTTTCCCTGGACACAACCCCATCCCTGCACACGCTCTCACTTGCTGGCCGCCCTTCATAAGACCTCCCTTTGCTCTTCCTTCATCTTCCACCATGATTGTGAGGGCTCCCTAGCCATGTGGAACTGTAAGTCCATTAAATCTCTTTCCTTTATAAATTATCCAGTCTCAGGTATGTCTTTATTGGCAGCATGAGAATGGACTAATACACCTTGCTTTAAACACTTGCATGTCCCTTCTTTACTCTCAGCCCACTGGACGAGTCCTGACTCTCTAGTTTGGTATACCAACCCACTGACTTCTGTGCCCACCTACCCCTCTGGGCTTTTCAGCAGCGCCTGCACGGGAACAGTGCTTCAGCCAGTTTCCTGAGCATGACCAGCTCCTGCAGCCTCCCTGGCTTTGCACACGCTGTTCCCTGTGCCTGCACCCTCCCCCCTGTGTGTTGGACTCATCGCCAGCTGACTGAATCCCCCTCCAAGTTCTCTGTGCCTTCGCTGTGCAATTGTGCACACCACATTGTCACACTTAGTGTCCACGTGCAATCATTTATTTTATCTTCCCCACAGGACCTTGGTGTCATGAAAGGTGATGAGTTGTTCATTTTTCTCTCCCCACAATCTGTTGAAGTGTCTAGTATGTATTTGGTACAAAGTAAATCTTTATCAAATTGAAAGTCTATCGGGGCTGGGTGTGGTGGCTCACGCCTGTAATCCCAGCACTTTGGGAGGCCAAAGCAGGCAGATCACTAGAGGCCAGGAGTTCGAGCCTGGTCAACTTGGTGAAACCCTATCGCTACTAAAAATACAAAAAAATTAGCTAGGCGTGGTGGCATGTGCCTGTAGTCCCAGCTACTCAGGAGGTTCAGACAGGAGAATCACTTGAACCCGGGAGGTAGAGGTTGCAGTGAGCCAAGATTGCACCACCGCACTCCAGCCTGGGCAACAGAGAGAGACTCTGTCTCAAAAAAAAAAAAAAAAAAAAAAAAGTCTATCAGCAGGGACCTCAACAGCTGTACAATGGAATAATGGAATAGCAGGCAACTACCAAGAATGAGTTAGCTCCACACATATTGATGATAATTTCAGGGTGGTATTCACAGTGTACCCTTATTTTTTGTAAAAGTAGAAAAATAACTCTTTACATTTGCTTTTGCCTATCTGAATGTAGAGAAACATATGGAAGAAATGCTTGATTGACCCAGTGAGCGAGATTGGAGGAAGGAGAGGAAGGGTGATTTTCTTTATAACTCTATTGTTTGACTCCTCACAAAAAGCTTTATTGCTTCTGTAAAACCAATTAGGCAAAATCAAGTAAATGGTTGCTGGATGAGTAAATAGTAAACTTCAGGAAAGAAGTTTTCAGAAAAGGAGGAACACTGTTTCTGTTTCCTCTGAAGAAAACCAAAATTGGCAGAACATATAATTACAGTATTATTATTCACTTTGCAAAGGAATTTTCTCTCCCCTAAAAGGATCTTCGTGGGCTTCTTTTTAAAAGGCAACTCCAGTAAAGCTCTGACGCATTTCATCCTCTTCGTCATGACATTAACTGCAGTACTTGACAGAGGGTGGGGCTGAGAAAGAGAAAGTTTTAAGAGTCGGTGCCAATTGAAGATCAATCTGCAATGAGATAAGCTCCATTGATATTATAATGTAATTATGGGGGAAATTATTACATTGAAAAAATTCAAAGTTCACCTAGCTTTTCTGGAGGAGAGGCACCAGAGGAGCCCACTGGGAGGAGAAGGGAAGGTGTCCTGCTTCCCAGGGCTGGGGACCACAGGCAAGGCCATGGGCTTGAGGGCACTTCTCCAAACTCTAGCAGATAAATTATGCCCAAATCCCACATCTTACTGAGAAAGCAGGTGTCTGCAATTAGTCACAGAAGGGAGGTGGGTGGTCGTGGGCAGAGAAGAAAAAATTTTTTAATAAAAAAATAAAAATTAGGCAAAATAGAACTTGACAGTCACCATGCAAACAGAAGAAACACTACGAAAGTGACATCATTAGCATGGCTGTGGGCCTGTCTTATCCTTTGGTCTCTAAAGCAGGAGACAATGAGAGCTACTTACTGACTCATTTTTAGTATTTGATAAAAGAAAAAAAGTCAATCAATCAGGCTTACCTTATTGACTTACTAATGTCCTTGTCACTAAGGGATAATTTTAAAAAGGATTTTTCTATCAAAAGAAGAGAAATCAATTCATAGACCTCTTTGGGCTCCAACCCACAATTCGTATAGGATAAAATCAAGTTTAAAATAGAGAGTGCACCCATAAGGTTGAGAAGACATCTTGTGGTGACTCCTTTGCATAACATGAAACAAGGTTGGTTGGCCTTTCTCTGTAAAGAGCAAGATAGTAAATATTTCAGGCTTTCTGGGCCAAGAAATACAATCAAGGATATTATGTAGTTACTTGTATAACAAGAGCAAAACCATTTTTCCCCACAACTTTTAAAATAGATCAATTTCAAAATTTTATGACCAGTACAGTTTGCATTTTATATTGTTTTCATGTGTCATGAAATAATATTCTCATTAAATTTTCCTGCAAGCATTTGAAAATGGAAAAAGCATTCTTAGCTTGTGGGTCACATAAAAACAGGTTGTGGCCTGGATTTGGCCCTGGGGCCATCATTTGCTGACCCCCAACATAGAACACTTCTGAGTCATGTCAGGGTCCTTAATCAGTTAGGTCATCCAAGCTCAGATTGAACTGGGACATGGTTTCAGAATCCTTCTCAACACTGCATGCCTGCCATAATGTGGGTAGGGAGAGGCTGTTGGCTCTGCAGTAGCCACCTGATGGCTGCTTAAAGGACCGTGAACTCAGTTATCACCAGCATTTTCCCTACTCTTTCAGATCTGGGTGCAGTTGGCTCAGTCCTCCATCCCCAGCCTCGGGAAAGTCTCTCTCCCAGATTTCCGCTCCTCCTCAACAAGCTTGCATGTTGTGCCAAGGAGCAATCGCTTCTGCTGCTACGAATTCACTTGCCCTTGTGAATTCACGTGCCCTTCATCCTTGCCTCATCCAGAACAGAGAATACAATTATTTTAATATTTTATGTATTTTTTATAAGCCTACAGAGTTTTAATGGAAGTTTGGAGAGACAATGGCAGTTTACACAGCAGAAGTAACAGCATCTGCTCAGTGTCATTGTTTAAGTCATCATCATAGCTAACACTTCCAGGAAATTTATTTCTTTTGCCAGGAGGTTTTCACATGTTATTTAATCCTGCAATAATCAGTAGAAATAGGCTTTTTCTTTTTAACAGTTATTATCCTGTTTTACAAAAAAGAAATGAAGCTTAAGAGATTGAGCAGCTTGCTAATCACAGAGCAAGTTAATGATAGAGATGAATTTTGAACAGTCAAGTCAGGCAGTGACTTATGCCTGTAATCCCAGCACTTTGGGAGGCCAAGGCAGGCGGATCATTTGAAGTCAGGAGTTCAAGACCAGCCTGGTTAACGTAGTGAAACTCCGTATGTCTTAAAAATACAAAAATTAGTCGGGCATGGTGGCAAACGCCTATAGTCATAGCTACTAGCTAGGCTGAGGTGGGAGGATCGCTCAAACCTGGGAGGTGTAGGTTGCAGTGAGCTGAGATTGCTTCATCTCACTCTAGCCTGGGCGGTAGAGTGAGATTCCATCTCAAACAAACAAACAAAAACCACAATCAATGACCCAGAATGCAATCAATGACCCAGAGCCCATGCACCTAAACACAACACAGTTATCCCTCTACAGCACTTTAAGTGAACATCAGACTTTGTTGTTGTTGTTGTTGTTGTTGTTGAAAGTTCTTCTATCACCTCCCTGGGAATTCTCACTGGCCTGACCACCTCATAAAATGTCCTGGCTTCTACCCACGCTCCTGGCTCCTCTCCTTGCCCATGTCTTTCTCACCTCTTCTCCCAGATTGTTTTCATGAACTCTTAATACCTTGATCCAATTCTTTAGAGTAATTTAGCTCTTGCTAGCTCATGTTCCCAAACTGAGCTCTAGCAGAAGCCTTCTGAGGGACATAATGTCATTTTACAGGAAGAAACTATTGATTGGCCAATTGCATGTGGAAAACTAGGAGAAGGCCCATAAGGAGAAGGTGGAAGAAATGAAGCACACTAGAAAATCAGAAAATTGCGGGATGTTTTTCTTTCTGAGAGAGAAGAGGGACAGTAAACAAGTGAGAGTGCATGAAGGCAGAGAAGATGTAAGACTTTTTAAAAAAAAGAGGTTGCTTTGCCCCAAACTATTTAGTCAGGTCTTCTACACACAAAAATGCCTTGTGAGAAAATGGAGAATGTGGGAAATCAAGAAATGAAGAATTCGCTGGAGATAAATGGTGGGAAATGAATGTAAGCTCCCTGAGCATTTAAAGAAGTTCTGTAAACTTTCCATATTGGATTTTTGACACTGGACTTTCTACAGGGTACATTATTGTTATCTAAATCTTTGGAAACAGGGTGAATCTACATGATAGAGTGGAAGCCACAAAGGAAGAAGAAGAAGAGATTCTATCTGGGTATGGAGAATGAAAAAAAAAAAAGGTGTAAAGAGGGTGAGTGTACAGTCATCTGGAAGCCATGTCACAGAGAGGAGGGGAGAGATTAAAAGGGATCTGAATAAGAGCAGGATGGTGGGGCTTGAAAGGATGGGATGAACATGAGAGACGTGATGACACTGGTCAACAGAGATCTCTCTAGGGATGTCAACCAGAAAGGGATGTAATGTAGGAAATTAGGTGTTTTTACACTTCTTTAGGAGGGCAAGAGAAACGGGCTCTGGGCTGAACTCCAGGAATGAACAACATTGCAGAATGGCCCTCCTGGGAATTGCACCCCTGACTCAACAGTAGTAGGGTATCAGGAGACCACTTTTAGCACAATAGATTTCTGAAAGAACCCACCCTAGCTGAGGCAGGTACTGCGGTCACTGCAAGTACTAGCTGGAGAGCTATGCTAGGCTGCTCCATGTGCAACAGCAAAATGTGTAGAGCCCAGCCCCTGCCTTGCAGCCCCCATTGCAGCAGTGACTGGACACAGGAGCACCATTGTGCTTGACAGCAGAAACCAGCAGAGAAAGATCTCTTCCGCTTCATCCTGCCCTTCAGATTCCACACGAGTGCTTCTTATGGGGGATCTTAATTCCATTAAGAACCCTGCCCTGCCAAGCCATACTGGAGTCAGAGGCAAAAGGAAATGTCAGTAATACTGCGTTACTTTTTATTTTTATTTATTTATTTATTTATTTATTTATTTATTTATTTATTTATTTTGACAGGGTCTGGCTCTGTCATCCAGGCTGGAGTGCAGTGACTCAATCATGGCTCACTGCAGCCTTAACTTCCGGACCTCAGGTGATTCTCCCACCTCAGCCTGTCAAGTAGCTGGGACTACAGGTACACACCATCATTCACAGCTAATTATTTTGTTTTTTTTTTTTTTTAAATAAAGACAGGGTTTCACCATGTTGCCCAGGCTGGTCTCGAACTCAAGAACTGAGCTCAAGCAATCTGCCTGCCTCCATCTCCCAGACTGCTGGGACTACAGGTGCAAGCCACTGCACCCGGCTACTTTTTAATTTTTCAAAATACTGCATTAAGAGTATTTATCTTGGCTGGGCGCGGTGGCTCACGCCTGTAATCCCAGCAGTTTGGGAGGCCGAGGCGGGCGGATCACGAGGTCAGGAGATCAAGACCGTCCTGGCTAACACGGTGAAACCCCGTCTCTACTAAAAAAAAAAATACAAAAAATTAGCCGGGCGTAGTTGCAGGCGCCTGTAGTCCCAGCTACTCGGGAGGCTGAGGCAGGAGAATGGCGTGAACCCGGGAGGCGGAGCTTGCAGTGAGCTGAGATCACGCCACTGCCCTCCAGCCTGGGCAGCAGAGTGAGACGCCATCTCAAAAAAAAAAAAAGTGTGTTTATCTTGATTACTGAGTTTTTTGATGCCCCTTAAATTTTGTGCCTGGGGTGCCTTGCTTGCCTCATCCTAGACCTGGCCCTGTTAAGAACCCCAGTTACAAGGGAGTCTTAGAAATACCGTTTTTAGCTTTTCATCCTCTGTGGTACTGACGGCACCATGGAAGAGGCTGGGATGAAGGTAGCACCATCTACGAGAGCCCTGTCAACTTGGCTAGGGCTGTAGAATCCAGCTGTTTGGTCAAACACCAGTCCAGATGTTGCTGTGAGGTATTTTAAATAAATATTTTATTTTGTAAGAAAAATAACAAACTTTTTTGGAAACAGTCTCTCTCTGTCACCCAGGCTTGAGTGCCATGTCCCTATCATAACTCACTGCAGCCTGGAACTCCTGGGCTCAGGCAATCCTCCTGCCTCACCCTCCCAAGTAGCTAGGACTACAGGTGTGAGTCACCACAATCACCTAGTTTCTTCATTTTTTGTAGAGACGGGGTCTCGCTATGTTGCCTAGGCTCGTCTTGAACTCCTGGCCTCAAACAATGCTCCAGCCTCGACCTCTCAAAGCGTTGGTATTACAGGTATGAGCTACCATGCTGGCTGTTATTTTTTAGATGTGACTGACATTTAAATCTCTGAGTAAAGCAGGTGACCCTCCCTAGTGTGAGTGGCCTCATCTAATCAGTTGAAACCTTCCATAGAGAAACCGAGGTTCCCCTCACTCCTAAGAGGAAGGAACTCTGCCTCCAGACTGCCTTCTGGCTCAAGACAACATCAGCTCTTGCTGGAATTTCCAGTCTGCCCTGCAAACTGCCGGTTCCCACCATTGTATGAGCCAGTTCCTGAAAGTAAATCTTTATCTCTATTTCTATTTCTGTCTCTGTCTCTATTGTCTCTATCCCTATCTCTATCTCTCCTCTTTGGTTCTGTTTCCTGGGAGAACCCTGACTAATACACTTGGAGGAGGTGACAGAGGTGAAGGGCCAGTCTGCTAGCTCTACCACGGTGGAGATGGAAGTAACAATACTGGGTAAAAATACCCTTCATATAGTAGGAGAGAAGGAAGAGGCTAAGTTGGTTCCCAGGTTCCTGTGTGGGTGACCGCGATAAGGACGACAGATGCAGTACCAGATATCTCCATGAGAAAACAGAGCACGTGCTCGTCGTCTTTGGAAGATGCCATTCCCTGATCTCCCACATGCAGCTCTGTTCCAATGCATGAGATCCACCCTGTGTATTTCACACGTTGGTTGCCTGGGACAAGTAATTTGGTTATTTGCTTGCTTATTCATTCATTAAATGCATGCTTATTAAGTGTGTCCTGTGTCAGGTACTATTGCAGGCTTGGGAGAAACAATGGTGAATGAAAGCTGAGATGGCTTCTTTCATGATGTTTTCAATCTAATTCAGAGAGATGTGACAAACAAACACAACACAAACAAAGGGAACAGTGTCAGATAGCGATGTGTGCAGCCGGAACAGTGAAACAGGGCAGTGTGATGGAGGTGCAGGGAGTAGGTGCTGCCTGACACGGCCACTCACGTTGAATATGCCAGGACCTCCATTCCAGCATCACATATGGTCTAAGTGTGGGGGAACATTGACCTGTCCTGTGTGTAATCAGCTAGAATGAAAGGAAAGAGCCCCAGCTTTATATGACAAGTTACTAAAGGAGAACCCGAGCCCAGGACAAATGTCTGTGATGAACACCTTCTTCCTCTCTTAGTCTATTCAGGCTAAAGTACCATAGGCTGGGCAACTTAGAAATACAGACTTTTTTTCCTACCCATTCTGGAAGCTGGGTGCCGGCAGATTTGTTGTTTGGTGGGGGCCTGCTTCCTGGTTCCTAGACGGTGTCTTCTAATGGTATACAAATGTGGTGGAAGGAGTGAGGGTTCTCTCTTGAGCCTCTTTTATAAGGGCACTCATCCTATTCATGGGAGCTCCACCCTTATGACCTAATCACCTCCTAAAGACCCTGCTCCCTAATATCATCACCCTGGGGGTTAGGATTTCAACATGTGAAACTGCAGGGGACATAAACATGCAGGCCATAGCCGTTCTCCATGCTGATAGGTAATGGGCAGTCACTGAATGAGTCTCTGTGAGGCAATGGAGGGGGAGCTGGGTGGCAAGGCCCAGGCCCAGGCTGAGTCTACAAAGAGCAGCATCAGGATCTGCCGGGAGACAGAAGCTCTTTGGGGTGAAGGTGATGCCTCTTCGTTGTTGTGTTTCCAGCAGCGACACAGCATTTGGCACATGGCAAGTCCTCTGTAAATACTGGTTGATGAATTAAGGAATCCCTTGGCTGAAGGTGGAGGGGACCGGCTACTGCGGGACCAGGGAGCCTTTGCATTTTGGATGATTTCTTCATACTTGGGAGAAGTATTTTCCTCCTTCCATAAGACAAGTCCCAGAGCCTTCCAGGTGGGAAGGACTGTCTGGCCAAATGACTCTGACTTTGTCTTTTTTATTTCAACACTTGCTGTTCCCTGGGGGACTACGATTCACTTTAATGCTCCCACCAAAGTGAGGCCAGCTAGTCCTTCCCGTCTGGGAGGCTTTCCTTAGGTTTGCCACCTTAGCACAGCTGAGATGGCCCGGGAATTTAGGAAGCCTTCTTTAGCTGCGAAGGGAGTGGAAAAGACGACTAAGCCAAGAGCATGCATGAGGAATAAAAGCGGTCAGGTTTCTGCTGTCTGGTATTCCTCATCTTTCTATAATTTTCTGGCTTTGGTGCTCCATGCTATGCAGAAAGAACACCAAAAGATGAGTACAGTTTTTCAGACAACCTGACTCAGCCCTAGGCCCATCTTCACAAATAGGGAACAAATCTTACTTCCCTTCCACACTGAAACGGGTATTTGCCATTAAGAAAAGATCACCGGATTCAACAAATCAAAGTATAGGGCACTCAGTTAAATTTGAATTTCATGTAAATAACACAGAATTCTTTGATATAAATATGTCCCAAATATTGCAAGTTCCAAATGTGGCACGAGGCATATGTATCTTAAAAATGATGTACTGTTTATCTGAAATTTAAATTTGACTGGGAGTCTTGTATTTTATCTGGCAACTCAAGGAAAAGATTTGAACCCTGCCACTAGCATAGGGCCTTTCCATTCAGGGCTCATCCCGGGTTCCTGCCTGAGGCCTCCACACCTCCCTCCAGAGTTTGGTGGAACTTTTATAACTGTTCCAATAAGTGGCTTCTCCCTTGACTGGAGACCCTACCCACCTCCATGCCTACACGCGCAGGGGTCCTCGCCTGTCTGGACAGAATCTCAATATCTGAATCATGCATGGAGCATACCAGCCACACAACAGGAATTACACACTTCATCACAGTTTATCTGGTAGGCGTAGAAGAGCTTCGTATTTTTCTTTGGGAACACAAAGCTCAGTTCCCCCAATGACCATGCTGAAAAATCCCAAGGACAGTAAGCTTCATGACAGATACAGTGGCTATTCAGAGGAGAACACATCAATTTCTCTTACATATCAGAGGATTAAATAGTCAGCCAACCCTAAGACATGCCCAGGAGGGCCGGGCACGGTGGCTCACGCCTGTAATCCCAGCACTTTGGGAGGCCGAGGCAGGCGGATCACGAGGTCAGGAGATCGAGACCATCCTGGCTAAAACGGTGAAACCCCGTCTCTACTAAAAATACAAAAAATTAGCCGGGCGTAGTGGCGGGCGCCTGTAGTCCCAGCTACTTGGGAGGCTGAGGCAGGAGAATGGCGTGAACCCGGGAGGCGGAGCTTGCAGTGAGCCGAGATCCGTCTCAAAAAAAAAAAAAAAAAAAAGACATGCCCAGGAGCTATTTTCAGCTCTGTTTTAACCTGTTGAGCTCCAAATAGAAACTTCTATATTTTTATCTTATGTTACGCCTCCCTTGAGGGAGTCAGTCTATAGGGTAGTGAGGTTAAAAAGAAATAACTAACAACTTTCAAGAAAACAATCTAAAATAAGCACCTGTGTGGCGATTATAAAAATATACAAATTTCCTTTGCCTCTAGTGGTCATGTTGAAGCCCACACATTTGTGATGTGCATTGAGCCACACAGTTCTTTTCCATTTGCCCTTTTAGGTGAGATCTGCTAGATTTCCTCCCTCCCCCTCACATGATCAGTGCAGGATTTCTTGCTTTCTCTTGTTGAAGCAGAGTGATAATACTGTTTAACCCTTGATTCAAATATCCTGGGTAATGGCCACATGCCCCGTAATGAAATACGTCCAAAGATTAGCTGGAAGTCCCGGGCCTGCTTCTCTTACTAACTCTGGCTGTCTCAGTAGTGTTTACAAGTGTCTCTAGTTACCTCCCTTTCTCCTTTGCTTAAGTGGGCACGAGATTTTGAATTCCTTAATAGATTTTAAGTTCAGCAAGAACAAGGACCTTGCCTTGTTCACTGTTCTATTGGTTTGCTAGGGCTACCATATAAAATATCACACACTAAGTGGCCTAAGCAACAGAAATTTATTTTCTCACAGTTCTCATAGTTCTGGGGGCTGGAAGGCCAAGATCAAGGTGTTGGCAGGTTTGGTTTGTGCTGAGGCCTCTCTCCTTGGCTTGTAGGTGGCCGCCTTCTTTCTGTGTCCTTACATGGTCTTTCCTCAGTGCACGAGCCTTTGAGTGTTCTTGTCCGTAAAATTTCCTCTTCTTAAAAGGACACCAGTCAGTTGGATTAGGGCCCATGCTAACAACCTTATTTTAACTTAATAGCCTTAAAAATTTTATTATTATTTTTATTATTTTAGAGACATGGTCTCGCTCTGTCACCCAGACTGGAGTGCAGTGGTGCAACTATGGCTCACTGCAACCTTGAACTCCTGGGCACAAGTGATCTTCCCACTCCAACCTCCTGAGTAGCTGGGACTACAGGTGTGCATCACCACATCTGGCTAATTTTTAAATTTTTTGCAGAGACAGGGTCTCACTGTGTTGCCTAGGCTGGTTTTAAACTCCTGGCCTCAAGTGATCCTCTTGCCTTGGCCTCCCTAAGTGCTGAGCCACTGCGCCCAGGCCTTAATCATGTTTCTAAAGGTCCTATCTCCAGATATGGTCACATTCTGAGGTTCTAAGGGTTAGGGCTTCAATATATGAATTTCAGAGAACATGTAATTCAGCCCATAACAGTCACCATTAGTCCAATAACTAATGTAGTGCCTGGTACATGATAGATGATACATCTTTTTGTACTCATTTGTTGAGTGAGTTCAAAAACTTTGATAATGTCATTGGTGAGGCACATTTACTTAGAGCTTCTTGTTAAGCCAGAGCATCGGGTTTTTAAGCTTCTTTCCTTCCTACACACCTTAATGGTCATCCGTTGTGTCATGGAAAGTCATCTGGTCATGTATATAACTTGTATGACACCCTCCCTTCCACAGAGGATGCTGTATAGTAAGCGTGTGTCTCACACTCGCAGGCAGAGAGCCTGTCCTATCCACGTCGTTGCCACCTGCCCTACGTGCAGCAGGCTGCGATGGTGACCCAGGCTCCCAGCTGTCATTCTCCAGCCCTCCTTTTGGCAAATGCTTGACATGCATCTCCACATTTCCTTTATTTCCTTCAAATTGGGAAGAAAAAAAAATAGAATCTGTCAAAGATCTCCTGCTACTTGTGTGGGGAGAAGGGGAGCCTCAACAACTTACCCATTGTCTAGGCGTTGCTCTACCAGTCTTTCAGGAAAAAGAAAAAAAAAAGCCCCAAAACTTTGATCCCTGGGGAGGTGAAGCGGAAGTTGATCTTCACCATTAAATTTTTTTATAGATAGCAAAGTCCATGCTTCCACCTGCATCCAAAGCACAGAGGCAGCTGGCAGAACAAAGCACCAGAGAAAAATAGCTGACCAGAATCTCTTAAATTGCCTGTGTACAGGTGCAGCTTGTTTTTCATCTTGGTGGCAGCCACTAGTGATTGACAATGTTTTACCCAGAGGACTTAACCCTTTTTTTGCCTAGATGAGCCAAAGAGACCAGTCTCATGGTTTAGAAAACAGTTCATACCCCTCTGTAGGTTCTAAGCATTCAGCCCAAAGGCATGGGAACTGTACTTCGAACTAATGCCACCTGCAACAAAAGAAGGAATGACACGATGTCAGAGAAAAAGTTTTAAAAAAATATTGCTAGGTCTCTCCAGCTTTGAAGCCAAGGCTGGGGCATGTCTTATTTTTTTAATCAATAGATAGATGGAGACAGCATGTGACGAATGTGCCTCTGGAATGGGATGCGTTACAAGTTGAACTCTCTGGGTGTTAAGTCTTAAGCTACCTGTCCCAGAAAACCAATCCCTTTATGCCCTCAGCTTTTTTTTTTTTTTTTTGGATTACCATTAAACAAATTATTTTAGATGGTAGCAAGCAGTAGAGAGGAGACAACATCGTGCGGCCTAGTTTAAAAACCTCCAAAGACAGAGAACTGGGCAGCTTCACTGGTCCTGAGCTGGTTCGGTTGTGTTTCCCCCAGGATTCCCATTGCATCTCACCTGGGTTACTTTTCATAGTTGTGTGCAAGGACATTTGCCACTGGGGAGTCCCCCACCCAAGTGGTTGCATTTGTGTGGAGACCAGACAGACAGGACTATAGGGAGAATGCTCTCTCTCTGGTGGTTTTGAGGGAGCGTTGATGGAGGAATGAATTGGGAGATTACACTGGGATGTGGGCAATCTTTATTAAAGGAAGAAGCAAAAACTGTGAGTACTGCAGGAATGGCTCTCAGGACCATCACAAGAGTTAAACATTTGGAAAGAAGCTAAGCACAAGGGAGGAATAACCTCCTAAACACTGAGCCCTCCTAGGGAGAGAAGGGAAGTTGGTAACTGGTGATTATAAGCTAGCACTTCAAGGGAAGGCCCCAGAGCTGTTGGGGTGGGGGCGGAGGTGCTCCTCAGCAGGGTCCTGAGGCAAGGCAAAGAGCTTGCTTTAAAAATATATGTATTACTTTTTTTAGAGACAGGGTCTTGCTGTGTTGCCCAGGCTAGACTGCAGTGATGCAATCAGGGCTCACTGCAGCCCTGACCTCCCGAGCTCAAGTGACCCTCCCACCTCAGCCCCCCTGAGTAGCTGGGACTACAGGCATGTACCACCATGCCCAGCTAATTTACTTTATTTGTAATTTAACTTTTGTAGGGATGGGGGTGTCTGTATATTGCCCAGGCTGGCTTCCAACTCTTGACCTCAAGCGATCCTCCTGTCTTGCTTCTCAATGTGTTGGGATTACAGGTGTGAGCCACAGTGCCCAACCAAGAGCTTGTTAATGAAGTGTTAGTAGTGTGGATCCCATGGCTTCTCATTCTGGTAGCTGCATTGTAAATCACCTTCTCTCAGCACAAGGAACACTACAGATGACCATTCTTGATGATGAACATGCCCGAAACATACCGTAACACAAGCACAGAGCATGAGCTCAATAACTCACAGCCATGGAGCAGTGTTTTGGCTTCTGAATGGAAAAAATGACATGTACACAACTCTGATACTTCCTTAAAGAGGCTTAGTAAAATCATCACACTTGCCCAGCCAGGGAGCTCCCCATTCTATGTCTTTGGCTTTGACATGGCCTTTGAAATGAGTCCATGCGAGGTTGAAGGCATCTGTCTAGATGTTCAGGTCTCCATACTCACACCTGTTAACCTGGCAGTAAAATAATCAAAGGAACTCTGTGGCCTGGAAAGCAATCCATCTCATTGATAAATCAAACCTTTTGTATGAATCTTGATAAAACTGTGTGGCCAAAAGTGATTGAATTTAAAAATTTTGAATTTTCATGAATTGTTTTGATCTTAGACATAGATCACACCTGTTAGTGATTGTGCATGAAATAAACTACCAGGATTATGTGGGAATCATAGCCTTGGCACCATGGTGGTAATCAAAATGAGGCAGACGCTTGGATGCAGGTCAACTTCATCAGAACAATAGGTGCTGTCAACCAGACAGAGATACTGTAAGGAGTAGCCTCAGACATGCTACAAGCCGAGGTCAGGAGACGCACCTCCTCCCCGTCGGAGTCTAGGGTAGGCATATCTACACCAAGCCTCTGCTTCCATCCAATTCACAGAAGCTGCATGAATGGTAAGAAGATCTCTTTAAGTTCTGCTTCAATATTTATCCCTTTCACTTGTACTGCTGTCACCACTACAAGCTGGAAGCAGAGAACTCCCAGGCCCAGAGAGGCCCATGGGGACACTGAGAGCTGCTGATTTTCTTTTCCCTTTGGCCATTTTATGAGGGAGACACCACGCACATTCTAACAGATTCATGCACAAGGGGTTATAGTATGCTCTATATTCTTGGCCTTGAAAATTTTTTTTTTAAGTTTGTAAAGGTAATTATGATTGTTTACAGTACTGAGGGCAAAGCCCCACCCTGGGCTCCAGGCCAGGGGCTCTGGGAGTTGAGTGTAGTGGGGTGAGCCAAGTCCAAGACAAAAGCACAATTATGCTCACCTAAAAACCCACACTGGTGGTAGGGGGATGAAGGAAACACCTACACAAATGGGAGGTGTGTGGAGGGAGGGGCTTCCTTTGAAGTTTTGCATAAATCGTATTAATTTTTTTCCTATAGAGCTGGGAATGAAGATTCTTGGTTTTCATCCTGTATCTCTTATTGAGTATTGAGCTGTGCCATAAGGAAATGGGCTTCCTTCTTACTTGATTTGCCAATGTTTAAAACTGAACTTTAAAGAAAAGAATTTTGGAAGAATTAAGAGGAAAACAGGACACCTTGTACAAGGTTTCATAAAGCTTTCTTAATTTTTTTGGCCAAAAGAAACAAGTCAGCCCCGGTGCAGTGGCTAACACCTGTAATCCAAGTACTTTGGGAGTCCGAGGCAGGCGGATCACCTGAGGTCAGGAGTTTGAGACCAGCCTGACCAACATAGTGAAACCCCATCTCTACTAAAAATACAAACCAAAAACAAAAACAAGAACAATTAGCTGGGCGTGGTGGTGCGCACCTGTAATCCCAGCTACTCAGGAGGCTGAGGCAGGAGAATTGCCCGAACCCAGGAGGCGGAGGTTGCAGTGAGTGGAGATCGCATCACTGTACTGCAGCCTGGGCAACAGAGCGAGACTGACTCAAAAAAAAAAAAGTACTCAAGTCAGACACCAAAAGACTCTCTTTTTTAAGCCCATCTCCCTTCTTTCTGATCCAGGTCCGTTTTCTACTTATGAAAGTTTAAACACCACAGGGTGAAAAATTGTTGCTACAGTCTATTGGGTTCGCTGGGTCAGGAAATAATTAGCAAATACTCAACTACTTGCATACGTTACCTTCCTGTTAACTCTGCTGTACTTTTTCTGCCTGCCGGGATTAAGGCCAGATGATTATTTGTCCTAATGTTATGAATCATTGACAAGAAAAGCTTGTAATGGCAGTGTTGACATGCCTTTACATCCATTGGCACCACAAGGTAACCAGGAGCAATCAGTGACAGGGAAAACTGGAACATATTGTGGAGGAAGCGGGGGCGGGGCCCCCTCCCTGGCCTCAGAATGGCTGGAGCAGGAATTCCTCACTACCTGCTTCAGTTCCCAAAAGGCAGGCTCTAGAGATTTGGTACCACAGTTCAGAAGAACAACCACAGGGAGAAGAATTTTCCCCTTTAGTCCAGGAGGAATATGATTTTTAGGAAACAGACGCAGAAACCTGACCTTGGCTCACAGCCGCCTTGGTGAAGCCAAGGGCTAAGTTTCGGGGCACTGGCCTGCCCTTCATTGCTGCACACACCCAGATACACACACCTGAGAGAGCTTGAGCAATCGGCTCTGTACGCCCAGCTCTGCACTGCCTGGCAGCAAAGAGGAAAGGGGAATTACAGGCAGGCTTGACTTGAAACACTGCTCTGGCCCCACCTGAATTCCAGGTGCCCCAGGGAGTCCCTTCAACCACCTGGAATTGAGGCTGTTTCAAGGTACAGATGCAGTGTGTGTTTGTCTTGCTTTTGTTTGCACCTTCTACCAGCTGGAAGCCAGAAGGTGTGGGGCTCTGCAAACAATTTTGATGTAAATAAAGAGAATGTAAGAATTAAAAAGACACCTTGCAGCTGAGCCCAGGGCAGAGGGGCGGGGGTACAGGCTAAGAGAGGAGGGAGGTGGAAAGCGGGGAGGAGTGGAAATAGATTTCCTCTAGGAAATAGAAATAGACACAGGGCCAATGTGGGATGATGTGATCCTACTGCATATTTTCCATATGTTAATATCCCTCCATACGATTCCTCCTCAGATCGGTTATTGATAGATAGAAAATAAGCCTGTGGGCCTAGATCTGCCTCTGCTCTTTATTTATTGAATGTGCCTACTATGTGCCAGCACTAAGGTAAGCACTGGGAATAGATGTGAAAACACATTATCATGTGACAGACAGCAAATTAACACCTACGATGAGGCTGTTTATGGTGCAACAAGGGCTGCGAGTGACAAAGGGCCATCTCCGTCTCCTTAGGACAGTGAGAGAACATGCCAAGAAGGAAGATCTTCCACAAGGACCTCTCCTTTCATCCCAAAGCAACCCTAATAGTCATAATTCTTACAAGGGTGTGGAACGCATTGGGGATGGTCTTCTATTCACCATTCTTTTTGGACTAGGATAACTTCTCTGTATCACATAAATTTCGAAGAAAAAAAAAAGTTTACTTAAACGTTAAAGGTTTTTTTGTTTTTGTTTTTTTCTTTGTTACCCAGGCTGGAGTACAGTAGCACAATCACAGGTCACGGCAGCCTCGACCTTCTAGGCTCCAAGCGATCCTCCCATTTCAGCCTCCCAAGTAGCTGGGACCACAGGCACATGCCACTATGCCTGGCTAATTTTTTTGTATTTTTTTGTAGAGACAGGGTTTCAACCATGTTGCCCAGGCTGGTCTCAAACTCCTGGGCTTAAGCGATCACCCCGCTTTGGCCTCCCAAACTGTTAGGATTACAGGTGTGAGCCACTGTGCCTGGCCTAAATGTTAAAGGTTGATGTAAATATATAAATATTTCCAGAGCAATATGCAACCATGAGATCATTTTGATCAACCTATTTTGTTGAAGATTGTTTTGTAAAAGGTATTAGAAATTTGGAAAATACTAAATGTTTAGCTTGCTTCACTGTTTTTCTTTTTCTTTCTTTCTTTTTTTTTTTAGAGACAGGGTCTCACTGTTACCCAGGCTGGGGTGCAGTGGTGCGATCATGGTTCACTTCAGCCTTATTCTCCTGGGCTCAAGCAATCCTCCCACCTCAGCCTCCCAAGAATCTGGAACTACAGGTGTCTGCCACCACACCTGGCTATTTTATTTCTTATTTTTTGTGGAGACGAGGTCTCACTATGTTGTGTAGCCTGGTCTGGATCTTACTCATTTTTTAATAATAAAAAGTTACTTTTTGTCAACTGTGAGTGGAAGAAGCATTTAAAAGAAGCTAGTTCATTTTAAAAGAAATACAGTGTATAGTTTGGCACACTCAAGGGCAGTAACCTAATGATTAAGAGGGGAATTTTGGAGTCAGACATCCCAGAAATCTGATCCTGACACCCCAACTTAAAAGCTGTGTGATCTCAGACACACTGTTTAACCTTTCTGAGCTTTAGGGTTTTTGTTTTGTTTTCAAATGGAAGTAGTAATATCTACCTTGTAAGTTTATTCTGAATATTAAATGAGATAGTGCACATTTCCTAACAAGAATCCTAGTTTACCTAGTGTGTGCTCAGCAGATGCTAGCTATTATTAAAATTAGTCTATAATTATGAATAATTATAACAATAAACACTTTTTCTTTTCCTGATAAATTATGACTCTGTACATAGAACAAAGTAAATTGGAATAATGGCAATTATTTTGTGAACTTAATAGCTGCAGCCTACTAAAGTGGTTAAATAAATTTTTAAGCAGAGTGATGTGGTATCACTAAGAGTAATTTATTTATATTATTTTATTTTATTTTATTTTATTATATATATTTTTTGAGACAGAGTCACCCTCTGTTGCCCAGGCTGGAATGCAGTGGTGCGGTCTCGGCTCACTGCAACCTCCACCTCCTGGGTTTAAGCAATTCTCCTGCCTCAGCCTCCTGAGTAGCTGGGATGACAGATGCTCGCCACTGCACCTGGCTGATTTTTGTATTTTTAGTAGAGACGGGGTTTTGCCATGTTGGCCAGGCTGGTCTCGAATTCCTAGCCTCAAGTAATCCACCTGCCTCGGCCTCCCAAAGTGCTGGGATTACAGGCGAGAGCCACCACGCTTGGCTAAGAGTGATTTATTTAATATGATAAATGCCAAAATTACATTTCTCTGGCTGTGTAGACAGAGTGGGTGCCATAGTGAGGTTACCCACAATGGCCTCCATTCTTAAGGAGCTGACCAGACTAACATTGATACTTAGAAGTATAGTTACACAAATCCTCAGAAGGAGTATAAACTCAAAAGTTGAAAGCACATCAAGAGTAAATTAAAGGTGTTCAGCAGCATTGCTGTCAGTCACATAGAAACCCGAGTGACAGTGCCCTGACCATGAGCAGATGAGGCTGAACTAAACTAGTGCCAGAGGACGTTGAGTTCCATGTCTTTCCTCCATCCAGTCAGTATAAGCGTGACTTCTACACCTCTGCCTCGTGGTCATCAGGGTGCTCTTGAAACTTTTTTTTTTTTTTTTTTTTTTTTTAGATGGAGTCTCGCTCTGTCGCCCAGGCTGGAGTGCAGTGGTGTGATCTCATGGTAACCTCTGCCTCCTGGGTTCAAGTGATTCTCCTGCCTCAGCCTCCTGAGTAGCTGGGACTACAGGTGCATGCCACCATGCCTGGCTAATTTTTGTATTTTTGGTAGAGATGGGGTTTCACCATGTTGGTCAGGCTGGTCTCGAACTCCTGACCTCGTGATCTGCCTGCCTCTGCCGCCCAAAGTGTTGGCATTACAGGCGTGAGCCACTACATCTGGCCAAAACTTCTAATGTCAACACTGCTGGCTGGGCTGGATATTGGGCTTGCTTGTTGAACAAAGAGTTGTTCGAAGCTTTTAGATTTTTTTTTTTAGATTATAAAAATATGGGTGATGCAAAGGACTAGGTTCACTTAATGGCACGAAGACTAACCCAAGGAACTGTGAATCCTTATCGTTGGATGATCAGACTCAGCCACAGTGATGCTCTGGACTTTTGTTTATGAATCTAGGAATCTTTTCTCTCAGATAACTATTGAAATTGTAAATAAAAAAGTGACCGAGATATCAGATTCACAGGCAACAATGTTTAGATATACAAATTTTTAGAAGTCTTTTGAGGGCTATTTACCCACAAATGAATGAGAATGCAAAATATGATGCAAAGCAGATTTAACCTTCTGGCTAATTTGCCTCAATAAAAAAAGTTAAAGACATAAAAGGAAGATTACATCCCACATTTTAAGATTGTGTCTTTATGTAAATAAAAAGTTACTCAGCATGCACTTCAGGCATGAGTGAAGGTCTCTAAGTTCACAGCGTGGAAGGGACTGCCGTCTGGGATTCCCCAGCATCAGGAGCAGACTGAGACAGTGATCAGTAGTCGTGTTAATGGTTAAATTTTGAGTTCAGTGAATGCTACTGGCTGAAGTCAGGCAGAGAAGAAGAAAAAAGGGAGCCAGAAATGAGAAAAAAAGAGAGTGTGATATAGGGAAGAGAGAATGAAAAAAGAAAGAAGACAGCTGTGACCACGGGAAGCTATGGTAGAATGACTAATGAAATACTTTTAGATTTCTCCATAAATTCCCTATTCTTGCTGGGCATTTAGAATTTTAAAAAGATTATATTCCATTTGAGAACATTCTGTGATACTGAGCAATTATAAGAATTGTCTCAGGCAGAAAAGATATATTGAATAATACATGTTGATTGATAGATGGAGAATATTAGTAGATTGTTATTTCAGCCTTTCTATTGTGATCCACACCCAGGTCCGAACAGCATTTTCAGCCTCCTACTGTGTGCCAAGTCAGTGGCTGGTGTCATGCATACAAAGATGTGCATGATAGCATTTCTAACTTTCGTGAGCTCACAATCTATAGGTATGTCAGTTTCAATGTTCTGTGCTAATGTCTTGATAGGCATTAGGTGTAGGGCATAATGAGAACACTGGGAGGTAACTCACCCAACGTTAACAGATCAGGAAAGGAATCTTAGTGCATGTGACATTTGAGATGAAACCAGAATGGTAATACCCAGGAAAGGCACTGGGAAAAAACTGTTTTCAAGTAGCAAGAACTCAAAGGCTTGGAGTGTCAATGGTCATCGGAGGGAAGTAGTATGGTCCTGCTGCCATGTGAGCAGAGGACTTCCACAGCAAGCCAATGAACCTGGAAAAGCCACAGGAGTGGATCCTGGAGGCTTTTGTCCACACTGCTGAGCTGCTTGTACTTTTTCAGCTGAGATCGGGCACGTTCAGGGTGGTATGGCTGTAAACGATACTTGGACTTTTACAGGTATCAACCAAGTTTCTTAATTTTTCTGTCACTTCCAAGGTGACTGAATTTCATTTGTGGTATCAGAGGGCACAAAGATAGATGTATAGGAATTATTCTAGGCAAACAGGAAGATCTCAATGGATTTAGGATAATGGATGGGGCTTCAGTGTGGAGTTTTAAGGAGGCTGTGGTATGGTCAGGCTTGCATTTCATGAAGTGGTCTGTGGTACTTCCAGCCTGGTGAGTTGATCTAAAGAAGCCTTAGGTCAAACGGAAATATATTACCCCTTAATAGAAAACACAATTTATTTGCATTTGAACAATAACTATTGGATTTGAATATACAATGCATTAAATGATTGTGTTTTGTTTGGCTCATAAAAAGTTTTCGAAAAAGGAATTCTGGTCTTTTCTGCATATCTCTTTTTCCCATTTACAAAACATAAAACTTAAATGCTCTTACTTGATACAAAAACATAAACTGTGGAAAGGACACCCTGTTTCATAAATGGTGCTGGAAAAACTGGATAGCCACGTGTAGAAGAATGAAACTGGATCCATATCTCTCACCTTATACAAAAATCTACTCAAGGTGGATCAAAGATTTAAATCTAAGACCTGAAACCATAAAAATTATAGAAGATAATGTTGGAAAAACTCTTCTGGACATTGGCCTAAGCAAAGAATTCATGACTCAAACCCCAAAAGCAAATGCAGCAAAACAAAAATAAATAGGACCTGATTAAATTAAAAAGCTTCTGCACAGCAAAAGAAATAATCATCAGAGTAAACAATGCACAGAATGGGAGGAAATATTTGCAAATTATGCACCTAACGAAGGACTAGTATCCAGAATCTATAAGAACTCAAACAAATCAGCAAGAAAAAAAAATCCCATCAAAAAGTAGGCAAATGACATAAATAAACATTTCTCAAAAGAAGATATACAAATTGCCGGGAAACATAAATAAATGCTCAACATCACTAAACATCAGGGAAATGTAAATTAAAACCACAATGAGATATTACCTTACTCCTGCAAGAATGGCTATTATTACACTTGATCTTAGCCAAAAGGCTGAGAAGCGATAAGAATGGCCATCATTAAAGTCAGAAAACAATAGATGTTGGCGTGGATGTGGTGAAAAGGTAACAGTTTTACACTGCTGGTGAGAATGTAAATTAGTACAACCTGTATGGATAACAATATGGAGATTCCTTAAAGAACTAAATGTAGATCTACCATCAACCCCACTACTGGCTATCTACCCAAAGGAAAATAAGTAATTAAATGAAAAAACACATGCACACACGTTTATTGCAGCACAATTCACAGCTTCAAAGATATGGAACCAACCTAAGTGACCATCAACCAATGAGTGGATAAAGAAAATGTGGCATGTTGGGCTGGGCGCGGTGGCTCACACCTGTCATCTCAGCACTTTGGGAGGCCAAGGTGGGTGAATCACCTGAGGTCGAGTTCGAGACCAGCCTGGCCAACATGGTGAAACCTTGTCTCTACTAAAAATTCAAAAAAAAAAAAAAAAAAAAAAATTAGCCAGGCATGGTGGCAGGCGCCTGTAATCCCAGCTACTCTGGAGGCTGAGGTAGAAGAATCGCTTGAATCAGGGAGGCGGAGGTTGCACTGAGCCGAGATCGTGCCATTGCATTCCAGCTTGGGCAACAAGAGTGAAACTGTCTCAAAAACAAAACAAAAAAAACAACAAAAAAAGAAAATGTGGCATGTATACACCATGGAATACTACTCAGTCATAAAAAGGGACAAAATAATGTCTTTTGCAGCAACTTGGATAGTGCTGAAGGCCATGATTCTAAGTGAAGTAATTCAGGGATGGAAAACCAAATACCATACGTTCTCACTTAAAAGTGGGAGCTAAGCTATGAGGACATAAGGACATACAGTGATATATTGTCTTTGGAGACTCAGAAGGGGGAAGGTGGGAGGAGGGATGTGGGATAAAAAACTATATATAGGGTACAACGTACACTACCTGGGTGATGGGTACACTAAACTCTCAGACTTCACCACTATATAATTAATCCATGTAACCAAAAACCACTTGTACTCCAAAAGCTATTGAAATAAAACATATTTTTAAAAATTCTCTTATTTGACCTGTGTTGGGATTTCATATTTTAGATTCTTGCCTAAAAATAAAATACACAAACAGAGAATTGCAGCAAAAACACAAACATAAATGACTACAGGAAGAGACCATAAGTTGATTCCAAAAAACATATATCTAAATTAGCCTTACTAATTCATAGTTGTGTCTTACACAGGGAACACAGATTGGCTTGTCTTATAATTTATTTCCACATTTCTTCGATGTCAGTAAAGAATTTTCCTGTTTGGAAAAACATAGCACTGGGCAGAGGGCACCTGGGTTCTGATCAATTGTTGGTCTAGTCATTTGACTTCTTTGTAACTGGTTTTTAAAAGTGGGAGAATAATGCTTTTTTTTGTCTACTAAAGATTGTTAATGAGGCTCAAGTTTGGTAGAGTATGGAGTTCCTCTGACAGCCACTGTAGGGTGACAGCAGCCATAATAAATATATGACAATTTCAAGGTGAAACAGAGTAGAAGAGCCAAGGCTCCTGGTTCAAGTGTCTGTCAACAAACGGGCATTCAGCAATTAAGCTGTTGAGTAAGTGAATGTGTACACATTCACATTTTGACATACACATACATTAAAACACATATTTAAGTGTTAAAATTATTGAGGATCCTAAATTATAAAAATATATTTAGGAAAGTAGTCCTTAATTCCAGCTACTGGTAGGTAAATAGAACTAGTCACACTATCTGTATCCAGTTGTCAATATAGTCAAAAAATGAAAATAAATGGTGGGGAGGGCGAGAGGAGGGAGAGCATCAGGGCAAATAGCTAATGTATGCGGGGCTTAAAACCTAGATGACAGGTTGATGGGTGCCGCAAACCACCATGGCACACGTATACCTATGTAACAAACCTGCATGTTCTGCACATGTATCCCGGAACTTAAAGTAAAATAAAAATAAAAAAAAAAACCTAACATCCTCCCGCCATGTGTGCATAGAAATGTCATTTCTCCTGACTCTCTGATGCCACCTTGTTTACATTTTTTACCTACTTTTACCCTCATTTATTCAAACTCATCATTTGTAATAACCTGGTTTTATTTTTTATTTTTTTTTAATTTTCTTTTTTCTTTTTTCTGAGACAGAGTCTCATTCTGTCGCCCAGGCTGGAGTGCAGTGGCGCGATCTTGGCTCACTGCAACCTCCGCCTCCTGGGTTCACATGACTCTCCTGCCTCAGCCTCCCGAGTAGCTGGGATTACAGGCGCACACCACCACGCCCGGCTAATTTTTTGAGTATTTTTAGTAGAGACGGGGTTTCACTATGTTGGCCAGACTGGTCTCGAACTCCTGACCTCGTGATCCGCCCGCCTCGGCCTCCCAAAGTGCTGAGATTACAGGCGTGAGCCATCGTGCCCGGCCTATAATAACCTGGTTTTAAAGTGGGATTTATCAGAACATAGACCGTGTTCTATGAGGGATATTCAGTTTTAGTTGTGTAGGAGGTTGAGAAAATACAGGACTTTTCAGCATTAGGATTTGATGATGCCGCTTTAGGTGAGAATGTCCCCTAAACAGCGGGAGTTGGCAGGAGGAGGCAGGGTGCTGCCACGGGTGTCTGTGGTCCTGGACAAGTCACTTGTGTGAAAGAAGGGTCTTCGTTCTCATGTTTTTGGGCACACCCTCCACCTGATTTCCCAACTGTGACATGGAATAGCTCTGGAAGGGGACCTTCTGGTGGAGGAAGCAGGAGGCCACACAAGCTTCTCCTCCATGGTCTCTCATTTACGTTTCCCTTGAGCTACTCAGTTTGGGGATCTGCTGGATGCTTTTCTTTTAAAACTTAATCCCAAGCAACAAACCTCTTAGGTCTTCCGAGACAGGATCCGTTTCCAATAGTAAGGATAAAGAAAGAAAATACAAAGAACACACAACTAGTCAAGTGTTTACAGTTAACCTGTAGTAAGCAGGCTGGGACCACTTGAGGCCCCTTGCCCAGCTTCTCACCTCTTTCCCACTGAGCAGGACTCATTCTCCATCCCTGGGACCTTTCCCCAACATCTTTTCCTTCTCACTGAAATGTCCAGATTTAAGGTTCTCAGACCCCCTTGACTCCACTTGTTTGTAGACTGAGAAACTGATCTTCTCTAGGAAATGGGCAAGGCTGTGGACCGTCATACAATATAGATCTCACTTTTCATGGGAAGTAACTTCACTTCACTCCTGGAGCAAGAAGCCTCGTTTACTACATAGCTCCATCCTTAGCGTCAGTCACTATTTCACCTGCATCAAATTACACACATCAAGTCAAGAGCGGCTCTGTCTTTCACACTGATATGAACCAACAAATAACATATTGTTAGATAGGATCTATTTTGGCCAAAAACCCCACAAGCTTTACATTTTCTTCTTTCTCTGGATTGGATGGGGTTGGAGCAGGAATAATTTCTGTATCATTTGTACTTTAAGTTTGCAAATGGCAGGACTGCAGCTTCCAGAAGAGGCTGGCACACAGAAGCTGGTCTTGTGAGCTTGGCTTACAGGAAAAGAATGTGTTTGAGAGACAACCAAGAGAGAACTGATCTTCAAATCTTCCAGGAGAGAATCCATCCTATCTAGCCCGAGGGACACATGCATGGGAAGCGCTGACCAAACTGTATCGTTCCCCTTCCCAGGACTGTCCCTCTTCAGGAAAAGACCACACATGGCAGAGAAAAGACTGAACTCATGATTTCAGTCTGGGATATTTTCCATATTCTATATATTGTTATTTTGAAATTCAAAAATTACAATCTGTCCTTGGCTACAGGGTACTCTAAATATTAACAGCCCTATATTCATGTATGAAGGCAAAAAAAAAATCTACCTTCACTTAATGTGACTACAGGATCTCTAACAACTATAGTATAACAGTCTGTCGCAAGTGTATTGGATGTTTCAGTTTGCCAGACCTGTCATGATAAATTAATTACAGGATGTTGCAGAAATGGCAACGCTCCAGCAGCATCTTGCATAGTTTAATATAGACCCATTTCCCCATTTCAATGTATTTGTGGTTAGATAAATCCTCAGAAATTTACAGCTGCTATAGACTAGTTTATTATGTACTCTGCCTGCACACATGATAAGTATAAGAATTCGATGTGCTTAAAGTGCATAGATTTTACTGATATTTCTTTACCACCATGGAAATATTTAGTTGCTAAAAGTAGCTTCAGTAGACACGTCTGAACATTAACTTTTGTATAATAGGCAGGGATGGTTAAACACATTACTGTGCTTAACTTTTATTAAAGAATCATAGTTCAGGAAAAGTTATGTGGAGCATTTATACAGAATGGCCCTGTGAACAAATTTAAGACCAAAAAAACACCTTAACTACTGATTCTCAGCTGAAAACATCAAAAAACCAAACTGAAGCTACCAAACTTTTCTCTAGGGAACCTTCTTCCTTTAGTCTTGTGACCGCTTTGCGCAAGCTTCAGTTGCTTATTTTTGCCCTGGCAGCAAGTTATGTTCCTCAACTTCTTGCTTTTTCCTCCTTTCAGACTATTTTTTTCTTATCTTCACTAACATCTCCACTCCAAGCAATGTTAAGAAATCATCCTTTGATTGGCAATATTTGAGTTTACTTACATAAATGTTTTATAAGGAAACCATTCTTAAATTTTCTTCTATTCTTTCATTGGGCTCAAATCATTTTTATGAAGAAATGAACTACAGTGAGTAAAAATCATATTGCTTAGTACTTTTAGAAATAACACTGAAGTATGTATTGGAGCATTTTGACCTAAGTGATAAGAGGTAGAACATGAATTATGTGTGGTGTACATATCCCTTTTTTAGATTGACGAGAAACTAAAATTGATTCTTAGCAGCATTAGCCTCCCTAGCTTTTCGAGACGAAAATAACCCATCTATAATCAGTATGAATTTGAGGTGTTAGAAGAGCAACTTTAGAAAACCCACTGCTCACAACATATGCTTGATGTAGATTTGAAGGGGATCATTAGAAAAATAGCATTCTTTGTGTTTACAAAACAAATGTTTTTGTTATCCAGTTCCCGCCTTAGCTTAAAGTATTTCCTATTCACAATAATTAGAGCAGAAGGATATGAAGAATGAAGTGCCTCATTACCAAGTTTGCTTCCTGGGCCTCGGCAGAGAGTAGCTGTCTGCTTTTGCCTAGTTAGTCCATTGTTAACCCTAAATGATGCTGACATTCAATTCTCCTGCATATAATTGTGTCCATCCATAGAATGAGTTCTCCAGTCAACACAGCCTTTTGATTGACATGCTTCTTGATGTTTTTATTCTCTCATATATGACTGGAATGGCGCCTTTTCGGTTTCTTGAATAAAATGTTACTGTACATGTAATTAGTTTGATTCTACAGAATCTGTTTCTTAAGGAAACATAATTATAGTATGGAGTAAAGATTTACTAAAATAATTATGATAAACAAATGATCAGTTTTTTTTAAAAAAAGTTCACTCAGATATATTTTATTTTATTTAGGTCACTGTTGAATGACAAACATTTGAGATGTTTCTAGTCCCTGAGTGTGGTCATAGGCACATGCCAACTGCTTCCTTACTCTTGTGTGTGTTGTCATGTCCAAATATCAGCATTTTCCTCTCCACAGCAACTGAGATCCAGTACTTTACAGATCACCCAGTGGAGTCTGATATCTCCATTTGCAACTAGCAGTGGCTGGAGTTGTGCAGTTGGAGAAGTTACTTAACCTTCAGAACTTGGTTTCCTTAGTTCTAGAGCAGGGAAGATTTTATCTATCTCATAGATTTGATGTGAAGAGTAAATGAAGTCATGTACATAATAAAGTGAGGATTTGGGGACTATTTTCGGTACAGTTCAATTAAATAGAAACGAACAAATATATAGCTTAAAACATTTGGATTGCTTAAAAGTGTTTCCATAATTCACTAAACAGATATGGCCATCAGATGGAAATCATTTGAATACACATAGAAGTGTAAGGTCACAAACTTTTGTTATAGTTTCTAGAACTTCCTAACTCTTAAAAATATTTGTGGCTAAATATATGACTAAAGTGACAACATGTCACATGAAGCTATAAAATGGTAAGTTATTTCTCAAATATAGTCTTGCTGAGCTTCCTAAAGACATCTTTCTTTAATTAAATTCTTCTATAATTTAAAGATAATATTAAGGTCAAGTATTCATTTGTATGTGATAGAAACCCTGCACAAGATTTCAGAAGTACCAAGCGTTAGCCATTTAAAAGCACTGATTTCATTTAAAATATGCATTTTAAACATAAATTTGCATTCACTGTGTAAAATATTTCATGTTTTAAATCTTTTAAAAACTTGATTTTTATTCTAGCTTTCCAAGTCCTATACATAGTATCATTTCAATACTGAAGAAACATTAATCTTCAAGACAGAGTTGGATGAATAACTGGGCAGTGCATTTCCAACAATGGTTTAAAAATATTATTTAGATATAGAAGAAGACAGTGTCAAATTGTTACTTGTTTGGAGAAAAGAGATGACATGGGATAAAATTCAGTACTTTCAGAATAAAGATAAAACAAACCCAATTTGTTATAAGGAAATGTTTAATGCCGTACATCATCAAATGGATTCTGGTGTCTGATTTTCTGCTTGATTATCAGCTGGATCTATTGCTTGGAGGGCACTGTCATGATCTCCCCCACCCCATCTCATCTCAGATTGTGTGGTAAAGAAACATCTTTTATTAATCTATTCATGAACATAACCCTAGTCTTACTTTGTCAGCGAGACAAAGGGGAAAAGGACTGGGCTTTCAGTAGAGCCAAATTTTCCTGGTGTTTGCTTCAACTGCTATTTTTCTCTTTAGTAGTTGCAATATAAAAACAACCCTTTATTTTTCATATAAACATCAAGAGCTTAGCAAATGCTTAGCTCCCCCTGACATATTTTTCATTCATCTTAAATTATTTCTAAACTTGTTGAAATTCTTGGTGATTCAATCAGAAAATCAACACATATCTCAAAATTATTAGCTGAAACTGCAGAGAAACAGATATTTTTATTTTTAAATTATCAAGTGCATTCACAAGACAGAAAAAAACAAGCTTGTACAAGAGTGACTCAAGCTGGCTGGGCCCAGCTGTACCTGACACACAGACTTATACATCCAGAACAATGAAAACTCAGTGCCATCAGAACAGACTTTTGGGCGGATGGCTGTAGGCTTCACCAGTTATCAGTGCCACTCAACACTTTCAAAAATGCCTTTTTTTTAAAGTTCTACACAGCGGGACATGTTTACCAATTTTTATGCCTCTACATGTGCAGGGATAAGAGCCAAATATATTTTTATTAGAAGATATTTCACACTGGGTATACATCTGGGCAAAATTTACACCTCAATGCCCAACATTGTTTTTCTCACTTCTTATTTTAATGGAATTGACTGTCTAATTTGGATAGGTCTTTCTAATTTTATATTAGTTTTCACTTTCTTGGGGTTAAATATTTTATCAGCAGACCTTATCACACACTTGAGAAAGGAGTCAAGAAAAGAACAAAAAATGAATATCCCATTATAATATCAAACTTCAAAACATATAGTCTATAATAATGACACTATTATTCTGGAACTTAGAAAAAATAAATAATGCAATATAATAATGTAAAAATATTAAGATTAAAATAAATATTAAACAATGTAAGTCTACAAAATAGGTATGTGCTTAAATATGAAAAGCCTTTTTTAAAAAGTAAAGACATTGGGAACATTGTTGCCAGTCCAGCCAAAAATCACTTTTAATTTAGGTCTATGAAGTTACCTATATGATTTGATCTTAAGAAACACAAAATTTTAATTAGAAAGTAAATTGTTTTCTTTTAATGTCTTTGTTACTGAGACTGTTTTGAATGCGCCATATTCTAAAGCTGCTTATCTTTTTTGTTTTTTGGAGATAGAGTCTTGCTCTGTCCCCCAGGCTGGAGTGCAATGGCGTGATCTTGGCTCACTGCAACCTCTGCCTCCTGGGTCAAGCAATTCTCCTGCCTCAGTAGATGGGATTACAGGTGCCTGCCATGAGACCCGGCTGATTTTTGTATTTTTAGTAGAGATGGGGTTTCACCATGTTGGTCAGGCTGGTGTTGTTGAACTCCTGACCTTAGGTGATCCACCTGCCTCAGCCTCCCAAGGTGCTAGGATTACAGGCATGAGGCACCGTGCCCAGTCAGCTGCTTATCTTTTAAATAAAGTGAATTTCAAAAACAGATACTTCATATTCTGGGCATAGCATCACACATACAACCATTACCAATATAATAATATTAAATGATTACTTAACAGACATCCTAATAACGCAAACACCTTTTATTCACATTTGCTGAGTAGCAATTACAGTGTTTTCTTCATTAGTTTTCCAACACTGGTAATGTAATTATGATGCAATTACTAACAATATAAGTACCAATACTTTGACCAACAATAGTCACAATGGTTTATAACAACTGAACTCAAAGGCCACGTTGATTTTTCCACCCACAACTTGATTCTGATTTTTCTAGAGTCATTCATAAGAACAAGAAGTAGTGGATCCTTTCTTCCTCCTTAGTATCTGAAAATTCTGAACTCTGAAGAGAAATTCCATTTGGTTTGTCATTTTCACCTCTGTGCATTTCGGCAGCTCTTAACTTTTCTTCAATTCTTTACTGGAAAGAAAAATACACAAAATGTACTAAATAAACTTGAATAATGTCTTCTGACTACAACCAAATCTTAGTGTGCTCAGGCAACAGCACAGGTAATAAAGGACATTGTGTAAAACACAAACACATACAAACACAACTAAAAAAGACCAAAATACTAATTTCCTATCTTCTAGTTTGCCTCTCAAACATTGTTAGCATCTTTTTGTATCATTAGCAATTGTTTAAGGCCTGCTCCTGCATTGACAGGTTAATGTAAGCAAGAAAGAAATAAAATCCCCAAATATAGACACTAAAAACTCCAAACCATAAGTAACTTCCAGAAATGAAGAGCAGGCAATCAGAGTATATGAAATTCTTCATTGAATGGGAAAAAAAGTCCTCATGGATGATATTCAGGGTTAGTGATTCGGAAGGATACAGATAATTTTATTAAATAGCATTCTTTCATTTAGTCTATGGCTATGCCTACTTTTATATAATTAGGTTATTACATTTTTCAAATCAATTAAAAAATGGGCTGTCTCATTTTTGACCAAGATAGTAACAATCAAGCATCCAGATGTGGCTTTGATGTAAAACAAATTATACAATTCATAAAAATCAAGAACCAATATGCAGATGAAACAAGAAGTTGCTTCCTTAGACAGCATGTAGTATTTGCACTACAACTAGTGTGAGATAAATTAGTGGGGCTAAACCTAACATTTTTTAATGCAATCATTCATACAGCATTGATAAGTTCTGGACTTACACAGAAAGGTTACTGTCCTTCTTCTAAAGAGAAAGGCTTAACACCTGGTTGTCCTTAGAAAACACACGGCAGTTTCAGAACGATGGCAAATCTGGTTAAGGTAGCAGTCAACTCCATCGACCACTCCTGAGAAAAGTGACAGCTGGCACACTGTGGCAAGAAAGGGCAATGGCTAACCATTCCTGAAGGGCTTTCCCTGGGGGCACAGGAGGTGTAGGGGACACCTGTGCTTTAAGGAACAGGCCCAATCTTAAATCAATGGTCGCACTATCTTTTCATATAAAACACATTTACACATGAGGGGCAAAAATTCTTTATCACTTGATGTTTCTTGATTTTAAATTTGTTAAACAGAGCTACTCCAGGTAAGCTTGTATCATATATAGAAGCCCAAAAATACGTTCTAGTGAAGCTCATGAATGCACATGAAGTTGAGTATAAAAATGGTACAGAATACGGCATGCCAAGGTATAATACCACTAGGGGCAAAAAAAGTCTCCCTGTACATATACAGAAAAAGTACGTAAAACTTTCACCAAATTAGGATCTGATAAAAATGGAAAAGAAAGTAGTTTCAATGAAGGCTGGGCTAAAGTCACAGAGAGACATATAAACTTCTGCAAAAGGCAGTGAGGAGGGTAAAGGATCTTACAGGAAGAATAAGGCAAAACAAAGTGAGAGGAAGAGTTCATGTTAGTGGGAGGACAAAAAAGAAGAAGAAAAACAGAAAAGGGAAGGGGGAGAAGGGGAGAAGAACAGCTGGAAATTAGTGAGATGGATCCTGCACGTGCAGAAGATGTAGGACAAGTGAAATCAATCAGGTGGTGACTGCACTGTGAGAAGTAAACAGAGAAGCCAGACGGACCTTCAGGAGAAGAACCCAAAGAGAAATTCAACTCGAAAAATCTAAAGTAGGCAGCAAAGATAACATCTTTGAGGGAAATGATTCAGACTCAGAAGAGGAAGAAACACACTGGATAGAGAATGACAAAGATGGCGCATAAAAGGGAGAAAAGAGACAGAATAAAGATGGTCATGTGCACCCTTCGGACACTGGCGGCTCCTCCTGACGATGGGAGGAAAATCAAGAGTGGCACACTGGCTTGATGAACGCTAACAGCAAAAGGACCTGAAAGCTAGGAGACAGCAGGGATGTGCTGAAAGAGGGAGGAGAAGACATCTAACCAAAAGACAAGGATAAATGCAAAGCCATTCCTTCTCTATCTTCTCATAAAGTATCTCTGTAATCTAACAGAGGAAGAAAGTAACGAAGCAAAGCCCTTTTTAAAGGCTCTTGTGATGAAAAGAGAAAGAAACATTCTTCTTAGCAAGCTTATGAAAACAAGTATGAAACTAGGTTAGTGTTTGTGTGTATGTTATGTCTGGGGAATAAGATTCATAAAAATACCGGGCCGTGGCCGGGCATGGTGGCTCATGCCTGTCATCCCAGCATTTTGGGAGGCTGAGGCGGGTGATCACTTGAGGTCAGGGGTTTGAGACCAGCCTGGCCAACATGGTGAAACCCCATCTCTACTAAAATACAAAAATTAGCCAGGTGTGGTGGTGGGTGCCTGTAATCCCAGCTACTCGGGAGGCTGAGGCAGGAGAATCACTTGAATCCAGGAGGTGGAGGTTACAGTGAGCCAAGATCGCACCATTGCAGTCCAGCCTGGGCAACACAGCAAGACTCCCTCTCAAAAAAACAAAAACAAAACACAACAAAAAAACCTGGACCTTACCCCACAAGACATTCAATCCAATAGATCTTTCCTGAAGGTTTACTTCTGTGGCAAGACACCAGGCTAAGTGCAGGGGAGGAAAAAAATGTGAGTATGTATTAAATAATAGCCCCTGACTGGAAGCACTGGCCATCTAATCAGAGTTAATATACAAAGCAATGTGTAAGAGAAACAGCCCTGAACTTGGGGCAAGAAGATTAATTCCTAGTTCAGGTACTTTGTAGCTGTAACTTTGAAACCTTGGTTTCTTTAAATGTAGAAACAACACGCTGTATTAGAAAATTTCTAAAAATTACATTCATTTTGAAAGAAATGATCAAGTAGTAAATATACAGTAAGTAGATAAATTAGAAAATGCACAAAGTTAAAATAGAAGAAAAAAATTACCATAATCTTACTACTCAGATAATTATTCATGTCTTTTGATGTATATTATATAAACTATTTTATAATCATTTTTTACTTAAAAATCATAAACATCTTTTCATGTCCATAAAAATACTTCCATAATATGATGAATAACCATATGATATTCTGTTATATAAATATTTCATATTTTAATCAACCCTTTATTTTAAAAACACTGCTCGAAGGAGTAGCCTTTTAACTAAATCTCTCCATGTATACTTGAATACTTTCCTATAAGAGATTCCTTGAAGTTGAACTGTCAGGTCAAAGAGATGCACATTTTGAAAACAAAACAAAACAAAAAAAAAACCCTAACATATTACCTAATTATACTTCACAAAGAATGGATCAATCTTATAGTATTACCAGCAGTGTAAGCGGGAATCCACATCCCATTTTCTCATCAATACTAGGTATGTATCATAAGTTTGAAACTTGTCATTTTGAAAGGGTAAAATACCATCTCATTTTATTGTTTTAATTTTCATTAATTTGATCAATGGATGGTAAACATTTTTCATATGTCTGTTGCCATTTATATTTATCCCTTTAAGAATCCTTTAAGAATGTCCTGTGTATATCTTTGTCCCGTTTTTCTACTGGTGTATTTTTTTTCTTGTTGAAAAAGCTCCTCTTAGAGCTTTTTATTTGTTAAGGGTATTACTCCTGGCCAGGTGCGGTGGCTCACGCCTGTAATCCCAGCACTTTGGGAGGCTGAGGCAGGTGGATGGCTTGAGGTCAGGAGTTCAAGACCAGCCTGGGAAACATGGCAAAACCCTGACTCTATTAAAATACAAAAATTAGCTGGGTGTGGTGACACGTGCCTGTAGTCCCAGCTACTCGGGAGGCTGAGGCAGGAGAATCACTTGAACCCGGGAGGTGGAGACTGCAGTGAGCTGAGATTGCACCACTGCATTCTAGGCTGGGTGACAGAGCAAGACGTCTCAAAACAACAACAACAACAAAAAAAAGAGTATTACTCTTCCATGGGTAAATCTCTTCCATCCCAGGTTATTGTTCATTTAAAAATTCTATGACTTTTTTTCTTTTTGACCTGCATAATTTTAAAGTTTCCATTATTTAAGAATCTGTTTTATAATGTTTTCCAATTCTGGTATCAAGGTTAAAAATAATTCCTTAGCCCATGATTACATAACTATGCATCTATATGCTTCTGTACAATTAGATTTTAGTTTTCTACAATGGAAAAATAAAAATATGAAAATTTTGACTCTAGTTCCTACAAAATGACAAATTTATAAATGTGGACATGAACAGCTTCGTAACATTTCACCTTGAACAGAAACTTCACTTCTACTTAATAGAGAAAAGGCCTTCTGGCAGGCCTTCCCTATACCCCAACCCCTACCATCCAAACACATTTTCCCACTGGCGTATCTCGGTGGAAAAAGTGGCCCACTCTTGAGCTGTAATCCTCTGGAGTTCCTTAGGCCCCCAGGGACTATCACTCTGCTCCGACACCGCAGATGGCTCCTTCTCAAGTGGCTCTTTCCTCTCAGTTTGTAAATATTCTTGTCATTCCCCTCTTTATAAAGATCTTGTCTATACCCTGTGTTTTCCACTAGTTACTGCCTAGCTTTTTCTTTCCTTTAAATTCCAGCTTCTAAAGAGAATAAGACTATTCTTACAGTCTTTTTCCCTTTGGGCTGGAGACAATCTGATTTATGCTTCCAGGTTTCTCCATCAAAACTATCTTCTCCAAGGTCGCAAATGGCCTCCCGGTTACAGATCCCAAATGGGACTTGTCAGTCCTTATTTTACTTGCCTCTCTCTGGTATTTGTCCTTGCTGACCATGCTTTCCTAAATCTTTTCCTGTTGACAACATAGCGCAACTTTCTATTGGTTTTCCCCTTACCTCTATTAGAGTGACTTTTCTGCCTGCTTGCTTGTTCTTCCTCATCCGTGTATCCATTATGTGTCCTTGGTCCTCATGGCTCTGTTCTTTTCTCATTTCAGAACTATAGGAGGGAAAGATCAGAAACAAGGAGCCAGTAAAAGAGAGCTGAGCTAAAAGCTCAGATGAGGCTTTGATCTAGGGCCGTGGCAGTGGAAACAAAAATGGGGATAAATGTGAGGATATGACAGAGAAAAACATCCGGCAGAACTAATGAGTATACACGGGGATGAGAGACAAGGAATTGCTTAAAATAACGTTAACAGACAAACCTTTGGCTGGTTGGGCTCCTTCTTAGCCATGATAAAGGGACAAGAATAAAATAAATTTCAAAATCTTAAACAATTATCTGTGGACTTACAGAATAAAATAAATTTCATCTGTCTCAGAAAAATATTAGATGCCTGGGAAAAATCAGAAAGTTCTATCAACTTAGGTGGAAACACACACAAACACACACACACACACACACACACACACAAAAGTATAGGACATTCATTCATGACAAGAAAAGAAATGAAGGAAATTTATATATAAGAAAGCTGTAACATCCTGATCTGTGGAATGAACAATGTAGCTTTCCAAATGATTCAATGGCAATAGCAAAATATAAAACAAATGTTTTGTGGATGAGTGTGTAGTAATGCACTTTATATTAGGAGAAAGAAAACACAAAAACAATGAAAAAAAAAGGAAAACTGAAGAATGGAACAGAGTATCTTCTAAGTTGTCTAGGAATGGTGAGAAACACCACAGAGGAGCTTGAAAAAGATACAAGAATTTCAAAATCAGGTATTAAATAGGACTGAATAGAGATTCTTGTGAACCAAATGATATTTCCCCAAAATTCACATGTTGACACCTGAACTCCTAATGTAACTGCATTTGGAGACAGGGGCTTCTAGGGAGATAACTAAGGTTAAATGGGGTCAGAAGAGTGGGGTTCTAATCTAATAAGACTAGAGTCCTTAGAAGATGGAAAGATGAAACCAGAGCGTGCTCTTTTTGCACAGAGAAGAGGCCATGTGAGGACACAACAAGAAGGCAGCCACCTCCAAGCCAGGAAGAGAGGCCTCACGGGAAACCAATCCTGCTGGCACCTTGATCTTGGGACTTCTAGCCCCCAGAACTGTGTGAAAATAAGTTTCTGTAGTTTAAGCAATGAAGTCTGTGGTATTCTCTGTGGCACCCTGAATAGACTAATGAAGAAATGTGTAAGTAAGTGAAATGAAGTCAGATGACTGAGAATGAAAAGGTCAGAAATTACAAAGAAGAAAGGACAGTAAATTTAGATAGAATGATAAAAGAACAAAGGAAAGGTTAAGCTCTGAAAAAAAGCACTGATAGCACACAATCTTAATCTTTCTGAAGTGTACCCTTTTGGCCTTATTTCCAAGGAATCTATATTCTAGACTGATAAGGTGAATAAGGGAAGCAAGCCAAAGATAATACAGCAGAGACAACGATACAATGGACTGTGGCAAACTGGAGAATGGATGACTCATCTAAAGGAGGCAGTCTATCTCAGCTCATTGATGGATGTCATCAAAGAATGTAGAGCTGTGGTCCAGAACTCTGGATTATTTTCAAGAAGTCAGAAATCTGTATTTCTTTTAGGTGAAATATGTAAATATCTGGGCAGCTAATTACACACACACACACACACACACACATACACAAACACACACACACAAAGACCCCATGGATACTTGCTGGTCTGAGGGTATCCCAGGCACTGCCCTACTTTTGTGCCTTAGCTCCTGACTTCTAGGCCCTATTCTTCTTGTTTACCCCGTCGTGTCTATATGGTCTTAAATTCTGTCTTCATCTTTGGCTTTCTCTGACCACTAAAGCCCACTCTAGGAAGATCAGACTGTAGTGATCCTCTTTCTTCTTTTATCTCTCACAATCTATATACAATCTATCAAAAGGCTACCTTGAAAATACATAGAACATCTAGACCTTTGCTTGTAGCCCAGATAGAGTAGGAGGAACCACATTTACCTCTTGTCTAAAACAACAACAACAAACCTGAACAAAACACATGAAACAACAATTTTCAAGATACTGAGCCACAGACGATGAAGATCTGCAAAAGGTCCCCCTCAAGTATCCAGCAGTGAACTGATGAGTGCACACATCTGGGAAAATCACTTGAGGCCCGGAACAGTGTTTATTCCCACTAGCAATGAACAGAACTGTTCCCGAGGAAGCCCAGACACTGGCCTTACTAGACAAAGACTTAAAATCCGTAATTAAAAATGTGTTCAAAGAACTAAAGGAAATATGTATAAAGAACTAATGTATGAGCAATGTCTCATGAAATAGAGAATATGAATAAAGAAATAGAAATTACACAAGGAGGAAGTAATACTAAATCTACACAAACTATTCTAGAAAATTGAAGAGGTGGGAATACTTCCCAACTTGTTCCATGAAGCCAGCATTATCTCCTCATCAAAATCAGCTTAAGATGTTACAAAAAAATTACAGACCCATATTTCTCATGAACAAAATGCAAGAAGTTCTAAAGGAAATTTTAGCACATCAAATTCAACAAGCACTATCCTTTATAAAAAGGATAACACACCACTAAGTAGGTTTTATCCGAGGAACGCGAAGTTGGTTTAACATTTGAATATCAGTGTAACTCACCATATTAAGAAATTTAAAAACAAAAACCATAGATTACTTAACTAATGCAAAAACATGTTTGAGAAATCAAACATCTATTCCTGACAAAAACTCTTAGGAAAGGGAAACTACCTAATAAAGGGCATTTATAAAAAACCTAGAATAACATCATACTTCATGGTAAAAGATCAAATGCTCCTATTCATTTCCCACATGATCAGGAACAAGACAAGAATGTCTATTCTGACTAGTTTTATTCAACATTGTATTAGAGGTTCTACCCAGTGTTAACAGGGCAAAAAAAAAAAAAGAAAAAAAAAAAAAAAAAAGAAAAAAAGAAAGAAAGAAAAGGCGCCCAGATTGTGAAGAAAGAAAACTGTCTTTTATTTGCACGATTGTCTGTCTACACAGAATATCTCGTGGAATCCACTAAAAGCTATTACAACTAACAAGTGAGTTTAGTAGGTTCGCATAAAACAAGATCAACATACAATAATCAGTAGTATTTCTATAAACTAGCGACAATACCATTTACATATGAAACATGTAGGAATAAATCAACCAAAGACCTATACACTGTATGTCCAAGACCTATACATTGAAAACTAAAAAATGTTACCAAGAGAAATTAAAGAAGTTGTAAATAAATGCAAAGATATATCATGTTAATGACTCAGATGATTGAATATTGTTAAAATGTCAATTCTCTCCAAATTAGTATCTGGATTAAATGCAATATCAATTGGAATATGCTATAGAAATTGATAAGCTAATTCTAAAATTCACGTGGAAATGGAAAGAACCCTAAATATTAAATAGCCAAACCAAATTTGAAAAGGACAAAGTTGGAGGACTAATATTACCTGATTTCAAGACATACTACAAAACTACTCAGTAATTAAAATAATGTGGTAGTAGCATAAAGACAGAGGAATAGAAAAATAATGGGCTGGGTGCCTTGGCTCACACCTGTAATCCCAGCACTTGGGGAGGCTGAGGCGGGTGGATCACTTGAGGCCAGGAGTTTGAGAACAGCCTGGCCAACATAGTGAAACCCCATCTCTACTAAAAATACAATAAATTAGCTGGGTGTGGTGGTGTGCACCTGTAATCCCAGCTACTCAGGAGGCTGAGGCAGGAGAATCACCTGAACCCGGGAGGCGGAGGTTGTAGTGAGCCGAGATCATGCCATTGCACTCCAGCCCGGGTGACAGTGCAAGACTCCATCTCAAAACAAAACAAAACAAAACAAAACAAAACAAAACAAAACACCCAACATTAGCTTGTGTAGTGGTGTACGCTACTTGGGTGGCTGAGGCAGGAGAACTGCTTGAACCCTGGAGGCAGAGGTTGCAGTGAGCCAAGATCACGCCATTGCACTCCAGCCTGGATGACAAAGGGAGATTCTGCCTCAAAACAAACAAACAAACAAACAACCCTCCCCCCAAAAAAAACCAAAAGAGAAATAGAAAAATAATAGATAGACCATAAACAGACCCACATATATATTAAGAGCTGATTTCAGCAAAGGTGCAAAGGCCATTCAGTTGAGACAGAGTTGTTTTTCAACAAATGATGCTAGAACAACAGGATCTCCAAATGCAAAAAAAAAAAAAAAAAAAGAAAAAGAAAAAAAAGAAAATAAACTCTGATCCAAAACTCACATCACATATCACACATACAAACTAACTGAAAACAATTCATAGTCTTAAATAAAAAATTATAAAACTTCTACAAGAAAATATAAGAGAAAACTTTAGTGGCTTTGGGTTGGCAGAGGTTTCTTAGATATTATACTAAAGCATGATTTGTAAAAGAAAAATTTTGGTAAACGGAACTTCAACAAAGTAAAAAACAGTTTGCTCTTCAAAAGTCACTGCTAAAAGAATAAAAAGGCAAAACACAGATCAGGAAAAATATTTGAAAATCACATAGTTGATAAAGAACATATTTAGAATATATAAATGACTCTTAAAATTTAATAAAACAAATAACCTATTACAAATGAGCAAAAGATTTGAACAGAAATTTCACCAAAGAAGATGTATGCATAGAAGGTAAGCACATCAAAGGATGCTTAACATCATTAGTTGTTGGGGATATGCAAAATCAAACAACAATGATATATCTCTACATGTATTGGAATGGCTAAATTAGAAGGACTGACCATATCAAGTATTGGTGAGGAAGCAGAACTCATACATGTTGGTAGGACTGTAAAAAGGTAAAACCGTATGGAAAACAATTTGGCAGTTTCTTAAAAAGTTAAGCATAAACCAACTATATAGTCCAGCCATTCTACTTCAAGATGTCACCCAAGAAAAATGAAAGCATAACCTTCTTCAATGCCTCTTTCAGTGATATGATGTTAAACAAACAAAAAAAACCCCTATGTTCACACAAAGACTTGTATATAAATGTTGATATTAGCTTCATTTGTAGTAGCCACAAAAACTTGTACATAAATGTTGACATTAACTTTATTTGTAGTAGCCGCAAAGTGGAAATGATTCAAAGGTCCATCCACAAAGGTACATGAATAAACAAACTGTGGTATTTAAAACTCTAGACAGTGAGAGAAAGTAGATCAGTGATTATCAGGGGATGTGGCTCAGGGAAGGGAAGAAAGATGTAGGAGGGCAAAATTACAAAAGAGCATCAGAAGTCTTGGAGAGATGGGTATGCTCATTACCTTAATTGTGGTGATGGTTCATGGGTATTTACCCATGTCGAAACTTAAACCGTTTATTTTATTTAATTTCATTTTATTTTTTTGAGATGGAGTCTCACTCTGTCTCCCGGGCTGGAGTGCAGTGGCACGATCTCGGCTCACTGCAATCTCCACCTCCCGGGTTCAAGCGATTCTCCTGCCTCAGCCTCCTGAGGAGCTGGGATTCCAGGCGCCTGCCACCATGTCCGGCTAATTTTTTTGTATTTTTAGTAGAGACAAAGTTTCACCATGTTGGCCAGGCTGGTCTCGAACTCCTGACCTCAGATGATCCGTTTGCCTCGGCCTCCCAAAGTGCTAGGATTACAGGCGTGAGCCACCGCGCCTGGCCGCAATTTATTTTATATCAAGTGTATCTCTTTATAAGTTAGAAATATATATGCATACATAAAATCTGACCTCTTTTCACTAACTTCATGGCTCCCACTTTTTTCCGAGGCACCACCACCAAGTCTCACCTGGATAATTTCAATATTATTTTAACTGGTCTCTCTGATTCAACCCTTGTCCATTAATGTCTATTCTTATCTTAAATGTCAGAGGGATTCTGTTAAATTGTTAGGTCACTTCCTGTGTTTAATGGCTTCCTACTTCACTTGGTGTAAAAGCCAGAAGTCTTATAATAGTATATAAGGTCTTATTACTGTCTCTGATTTTATCCAATCTCTCCCAGTTTCTTACTCTACTCTAAAAAGCCTAATTTCCTTACTTTTCTTTGAGGGTAACAGGTATGCTTCTGCTTCAGGGCCCGCTGCACTTGTGTTCTACATACTCACATTACTCAATTCCCTGCCTCCTTCCACTTTTCTCAGGCCTTCTCTCATGCTCCGATTTACAACTGCAACCTTCATGTCTCCTTTCCTTTCCCCTACCCATGCTTTATTTTTCTCCATACTGTAGCACACATCTGGTATAATTAGACATTTTACTTATTTTGCATATAGGTAAATAAAATGTTAGCTCCTTATAGCAGGGATTTTTTATCTGTTTACTGCTGTACCCTCAGTGCCTAGAACACTGTGTGTGACACTGTAGGTGCTCAGCAAATCTATATTTAGCAAATGACTATTACGTGTCTGTCTTCCTTGCCACACTGGGCACTTCCACAATGTACAAGTTGTGTATCATATCATTCATCACTGCATTTCAGTACCTAGTATAGCACCTAGAACAGAGAGCAGATGATCACATTTTCCCAATTGGACTGATGCTCACAAATGAACTACTGACACCTTCAAAGGCTAATCCTGACCCTTCCTCTTTATGGCAGTAGCATCGAGGTCTAGGACAAGACCAAATTCTTGATACAGACAAATAATGTTTGCTCAGGCTCATGTAAAATGCTGGGCAAATACAGCAAGACATGTCTCCTGGCCCCACCTTCCAATCATCAGATGCCCTCAAGACACTCACATTGCATTCTTCTAGAGCCACAATCTCTATCCTGTTTTTTTCTCCCACTGCAATTCCCCAACTCCAAGACACTAATCAGTCAGTCTCCTCCCACTCTCTCCCCTCTCTTCATAGCCGTATGCTCCTTTAAACTAGTTCTTTCCCACATCACATCCAAATGCCCTCCCATGAGGCAGACAAAAACTCAAGCCTTACCTTTATCTAGAGGCCTTCTCTAGCTATGCATATTCCTCCTGCCTTCTCATTCAGCTCTCTTCTGTAATTACAATTTGCATCACATCATTTTGCACCTAATTATATAATTGGTTGCCTTCTAAATGCTTCTTATTTCTATTTCCTCATCTGACCTGTAATGCTTCTTTAATATCTCTCAATGCATCTAGCTCACTGCTGGGCACACTGTGAGGTCACACACATGACAATAAATGCCTTTAATTTTAGAAATTGGGGGTAGGATGAGGATTAAAAAAAGGCAGAAAACGGATAATAAAAGTAAAAATTTAGAAGAAAAGTGGCAAGTAGCAGGATTATTTTAGAAAAAAAAATGTGGACTATAAACTACCTCCTCATAAAGAGAAATGAAAGAGCCTGGAATGGTTATTATAAAGATGGAAAAAAATATACAGTGGAGTGACAGGATGCTTGGAATTGACATTTATAGCCGCACCATATTAAGAAGAGATTTCATTCATTTAGTTCAGATTTCAGGGTTAATAAGACTTTAATATGATTAACTATATGAATTAACCTCTCTCTGAACAAAGCTGTTAATGAAATAAAGGTTGCTATGTTAAAAAAAACCCAACAAAATTCAATACAGGCTATATTAGTTAACTATGGAACATTAATACTACTTGTTAAGGATGACAGCATATTTATAGCAGCCTCATTACCAACTCTGACTTAGGCAGCAGATAATATATGAAGAACATCACAGGGCATGCGGTACAAAATGTAGAAGTTTAAGATTTTCAGGAAAATACTTTTGTTAAATTAACCAATAGAAGTTTCTTCTAGATACCTTAAAAAAGAGAATGTAACTTTACTAAAATGTGTATAAATTGCTTGCATAGAAGTGACTGACATTTCTCAAAAAAAAAAAAAAACAAAAAAACAAGACAAGAAATTCAAGTGGAAAGTAGTAAGAGGCTGTCTATGTGGCTCATTTACATATATTGGTCAACCAACTAATAAGCAAAAGTTACAAACTCAAAGGCAGGGCTGCAAAGAAACAAAAAATTAGCCTCTGTCCATTTACTTGGGTACAAGAAACTCATTTAGGTAAATCAAAGAAATGACTTCTTTGTACATGCTGGGCTCTAGTGTTTCCACCATCAACTCGCCTACAGTTTTCAAGTCATGAGAAATCTATCTTAATTCATCCTTACTTCTAAGAAATTGTAAGTAGGGAAAGTCCAAAAGCTTTAGATGAACTTGGGCATTTAGACATATCTGAACTTCTCATGAAAATTTTTATTTTCAGAAGCATCTTCAAAAAGAGAAGCTGAGCTATACTGACATCCTTTAGAAGCTGAGATGTTTGTGAGGTTTTATTGAACTTTAATCTGGAGGGCATGACATGGATCTCTGTATCTCGTGAAAACTGGTATGAAATGTAGACCGAGTGAGGAGTATGTAGGAGACATTTTTTCATTTGCGTAATATTAAGTAAAAAGTTCTAAAAATTTTTATGAAATATGTTCAAAGACACCAAGAGCACTGTTCCCATGATGTGTTAAACATGGTCATTTTTTTTTGGTTGTTGAAACAGTCTGTGCTTATTGTTTCTAGTGTATTTTGTTGTTGAGTATACGCTCCTTAGGGTCAGTGACTGTTTATCTACTATTATGTAAAATTTTAAATGTCCAGAGACTGGAACTAAAAACATATCTGACTGATAACAGTAAAACAAGAAACTATAAAACCTGGAGAGATTATAGAAAGAATTTCTAAGGTATCTTCTAGATCATGATTCTGTGACTCTTAAAAATTACATTTGTCTTTCATCTGTACAATGAAATACTGTCTTGTTAAATGCTGCATGATTTTATTAGACAATTCCTGTAAATAACTGTCATCTGAATCAGAATTTTTGTACTGGAAGAGACATATTATTCTTCAAATTGCCAAAGCATATAGCAGGGTTAACTTGAACAAATATTTTCCCCAAGGAAGCTCAGCAGGGATTGTCTGTGTGCATGTGTGAGTAAGCAAGCACCCAGCAATGTACGTGGGGGTGGTGGTGATGGGATGGGAGGGTATGATAGCTAAGCTGTTCAATGCTGTCACACTTCCGTTATATTTTGTTAGTAATGTAATTTGAATATAAAGTTTGGACATAATGTTAGGTCCAAAAGATAACTGAAAATGATAAAAATTGAGAAATATGTTGGGAATGTTTTGATGTAAAATTTTTTTTTGAGGCAAAAGAGTGACTTTTGATGGGTACATTAAGTGACACAGCAAGTACTAATTAAAAATATAAAAACTTTCCAGAGTTCTTTTAAAATAAATACTTCAAAATAAATTACCCAAATACATTAAGCATTTATAGAAAATATATAATGACAATGTTCTGCTTATTAGCTTTTTTCTTAATGCTTCAAAAAAGGCATTCATAATTTTACTTTTAATACACGTTCACTTGTTTTCAGTTAATGTTATTTCAAAATAGTACTCAAATAAAAATAAATGACAAAATAGGTCCTCTAAAGTTTTGTGTGATACTAGTTTAATAGGATTTCTTATAACTTTGTAATAATACACATTCTCAGAGTCCAACTATTAAAATATTCATTGTTTAAACAGCCAGGCATGGTGGCTCATGCCTGTAATTCCAGTACTTTGGGAGGCCGAGGCAGGTGGATCACCTGAGGTCAGGAGTTCAAGACCAGCCTGGCCAACATGGTGAAACCCTGTCTCTACTAAAAATACAAAAATTAGCTGGGTGCGGAGGTGCGTGCCTGTAATCCCAGCTACTTGGGAGGCTGAGGCAGGAGAACTGCTTGAGCCCAGGAGGTGGAGGTTGCAGTGAGCTGAGATTGTGCCACGGCACTCCAGCCTGGGTGACACAGCAAGACTCTGTCTCCAAAAAAAAAAAAAAAGAAAAAAAAATCGTAAACAAGCTAAACTCCTTTAAAATCAACTATCTGAAATTTAACTTATAGTTTGATAATGTTATAAAAATAAGAAATGGAGAAATTATCCTTAAAAGAAAACCCCAACCATTTATCACTGCAAATTATTTTGAAGAAGTTGCTTACTGTGTCATAGATTCTGAGCCTAGTCTGAAGTCCTGGGACTTGTTCTTATTGATTGATTGCTGTGGAAGAAGAGGAAAAACAAGTAGTAAGTAAAAAATGAGAAAAGACAACACAGTCAATATTCACATGCTGAAAACCCACCAACTTCCTGAATGGGGAGAGAATATGCCTGTTCTGAACAGGAATATCTATGCCTGTCCTGAACATATATTGTCTATCAGGACAATATATTTGCTCCCATGAAAAACCAAGGAAGTAGTTCTCCAGAGAGTTCAAACACTCATTTATAAGTAAAGTCAGCTTTCAGGTATGTGACCAAAAAAAAAAAAAAAAAATCAGTTGTGAATCAGTTTAAATTAATCTCCCAATACAATGTGGTATATTACTTAAGCTCTAAATATATCTTTTAGCCTGCATCTTTCCTTCATATTCTTTATAGTATACTCTATATTTTCATAGTAATACACATTGATCTGTATGCAAGAGTTTGAATTTGAAAGCTCTTTAAATCTACAAAATGTGTTCAGTATATCTTGTTTTATTAATGGCACCTTCGTGAGAAAAACAATAAGCACTTTCAAGGGTACCAAATTTTACCCTGAGCATCGGATACTTCCTTTAGAATCTGAAACATTAACTTCATATTAAAGTATACTGTGGGAAATTGAGTTTGATATGATATATAATCTATAAATCAACCTAATGTTGCTATAAAACGAATTGCAATTTTTTTTAGAGATAATCACGTTATGGAAAGGATTCGTTTAACACTCACAAAGAAAATATAAATTGTTACTATGTTTAAGTTCAATAATATACAAATGAAACAGATATACCATATGTTCCTAATTATTTCAGTAATCCAGAAAACATAAAAACAAAATGAAATGAAAGAAAAGGAATACAACCTTCTCTTTCAGTCTTGTTTGAGTAACTGCTTTCCTGGTGTTATCTCTACTGAAGCTTGTTTGGCCTTTTTAGATTTCCTTCTTCACAATCAGATTTCTGCAAGATCATTCTTCAGCAAGATTTGGCACTATCTTTAAACAAGCATTACTTTTCTTACAGATTTCAAGAGGATATTATGCTTTTCTGGACCATAATTATATGATTATTACTGCTAGCTGTAGAGCTTTAAGTCAAGCATAATAAAAACAAGAATTAAAGAGCAAGGAGACTTTTTGGTGAAAGGTGAGTGTTGCAACAGGTGACCCATTTGGTAGAACAACAAAAGAACCCATGACATCTTAATTTTTCTCCACCAGTGGAATTGCTCTGACTCAGTTAAAACGTGTTTGGGAAAAAAGTACATACACACGGGAAATTTCAGATTCAACTACTAATTCAGACTGCCCTCATCCAATAGAACAATAAGCAAAGAAAATCATCAAAACCTCAGAAAGCACCATCATAACAGAAATTATCCTGTTTCTTTCCAGACTTGTGAAATAAATTCTAAACACAGCAGTCAAATTAAATGTGAAATGTTTTATTCTTTTCTTTTTTTTAAGAGATTGGGTCATGCTTTGTTGCTCAGGCTGGAGTACAGTGGCATGATCGTAGCTCACTGCAGCCTTGAACTCCTGGGCTCAAGCAATCCTCCCGCCTCAGCCTTCTGAGTTGCTGGGATTACAGGTGTGCGCCTCCATGTCCAGCTATTCTTTACAAGGTCTCAGTATCATTTTTCTCTCTTTGCCCATGGCAAGACCAGCAACTTACCATCAATATAGGTATATATGAAACTTGATAAAACTTTTCAAAAAACTCAACATTAAGGGCTCTAATCAGAAATTCTCATCAATTTGAACCTATTCCAGAGGTTGAGGGGAGAGAAGTCATACTGAACTATATACCAGTGTTAAGCCAATGTTACTTTTAATTATTTTTTGTTATCCTGAAAAATGAATAATATGTTGCCATGTGCAGGTCTTGCCAATTCTGCTAAGCCTGTTCATGTGAAATGGATGCTGTGATATCCTCAGAAAGTTTGTCTTAGGTATGTTAAACATGGTCCCTGCCATCTTTTCTACTGTGTATTCCTATCACTGGCATACCCAAATCCTTTTTAATGATGCAGAGGCAGCTTAGCCTGTGTTCAAATTATATGAATCCTAAGTTAGAAGGGGGTCCACATTACAAAGTTTACCACTTACTTGAAAAGGACACTTACTTAACTAGGACCAATATTTGACTTCCAAACACCTTTACTCACTCATTCCTTGGTCTCAGCAGCAGCACGTCATATAGGTAGTTACTCATGGAGGCAGAAGCAGGGGGAAGAAGGAGGTGTCTCTGTGAGCTGTTTTGTTTTATTTTACCTTTAAACGAAAAAGCCCCCAAGGCTGGTGTTCAATCAGCCCGCAAATAACCCCCACCATCGACAACGCCAAAGAACATGACTGCCCTTCTTTCCACACACACTTGTTAGAAAGTTGTTTTATGACTTTGTTTCCTCTTCATGGATATCATTGATTTAGAGAGGAGGGGATGAAGAGAGGAAAAACGAGCAAAGAAAAAGTGACGAGTGAAAGGACCAGAATCTAGAGACTTGCGCTTTCCAAACCCTCACAACTTGTTAGTGATGCTTTTAAATTTAAATGCAATGATAGTTAACATAAAATAAATGATTAATGGAATGATTAAATGCTTCCACTGATTATGTGGAAATTTATAAGGAAGAAAACAACTCATAGATAGCTTTGTAAAAGAGAAAGGGGCTATGCAAACAATTCCCCCAAATATTTTTATAAACTTGAAGAATGAATATAAAATTAGGTTAATGTTCAATTAATGTATGTTACATCTAGCACACGAGACTTAAATAAGGCAAATTTATGATACGGTATAGTTCTATTTTTACATGCGGCTTATATACCTCATGATAGATATACCTTTTCCATATAATTTCATAGTTTGTTTATATCTACTTTGTAGGAGTTTTTAAAAAAAGGATGTGAGAGAGGAAAAACAACTAAAGTTGGTGGTTCAATTCTTGTCTTGGTTCTGTCATTAACTCTGTGTGGCCTGGGTAAACCACTTAGCCTCTCTTGGGGTCTTTTTTTTTTTTCACTTGAAAGTAGGTGAGGGTTCAAAATAAAAACATAAGCATCATAGCACCATTCTCTTATTTTACAGACCAGGAATTGGAGGCCCAGAGTTACCAAGGTTATAGAGGTAGTCTGAAGGTTATACTAGTGTTTTTCAAACTGATTTAATGGCAAAACTATTTTCAATACAATTTTATTCAAAAGGCTCATGTATAAATATGTGAAAGAAGAAATACTCTGGGTGAAACTAGGTTTGCATGGCCTGGCACCCCCTGCTTCCCAACCCTATGCCCCCAGATCCCTGAGGAATAGGGCTCTGTAAATGACAGTTTACAAACTACTGGAGTATACAAGCTCTAAACAAGACTAGAAAGGTTTCTTTTATTGCTACAACTCTGTTTCCGGGAGCACAATTTTAGGATTTTAAATATTCACATAAGTTTGAAGTTTTCTTTGACTTTAGAATGTATGTATGTATATATTTGTTTATTCACTTACTTTCTAATTTGAGACAGGATCTCGCTCTGTCACTCAGGCTGGAGTGCAGTGGCGTGATCATAGCTCACTATGGCCTTGACCTCCTGGGCTCAGGCTAACCTGTGGGCTCAGGCCAACCTGTGGCCTCAGTCTCTTGAGTAGCTGGGACTACAGGTGTATGCCATCATGTCTAATTTTTTTGATTTTTTAGTAGAGATGAGGTTTCACTATATTGTCCAGGTTAGCCTTAAACTCCTGGCCTCAAGCAATCCTCCTGCCCCAGCTTCCCAAAGTGCTAGAATTATGGGCATGAGCCACTGGGCCCGGCCTGATTTCAGAATTACTGATAATGTATCTGGTTTACTTGATGTTAAATCCTCCAATTATAATGCTCTTCCTTAAGGGAAAAAATTCTTCTGTATTAAGATGCAGTTTCTAGAAGCATACTGTAACAAAAAGTGAAGACCGCCGGGTGTGGTGGCTCACACCTGTAATCCCAGCACTTTGGGAGGCCAAGGCAGGCAGATCACAAGGTCAGGAGTCCAAGACCAGCCTGGCCAACATAGTGAAACCCCGGTCTCTACTAAAAATGCAAAAATTAGCCGGGTGTGGTGGCGGGCACCTGTAATCCCAGTTACTCGGGAGGCTGAGGTAGGAGAATTGCTTGAACCCAGGAGGCGGAGGTTGCAGTGAGTCAAGATTGTGCCACGGCACTCCAACCTGTGAGACAGAGCGAGATTCCATCTCCAAAAAGTGAAGACCATCCTGATCACGATTTGTAGTTTTGGATACTAATTGTGCCAATTAAAAACAATAATAAATACTTATCTGTGGGGCAGCATAATTAGGAGGGTGTTTTGGAAGATAAGGCAAAATAGGTGAGAACATCTATTTAATCTTTGAGGGGTAAGACCTAGATAAAAACTTACGAGATTTGGACTTTATAGACAAATATGGAGCCAACTAAGATTTATGCACTGGTAAGTCACATGATTTGTTTTCTATTTTAGGAAAGTATCTTCAGGAGGCAGGTAAAAGGTGCAATGAAGACTGAAGAATGGGAGAATGGATACTGTTATCAGCAGAGACCAGAAGGCTATATACCAGGCAGTGGCTGTTACACAGAAATATCCTTCCCAAGTTCGTTCCCTTCAATTCACTCTAAAAAAAAATGGCATTCCTTAAGTCCCCGTCTTCTACCCTTTGTCATTTTCATTCTTGACACTCCTCTATTCCCGTGGATTCAGATATCAAGTTTTCTTCAGAATGTAACAACTTAGCAATGGTTAGTTTTCAGCAAAGCAAGTTTAAATATAGCAATTTTTCTGGAAATATACTTGGATTCATAAATTGTAATCAAAACTATCTTGCAAATATGAGTTTTCAGCAAATCTCTCTTGAGCCTCATAGATGTCTGCAAGGTATCTGCAATTGGTTGTTGCAGGTGCTATGAACTTTACATGTCTCAAATTGAAGTCCTTCCTACATTCTTAAACACTGAGATGTTTCAATTAGAAAGTCAGATTTCTTTTCCTTCACATGGATTTAGTCACCAATTCCTAGCTCCTTATTATTTTTGGCTTGAATTATTGCAACAGCCCCTTCTGGTCTTATTTCTTTCAGTAGGCTTTTCCCAGTCTTTCAGAGCTTCTAGAAGGAGCTTTTGAAACAACCAATATGATCATGTCATCCCCTTGCTTTAAATACTTTGATGGCTCCTTACTACCTTCAGGATAAAATTCACCTCCTTAACATGCCAGCCAAGGACCTCCTCAATCCTGTCCACTTGTTCAGGTCTAGCTTTTTCTGCTTTCAACCTTGCATCCTAAGCTGCAGCCATGATGAAACATTTCTGGCCACAGCAGGCTTTTGCACATGCTGTTTCTAATGCCTCAAACAAATCCTCCCACCCACCCGGCTCCTCTTAAAACCTAATTCATCCACTTCTCACCACATGGTCTCATAGTTTCCCTTCACTATCCTTTTATTGCTTTTATGTTTCATTTTGTGACTCTCTGATTAAAGTTACTTTCACCTGTTAGACTGTAAGTTCCATAAGTGCAAGGACTATTTTTGTTTTATTGACCATTATACCATCCAGACTGTCTTCTACTACAGTGCACAGAAAACCAGCAGGCACTCAAAGTATGTGTTAAATGAATAAATAAAAATGCCAATGCTGGTAGGTGAGTGGGGATGGGGATCACTGATTGAATAAGGACCAGAAGAATGTGAGAAAGGAAAATGACCAAAAGCACAACTGGAGAGGTCTGCCATAGAAAGGAAAAGCAGTTCCTTCTCTGATACCTGAAAACAGCTGCAGGAGGGTAAAATTACAGAAATATAGAGAAAGTAGGGATGAAAATGTGAGGGGATTCATATTATATGGCCTCTCTTCAAGAAAGCAGAAGACCAAGTCAACTTGGAGTAAGAAATCAGCAGCTTGAGTGAGAAACGTGGACATTCTTTTCTGACCTGCTGCTGTAGAGAATGGGGTAGAGTCAGTAGGGAAAAACAAAAAAGATGACCAAGACCACGGGCCTCGCTGAGGAAAGTAATCACAAATCTCATGAAGAGACAGTGTCAATACAATACTATAATTTTTACAAAAGCTATGGTTAAATACCAGAGTAGAAGTGAGAAAAATGGGCAACTTGTTGTGCCCCCACCAATCCTGGGCACTAGTGAAAGAAATGGACAACTAAATGTCCCCCCACCAGGCCTGGGGATTGGTGAGACAAGTGAAACACTCCAAGTGCTAATGATGCATCTGGCATCATATTGCTAAATAATCCTGCTTTTATTTCCTAGTGGTCTGAGAGGCCCGGTTTGAGAAGAATGAAAACTGATTGCAGACAACCACGGAAGCAAGAAGCACCAGAATGCACTCCCTTTCTTAGAATTCCTGCAAACTGAAGGGTCATTGGGTTACCCACTTCCTCTTTTGGGACTAAACTATTTCCTAATCTCTTATCACTAGGGAATAGTTCTTCCCAAACCAGGTCACCCAAATACAGTGGTGTGTAAGAGGTGGCTGCTTAAAAACGCCTATAGCAATGGGGAAGCGGTAAGAGAGGTAAAAAGAGAACAGACTCATTAAGTACAAAAAAATTCAAATAAAAGAGTAATAAAAGCAAATTTGTTCCAACATGTTGAAACATCTTTTATTGTATGCATGGCTTGTCTGAATAAAAGACACACTTAAATAAGAAAAAGTTCTTCCCTTTTTATGTACCTAAAGGGGAACCATATTAAAATGAGAGACCAATATGACCCATTACTGTGACTGCTAAGTAATTATAAAAATAATAGCATACAGTTGATTTTCCATAGTTTATGAAAAGATTAGCGTATGTTTAACTTCTGAAACAAAGGAAATTAACATTAGTCAATAGATATCTAAATTTAATTATTAGACATTTTATATATACTCATCACTTTGAGTCTCACAAAGCTGGATATATCTTTATGTAAAATTCTTGTTTTTAAGTAGGGTAGTCTACAGCTTGTTTTTAAGTAGGGTAGTCTACAGCTCATATACAACTACTCATATACTGGCAGTTAATGGAATAATGTAAGCAAAATTTCATTACAGGATCTTAAAATGAAAAGCTTTTTATTTTACTTATGAGTGTTTTTTCCTTTAATTACAATATTTATAATATGTAATTCCTTTAATACTTATAAGTGTTTTTTCCTTTAATTACAATATTTATATTGTAATTTATATATATTATACATAAAAATTAAAATATAGCAGTGGTTCTCAACTGGAGAGTGAGGGGTGATTTTGACCCCTGGGGAAATCTGGCCGTGTCTGAAAGACATTTTTGATTGTCACAAGTGGGAAGAGGTGCATCTAGTGGACAGAGGCCAACAATGGCACTAACCATGTTATAATGCACAGCATATTCCCAACAACAAAGAATTATCCAGCCCCAAATGCCAACAGTGCCGAGGTTGAGAAACCCTGGAATAGAATGGTTGACAAAACAAGAGGACAGCAGAGTTAGGGTGACGGAGAACTTCCAAAAAAAGGTCATGCTGCTTGTCGAGTCAGAAGACACAACGACTGATACTAGTCAATTTGGCCACTGTCTAAAGGACAATTTATGACTAGGAATGATGGGTGGGAAGTTCTCTCAATAACATCTTTCACATTTTAGATCTGTAGCAGACTTTTAGAGGGATGTTACTGATATTTAGGTTAATCCTCCGCTTTTTTTTTGTGACACAGAGTCTTGATCTGTTGCCCAGACTTGAGTGCAGTAGCACGATCACTGTTCACTGCAGCCTCATCCTCTCAGGCTGAAGCGATCCTCCCACCTCAGCCTCCCAAGCAGCTGGGACTACAGATGCACACTACCATGCCTGGATAATTTTTGTACGTTTTATAGAGATGGGGTTTCACCATGTTGCCCAGGCTGGTCTCAAACTCCTGAGCTCAAGCGATCCATCCACCCTGGCCTCCCAAAATGCTGGGATTAAAAGCATGAGCCACTGTGCCCTGCTGAACCTTTGAAAAAACATCATGAAGAGCAAATATGTTACCTGATAAAAACAAGCCTTAGAATTTGAGAATTTATAGTATTCTCTAAACTAAGTTTTAATGGAAGATCTGTGTAAGAAAATGAGATGTGGCAGAGACTAAGCTCAGAGACTCAAATCAGCTAAATAAGGAGTGGGTTGCTAAACAGAAAAGCAATTCATCCCTAGGTTATTCTGTGAAACTTTTAATTAACGAGAATTTAGGAAGATATCGAGGAAATGACACATTCCCTAAACCTTGTTCTGAAGTTAAACTACAGGGGGATTCTCTCATGTTCCTTTCATTTCAGAACCACTGGCAATTATCTAGGTCCTGCCTTCAGGCTGGATAAACTGAGAAGATAAGCAGCCTGCAGGGTCTCACCTTGTAGAGAGTTAAGAGGGTCCTGGAAATATGGAGAGCACTTGCCCAAAGTGGCAAGAAACAGGGCTGTTGTGGGAGAAGAGACACAGTAGGGGCTGAGGTACATATATCAAATACAATGGCAGAGGCACAGGTGGAAAAGAAGCAGTCAAACAAGTTGCCAGACCTTCAAGAGAATAAAGGCCTTATAAGTTCCTTTCGGAGTAGGAGAGAGTCCCTATTAATTTCTTGAGGCTTTGAGATTCCTCTGCGTAGGTCATTTCAGGACTCTATTGTTGGGAGTGGAATCTATGGGTATGAGGTAAAGGTAACTCACACAGGCTTTGCTGTTACATCACTGGGATACCACCCACCTTCTTTATGGGACACTTATCTCTCTAGACTCCAGAATAACACATATTATTCAAATGTAAATAACATTTATATGAAATTAATACTTTTTTCTCAAAATAGGTGTTATAAGTTATTGAAACAAATTAGGGGAAAGAAAAAACATATTAGTGCTATCTGCATTGAAATTCTTCCTGGGACACAAATAAGCACTTTAGTTTTTTTTTTTTTTTTGAGACGGAGTTTCACTCTTGTTGCCCAGCCTGGAGTGCAATGGCGTGATCTCAGCTCACTGCAACCTATGCCTCCTGAGATCAAGCGATTCTCCTGCCTCAGCCTCCGAGTAGCTGGGATTACAGGCATGCGCCACCACACCCAGCTAATTTTGTATTTTTAGTAGAAACGGGGGTTTCTCCATGTTGGTCAGGCTGGTCTCGAACTCCCGACCTCAGGTGATCCACCTGCCTTGGCCTCCCAAAGTGCTGGGATTACAGACGTGAGCCACCGCGCCCGCCCGCAGGTTAGTTTTAACTTACTTATAAGGTAAGGCTTCAGGTCAGTTTCATCACTATCCTTGATATATACAAAGTTAGTTTTGATTCAGTTCTCTTCAGATAAAGTAAGAAAACTTCAAATATTACAAAAAGTTTAAAGCAAATCCAAGCATAAATTAATTTTATTAAATATAATAGAAATAAATCACTGTATTTTCTTTGAACAGAATTACTAAAGTAAAAAAATACAAATTGATATTATTCTTTAGCAATAGAAAAGAAGCAACAATTATGACCATATTTCCAATGATTTAGTATATATTAACTAACTACTGGCTATTTGGAAAACCTGTTTCACCATAACAAAAATCTGCACTGTCTATTATAAATTTGTTGTTGGACTTAATATAATAATAAATCATATTATTCCTATGATTAACAATAATTCAGATTCATTCCTGGTACAGGGATCAGTAAATGGAAAAAAATTTTCTCTATAAAGTGATATTTGAAAAGTGTTATACAGCACAATTATTAGATACTTTGAAGACTAAGAAAAACACATGCACATTGAGGGCAATATATTTATTGCCTACCATTTTTCTGAGAGGCTGACAGATTTACCAATGTAAAATTTTGCGTGTATGTGTGTTTGGCTGGAAGAGGAACTACCATGAAGTTATCTAATGCTTTTGGGTTCTCTGTTCTTGTTTTGAACTAGGCAAGAAAGCAGCTGTTCCTGAAAATAACCAGAGTGTACACTTTGGTTTAGAATAGTCTGTCCTTTGGAATTAAGCCAGCATGCTCTTATTGACTCTACATGCTTAATAAAATAATGAAAATTATTAAGACATTCCTCTGCTCATGTGAAGATTAGCTATAATAGATATTTTTATAATTATCTTGAATAGCAAAACCAATAACTGTTATTCATTTAGTGAATTTTTAGAGAAGAATATAAGCAAAAATAACAGTAGTTTCTCCACATCTTCAAAAATAATCTAACATTTCTGTGCATACTTATTACTGTACATCTAGCATTTATATAAAAACATACTTGACTGTATTAATGTTGAAACACTAATAGAAGGTAAATAGTACTTTACTACTTTGGGTTTTGTTTTTTAGAAATAAAGAAAAAAGAAAACAGCATTTTCAGGAATTAAAAAAACAGATTTTAGGAATTAAAAAAAGAAAACTGGGTATTTTGGTACCTAAAAATGGTTAAAAAATAGGATTGTCTCTGCTAATAAGAAAAGAGGCCAGGAGTGGTGGCTCACACTTGTCATCGCAGCACTTTGGGAGGCTGAGGCGCGCAGATCACTTGAGGCTAGGAGTTTGAGATCAGCCTGGCCAGCATGGTGAAACCCCATCTCTACTAAAAGTACAAACATTAGCAGGGCATGGTGGCCCACATCTGTAGTCCAAGCCACTCGGGAGACTGAGGCAGGAGAATCACTTGAACTGGGAAGGCAGAGGTTGCAGTGAGTTGGGATCCCATCACTGCACTCCAACCTGGGTGACAGGGCGAGACCCCGCCTCAAAAAAAAAAAAAAAAAAAAAGATGTCAAAGATATATTGAAAAAAGAAAAAGCAGAATCTTAAGTATGATCCTAGTTTCATAAACATAAAAAATAGACAAAGACGTGTATTTATATATGCAAGAACATTTTTGTAAGCATATGTAAGAAACAGAATGAGCATAAATATTAGCAGGACAGAAGACTAATTTTTCGTTTTATACTATTCTTCACTGGTTAAAATTTTAAAACTATGAACATGTTATTTTTTATAGTAGAACAACTCTAGTAATTAAAACAAATTTTAGTAATAACTTTCCTCCCCAAATAAATGGATCATAAAGGTTAATGCTTAGGCTAGCAAAAATAAAAAGGCTAAAAAGCAAAAAAAGTCCAAAACACAAAAAATAGAACAAAGTTTGTCAGCACTACTCGTTTTCAAAGCTTCTGAGTTTCTCTCCTTCCTGATAATACTTATATTCTCTTTTCTGTTAGATGCAATTTGTAGCACACCTTGGTAAAAATGTTCTGGAATGAACTTGGAGGAAAACATTTTCCTGCTCCCACTCCCCTGTGGTATAAGTTGTTACTGATTTGTTTCGGGATGATTAACTCATCTCGTCCCCTCCTCCTCCAGTGAAGAGCCAGCAACAAATGCTGCCATCACCCACTAACATTTCAATGAACCAGATGAAATGCTGGAAGGTACCTGGCACAATTAGCAACAGAGCAGGTGTGTTCCACTTGGAAGAACATGTAAGATGCAGCAGCTGCCAAGCTATTAAGAGGTATAATTTTGCTTCTTATTCTATAGCTTGAAAATAAATAATTTTAAAAAGGAAAGAAAATGATTGAGGTTTGTTTCCTTTTTTCATTAAAAATATAGAGTACAATTCTTAAAACTTACACATGAAGAAGGGTACAATGAAACAAATACCAAACAGGGATGTGGGCTGGGCACGGTGGCTCATGCCTATAATCCCAGCAGTTTGGGAGGCTGAGGCAGGCGGATCATTTGAGGTCAGGAGTTCGAGGCCAGCCTGGCCAAACTAGTGAAACCCTGTCTCTACTTAAAAATACAAAAATTAGCCAGGCATGGTGGTGCACGCCTGTAATCTCAGCTACTTGGGAGGCTGAGGCATGAGAATTGCTTGAACTTGGGAGGTGGAGGTTGCAGTGAGCTGAGATCTCACCACTGTACTTCAGCTTGGCAATAGAGTGAGACTGTTTCAAAACAACAACAACAACAAAAAAAACCAACCAACCAACCAAGCAACCAAACAAAGAAAACAAAAACAAACAAACCAAAAAACAACCAGGGATGTAAAAAACCAGTGTGATACAGAACCTGGCTAACTGTGCAGGTACCAACTGTATGTGTGTGTTGCTAACTAGGTGGTGGAGGAAAATGGGCACTGGCCTGAGAATATGGAGGCCATGCTCCTAATTAGCAGCATCATTTTAAACGAACTTCTTATAGCTTCCCGGATCTCAATTTCCTGTAGAATGAAGGAGTTGATCAGAATCACCAAGGATGTTCTCTAAGGTCCTTTCCATGTCACTAGTTCTGTAATTCTATGAACTTAGATGCCCCACAATTTTAGTCACTTTATCACAGACGACTTTTCATGTTCTTTCTTAAAAAAAAGTGATAATAAAAATAAGACTTGAACATGAAATTAAATATCTGATAGACTCTGTGGGAGGTTTATAAGGTAAGGTCTTGATAAAATCAAACCATATATATTTTAATAAAGGAGCTAAATTTAAGAAATGCAACTAGCCAGGTGCTAAGAAGCTCAGTTACACGTTTCTCAAAAGTTGGCTGTTAGTTCCATGACTCAGAGTGCACTCAAATCATTTTAATTACTCGAGGCAACATTATATTTCTTAGGGGCTTCTTTTCCATAAACATAGATCATTTGTTATACCTTCTCTCACTGGGAAGTAAAATACTGTCTTACACACATAGCACATTCCTAAGAGAAAAAAATATATGCAGGATTCTACTCTAACACGTGGATTCAGATAGAGAAGATCAAATCATGTTCTTCAACAAAAGAAATCCACGCATCTTAAGATTTAAAGCCTAATTTGAGTTCCATATCCTCCATGAGAACATTCCTACTCCCTTGCCCAAATGGAGTTTTATCCTCTGCCACTCCTTTACATGACTCTAAATTCCTTAAATCTATTAGAATTAAGGTTTGGGCATCAGTGGGATTAGCCTGAAGTAGACCTCAAGGGTGACTGACGATGGTATCTGAAGAACTGGTCTGCTGCAATATGAATATGAAGGTATGTTTGAAGCATGGAGATCACTCTATGAGGGGCAAAAGTCATAGGAAATTTGAAAAATCAACTACAGTCTAAACTAAGACTATGATGCAGTGAGTCCACCTAAGTAGAGTGGCACAGGCAGTGAGAACTGGGAAGTTTTGGAAACAAGTAGGAGGTCCCTATCCATAAGAACACAGGCACATCAGGAAGAGGAAGGGGCAATACCAACTTCACAGGTAAGACACTGACAGAGTTCTTTATGTTTCCTCTGGCAGAGTCAATGTTAACTCAAGGGTAATAGAAACATACTAAGGGAGGGGGGGTCAGGTCACCTCAGTTTCAAAGGTTACCGTGTTGCAGAGTCAGGGACATGAGAAAAATCACAAAGAGTAAAGACTGTATGTTTCATAGCATCACACAGTTTTTAATACAGACTAAAAGTATTGTTAGCTGTCACAGCAACCCTTTACACCAATGTTATAAATGCTTCCACTGCATTAAAGGTTTTTATGTTGTAAATTTAGACCTCAGGTTTGTGTTATGTTTGTGTTAACCTTATGTTTATGTTATGGACCTCATGTCTGTGTAACCCCCAAATTCATGTGTTAAAATCCTAACTCTCAACAAGATGGTTGTTAGGAGGTATTTGGGAGGTAATTAGGTCTTGAGGGCAGAGCCCTCATAAATGGTATTGGTGCTTTTATAATGAGAGACACAAAAAAGCTTGCTTCCTCTCTCTGCTCTCTGCCCAGTGAGGATAAGTGAGGTTGCAAACCAGGAAGGAGACTTTCACCAGACCCTGGATCTGCCAGCACATTGATCATGAACTTTCCAGCTTCCAGAAGTGTGAGAAAAAAATTTTGTTATTTAAGCCACCCAGTCTACATTTGTTACAGCAGACACAACTAAGACAAGCATTTTCCTAAATTCTTAAATCTGCTGCTGAATTACAAACAATGGGTAATATTACACTTGTAACATTTGCCCATAATCAAATTCCTGCCAATCCTCTTGACTGTATCCCTTACAGTCCTTACATTGTTGTAGGCAACCATCACCATATATCCTTGCTTATTTGAAACTGATGTTTTACCAAGAAACCATTTTTCTTTCAGTTCCTTACAGCACAGGCTACTCATTCTCACATAGTTCATGGTTCTCTCATGAACCATGAGAGCCGGGAGTTAACAATGGCCTCCTCTTAGTTCCCTACTGCTGATTTTAGGGTATTGCAATGCCAAAGCACTTTTCCTTGGGTGCTCTGACACCTGGCTATTACATCTCCTGCTTATCTTTGCATCTGTGATCTGCAGACCTTGTGGTCATTCTAACACAATGGCTGTCAATATTGGCTGCACATTAAAATTACCTGGAAAGCTTTTGAAATCTGCCCTTGCCTACGTCCTATTTCACCAACTAAATGTATTTGAAGGGGTGGAGATTGTAATCCATATCTAGTTTTTTAACTGGTTTGGTGATTTCAATGTGAAGCCAAAGTTGAGACCTTTGTTCTAACCTAAGAATTAAGTATGTCAGCTCTTTGTTCATCAGTTTCCTCTTCATCCTAACTCTTGCTATCATCCTGGAATCTTAATGTTCAAGAGTACAACCTGTCCAACACTCTGGGTCCTAGTTCCTTGACCAGTTCAACTCTAATAACATGTTCCTCAATTTCACTTCAGCTTTTATACATACTTTATGAATTTATCATAACCTGAGCTGCCTGACATCTGAGATACTAAATAAGCAAAAGAGTTTATGGCCTTGAACTCTATAGTTCTAGCTTGGTGACTCCTTTTCCGTGTGATGCTATGCCTCTACCTGGGCCCCGGTAGCTTGCTGTAACCTTGTAGAGGAGAACGTGCTTTCTAACTCTGCCAATCTTCTGATTCTACGTCCTTTCCAAATGGATAATCCTCTATGGTGCATCACTCTGGTAATTCTTACCAATTCTATCAAGTCTCTCAACCTCTTGTGTTCCTTTCACATTCACAACTCCAATTATATATTAAACCAAATCTGCCTTCTCTACTGCTATGCCCTAGATGCTGAGAAGAGACTACTGAAGAAGAAAAAATCCAACTGTAGATTTATGCCACCTCCATTCTTATGGTATCCAAAAGAGCAGCTCCCAGAACTACTAAGAAATCTTTTTATATGTCCTAAATGAGCCCCTATTTTCCTTACTCAGATGGTTATTATTCTTCTTGTGCTCCTATCTCACTCCTTTGCCACTCGCATTAGAAATGAACCTTGCTTTTTGTTTTGGAGAACATAAAAATATCTTTAATTTCTAGACTTCAACCCTTTATTAACTTATCTGCATCCCTATCCACACTTACCTGTTTAGAGGGGCACTGCTCTAAGCTCCATCCTGTTGACATTTTTGGCCAGAGAATTCTTTGTTGAGGGGAGCTGTCCTCTGCATTCTAGGATACTGAGCAACATCCATGACCTCTGCCCACCAGTATTATCCCCCACCTTGTAGTTGAGAAAACAAAAAAACATCTCCAAACATTGCTAAATGACTCCTGGATGGCACAATCACTCTCACTTGAGAACCCTCTGCTTGGAGCAAGACTGATCTGTCAACCTGTCTTTCCAATAAAGTACTTCCTGCTTCCTCCAAGATCCACTGTGTCCTTGGTGTCCTTTCTTTATCTGTCTTCAACCTGAACCTGTCTATTGGCTTTGTCTCCTTAATATATAATTTTACATCTGTCCATTATTTAAAAAATCATTCATGGACACCAGACCTCCCTTTAGCCACTGAGGAATCTTTTTTTATTCTTCAAAGTGAAACTTTGAGAATGGCTTCCATGAGAGTTCACATGCTGAGGCCTCATTCCACCTTTACTCTGCTCTTTAATCCTTGCCACTCTATTGATACCGGTACAAAGCTACCAGGGTCCTCTTGATGACCAAATGCTTCGACAACCTAACTGCTTGGCTGTTTCCAACTATACTCTTCTTGAACCTCTCTACCTCTTCTGGCTTCCAGGGCACTTTTTTCTGTTTATTATTTTTTCTTTTTTTCCTTTTCCTTTATTCTTTCTTAATTTTCTCTTCCTTTGACTGTCCCTTAATACTAGTGTTTAATTAGGTTCTGTCCTTGGCCTTCTCCTCTTATAGCTCTATGACATACTTTCTGGGCTCTGCCTTCATTACAAGCTTCCACTTACTGATATAATAGAACTAACACACTAATTCTCATTTGATTTTGAAGCTCTACATTCTCTCAAATTCCAATCCTGCATTTCTGGCTCCCAGTGAATATTTCTATCTGGGAGCACTACAGATACTACTAACAAATTGAGATATCTAAAACTGAGCTTATCATATCTTACTCTGCAAGGAATGGTGATTCCTTTTCCCTGTCTTCCCAAATCTTTCTTATTTATTTCATTACTTCTATGGCACCACTATTTATTCAGTTGTCTAAGACCCTTAGCAAAATCCTAGATTCCAACTTCACTAATAAAATCCAATCAATCATAAAATCCTGTCAATTACAGCTTATGTCCCCTGACCTCCATCCCCCCTAGTTCAGGTTTTTGTATTTTATTTCCATGGATTCCTAATTTCCTTGTGCTAGGTCCTTAGCTACCTCAAATTCAGCAACTATTCTGCTGCACTAGAATGACCTTTCTAACATGCAAATCTGTTCATGTCATTCCCTGAATTACGTCCTTCAGGGGATCCCCTTCGTCAGGAGTATAAAATTTAAGTGTTTTAGTAGAGTATGCTACGCTCTTCTGTGGCCTGGTTCCTGGATTTCTCCTGTACTTCTCTCTATTAGAACTTATGCCCAGACATAATCATACCATCCCATAACTTACTCACGTTATTCCCTCTGCTGGAAAGGTTTTTCTAACTTCACTGACCTAACACATATTTTTGCATCCTAGATGCCTCAGGTCAAGTATTTCCTCCTTGGGAACTCTTCATGGACTCCCCCAGGGTATATTTAAGAGGCTTTCTTTGTATGTGTTCCCAATATACTGTGTACATATCTGCATTATAGTTTCTACCAGAGTCTACTGGACTTGCTTGCTTGCAGGTGTGTGCACCAGCCTGTAAGCAACTTAAGGGCAAGTGCCTTGCCTACTCCTGAAACTCCTGTTTCAGTGGGGATTAATAGAGCGCATGGATGAAGGCATTCAATAAAACATGCTGACTGACTGAATGATATACGTCAGGTTCAACTGTCAAAAAACTTTATTTTGACACTGTAATGATATGTACATGAAATGTATTTGTAAAAAAAATCTATGTTGGTTCATGGAATCAAGAAGCAGTGAGGTTATTCAGTGTAAGGGAAGAGCTAATTTAATATAATAAAACAAGTTTAGTAAGCAATATACATGATAGTACAGTGCTTATTAAACCTTTCTACCAAAGTACTGCTAACAACAGAAGAATACTGATTAATATCCCTGAAGGGTCTGATGACACAGACTAAAATACATGACATTTCTCTGGCTACTCTGGCTGGTAATACATCCACATTCATTTTAACGTAAAAACATTTTAAATTATTTGCAAGTAAAAGGAATGCTCCAGAAAGACAGAACTTCTTAATTTTGTGAACTCCAGTGAGCTCTAGCATAAATGTTTACCTCTCAGGTGGGGCTGATGACACTGTCAGTATCACAGTTAAAGAAATAAGTGCAGAGTAGAAACAGCACACCTAAAGCCACAAGTTCTACTTTGGGTCCTTGTCCCATCACTTAGGCTGTGACTTGGAGTCTACTTTAACCTCTCTGGGCCTCCTCAGTTTCCTTATCTGGAAAATGGCTATAACGTTTGCCTTATGTATTTCATAATGATGTTTGTACCAAGACATAAAAAATAATGTGAACAATGAAGGATAATAAGCATAAAAAATAAAGTAATATTTTATCCAGAGAGAGTGAAAATCAAAGTACATATGTAATACGTATGCTCAAAAACATTTACCTTTTGAGGAGCTGGAGATTTTTCTATTTTAGTTTTTTCCTCAGGGCTTAAAGGAGGGGATCGCTCCTTTATCTCAGGAGGCAGTTCTTGATACAGTGCTGAAATTGGAAAAAGGAATTCATGTAATCAAATTGAGGAGCACTGCTCCATGGGGGAAAAACAACGATGGTAGGGGCAAATATGAAATTAAAGAAATCGATATTCAATTCCTTGGTGTACCAATAAGATACCTAAAACTTACTTGTTACGGCAATTTGCAATTTTACTCATTAGTTATCAAAAGAACTATGATTGGAAAATTTTAATCATCTGGATTTCAGAAATGCAGAAGGTGTCATTTTCACTTATTATCTGGTCAGACAGATGCTTATTTTATTTTATCTCAATACACATTTACCAGGGACCTGCTAAATGCCAGGATATCTGCTAGGAACTGTTGGAGAACATATGGAGATCATCAAAAGATAGTCTTCATTAGCAAGGAGCTTACAGTCTGGTCAGAGAAAGACATGTTTACAAGTAACCATAAAATAAATGTGACATTATTTGAAAGTGAAATAATTACAAAGACAAACTCTGATGTGGGGATGGAAAATGCTTAATGGAAGAAGTGGTAGGTGTATCAGACTCTGAAGACTAGGTAGGATTTTACCAGTCAGAGGTACGCAGAAAAACTAATTTGGGGGCAGGGCGCGGTGGCTCATGCCAACACTTTGGGAGGCCGAGGTGGGCAGATCCCTTGAGGCCAAGAGTTTGAGACCAGCCTGGCCAACATGGTGAAACCCCATCCCTACCCAAAAATATAATAATTAGCTGGGCATGGTGGCGTGCACCTGTAGTCCCAGCTTTGGGAGGCTGAGGCATGGGAATTGTTTGAACCTGAGAGGTGGAGGTTGCAGTGAGCCAAGACAGCGCCACTGCACTCCAGCCTGGGAGACAGGGCGAGACTCTGTCTCAAAAAAAAGGAAATGATAATTTGGGAAGACGATATGAAATCAATAAGCATGGAGTTAGGACTATATATGATATTGAATCTATATACAGTGTTGAATTTAAGATTCTTACAATCCAATATTCTATATAATCTATTGAATCTACATAGGGTATTGAATCTAAAGAGCTATGTGCAAATTTTAAAGGGTTAAAACAAAAATATATTTTGGTTAAGAACATCTCTGAACTGAAAGAAATTGCTGAGATATACTTGATCAAAATTGTACAACTAAGATTATGAGATATACTAATTGTCTTTGTATGTGGAGTGATTTTATTATTGGGTTTATCTCATATTTTGAGGGTGTTAGATGTGATGGGGGAAGCTGATCATGTTGTTCTTTACAGTGCCTTAAGATACAAAGAGAGTAAGTTCCTTGTAACAGTGGGAGTACGAACTTCTTTTATTGTGTTGTTCTCTTAGAGGACAGGCTCTCTTAGAGTATCTGCTTGTATACTTCCTTAGATTCTGCTCTTATACTCCCTTAGATAATTCACTTTGCATAGTTGGCTTCAGATAAAGATCAAGGACAATTCTTCCTACTATTTTTAGACTAGAATATGCTACTGACAGTCATTTTTTTCTCTAATGTTAAAACTGGGCAATTGAGTTTTTTGTTAAATTCAGGTAAAAAAAGGATAAAAGGGAAAGGGAAATAACCCCTAATGAAGTGTGAGAGTTCAATCATTACAGTCGCAGATTTTTCTAAGTTTTTTTTTTTTGTTTGTTCTGGTCTATACAAGGCTTTTTAAAGCAGTGACTGATGCCAAAAGAAAACATAAATTATTCTGGGATACAATAAGGAATTATGGCAGTTGAAAGATGGTCATCATTGAGACAAAGAATTTATTTCTGTACGTAGCCATCAACTCATCACTGCAATATGCTTCAGAGGTCTGGCTTTGATCATCATGGAAGAAGAACAAATTTTATTAGCTTTTAAAAAAAATTTATCTTTTGTGGAGATGGAGTCTTGTTATATTGCCCAGGCTGGTCTCAAACTCTTGGCGTCAAGTGATCCTCCCTCTTCAGCCTCCTGAAGTGTTGGGATTACAGGTATGAGCTGCTGCATCTGGCCTCATTAGCTTTTTAATTCACTGTAGCTCAAATATCTATATCCTCTCAAGATCTGCAAGCCTAAGAGGTTATTTTTGTAAACTACATTCTCAAATTAAAGCACTTAATCCCACCCTGCCTAGAGATACACAAGGGAGAAAATTTAAAAAATATTTCCATTTGTACATGAAAAGAGTAATGGATTGTAATATTTCGTTAAAATGAGGCATACTCCAGAGTGACTACCATTGTGCCAGCAGCTCTTGATTTAAAAAGCTTGATTTAAACAGAAGCTACTCCTGTTTAACCTCAGCTGTTGACCCTGTGGGAGACCCAACAATGAGAAGAAGGAACTTGGCTATTTTAGATGATCTGGAAGTTAGAAGTGCTGAGCTTATGGAACTTATATGCTGTCTTATACCTACATGGGAATTAACTTGCCCTAAAATTTCTTCCTTTCATACGGCCTATGTTTTTTCCATTACACAACCTCTTCTAAACACAAAAATATACCTCTAACAGAGTTTAAGAGTTATGTGTCAAAATCAGCTGGGCATGGTAGCATGCCCCTGTAGTTCCAGCTACTCAGGAGGCTGAGATGGGAGGACTGCTTGAGCCCGGGAGGTCAAGGCTTTAGTGAGCCGTGACTGCATCACTGCACTCTAGCCTGGGTGACAAAGTGAGGCCCCGTCTCAGAAAAAAAAGAAAGAAAGAAAAAAAAAGTTATATGTCATTCACTACTTACAAGAAGGTAACTAAAACAGCTACACAGAAGACATTAAGAATTTTATGAGAGTGAGAAGTGGTACAATTTTTGAGACACATAGAACTTTTTAGGGGAGGAGTCTGCTGACTGTGGCAGATAAACTGAAGAAGGGAGCTGCAATGGGACTTAGGGCACTTGAGAGACTGGGGAGGGGAGCAATGGGAAGGACCTGGCTGAAGACAAGGTCGTGGGAAGGTGCCAAAGACAGATAATTTTATCTAGGCTTAGCCCAGCATCCGGTAATCACGAAGGAAATTCTTCCATTCCTTCATCTCTTTGGCTGTCAAAATTGAAAACTTAGGTTAGAATCAATAATATTTTTGTTTAGTCGTAGTTTTGGGTTAAACAGTTTCATGGACTAGCCTGAAAACCAATTATTATTTATAATAATTATTTCTTTGCAGAAACAAAAGACTTAAATATTCAAAACACAGATTGTTCTCAATTTCAAGGCTGCCTATACTACAACTTTTTTTTCTTTTTTTTGAGACAGAGTTTTGCTCTGTTGCTGGGCTGGAGTGCAGTGGCACGATCTTGGCTCACTGCAACCTCTGCCTCCCGGGTTCACGCGATTCTCCCGCCTCAGCCTCCCAAGTAGCTGGGATTATAGGTGCCCACCACCACGCCTGGCTCATTTTTTGTATTGTTAGTAGAGACAAGGTTTTGCCATGTTGGCCAGGCTGGTCTCGAACTCCTGACCTAAAGTGATCTGCCTGCCTCGGCCTCCCAAAGTGCTGGGATTACAGGCGTGAGCCACAGTGCCTGGCCCGCCTATACTACATTTTGAATCAGAACCAGAATTTTTGTGCTTACAGAAGAAAAGCTTACAGATAATATCATTTAATTCCTTCATTTTACAGAAGGTAACTGGGGCGTATGAGTGTAAGATGTTGAGCTGAGGTTAGAAGTCAGTTTTCCTGACCCCTGAGTGTTGTGCTTTTCCTAGCATGCTATCAAGTTAATTGTGGATAGAATGCATTCTTCTCAAGAAGCACTACTGTACTTCTCCCCTTTAATGACAGTTTTAAGTTATTATTATTTTTGTTTTCAGGCTCTCTGCGTTCGTTCTGTTTTCACCTCTCAAGGCCTAGTGGTGAATCTACAGCTTTCAGAAACTCATATTTAGATTTTCTTCCCTAGCTCTTTTTTTTTTCATTTTAAGCTATTATTTAATGAACAAAAACCATTATTAAAACACGAAGTAGAAATTAAAATACAAGAAAGGTTCATACAGTCTTGTCACATCACATGGTAAGTTCTAGGCTTTGTCAACACGTGCACATAACTTTTAAATAATTGTCATTTATCAACTTTGTGCTTACATATTTTCAGCTCTGGCTCATTTTTTCCCCCATAAATGAGGGCTAAATTTACTTGAGAATGAAACAACTTATTGTAGTTTTGTTTTCACAGGTAACCAGATAGGACTGAGGTATACAAAGTAAAAGAATGCAGTTGGGGAACTAGAAGCTCTTAAGATGCCAGTCAGCTGAGGAGGCACTGTGGCTAGAGAAGAACTGACAGAACTGTGCATGAGGCAGGTGGCAGGGTCAAATGAGTTGAATAAGAAAGCTGGTAGCTAGAGGGGCAGGGTCCCCGAGGATAAGAAGTCCATGAAACAAACATTCCAATCTCAGAATGGAGCAGCTTCTAATGTACTAGTGCCTCCTCTTTTTATTTTTTTACATCATGAGAATGAAAAACAATACCCATTGGTAAACATATGCAAAGGTTACAAAGACAGTAAATTAAAGACTAGAAAATGATAAAATCTTGGACTATCAGTTATACCATACTAGTAAACCAGGAAGGGAGCATAAAACTTACTTTCACTAGCCACATGATTAGCTGGAAAATAACCTTCCTGTCCCTTTCCTATGCTGCCATACCACCAGTCTTCATTATCTTTGAAAAACACTCGGATAATGTCTCCGCGATGGATGGTTAGTTCATCTGATCGATTCGCTGTGTAGTCATAAAGAGCCACTACCTAAGAGAGAGATAAGACCACCACAGCTTTATCACAACTGTACCACAGAGAAAACCCCCAACATTCACTTCCTCTTGCAGAAGAGCAGCTGAAACCAAAGCAGTACTTTGGTAAGTGTGAGGCTGTCTCAAGGTTTGCTAATGGGATGAGGGGTGGTGGGAACACAGCAGGAGAAGCAAGATAAAAGACTGTGGGATTGAGAAATGGTTACGAGCATTCAATACACTAAGATTAGCTTCAAAATAGCAGATGTTAATTTTTTAAAGTAAATTACTTGTGAAGCAAATAAAAAAAAGCTCACACACCATTTACTTTTTTAGAATTGTTTTATACTACCTTTATGTCTCATTCTCTGTGCTAAGCAGATGCATCTGAAAAAAAATTCTTCAGAAGGTCTACAGTTTTACAAAAAGGAAAAACTCAATGGAACAATCTGATTGTATTGCTTGGTTTACTGTTAATGTCTTTTTTTGAGATAAATTTCTCTACACACATACATATTTTTTGATGTTTTATATCAACAACTTAAGCCTTCTATCTTTAAAAAGTATCCATATAAGTTATTTTTACTTGATACGAATTTAAGAGGAAAAGCCTTTTCATGAGAATCCTCTTCTTTGTGTTACAATAATCATTATATTTGACTTCCTTTTCTTTTGAAAACCCAAGTCAAAATGATATGGCAGTGGCTGCACAGGCATTTAAAAATCCTTGGCTGGGCATGGTGGCTCATGCCTGTAGTCTCAGCACTTTGGGAGGCCGAGGCAGGAGGACTGCTTGAAGCCAAGAGTTAGAGATCAACCTGAGCAACAAAGCCAGACCTCCATCTCTATATAAAAAAACAACAAAAAAAATTAGTTGGCTGTGGTAGTGTGTGCCTGCAGTCCTAGCACTCAGGAGGCTGAGGTGGGAGGATCACTTGAGCCCCAGGGTTTGGAGGCTGCAGTGAGCTATGACTGCACTACTACACTTCAGCCTGGGTGACGCAGGAAGACCTTGTCTCTAAAAAAAAAGAAGAAGAAAAAAATCCCTTATAGTAGTTAAAGGCAGGAAGACCTCAATTCATTTTAGATTTAGATCTGATACACTGTATAAAGTAGGACATAATAACATCTATACTAAATAATACATTTATGCTGTTTTCCCCTCTACTTAAACAGTATCTGAAAATGTATAGGTTATACAACTACATATGTAATGGAAAATTACATATATAGTTATATATACATATATATATATATATATATATTTATAGCATGTCTCAGTGTGCACAGCACGTGAGAGTCCAGGGAAGAGAAACCTAAGAGTCCCATGTGGTGGGAACCCGGCATTAGACGTGAGAGCTGAGATAGAAGGTTAGGAGAAGCTGAGGCTCATGGAGTAAGCAGGGCTCAGATCATGCATGTTGATAAAGTTCAGACTCAATAATATGGCCAATGGAAAGGCACAGAAAGGTTTTAACCAGAGGATTCCATTACAGTTCACATAACTGTTTCTGATACCTTTTAATCCATTTAACAATATTTATTAACACATCAGGCAATTCTAACGAATGAGTTTGGACTTAACTGCTGTCACCATATAAGGGCAGTAATGATAATTTAATTCAACTGGCTCAAATGCAATGCCTATTGTACAGCTTAGCATAGTATCTAATTTACAACATGCGATGCAGGGTGTTATTTAAGGTTTACAAATTACAATTTTTTTTTTTTTTTTTGAGATGGAGTCTGGCTCTGTCGCCCAGGCTGGAGTGCACTGGTGTGATCTACACTCACTGCAACCTCCGCCACCCGGGTTCAAGCGATTCTCCTGCCTCAGCCTCCTGAGTAGTTGGGATTACAGGCGCCCACCACCGCGCCTGGCTAATTTTTGTATTTTTAGTAGAGACGGGGTTTCTCCATGTTGGTCAGGTTGGTTTCGAACTCCTGACCTCAGGTGATCTGCTCGCCTTGGCCTCCCAAAGTGCTGGGATTACAGGCGTGAGCCACTGCGTCCGGCCACAAGTTATAATTTTAGTATACTGATGTTAAGTCACTTACATACAAGCGGAACTTTAACTTTTCTCTTTGTTCTCCAAATTTCTCTTTCAGTCTCTTACCTGGTACTATCATAGGAGAGGAAAGCTAATTAAAATGTGCTGAGTGCTCACCATGTTCTCGATACCATGCTAGCTGTTTAGGTGTTATTCTGCTTAATCCTTATGACAACTTGGTCAGGCCATGTATCTTTATTTCCATTTTACAAAAGAGGTATTTGATGTCCAGAGAAATTTAGGAACTTCTCTAAAGTCAAGTAAACTAGTAAGTGATAGAATCAAGACTTAAACCCAGTCTCAATCTCTTTCCTTCCTTCCCTTCTTTCTTTCTCTTCCCCTAGTTCCAGGAAACTCTGTGATGGTTTGTTCCTGTTGTTCCTTATCCTGGGTGTGGTACAAAACACAACTTTAATGAGTCTCATGCAAAGATGAGATTAATGTATGCTTATTTGTCTGGAGCCCTAGGTGGCTGCTGGGAAGGATTCAGCTTAGGCAACAGAATCACTTACGAAATCCTACATCAGGCTGTGTCACTGTGTGAACCTCGGAAAGTCTGAAGCTTATCAAGTGAAGTCTGAAAAATTTTCCTGAATTTTACACACAGGGGTGTCTTGATAAAAGAATCCCTTCAGAGGCACAGGGGTCCAAAAAGCCTATGAGAGCCCACATTACACCTTTTCTATTACAGTACCTACTGATTATTCTCTTACAGAACCAAATACACACATCAATTTTGCATGGCCCACTAGTATCTGTAAACATGTTCTGCATTCTGTGACTGTTATGGACTGAATTGTGTCACTCAAAATTCATAGGTTGAAGTCCTAGCTCCCAATGTGAATGTATTTGAAGACATGGCCTTTACGGAGGTAATTCATGTTAAATGAAATCATAGGGGTGGGGCCTGGATTAACAGGACTGGCATTTTTATAAGAGGAAGATACAGTGAGAAAGTGGCCATCTGCAAGCCAGCAGGAGAGGCAGTAGGAGAAACCGACTGTGCTAGCACCTTGATCTTGGTCTTCTAGCCTCCAGAATTGTGAGAAAATAAATTTCTTCTTCTTCTTCTTTTTTAAAAAAATTATTTCAATAGCTTTAGGGGTACAAGTGGTTTCTGGTTACATGGATGAATTGTACAGTGGTGAAGTCTGGGCTTTCAGTGTACCTGTCATGTAAATAGTATACACTGTACCCCACAGGTAATTTTTTTTTTTTTGAGACAGAGTCTTGCTCTCTTGCCCAGGCTGGAGTGCAGTGGCGCCATCTCGGCTCACTGCAACCTCTGCCTCCCGGGTTCAAGCTATTCTCCTGCCTTGGCCTCCTGAGTAGCTGGGATTACAGGCACCCGCCACCATGCTCAGCCAATTTTTGTATTTGAGGTAGAGATGGGGTTTCACCACGTTGGCCAGGCTGTCTCAAACTCCTGACCTCAGGTGATCCGCCTGCCTTGGCCTCCCAAAGTGCTGGGATTACAGACGTGAACCACTGCACCTGGCCCCCGACAGGTAATTTTTCATTCTTCATCCCTCTCCCACCCTCCTTCCACTCTTCTGACTCTCCAATGTCCATTATACCTCTCTGTATGCCTTTGTGTAGCTTAGCTCCTACTTTTAAGTGAGAACACGTAGTATTTGGTTTTTTGTTCGTGAGTTACTTCACTTAGGATAATGGTCCCATTCCCATACAGGTTGCTGCAAAATACATTATTTCATACTTTTTAAAATGGATGAGTAGCAGTCGACATACATATACATAACACACTGAGAAAATAAATTTCTGCAAAACCACCCAGTCTGTGGTATTTTGTTAGGGCAGCCCTAGCAGGCTAGTACACTTTTAAACCTGATGGTGTCAGATGAACCACTTACTACCACCCCAGCCTAAAACTACAAATGTGTAATGCCTCACTTGTATCCATTTCAGGTCCTCAGCAACTTACAGAACCGTTTTCCACACTATTAAGCTGTCATCTCCGGATGTAGAAATGTCTTTGTCATAAAACTCTACAACCAGCATCCTTGGGAGGGTGATGACTGGTGAGGCTACGTTCTCTAAAGCAAAGAAATTGGAGCATGTCATCGTAATACCATTGTTGACATTCAAGTACACGCAGACCTCATTTTATTGTATTTCACAGTGTGGTGTTATAATATGTATTATGTTTCTGTTTGCAGGTCCTGGTTCATAACTCCCATATCCCTTGTTACAGTTTTTTGGTTTAATGGTGGGTATGTTAGGCCTTAGGGGCAGGCCTCAGAAAACAGAATGTCTCTGATCTCCTTCTGCTCTCCTTTTACCTGCCCCAAGGTAGGGCTCTAATCACCACCCCCTACCTTTCTGACTGTAGGTCTTATGAGCAATCAGAGGGTCCTTCCCCCCTCTACCCTGGAGGAAGGAATGCTGATGTCGCGGAGCTTCCACAAAAACCTAAGAGGACTGGGTTAGCAGAGCTTCCAAATAGCTGAACAAATGGAGGTTCCAGGAGAGTCATGCCCCAGGGAGGTCAAAGAAGCTTCCCCTCCTTCCTTCATAGATCGCTCTACGTATCTCTTCATCTGTTTCCTTTGCAACATGCCTTGTAATAAATCAGTAAATATAAGTAAGTGTTTCCCTGAGTTCCATGAGTTACTCCAGCAAATTAAGTGAACTGGAAGAGGGGGTTGTGGGAACCCCAACTTGAAGCCGGTTGGTCAAAAGTTCTGGAAGCCTGTACTTGTGAATGGTGCCTGGGGTGGGGGGCAGTCTTGGGGACTGAGCCCTCAACCTGTGGGATCCGACACTGTCTTCAAGTAGAGGGTACTAGAATTGAATTGGAGTACATCTAGCTGGTCATGGAAGTCTTCTGTGTTAATTGTGGTGTGAGAACACAGTGAAAACATGGTTGGAAAGTTTTTCCCAAACATGTAGATACTGCATTTTTTTGCCAACTGAAGGTTTGTGGCAACCCTGCATTGAGCAAGTCTATCAAGGCCATTTTTTTCCAACAGCATGTGCTTACTTGTGTCTGTGTGTCATATTCTGGTAATTCTTACAACAGTTCAAATTTTTCCTTTATTATTATATCTGTTATGGTGATCTATGATAGGTGATCTTTGATGCTACCAATGTAATTCTTTTGGGGTGCCATAAACCATAGCCATAGAAGACAATAACTTAATTGATAAATGTTGTGTATGTTTTGATTGCTTCACCAACCAACCTCCACCCTCTTACCCCCTACCACCAGGTCTCTCTCCCCTTCTCCTTGGGCTTCCTATTCCCTGAGATATAATGGTATTGAAATTAGGCCAATTAATAACTCTATAATGGCCCCTAAGTGTTCAAATGAAAAGAGTTGCAAGTCCTTCATTTTAAATAAAAAACTAGAAATGATTAAGTTTAGTGAGGAAGGGATGTAGAAAGCTGATAGAAGCAAAAAACTGGCATTTTGTGCCAAACAGTCAAGTTATGAATACAAAGGAAAAGTTCTTGAAGGAAATTAAAAGTGCTACTCCAGTGAACACATGAATGATAAGAAAGCAAAACAGCCTTATTGCTGATATGGAAGTTTTAGTGGTCTGGATAGAAGATCAAACAAGCCACAACATTCTCTTAAGCCAAAATCCAATTCAGAGCAAAGCCTTAACTCTCTTCAATTCTATGAAGGCTGAGAAACGTGAGGAAGCTACAGAAGAAAAGTTGGAAGCTAGCAGAGGTTGCTTCATGAAGTGTGAAGAAAGAAGCCATCTCCGTAACATAAAAGTGCAAGGTGAAGCTGCAAGTGCTGAGGTACAAGCTGCAGCAAGTTATCCAGCTCTAGGTAAGATCACTAATGAAGGTGGCTATACTAAAGAATAGATTTTCTCAATGGAGATTTAAACAGACTTATATTGGAAGAAGATGCCGTCTATGACTTTCATAGCTAGAGAGGAGAAGTCAATGACTGGCTTAAAAGCTTCAAAGAACAGGCTGACTCTCCTGCTAGGAACTAATACAGCTGGTGACTTCAAGTTGAAGCCAGTGTTCATTTGCCATTTCAAAAATCCCAGAGCCCTTAAGAATTATGTTAAATCTACTCTGTCTCTCCTCTATAAATGGAAGAACAAATCTAGATGATAGCCCATCCATCTACAGCACAGTTTAATGAATATTTTAAGCCCTACTGCTTTGTGACCTTCTGCTCAGAAAAAAAGATTCCTTTCAAAATATTACTTCTCACTGGTCTACCAAAGAGCTCTGATGGAGATGCACAAGGAGATAAATGTTGTTTTCATGCCAGCTACAACAACAACCATTCTGCAGCCCATGGATCAAGGAGTAGTTTTGACTTTCAGGTTTTGTTATTTAAGAAATGTATTTCTTAAGTCCATAGCTGACATAGACAGTGATTCCTCTGATGAATACGAGCAAGTAAGTTGAAAACCTTCTGGAAAGGATGCACTATTCTAGATGACATTAAGAAGATTTGTGATTCATAGGAGGACATCCAATTGTCAACATTAACAGGGGTGTGGAAGGTTTATTCTGACCCTCATGGATGACTCTGAGGGTTTTAAGACTTCAGTGGAGGAAGTAACTGGAGATTTGGTGGAAACAGCAAGAAAACTAGAATTAGAAGTGGAGCCTGAACACGTGACTGAATTGCTGCAATCTCATGATAAAACGAATGGATAAAGAGTTCTTTCTTATGGATGAACAAAGAAAGTGGTTTCTTCAGATGGAATCTACTCCTCGTGAAGATGCTGTGACTCTTGCTGAAATAACAGAGGATTTAGAATATCACATAAATTTAGTTGATAAAGCAGCAGCAGGGTTTGAGAGTACTGAATCCAATTCTCAAAGTTTTACTTTGGGTAAAATGCTATCAGACAGCACTACATGCTACAGAGAAATCTTTTGTGAAAGGAAGAGTCAATCGATGTGGCAAATTTCATTTTTGTCTTATTTTAAGAAATTGCCACAGTCACCACAACCTTCAGCAACTATCAGTCTGGTCAGTCAGCTGCCATCAACACTGAGGCAAGACCTGCCTCCAGTAAAAAGATGACTTGCTGAAGGCTGAGATGATCATTGGTATTTTTTAGCAATCAAGTATTTTTTTCACTAACGTATGTACACTGATCATTTAGACATGGTGCTACTACATACTTAATAGACTACAGTAAACATAGTTTTAAACATAGTTTTCTATGTACTGAGAAACCCCCAAATTTGTGTGGCTTGTTTCACTGTGATATTCACGGTATTGCAGTGGTCTGGAACCAAACCGGCAATATCTTCAAGGTATGACTGTACAGAATTGCTACGCAATGAGGAATCAGGGTGGTTTCACATGCTACCATCTGTCCACATGCCGGCAGCCGAATCTAACCATTCAGTTAGGATTATTCCCTTAACACACTGAAGGACAAAAACAGCGTGGCTCACGGGAATCTGCTTGTATTTCAGCGTTTTTATCCAATGTGCTGTGAACTTCTCATATGAAGATCACTTACTGTCTTCTGATCATCATATTGTATGTAGTAAACTTCTTTGCTTGTGTTAATTTGGCAGTGGATTGTGAGTAAATCATAACTTCCCTATGTCCAATTAGATTTTATTATTTCAATATTTTATAATAAATTAAAGTTCTATAAAGCAGTTAGGTGGCACAGTCCTATCCAGAGGTTTGTTCTGAAGTAACAGTCTATTTTCTCCTTGTTCAGTCAGGCATCACTATAGAAATATCTTTCTTGACCATTCTTTTGATGAGTGTCTTTTATAACATACCATTTCTTGCACCCTGTGGTTTGGCATGTAGGAGAATATCTTCAGCAATATGACTCAAATCTTGAGCTGACAGAGTAATTAAGAAATCTTTCTGTGACAGAAGTTTAAAGACACGAGCTAATATGTCCATCTTGGTAATGACAGGACTAGAAAAAGAGATGTTTCACAAAATCCACGTGGTCAAATTTTGACCACTGTTCACATATTTGAAATAGAGTTCTTCTTTTTCTCAAAGCTTGAGGGGTTGCTTGGTCATAATCATGGTCTCAGTGTCACTGGATTGGCAAGTTTTGTTTTTTTGACACACTATTTTCACTCTTTTCCAGCACTGCTGGAAACACCATTTCTTGATTTAGGCAGAGTCTGCCAGGCTGTTGTAAGACATTAGGGGAATTCCTTTCTGTATTATCTTTCAAGGGATTAAATATTATTATAGTGGTCTCTGAAGAATTCTCAGTGACGCCTGGTCAATGAAACCAGTGTACTGAGGGAACACCAACCAGTAGAGTTCAGCAGCATAGCTGTTCCTTACAGTTTTATCCACAATGCAATCCAATAATTGATGTTCGTAATACCTCCAAGTCATTCGACAAGCTAAGCACTGAATAAATTCACACGCTTGAGCACTTTTTCCTTCAGCCCTACTTCAATTGGGCCCATAATCATTTGGGAACTTCTCTGTGCCAGTCTAATAAGGCAATATGGCATCTGGATCCCACCACCTTCTTTATGCTTTCTCCTTGACTAACCTGATTTCAGACTCCGGGCTTCCAGAACTGTGAATGAATAAATGTCTTAGGTTTTAAGCCACCAAGTTTGTGGTAGTTTGCTACAACAGCCCTAGGAAACTAATAGACACGATTTTTACTTTGGTGAGTGCTGGATTTTCTTCTATTTCTTTAAAGAGTGTTGGACCTTGGTCTGGCATGCCATTACTTGATATCCGTTTTCAGGTTTAGGTTTTTTTTTTTTTTTTTCAGACGGAGTCTCACTCTGTCACCCAGGCTGGAGTGCAGTGGTGCAGTCTTGGCTCACTGCAACCTCCGTCTCCCGGGTTCAAGCGATTTTCCTGCCTCAGCCTCCTGAGTAGCTGGGATTACAGGCGTGCACCACTATGCCCAGCTAATTTTTGTATTTTTAGTAGAGATGGGGTTTCACCACGTTGGTCAGGCTGGTCTCGATCTCCTGACCTCGTGATCTGCCTGCCTCGGCTTCCAAAGTGTTGGGATTACAGGCGTAAGCCACCGCTCCTGGCCCAGGTTTAGGTTTTGATAGAGCATATTCAGAGAAGACTTTACTCTAGGGATAAATTAACCCCACTATCAAGGTGTGACCTTCCTGATGATTCTACCTGATGCCCCAGGTATATTGAATATTGAATAAAAATTACAAGCCATTGGACTAAGCTCCTGAACTAGGCCCCAACAGACCAGACTAACAATCAAAATGAAGTCACTCGTGCTGAAGTTCTATGTCATCAAACCAAAACTAACTTGTTAATTCACCTTCCAAGAAATTGGGAGAGAAAGAGAGCCAACTTCCCAAACAGGCCAGTTTAAATTTCCAACCAGTATGGTAATGAAGCTCCCTCTGTTTTAATCTTGACAACAAAAAGTAACCTGAAGTTAACCAGTTATTCTTCTGTTATTCTGTTTTCCTTTTCCTGATATACAAGGAAAGGAACTTTAAAAAACCAATCTGCTCTTTATTCTTTGTTTCTCCCCCCGTTCCTTCTCTGTCTATAAAACCAACTTCTTTTGCTCAGCTCACTGGAACATATATTCTATTTTATGGAATGAAATGCTGCCCCATTCTGGCAAATAAGCCAATTAAGATCTTTAAATGTATTATAATTTTGTCTTCTGACAGAAGGTTTATCATTCTGGCTATCAGAAATGCGAATTTTTGCCATCCTGTTGTTGTGTCTTCTACTCTCTGATGGTCCTTTTCTTACGAAGTTTTGCTCCACACATGTGCAGATCAGCACTCAGCCAAAGACTTCAGGGTACTCCTTAGGATTACTGGTACAATTATTACCATTTAATATAGAGCCAAATATAAAGTAATATTTTAGTAATTATTTAAAAAGTGAAATAAAATACGCTTTAAGAAAGTCTCATTTCTCAATAATGTCAAAGATAAAAAATATTTGTAGAAAACCAAATTTAACAATAAATCCTGAATTGTACAGAAGCACATTATTAAATATTAAAATGCTTCCTTTACTAATAGTGACACTAGGACTATATTTTATTTCATAAGAGGAATAAAGAAACATATAGCCCTATTTCTAGCATCATGTGGTAGAAACATACAGTCCCTTACCATTATATCCAGGGACAACCCTAAAGATATTTATAAAAAAGAAATCAAGGTCCTATTATTTTTAACTGATCTTATCTGGATAATAATAGATTAAGAAAACAAAGATAAAGAAAGTAAATAATTGCACACAGTTTATTGCCTCTGTATCAGATAAATGATCTGTTCCTATCTTGCTGTATAATGCAACGATAAGTGAAACTTAAAAACTTCAAACAAGCATTTGAAAGCATTTAATTCCAGATATCTTCTGATAAAATAATGACTAAAGGTGTTGGAAAGAATACCAAACTAGAAATCAAGAGAATGAGTTTCCAGTCCTGTGTAGGCCTCCAAGGTTTAAGTACTCAGATTATATATCTGTAAAATAAGAGGTCTAGACAAGATGATATATGGTATACCTTCCAGCTTTAAAATTTTACCAAACTAAGTACTCAATTATATCAAAAGAACAGCATTCATAGATTTTAAGGTAAATTGAAAATATTAATTTATTGGATAACATCATAGCTTTATTGTTTGTGATCACACATTAACTGAAAAAGCTTTTGTCTGATTGCTGCAATAATATATAGGAAAAGCCTCTTAGTAATATTAGACAACAATAACGATAAAGCATTTCCTCTGAATTCACCATTTGGAAATACTTTTCTTATTCTTTGACAAATAGGGATGACTTTCCAAGTTAGACTGAACTTGACCTTTGGGCTTCAAAAATAAAGCTACTTTACATGTGAAAGCTCATTTTTATATGATGGTGATATCATCTGAATGTTTGTGCCCCTCAAATTCATATGTTGAAACTTAATCATCGATGTGATGATGGGGCCTTTGGGAGGTGATTAGGTCATGAAGGCAGGAATGGAATTAAAGCCCTTACAAAAGAAACCCCAGAGAGCTTCCCTGCCCTTTCCACTTGTGAAGACACAGCATGATGATGTCATCTATGAACCAGGAAATGAGCCCTCATCAGACATCAAATCTGCCAGTCCCTTGAGCTTGGACTTCCCAGTCTCCAGAAATGTGAGAAATAAACTTCAGTCATTTATAAGTCACTCGGTCTATGGTATTTTGTTACAGCAGCCCAAACAGACTAAGACAATTGGTATGAATTAAACCTTTTCTTACTGCGAATCACAATTCACATACTTTATTATAAGAAATAATCGGTATTACATTGAAAAAGTTTCTAAAATAACATCTTTTTATTGGCTATTCCCTAAAAATAAATCAAGAGAATTCTGCAGACCTTTATACATTGGACTACAGATTTGTTAAGAGAAGAAAAAATCATAGTGTATTTTCATTTTCTTTCTTGGGAGGGATAATCTGCTCACTATAAAAAGAAAATTATGAATCACTGATTTAGATTAGGGTTCTCAAAACGTATTCCCCAGACCTGCAGCAGCAACATCACCTGGAAACTTGTTAGAAATGTAAATTCTTGGGCCCTATTCCAAATCAAGTGCATCATAAATTCTGGGGATGGCCCAGTAATCTGTGTTTTAGCAAGTCTTTCAGCAATTCTGATGTACCTAACGTTTAGTTAATACTTTATTTTACTGGTCTACTTTATAAGACATATATACTTATTTCTGCACATATCAAGTAGTAACTGAATGGGTAAGAAAGATAATTTAAAATATAAAGTCGAATCTTAGAATGTTACTGGCCAAACTTACGAAATTAACCTACTCTTGCTTTCTGAGTTATTAGCTTTACTTATCTTGCTTAGTTTCCCACATGTCACACTGAAATGCTCACTAGCTCCAGATTTGGTCAATTTAACATCTACTTTGTCATTTTTTTTCAACAATCTTATGCTCAAACTGCAACTAGGAGTATAGTATATAATTTTTAGGTTTCCTTACAATCTCTTAAAGATTAGCCAAATTTTAAAATAGAAAAATATGCAAACTTTAAAAATTGAATCTGTTCATCCAACAACAATCATCAGTTACCTATTATCAAATCTCTTACAGGCTAAGGAGAGAATAATGAATAAAAGAAATTTAAAAAAAAAAACCACTCTCAGAGAGCTTCCATTTTTTGGGATGTTACATTGTATTTGGTTTGGTATTCCTTTTCAAAAAAAAGGGTACCTCTAACATTTGTACAAGTTACTCTTCTGTTTTTCTACTTTTATGTTGCTAATAAATAGTACCAAGGTGCATGCAGATATATAATATTAAAATAATAATTTGTGCATGAATTATTTCAGAAAAGTATAATGAATTATTTTAAATTCTCTTAATGAACTGTAAGCTGTAAGCAAATGTAAAATTACTAGTAATAGACACAGACAATATTTTTAAATGAGAATAAATCCAAGTATTTGTAAATAACATCCTACTCATGATTTACAGATACAGTTTCATTAGTTATAAAACATTTTAGAAATATATAAACAGGACCGGCGTGGTGGCTCACGCCTGTAATCCCAACCTAGGTGGGTGGATCACCTGAGGTCAGGAGTTTGAGACCAGCCTGGCCAACATGGTGAAACCCCATCTCTACTAAAAATAGAAAAATTAGCTGGGCGTGGTGGAGCACGCCTGTAGTCCCAGCTACTCAGGAGGCTGAGGCAGGAGAATCACTTGAACCCAGGAGGCAGAGGTTGTAGTGAGCCAAGATCGCACCACTGCACTGCACCCTGGATGACTAGAGCGAAACTCCGTCTAAAAAAAAAAAAAAAAAAAAAAAATTCCATATTTATAAATACAGACATACACTACATAATAACATTTCAGTCAATGACGTACTGCATATATGACAGTGGTCCCATATGATAATGGAGCTGAAAAATTCCTATTGCCTTCTTACATTATAGCTGTCATAATGTCACAGCACAATTAATTTTTAAATAAATTTAGTGTAGCCTGGGCTGGGGGTGGTGGCTCACACTTGTAAATCCCAGCACTCTGGGAGGCTGAGGTGGGCGGATCGCTTGAGTCCAGGAGTTCGAGACAAGCCTAGACAACATGGTGAAACCCTGTCTCTACTAAAAATACAAAAATTAACCAGGCATGGTGATGCATGCCTGTAGTCCCAGCTACTTGGGAGGCTGAGGCAGGAGGATAGCTTGAGCCCTGGAAGTCGAGGCTGCAGTGAGCTGAGATCATGCCACTGCACTCCAGCCTAGATGACAAAGTGAGACCCTGCCTTTACAATAATCTCCTGTATCTTATGAGATATTCTGTTTCTTAAACATCTCATTTAGATGCTTTAATTTTATTCAACCAAGGTTTTAGAACTCATTAGCTCTAAAACAATCATACAGACCTCAGTTGGGTTTTCTCTCAGCATTGATGTTCATTTACTGTTACTATTAATCATCTGATACATTATAGACATGCCTGTGTATCTGTCTAGATATATTTAGGAATATAGGTATCTACCATTTACTTAATGCTTGCTATGTGTCAGGAAGGTGTTAACCATTTTATACTATACATATATGTGTGTGCACATATACACACACACATACACATATATTCATAACTACCCCATTTAGTATTTATCATGCCTTAGTTTCCTTAACTATAAACTAAAATAACTGTTATTTTTAAGTTACACAGTTTAGCAGAATAGAGATGTAAGCAAGTCTGCTTTTCTCCCACGTCTATGCTCTTCTTAATCACTAGACTTACATTATAAGCCCTCATGGAACCATGGGAACACAAACCTGCTTGGTTCACTGCTTGTCACTTTCCTTAAAATTATGCCAAAAAAAAAGGGTCTTAAAGACTTGGCATTTCTTTATTAATAATGAAGACACCTGAAGAAGATCAACAAAGTACTTTTCTTCATACTAATTTCTCACTCACAATTTGTTGAGGCCACCAAACAAGCAAGCTACATGGGAAATTGAAATTAGACCAAGGTGGCAGCATACATGTACCACATACACATATATGTATATATTAACATACATACATATGTACACATTAACATTTCTGTCCATTTGGTTACTGAAGTTGGTATTTAGGGTGCAGGAAATTACTAAAATGATAGAAGAAAGTTACTGTGGAAAGGCTGTGAAGAGGCCAAGTGCAGTGGCTCATGCCTGTAATCTCAGCACTTTGGGAGGTCAAGGAGGGAGGATCACCTGAGCCCAGGAGTTTGAGACCAACCTGGGCAACAAAGTGAGACCCCTATCTCTACAAAAAAATTAAAAAAATCAGCTAGGTGTGGTGGTGTGCATCTGCAGTCCCAGCTACTCAGGAGGCTGAGGTAGGAGGACTGCTTGAACCCAGGAGGTCAAGGCTGCAGTGAGCCGTGATGATGTTGCTACTGCACTCCAGCCTGGGTTACAGAGTGAGATTCTGTCTCAAAAAGAAAAAAAAAAAAAAAAGGCTGTGAAGAAATCTTGAGTACTAAAATTAAATGAGAAAGAGGATAGCCAGATATCAGTAATTAACTGCTTATTTTACTAAAATACCGAGGCTTATCTAATTCCAAAGTCAATCCAAATATTCTAGGAGAAGTTCGCGTACATGCATATGAGCATTTGGTTTATGGGGAAGAAGATAAGGATATAATAAGAGAAAGGATAATGAAGAAGCATAGTAGAAAACATCCCTGGCTGGGCGCGGTGGCTCACGCCTGTAATCCCAGCACTTTCGGAGGCCGAGGTGGGTGGATCACCTGAGGTCAGGAGTTCGAGACCAGCCTGGCCAACGTGGTGAAGCCCTGTCTCTACTAATAATACAAAAAAAATTAGCCGGCATGGTGGCGCACACCTGTAATCCCAGCTACTCGGGAAGCTGAGGCAGGAGAATCACTTGAACCTGGGAGGCGGAGGTTGCAGTGAGCTGAGATCGCACCACTGAACTCCAGCCTGGGTGACAAGGGTGAAACTCCATCTCAAAAAAAAAAAAAAAAAAAGAAAGAAAAAGAAAAGAGAAATATCCCTGCGTTAGCACGTTAGCATATAATTCTAATTGTGATACATAAGGAAATGTAGACAGTTGATTAGGGGACTCTAAAACTTATCAAAAAGCATTTTCAATGGCTAAATAGAAAGTAGCAAATAGAATCTTCAGAAACAAATGGAAAACTCTGAGCTTAAGGATAAATGAGTAAAGGGGAATCACTTCCAGAACAGTGAAGCAGTGAAATGGGCTCCTCCAACAATGCAAGAACACTGGGATTAACTGTCAAAATCAACTTTATCAGAACTCTGAAAACTAACTAAAGGCTTGCAATAATCTCAGGAGTGTGATTTTAAGAATAACAGCCAAATAACAGTAAAAACAGCAAGCTTTGTGGAATTTTAATTTTCTCTATTCTTATCATCCCCTTGCCAACTCCGTGGTATCCTTACAAGTCAACAATCTCACAACTATGGCTGCTGTGAAAACTAGCAGCCTAGCAGTTACTAGACAGGGCAGAATGGGTCTGGAGCACCTCTAAAACCCAATCGCAAAGAAATGTCACTTTATGACCTGTGTAGCAGCTCCCTGAAAAGCTCCATTCCCAGAGCTCATCTTTCCTTTTTTTTTTTTTTTTGAGACCCAGAGTCTCACTCTGTTGCCCAGACTGGAGCGCAGTGGTGCAATCTCGGCTCACTGCAACCTCTGCCTACCGGGTTCAAGTGATCCTCCTGCCTCAGCCTCCCAAGTAGCTGGGATTACAGATGCCCACCACCATGTCCCAGGGCTCATCTTTTTAAGATGTGACTCACAGCATGCTGTGAATGATTATATCCCTAGGGCATTTGTCAAAAGCAATTAATGGTAACTGTTTAACACTGCACCTGCCTTAGGTGGTGATATGAGTTAGGACTAGAGAAATTAATTTCCAGTTTGCCACATTATATAATCTCAAATATCCTCTTATCAAAAAATTACGAAACATGCAAGGAAAGAGGAAAGTATGTCTCCATATGGAGGCAAAATAGTTAACAGAATTGCTTCTGAGAAAGCCCAGATGTTGGACTTACTAGACAAATATTTTAAATACTATTATAAGTATGTTCAAAGACCTAAAGGAAACCTTGTCTAAAGAATTAAGAGAAAGTATACATGTACCTCACCAAACAAACAAACAAAAAATCAATATAGAGATATAATTTTAAAAAACAAGTGAAATTCTGCAGTTGAAAAGAACAATATTCACTAGAGGGACTCAATAGTAGGTATAAACTGGCAGAAGAATCAGTAAACTTGAAGATAAGTAAATTGAGATGATTTAGTCTGAGGAACAGAAGGAAAATAGAATGAACAAAAATGAACAGAGCCTCAGAGAATTATAGGATGCCATCAAATGTACCAACATATGCATAACAGGACTCCCAGAAGAAGAGTCAGAGAAAGGGGAAAAATGACCCCAAACTTCCCAAAGTTGATGGAAAACATTAATCTGCACATTGACAAGCTAAATCAACTCCAAGTAGAATAGATTAAAAAAGATCCATATCTAGACAAATCATGGTCAAATGACTGAAGGCCAAAGATAGGATCTCAAAAGCAACAAGAATAAAAAACTCATCACACAGAAGTGATTCTCAATAAGATTAACAGTAGATATCTCATAAAAAAATGTGAAGGCCAGAAGTTAGCGGGATGATGCTTTTGATATTGTGTTGAAAGCAGACTCAACCAAGAGTTCAAACCATCCAGCAAAACACTCCTTTAAAAAAAGAAAAAAGGAAGGGGCCAGGTGCCGTGGCTCACGCCTGTAATCCCAGAACTTTGGGAGGCTGAGGCGGGTGGATCATGAGGTCAGGAGTTCAAGACCAGCCTGACCAACACGGTGAAACCCTGTATCTACTAAAAATACAAAAAAATTAGCTGGGCGTGGTGGCACATGCCTGTAATCTCAGCTACTGAGGAGGCTGAGGCAGGCGAATTGCCTGAACCTGGGAGGTGGAGGTTGCGGTAAGCTGAGATCGCACCGTGCACTCCATCCTGGGCGACAGAGCGAGACTCTGTCTCAAAAAACAAAAACCAAAACAAAAACAAACAAAAAAAAAAGGAAGGATAAGCAGTGTCCTGGGTTACTGAAAAAATAAATTAAAAAAAGGTGAAATAAATACATTGCAAGATAACTGATAATTCAGAGAGTTTGTTGCTTGTGGACCTGCCCTTCAAGAAAAACAGAAGTCCTTCGGACTGAAATGAAAGAGCACTGACAGTAACTAAAATCCATTTAAAGAAATAAAGAACACTGATAAAGGTAACTACACAAAATATAAAAACCAGTACATATATATACATACATACATATATATATATATATATATATATATATATATATATATGTTTTTGTTTGTAATTCTTTTCTCTCCATCTAATTAAAAAAAACTTTGTAAAGAAATAGTTATAAAAATAAGTTGGTGGGCTTAAAATGTATAAAGATGTAATTTGTATAAAACCAGCACAAAGGAGGCAGAAGGGAAATGAACTATCTTGGAGCAAAGTTTTTATATACTACTGAAATTAACTTGGTATTAATCCAAACTAGATTGTTTTGAGATGTTAATTGTAATTCTAAGGGCAAACACTGAAAAAACTCAAGAAAATATACTAAAGGGAAAAGAAAATTAAAATTATATAGTAAAAAAATACTAATTTAATGCCCAAAAGTGAGTAACGGTGAAACAAAGGAAAAACAACAACGATAATATATCAGACATATAAAACTCCAAAACCAAATTGTAGACATCATCCTATCTTATCAGTAATTTCACTAAGTGTAAATAGATTAAACACTCCAAATAAAAAGCAGAGATTATCAGAATGGATAAAATAAATAATCCAATTACAAGCTATGTACAAGAACACTTCAGATTTAAGGATACAAGACTGTTGAAAAATGGAAAAAGACATACCATGCAAATGGAAATCAAAAGAGAACTGGAGTGGCTATTCTAATATCAGGCAAAATAGACTTTAAGACAAAAACTCACTCACTAGAGACAAAGAAGGACATTGTATAATAATAAAAGGGTCAACCAATCAGGAAGACTTAAAAAGTATAAACATATAAGTACATGATACAGTCTCAAAATAAAGATCAACATAAAAATAGAAGATTTAATCAATGCTGTAATAGATGTCTATAGGATGCTTCACTTAACAAAAGCAGAATACATATTCTTGTCCACAGAACATTCTCTAGGAGACAATATGTTAGGCCCCCAAATAAAACTTATTTAAATAAATAAATTTTAAAAACCTGAAAGCACAGAAAGTATGTTCTCCAACCATGATAAACTGAAAAAGAAATCATTCACAGAAAATTTCATAATGTATGGAACGTAAACAACATACTCCAAATAACCACTGGGTCCAAAAATAAAACCCCAGGGAAATTACAAGAGAATAAATGAAAAGAAAAACACGATACCAATATGTATGGGGTGTAGAAAAAGCAGTAATTTGATGAAATTTTATAGCTGTAAATGTTTTTATTAAGAGAAAAAGATATCAAGTGAATATTTTTACTCTGTACCTTAAAATTGTTAAATAAAAATTAAACCCAAAGGAAGCAGAGGGAAAAAAATTTAGAGTGGAAATAAATAAAACAACAAATAGAAAAAGAGTAGAGAAAATTAGTGAAATAAAAATTGGTTCTTCGAAAGATCAAGAAAATTGACAGAGCTTCAAATAGACTGGCCAGGGTAGAAAAAACAAAAGGTAAGATCCAAATTAATAAAATCAGGAATGAAAGAAGAAGTATCATTAACTACTTTAGGGAAATGAAATGGATTATAAGGAAATGAACTATCAATTGTATGTTAACAAATCAAATAGCTTATATGAAAGGGACAAAAAAATCCTAGAAAGATGCAACTTAAAACTGACTGAAGAAGAGAGAAAATGTGAATAGGCCAATAAAGAGATTAAACCAGCAATCAAAACACTGCCCAGAATGCATCATTGGTGAATTGTACCAAATGTTTAAACAAATACCAATCCTTCACAAACTTCCCTAAAATAAGATAGAAATGAACATTTTCTAATTCATTCCATGGGATCGGTATTACCATGATCCCAAAACCAGACAAGAAAATTACAGATCAATGTCCCTTATGAATACTGATGCAAAACCCTCAAAAATATACCAATAAACAGAATCAACATATGAAAAAGATTATATTATACATCATAACAAGTGGGATTTGTCAAGGGAATGACAGGTTGGCTTAACATATGAAAATCTACCAATGTAACAGACCATATTAATAGTATTAAAGGTAAGATCCACAGAACAAACTCAGTAGATATGGAAAATCATTTAATAAAATTTAACATCATTTCCTAAGAAAAACACTCAACAAAAGTAAGAACACAAGGAAATGTCCTCAACCTGATAATATATAATAACCTGATATATAGCCTATAAAGGCTATATATAGGCTACACACACACACATACATAACAGCATAGCTAATTTCATAATTAATGGTAAAAGACTGACAGTTTACCTTCTAAGATTAGGAAAAAGACAGGGACATTCATACCACTTCAACATTGTACTGGAGGTTCTAACTGGAAAAATTAGGCAAGAAAAAAAAAAGGCACCCGGATCGGAAAGGAGAAGTAAAACTATCTCTATTAGTAGAGTATGCAGACAATCTCAAAGAACTGATCCCCCCAACAAAATCTGAAAAAAAACAAACCCCAGAAAAACCTGTTAGAATATACAGATTCAAAAAGGTCTCAGGATACATGAGCAATATACAAAAAACCACTTGTCTTTCTATACCCAAGCAACAAACATCTTTACCTGAGTAATGAACAATCTGAACATAACACCAATTCCATTTGCAATGGCATACAAATAAATTTAACAAAAAAAATGCTGAAAACCACAAAACACCATTGAAAAAATTTAAACAGACCTAAATAAATGGACCCATGCTAAAAGACTGGGAAGACTTAATGTTTTCACAATTTAATCTATGAATTCAATGCAATTCCCATAAAAAATTTTGCAAAGGCTGAGAAGGTGATCATAAGATTCCTATGGAAATGCAAGGGATCTAAAATAACCAAAACAATCTCGAAAAAGAACAAGGTTGAAGGACACACCCTGATTTTAAAACTTCTACAGATACAGTAATTAAAACCGTGTAATGCTGACCATAGAATAGGCGTGTGTATGGATCAATGCAAAAAAATTCAGACTCTAAATATAAACTCTTACATTTTTGGTCACCTGATTTTCAACAAGGGTGCCAAGACCATTAAAAGGAAAAAAAAAAAACACCAAAAAACAAACTAACAAAAAACCCCCACTTTTTTCAACAACAGCTAAATGCGAAAGAATAAAGTTGGATCCTTAACTCACACCATCTACAAAAATAAAGTCAAACTGGATTACAGACCTTAAAGGTAACAGCTAAATATATAAAGCCCTCATAAGAAAATCTGAGAGTCAATCTTCAGATCAGGCAATGGTTTCTTAGATATAACATCATAGGTATAAGTGACAAAATAAAAAAGTAAACTAAACTTTATCAAAATCTAAAAAATTTTGTGTGTCAAAGGATATGATCAAGAAAGAGAAAAGACAACCTACAGAATGGAAGAAAATATTTGCAAATCATATACAGTCAACCTTCGGTACCCTTGGAGGATTGGTTCCAGGATTCCCCTTGGACAACAAAATCTGTGGATGTTCAAGTCCCTTATATAAAATAGTATTTGCATACAACTTACACAATCCTCCCATACACTTTAATCTCCAGATTTATAATACCTAATACAATGTAAATGCTATACAAATAGTTGTTATACTATTTTTATTTTCAAATTGTTATTTTTTTTCAAATGTTTTCCATTTGTAGTTGGCTGAATCTGTGAATGCAGAACCTACAGACACGGAGGGCTAAATGTATCTAGTAAGAGACGTGTATCCAGACTATACAAATAACTCTTACAAGTCAATAATAAACAGGTTAACTTAATTAGCTACAAATAATATAAATATATTTACATTAAAAATTTATATATATTTTACAAAATTTTACAATTTATTTTTATATACTATATAGGTATATTTATATACTATATGCCTGGTACATATTAAGTACTCAATAAGAGTTAGGTATAATTATTATTAAATTCCTAAGTTATTTGACTATTAACAAGGAATGATGTTTTCTGCAGAATGCCTATAGCTATGTGACCATATTTTCCAAACCAAATATAGATTTGTTAACTTCAAACCCTCCCTCCCTCCCTTCCTCCCTCCCTTCCTTTCTTCCTTCCTTCTTCCCTCCCTCTCTCTTCCTTCCTTTCCTTTTCTTTCTTTTTCTTTCTCTCTCTTTCTTTCCTTTTCTTTCTTTCCCTTCCTTTCTCCTTTCCTTTCTCTCTCTCTCTCTTTCTTTTTAGAATTACAGGAGAATCCATAAAGTGAAAGCAAGTTTATTAGGAAAGTAAAGGAATAAAGAATGGCTACTCCACAGGCAGAGCAAGCCTACTTCAACTCCATTTCTGAAAACCAAAAATTATTTCTCAGTTTATTGAAATAAGCTCTGATTCACACACACACACACACACACACACACACAGTATATTAAAAAAATCTAGTATACATAATTATATAACAAAACATAATTATAATCTCCCCAATTAGAAAATGAGCAAAGAATTTGAATTAGACATTTCTCCAAAGAAAACATACAAATGTCATTTCAGAAGATGCTCACATTATCGTCACTGGGAAATGCAAATGAAAATCATGAGGTGTCACTTCCTATCCACTAGGACAGCTATAATACAAAATCAGTAACAAGTTACGATGTGGGGACACTGCAACACTCATTCATGTCTGGTGTGATCGTAAAGTGGTTCAGTTGCTTTGGAAAACATTTTGACAGTTCCTCAGAAGGTTAAACAGAGTTACCATATGATGCGGCAATTCTACTCCTAAATATATACACCCAAGAGAATGGAAAACTTACGTCCATGCAAAAACCTGTACATGAATGCTCACAGAGTAATATTCATGGTAGCTAAAAATGGAAACAACCCAAATGTCCATCAGTGAATTAATGGATAAAAAATGTAGCATATCCATATACTTGATAATATTTTTGGTCATCAAAAGGAATGAAATTCTGATACATGCCACAACATGGATGAACCTTGAAAACATTACGGTAAGTGAAAAAAGACAGACACAAAAGGCTACACAGTGCGTTTATATAAAATATCCAGAATAGGCAAACCCATAGAGATGGAAAGTTGATTAGTAGTTGTTAGGGGTGAAGAAATGGAAAGGATCATTGCTAATGAGTACGGGATTTCTTCTGGGGGGGCAACGAATGTTTTAAAATTAGATAGAGGTGATGGCTGCAAAACTATAAATATATTAAAACCCACTGAATGGTACACTTTAAAAGGGTGCATTTTATGCCATGTGAATTATATCCAAATAAAGCTGTTATAAAAAAAGAACATCATGGAAATGATTGTTAAAGGAAGTGTAGTTGGTTATGATGAAGAAAGAAACAGTGCAAGAAAAAATACACGTAAGGAGACCATATTTCTCCATGTCAGAGAAGACAACCTTGATTCTGGCCATGGAAATGGACAAAAGAGGTGAGACTGTGGAAATATAATCAAAGGAGAAAGCAACATCTGTGGGATATAAGAGAACTAGCTAAGCTTAACATATTACACCAAAGTATTGCTCATAAGACCAAACAGCTGGTAGTACCAATGACAGAAAACTAAAGTGGAAAGGCCCAGTGAAGGTCCTGGGGAAGACAGGAGTTTTACTGAGCTGTGCTTATTTTTATTTTTATTTATTTATTTATTTTTTGAGACGGAGTCTCACTTTGTTGCCCAGGCTGGAGTGCAGTGGCGCGATCTTGGCTCACTGCAAGCTCCACCTCCCGGGTTCACGCCATTTTCCTGCCTCACCCTCCCGAGTAGCTGGGACTACAGGTGCTCGCCACCATGCCCGGCTAATTTTTTTTATTTTTATTTTTAGTAGAGACGGGGTCTCAGTGTGTTAGCCAGGCTGGTCTCGATCTCCTGACCTCGTGATCTGCCCACCTCGGCATCCCAAAGTGCTGGGATTACAGGCGTGAGCCATCATGCCTGGCCAAGCTGTGCTTATTTTTAGGTTCTTTAAATTACCAAGTGGTAACAGTCTAAGTATGGATTATAAAGATTTTTTTTCTAGTAAAAGAGAAAGAAAAGAATTAAGATTAGAATATGAGCTGGACAGTCATTCATGCTTGAACATGAGCTGAAACTTAAGTGTATACAGTGAGCTTACCAAGTAGGTCTCAAGGAAGAGATGAAGCAGCCCCATCACCTCATTCTTGGGGGATACAAACAATCACCTCCTCATTCCTTCACTCCTTTTCTTCAAGCAGCTGTCTGTGGCATGTGGGTAGCCTAGTTTGAAGTATAGCAGGTGTTTGTAATTTCCTTTCTCAAGGTCACAGGTGACTCTGCCAGTGCACTTCAAAAACCACAGCTTCTGGGCCCCTTTCTTCCCACCAAACCCCAAGATCCCCTTCTCACATCCAGATTACTCTGTTACTTACACATCTTTAACCCACTCCACAGCTATTAGAATTGAAGTGCCCCTCTTCCCAGGAAATTGACTAAGGTTCTATCCACTAGCCTCAGATCGTTATCTGTTTGAAACTTCTTTGTGGGCTGATGGAATGTTTTCCAAGAAATGTTTTAGAAATTGGCTTTCTTAGATAATTTCCATGGTGGATTTATTAAGAAGGAGGAAATCAAGGTCATCTGTTCTTTTTAGCTGCCATTCTGGTCAGCCTTTCCAGTGGTGCCTGTTGTCTCCAACCTTCATTATCACATTCCCTGCCTAATCCCATTGAAAGTTACAGTTATATTACAAAGATCAGATGAGATAATATATAGTATGTAGCAGGGCTTTTAAAAATATACATTGTTTCATACATGTTAACTGCTGTTAATACTACCTAAACTGCTCTCAATTTTCACAAAATTTGCCTTGTGCCACTGAATGACATTAGAGTTTAATGGTTTATTCAGATAAACTGATTCTGCTTTTAGAGAGTTAATATTTTTGGCTCATTTATCATAATGAATTAACATATTAAATCTAAATGGTTCTAGAAGACGCTTGAAGACCTTTTTTCTGTTTTCCCTTTGGCAAACGGTGATGATAATAATAATTTATCTCATAGAATTATTATGACATTCAAGTGAGATTATCTGCTTTGCACAGTGCATAGTAGGTGCCCAATAAATGTTAGGTACAATTATTATTCAATTCCTGAAGTTCTTCAAATTATCATAGAGGAAAGGTGTTTTGTAGCGAAATATTTCTGTAGAACACCCACAGCTATAAATGTGATCATATTTTCTAAATCAAATGCAGATCGACTAACTGGAATTCCTCTGCTGAAAACCAGGATTTATTTTCAGATTTGGTAAAATAAGCTCTGAAGCCAAAAAGTACTCCCAGAGAAGTCTGCATATGTTGCCATAAGATAGTGCCAGCCAGAGAGATTCTGACAAGAAAACTTTATGAAGTTTGATTTAAACTACAGAATAAGAAGGGTTTTTTCCCCCTCTACGGATTTATTTTACTTAATCTTTATGCATCTAGCTAATCTGTGACCCAATTATGTAGTTATACCAAGGGTGTCTGTGTTAGTGACGGCCGTGTGGCTATCTCTGTCAAAGACTAATCTCACTGCTGGGGACACTGAGATGACAGGATAGAGTATCACAAGAAGATGAAACTTGGTGAACTCACATGTTTATCACGGTAAAAAAACAATCTATGGAACATTAGTAGTGGCAGATGGTAGATGTCCATCTAGGCAGGAAAACCAGGGTACTAGCAGTTTGATAACCTTTGATTAAATTTCTCCCCAAATGGAAAGTAATGCTCCATAATAATGTGTGTTAAATTTTTTCTTTTCCAAATAATTGTTTCCTTCATTTCATAGCCTGTTAACTCAAGGTTTGCTTCCTGCTAGTGACTATATTACTGCTTCCTTAGAGTGGTTAAATTTTATTTTCCTTTTGGTAAAGGAAAATTTTAAGTAACCACTATATCTTATTTTAAAGGCATGCAGTAAATGCTTTGTTAAAGCACAATAAACACTGAAATTACTATTAAGTAGTAACACTCCTCATGCAAAATTACTTAAAAATAAAAACTTAAATTGCCTGCAGGAAAAAAAATTGTTGCCATTTTGATTTTGTGCACTGTTTAACATTTTTCTCATGTTTTTGAATAAAGAAAACTTGTATGAGGCATTATAAAACTCGTTAATGCTACAAAGTTTGGAAGGCAGCTATTAACACAGTTGAAAAAATCAAGATTCAAAAGAATTTTGACAAGCAGGGTAGCGAGTCAAAAATGAATCTATGAAATTCAGTAAAAAGAAATGGACAACATTGCAGTTAGGGTTAAATAGTAATAGCTAATGGCCGAGAGATTACTGTGTGTTAGACACAGTATTTAGTACTTGAAACAATAGAATAATATTAATAAGGCAGACACTATTATCATCTTCTTTCCAGATATAAGGATGGTATGAGGCACAAATATATAAATAATGAGAAGACTTGTCTCAACAACATATCTTTAAAACATCAAGGAGTTATGTTCAATAACAAACAAAATATCCAGATAATAGAAACCAATAATACCTAGTCTTGAACTCCTGGGCTCAAGTGATCCTTCTGCCTCAGCCTCCAGAGTGGCTGGGACAACAGGTGCGTGGCACTGCACCTAGCTAATTTAAAAAAAATGTTTTTAAGAGATGGGTTCTTGCTATGTTGTCCAGGCCAGTCTTGAACTCTTGGCCTCAAGCGATCCTCCCGCCTCAGCCTCTCAAAGTGCTGGCAGGCATGCGCCACCACACCTGCCCCTTTTCTTATATTAGAAAAAATAGTGAGAATTTATGAAATGAAGAAAAAAGATTACTGGGTGTTCATTCAATAGAACACTAGGCAGCCTGACCAGTGCCCTCCCTCTTTCACGCTATATACTACACGTGTTCTCCAACCCATCTGCTGGCTAAATTGCACAGATATCTGGATCCCACATCCCACTGCTTAGCATTGTTTATCAAGCACTGAGTTTATGAAGGTGGAGAGACTGGGCCCTATAGTGAAGAGACTTAGATTCTGATCTACTGACAACAACTAACCTATGCCCACTTATTAAGCGGCATGAAGTTTTCAACAAAAATGGTGGTGGGTGTTAACTGCCACATTATAACATAAGGAAGTGAATTCTAACTGAATCCTAAGAATAAATAAAATGATAAGTGAGCATTCAAAGGATCACCACTAGAGATGTGCTTCATTTTTCTGCTCTAATATATTGTCTTTGAGCAATAAGAGCAGCTGAAAAAGATGCATAGAACTTTAGACCCAAAAGTTGACTTTAAGATCAATTTTTTCAACTTTTGTCATTCTAGCAATTAGAAAAGTAAGTCCCTTGGCAAGAGACCTTGCCACAACTGACCTACTCTACTCCTTTGTCAAATGCTAAAACCCAGTTTGCATCTTTCTCCTGCCTCATTCATATTGCTGGATCTTTCCTTCCATCTGAGAAATATTTATTTTGAATGGAATACTGTTGTATAATTACCCAAACTGTACTTTTCACTTTCACAGAACAAGGAAAAAGAAATCTTTATTTCACATTCTATATAGGTTTATCTCATGGCAGTCCTTTTGGCAAAATGCTTTCTTTTCTGAAATAAGTCAGTAACATATCCACAGGGCTAAATTAATTGCTATTCTATTTTCCATCTCCTCTCATGACAAGCCTCTTCAATTGCTTCTGATTCATCATGCCTCCTAGTGTGACCATCCAGCTTCCTTTCTGGGCCCTGTTCTCATTCTCCCAGAGACAGCATAAAAACACACTCCATTTCCATACTTGCATTGGTTTCCGAGATGCTACATTATCCCTGATCTCCTGCCTCCCTTTCTACCATTTGTCTTCTTTGAGGGCTCTTCTTCCAGCTTTCAAAATATGAACATACATCTAGGCCGGCTCTCTGTTCTTACTTATTCTTACAGTTTCATCATATATACATTTATTCATTTAAGCAGTATCTACTGAAGGCCTATAAGTAGTGGTGAGTAAGATGGACATAGTCCATGCTGTTATGGAACTTACATCCAGTTAAGGAAGACCAGATAAGAAAATAAATAAAAAATTCCAAATTGGGATAACTGCTAAGGAAAAAAAAGAAAGTGTAATAATAAAGACTAATGGGGGTGAAGGAAGGTCTTTTGAAAAGTTAACATTTACCTGGGATCTCAAGAAAAGGCCTATTATGCAAAAGGTTGTGTATATTCAGGGGCAGAGAGATCAAATGTTCGAAGGTCTTTGGGTGAGTGGGAGAAAGGTTGGTTGTGTTCAAGAAACTCAGAACAGAGAGTACCATAGGATGATGCTGAAGAGACAGACAGACAGCAGATCATGCAAAGCCCTATAGGCCCTAGGAAAGGGTTTGGGTTTTATCCTAAACATAAGGAGAAGTTACTGAGGGTGTAAAGCAGGAGGTTATCCCATTCTGACTTATAGATCACTTTGGCTATCATGACTTACAGAACTGATGAATAAGGTGATCATATATTTAGGGTTGCCCGAGATAGTCCCAGTTCATGCCTATTGTCCTGGCATAACTGAACTTCTGCATTGATTTCAGGGAAGAGTCACAATATGCAATAAACAAATACATACATAAATAAAACAAAAAACAAAAAAAACAAAAAAAAAAAAAGAAAGAAAATTGACTAAGACACAAACAAGCTGTGGGAGGCAACATTCATCAGGTTTCCTTGTTCCTGATCTCCTTGACCTAACTGGGATCCTTCCTTGGGTGCTCCCTTTGATTCTTGAACTAGTTTTACTTCTCAAGCTTGAAATATGTTCTTGTCCTTAATATCTGGCTATCTCCTGTAATTAAATAATATTCAGCAGCTGGTATACACAAATATATCGAGTGAGGTCCTATTTGCATAAACTCATTCCTCATAACATTCCATGAAGTAGGTATTATCCCCATTTACAGATGAGCAAACTGAAGCACAGAGAGGTAAAGAAACGTGACTAAAGACAAACACAGCCAAAGAATCAGGACTTGACACCAGGTAATTTGGTTCTGGAATCAGTGTTCTTTACTTCTAACATTGCTTCTCAATGTGAGAAACCGTAGGCATATTTAGGAACTGCAAATAGCTCAGAGCGGCCAGAGTGAGTACTGGGACAAACTGGAGGTAAGTTTAGAAAAGTAGCAGAAGGGTTTCAAATGACATGCAAAACAACTAAGTTTTCATCTGACAGGTGATGGGGTACACCACAGGATCTTAAATACATGATCATATTTGTGCTTTGGATAAACAGCTCTGTGGAATAGGTGGAATAGAAGGTGGGTAGGAGGAGAATGGTTCCTGACTCAGCTTTTTCTAAAGACTGGACCTGCGCCTCCTTCCTGGATGGGGCCTTTGGATATCCATTGTGAAGAACCTGCATGCAATTATAATACATGACTTCCCACAACCTAGGCCTGGGCCTTCCAATGATGGGATCTCCCTTTTTAACTACAACTTTTCCTTTGAGTCCCTTTCATCAGCTCTCATCTCCAAGTCTTTTTATAAGCATACCTCTATTTCCACACTGATCCCGATAGTCTCCTTATTTAAATCCTTATCACCACAAATGTAGATTTCTGTAGCTTCACAGCTCAGTTACCTTCTTCCTAACGCCACCACCTGCAATTTCATGAGCTGCTTTTATTTTAATCCTTTTAAAACATTACTCCCTTCATCATATTATTCTCATGATCAAATACCTTACTATTGCTTATACAGATAGTCTTAACTGTTAACCTAACATTCAATGATCTTTATAAATGATGCCCAAATCACATTTTCCAATCTTCTACTATCTCATCTACGCTGCTGCAGTCAAATTTTCTACCCATCTATAAACTGTGTGTACACAGTGTGTCTTTCTATAATCTTTGGTCACACTGTTACTCTGGTCTAGCAAAACGCATTCTTTTAAAAATCCCATCCTTTCATGATCTGGTTTAGCACTTGCCGACTCTAAACAGCCTTCCTAAACCACTCCAGTGCTGGGAATTCCTACAGCACTCAAAGCCTTACACCATATTCCTATATTTGGGCACAAACTGCCTCAGTAACATGACATCCCTTCCGTTATTGCTCTGAATTTTTTATTCATTTCATATATTAGGATTTAGCTGTTTACAGGTCACTTTTCTAATGACATCAAGAACTACTCAAAGACACATTGTGTGTGTATATATATATACACACACACACACACACACACACAATATATATACACACACATATATATATGTGTGTGTATACATATATCTAAAGACCTATAAAACCATGTTTTGTGGGTTTTTTTTTTTTTTGGTATTTCTACTTTTCCCATAGTATTTCCATACCTCACCAGTGCTAGGTATGGTACTATCCTATGTATATTGTATACCTCATGTTTCTTGATAATTTAGAAAATTCAATTTATGCTGCTGTTATATCTTCCAGTAATATAAAATTTTCAGAATTTTAAGAGTTTTTCAGGTAGAAAAATTTAGCAAAACCAAAAGAGAAATGGAGGAAAAAAAGTCTAAGAAAAACATAAATGCCAGTGGAGTATGCTAATGGGAAAAAAATCAACATAAGCTTCACAATTTACAATGTCTGGAGAAATAAACTGATGTGCTTATACTTAAACATGTTATATTACGGAAGACTACAAGTGGTTGTTAAAGAGAACCTATTTTGCATTTATATTTGAATTTCGATAGAACTGCTTTGAATTGCTACTTTATTGATAAGGGAAAACAAGTTCTTTTATGACAAGTTATAAAAGCTTATAGTTTATCAGTTCCCTCTCCACCCTGCAATTACCTACAGGAAGAGATTGGCCATGGGTTCTATTTTATGAGTTTTATAGGGGCCCATTCACCCCAGTTTACATACTATGAATTCTTGGAAAATGCAATAGATTGTAGAAAATAAAGTGCTTCCTTTGAATAAAGGACATTTCACTTAAACTCATACATGTATCTACATACAAGCTGTCCCAAATATTATGTTAAAATATGAAACAGCCATATTTTACATGAATATATGTATAAAGTATACAAAAGTATAATACTGCAATAGGTAGCAATCTTGTCAATCTACAGAATTGGCTAAACAATGATAACAATCTAACAACAATAACAACCCAACAGCTATTGAGTAAGTACAGATATTATATAATCCAAGAGATTCAGGATAAAATTTAATTTATATGATTCAGATCAGTACATTTATGAATAAGTTTAGTGTTAATGGCAAACAATATTACAAACATCTCAGAAATATTTCAGAATAACAAAATAAGACTAACGCATATTAAAGTTTACTACTGATGAAATACCATGTGACAAAAATTCATTCAGCCCTTAGAAAACTTTGAAGAAAGGTAACTGCAGAAGGAATAAATTAATAGCTTTTAAAATTGGTCTTATAAATATGAAGAATAATGAATCAACATTTAAATTTCCAATCAGGTTAGAATGCTTTAAATTCTAATAATTAAAGGAATACTTAAGACACATGGCAAGCGTTTCATAGTTGGTATAATCCTGATGAGACAGTCTGAATTTTATTTCAACCTGTTGTGATAGATGTGTAGGCCTCTGTGAAAATGCAAGCTGTAATTTTATATACTGCCCAAAATCCATTTGCTAAAAGAAGCTTTGTTCTCTCTACCGGGGTTACAGGGTCACTGAATAAAAACTAAAAATATTAATATTAGTGTTACAAGTTTGGAATGTAGGAGCTTTACAAAAATTTAAGTTATTCATTCGAATAGGCCATATTGATGTCATTTGAATTTTATCATATTAGTTTTCACTGGAAGAGATTCAAAAACAGTACTCAAGACACTAGAAATTATATATTCAGTATGGCTTATCATGTTTCAATGTATTTTACATGTATATTAATTCTGCCAGAAAATATGAAAAGCTATGGGATTTGCCAAGCATATGACTGTACACTGAAAGGTAGATATGTTTTAACTATGTTCCAGGGGGAATACTTCCTTATGCTAGTTGCCATTTCCCTTTGATTTGCAAATAAGTCCTTCATTTAAAGTAAATACAGGACTCAAACTTGTGCTGACTTAACAATTAACTAACTTTTACACCTGCCTTTTAGGGTTCAGACAATAACCTCTGATTAATCTGGGCTGATATTATCCTTAACTTACTATAGGCGATAAGCAAGTGCAGAGGGACTAATTCTTAAAGTGGCATGATGTAAGTCTTTTCATATAATCTAACATCATGATTATCTCATGTCTTATTTACTTTTTCTATTATCAATAGTACAGTGTCTGAATGAATATCATTCAGGACAAAAATTAGTGAAAAGAAAGCCACACATTTAACCATCAAATCTGACCTAGGACATTAGGTATAAAGAAAATAAAACAATATCTATAATATACGAGCAGGCCACATAGGTTCCTTACACAAGAGAATGACTAGCAGTCTGATGTCCAATGTCTCTTCTGCAATACTAAACGCCAGAATGCAAAGATAATCAACTTCCACAATGTTTTGAGGAGAAAAGGTTAAGTTCAAGTAATTAAAAATCTTGGCAAGCTGTCTAATAGTAAAGGCAATTGACAAGTATTTAAAAATATGCAGACTCAGATAATTCACTTCCCATTTTCTAATTCTTGAAGAACAACTAGAAAATGTACTCTGAGGTATAAACAAAATGAAGAGCTCAGCATGCCAAAAAAATTAAGTGATTATAGACAGTTAAAAATAGAGGTTTGATTCTTTTTGACGAAAGGGGTGTCACATCATGTGGAGATTTTTTTCACTTTCTATTAAAGGTATCTCAAAAAAACAAATATGGTACTATTTGTAAGAAAGAAAAAAAAAACCCAAACAAAAAAATCAAAGTTCATGTAGTAAATGAAAAACAAAAAGGAAACAAGTGAATTAAAAAGAGAGTGAGAGGTGACATGGAACAAAGGGACAGAGGTGGTTTTGTTCTCAGGCTGATCTTTATTTACTGAAGGGACACTGGATTGTATTATAGTACTATAGAATCAAACTCAAGTTTGATTGACCATAACCATATATTTACTGAAAACTTCACTTAGAATTCCAACTTGGAATGTTAAGAAACATATCGGCTGGGCGCGGTGGCTCATGCCTGTAATCCCAGCACTTTGGGAGGCTGAGGTGGGCAGATCACGAGGTCAGGAGTTTGAGGCCAGCCTGACCTACACGGTGAAACCCCATCTCTACTAAAAATACAAAAATTAGCTGGGCGTGGTTGTGGACGCCTGTAATCCCAGCTACTTAGGAGGCTGAGGCAGGAGAACTGCTTGAACCCGGGAGACGGACATTGCAGTGAACTGAGATTGCGCCACGGCACTCCAGCCTGGGCAACAGAGCGAGACTCTGTCTCAAAAAAACAAACAAACAAACAAACAAACATATCTTTCCCTTGAAAAGAGGTCTGATAAATTCTCATTTGCTCACTTCCCTCACCCATTTAATGGCTGCAACTAGCATATACCACTCTCCTAGAACTGCCATTCATGGCAGTACTTGGAGCAAGGGGAACGTGGGCATGAAAATGGGTAAAGAAGTAAGCTGGGAATTGAGGGTTAGGTCTGGGGTCGAGAAGTCACTCAGGGTCCCAGCCTCAGCTATTCTAAAATCCTGGCCCACTCCCTTTCTGTTTTTTTCTCAGGCTCTAACAGATACTTAAATCATGGTATCTCTTCTTTTTTTGGGTCAGTAGAATACAAAATTTGGGGCTACAAATATTCCACTTTGATAATTTTTAGACTCCTTTTTTTCCTCCCTAAACATTTTCTTCTCCTAAGCCCTTTAAAGAAAATAAGAGAAGATAGGTTCAAGGATGGAAATTAGATAAAATTACATTTCTGTGAAAATCAGACTTTACTTGTCCTGGTCTGGGACCAGAGGGCACTGGGCAATAATAATGAACAGACTTATGATTCTATTTAGAGGTTATGGAGAAAGGGCAAAGATTAAGTGTTGGAAAGCCAGGGGCTGTTGGGGAGAGAGGTAGTAACATCCTTACTTTGTAGTAGAGACACAGAAGGAGAAGAGTAGCCAATCCTTCCTCAGAAAAATACATCAAAAAGGACTGAATATATTATTCAAATACATTAAAATAATAAATTTTTCTTAATTGCCATTCTTTAATTTTTTAATACTAAAGAATAAAATTTATATCATGTTATGGCTACTCTTTTAGCATACTTACTAAAGGATAACTGAAACATACATACTACAGTCAAGTTCTTTTTAATGATTATGCTAATTCCTCATGTACTGGTCTTTTCTAAAGTCCCACATATTAAGTTATCAAACATGTTAAATCAATCATAGGGATTTATTACAAATAAAAAATAGAGTCAATTTGCTACTGAGGCATATATTAATCATCAACACAATTCAAATACTTTAATATTACCTTTATTTATTTATTTTTGAGATGGAGTCTTGCTCTGATGCCAGGCTGAAGTGCAGTGGTGCAATCTCGGCTCACAGCAACCTTCACCTCCTGGGTTCAAGCGATTCCCCTGCCTCAGCCTCCCGAGTAGCTGGGACTACAGGCATGCACCACCATGCCCAGATAACTTTTTGTATTTTAGTAGAGATGGGGTTTCACCATGTTGGCCAGGATGGTCTCAATCTCCTGACCTTGTGATCTGCCCGCCTTGGCCTCCCAAAGTGCTGGGATTACAGGCGTGAGCCACTGTGTCCGGCCATCTTTATTTTCTTAATTGGTACAGTTTGACTATCCCTAATCCAAAAACCTGAAATATGAAATCCTCCAAAATCTGAAACTTTATGAACATTGACATGACTTTCAAAGAAAATGTTCATTGGGACATTTTGGATTTCTAATTTTTGGCTCAGGGATGCAGGAAGTGTAACACAAATGTTCCAAAATTTGAAAAAGACCAAAATCCAAAACACTTCTGGTCCTAAGCATTTTGGATAAGGGATACTCAACCTATATTACCAAATCTTTCTCACAATAGGAAATGGAGAATCACAGGAAGTACTTGGAAGACTTATGAATGCAAAGGATAAGAAATAAGAGTAGGATTAGGGAATGTACAGTGTACTCTATATCATCTTATGAGTCTTTCAATTGCAAACTAGCAACTAATATATGTTTCACACAAATATCATATTCAGAGACTAAAAGGGAAATCTAATAATTATCTTCCTTCTATTAATACAACTTTTTAAATATAGTGAATAGATGCTATAATTGTTAAATGCCTTTTGTTGAGAAGAAGGATAAAAGATAAGACTTCAGTTCTATAATAATAAAGCAAAGTAACCTATAAGAGAAATGAAGCATAATGGCCTTTTTTCACTATTATAAAACATTCACTTTAAATAATGATGCTAGTGCACAAAATAACATTCATTTTTAGAAGGGTAAAAATCAATTTGCACAAATACTTACATTACATTATCAAAACTATAAATTATTTCTAAGTTAACAACATTAATATGAACAAATCTTGCAGGGATATAACTTTTGGCAAAAAGGTTTTAAGAGTTTTCTACAATGGCACTGTAACTATAACCAGTATAATTTTGTACTTTCTTAACACTTTTAACAACGTAGCAACAGACTGTCTTACCGTTGGTGCTGTATCTACCTGATGGTTACAAGGCTTTCTTTCTATGCTGATAATCCCTGTGGAAAGAAAACATTGTGAGTATTTGGTTATTAAGCCTGTCCATTTTATGTTGAAAATATTCATGCCATTTTATTGGAAAAACATTTATTATGACTCACACAGCTTCCAAGAAAAAAGTCTCACTTGGAAGGCAAGATCCTTTTAAGATGTATCATGAATTCTTTGGTCAGAAACAGTTGGTCTAAACTGACTCAAGGTTAGCTAAGCCTTTTTTCCCATTCAAGTGATGTCTAGCAATAGCGCAAGATGTGTCCACATCCTGCTCTCAACTCAAAAATTACACCATTATCTGGGCTCTGCTGCTTTTCTTCCATGAAAGTTTTATTTCTGATTCAAGGATATGAAGTTTTTAAAAAGAAGTATCACAAGGGCTATGAAGTGAATCACTACTGTCTTATTTTCTCAAAAGAATAAATAAATCCATCTGAATTTCTCTTTGATCATCTGACTTCCTACTATGACATACTCTATTTATTCAATCACCATGAGTATCTGAAGAAAAATGTTCCCCTGATTCCCTCCTTTAAAATGATAACACAGATGGCTAATCTTGAGAAATATTCTTTTATCATGTGTGGATTTATCTTTTTGTTCCCAATGTTCTCTACTGCATTTCTTTGTAATAAACACCCTTTCAGGACGTGACACAGGGGATCTCATCTGTAAAGATACTGGTTCAAAGTCTAACTCAAGTTAAAAATGAACACAAGTGTGGGTCTTGTTTAATTCCTAATTTCTGGCCACCAGCAAACTAACATATAATTTAGGATATTAACATAGTTTGTTCAAACAATGCTAAAGGCTGTCATATGCAGGACAAGAGGCAAGAACTACAATGTCTGTTAATAGCAATTAGTAAAATTCCTAGTTTAAATGTTAGTTTCTCTTCTACAAGCATATGACTCATTTTTCTTAAAGTACGGTAAAGGATTAAGTGAGATCAACACAAACAATCACTTTTTATCGCTTTGCAAGAGTATTTTCAAAATGAATCATGAAACATGCAGTTTTTGTTTCATTAATTTTTTGTAACATTTATTGTTAGCCAGTGAAGTATAAAGCACTATACTACCTTCATTCAATTGACTAATATTTTTGAGTGGTTATTCTTGGTACTCAGTGATAAAAGATGAATATATTACAGTTTCTGACTATAAGAGTCTAGTAAAACATGGATATCCTTTTCTGAAGAATTACCACAGAGCAAATGAACAGAGTTTCATCTTAAGTGTAATAAAATCTTTAAGGTAATTTTGATGGAAAGACACTCTTATTCATAGAGTAACACCAGTTTTGGGTTAATTTTTTTTCAAAGGGTACAACATGCAGGCAAATAAGTAATGTAGATTCCTATTGTAAGATTTTAACAATATAGAAATATAGAGAGAATAAATTGAGAAATCCCAACTTTGTCAGCCCCTACAGTCTCACAATCCTAGCTGCAAACACTGAGAATAGTGTGGCATGGCAACTGGCTTTCAAATGAGAGTGGTCATGCCAGAGTTCAGCAATTAACAACATCTTACACACGTCTTCTCACTATTGTAATCTGACTGTTATAAAATTGACCTAGGCTGATTACTGATTTTTAAATTCTTATCTAAACAGAAAGTAATTTTAATTGGAGAAAAGGAACTTTAAAATAATAAAAACCAAAGCAAACCAGGCAAAAATCTATATATACAGTTTATACAATACCAAGAAAAAAACAAAAAAAACTCTACAGATTTTAGTGTTTCCATTTTAGGATAAGAATGTGTTGAAAATTAGAATTTCAAAAACTGGATTATCCAAAGTTATAATCTTAGTTTTAAATTTAGATTACATATATAAATAATATTTGGAAATACAATCATGCATGTTTGTTCAAGCTTGCAGTAAAAAATATATAGAAAGGAATAAACTTTAGAAAAAAATGTATCAAAATAACTTCCTATTTTAGGTAAATTTTACTTAAAAATCTGTATTTGTATCTCATTTCACTTTTATTAATGTATAACAATAATTGAAAGCTCATAATAAGTAGCATGCTATAATGGTTAGTATTATATGTCTACTTAGCTAGGCCATGGTACCCAGATACTTGATCAAACATTATTCTAGATATTTCTTTGAAGGTTTTAGATGGAATTAACATTTAAATCAACAGGCTTTGAGTAAAGCACACTGCCCTCCATGATGTTAAGTGGGCCTCATCCAATCAGATGAAGGCCTTAAGAAAATGACAACTCACCTGAGAGCGAGGGGATTCTGCCAACAGGCTGCCTTCAGACTGGAACTGCAACTCTTTCCTACGTCTCCCTCCTGTTGGCCTAGCCTGCAGATTTTGGTCTTGCCAGCCCCCACAATGTTTGAGACAATTCCTTAAAGTAAATCTTTCTCTCTCTATGGTCTTCCTACTGGTTCTGTTTCTCTGGAGAACCCTGACTAGTAATATACTTACTTTCTGGGACATATGAAATAAATAAAAATGCTATTGCTTATACTCTAAATTATAAATGTTATGTTCATTCAACATAATTGTGTAGGAATATAGTTAAAATGTTGATGTTAGTATGAAATATTTTAAAATCTGCATATATCCGAATGAACTCAGGAATATATAGATAGAATAAATCGACCTATCAACAAATAAAAATGAAAAAAATTATAAAAGCAGTCTGTCAGCAGAATAAAGAATCAATCTATCAATAAATATTACTGCTAGGTTGTCCAGTCTAACAATCTCTGCCTTTCAATGATTTGACTATTTACATTTAATGCAATTACTCATATGGCTTTGCTGAAGTTTAGCATTTTGCTATCTTATTGCATTTCTTTTTGTTCTTTTCTTCCTCTTTTTCTATATTCTTTTGCAATAGTCAAATAGTTTTACTCTTCCATTTTATGTCCTCTGATGGCTTTTTAGTTACATCTCTTCATATTTTTTAATGGCTAATGTAGAGATTACAACGTACCACTGTACTATACCTTGAATTAGGATTTCTTCTACTTCAAGAATAATATAAGCAACTTAAAACAGTGTTAACCCCATTTATTCAACCACCCTTTATGCTTTTGCTGCCTTATATTTAACTTCTATATGTTATAAACACCACAATATATTGTCAGTATTGTTGTTTTAAACTGATATATTTATCTTTATCCCTTCTTGCAGATCCAGGCTTTCACATGAGATCATTAATCCCCTGTTATTTTGTAGTGTAAGTCTGCTGGTGACTATGTTTTTTCCTGAAAAATCTTTAGTAGGGATTCATTTACAAAGAATGTTTTGCTGGGTATTGAAATCTAGGTTAATAGCCATTTTCTTTTAGAAAATGATTTCATTCCATTATTTCTTATGAGAAGGAAGTCATCATTCTTACTATGATTTCCCTGAACGTAACACTTTTCCCCTCTGGCTGCTTTTGTAATTTTCTTTTTAGTTTAATCAGGAGGTACCTAGGTATGGTTTCACACACACACACACACACACACACACACACACACACACACACACACACGTGTGTATATTTATACTCTAAAGGAATATAAATTTTTCATTTTCTTCAGTTTAATTAGGAGGTATCTATGGTTTCATTTATATATATGTATACGTGTATGTGTGTATCTTTGGATTTTGCTAAGCTTTTAAATTTTATTTTTTTTGATTTTATTTTTTATTTCAATAGGTCTTTGAGGAACAAGTGGTGTTTGGTTACATGGGTAAGTTCTTTAGTGGTGATTTATGAGATTTTGTGTATCTGTCACCCAAGCAGTGTACACTGTACCCAATGTGTACTCTTCTATCCCTCACCCCTGTCCCACCCTTTCCAAGTCCCCAAAGTCCTTAGAATAAGAGTCTCCAATTCTATCCAGGTTGCTGTGAATGCCATTATTCCATTCCTTTTTATGACTAAGTAGTATTCCATGGTGTGTGTGTGTAGGTGTGAGTGTGTGTATATATATATATGTATAAAGAAAATGTGGTGTATATACACATATATATACTTGGTGATTGATGGGCATTTGGGATGGTTCCGTATTTTTGCAATTGCAAATTGTGCTGCTATATATAAACATGTGTGTGCAAGTATCTTTTTTGTACAGTGACTTTTTTTTCCCTCTGGGTAGATGGTAGCGGGATTGCTGGAGCAAAAGCGCTACTTTTCTTAGGTTGGTGCAAAAGTAATTGCAGATTTTGCTAATTGAAACTAATGGCAAAAACTGCAGTAACTTTTGCACCAACCTAATAGTTCTTTAAGGAATCTCCACACTGTTTTCCATAGTGGTTGTACTAGTTCATGTTCCCACCGGCAATGCAGGGATGTTCCCTTTTCACCACATTTACACCAACATCTATTATTTTTTGATTATGGCCATTATTGCAGGAGTAAGGTGGCATCACATTGCAGTTTTGATTTGCAGTTCCCTGATCATTAGTGATGCTGAGCATTTTTTCATATGCTTGTTGGCCATTTGTATATCTTCTTTTGACAACTGTCAATTGTCTATGCATGTCCTTAGCCCACTTTGTGATGGGATTTTTTTTTTCTTGCTGATTTGTTTGAGTTCCTTGTAGATTCTGTATAGTAGTCCTTTGTCAGATGCATACTTTGAGAAGATTTTCTCCCACTCTGTGGGTTCTCTGTTTACTCTGCTGATTCTTTTGCTGTGCAGAAGCCTTTTAGTTTAAGTTCCATCTATTTATCTTTGTTTTTGTTGCAATTGCTTTTGGGTTCTTGATCATAAAGTCTTTGCCTAAGCCAATGTCTAGTAGTGTTTTTCCAATATTATCTTCCAGAATTTTTATGATTCTGGGTCTTAGATTTAAGTCTTTCATCCATCTTTTTTTTAAATTTTATTTTATTTTATTATTATTATTATTATTATTTTTATTGATCATTCTTGGGTGTTTCTCGCAGAGGGGGATTTGGCAGGGTCACAGGACAATAGTGGAGGGAAGGTCAGTAGATAAACAAGTGAACAAAGGTCTCTGGTTTTCCTAGGCAGAGGACCCTGCGGCCTTCCGCAGTGTTTGTGTCCCTGGGTACTTGAGATTAGGGAGTGGTGATGACTCTTAAGGAGCATGCTGCCTTCAAGCATCTGTTTAACAAAGCACATCTTGCACCGCCCTTAATCCATTCAACCCTGAGTGGATACAGCACATGTTTCAGAGAGCACAGGGTTGGGGGTAAGGTCACCGATCAACAGGATCCCAAGGCAGAAGAATTTTTCTTAGTACAGAACAAAATGAAAAGTCTCCAATGTCTACCTCTTTCTACACAGACACGGCAACCATCCGATTTCTCAATCTTTTCCCCACCTTTCCCCCCTTTCTATTCTACAAAACCGCCATTGTCATCATGGCCTGTTCTCAATGAGCTGTTGGGTACACCTCCCAGACGGGGTGGTGGCCGGGCAGAGGGGCTCCTCACTTCCCAGTAGGGGCGGCCGGGCAGAGGCGCCCCTCACCTCCCGGACGGGGCGGCTGGCCGGGCGGGGGGCTGACCCCCCCACCTCCCTCCCGGACGGGGCGGCTGGCCGGGCAGAGGCGCCCCTCACTTCCCGGACGGGGCAGCTGGCCGGGCGGGGGTTGACCCCCCCACCTCCCTCCGGGACGGGGTGGTGGCCGGGCAGAGGGGCTCCTCACTTCCCAGTAGGCGCGGCCGGGCAGAGGCGCCCCTCACCCCCCGGACGGGGCGGCTGGCCGGACGGGGGGCTGACCCCCCCCACCTCCCTCCCGGATGGGGCGGCTGGCCGGGCGGGGGGCTGACCCCCCCACCTCCCTCCCGGACGGGGCGGCTGGCCGGGCAGAGGGGCTCCTCACTTCCCAGTAGGGGCGGCCGGGCAGAGGCGCCCCTCACCTCCCGGACAGGGCGGCTGGCCGGGCGGGGGGCTGACCCCCCCACCTCCCTCCCGGACGAGGTGGCTGCCGGGCGGAGATGCTCCTCACTTCCCAGACAGGGTGGCTGCTGGGCGGAGGGGCTCCTCACTTCTCAGACAGGGCGGTTGCCAGGCAGAGGGTCTCCTCACTTCTCAGACGGGGCGTCCGGGCAGAGACGCTCCTCACATCCTGGACGGGGCGGCAGGGCAGAGGTGCTCCCCACATCTCAGACGATGGGCGGCCGGGCAGAGACGCTCCTCACTTCCCAGATGTGATGGCGGCCGGGAAGAGGCGCTCCTCACTTCCTAGATGGGATGGCAGCCGGGCAGAGACGCTCCTCACTTTCCAGACTGGGCAGCCAGGCAGAGGGGCTCCTCACATCCCAGACGATGGGCGGCCAGGCGGAGACGCTCCTCACTTCCCAGACGGGGTGGCGGCCGGGCAGAGGCTGCAATCTCAGCACTTTGGGAGGCCAAGGCAGGCGGCTGGGAGGTGGAGGTTGTAGCGAGCCGAGATCACGCCACTGCACTCCAGCCTGGGCACCATTGAGCACTGAGTGAACGAGACTCCGTCTGCAATCCCGGCACCTCGGGAGGCCGAGGCTGGCGGATCACTCGCGGTTAGGAGCTGGAGACCAGCCCGGCCAACACAGCGAATCCCCGTCTCCACCAAAAAAATACGAAAACCAGTCAGGCGTGGCGGCGCACGCCTGCAATCGCAGGCACTCGGCAAGCTGAGGCAGGAGAATCAGGCAGGGAGGTTGCAGTAGGCCGAGATGGCAGCAGTACCGTCCAGCTTCGGCTTGGCATCAGAGGGAGACCGTGGAAAGAGAGGGAGAGGGAGACCGTGGGGAGAGGAAGAGGAAGAGGGAGAGGGAGAGGGAGAGGGAGAGGGAGTGGGAGCGGGAGCGTCTTTCATCCATCTTGAGTTGATTTTTGTATAAAGTGAGAGATGAGGATCCAGTTTCATTCTTCTACATGTGGCTTGCCAATTATCCCAGCACCATTTGTTGAACAGGGTGTCCTTTCCTCACTCTATGTTTTGTTTGCTTTGTCGAAGATCAGTTGGCTGTTAAGTATGTGGGTTTATTTCTGGGTTCTCTATTCTGTTTCATTGGTCTAAGATCAGTACTATGCTCTTTCGATGACTATAGCTTTATAATATAGTTTGAAGTTGGGTAATGTGATGCCTCCATATTTGTTCTTTTTGCTTAGTCTTGCTTTCGCTACATGGGCTCTTTCTTTGGTTCCATATTAATTTTAGGATTGTTTTCTAGTTCTGCGAAAAATGATGGTGGTATTTTGATGGAAATTGCATTGAATTTTTTATTGCTTTTGGCAGTACGGTCATTTTCACAATATTGGTTTTACCCATCCATGAGCATGGGATGTGTTTCCATCTTTTTTTGGTGTCATCTGTGATTTCTTTCAGCACTGTTTTTTACTTTTCCTTGTAGAGATCTTTCACCTCCTTGGTTAGGTACATTCCTAAGTATTTTATTTTATGTTTTGCAGCTACTGTAAAGGGGGTTCAGTTCTTGGTTTGATTCTCAGCTTGGTCACTGTTGCTATTTAGCAGTGCTACTGATTTGTGTACATTGATTTTGCATCCAGAAACTCTACTGAATTAATTTATCAGATCTAGGAGCTTTTTGGATGAGTCTTTAGCGTTTTCTAGGTATACAATCATATCATTGGCAAACAGTGACAGTTTGACTTCTTTACTGATTTGAATGTCCTTTATTTCTTTCCCTTGTGTGATTGCTATGGCTAGGACTTCCAGTATTATGTTGAACAGAAGTGGTGAAAGTGGGCATCCTTGTCTTGTTCCAGTTCTCAGGGGGAGTTCTTTCAACTTTTCCCTGTTCAGTATAATGTTGGCTGTGGGTTTGTCACAGATGGCTCTTATTACCTTAAGGTATGTCCCTTCTACATCAATTTTGCTGAGGGTTTTAATCATAAAGGACGCTGGATTTTGTCAAATGCTTTTTCTCTTGAGATGACCACATGACTTTTATTTTTAATTCTGTTTAAGTTGTGTATCACACTTATTGACTTGCATATGTTAAACCATCCCTGCTTGATCATGGTACATTATCTTTTTGATATGCTACTGGATTTGGTTAGCTAGTATTTTGTTGAGGATTTTTGCATTTATGTTAATCAGGGATATTGGTCTGCAGTTTTCTTTTTTTTTTGTTACGTCCTTTCCTGGCTTTGGTATTACGGTGATACGGGATTCATAGAATGATTTAGGAAAGATTCCCTTGTTCTCTATCTTTTGGAATAGTGTCAGGAGGATTGGTAACAATTCTTCTTTGAATGTCTGATAGAATTCAGCTGTGAATCCATCTAGTCCTGGACTTATTTTTGATGGCAAATTTTTTATTACCATTTCAATCTTTGTGCTTGTTATTGGTCTGTTCAGAGTTTCTATTTTTATGCTGTTTTATCCAGAAGGATAGTATATTTCCAGCAATTTATCTATCTCCTCTAGGTTTTCTGATTTGTATGCATAAAGGCTTTCACAGTAGTCTTGAACAATCTTTTGTATTTCTGTGGTTTGGTTGTAATATCCCCCATTTCATTTCTAATTGAGCTTATTTGGATCTTCTCTCTTCTTTTCTTGGTTAATCTCACTAATGGTCTATCGATTTTGTTAATCTTTTCAAAGAACCAGCTTTTCATTTCATTCATCTTTTGTATTTTTTTGTTGTTTCATTTAGGTCTGCTCTGATCTTTGTTATTTTTTCTCTTCTGCTGGGTTTGGGTTTGGTTTGTTCTTGTTTCTCTAGTTCCTTGAGGTGTGACCTTAGTTTGTCTGCCTGTGCTCTTTCAGATGATTGTAGGCATTTACGGCTATGAACTTTCCTCTTAGCACTGCTTTTGCTGTATCCCAGCAGTTTTGACAAGTTGCATCACTATTATCATCCAGTTCAAAGAATTTTTAAATTTCCATCTTGATTTCATTGTTGACCCAATGATCATTTGGGATCAGTTTATTTAACTTCCATGTATTTACATGGTTTTGAGGGTTCCTTTTGGAGTTCCTTCATTTATGAAGCTTAGTTCCTCTGGATACAAAATTCTTGGCTGATGATTGTTTTGTTTAAGGCGGCTAAAGATAGGACCCCAATCCCTTCTAGCTTCTAGGATTTCTGCTAAGAAATCTGCTGTTAATCTGACAGATTTTCCTTTATAGGTTACCTGATGCTTTTGCCTCACAGCTCTTAAGATTCTTTCCTTCATCTTGACTTTAGATAACCTGATGATGTGACTAGGTGATGATCTTTTTGTGATGAATTTCCCAGGTGTTCTTTGAGCTTCTTATATTTGGATGTCTGTATCTCTAGCAAGACCAGGGACGTTTCCCTAGATTATTCCCTCAAGTATGTTTTCCAAACTTTTGGATTTCTCTTCTTCCAGGAACACCAATTATTCTTAGATTTGGTCATTTAACATAATACCAAACTTCTGAGAGGCTTTGTTCATTAAAAAAATTTTTTCTTTGTCTTTGTCGGCTTGGGTCAATTAGAAAGCCTTGTCTTTCAGCTCTTATGTTCTTTCTTTTACTTGTTTGAGTCTATTGGTAAGACTTTCCAGTGTATTTTGCATTTCCCTAAATGTGTCCTTCATTTCCAGAAGTTGTGATTGTTTTTTTTCATGCTGCTTCTCTGGAGATTTTTCCATCCATATCCTGTATCATTTAAAAAATTTCTTTAAGTTGGTATTCACCTTTCTCTGGTGCCTCCTTGAGTAGCTAAATAATTGACCTTCAGAATTCTTTTTCTGGCAATTCAGAGATTTCTTCTTGGTTTGGATCCATTGCTGGTGAGCTAGTGTGATCTTTTGGGGGTGTTAAAGAACCTTGTTTTGTCATATTACCAGAATTGTTTTTCTGGCTCCTTCTCATTTGGGTAGATTATGTCAGAGGGGAAGATCTGTGGCTCAAGGACTATTGTTCAGATTCTTCTGTCCCACGGGATGCCCCTGATGTGGTGCTCTCCCCATTCCCCTAAGGATGGGGCTTCCTGAGAGCTGTGATCGTTGTTTTTCTTCTGGGCCCAGCCACCCAGCAGAGCCACCAGGCTCCGTGTTGGTACTGGGGAGTTTCTGCAGAGTCTGGTGATGTGATCCGTCTTCAGGTCTCTCAGCCATGGATACCAGCCCCTGCGCTGGTGGAGGTAGCAGGGGAGTGAAGTGGATTCTGTGATGGTCCTTGGTTGTAGTTTTGTTTAGTGTGCTGGTTTTGTGTTGGTTGGTTTCCAGCCAGAAGGTGGTGCTTTCAAGAGAACATAAGCTGTGGTAGAATAGGGAGGGTACAAGCTTGCCCTAGGGTCACCTGGATAAGTATTCAGGTTTCTTAGGTGGTGGGCAGGGCCACAGAGCTCCCAAGAGATTATATCCTTTGTCTTAAGGTACCAGGACAGGTAGAGAAAGACCATGGTGGTGGTGGGGGGCACCCGCAGGATTAGGTATGTCTGAACTCAGACTCTCTTTGGGCGGGGCTTGCTGCAACTGCTGTGTGGGATGGGAATGTGGTTCTCAGGCTGATGGAGTTACTTTCCCAGGAGGATTATGGCTGCCACTGCTGTGTCATATAGGTCACCAGGGAAGTGAAGGAAAGGCAGTAGTTACAGGCCTCACCCAGTTCCCATGCATCCCAAAATGCCACTCTCGTTCCCACTCTACCCCTCAGTAGCAAAGAGTTTATTTCCAGGCAGCCAGTGAGCAGGGTTGAGAACTTGCCCCAGGCTACAAGCCTCCCTTCTGAGAAAGCAAGCAGGGCTTTTAGGTTTTGCACCTTCCCACCTGCTGTGGATTCTGTGCTCATATCTGCACTCCTCATTTGCTCCCTCCTTTGGATTCTGTCCAGGAAACTTTGCCTTCAGTTGAAATTGTTACAGACTTCAGCTAGAAGTTTCCTTCTCCTTGTTGTCTTTCTTCAATTCCACTGGCAGCCCTCCCCAAGGACTCCTGCAAGACAGTCAGGAATGCAGGAATGGCTTCCCTGAGGACCAAGAGTGCCCACAGGGCTCTTCCCACTGCTTCCTCTACCCCTATATTTCACTCGGCTCTCTAAATTTGTCTCAGCTCCAGGTAAGGTCAAATCCTTTTCTGGTGATCTGGACCTTCAGGTTCCCCAGTGAGGATGTGTGTTCAGGGGTGGACATTCCCTCTCTCACTCTTTGGGCACTAAGTTTTTCAGCTGTCTCACAGAGCATGTAGCAGCAAGCTGCCCCCTCTAACAGGTCTGTGGATTCTCTTGGCTTTTCTGGTAGTAGTTCTTGGAGCAAAAGTTCACAGTGTGATTCTCTGTGCACTGCTCTGTCCGTCCAAGTGGGAGCTGCAAGTTAGTCCTGCCTCCTATCTGCCATTTTGAGACAGCATCAACACAGTTATGGAAACAAGCTTTAAATGCTGATGACTGCTTCTCCTTGCTAAGCTTTTTATGTCTATAGGTTGTCTTTAATTAGAGGAAAACTACTAGCCCATTATTTCTTCAAATATTTCTTCACCCATATTTTCTGTTTTCCTTCTGCAATTCCAGTTGCATGTTTAATCCATTTCACAGGGACACACAGATATGACTCTTTCTTCTTCCCATGCCTCCTCTTCATCTTTGTTTCAATTTGAATAATCTGTATAATTTTTATTGTTTTGCCCTCCAGTTCAGTGGTCCTTTCTTTTAAGGTGTCCTATCTGTTGTTATCTGCTGTTATCTGTTGTTAGGTCCATCTAATGAATTTTCATTTTATCTGTTATAATCTTCAGGTCTAGACTATAATTCATTTATTTTTTAGGATTTCCATTTAAGAGAAATGGAAATCCTGACTTCCATGAAATTCTCCATCTTTGCACTCCTTTTGCTCATGGTTCCTCATAAGTTATTTAACATATGTGTAACAGATATTTTAAAATTCTTGCCTGCTAATGCCAACATTTTGATTATCTGTAGGATTCCTTTTATTCATTGTTCTTTTTCTTTGTTATGGGTCATCTATTTCTGCTAATTCACATGCCTCAGAATTTGATTATAGGTTAGAACTGCCAGACATGTAATCAGTAGACTGAAATAGCAAACGTCTTCCCTCAGAAAAGGCTCACCATTTCCTTTTTCAGAAAGCTAGGGTGAGGGGTAGATCTCTTTTCAAATCAGGAGCTGACTTGGGTTGGGACTGGGCTGTTGCTTAGTTAATTTCAATACACCTATTATAACTCTCCCCAAAATGAGATGAGTTATTCCTTCTAGGGGGACTTTGGGATTTAAACTTCTAGAGATTATGGGAACTCTCTCTGCCTTACTCCCAGTTTCCTGTCAGTGCTTAAGCTTCAAAAGTCCTCTTGGGGAGAACTGATAGGCGGAGAGGACTGAGTGACATTTGGGATCTTTCAGATTCCAATCTATCATGCCAGTCCACATAGTCCTTAGAAGTTCAGCTAATCTCTCCTTGCCTCAGCAGTAGCTCTGATTATAGAAGGCTTGCTCCTCTGTTTGCCTGGTTTCTATCTCAATAAATGTTCCCATGTATTTAAGTGACTGTTTGTCTTTACTTCTTTATGCAGTAGGGTTCATTTCTCTTTGCAATTTATTTTGTTTAGAATTCTCTGTGACCACATCTCTTTGATGGCTTTTTAGTTTATGTGAGGTCTTCTCAATAATATGGTAAGAGTGATGATCATTACAATGTACATATTAATTAGAAGCAAAACTCTACTTCCAATTATTTATATGGTTGCTTTTTAAAATTTTCTTGTTTTCGGTCTATTTCAGTGGATACTCCTTTTTTTTCTTGCCTGTTGATCTTGAATTCTTGTTTTCAATTTTACCAACACTTAAAATCTGCTATTAGTTCCCTTCTGGATTCTAACAGTAATAAATACATTTATTATTTATCCAAATAAATTTATGTCTAAACCTCTCTCCAACCAAGATACTATACATACCAATATCTCCTTGCTCCACATCAAGATTAAACTTTTAGAAGGCTTTTATTTCTCTATTCTTTTTATATAGTTAAGTTTAAAGAGATAAAAATGCATGGGAATTTGTAGAAGTGCTAAGTGTGAATTTATGAAACAAAATGATATAGTGTAAGAAAACACCTAATTTTTTCCTCTATGCCTAACAGAAAAATCTAATGTTTTCCTCTGTCTTGAGATTTCTGTTTCATTGAATTGTCATTTGGTTACAGTACTCTCTAAATCCTTGTATATCCAAATATGCCTTCCTTTGGATAAGAAACCCTTTATCTTGGTTGCCTATATGTTATTCCACTATCAGCCAGCTTCTAGTGTTTTAGATATGTCAGGTGCTCATGTGATTTTCTTTCCTATGTAAAGAACCTGTTCCTCCTCTATAGAAGCTTGTGATATTTTTCCTTTACCTAGGAAATCAGGAATTTCACTAGAGTACGGCTGAGTGCCTTTGTTATCATTAATCTTTTCCCGGGACTTGATAAACCCTTTGACCTGCAGAGTCTTATCATTCTTCTGCTCAGGGAAATTTTATTCTATTATTTAATTTTATAGCTCATCTTTACCTTCACAACTTTTATCTTCATGATAATCTTTTCAACTAATCTTCTATGTGAACATCCTTTCTACTCTAGAGATTTTAACATTTGAAGTCATATAGTTTAGTTTCTTTCGAAAGATCTACAAAGACTAAGACAAGAAGGCTAGCAAACCCTGGAGTATATATCAGAATGAAGTTTTCCTGGGATCTCAGTGCCAATATGTCAAGGCAAAGGGTTGGGGTGGGAGGACTTTGTTCTACTCGGTGTTGAGCAAGGATCTGTGCAGGGTAAGCAGGCTTTTTCCAAAGGTGTGAGTAGAAAATTAAGTTTTCAGAGTTCATTGAGGGCTTTCAGCCAGCAGAAGCTATAAATCCCCTTGGAAATGGGCAATATCTGTAAGTTTAATGTTTGTAGTACAATAAGGGCCTAGCAGATCCTATGAATCATAATAACCCTAAAAAGGGTCTATACACCTGGAAGAAATGGTTTCTGGAAGAACTGGCATTCAGTCCCAGTCATTGGGAGATGGCTGTAACTTGCAACTGATGAGACTTGAGAAGAGAGCCTTACTCCTGTGCCCCAGCAGAGGGGTATCAGTTGGGCAGGTTTGATTTTGCTACAACTCAGACTTCCATCAGTATAGCTGGGGCAATAGACCATGAAGAGGCAAAGAAAATAATTTTCTTCAAGAGCCTCAGTAGCCTGAAGAAGAAGAAATAAACTAGAACTGGTAGTGATACTGATGACAATAGAAGAATTAGAGAGTCTTTTAAATTAAACCAAAACAAACAAAAAACAACTATTAAGATTTCTTGCCAGGTGCAGTGGCTCATGTCTGTAATTCCAGCACTTGGGGAGGCTGAGGCAGAATTGTTTAAGCCCGGGAGTCTGAGACTAGCCCTGGCAACATAGCGAGACCCTGTCTCTACCGGAAAAAAAAAGAAAAAAAAAAAAGAAAAAAAAAATTAGCTGGATGTGGGTGTGCATGTGTAGTCCAGCTACTTGGGAGGATGGCTTGAGTTGAGCCTGGGAGGTCAAGGCTTCAGTGAGCTATGGTTGCACCACTGCACTCCAGCCCAGGTGACAGGGTGAGACTTTGTCAAATACACACAAAAGTTTAAGTTAATTACTAAACAACAAGATAACCCTATTTTAAAGGAAGGAAACAGTGGCTTTCAGAAAGTAAATTAGAAGGTAGGTAACATTCCTAAGGTCATATAACTAAAAGCAGCAGTACCTGGACTGACACCCACACCTCTAAGCCACAAACCCTTCAGACCCATTTATGTGTTTGTTTAGCCCCTGTGGTTGGGACCTGATTTTTTTCATCTTCATATCCACAGTGCCTAACCCAAATGCTTAAAATACAGAAGGTCTTCAAGAATTGACTCAAATATTAACTGAATGAATCTATTCTCCTATGCCACATTCACCAGATTCATATGCTACAATGCAGTGTTAGGTGTATTAGTCATCAGAATGCCTGAGTTAACGTACTAGGACTGTTTTAAAAAACGTTAATTTACCCTTTGGTAATGTTCCTAAACTTAGTGCAAAACTGAAATGTTTTACAGTCATGTGCTGAGTAATGATGTTTTAGTCAATGACAGATCGCATATACAATGAGGGTCTCATAAGATTATAATACTGCATTTTGCTGTACCTTTTCTATGTTTAGATACACAATTTTTACCATTGTATTACAACTGCCTATGGCATTAGGTATGGTCACATGCTGTACAGGTTTGTAGTGTAGGAACAGTTGGCCATACCATATAGCTTAGGTGTAGTAGGCTATACTATCTAGGTTTGTGTAAGTACACTCTATGATATTTGCATAATGAAAAAAATCACCTAACTATGCATTTCTTAAAATGTATCGCCACTGTTAAGCAATGCGTGACTATACTTAAACATTTCCCTAATTTCCCAGATACTAATACAGTCTAGAGAAGATAATAAAAGAAATTTTATGTTTCTTGGGAGACACTTTTAGTATTTATTTTGTAGAAAATCAGATCATGACATTTTATTCCATTGTACCTAATCTGAACAGCTGAAAGCATACATTTTTTAGTTTTCCTAAACCCTACCAACCTTTAACTCAGGACTACGATCAAAGAAAGAAGAACAAAGACAAACAGATAGGCTGCAAAACAAAAACAGACAGGAACATGTGCCAAGTTTTGAAGACAGAACATATGTCCAGCAATCTTATGTATCATTACCAAGTGGTTACAAGCTACTTGCTAAGCACAAGGCACTGTTCTGGGAACAGGAGAAGCTCTAACCTCCCTTTCATGACATCTTAAGAGTTACTTGTTTCGGGCAATATGATACCTATGCATCCTATGTCAGTTTTGGCAATCCCCGGGGATCTTTCTATATAGAACAGAGATAGAATTATGGTTTGATTATCTGTGCCTATGAAAACATGAGATTTATTACATTCCAGTAGAATACAGTTACTGAAGGCAGAGATCTTTTCTGCTAGTTTATATATACATATATATATATATATATATATATATATTTTTTTTTTTTTTTTTTTTTTTGAGATGGAGTCTTGCTCTGTTGCCTAGGCTGGAGTGCAGTGGCGCAATCTCGGCTTACTGCAAGCTCCACCTCCAGGTTCACGCCATTCTCCTGCCTCAGCCTCCCGAGTAGCTGGGACTACAGGTGCCCGCCATCACGCCTGGCTAATTTTTTGTATTTTTAGTAGAGACGGGGTCTCAGTGTGTTAGCCAGGCTGGTCTCGATCTCCTGACCTCGTGATCCACCCGCCTCAGCCTCCCAAAGTGCTGGGATTACAGGCGTGAGCCACCGCGCTCGGCCCTTTTCTGCTAGTTTAATGTGAAGAAGTTATCTGTACTGAGACTGCAAGCCTTTCTTAAGAACTGGAAAAGAAGGTAAACTATGTTTTGCAGATAATATAATTTTATATCTAGTAAGTCCAAAAGAATCAATGCTAAAATTAACACAATCAGTACCAGAACTAATAAACTGGAAAGTCAGCATCATATAAAATTTAATATACAAACGTCAATTTCTCTTACATATTCAAACAAATTAGAAGATACAATGAAAGAGAATATTTCACTTATAAGGGCAATATAAATAATAATATGAATAAATACAACAAAAAATGTGTAAAACAGTATGAAGAACACCTTAAAATACTTCTGAAAAACACAAAAGTCCAGGTGGCCCTTGACTTATGAAGGTCTGACTTAACAATTTTTCAACTTTACCATACTTTGAAAGTAACATGCTTTCAGTGGAAAGCATACTTTGAGTACCCATACAACTACTCAGTTTTTCACTTTCAGTGGAATATTCAATAAACTACATGAGATATTCAACACTTAATTATAAAATAGGCTTTGTCTTAGATGATGTGGCCCAACTGTATGCTAATGTAAGTGTTCTGAGCATGTTTAAGGCAGGCTAGGCTAAAGTATGATGTTTGGTAGGTTTGGATGCTTTTCTGACATATTATGGGTTTACTGGGCTATAACTCTATTGTAAGTCGAGGAGTATCTAGTTGGAACATCCCATGTTGTGTGACAAGACAATGTAGCATCATATAAATGTGAGCTCTCCCCAAGACAATATATAAATTTAATATGATTTTAATTTTTAAAAAGTTTTTTTTTCCAGCACTAGACAAGTTGATTCTGAAAATCATATAGAAGAACATGTAAGAATACCTTAAAAAAATCCCGAGGGGAAAAAAACGAGCAACCACTGGAAATAAACACTACTCAATATTAGTATATATCATAAAAAGCCTCTGTAACTAAAATAATGCAATATTAACACGAGTAGCCATGTAGATGAACAGAATAGATTAAAATGTTTAGAAAAAGATTCAAGTACATACGGTTTATGAAGAAGAAGAGATGTTTTCATATACATGGTGTTGGGACAATATGTTGGGGACAAGTGGATGGACATTTTGAAAAATAAATTGAATCCATACTTTGCAACATTTGTACTGCAAAGTCAAAAGCCAAATGACAAAATGGGAAAAATATTTGTAGCCTTTATTATTGATAAATGACAAGGCTCCCTATTATGTCAAACGAAAGCATACAAATATACAATAAAGACAACTGGGAATATCAATATAAACTTGATTTTGTAAAAATATATTTTCAAGTTATGTTCACTGAAAGGATCTAGAAGGAATGATTCCCCAATAGCAATGAGTGTACTTAGTCCCAGATTTTAGTTTCTAAATTGCATTACCTACTAATAGTATCAGAGTTCTTTGGAGAAATGACTGATTCCAGCTCTGGGGTAGGGATAGTACCAGATGAACTTAGGACATTATAAGCACAGAAGTGCTCAAAGGCTAACTGGTTCATATCAAAGGACATAAGAGCAGGAATGAATGGGCTCTCCTTTGCCAAATTGGGGACAATTTGAGCCACACTCAAAAAATGTTAGAAAAGTAGTACAACAAATTGAATGAAAAAAACCCATAGTACTCATATAGAAAGAAAGACAGGAATGGGGGGCGGGGCGGGGCGCAGTGGTGGGGGCAAAGAAAACACTCTACTGAAGAATAAGGTGATAACAGCACTAGAAAACACCATTTTGTATCCTCAGCCCACTACAATAATTATTTCAGGCTAGGATCATCAATGGACACTGAAATCACTAAGTAGGGTTACTAAGCCCACTAAGTAAGGAACACACACAAAGAACAAAGGAAGGTTGGGAACAAGATATTCACATGGCCTTAAAGTATCATTCCACAGATTATTCAACAATTACAAAGAAAAGAAAATTAATTTTTACAATGAAGAGATCTGGTGTTCACCACCTTAATTAAGGACTAAACTTGACAACACCAAAAGTGGGACAAGCTGACATGATATGCACCCGATATGATGCAAACCATTTACATGTACTTTGTAGATTTTTTTTATAGTATTTTTGCCAAAAAAGTTTAGCCTGAATATAATCAGGATGAAATACATTCAAAATGTTGGACATTTTATAAGACAGTGGGTCGAAGGCCGGGCGCAGTGGCTCACGCCTATAATCCCAGCACTTTGGGAGGCCAAGGTGGGCAGATCACGAGGTCAGGAGTTCGAGACCAGCCTGACCAACATGGTGAAACCCCATCTCTACTAAAAATACAAAAATTAGCTGGGCTTGGTGACGCATGCCTGTAATCCCAGCTACTCGGGAGGCTGAGGCAGGAGAATCACCTGAACCCGGGAGGCAAAGGTTGCAGTGAGCTGAGATCGCATCATTGCAATCCAGCCTCGGTGACAGAGCGAGACTCCATCTCAAAAAAAAAAAAAAAAAAAAAAAAAAAAAAAAAAAAAAAAGTTGGTCCAGTTTGACTCAAAAGTCAATGTCATAACAACCAAAGAAAGATTCTAGATTAACTGATATTAATGACACGACAAGCAATTTAAGTATGAATCTGGACTGGATGCTGAATAAAATAAGCAAGCAAACAAAAAACTGCTTGAGACTTATTTGACACAATTACGGAAATCTGAATACGAACTGTTTATTAGATTAGAATCTTGGTTATTTTTCTTAGGTATGATAATGGTACTGTGGTTAGACAGTAAAATATCCTTACTTTAGCAAATGTATGATGAAGTTTTGGGAAGGAAGAAGAAAATGCAAATTTAGGGGTTTTATTTTACATTTTTCCAATTTTTTATGGTTAAAAAAAATTTCAAAATAAAGTTGGGGAATAATAGGCCCTGAATAGACATTTAATTATCTTACAGTAGGCAAACTGAATCTTCAACAGTTTTGCCTGAATAGACGATTATCTTACAGTAGGCCACCGAATCTTTAACAGTTTTGAACACTGTAAAATATTCCACATAAGCAGAGTAATCTGGCTTTGAGTTATTTATTTATTTATTTATTTATTTATTTATTTATGATACAGGGTCTTGCTTGGTTGCCCAGGATGGAGTGCAGCGGCATAATCATGGCTCACTGCAGCCTTGATCTCCTGGGCTCAAGTGATGCTTCCACCTCAGCCACCCGAGTAGTGGGACTACAGGCATGTACCACCACACTCAGCTACTTTTTAAATTTTTTTGTAGTAACGGGGTCTCACTATGTTGCCCAGGCTTGTCTTGAATTCCTGGCCTCAAGCAATCTTCCTGCCCCAACCTCCCAAAGTACCAGGCGCATGAACCACTGAGCCCAGCCTGAGTTCTTATTTTAAAAATGTCTCAGCATTATTAAAAGCAATTAGAAAACAAATAGAGCACTCCTTCTCAACTCTGGATTTATCAGATCACCTTCCTAAACATAAGAGAAAGCTAAAAAATTAATGCATGAATGAATAAATATTATATATTTATATTCTACATGTTGACTGCTCTATTCAATAAATTTACTATGTTTATTGAAAAATAATGTTTTCTGGGAAAATTACTGTCCCAACCAGAGATATCAGTTATTTATAATTCTCCATGATTAGTATTTGTTCCTTTACAATTAGAAAAAAACATACTTCAAGGGATAATTTATTAGTATAATATGCCCTGACTCTGGGGCCATTCTGCATGTATTAGAAGACTGGCTCTGACAATTGTTAGATATGTGATCTTGGACTAGTTATTTGCAACTCACATCTCTGGGAAGACCTTCTTGGGCTATGCCAGTCTTTAATAATCTGTATTATTTATTCCCAAATATTAGTCAAAAATAAAATTCACTGATAAAATGAATACATAAAGTTAGCAGATTTAATAGACTTCTAAACTAATGCCCAAATAATTTAATTGTGCTAACCAATAATCAAATACCAACTATACTAATTTCTACCTAAAACCATAAAGAGTTGCCTACAATTTTTAGTATTTGATAAATTTCCTCAGTAAACTCTAATATGGATTGAAGTCTGTTCAAATCGTATCGTTTGTGACATGCTCTATATATTCTATCTGAGGCTAGCAGGATGTGTTCCTAATAAAGCCTGCCACATATTTATTACACTGGCAAAGCCAACAAACTTCAATTCTGTGTGTTCAATCCTTAAAATATAATTTAATATCTGTCTTTAACATTATTTTAACAATAATGTTATAGATTGAAAGTAGATTAACAATAGATTAACATAGATTTAACAATATATTATGGACTGAAAATCAAAAGTATAAATATAACAAGGATAAGAAAGGTAAATTTATAATTTCAGTATTTCCTTTTTACTGATTTGTTATTACAATGCAGAGTTAAAAAAATACAACAACAAAAGAAGCTTCTTGTATTTTCTTGTTTCCTCCTTTTTTTCCTTACTGTCTTTCTGGGTAAGAAACATCCAAGTTATCCACCTCATAGTCACCCCTAATAGTTCTTAGTTTCTTTTCACTAAATAGCCTCTTCCAGCTTATCTCATTAACTCCCATGGGCTCAAATACCACACATATACCAATGACTCCTTCATCTATACTTACACTCTAAGCCTATATTCCAAAATACACTGTATAGTTCCTAGCACAGGGCTTGACTCATAGTAGGATATTTAATAAATGAGGTTCAAATGATTGAGCAAGCTATTAGATATCGTGTTTCAGAAATGCCATAATATCTTGTAGGCATTTCAAACTTAATATATCTAAAATACAATTCATTATCTTCCTCTCAATATTCCTGTATCTCCTATTTTCATTTATGGATTGCTATCCACTCATTCACCTAAATTAGAAGCCTCTGGCACCCTCAAATTCTACTTCTCTATCTTCACTCACATTCTAGACCTCCACGTTAATGATTTAACATCTCCACTCTCTTACTTCAACCCCCTTCTCCTACCTCAATTATTAAATCACCTTTTAACTGGCCTTCCTAGCTGTAATGCCCTAACACCTTTTATGATTCTTCTCATCTTACAATTAGTTCACATACTGTCTTCTCTATGAGGCCTTATTGTCTTCTTTAACACAGAATTTGTTACTATATCATCTGCATTCTCTAGTACACTTTGTTCATTCCTTTTACAGCAAATATCAAACTATGCAATCCCATCTACCTACCTATTTAAAAATAGGTTTCCAGTGAATACTAGCAGTGCTAGGGATGGGGCTGAGTTCTGCACTTCATTCCTACAAGGTTCTGTACAATCTGGGCCTGCTGCTACCTCTCTGAACTTACTGTTTTCTACTCTCCTCCTTGTTCCCTCCAATCTAGCTATACTGACCTCTTTGCTGTTCAAAATGCATACCAAGTACATTCCTGTTTCAGGATCTTGGATGGGGATGCTATTCTCCCAAACAACTTACAGCTTCCTAGCTTCCTTCCTTCCTAGCTTCCTTTTTTCCAAGCTCCCTTCCCTTTCCTTCCTTCCTTCCTCCCTCCCTCCCCCAACTCCCTCCCTCCTTCCCCTTCTCCCTCCCTCCCTCCCCTTCACCCTCTCCCTCCCTCCCCTTCCCCTCTTCCTCCCTCCTTCCTTCCTTCCTTCCTCCCTCCCTCCCTCTCTTTCTTCTTCTTTGTCGTCATCTGAATTTTGCTTAATTCTCAGCTACTTTGTGAAGCTTTCCTTGACCACTCCATTTAAACAGCAACCCAACCCTACTCCTCAGGTGCAACTCCCTTCCCTGCTTTGTCGTTATAATGTTTTTATTTAACAGCCCTCTGCATCCATGGGTTCTGCATCCACGCATTCAACCAACCATGGATTGAAACTATTCAGAAAAGAAATGCATCTGTAATGAACACATAGACTTTTTTCTTGTCATTATTCCCTATACAATACGGGACAACTATTTATACAGCATTTACATTGTATTAGGTATTATAAGTAATCTAGAGATTATTTAAAGTATATAGGAGGATGTACACAGGCAATATCCAAATACTGTCCATTTTATATTGGGGACTTGAGCATCCAAGGACCTTGCTATCTACAAAGGGTCGTAAAACCAACTACCCAGATACTGAGGGATAACCAGACTACATTTGCTTAATGTCATTCTCCACTAGAAGGTAAGCTACACAAAGATGTGGAGTTTTACCAGTTTTGTTCACTGATACGTTCAGAGCATGTATAAAAGTGCCTGGGACACTGTAAGTATGCACTGGGTACTTACTGAATGTATAAATGCTCTTGCATTCCCAGTACCTGCATGTGTACAAATTAAACATCTTTTTAAGTAAAATAACCCCCCCCCCCCCAAAAAAAAAGTACAAAGTTAAAACAAGAAGGGATTTAATGGTGGAAAACATTTTTTGGTCCATTACATTGGTATGGTATTGAGAATGTGAGATGGTGTGAACCCATTTTTTCCAGGTCTTTCCATAAAAGAGACATTTTAAGTTCTAGGGAAAACTTTTAAATTTAAACTTTGAACATAAGCATGATGATTTAGAAAAAGATTTTCATATCCAAAGCAAAGAGAAGTTATTTTTAAAAATATGCTTATTATGTTATTTTTTCCCTGCAGTAGTTCAGTGAACATTAAGCACATTAATTTGCCTGTTATATGTGCATTTATATCTGCCTTTTACATTAGCTTTTAAAGTGTTTTACTTTCAACTCTTCATTAAATCTTCACTTCAAAATCAGACTAAAAAGACTGAGATAACATTATGCCTCATAATGTCACTACTGAAGAAGGGAAAAAAAAAGGAAAAGTGGACTCCCACAAAAAACAAGCTTCACTGATTCTAAGTTGGCCAAAACAAAACACCTGTTCATGCCCTATATTTCTCAGACAAATTTAACAGCAATGAGATGTAAAAGACTTGATTCCTTTTAAAAAAAGTGGCAAGTATACACAATAACACATATACATACAAACACCCATATAGACATTAATATGAAATACAAACACACCCACATAGACATTAATATGAAATAAACTGGAGTCCTACTAAGCATAAACTCACTTATTCTCAGAATGCCGTAAGATCCTTGGGAGGCAGATTTGAAGAAAGCATACTAAGATCATTATATGACTTGTGACACATGAGCCTTACAAAAGGCCAGCAACGAAATCCAGATTCTGAGTTCTAAGCTATCATTTAGAGAACTCCAAAATAGATGATACTGTTGTATACTGCATGGGCAAGATAAATTTCTAAACAAGGCCATAAAACTAAGTGCACTTTATAAGGATGATACATGTAATCGGACTTACTCTCCCCTCTGTGCTGCCACAGTGTTTTATACGCATGCCCTGTTGAATTTACCACCATCATATTATAACTATTTCTTTGCCTGCTGGACTCCCCAGATAGACTGGAAAGCCTCTGAGGGCTTTCATCTTCCATTTCTCGCAGTGCTTGGCAGAGTCTCTGTTACATAGTAGGCTCTCCATAAACAATGCTTGATGAAATGCTTCAATTAACTTTTGAAAATATTAAAAATGTTTTTATTTTTTAAACTGAATAACAGTTTTCATTAGAGTACTTCTATTAAAATGTGTTATTTCTGGTTCTTCTCAAAAAAAGGATGGAAACCAGTTAGAAATCATTCTTAACTTTTATTCCTTATGAATTACAGTTGAATGTTTTCTTAGAGAAAGTTGAGGAAAAAAGTAAATTGTCTGAAATAAGAACAATGTTCCACTTTTTACTTATTAACCATTTATAACACAAAAATCTCTTACATTGTTTAAAAAAAAATGACCAGTCACGCATATAGTCATTTGTCACTTTCCGTATTTCTCAGTAACTTTGCTCTCACACTGGTAGGCAAGTTGCTGACTAAGAACAACACAGTGATTCTTTACATTTTCATTCACTTTTCATTCAAGGAAAAGGCTTCTTAAAAATGTGCATTTAAAATTCTAGAAAATACAAATCAACATTATCTCTAAGTCTCTATCATTACCAGAAGGTCTGGTTCCTAAACCTAATTTCCATTGTTAGTTAACATCTTCAATAAGTGATGGATATTCATTTCCAGAAAACATTACCAGTAAATTCTATTATATCACAGACTGTTCACTATCCAGACCAAACTGACTAAACCACAAAATGCAAAAGTATGCACTTCACTTCTCTAAGGGAAACCTTAGGGCTATTCTGAGTATAGTTTTAGCAGATTATGACCTAAGGGTAAATGAGAGCTTAATTAGATAGCCTCCTTCTGAATTTCCAGAGCTTTCAGTAGACACAAACTAAAATGTTTAAAAACTAAAAATTTCTTGTCACAGATTTAATTTTTTAAAAAGTTACTCTGAGACATAAGGATTTACAAAGGAAATAAAAAAAACTGTTATTTTTGTGATACAAGTGCTATTTCATTTTTCCCCCAGAGGAGGAAACATGAAGAGCTGCTTGCTTGGTTCCAGGCGGTGCCCATCCTAAGCAAAATTAGTAAAAAAAAAAAAAAAAAAAAAAAAAAAAAAAAATATATATATATATATATATATATATATACATATAAAATAATAATAATTTTTTAAAAATTGGATCACTTACCACAGAATCACAGAATATAATGGCTGAAATGAACACTGATGTGAAATATGCGAAAACAAGTATATATGATTAATTTGGAGAAAAAGACCTTTTATTTTGTGAATTAAAATATTTTTCATTATCAGAAATGTGTCCAACATTTTGTATATATAAATATATACACTGTAATAGTGAAGAACTAAAGATGGCTTAAAATTATGATTGATTGATTCCTTCCTTCCCCCCTCCCTTTTTTTTTTTTTTTTTTTTTGAGACAGGGTCTTGCTCTGTCACCCAGGCTGGAATGTAGTGGTACAATCATGGTTCACTGCAGCCTCAACCTCCTGGGTTCAATCGATTCCCCTCTGCCTCAGCCTTCTGAGTAGGTGGGACCACAGGCATGTGCCACCACTCCTGGATAATTAAAAAAACATTTTTTTTAAAGAGACAGGGTCCCACTGTGTGGCCCAGGTTGGTCATGAACTCCTAGGCTCAAGTGAATCACCTGACGGGATTACATTGGTATGGTATAGAGAATATGAGATGGTGTGAACCCATTTTTCATACCCAAAGCAAAGTGTTGGGATTACAGGTATGAGTCATCTTGCTCAGCCAGAATGGAATACTCATTTTCTTCAAAGGCATGTATTAAGTGTATTATCAGAAAAAAAAAGTTATAGAAAAACCTATTTTAAAATCTAAGTATTTGGAAATATATTTTATAACAACATCATTTTATATGCCCAATTATCTTAAAAATTGAACTGTCCATTTCGATTTGAGATTACAAAATTATAAAATGCATTTTATGGTTGATAGTAAACTATATTAATGTAGTCATATCGTCAAACTATAAAAAAATAAAGTTATGCCTGGTCAAAATAATTTAGCTACTTTATAACCAACCCTCTCATCTCACCTGTTGCAGCCATATGGCATTGTTGTAATTCTTCCTTCAATTCTCACTTTTGAGTAAACTGATTACTGAGTTTCCTTTACCCTAGAGGCAAAGCAGTGAGTTGCAAAACATTTACTACTTTCACCACGGTATAAATTATGTTCCGATAAAGTAGCTGAAACCTTTCAAGTCTTCTACTTTATATAATAAAAACCACTTATTGAAATGTTTTCAACAGTATGCCTGAAAGTTATATTTAGAAATAATACATATGTACCACAGAAATATAGATTTTAACATAAGACATTTACTAGGTTTAGTTCTAAGAACATAGTGCTTTCCCTTTCTAAAATTTAGTGGGAAGTTAGATAAATTTAAAATAAAAACATTCAATGATTAAAGTAGTTCTGAATATAGTTATAAAGATACAATCTATTATTCCTATTGCACTGTAAGACAAACAAATTTTGGTATTTAAAACCTTTCACTTGTAGTAAACATTTTCCTGTCCTCTATTTTCAAATGACAAGTCTCTGAAATGAAATAATAACTTGCTCAAGTCACAGCATTAAGCAACAGAATATGGATCTAAATACAAATGCCTCTGACCTCCGGCTAAGTGCTACCAGAATCTCATGTATTTATTTAAATAGGAAAAATAAGACACTTCTAGAGTCCCTATTCAAGCTAATCAAAATTGCTTATTAATAACATCTTCAAAATCATGATGATGAAATGCCACCACAAAATCTTCAACATTAGGCAAGTTTTATTATTAAAAGTGTTATTTGCATTCAGTTTTTTAAATGGTAATCTATTCTTTATATTGTAACATCTGATTTGCTGGGAGTCAGATAATGAAGTGGATTTTATAAACTTGCACTGGCCCATATGGTACCTGCTGGCTAGATGTGGTTTTTAAAATGTAAATTGGACAGGCATGGTAGCTCACACCTATAATCCCAGCACTTTGGGAAGCTGAGGTGGGCGGATCACCTGAGGTCAGGAGTTCAACACCAGCCTGCCCACCATGGTGAAATCCCGCCTCTACTGAAAATAAGAAAATTAGCTGGGCATGGTGGCAGGTACTTGTAGTACCAGCTACTTGGGAGGCTGAGGCAGGAGAATCACTTGAACCTGGGGGACAGAGGTTGCAGTGATCCGAGATCGCGCCACTGCACTCCTGCCTGGGCGACAGAGCAAGACACCATCCCCCCCACCTCCCAAAAAAGTAAATTAATTAAAATGAAATAAAATTAAAAATTTAGTTCCTATGTTACACCAGCCTCTAGCTACCATGATGGATTGTGTACATCTAGAGTTCAGAAAAGAGGTATGGGTTGAAGATAAATATCTGAAAATCACTGGCATATGAGTTAAAGTCATGGGATCACTAAGGGAGTGGGCATATATAGGGAATAAAACAGGGTCAAATTGCAGTGAAACCATCTTATAAGACATGGAAGAAAAGAGGAAAAATTAGCAAAGGAGAATGAAGAGTGCCTAATGAGATAAGAGGCAAAACAAGAGAATGTGGTATCCCAGAAACCATGTATTTAGAAGTGATCCAATGTGTCAAATGCTGCTGATAGGTTAAGCAAGATAAGAACAAAGAATTGACCACTGGAATTAGCAATGAAAAGGTCACTTTTGAGCTTGAAAAGAAGAGATTAGAGATTTCAACAAATTCATAGAAGACGGAAAACGATTAGAAACATCTGTCTGAAAACATTATTGGAGGGCTGTAGTAGATATAGAAGCTATCTGACTATGAAACCTGTGAATTTGGAATCAGCATATTTGTATGGGGGAAAACCTGACTGAAAACCAGGAGAAGTAACAGAAGATTCATTTGTACAATACGTAAGCTAAACAGGCTGTGAAATCCCTGGAAAGTGAAGGATGCCCAGCATTAACAGCCTGCCACAAAACAAAAACAAAAACAAAACAAAACAAGGAAACATTGATTGATTTAGGAAGGTGTAATGGCAGAAATCAGTGTCTTTAAATTCTTTCTTAACTTACCCCAGACACATAAGTCTGAGGCTTTAATATATTCACAACATTTTTACCATTTTTATGATGTTATAGCATTTACCAATGGGAGAACACTGATCACACTGTAGTGAGTAACTGTCTACTTCTAACAAAAAACTGTTGACTCTTGAAGGCAGGGTGTATAATTTTTAATCTGAACAACTAGCACAAAACATATCGTCTGGCCTACTATAAGCAGTTCAGAAGCTGAATACAACAAGTGGTTTCTGAAGGATAAAGGCTGAATTAGAAATTTGGTGTTAATTCCTAATCTGAAGTTCATTCCTCCACGTATCAGTGCTTCTGTCAATAAACAATTGTAACAAAACATTTTTGGTAAAAAAAAAAAAAGCACCTTTTCTTCCATTTTGATGTTATCTACTATAGAAAAGTGTTTTGTTTTTTTTTTTCTTTTTTGAGACGGAGTCTCGCTCTTCCGCCCAGGCTGGAGTGCAGTGGCATGATCTCGGCTCACTGCAAGCTCCGCCTCCCGGGTTCACACCATTCTCCTGCCTCAGCCTCCCAAGTAGCTGGGACTACAGGCACCTGCCACCGTGCCCAGCTAATTTTTTATATTTTTAGTAGAGACGGGGTTTCACCGTGTTAGCCAGGATGGTCTCGATCTCCTGACCTTGTGATCCGCCTGCCTCGGCCTCCCAAAGTGCTGGGATTACAGGTGTGAGCCACCGTGCCTGGCCTAGAAAAGTGTTTTTTCTTTTCTTTTTTTGTTTTTTTTGAGACGGAGTTTTGCTCTTGTCATCCAGGCTGGAGTGCAATGGCGTGGTCTCAGCTCACTGCAACTTCCGCCTCCCAGGTTCAAGTGATTCACCTGTCTAAGCCTCCCGAGTAGCTGGGATTACAGGCGCCCACCACCATGCCTGGCTAATTTTTGTAATTTTAGTAGAGACAGGGTTTCATCATGTTGGCCAGGCTGGTCTTGAACTCCTGACCTCAGCTGATTGGCCCACCTCGGCCTCCCAAGGGGATCATAAGGCATGAGCCACCCCACCTGGCCTTTTTTCTTTTTTCTTTTTGAGACAGGGTCTTGCTCTGTCTCGACCTCCAGGCTCAAGTGATCCTGCCATTTCAGCCTCTTGAGCAGCTGGGACTATAGGCACATGCCACTACACCTGGCTAACTATTTTGTATTTTCTGTAGACAGAGCTTCGTCATGTTGCCCAAGCTGGTCTCAAACTCCTGAGCTCAAGTGATCTTACACCTCAGCCTCCCAAAAGTGCTGGGATTACAGGCATGAGACACAGCACCTTGTTGAAAAGCATTTTCTTAAGAGAGGAAAAACTACAGGTTGCAAAATGGAATTATATGAAGTATCTCAAGATTTTTTGATACCTCTGGGGATTATGTTCTTAGAGATGGTCAAATTCTAAGAGAAACAGAGGCTAGCAAATGGAGTTCTGTTGTTGCTTTTGTTCTATTTTAATGTCTGTGGAATAAAGGATTGTCCCCCAACCGAACCCATGCCCTGTAGATTTTGGCCAGATTACACAGATGAGAGAATACTTTGATTTTAATCATCTTAAAATCTCAATGTTATCTCATTACATGCCAAAGACGGCTTAAGGGTGGTACTCGTGTAGAAAGCTAAAGTTTGGAAAGTTAAGTGTTCTAGTGGATTACTCAAGTTTAAGATGCTTGACAACTTTCTTCTTGAAATTACTTCATCTTAATGCCTTTTTTGGCATGCTTCTAAAAATACTATATCCATTATTTGTCTCTTTGACATGTTCCTTTTCCTATAATCATCACTTAACAAATTTTATTAAGTTGTATCTTAAAATATCTTCCACTCTTTTGGCAATAAAACAAACTGTATAATTTCAAACTAAAAAAAAAAATCAAAAAAGCCTCCCATAACCTCATACTGTTTATTCTCCCAATATTTTATGAGTTTCAAAGTATTAAATGTATTGTGTTGATTCTGACAATTCTATGAAGTAGGAAATGTGGAGACATTTATCCGAAGAGAGAAAGTGAACTACCTAACAAAACAGTTAGGAAGTGGTGGGATCCCAGGTCGGCTCAGTTCTTCTGGCTGGCTGACCCTGAGTCTAGTGCTTTTTCCACCATAATATACATGTGTTGAATTCAGCAAAGTGACTGTCTGGAAAACAAATTCTTGTCGTTAAAAACTGCATAATAAAAACATTTTTGATTCTTTTTAGTACCATAAAAGACATTTAAGGGCATCTGCCTATAGAAATCAGTTAATTTTGTAGATTACCTATTAATCTACAATAGTGAATTAATGCCTTTTACCTATTGTACCACCTGAAACACTGGAATTTTGAAAGTCTGAAACCAGAATTAAATCAAACATTCTTTTTCAATTAACAGTTTAAAGTTCATGAAGTAATACTAACAGAAAGCTCTGCCAATTCTGACGAGATGAGAAAGTCTTTGAAGCTCATTTTACCTTCCTTAAAATGGAAACCCCCTTATACCATCAGCTGTGTTTATTGAGAGTCATTCTAATTATTAATTTTTGCCAAAATGTTTTTTCTTTGAAATACAAGAATCATCATGCTTCCAGCTTAGATGTAATCTACCTTCTACAATGGCTTATACAAGAATATCACAGAATCTCTGGTGAAATTATGATCCAGGATTCATTTCACATTTCAGTTGTCTAAAAAGTTTTACATTTCTCTATAAAAAATTAAAACTTCAATATACCAAAATCTTAAAAACAGTAAAAAATTTAACTGGAACAATGACTCTCAATTTTAAGAGCTGGTCAAGGGAATGTAAGTATATACTTTCAAAGACACACAAAATGAATGAAAAAATGCAGTTCTTCGACCAGATGCAGTGGCTCATGCCTGTAATCCCAGCACTTTGGGAGGCTGAGATGGGCGGATCACTTGAGGTCAGGAGTTCAAGACCAGCCTGGTCAACACGGTGAAACCCCGTCTCTACTAAAAATACAAAAATTAGCTAGGCATGGTGGCAGGCGCCTGCAATCCCAGCTACTCAGGAGGCTGAGGCACGAGTATCACTGGAATCTGAGAGGCGGAGGTTACAGCGAGCTGAGACCGCGCCACTGCACTCCAGCCTGGGTGACAAGAGTGAGGTTCCGTGTTAAAAAACAAAAAATACGGCCAAGTGCAGTGGCTCATACCTGTAATCCCAGCACTTTGGGAGGCCAAGGTGGGCGGATCACGAGGTCAGGATATCGAGACCATCCTGGCTAACATGGTGAAACCCTGTCTCTACTAAAAAACACAAAAAATTAGCCAGGCATGGTGGCGGGCACCTGTAGTCCCAGCTACTCGGGAGGCTGAGGCAGGAGAATGGAGTGAACCCGGGAGGCAGAGCTTGCAGTGAGCCGAGATCGTGCCACTGCACCAGCCTGGGTGACAGAGCAAGACTCTGTCTAAAAAAAAAAAAAAAAAAAAAATACAGTTCTTCAAATATTATTCAACATGTCGATGCACAAGAGTTAGCTTGACAGATCTCTTAACCAATACCACAGTCACTGAATAATTTTATGATCTTGTTTAAATCAAATATTTTCACTGTGAAGGAAAATAGGATATGGCAAAACATTCGATTAAATGGTTGGTTATCAAGTTTAACATAGTTTTACAAGGTCTAACGGAGAACACAAATAAAATTTGGAGAAGGCAGAAGCTATTCATAGTTTTAAAAAATCATGTCATCCCTATCACCACACTGTAAGTTTACAATTAATAAAGATAATATGAAGAGTGCATGAATAAAGTCATATTAATAAAATGATTCATTTTCTTTTGTTTGACTCGACTTATCGATTTAATATGAATTAAATTTAATTTAGAGCAATGCTGTGAAAATATATACAAAGTCCATAAAAATGAAATATGCTGTCCTTCAAATATAAACATGCAAAGATGATACAACTACCACATTGCCAGTAGTAACACTTCCTGCTAATTTCTCTCCCCTACCTACCCATAACAGTGATTTTTATTACTGAATAATCCACATTTTAAAACTTAGTTTTACAGCAAGCTTGTCCAACCCATGGGCCACATGATGACTTTGAATGTGGCTCAACATAAATTCATAAATTTTCTTTAAATATTATGAGTTTTTTTGTGTTTTTTTTATTTTATTTTTTTTAAACTCATGAGCAATCGTTAGTATTAGCGTATCTTATGTGCGGCCCAAGACAAGTCTTCTTCCAATGTGGCCCTGGGAAGCCAAAAGATTGGACACCCCTCTTCTATAGTAGGGACTCTTGAGATGGTTGAGTGTGATCTTGATTCAGATAAAATAACATAGAATAAAACTTCTCTGTACAGAGCCTGTTGTTTGGACTGGAGACTACATACCATAATTACTGGAAACCAAGCCTTAAAAAAGTCTAACAATTGACAAACATAATTATATTTAAAGGTTAAAGAAAGATGTAAGTTCATTAATCCTCAGGAAATAGGATGTCCTCCTTGACACCTCAGTCTCAAAAACCACACCTTTTCCAAAGAGTTATACTGTTTATATTATTACTTTGCAATATATCTTAGAACTCTAAAGCTAGTAAAAAAAAGAAGGTAATACTCATAGCCAGAGGGCCCACTTAGCAATGTGGCAGGACAACGAATGAAGGAGTGGCTCTAGACAGTCTCCCTGAGGGCTGTGAGCAGGGAGCCCACTTCATCTCCCTAAACATGTACCGTCGTCTAGGAATAGGCAGTTTGGTATGGTGAGGATAAGAAGTACTGAGCTAGACATGACTGCCACTAGCTATGTGAATTCTAACATGTCAGCCTCTCTGATTCTCGGTTTCACTGTACAGAAATTGAGTAATAAAAGTTTTGAGGTCCCAGAAGCTCTAAAATGATTTCACTCCCTATGATTTTCATGTTTACTCTACTTTTCAGAGAGTTTTGTTGAAGATCAAATAAGGATATATATGAAAGCACTTTATAAATTTTCATACAAATGCAAGTTGCTGTTATTGTTTCATAGATTTTCTTCATTACACTAGAAAAGCATGGAAACAGTTTTGAGATACAATATAAGATGTTTACTACATGGTAAGGCATTTAGATGGGCTATGCCCTAAAATTAAACAAAAAATGTTAAAATTGTAATTTTTTTCTTCTAAAAATTACTCAGGGAAGATGTTATAGTTTTAATTTTTATAGGATTATCTGATTTGTTAAGAACTTAGACTAATAGCTTAATGAACAGTTCCTAAAATAAGCATCTCATAGGAGCTGTATCCAGCTTTTCTGGATACAAGTAACCTATTACTCACATAGATGCCAGCTGTATTCAAAGAAAAAAATACATTTTAGAATCCCTTTCATATTCATTCCTTGGATAATTCTTTTACCTAGAGCAGCAGTACCCAACTTTTTTGGCACCAGGGACCAGGTTCATGGAAGACAATTTTTCCATGGACTTGGGGGCAGGGGATGAGGAAAGGTGAACGGTTTTGGGATGAAACTATTCCACCTCAGATCAGGCATTAGATTCTCATAAGGAGCTCACAACCTAGATCCCTACGTGTGCCGTTCACAGTAGAATCTAATGATGTCACTGATCTGACAGGAGGCGGAGTTCATACAGTAATGCTCCCAGCTCTACCACTCACCTCCTGCTGTGCACCTAGGCGTGTGGGTCGGGGGTCAGGACCCCTGATCTAGGGAATAAAATGTGAATTCCTCAGTGCGGTATGATTTGACCCAATCTACCTCTGCAAACTTAGTTCGCCTTAAACACATTCATCTCACCTTTTCCAGTCAAACCAAGACTCAAACCACTCCCCAGCCATACCAAGCTCTCTTCTAAGTATTGTTAAAAAAAAATTATTCAATGATACTTGTTAAAGCACAGTAAGAAAGACTTTATTCAGGGCTACTGCAGTAGGTACAGGGACTACTGCAATGGGATTTTGCAGTTGGGGAGAAAGATTGGCTGAACTCCAAATACAGCATGGGCAAGTGGGAAAGAGGAAAGTCGAGAGAAAAGGAGTAATCACGAGTGGCTCCTAGTTATCTCTAAACAACTGGGTGAATGGTGCTGTGGAATACTGGGATTAGGAAAACTTGGTAGTAGGGGAAGTGGAGGTGGAGGGAAGGGTTTTTGGGGCAAAAAACCCAAGAGTTCCATTGGAACACATAAAGTTTGAGAATATTTTAGCTCTCCTATTCCTCTTTATTCTGGTGACACTTTGTTTACACTGTGATTTCAGAATTTGTCACATTCTGACTTAATTTGGTGCATACTTATTTGTCTCCCTAGCCAGACTAGAGGTTCCTGAAGGCAGAGACTGTAACATTTACTCCACATGCTAAATAGATGGCCTTAAACAAGGTGGTCACTTAAAATGATTTTAGAATGAATAAATGAAGCATTCTAGAAATTGTGAGGAATACAAATCAAAGAAGAGAGAAATGCTTACTTTTCTAGCAGTCTCCGTTACCTAGAACTCACCTTGAAAAAGATCAATAAAAGTTACAACAGAACATAAACCCACTGCAGAGTCTAGCACTCTAGCATGTAAACCCACTTACATATATATAAAATCAACCCCTACTCTTAAGTCTCCTAGCATGAGCGCTAATGGGCTCATACTTACTAGCTCTGTGTAAATAGCTTTCTTTTATACTGTCCAAAGGCAAATATCGACAGATGTGACTTGTATATTTCAGATAGGTTTTCAGTGAGATTTTTATTTTTAAACATTCTATTTACATGATTTGTTTTTGTAGTCATGTATTTCAGATTCTAATAGATTATTCGTACAATCAACACTTAATTATTTATCCACTTTACAAACTGATTTGAACACTGAATAGAATCACAGAATTTTTAAAGCAGAAACTCACCATAGCCAGAGCCCTCATTTATTTGGAGGGATGAGAAAACTCTGGCCTGAAGAAACTGCTCAAGATTCCATGTTTAGAAATAGAGTTAGGTCTGAAAACTAGCTCACCTGGTTCCTAAGGCAGGATTTTTTTTCATAAACACTGGCTTCTTAATAAAAGAGATTAATTTGGCCATTTTGAGATGGACCACATATTATGCTTTTGAAATTTTTCTGTTCAGTGATATCTCAATGACATTTCTAAGAAAGATACGCCTTAAAATGAGGTTAGACATATTAGTAACCAAATGGCTTAATGGTCATGCTTCTGAGATAGTATGTGCAGGGATATAAATATCCCTCTTATGGCCTACATGGCCATGGAAACTGAAGCGAAATGGAGCCAATCCTATATATAATTGTGAAGTCTGAAAGGCTTGCCTTTATCATATCCCTCTTTCCCTTTAATTTGTCTCAGTGGTAATCCTTCTTCCCATTTCAAAGGCCTTCCTACCTATTCCCTCTGCTCTTTCCCTTTACAAAAAATGAAAAAAAAATTTGTATGTATTATCTATATCTTGTTGGCAGACAGACATAAGATACTGCTTAAATGAATTTTAAACAATATATTAACTCAACCAGATATTTACCTTCTAAGCTCTTAATCCTGAATTGTGGAATGAAAAGTTTGTTCCCAGACAGCTGGTAGGGATAGAGTGGTGGAGAGAGGTTCCCTCCCTCCTAGTTATAAGAATGACAAGGTCTGAAGCCAAGCCAAGTATCTATTTAGGGCGAAAAGAATAATCTAAAGAAGTAGTACATGACGCAGCTCCACTGGAAATAACAATAGCCCACACTATTACTTTAGTTTCTGGCAGATATCTGGAACACTAGAAATTAAACATTTCTAAGGTTTGAGATAACTGTTATTAATTATTATAGTGACTTGAAATTAGATTTCAAAGTAGTTCAAAGTTAGCTTACACATATTCATCATGTTTACAATATAAATATGTTATATTCACATAGCACCTTATGCTTATAGTGTTTTCATATGTGCAATCTCATTTAAACTTCAACAATATATAATATAAATATCATTTTCAGTTTTCAAATGAAGAGTCTAAGGTTTGCAGGTAATAAGGGTTATAAAAGGCACAGCCAGGGTTGAGCATAAGAGTTGTGAATCCAAGCATTTTCTCACTATAACATGTAACCTATACAGCAATATTAAAATAACTTGTATATGTAAGTTCCAAATACTTTCAAGGTAAAAAAGTGGTATATATTGTCCTCAAATTTCTAAGTAAATTATGCTGATCTTCTCATACGCAAATTTTCTTTTTCATATAATTTTTGTAAAAGATAATTGTTATTTTCAGCTTTCTTACCTTTCTAAAAGAATTCAGTAATAGAAAAAATACTGTCAAAAACATATAGCTAATGAACAGAAAAAGTCATCTTTCAATACCACAAAAACATTTCTCACTTAGATGTTTTTCCTTTGACATCCTTTAAAAACCTTATTGAAACTCATTTAAAATATTTGCCAAAACAATTGTATAGTTCACTTCAGTGATTCAGTATAGTTATGTAACAAGCTTTTTTGCATATTTTGTTAATTTGCCCTTTAATGGGATGTGATATCACTACAGGTTACATCCTATTTCTGCCAAAATGTATTTTACCTTGGCTTTCCTTGAAATGAATTATAACATGGGATTATCCATCTATGATGGGTTCTTTATCTAATTGGGAAACTGAATCAGATTTAACATCATGCAGGTTTAAAACTCACGTGTTTTGCTAGTTTTAAATTATTATCTGTTAATAGCACATAGGTTCAGTGTATCTACTGTTACCAATTCCAAACTTACTTTTGAAATAACCTTGGTGATTTTAAGGACAAAAGAGATGCTAGAATATAATTTGTCAAGTGTAAAAACCGACCATTATGAGCTTTATTTCTAAAGAAATAAGTGATATTCATCAACACAACAAGCATCTGAACATTTAAAAGAATTGTCAAAGTAAGAAAGGGGCTCACCGGTCTGAGTGAAACCAAACTGATGTAGAATCTCTTGAGCGGTCAGCATGTTTGACTGCTTTAACTTAGACTGTTGTGAGGAAACTGCTGGTGGTGAAGTAAATGAGAGATTTTTGTTGACCTGTATTAGGAAAACAAATCAGAAACTACAGTGTAATTTCCTGGATTACTAATGCAAAAACTGGATGAGAAATATTTGCTTATTATACAAACCAGGACACATGATAGGTCAAAAGGAGTGGTAATGATGTACATGGTTAGTTTGTAAACTTTACAAAAGAGAATCATTTTCATCAAGAAAAAAATATAATAGTAATTAGAACATAGCTATATGAAAATAAATCAGCCTTACTGAAGTTTACCATGGACTTGACATTATTAATAACTTAGAGTGGTCTTAAGTTATGCAAAGTAATGCAAGAAATAAAAATGACTCCTTGACTGGTTCAATTAAGGAAGGGTAAAAATGTTTCATATTCACATTTCCCTAGCATTTTAGTGAAATAGCAAGTACTTCCTTTTCAGAGATACACAGAAAACACCTGTACTACTCATGTTTATATACATCATGGTGACACAGATAACACAGCTGTAACCTAGCTTGCCATGTGAAATAGTATCCATTGCATCAAAACACCTTACTCAGGATACTGTTTAAAAATATCATTAAAATAAGAAGGAAAATTTCTGTAAGTAAATACAATGTTCTATAACATACAAAACCTAGTATGATTATCTGAGTGCACACTAGCCTCACAGAAATGAAATGCATAATAAACACAACATTTTAACTATAGCTCTTGTAGGAAAATAAATAGTTCACTGAAAAAGCTTGAAATGTTTATAGGCAAATTCATCTTGTAAATCAGAATTCGTTTCAGAAAAAAAATCTATCTTTTTTTCATTATTAACAAATCAATCATTTAATCTTTTTCATTACTTTCAAAAAGCACAATAAAATGTGATCTATTTTGGAGAAATTGACAGTCTGATTCCTAATTCACTTCAAAAATGTAATCTGTAAATAAACAAAATGATAATTTATGGCATATAAATATTACTATATTAAAACAGCCCCTTTCCCATTTTTTTGTTAAATAATGAAAACCATACAGAGGACTTCTACTGTGCAAGCATTTAAAATTTTCCTTTTGATGTTCTGTATAAGACAATACTGGGCTCTTGTTACATGCCCTTTATCTGATTCATTATTTACATGTTTGTAAATTTTTTTTTCTATTTTTTGCTTTTAAACAGTGATAATAAACAGTATATCTTAGTTTAGGTTTTTCTCTTAGAGCAGAGTTAGCAAATTCAGTGAAAAAGTCAATTAAGACCATATGTTAATATGGTTTTAAAGTAACTAAACTATTATGTCATCTCAATAAAAAATAAAAGTATTTTCCAAAGTAGTTGGGGGGGTCAAATACCACATCAGTCCTAAAATATCACCCAGCTTTAAAAATTCTATCAAAATCCATTAAATACAGATCAAAACTGACCAGTTATAGTGATACAATACCTAAAACAACAAACTCATTTGATATCTTTGAGCTTCACTTTCCATCTTTAAATGGAGATAAGAAAAATAATATCTATACTTCAATGCGAATGTGCCAGGAAAGCAATAATGATGAACGGGTATCATAAAGTGCTATTCATATGTTAACCATAAAGCACTAATGAACATTAAATAAGAAATAGATTAAATAGAATATCTTGGCAAGGGCAAACCATAAAGTAGTATACAAATAAGGTGTTATATTAGTTATTATTAACATCACTAGAAGTAAGGGTAATTAGGTATTTATGATGTCATATGATGATGTAGCCAATTTTTCAGAGTTCTGTGCTTTCAAATGGAAAAGAACATATTTATCACTTAACTATTTAATTCACTTCTTTTTGGAATCATTTCTCAGTTTTACTTCCTGAAAATTTTTATCTTAAAATCAAGTAATGCATTTAAAAATCTGGTGCAAACAAACAGGTGTATGCTGGAGAAATGAAGATATATCTATATACACACACATCTTTGCACACACACACACCTACATATATCCATATCTATAGATATAGATATATCTATAGATACACACAATAGCCATTTATAGTCTTCTTCTTCAGAAATTTGTGTTAAAAACAAAAAATACCTGGAAAGTTAAAATAGGATACTTAAATGCCTCTGTTCAAACAGAAAGACTTGTCATTCTTTTACAACAAAATTTTTTTTTAAAAAACCTGTAATCTATAATTATATGTTCTTCCTAAACATTTTTATAATTCTGATCTTTCTTGACATAGTTTTTTACAGACTATTCAAATGTCCATAAAGTGATGAGAGCAGCAACGTAACAGAGCAGATAATTTCTAAAGTTTGGGGTAACTGTTAATTATTACTGTTATTATTAGATATTTGTTTTGAAATTAGAACTCAAATCATTTTCAAAGCAAGCTCGTACATATTTATTATTCCATTTAGAGGAAGAAAAATAATAATAACCATTAAATAGAGTGAAGCAATATCTATTTTTGAAATATGTGCTGCGGAAAAGAATTGCTTAATAATTTTACAACAACAGAAAGGTTGGTTAAGATAGTCTACCCTACACCAATCTACCCTCTTTTCACAACACCCTTTTCTGTTTGCTTCATGCAAAAACCACAGTCTGCCAAAGTCAGTTTAATACCTCCATATTGGAGAAAACTAAAAGCATAAAAATTTAATGAAATTCATAATAAAGAAAAAAAATCATCTGGAACTTCTGCCAAGTTAATCATAAAACTGTTTTGCCTACTCTTTTAGGGTATAAGCAGACAAGCAAAATATGCAAATACTAATTCTCTAGACGGGGGTTAATTTTCATGTTAAAAAACTTGCTGCTCTGAACATGAAATTGAATGCACAATATTAAGCAAGCTGACAATTAGTTTCTCTTTTAGTGATTAGTTAAAATTTAAAACCTTTGGGAGATATATAGTACTCATTTCCATGTATACTTACAAGTCTACCCTTTTAGCTAATTTTAGATAACACGCTACATTCACCTGAAGAATTGTTTATGAAGTTTCAAGCTGTGATGATATCATATCTCAAGTTGGTTTTAAATTATAACCGAAAGAATGTTAATGCTGTCTGTATACTTAAAAGTTCACAAATTCATCTCTCTCCCAGACAGCTGTCATATTTTTCCACTAATATGAATAATAATGCAGATAATATTTTAATCTGATGGCAGTTCTGGTGGCATTAGAAAAAAAGAAACCAATAATACCCAGGATGTTTTTTTTTTTTTTTTTTTTTTGCAAATCATGTATCTGTTGTAAAAATTAAAATATCAGTATTAAAGAAAAAGTTAAACAGAAAACTTGAGCCAAAGTGAGGTTCAAGATATTTGAAGTCAGGTATCTTTTACATTCTCATAATATAAATTTTAAGAGTAGCTTATGCTCTTGTGATTTCTAGCTTAGTAAAGTCTAAGCAATGAGTAGTCTATGGTATTATAAAGAGCAATTCAAATATGACCCCTCAGTCCTCAGATGTTTTCTTTACAAGCCAGGACAGAGAAGTGAAGGATTTGGAAGACAACACTGTAACTGTTAAAGAAAAATTTCTACAGCAATAAGATACCAGAAAAATCTTACCCCCAAACCAGTTCATTACTACTACATTAGCTAAAACCAGTATTCAAATTTGAATCAGTCACTATAAAGTTTTTTGGTTATATTTAATCGTGATTTTTGACCCTCTGATAGGTACCAAGGACTGGTGGTTCACAGATTACTGATATGACACTTTCATGTCAATTTCAAAATTAAGATCTAGTCCTGGCTCAAACCAATTATCCAGCAATATTCTTTAGGGTAAAGCAATTTACCTCAATGCATCTTGGTTTTCTCAAAACCTTTACCTCCTTTTCTCTCTTAGTTCACTGCCTTGCTTCACAGAGAAAATTTGGTCTTGAACCCCTGAACTTCTCATTTCCAAACTTATGAAAGAATGGACCTCTCCCACCTATCCTTATGTCTTTACTTCTAGGGTTAGAGGAAGAGGAGCATTCTGTTCAAGATTCATCCCTCAGTCCCCTTAGGGTTATCCTTAAAGCTCTTCCAAATTCTACCTTCAGGCCAGGCCCAACGACTAATGCTTATAATCCCAGCAATTTGGGAGGCTGAGGCAGGAGGATCACTTGAGTCCAAGAGTTCAAGACCAGCCTGGGCAACACAGTGAGACCTCATCTCTACAAAAAAATAAAAAATTAGCTGGGCGTGGCAGTGCACACCTGTGGTCTCAGCTACCCAGGAGGCTGAGGCAGGAGAACTGCTTAAGTCCAGAAGGTCGAGGCTGCATTGAGCTGTGATGATGCTACTGCACTCAGCTTGGGTGACAGGGAAGACCCTGCTTCAAAACGAAAAATTCTACTTTCGAATTCCTACTGGCTATTTCCCTGCAGGTTAGAAGCATAGACCCTTCTATTTTAGTACAAAAACAAAGAGGAAACAAACCAACTAAAACTCTCCCTCTGATTCCGTTACTTCCTTAAGCTTCGTTAAAAGCTAAACTCCTTGAAAAACAGCACACAACTGCAATCCATATATCTGAATCCTTCAGTCTTCAACCGGGTACAACAAAGCTTGTCTCCATGATAAAACTAAATTGGACTTATGGTAACCCTGGACTTCAAATGATCAAATTCAGCAGATTCACTTAGGCCTCTATCCTTCTATCTTTGTTTCTGGGGAGCCATCTTCTCTTGGTTATCCTGCTATGTCCAGCCATTCCTCATCAGTGCTATTTGTTAGATCCGCTGAGCTCCTCTTCTTCCTTCACGTCACATAATTACACTGGGCAGAAACATTTGTTTTCATCAATTCATCTGCCTTCTAATGCTGATGTTTCTTAAATCTAAAACACATCTCCTGATCATTAAGTTCAAAACTAAACTAACCTTTGCCCCACTGTTTACTTTCTTAGGGAAAGCCATCATTCTCCACCTACTTGCCAAGGCCAGAAAGCTGGGACTCATACTAGATTGCTCACCACGCTCCACATATAGATTACTATAGTTTGTACTACTCTTCCAGTTAAGCCAGTCTTCCAAATAGTGCCAACATAATAAATCTTTTTTTAAAAACTCTTCTTTTAGGTCCAGGGGTGCATGTGAAGCTTGCACAGGTAAACTCGTGTCACAGGGACTTGTATGGATTATTACATCACACGGGTATTAAGTCCAGTCCCCAATAGTTATCTTTTCTGCTCCTCTCTCTCCTCCCACCCTTTGCCCTCAAGTAGACCTCAGTGTCTGTTGTTTCCTTTTTGTGTTTGTAAGTTCTCATCTTAATTTGCAGTTATCCAGTTTTGGAATGCCACGAAAAAATAATTATGTTTTTAAAAATTATTTTTTAAAAAAACCTTTCCAAATAATTGAAAAACACTATTCTACTCAAATCTCAAAAATATCCAAATATACGTTTTAAACAGAAAAATTAAAAAAATATTTTCTCTGGATTCTCTATTTTCTGAACCTTTAAAAAAATGTTTTCAGTGAATAATATGTTCCGAGGTGGATTCGACTACAATATACATTACCACTTTACCTTTACAGCACTCTTCCACTAAACATAACTCAATAAACTTCAACTTGGCTGAATTTATATTCATCTAGGGTAGGTGATGTAATACTTCAAAAAAAAAAAAGATGAAGTTTCCTGGCTTCAAGAAGCTTACAGAGGTGTGTGGAGGGACAGATACATAAAGATTAGAAGCGAAAGCAGTTATTATGTAAAATTTAAAGAGACAGAAAAAGAGAGTGTGTGTTATTCCTCCCTGAGGTAATTTATAATCTAATGTCAAAAAGAAAAAAATTAAGCTGAAAGCTAAGTCATTCAAAGAGTTCCTTTTCTTTTTATTCATAAGCAGATAGCTACAGATAAAAGGTTAAATATCTCCGCAGGTAGCTTTCATGTTCACCTTATCTTTTGAAAAGTGTCAATTTACTGAGTGTGAGATGAATACATAATTGACTATCCCCCTACATGCATCTTTTCTCTTGCAACTTGAGGATTCAGTAATGTGACCATACCTTTCTTTTCTCCTCCAGCCTGTTTTTTTCCCTTTAAATATTGAAGCCCCCAAAATCATCTTTGGAGAAAGGCAGACCCACAGACTGTGTCTGTGATTCTTGTTTTTTCTTCTGGGTCCTATCCTTAACCTCAGCAAAATAAACTTCTAAATTGTTGAGACCTGTCTCAGATACTTTTTGGTTTACAATTGTTTCCCCTTGCTTGCTCACTACACTACTTAAGCAAAGTGGTCTTCTTTCTGCTCTTTGAGCATGCCAGTTTTCTTCCTAGATGAGGATTTTTGCAGGACATGACTAGCTCCTTGTTAAGTGTTTCTCTCAGCAAGGCCTTCTATGACCATCCTCTTGAGAGTAGCTTCCCTTCCCAGTCATTCTTTGTCCCATGAACCTATTTTATTTTCTTCACATCACTTATTATCTGAAACTACCTTATTTGTTTCCTTTTAAGATTATGTGTCTCTCTACAATAAAAGGTTCTTGTTCACTATTACATTCCAAGCACTTAGAAAAATACTTGGTAGATACTCAATAAATACTTGCTTAAAGAATGCTAATGGAAAAAACAAGCGAGCCTTCAACAATATAAAAATACTGTAGAAGGGCAAAAACTTATGTAACGGACACTTGGGAAAAATTTATTATCCTAGATCTAATAGATGATAAACTGCATAAATACACTCTGTTGTTAAGATTAAAGATTTTTGACAAGGGTGCCAACACCAGTCAAAGGGCAAAGCACTCTTTTCAATAAGTAGTGCTGAGACAACTGGATAGCCTCATGCAATAGAATGAAAGTGGACCTATCCATCATACCATATACAAAAATTAATGCAAAATAATCACAGACCTGAATGTAAGATTTAAAACTATAAAAATCTTAAGAAGAAAACATAGGAGTAAATCTTTGTGACACAAGGCTAGAAAATGGTTTTTTATTACAACACAAAAAGCACAAGTGACAAAAGAAAAAATAAACTGAACCTCATAAAAAAACCTTTTTGTTTCAAAAGACATCATTAAGAAAGTGAAAAGACAATCCACAAAATGGGATAAAATATTTGCAAATCATCTAACTCATAAGACACTTGTATCTAGAATATATAAAGAACTTAAAAGTAAACAATAAAAAGACAAAAAATCCCAATTTTAAAACCAGGTGAAATATTTAAACAGACATTTCTCCAGAAAAAAAAGTACAAATGGCATATAAAAAACGCTCAACATCATTAGTCATAAAGAAAACACAAATCAAAATCACTATGATATAACCACTTTTCACCCACTAGGATGGCTATAAAGAAGAGAATACAAGTGTTGGTGAGGATGAGAAGAAACTGGAACCTCATTCGTACACTGCTGGTGGAATTCGAAAATGGTTCACATGCTCTGGAAAAAGTTTTGGGAGTTCTTCAAAGTGTCAAACATAGTTACCATATTACCCAACAGTTCCACTCCTAGATACATATCCCATAGAAATGAGAATATATATCCACACCAAAACTTATACACACAATGTTTGTAGGAGTATTATCTTAATAGCTAAAAAGTAGAAACAACCCAAATGTTCATAAACTGATCAAATATAACAATACGTAACCTATTCATACAATGAAATCTTATTTGGCAATAAAAAGTAGTGCAGTTGACCCTTGAACAACATGAGTTTGAACTGTGCAGGTCCACCTATAGGTGGATTTTTTTTCAGTAAGTTACACCAAGAGTGCCTGCCTCTCCTGCCTCCCCTTCCCACTTCTCCACCTCTTCTGCCTCTGCCCCCAGTGAAATAGCAAGACCAAACCCTCATTTTCCTCCTCAGGCTATTCAATGTGAAGACAAAGGAAGACCTCTATGATGATTCACTTTGCTTAATGAATAGTAAATGTACATCCTCTTCCTTTTAATTTTCTTAATAACATTTTCTGTTCTCTGGCTTACTTTAAGAATATAGTATATAATACACATAACACATAAAATATGTGTTAACTGTTTACATTATCAGTAAGGCTTCCAGTCAACAGCAGGCGATGAGTACTTATTTTTTTGGGGAGTCAAAAGTTATACATTAATTTTTGACTGCACAGGTGGTTGGTCCCCCTAATCCCTGTGTTGTTCACTGATATATGTTACAAATAGAGGAATCCTGAAAACGTTATTTTGAGTAAAAGAAGTCAGTTATAAATGACTACATACCATCTGACTCCATTTATATGAAATGTTCAGATTAGACAAATCTATAAAGCATATTAATGGCTGCCAGGAATTTGGGGTATGTTCCAAGAGTTTGTATTTGGAGTGTGTATGTGTAGGAATTGGGAATGACTGCTAAGAGATATGGGGCTTCATTCAGGGGTGATGAAAAACTCTAAAATCAGATAGTAGGGATGGCTGCAAAACTTTGTGAATATGGTAAAAACCAGTGAACTGTATATTTTAAAAGAGTGGGCATTACGGTATATAAATTATAGCTCAATAAAACTATTATAAAAAAAGAATAACTGAAGATACTAGTAAGGTTAATTTTTCCAGACACTGATTCATTTCCAAATTAATCATTTTTTCAATGAGTATTTATTCTACCTTTATTAAATACTAGGGATATGAAGATGAATGGCATGATCCTTCACCCTTGGGGAGTTTCCAGATTAGTAGAGGCTGTTCTCCATAAAGCCTTGCTCAATCTGTGCAGGACACTTTATTCTCTGGACATTCAGACAGCATTCCAAAAGAAGAGTATGCAGTACATTTGTTAAATAAAGAGAAATAGCTTTGAATTGCTAGTCAGAAAATAAATTGTATTTTTGCCTCTGATTTTATACACAATGAGTACTTCAGAAGGTTTAGTAATCTTGGAGCTACAATCATTACACCAATCATTGCTATCAGGAACGTTTCCTGAACATCTGCAGTACAAGTCAGAATATAGCTTGTTCTCTTTTCCCCCCTCGTCTTCCTTCCCCTTGTCTATATTCCATATCCTGTTGACTTGTGATAATTAGGTATAAAAGTGATGGGTTCTGTGACTGATGCTGGACAGCTCAGTGATGGGGTAAGTCTTGTATTTTCTGACATGTTCCTCCCTCCCTAACATGCCCCATCAGGAAAGCGACAATAGCCTATTGCATTCCAAGTGCCTACTACCAAATGGTAGTAGGTGCCCACTGAATTAAAAAAAAAAAAAAATTCCATTGCACTGACATTATATGAAGCAGTCTCTAAATATACTAACATTCTAATTCTTTCCTTCTGGATGTTTTACCTTCTCTTTGTGATATGTAATTATATTTGTTAAATGAATAGACGTCTAATTATTCAACTGAATTTTGGGAGTGGACAGAAGAGGGAAGGATGAACTCATGTTGCCATTCCAACTCCTTATTTTCCCAACACCTAAATTAAAAGTTACACATAAAATAACCTTGCTTGTAAAAGAGGAAAGCTGCTGTGTTGAAAGCATATAAGATACAATTTAGTTGAAATTGTTTACTAATCGAGAGCCTTTTTGTACACTACCATTTTTAGACTAACTTGGGACCTTGGGCAAATCACTCAACCTGAATAAACTTCAGTCTCCTCCTTTCTAAAATTGGAATAACAATTATATCTAATCCATCTCTCAGGATTATTATACAGTATAGTTAAATGAGAAAAGAAATGTGAAAGACTTATAAATGAAGGAGAGCATTATCAGTACAATAAATCATTTATGTACAGCTTGCATGCATTTCAATGCTTATACAGTTTACTCAGCATATACCTACTGGAACTATATTGACCGGTGTCTTATACAAATTAAATATCATATAAAATTTTTCTCAGAGAATGACATGACCTTGTTGATCCTTTACTGAAAGTATCTCCATCACTTAGTATTCTTAAATCTTTAAAAATGTGAAGCTACTTGCTAAATGATCACCCTTACTAAATTATCAGCTTCCAGTATTGTAATTCTGTGATAAAGCTGAGCTCCAATAATGAAAGTACACATCAGATTAACTCTTATAAAGGTTCCAAACTCTATGAATGGTGCATTCCAGTTCTTTGGAGCATCACTATACCTTTGAAGTTATCTTCCTGGTAATAAAAACTACTTACTTTTGCAGCACAGGAACGTATCACCTCCTAAAAGAAATACAATAAAATAAGGAAGTATTCATAATTTCATTAAATATTGACTGTTTGCAAAACACTCAGATGTTTATCTTCTAATAACCTAAATCAGCATTTGGAAGTTTCTTTATCCATTATCCTGCCGTTGTCACTCTGCATTGTTTCCAATGAAAGAGACTTAATGACATGTTCAAGGTAAATCTAACTTGCCCAAACAAATGGCACTGTGAAACTCCCGAGGGCTCACAGGTTATCTGCCTCAAGAAAAACTTGCTCTTCAATCAATAGAATAAAATTCTATACTAGAACACTAACAGGTGTAAAAGACACATGCTGAGTTAAATGCAATATATAATTATCTCTATAAATAATAATAGCCATAACTATCATTCCCATATTATTTGTATCAGATGAAATCTAATATTAAATAGTAAATACTACTAAATGATAAAATATATGACTATTATTGAAAGAGCTACAGAAAGGAACTCTGTACAATTCATGGTACACGGCCAAGAAAAGATCATTTTGAAAGAGAAACTAGTAAAAGTCGATGTATTATGGACAATTTGAAAATCTGCTGCTAAGGAGAGAGTAAAAATACTCAAGTCTGGCCGGGTACGGTGGCTCACGCCTTGTAATCCCAGCACTTTGGGAGGCCGAGGCAGGCAGATCACGAGGTCAAGAGATCGAGACCATCCTGGGCCAACGTGGTGAAACCCCATCTCTACTAAAAATACAAAAATCAGCTAGGCGTTGTGGCGCGTACCTGTAGTCCCAGCTACTCGGGAGGCTGAGGCAGGAGAATCACTTGAATCTGGGAGGTGGAGGTTGTAGTGAGCCAAGATTGCGCCACTGCACTCCAGCCTGGGCGACAGAGTGAGACTCCAACTCAAAAAAAAAAAAAAAGAAAAAAAAAAGAAAAAGAAAAAGAAAAAGAAAAAAAAATACTCAAGTCCAGTCCAATTAGGAGTTAGCCAGCATATAGCATCAGCCTAGTACAGTGCTAGTGAAAAATGGTCATAATCAACATGGAGTTTAGGAAAAAAAAGAACTGAAAAAAATAGATACTTCTCAGTTATTGGGAGCATTACCATTTAGTCATAATATAAATCATTTAATTATTTATCAGCATACTTGACTGCATGTTGCTGCCACAGCAATACCTAAAAGCATTCTGCAACCTAGGTAAGACCTCACAGGTGGACAGTACCTTGAGAACATCGGTATATCTCATTCTAAGTTTTTAGATCCAGAAATTTGATTTTATCAGTGCATCCACAGTTGCTCAAAATCTGGAATACCTATTAATTTTTTTATCTATAAATTTCTAAGAGCCAGATACTGTATCTAAAGCGTATCAGTAATTCAGTCACTAAAAGGAGACAGTTAAACTGACTGTGGACATGGGAGTCCAACTACCTGGGCTGAATCCCAGCTCCAGTGCTTACTACTTGTGTGATCTTGGTTATGTGGCTTGATCTCTGTAAGCCTCAAAATCCTCTTCTGGAAAATGGGAATAATACTCAACCCTATAGGATGGTTTGAGAATTAAATACAATAAAATGTAAAGCCTTTAGCACAGTGCCAGAAATATATCAATTATTACTAATAATTAAGCAGATGTTAGTTATCATTAATCAATATATACGGTGGTATCTCCTGTGGGGTAGAGAAAATTAATCTTTTTTCAAAATTGGCATAAAACATTTTCGAACCCATTCAATCCATACTCCTATGGCTCTACTTAGCAATCAACTCTGTGATCATTAGCCTGGGCTTCAGGTTAAATTTAGACAGGATGAGATCTTGAGTGTTCAGGCTGCCAGAATGGTCTACCTTTTATTATATTATAAGGTGTATTTTCATGGATTCTCATTTGTTAATCAACTTTTTGTAGGATTGATTAATCTTAATAGATACTACAGATTCTGAGCAACCCTGGATGCACTGATAAAATCAAATTTCTGGATCTGAAAACTTAGAATGAGATTTACCAACGCTCTCAAGATACCCGTGAAGTCTTACCTGGGTTGCAGAATGCTGTTAGGTATTGCTGTGGCAGCAACATGCAGTCAAGTATGCTAATTATGAAATAATTAAGTGATTTATATTATGACTAAATGGTAATGCTCCCAATAACCGACAATTATCTATTTTTTGTATCTTTTACTCATTAATGCCTAAACACCTATTATATACCTGCTGAACTGAATTTATTATGCAATTCACTCACACATACCCCACAAAAATTACACCCTAAACCTGTACCATAATTTATTAGAAAAACATTCCTATTGTAATAAAAAATAAATAAAAAAAGGAATTTGGGGTCTACTGAAATAAATGGCAAGAAACGAGAAAAGGCATAATGACAAAAGGTGGGAATTCAGTCAACCTAAATGTTTGCACAATATAGAATGAGGCTGCCATGGGAATAAAGACGACACTTTGTTTTTATTCCCATACATACTATGTACATTCTGAAAGAAAATACATTGCAGATAGCATCAGAAAAATAAATTCAGTGAATTCTCTCAACAAAGGAAAAATAATGGTTTTTAAAAACCAAAGCAAAACTTTCATTTCCAAAGGCAGCTTCTATCTACCTCAATACCAAAGCAGACATATTCTCTAAATAATTTTAAAAAGAAATGATATGCTAAAAGCTAAATAAAGTAATAATTCAAAGTAAATTTTTTTATAATAAATTATCAATTTGCTTCTCTCTTGCGTTTGATTTCATTTCTTAAAAAACATTTTTCTGCCGGGCACAGTGGCTCATGCCTGTAATCCCAGCACTTTGGGAGGCCGAGGTGGGCGGATCACAAGGTCAGGAGATCGAGATCATCCTGGCTAACACGGTGAAACCCCGTCTCTACTAAAAATACAAAAAGCCTACTAAAAATACAAAAAAAAATTAATCGGGCGTGGTGGCGGGCACCTGTAGTCCCAGCTACTCGGGAGGCTGAGGCAGGAGAATGGCGTGAACCCAGGAGGCAGAGCTTGCAGTGAGCTGAGATCGTGCCACTGTACTCCAGCCTGGGCGACAGAGTGAGATTCCGTCTCAAAAAAAAAAAAAAATTTCTGATTTTATTTTTCCTTTACATCTACTTTCTTTAGTTCTTACATCCTTTCATTTATCTGAGGATGACAGGTATATAAAATGAAATTAGAAAAAAGCTACAAGACTTAGTTGATTCCAGGATGTTAAGTTTTACAGAATAAAGACGGATAGACTGTAGGAAACTTGTTTTTATAAATCTGTTGGTGAGTTGTTTTTATGCCTGTAGATGAAGTTACTTTGCCATGCAAGTTTTTAGACAAGGAACACATTTTCTTTTTTTTCCTAGTGAAGAAATATGTTTCTCTTCATCTTTAAAGCTCAATGTATCTATTCAGACTTCCTTTTAAAATCTGGAACAGCATGCATTATTTGATTATATTAAAAATGTTAAAATACAAAGAACTGCAATATTGAAATAAATTTATTAATTTATAGTTATATATTCTAAAAGTTAACTAAGAAATATATATACTTTTCTATATTCCTACATTTATTCTGGGTTTAGGTTAAATCTAAACCCAGAGATGGAATGTAATCTGCATCCTGATACACCTTCAAGTCTCTAACTTTAGAAAGAAGAGAGAGGAAGAGAGCATAGTCAGAACTAAAGCTGTCTCAATGTAGTTCCTTGTATAGTTTAAAACTAATCAAGATATCTATCAAGGAAGCAAGAAAAGGGATAACATTTATTAAAGAAGGTAAGAATAAAACAATGAACAAGGGTGCACAGCCCCTGTCTTCAAGGAGCTCAAAGTAATTCTAATAAAAGGACTTCCACTTAATTCTACTAGAAGTATGGTCAAAGATATTTCTCAGGATGCTTAGGCTTCTTACTACATTTGACCATTTATCTTTGAGAAAAATTTTCTAGGAATTTTCACTAACAGAATGCTACACTACCTTTAACAAAGCATCTTCCTCCTCATCATTTTCATGATCTATTTTCCAATTTTATGGGAAATACCTGGTTTATGTGGTACTTTTCTTATGAGTAGTGAGATAGAACTTTTAAAATATGCCTATGAAACATTTCTATCTCCTCCTTTTAGAAGAACAGTTTATTTCTTTCACTCATTTCTTTGTTAAAGATTTACTATTTTTCTTCACTGTTTAATTATTTGCATGTTAAAAGGGCTGTTTCTTTAATACATTTTATATAAACATTTCCCCAGGCTGGTGTTTGTTGCACATATATGTGTGTGTTTGTATGTTTTGTATATACACACAAATATACACATCCTTATATTTTTAAACAGAGAAATTTAAAATTCTATGTCAATAATCTATTAATATTTTGGGAGAGGATCTTCCACTGCTTTTAAAATTAGTATGTTTTCATTCATTTGAGAAATAATTGCAAGTGTATTTCCCTAGTTTTTAAAAAGATCTGGATTTTCATATTTAACTCCTTGGTAAATGAGAATTTGATTTAGGTGAGTGACCTAAGATATATATGTAAATGGACTGTATTTTTCAGTTAACTCATAGTTAACAAGGTTTCCCAACACCATACAAGGGAACAATTCTTCCTTTCCCCACTGATTTATCTTTCTATCTTAGTGAATTTCAATTATACTACTAGTATTATTTCAGCTTCATTATTACTTTGGCTCTCATGGAGAAGTTCGAAGGTAGCTTAGTTCCTATGTAGATAACCAGTCTTTTTTTCTCCCCCCCATTATATCTATGATTTTTCTTTAAGAAATCTTTAAAAATCAAGCGATTTCACTAGGATATTTCTAAGATACTGGCATCTTTTCATTAATTGGTCTGGTAATAGATACTTTCATTTTATAGATTTTGGGACTTTAGCACAGGAAGGCCTTTTGTATTTGATCTTTGTTATCTCTTTTCACACATGCTGGTCTCTTCTTTAACAACACTGATCAACTATATGCACAATCTATCTCATATTCATCTCTTCTCTCATTATCAACAATAATAACTAACATTTATCAGTGGCACTATGTATCAGACACCCTGTTAAGAGGTTTACTTTTAGGGTCTTACTGAATCTTAAAAATCCTGTAAGGTAAGAAATACTACAATCCCCATAATGGCTCATGCCTGAAATCCCAATACTCTGGGAGGCTGAGGCAAGAGCACTGCTGACTGCTTGAGGCTAGGAGTTGGAGACCAGCCTGGGCTACATACCAAGACCCTGTCTCTACAAAAAAAATTTTTTTAATTAGCCAGGCCTGGTGGTGTGTGCCTACAGTCCCAGCTACTCAAGAGTCAGAGGCAGGAGAATTGCTTGAGCCCAGGCGTTCGAGACTGCAGTGAGCAATGATCACACCACTGCATTCCAACCTGGGCCACAAAGTGAGACCCTGTCTCTAAATTAAAACAAAACAAAACAACCAAAAACCACCTCATTTTATAGATGAGGAAAACTAGGTTTACTTAAACTTCTCCAGTCAAAAAGCTGGCACAGGTTGGAGCCTATGCCATTCCTATGCCTAAGCAGCTGGACCCCAGAGCTACACTCTAAACCATAGTTTTCACCTATCTCTTTTTTTCTGTATTCTTGCGTGCTTCTGAAATTAGTTCTCTACGCTACACTATTGATCTGGTATTTTAAAGTGTCAACTTTCTCTTTTACCATTTGCAATGTGGAATTAATTGAAGCTTACCTTTTGATTTTCTTTAAATTCATTTTATCTTAGATGTCTTTCTAAAATCAAAATCTTGGGACTCTCATCTCTTCATTAATAGAAATTCTGTTTTCTTCTATTTTACTGAGAACACACTCTAAATATTCTGTTTCTTATAGCAAAGCATTTTAAGATACGCTTTGCCTTTACTTATTTTCCTTTTTTGGGGAAGCAGGGACACAGTCTCATTTTGTCACCCAGGCTGGAGTGCAGTGGCAGGATCTCGCCTCACTGAAACCTCTGCCTGTCTGGTTCAAGTGATTCTTGTGCCTCAGCCACCTGAGTGGCTGAGATTACAGGTGTACGCCACCATGCTGGGCTGATAAAGTCACAGCTTCTCTTTCTTTCCTAGGAGATGGAGTCATACCTGTATGCTAAGTCCTAGGTGTGGTCATCTGGTTCAGAGCCCTCCCTTATCACTAGGTGCTGGGCTAGCCTTTACAGAGATATCAAGTCAGAACAGCATGATAGATTATCCTAAATTCAGGTTGTCTGTTGCAATTAAGGTTTTAGGAATAAGTACCTGAAAGGAACCATAAAAGTATAGGAAGGTCTAATTTTAAGTAATTAACTTACTTCATTAAATGAATATTTATTGGCATGGCAATGTAAAACAGGATAGAAATAGTTTTAAAGTTTCAACTGCATAAAATAAACTTACTGTGACAGTTTCAAGCCTCTGTTTTACTAGCTGCATCTTCGTTGAAGAACTTTCAGTGTGGACAAATTCATCAATCTGAAAAGAGCCTTGATGGGGTAGTTTTGGACAGGTACATAGGGCATCTTGACTTTGGTGTATTCCAGGTAATGGAAATGTTCCATTGTAGCGTTTGAACATTTCAGCCTCCTGCTGGGCAACTGAAGAAATGAATCCATAATTAGTTAAATCATCATAGCAAAAGCATAATCAAGCCCTAAAACTGTAGCATTCAACAAATAATCAGAAACTGCATAACACATCTTAAAAACTGGGTAATAATAAGACACCATAACTAGCAAAATTTGAAATTATTCAATGCTATAAAATCATAAGGAAGCAAATAGAATTTCATGTCAGGCAGCATTATAATTGAGCTGTGAAGGCCATGTAAACTGGGATGGGAGACTAACTTTAAATATATGTATATAGAAAAATAATACTAAAAAATCAAAGGCATAACAGAATTAAGGGAAATGCTAAAATAATATTTATTCACAAGCCTCTCTAAAACAACTATTTTCATATTTCTGTACCCTTCTTAATTTTTACACACACATTCTATATATCATAATGTAAATACAATTTAACATTTCTCAATTTAAATGCAAGTATTTCTTACATTTCTACAATGACGTAATTATAATTATTAAATGTTTTACAGTATCTCATTTAATGAAGCACCGTAATTTTTTTTTTACACATTCTCTTATACTGAATACAGTTGGTCCACTGTATCTGTGGCTTCCCTATCCATGAATTCAACCAACTATGGATAAAAAATATTCAGAAAAAAATAACAATACTATAAAAAATACAGTATGATAACTATTTACATAGCATTTATACTATATTAGGTATTGTAAGTAATCTACAGATGATTCCAAGTATGAGAGAAGATGTCCACAGATTATATGCAAAAACTATGACATTTTATGTAAGTGACTTTAGCATCCATAGATTTTTGGTATCCCCAGGGGTTCTGGAACCAGTCCTCTATAGATAACAAGAGATAACTCTATTTATAGTGTTCTCTGTTCTCCCTTATAGATCATGCAAGAATAATTACTTTCATAGCTAACTTTGTTTCTTAACATCATTCTTATTTTGGATTTAATTCTCTAGAGTGACGAAGATGGCTCAAAGGGTGAATGTTCTGATGATGACTGATCATGATGATGATGATAATGAGCATGGTAGCATCTGTGCTGCACTTTGTATTTTTTGGGGTGCTATCACATACATTACCTCATTTGATCATTTAAAACACATGAACTTGAAAAATATTAAATGTCTGTCTATATATACAAAGGAGAAAAAATATATAAACTCATCATTTAAAAAAGTATTTCCTTAGTTACATAATCTTGAAATGGAAAGCCTTCCTAAACATGACATGAAAGAAATAAATCTCAAAACAGGGATTCATAATATGGAATCAATGGATAAACCTTCAGGGAGTCTATGGACTACTGAAATTACTATGGAAATGTGAGTGTGTTTATATAAGCATTTCTGGAAAGCAGATTCATAATTTTTATCAGGTTATCCATCGAAGGATTACATGAGTCAGAAAAGGTTAATAATTGTCAACATTCTTATGGACCAATGAACAGATTTTGTAACATGAACATTTAAAGAGTCTTCATTAAAATAAAAAAACTTGCCAGGCACAGTGTCTCATGCCTTAATCCTGGCACTCTGGGAGGCTGAGGTGGGAGGATCACTTGAGCCTAGGAGTTTGAGACCAGCCCTGGCAAGATAATGAGACCCTGTCTCTATAAAAAATTGAAAAATTAACCGGGCAGGGTACCATGTGCCTGTAGTTTCCAGCTACTGAGGAGGCTGAGGTGGGTGGGAGGATTGCTTGAGACTGGAGGTCGAGGCTGCCACTGCATTCCAGTGAAGACTGGATGACAGAGCTAATGTGATTTTTAAATCATATTTAAGACTTAAATATATAAATAAACTACCACAACAAAAATTAAAAAGGAAATGATGTAATAGGGTTCTTCCATTTCTGACCAAAATGGAGTAGGGACTAGATTTACTCTGCTGCTTGAAACTACCAAAAAATGGACAAACTGTATAAAAGAAAAAAAAAAAACTGTCTTTGCAGACATGATTGTCTAGGTAGAGCTAAAGTGGAGTAAGGCAAGTGAGGCACACAGGCAGCAAAATTTAAGGAGGTTCTCACTCTGAGGTCCTGGCTCCATATCTGTGTAAAAATTCTAAATGGAATCTAAAAAAATAAGGCACTAGAATTGACTTTAGCAATGTTGTAGGATTGAGATCAAAACACAAAAATCATCTATATGTCTATATACAAGCAATTAAGAACCAAAAATTGAAATTAAAAAAAAAAATGCCATTTACTATGGCATAAAAAAAGTGACATACTTTGGGGAAAAAAAGGAGAAAGATGTGAAAGACCTGTATACTGAAAACTAAAAATACTGCTGAGAGAAACTGACAAAGCAATTTGTCATTGTGTTCATGGGGTGGCATACTCAATATTGGTAAGATGTAAATTCTCCCCAAATGATCTGTAGATTCAATGCAGTCCCACTCAAAATTCCAGCAGGTTATTTTTGGAGAAATTGTAAAATAAATTCTAAAATCGACATGGAAATGAATATTACCTAGAACAGCCAAAACAACTTTGAAAAAGAAAAGAATACCTGACTTCAAATCCTATAAAGCTACAGTAATCCACACAGTTTGCTACTGGCATAAAGATAAATAAACAGATCAACAGAATAGTATAGAGTGCCCAGGGTGTATAGACAAAGTATAAAGGCCATTCAGTGGAGAAAAGACAGTTTTTTCCAACAAATGGTGTTAGAATAGTTGGATATTCATATGTGAAAAAAATGAACTTTGATCCATACTTTACAACATGTACAAAAGTAACTCAAAATGAACCACAGATCTAAATGTAAAACCCAAAGCTGTAAGACTTCTAGAAAAAAACAGAGAACACCTTTGTGAGCTTGGGTTAGGCAAAGATTTCTTAGACACAACACTAAAATGCATAAAAGAACAAGCTGATAATTTGAACTTCATCAAAATCTCAAACTTCTGTTCTTTAAACTGTTAAGACAATTAGAAAACAAACCAGACTGGGGGGAAATACCTGCAAATCATATGCCTGATAAAATACTTGTATACACAAAACACAAAGAAATCTCAAAACTCAATAATCAGAAAACAAATAGGACAATTTAAAAAATGGAGAAAAGATTTGAAAAGACAATTTACTGAAGAAGCTATATGGATGACAAATAAGCATGCAAAAAAAGGTGCTCAGTATCATTAGTCATTAGGGAAAAGCAAATTAAAACCACAATAAAATAGCACTGCATGTATATTAGAATGGCTAATATTCAAAAGATTGGCCATTTCTTTTTTTAAATTTTTTTATTTATTTTTATTTTATTATTATTATACTTTAAGTTTTAGGGTACATGTGCACAATGTACAGGTTAGTTACATATGTATACATGTGCCAGGCTGGTGTGCTGCACCCATTAACTCGTCATTTAGCATTAGGTATATCCCTAATGCTATCCCTCCCCCCTCCCCCCACCCCACAACAGGCCCCAGAGTGTGATGTTCCCCTTCCTGTGTCCATGTGTTCTCACTGTTCAATTCCCATCTATGAGTGAGAACATGTGGTGTTTGGTTTTTTGTCCTTGCGATAGTTTGCTGAGAATAATGATTTCCAATCTCATCCATGTCCCTACAAAGAACATGAACTCATCATTTTTTATGGCTTCATAGTATTCCATGGTGTATATGTGCCACATTTTCTTAATCCAGTCTATCATTGTTGGACATTTGGGTTGGTTCCAAGTCTTTCCTATTGTGAATAGTGCCGCAATAAACATATGTGTGCATGTGTCTTTATAGCAGCATGATTTATAGTCCTTTGGGTATATACCCAGTAATGGGATGGCTGTGTCAAATGGTATTTCTAGTTCTAGATCCCTGAGGAATTGCCACACTGACTTCCACAATGGTTGAACTAGTTTACAGTCCCACCAACAGTGTAAAAGTGTTCCTATTTCTCCACATCCTCTCCAGCACCTGTTGTTTCCTGACTTTTTAATGATTGCCAAGATTGGCCATTTCAAAGTTGGCAAGTACACTGATATACTAATGGTGGGAATGTTAAATGTTAAACGGCACAATCACTTTAAAAAATAGTCTGGCAGCTTCTTAAGAAGTCAAACATACATCTGCAATATGATCCAGCCCTTCTGCTCCTAGAAATTTGTCAAAGAGAAATGAAGCATATGTCCATACAAAGACTTGTATGTGAATATTTGGAGCAGCTTTATTTGTAATAGCTAAAACCTGGTTACAACCCCAATGTCCATTGACAGGTGAATGGATAAACAAACTGTGGCATAGCCATACAATTAAACAACACCCAACAATATAAAGAATAAACTACTGATAAATGCTAAAACACAGATTTATCAAAGTAATTATAAGTGAAAGGAGCCAGATAAAAAAAGAGTACATGGTATATACAGTTTCACTTATATACAATTCTGGAAAATGCAAACTAATTTATAGTGGTTGCCTGGGATAAGGGTGAGGAAGGAACAGAACACAAAAGGGCACAAAGTAACTTTTGGGGATGAAATATGTTCATTATCTTGATTGAGGCAATAGTCTCCCAGGTTTATAAATGCCCAAACTTATCAGATAGTACATTTAAATAGTTCAGTTTATAATATGTCAATTATACCTCAATAAAGCCATTCACCAAAAAAAGCAAATGACAAAATTGTAATGAAAGGGGTAATTAATCTTACTATGCAGAGTTCCCATGAAATCCATTAAAAATTAATAATCGAACAGAAAAATGGGCAAAGAACCATTAAAGAAAATTCACAAAAGAACTGTGTCCAATAAAAATATATTTAACTTCACTAAAAATTAATTAGTAATAAAAATGCAAATTAGAAAGTGCCTTTTTTTTTTGCCTGTTTAACTGACCCATTGTACCTCAAGACATTATTTCCTGAGGAATGTAAGGGTAGTTAGTGTGTACTGAAGCACTATCTAAATGTTGAAAAAGATATAACAGTATAATTGTGCAACAACAGTTGTTTAAACTACGGTGTATTCATTTAATGAAAGGGAATTTAGCCACTAAAATTATGTATAGAAATGTAATTATCACAATGGAAAATTGCTCATATTATTCATTGGAAAAAATAATTTATAAAACAATATAGACAGTATATACAAAAGGACGACCACTTTTTCAAGTTATAGGCCTTGGTTTCATGAACTATGAGTCTGAGATGATGCATATAAACAATATTAGGTATTTGATCTTTATATTCATGTACTATTTCATTCAGGCACTCTAAATGAAGACCAGCTCAATAATAATTGGTGTTCTCTCCCTGCTAGTGAGTACCAAAGGATATTATCAAGGGAGAGGACCTGCTTACACTCCACCCTTTTAGTGATGTGCATTCCTCAATACTAATTACTGTTTTTAAACAGAAGTGTAGCCATTTCTCTGTAGATTGTTGTGGATTTGACTATTATTTTTCATTACACATTTTGAACTTTTCTCCAAAACAATCAGAACACTTATTACCCTCAACTATTCAAAGACTGCTTACAGAACAAGAGAAACTTTAAAGCTGTAAAAGAAAATAAGTGCTCCATGAACTGGAATTTGGAATGTTTAACATTAGTAGGTGGGTTTCAGGAATAAATAAATAAACAAATGCATATCATGTTTCATGATCTTTGTCTTATTTGCTTTTTAAAATTGTCCCTTCAACATTTAATTGTGTTTTGCTGCTATGAATGGAAAATAAAACTGGGTTAATTATTTAATGACATTTTTTAACTCCCTATATTTTCTCTGAGATTGTGTACCTACCAACCATGATTTCATTTTAATATGAGTGAGCGAACATGCATAGAAATGGCCCAGAAGCACATACACCTACGTAAGTAACAGTTACATAGGTTAGTAAGATTTCAGTATTTTTCATTTTACTCTTTTTGTCAAACTATTTTCTAAGTATTATAATATGCTAAACATGTATTATTTTTCTTTCTTAAAAATGACATTTTTAACTGGAAAAAAAAGTAACAAAAAGCAGAGCCTAATTATTTATCTCTTTATTTTTCCAGGTATTAATATGCCTTTCGGAAGGATTAAAATGGCCCAAATGGAAGCGGATAACACAAATAAATACAAACAATTATGAACACTTGTTTTTTTCATCTAAAGGAAATTTTCTATACAGAAGCCAACTGATTGGTATTCAAGGGGTCAAATTAAACACCCTATTTTATCTTTAACACCTTTAGTTCTGTGAAGGCAGCCACAAAAAAATCTGCAGAAATATTCATAAAGACTTAGTTTCTCAGATACTAGAAACAGAAGCCGTTCAGAAGTTCTTCTGCTCTTCCCCCTCCTCCAGCCTCCACAAATACATACATCAACTTGTATCAGACTATATAGATTTCATTGTAAAATATTAATAGGATTTAATACATGACTTCTGATATTCCTTCAAGCTCTATGCTTTTAACATTTCAGGGGTTTCTAAAACACTTTGACATAGGCCACAGTTGGAGTATAATTTTGCAATTAAATAACTCTTTCTTCATTTTGTCATTACTTTTTGTGTTAATTTAACTTTGCATATTTAAAATTTAGCTCTACTCTAACCTGGTATGTTTAAAACTCATAATTTTAACAGTCTCACTCCCATCTTTTCCTCACTTTTTGAAGAGCTGTCATGTACCATGCACTAAGCAGATTCTGGGAATACAGACACTGGCCCCACTTGAGGTTTCGACCTTCTGAAGGAGAATAAATTACTGCAAGGTGCTAAGTGGTATAGCAGAGGAATGCACAGATGATGAGAGCACAGAGATGGCAACTACATTTGCTTAAAGAAATGTTATATCCATCAAAATCCTTCTAAATTTACTTCTAATAGGCTATCATTTGGGATTCAAAATTTTACAAAATTAAAAAATTCTTAAAATGTTTTTATGATGGAAAATCCTTTGATTTATATAATAAGCTTGGTGCTTTTGTGTATGTTCTTGAGTTAAACAATTATGAAAAAATAATGTGGTTTTCTCAAGAGATTTTTATCTTTACAGGAGGAAGGACGGAGGAAATAAGATATTTTAATCCACTGCCCTTTGCATTTGAAGCAAATGCAAACTTTGCTATTATTACAATCTATGTACTTACATTATTGACTTTATAATGAAGTGAACCTGGAATCACAACATATTCTTTCTCTTACATTATATTAACAATAAGGTTCCCCTTTGGTTCACCGTTTAATTCCTTTGTTCAAGACATTTCATTATATATAGCCCTGTTACTTTATATGGTCATCTTACTGGATACCTAATTTCTTTAGCTATAAACTATTATATTTCCAGTTATAATATCATCCCTATAAGTTGGTAGTTCTACTTAGTTTCCCAGCATTTAGCAGTTATATAGCATTCTCCTTCTCTAACATCTGCAGTAAATGTTCAGTACTTATAATTTTTTTTTTTTTTTTGTATTTTATCTGGCCTGACTTGTTCCTCCTTCAGCTAATCTTGAGATACTGAGGTGATGGATCCAAGAAGTTCTATAGACTTAACACTTCAATTCTGGTAGCCTGTGTTTCAGGGCCTGTTAGCAATTTTGTATTTCCTTGACACACCTTGTAAGTCAATTAGAACTTTGAAGTATTACTAATAAAACTGTTCAAAATCTATAGAGTGATGTGTAGCAGATTCAAGTCTCACAGTCAACCAAATGAGACAGCATCTACCAGCATCTGGCAAATTCATTAGCTGGATATAAAAATTGAATCAACTATCTGCAAATTCCCTGCAGTACATGCTATTCTGCTCTTGTTGGTTCCTATTCCATTATCAATCATCACACAGAATGTTATCCAACTGAAAATGTGTCATACATACCCTGCTACAGAGAATAGCTACAATTTCCCGACTGCAGCCTAGTTCATGAACTCTAATAACACAGGCATTACTCAGAGATATGGCGGGTTTGGTTTCAGACTACTGCAATAAAGCATATATCTCAATAAAGAAAGTCATATGTTTTTAATTTTCTAGTGCTTATAAAAGTTATGTTTACACTATATTGTAGTCTATTAAGTGTAGCATTATGTCTAAAAAATCAATGCATTTACCTTAAAAACTATTTTATTGCTAAAAAATGCTAACAATCATCTATGTCTTCAGTTAATCATAATCTTTTTGCTGATGGAAGGTCTTGCTTTAATGTTAATAAAGGGTCTGCTGACTGATAAATGGGGTGGTTGCTGAAGGCTGGGGTGGCTGTGGCAATTTACACAACAATGAAATTTGCTGCACTGATTGGCTCTTACTTTCACAAAAGATTTCTCTGTAGCATGTGATGCTATTTGATAGCATTTTACCCACAGAAATTGTGTCCTCTCAAACCTTGCCATTGCTCTACCAACTAAATATATGGAATTTCCTAAATCTTTGTTGTCATCTCAACAATGTTCACAGCGTCTTCACCAGGAGTAGATTCTCTCAAGAATCTACTTTCTTTGCTCATCCATAAAAAACAACTCATCCATTCTAGTTTAATCATGAGATTGCAGTAATTCATTCATATCTTCAGGCTCTACTTCTAATTCTAGTTCTCTTGCTATTTTCACCAAATCTGCAGTCACTTCCTTCATTGAAGTCTTGAAGCCCTCAGAGTCATCCATGGGGGTTGGAATACACTTCTTCCAAACTTCTGTTAGTGTCCATATTTTGACTTCCTCTTATGAATCATGAATGTTCTTACTGGCATTTAGAAAGGTGAATCCTTTCCAGGTTTTCAAGGTACTTTGCCCAGCTTCATCAGAGGAATCACTATCTATGTCAGCTATGGACTTACGAAATGTATTTCTTAAATACTAAGACGTGAAAGTCAAAATTACTCCTTGATCCATGTCTTCTCCTCTTTAGCTATGAAACTACTGGAGGGCATCTTCCTCCATTAGAAAGCTGCTTCATCTCCATTGAAAATCTGTGGTTTACTGTAGCCACCTTCATCAATGATCTCAGCTAGATCTTCTGGATAACTTGCTACAGCTTCTAGATCATCACTTGTTGCTTCACCTTGCACTTTAATGTTATGGAGACGGTTACCTTCCTTAAACCTCATGAATGAGCCGCTGCTAGTTTCAAACTTTTCTCTTGCAGCTACCTCACCTCTCACAGCCTTCACAGACTTTAAGAGAGTTAGAGGCCTTGCTCTAGATTAGGCTCTGGCATAAGGGGGTACTGTGGCTGGTTTCATCTTTTATCCAGATCACTAAAACTTTGTCCATATCAGCAATAAGGCTGTTTTACTTTCCTGTCATTTGTGTGTTCACTGATGAAGAACTTTTACTTCGCATTCACAACTTGGCTAACTATACGGCACAAAAGTCTTAGCCTTTGCCCTATCTCAGCTTTCCCCATGCCTTCCTCACTGACCTCAATCACTTCTACCTTTTTATTTATAATGAGAAATGTACAATTCTTCCTTTCACTTGAATACTTAAAAGGCCACTGCAGGGTTATTAACTGGCTTAATTTCAATACTGTGTCTCAGAGAATAGGGAGGCCTGAAGAGAGGGAGAGAAATGGGAGAACGGCTGGTGGGTGGGGCAGTCAGAACACTGAAAACATTTATCAATTAAGTTCGCCATCTTATATGGGTACAGTTTGTGGTGCCCCAAAGCAATTACAATGTAACATCAAAAAGCACTCACCGCAGATCACCATAACAGACATAATAATGAAAAGGTTTGAAATATTTTGAGAGCTACGAAAATGTGACAGAGAGACACCAAGTGAGCACACAATGTTGGAAAAATGGCGCCCACAGACTGGCTTAACATAGAATTGCCACAAACCTTCAATTTGTAGAAAACGCAATATCTATGAAGCACAATAAAGCAAACACCAGTAAAACGAGGTATGCCTGTATTTATGCTTCATGCCTCATTTTATAGTTTCATTTTATCCTTTGATAAAAATATTGATATAAAATAGAATATATGCTATTCTAATTTTACAAGCAGAACAAAACAAGTGCAGAAAGGTAAATTATTTGATCAGGGTCAAATACAGAGTGGTAGTATTTTGTCTAGAATGCCAGCGCTCTCTTACTCCAGTCTTTGTTGTTGTCTATTTTACATCATATCATTCATGCATTAGTGCAATTAAAAACACCACTGTAAACATTAAAAAAAATGTCTTAAAGAGGAAGTCAGGGCTCTGGTTTATGCTCAAAACTATCAAGTTAAGTTTTCCATATGTCTTGAGTTCTTGAATGATATAAACTTTCATATCAAAGTACCTATTATGTGAATAATATTAAAATAGGTACTTCAGCATATAACCAAGAAACAGGTAGTTTTGGCATGTCTTAAAATGTGGCATTTCTATCTTTTAATTTCTCCTACCAGGCTAAAAATAAATATTTAAAATTCTGCCCTACTATTAGGTATATTTTAATGACATAATCTTGTATAAGTATGAGAATTATGTTATCTGAATGTGCTTTTGAACTATTCATAAGTATTACAAATGAATGCCATATAGAACGTAGAAAACAAATGTATTTCTACATTTGTAGATGTATCGTATGTACATCGTATTGCAAATGAATACATACAAATAGCTATCTCCAATATAGAAAACCACTACATCGTATCTATATTGTACAGAAAACTGTGGATATTAAATTTATTTCTACTAGACATTATCTGATTTCAAAAATATTGTAAAAGGAGTTATATTAAAATTTAATGAGGCCAGGCATGGTGGCTCACGCCTGTAATCCCAGCACTTTGGGAGGCCAAGGTGGGCAGATCACTTGAGACCAGGCCTAGGATTGTCTCAAACATGGCAAAACCCTGTTTCTACAAAAAATACACACACGAAATTAGTCGAGTATCCTGTGGTCCCAGCTACTCGGGAGGCTGAGGTGGGAGGACTGCTTGAACCCAGGAGGTTGAGGCCGCAGTGAGCTGTGATTGTGCTACTGCACTCCAGCTTGGGTGACAGAGCAGAGACTGTGTCTCAAGAAAAAAAAAAAATTAGTGCTATATACTAAAGAATATTTGTATTTTAAACTATATTGAGAACATAATGGCTTATTACATCATAATTATGTTACTCCTCAAAGTTTTATTTTTATGTATGTATGTATGTATGTATGTATGTATGTATGTATACATGTATGTATGTAGAGATGAGGTCTCACTATGTTGCTCAGGCTGGTCTCAAACTCCTGGCCTCAAGCGATCCTCCTGCCTCAGCCTCCCAAAGTGTTGAGATTACAAGTGTGAGCCACCACACCCAGCCACCCCCCACATTTTTAAGGGAGTGAACTATTAATAATACTAGATAAGCAAACTTCCTTTCTTAAGGGGTTCTCCTAAATGTTGAAATTGAAAACCAACAACACATTTTACCATAGGAATATTTAGCTACTTTTTAAATTTACTTCATGATCAGGAAATGCAAAGACTAAATAAGTGCCTAAGACAGATAGCTTAATGCACTGAGAACATGGACTCTGGAGTCAGCTTAGACAAAATGGTGGCTTTACACCAACTGTGTTACTTTAGGAAAATTATTGTTTTCTCTGTGCCTCCGTTTCATCATCTGCAAAATGAGGATAATAATGGGACCTACAATGAAGAGTTTTAGAAGGATGGTATGAGATAATATATGTAAAATGCTCATAAGATTGGTAGACACAGTAAATGCTTGATAAATGTTAGCTACTACTACCACTGTTATTAGCCCCAAATTTACTGATGATGCCTCTCAGCATATATTTTTATAAAATTTAAGGAAAAAATGCTATTCTATAGGATTTGTAATTGTTAATGCCAACATTTATTCATTTATTGCATATTAGTAACATGCCAGGTACTATGTTAGACATATGGCATTCTAAATATCACACGCTTCTAGGCAGTGAGCAACTTAAATAACAAATTTTATAGGAAACTAAAGGTACATGTTGCCCTGAACTCTGGTAAAGTGTGCCACAATATAAAAAATAAGTTTGTCAACAATGACAACGTAGGCTATCATTAATTAATATGAATTGTGTTAATAAAATCATGTCAGTAGTAGAAACTGCTTTTTGGTTTAAATTTCTTTTAGAAATGTAATCAACTACTTAGGAAGTACAAAGGACTAGAAAAAAGAATGGTAATCTGAGTCTGATTCCTGTGTTTCATAACACAGCTCAACTTGACACACAATAGGTGCTTAATAAAGATTTGTCTTGTCTAAGATACTATGACTATGTGTCCTCTGAACCAGAGTTGATACTCTGTTATTAACTCTGGTTAATATACTCTGGTTAATAAACTCAGTATTAACTCTGGTTCAGAGGAGACATTGCCACCTAGCGAAAAATCAGCCTCATTACCTAGAATTATCAGACAATGCTGAGAACTTCTCAAATTAGACTTGACTCCACTGACTTGACTCCACTGAAAACACTACATGCATATTTATTATGTGTCAGTATTCAGGGTAGGTACTAGTAGGAAAAAGATGAACAAGCTTCCATCTTTGCTTCTTACAACGTATAGAAAATACAAGGAAACCACATACTCCACAGAGAAACATAGAAAAAACTGTACTGTAGAAAAAACAAGGTTTGATTATTAGACATTTAGAAACTAGTATTTCAAGAAATTTGCTGAAAAGGAAATTTAGTGTAGCAAATAAGAGCATGGACTCCAGGAGCAAACTGCATTGATTTAAAGCCATGGCTCCTGTAAAGCGAGGATAACAGCCCCTATGTCATAAGATTATTGCAGAAACTTAAATATATGTAAGGTAAAATGCTTAAAACAGAACCAGGAACAAACAAAATGCTATGTAAGTATTTACTAAAATTATTATTAAATCTAGAACAATATCCTAGAGACTGAGGTGAATATTGATTAATAACAACACATTAACTGAAGTCTAGCTTCATAAATTTAATTCAGTAGAAGCCGTTTCTCTGACTAGTACTCTGTTATTATGGGAATCCTAAAAGTACATTATTTGTGGTACTCTGTGACTAAATTTTGTATTACTGGATGATTAACCCTTTCAACATCAGGCAAATAAAACTGCCTTCTGAAAGTAAAAATCATATTTCTTACCAAAAAAAGCAAAAAGTCAGTAGAATGAAAGACCCAAAAGACCACAACCTGAACATATGTTTACCAGGGAAAGATGCTTGCTAACTCTTCACAGATTTTGCTAGAACTGAAAGATGGATGATACATTTAGTTACCACTGTGGTCTCATTCACAACTTGTTTAGCTTATAAAAAAAAATAAGCTTGCTCCATTTTCCTGGAAAATTATCTGATAATTTTTTTTAAACACCACTTAAAAATCCCTTAAGTCTTTTGTGTTTTTTGAATTTTATACTATTAAAATATTTATGTAAAGCCATATGTAAACTTTATTTTCAACCAAAAAATTATGAGCAAAATATTCCTGTATTAAAAAATAAAACATAAGACAAAACTCTAATAGGTTGGTAATAAATATTATACTTTTCTTATGGATCTATACCATTCACAAGAACTCTGCTCAATCTTAGATGGCTTAAGATTACTTAACTTCTTCCTAAGCTTCCTCTTTTTAAAAATAGCAACGAGTTGGGAAAATGTGTTGAAACATTTTTTAGTTTTAATTTGTTTGTAAAGGTGTGTTTGCATATCAAAAATTGTGTTTGTGATATATTGCACAAATAATTTAAATTTAATGTGTCTACTATTTGAATATTTAGATTTCTAAAATGCTCATGGAAATCCTTCCTCTTGCACATTAAGATAGTGTGGAAATAACATTATGTTTTTAATTTTATGCATTTATATTCTAATAAATTGACCTGGAAAGAAACATACTTTAATAAATAAAAGACTGACCAACAGAGTAAAAGAGAGGAGAAAAAACTCTTCAACTGCTTTCCATATAGAGATGCTTATTAGCATATTAAAACAGAAATTCTTACATATAGTCAAGCATATATTGGTTGGATGGGCATAACAACCCATTTTATCTTTTGTTTCAATATTGTGCTTATCAATTTACCTAGTACTTTCACAGTCATGGTCTCATAGTATCTTCACAAATACCTCTCTTAGGTAGGACAGGTATTAGTACTGTAGTACCTTTTCATAGATAAGAAAATGGAGCTTCAGGAAGGCAAGAAGCTTGTGCAAGGTCACTAGAGTAACAGAATGGAGCCTAAACCCCATTTTTTTAGACTCCTAAAATGCTTAGCTCTTTCTCCTACTAGGCCTCTAGAATGGACTTCTTTGCTTACTGCCTAAAAACCAAACTGGCAAACCTAACTATCCTGGGCTACTCTGATGATAAAATCCTGTCAGTGACAAAAAATAAATTGCTTTAAGAAAAGATAGAGTGCAACTTTAATGTGTATGTGTAGTGAAAATTTCAAAGGCATAAAAAGCAAATTAGAAATTGAATGAAGACTACTGTAAAACCTCTTAAGAGTCTGAGGAAATAACTGTGCTGCCTATTTCCTGTATAACAGTTCCAAATATAAAGTACTTTGGTATAACTCTTCATTTATGTGAAGATTTAGAGTGGGTACAAAGAGAGAACTGTTTCAGGATACATGGTGAAACTAGACACCAGATTTGGACATTGAATGATTTGAGGAATCCATCTATTTTTTCCTATAATCAGGCAGTGTTTATCTTTGCTAATGTCTGCTTGTAATAGTAAATGGTACTGTGTTGCTTGGCAATTCTACCATTACTAACAGTGTTCTATAAATCTGAGTATGCATTGCAGAAATGATTTCTTCTCTATAAAATTCTTTAAAATAAGATTACATTTTGACTTTACACATTATTTTCTAGCATAATTTACCCTGGAAGGCATAATATAATCCACACTGTGATCAAGAACTTCAGATTTCTAACTTAATTGCCTAATTACTTAGTATTTATCACAACCATTAATCAATTCAATCTATATTAACTTAATACACTTAACTTTCCATAAGCAAATCAAAGAAACTAACAAAGACTTTTCATTTTTGTACAATACTATATGAAGAAAATAGAAATGCAATTTTGAGAATGACAGCACTAATAGTATAATATAGAAGAGTGGAATCCTAATTTCAGGATAGAAATTAAAGAAATATATGAAAACCAGCATATATCCAAAGAATTCTTAGAATACCATACTGTCCCTGAAAAATAATGTATCCACACTTTTTATTTCCTTATTATTTCTCAGAATGATAGAATAGTGTAATTGCGGACACGAAAGACATTAGATTTCTAATTCCAGGTGATGTTTTCACTGATGTGATTTTCCCCCTACTTTTTATGTTAAGAAACTCTCAAAACTACAATTTATTAAAACTATGTGCTTTAGTAACAACACAGGATAAAATATTAACTCAACAGTCAACTGAAAACATCAAAGATCTGTATTCCCTAAGTTTTATTTACCTTTTAAATTTAGTTAACATATTCCAAATAATTTTTAGGTGAATTCTATTTACTTAAATTGATTTACAAAGAAACTTGTGGCTAGCTTTCTGTGATTCCAACATAAGGGCACAATTATTATGTGTACTTTTGTCAACATTTGAATTCCAGACAGATTCCTGGTTTAGTCTAAATGTAAAGGTTACTCTAAAAATTCTTTACTTATCAAGTGGTAGACTTACCATGGAAATCGTAAATATACAGAAGAATTGGCTCATTTTGCCCAAATGCACAGAATGCAACCATATTTTCAAATGGATGATAAGAAATGTCTCGAATGGGTGACTTGAATGGCAAGTCAGAATACATGGCTACTTGTTCTCCTAAATAAAAAGAGAGATTCAAAAATGTATATCAGAGCATATCTGTATCGATAAATCTTCTCACAAGATTATTCTGCCATTTATTAGAAAATATTTATAGCAATGATGCTCACATTATTTATGTGAAAACCTCAAATATTTAAAAATGTTTGAGTAACAATGTATTAAATTATCTTTATTTTACATTCCACTGACCCTCCTCCTTCTACTTTCTACCTCTTCAATGAGGTTTTCAAGGCACAAAATAAAGACAAAGGGCACAGACGGAAGTAGAGAGGTATATGACTCTAAGATTGGAGATTGGACAGAGCTAAGCAAACTCCAAATGACAGAGAACTCTGGGTAGAACTACAGGAGAAATTACAGGACTCTAAAACTAAAGAAACTCTAGTTGGGTGAGCTTTGGTGAAGGATTAACTTTTCCATTTTTTTTTTCCCAGATGCTGTTTGAGGTACCCATTTGCTTGAAAGATACCTATGACTATGGCCTAAAAGATGTCTAAAGTAGAGATCTGTGGAATCCAGGAAAATCAGTCAGGAGTCAAAAAGCAAAGAATCTAGATTCATTTATTGAAGGCGAGACTTGTTGCTACTGAATTGATGCTAAAGCATCAAAACACGGTACAGGAAACAAACAATCAAACAAAAACCTAAGTTACCTGACTAGTCAAAATGCCTAACAGAAAGAATAAAAAAAAAACAAGGAAAAAATCAAATACTGTTCATTAAAGAAATTTTAAAGTTAGTTTTATGAAACTCTCTCAATTTCTTATTAAAAACATTCATGTAGCTTTAGCTTTTCTTTTGAAAAGCAAAGGTGAGGCACAAGTGAGCTTCCCAATGTAATTGTTTATTGGAAAAAAACTGAACTGCAGTATTTCAGGCAACTTGCTATTTAAGTTTCAGACATCAAAACTTTCACAGGTATGTTTCCGTTACTAATGAAAATATAGATGTTTAACAATTTGTCTACCTAATCATATTCCAAATTCAGCTTGTAACATTTTGTACTTTGTGTTAGCCTCCATTAAACGCTTTTCTAAGATCAGCAATGTCTCATTATAGGCCATGAAAGAACAAACCTTGAATTATAATGTGAAATTCTAAATCCATAAAGATATTAAAGCAATAGAGAACAAAATTTAATACAAGTTTAGACTGTAGCTGAGTTCCTTTAAAGGCTTTCTAATCTTAAAAAACATAATTGAAAACCCAAAATCAGAATTTCCTTGAAAATTATTCCATAAAATGGTAGAATTTTCACACTTCTTCAAACCCCTGTACCTCCCCAAATGATTTTTAAAGTTCAATAAACATTCACCTGTTTCTGGGTTCCAAACATACACTATACCATCCTCACTTCCAGCAAACAGAAAAGTCCCACATGGAGTCAAAGTACTATGAATCTTCTCCCGATAATTTGCTGCTCCTACAAACTTCCTTGCTACTAATCTACAAGCAAAAAAGATTTTACAAATGTAACTGTCTTAATCATGTAAATGACTGGTGGTATAAAATCTTTTCTCTTAAATACTTAATTTCCATTCAACAAACATTTTTTGAGAATCTGCCATATGGGAGACATTCTATAATATAATGGATGCAGAATAAAGGAGAGCTAGTCCCAAGAGCCCAGGGAGTTTATAATTTAGCAAGAGAGGAGAAACATGTCAACGTAAAATAGAAGGTGGATGTAGAACATACTGCAAAAGAAAAACAGAAGAGTTCTTTTCAAACTTGGACAAGAGAAATTAATTCTAGCTATAGAGCAAGAGAGACTACTTTATGGAAGTAGCATTTGAGCTGGTTACTAAACTAATGGATAGAATTTTTATACTCATATATTCTTCTGATGAATTTTTAAAATAATACAAGGAATATTTGATCTCTGAAAAAAAATTAGATAAAACATATTATTAAACCATCTGCTAAATATGGTACATAGCCTTCCATATTTTTTCACTCACGAAAAAATAGTAAACACCATTTCAGCACACACTTTGTGCCAGGTAAGTATTATTATCATCTCTAACATCAAACAAAAGTGCACTAGAAGTCCATGTTGATTTTCCCAGAACACTGCTTCCACCTTTTTCAGGAAGGATATTTCCCTACATTTGCGATTATTTGGAAATAAACAAAAAAACAAGGACATATAAATCAAAAGCCCTCTCCTGTAGTTATATCATATTATACTAATGCTGTAACAGTATCATAGTGATAATATCAGTATCAATCAATATCATTGTTGAAGGTAGAAGTTTCTTTTTTTTAATTGTGAAAATAAAAGCAACTAACTACATTTCAGCCTCAGAACTACTCACATTTTGGGCTGGATAATTGTTTTAGGGGGACTGTCCTATGGGCTGTAGGATGCTTAGCAATATTTTTTATCTCGACTCATTAGATACTAGAAGCAACATAAAAAAAAAAAATCTCCAGATACTGCCAGATGTTCCTTGGTGAGTGTGGGGACACTGCTTAGTTGAGAACCACTACCGAATTTTATAAATATAATTTAATTCATTACTTACTCTGTGAGTACTTATCCTGTCAACACTGAAATATACTTACATCCGGAGATCCATAATTCTCAAAGTACTGTCTTTGGTATGGATTAACAAACGTTTTCCATTGGGATGAATCTCCAAATAACTTATTGGAATTCCCTTAAACTCAGTTTCTTTAATTTCCTAAAATGATTAAAAAAAATACTACTACTGAAAAGTTTGTCTAATGTTAAACTTTTTTGGGGGTACAAAATTAATCTTAAAATATCATTTCCAATTCCACTGTATAGGATGCTTTAAAATTGTTAGCAAAAGGATTCTGAGTAACGTCAGTTTAGGGCTGAAAATAAAGCTGATGAATTGTATTTCTGTGTTGTTATGCAATGTGCAAATGCACATTTAATTAGTATGTGTTTTTGTAGTATGTTCACTTTCCCAAAATTTGGTCAGTCCCAAACAAGAAGTACTTCCAACAAACACATCTTGTAACATTACATTTTTTGTTTAAAATCATGTAAGAAGCTTCCAATTTTTATAAATTCAAAACCACATGTAGAAATAATTTTCAAGTTTCTATTCTTATTTAGATAAGAATTTCTAACAACAGAATGAACTGCTTTTTCAACAGATCTGATAGACTCAACAGATTTAACTAAAATTCATGGAAATTATTTTTCACTTAGGGTGTCTTTTTTCAACTACTATCATAATTATATTATGAAAAATTGAAGAAAAAGGTATAATATGTTAGGCAGAAACTGAATCAATTTATATAGAACAAATTCAAGTTTAATGATTCATTTGTATTTTTAAATAAAAAGTAAAAAATGTACACTAACAAAACTGCTTAACATACAAGCTGTCTTAAAAACACTCCAGCCCCCAAATGAAAGAACTTATTCATTTGTTTCTATTCGGCAAATTTCAAATGAAACAATTATTGTGATTAAATGACAGATCTTCATAATAACCGCATAACTCTGAAAGACACCAGTGTTGATAAAATACTGAGAACACTGTTTTTAGAGATATAATTGGACCAAGGAAAAAGGATATAATAGGAAATATAAATTATTACTTATCGATGGTAATATAACATACATCTCATTTTAGCATAAATGTCACCCAATGGATTACTGAATGCCACAGTGCAAATGGGGTATAAAAAAGTGAAATTAACACCTGGCCAAAATTTTAAATCTTCACTAAGTCGTTATATCATCAGTCAGCCATCAGGAGGGTGTGCTAATTAATTATTGATAACTAAGAAAAACTGTTAATTTTTTGAAATGAGAGAACAGAATGTCCTGACATCCTATCTTAAAGTCATGTGATTGGATTTTTCCAACTTCTTTAATTAAATCCCAAAATATAAAATATGATTTTATACCTTATTTATAGTCCAGTGGTGCACTGAATGTTCCAAATCATTAATCTTGACATAGGTATTCCAAACAACAATCACCCCTGTACAATCTCCTGAATACATATGATGACCTATTTAAAAAAATAAGATCACTCACTTATGAATGTCACACAGAGTTAGAAACAAATAATAGGAAATCGGGGGAAACTATACCCCAGTAAAACAGTCAAAGAATTGAAGGGCTATTAAAAGGTATTTCAGTTTAAAAAAGCCAAAAATCAAAATGTAACTCACAAACAAACCCCAATTATCTTTAAATGAATTCTTTACTCTTTTAAATTATTTTTGATGACTTCTTTCCCTTTTTCACTTACCTGAATTTAACTATAAAAAGAAATGAGCCTCTCAGTACATGTGTATATGGCTTATATTCCAAAGCCAAATAATTTGAACCATCCGACATGTAACATTATTTCTCATCTTTATTAACCCATAAATCTGTTTTGGATTCCTAGAAAAATACCTATATTCTAATATGCACCAGTTTAACATCAATTCTTTGGAGTCAAATAATCTTAAAATTGAAAGACCTCAGAGACCATTAAGTTCAACTTCATACCCACTCAGGAATATCTCAAACACCACCACTAACAGATGGCTGTTCAGCAACTGTGAATTCAGTATTTTATAAAACAGCTATTCAACTGGTGAACTGCTTCCTGTATTAAAATATTCTTTCTAATTCTGAACAAAGAAAATCTATCTTCTACAGCTTTGGCCCACCTCTACCCACTGGAGTAACATGGACCAATTTCCTTTTTTTTTTTTTTTTGCACATTTGGATATCGTATGGCCAAATAGTTGAAGAAAGTCTTTATGTCTCTTTTATAATCTCAACTACTGCTATTATGACAGAGTTAGTTTTCAGATACCTTTCTATTCAGAGTCTTTCCTGAATATGTTCCAAATTTATTAACATCCCTACAGCTGAACTGAGTAAATCAGCAGTATTATCCTTTTGATCTGGATCCCATACCAATTAATTATAGCGCTAGCCTACATGCCCAGTCTCTGAAATTATGTAAAAAGTGACTATTTAATAGATACAATAAATTTCTTCATTCTTTCAGATAATAAAATGATTTACGTTTTACATCTTTAAAACATACTACATTATTCTTTTTTTTGAGATGGAGTCTCACTCTGTCGCCCAGGCTGGAGTGCAGTGGCGCGATCTCAGCTTACTGCAACCTCTACCTCCAGGGTTCAAGCGATTCTCCTGTCCCAGCCTCCCAAGTAGCTGGGACTACAGGTGCATGCCACCACACCCGGCTAATTTTTTGTATTTTTAGTAGAGATGGTGTTTCACCGTGTTAGCCAGGATGGTCTTGATCTCCTGACCTTGTGATCAACCCACCTCAGCCTCCCAAAGTGCTGGGATTACAGGCACGAACCACCGCGCCCGGCCACCATATTATTCTTATATCAAGATAAAACTTTAAATAATTGCAAATTTCCCTTCTATATGTTTGCAAATTTTAAGGTTCTTGAAGAAAAAGTAAGAATGATAATCACCAGTTCAAAGAAATATATTTATGCAATTTGGCACATGACTGGTTGTTATAGCAAAGATTAATTGAATCTAAATGTTTAAGAATTTAAAAACTTAAAAATTACAAACAGAAGTCCCTTAGTGTCATATCTATCATATGACCTGCAAAATAAGCATAAACCTAAATATGCGCAATCATCAGTACATAACCCTCTCAAGCCTAAATAACTATTATTCTGGTAAAAAAAAATTCTTCACATAGCTGGTCTTCATTCATAGTCTCTGACATACCTTCAGTATCAAAACAAAGTGAGTTGATAAAACTTTTGTGAACATCAAACTGTCGGACCAATATGGCAGAATCTTCTCTCATCTCAACTTTCCATATCCGTATCATGGAATCATAGCATCCTGTAACTACTAGCTCTCTTACAGCTGGATGGAATTTAGCCGTGTAAACAAAAGAAGGATGAGGTAAAACTCTGAAAGTATTTGTATTGTTTATTTCATTTTTCCATATCCTGGAAAAGGATAAGAAGTTACATATTGCTTCTGAAAAGCAGAAGTTTCTTTTAACAGTTTTTCTAAGAACCAACACAGCCAATGAACCTTAAGCAAGCAAGTGACAACGACCAATGGTAAACCAAGTTTTAAAACAATGAAAAATATAATGATGATCTCATATTTGATGACTGGAATTTTCACATGTGACAAAGTTATTTGTTATAGTTATTATCCAGCATATTATATCCACTAATTGTAATCTATACTATAAAATTAATAACTTTTTAAAACCTACCTATTTTGCTGTTGGTTAAACACACATTGAACAGTTGGTAAAATATTGCATTTAGTACAATATACATAAAAAATATATAGGGAGAAACTTTAATGATTTCCCATTTAGGTTGTGTATACCACTTTTACAAAGTGTTTATTAATGGGGGTTTAGAGAATAGAATAGTCTATTAACTTTTATATTTGTAATTTCAAAGCCTAGATAGTAAAAATGAAGATCTCAAAGATTTAAGAGATACTAAAATTATTATATTTTGAATTCTCAAGTAAAATAAGATTAAAATAATTATGACATTTTGATAGAAAAGACTATCCTACATTAAGCACGTTCTTTTTGTTTAACACTCATTATCCTGTCCTCTAAATAATGGCTAACTAAAAAAAATTAAGATTATTATCACTGCTACAGTCTTGACAAATGAGTAAACCCTTAAGGGTTAACCTCTTAGATACTCTGCATTTCTAACAATGTATAAAACTAGGTGAAATCTACCAATATACAGGTGCTATATAAGTGTGAAGCATTGGATTTTTAAATATATTTTGTTAAATTATCAAAATTAGAAGAACATATTAATTTTAAATATGGGATTTGTATTCATCCTTTTAATTACTGCTTGAAAACTAAAGCAAATTGAGTCTGTTACAAGATTACTGATAAGAGAAAAAAAAACAGTTTCTATTCAAGAAAAATATTCTATGAGTTTCCTCAGCAGCTGCTTACAATATAGGATATGATCTTCAATTACTAAGAATCCAAACTAATAATAGAGGAAGTGAAAGAACATGTTTTCGAGTAAAAATAAAGCCCATGAATGAATCAATTGCACAAGCATTTTTACCACAGTGTATTCTCAATAAGCATATTTATATGAAATATGATGCCTATTAAAAGAAAAAACCACTAATTTTGGGAAAATATTAAAAAGATAGATGAAAAACTCAGTTGTTTGGTAATAAATCTTAGTAGCATTATTTAAAATACTATATAACAGGCAGAAATGAAGCAAATACATCTTCAAAACAGCTCAATATAATTAAAACAGACATAATATTAAAAAAATAAAAGTAAAGCTTTTTGTGTAAAAACTGAACTGGAATCAATGATGGTTTCTGTTACCCAGGCCATGGTAGAATCTGAGATTAAAATAAATATATAAATGGGTTTGGGGAAAAAAAATCAGACCAGATCATAGAGAACAAAGAAATACAAATTTGTAAAGACTGAATGAACACACACAAAAATTACTAGATTTGGGAAAGAAAAAACATAAAGTTAAGCCATATGTTTGAGAAAAGGGAATAGTGGGCACATATAGGCCTGTGTGGGAGCCATTACATATGGAAAAGCCTCTCTGACTGTATTAGAAGTTGTTGATTTGAGAAAAACACAGATTATTCCAGGGATAACTAAAGAAGGGTATTTAGGATAAACCCATATGGCAGAAAGCTAATCAAGTGGGAAATACTTAGGAGACACTAACAATAATATGTGTCAGGGATCCTCAGGAATAAAGAAGGAGAAGACATGGACAGAAATTCATACTTCTGCCACTTGTGAGCATTTGCAATTCTAATTCTCTTTCTTTGGACAACAGCTCCTTTATTACAAGTATTCCTTACCTCTTTCAAAACTCTCCTTGTCATTTTGATGCTAGCCACATGCTTCTCTTTTCACTCAGTTAATGCTTTCACAATACTATTTTAATGATGTAAAGAGTCCTAAATTAGTATCAGTTTTAAAGATAAATAAGGAAAAAATGTGTGCTTTAGCATAATATACTACATATTGTGTGCAGAAACCCAAGATAGCTTCAAGAAATAATAGAATTTGGGCTGGATTTTAAATAATAACTACAAACCTATGAGAGCTCACAAAAGGCACTTAATTTTTGTTGAATGAATAAGTTATTCAGGAAGGGTAGGAGAAGGTCATTTAAGTATAGGAAAAGTAGGTAAGTTTCAAAGGGCAGGAAGATGCCAAAGAAGATAAGATGCTAGGGTGTTTCAAAAGATTACGTGGGTAAAGCAAAGGGTACAAGGGAAGCGCATGAGAAAAGAATGTTGGGTCAATGAGGAACATGCCTGTTAGGCCATGCTAAGGAACTGGAAAATTTTTCAATGGGCAATGGGTAAAGTCTTTTAAAAAATTAAGGCATTATGAAAGATAGTTATGGAAAGATAATTTTAGCACAGCAGAGACAGAGGACTTAGAGACTGAACACTGAGGTCAATAGCAACAATTTAAGCAAAGAGTAATAGGGCTTGAATTAAAGCAAACGCAATAGAGAGGACGTGACAAAACTGTGAGCCTTTTAGGAGGGAGAATTGGCAGACTTTAGTGCTAGTTAGATGTGAAAGAAATGATGGGAAAGAAAGAAGAGATGAACACCACTCTGAGTTTTCAGCTTGGGAGATGGTGGATAAGGATGCCATTAAAATATATGTAAGAGAATTAAAAGAGGAAAACAAAATTTAAGGAGGTGGGTAAGTTTGGTTTTGGATTTGAGGTGGCAATGGGCCATTCAAATGGAAACGTGTAATAGGAAGTCAAATTCATAAAAAAGGTGTGCGCTAGAAGTCATTAGCATATCAGCAAGAGTCAAAGCTGGGAAAGGTAAGAGAAACTAGGATAAGCATATAAAACCAGGAGATGATCAGCTAAAGGATCCTGGGGATAAAACATATAGACGATCGGCAGAGGAAAATAAATCAGAGAAAGACAATGGATAGAACTGGTCAGAGTAATAAAAAGAGAAGAGAAGAGGTTGTCAATGAAAACTATGAATTCAAAATATTTCAAGACTGGTCAATAATCAATTACTACAGTGAAGGCAAGCAGAGCAGGAGTTAAACTGTCCAAATGGATTTAAAAATAGCAAGAAACTGCCAACCTCTGAAGAAAGAAGTTTATGTAGCATGGTGGGAAAGAAAGCCAGAATAACTGGGCTGAAGTAAAGACAGTATGTGTAGAATACTCCTGATGGTGTAGAAAAAGAAAAATAATGGGCTAGTCTAGAAGGCAGGAAGAACTGAAAATGATGTTTTTAAGATAAGGCAATTTGAGCATATTTCTTTTTTCTTTTTGAGGCAGAGTCTCAATCTGTCACCCAGGCTGGAGTGCAATGGCGCAATCTCGGCTCACTGCAACCTCCACCTCCCAGTTCAAGTGATTCTCTTGCCTCAGCCTCTGAAGTAGCTGGGACTACAGATGCAGACCACCACACCCGGCTTATTTTTGTATTTTTAATAGAGACAGGGTTTCGCCATGTTGGCCAGGCTGATCTCGAACTCCTGACCTCCAGTGATCTGCCCACCTCGGCTTCCCAAAGTGCTGGGATTACAGGCATAAGCCACTGCGCCCGGCCCATTTGAGCATATTTCTAAGATGAGAGGACACAATCAATAGAGAGAAAGATATTAATCAGACTAGTAGATGTAATACAAATTTTCAGGGACTGAGATGAAAAGTACAGGTCAAATAGCCTTTAAAACGTCAGTCACGTGCCTCTTTGTTAAAAGAGATGGACAGAGATTAAAAATGGACATATCTATGGATATTAGGAGGGAAATCAGAGGGAAATATACGAAGATCATGTCTGACTAAATTTCATCTAAATTGAAGATAGTCATCTAATGAAGTGGGAAGACTGTGATTTACTGTAGAGAATGTTCATGGTAAGTTTGGATCTGCTGCCAGAGGAAAAAGAAAAGGAAGCTGAGTAAAGTAAAAGGATTCCTCAGCAGAGATGACAGCTTAGGTGACATTAAGACTTACAAATCCAAAGTCACCCCTCAGCAAAGTTACATATTTTTCTCTAGTATGGCCTGGCATTGGACAGAATGGCTGTGCTAAAAGAACAGATCAGATAGTTTCTTGAGGATATTGTCAAAAAGGAGTAATAGTAGGTTCCCAGCATGACCAAGAAGGAAGTCAATTGTTACTAATTCTCATCTTTTTCATTTAAATAAAAACTAACCAATAATGGTAACATCTTGATTAGATATTTTATACAGAAAAGGAGGTTGGCAAGATCAGTAGAAGAAGTGGTCTGAACACTAAAAGTAACACGAAGTGTTAAGAGAGTAGAAGGCAGAAGTAAATGACAATGAATTCAGCATGGATCTCAACTGTTTACATGTCAGTTTCGTAGTGTGTGGAGAGAATAATGTCTTACCTAATAGCTGTAAGAATCAAATTAAGTGATGTATCTAAAAGCACCCTGAAAACTAACAGTATTTTTAGAACACATTCAAGGTAGAACAAGCAACTAAAAAAAGTATAAATGAAACTTTTAAAGTTAGCTTTTAAAATGTTTTATTGTGATACTTATTAAATTGAAAAGGGATAAATTATTTTTAAGATTGACATTCTGAAAAATGTAAATGTTTAACCAATCTATAAAACTGTTAAAATATAAGGTACATATTTGTTTCCTCTACTGTGATATACTGAGCACCACTGGATTCTACCCTCTGCAAATCCAGCCAATAGTGAAGACAGTATCCCTGCCACCAAGAGCTTATGCTCTAGGAAAAAATCTCAAGTGTTTAATAACCCCTAACCCCATCTCAAAGCATTAATCAGTTTACATAATGATCATTTAAAGATGGTGAGGACTAGAAATATTATATGCTACATAAATAAAAGACATTTAAGAAAAATGTCTTTAAAAAGTGTTACTATAATTTATGGAATCAGTCTGCATGATGCATATTTATGACAGTCCCTTCTTGGGAAAATACGACTGGAGCATAAGAGTAGTTACATCAGTTTATATTCTCTTTGCTTTCCTTGACAGCAAACAGCATGCACATAAGTACTTCTCAAGGATACTAACCTGGCAGTGCCATCAGATGATGAAGTAAGGATGTAGTGATCATCTTTTGACCAGGAAAGATCATAAATGATATTGAGGTGGCCACACAATTCTCTCATGAAACGTCCAGAAGGAATTTCATATACTAATGAAAATATTTAGAAATTAGGTTTCCAGACAGAAGATCCTTAATCCAATAATATACAAATATATAATTTAATATTATTTAGACATAAGCAGTCTATAACAAAATTATAACCAAAGACATTTGCAGCACAGAGAAAATTTCAAAATTTACTTAAGAATAGTTTTTCTTTTGCTTTACACAAAAATTCACATGCAAAATTTTCAGTTATAATTTTGCTACAATTATCAATTATTTTCATCTCTTTAAAGAAATCCCCTAAGAATCTTTAATAATAAATTTATATCAGTTGAATAATAACATTTACATTGCAATTCACTTATATTCTATAATTTAGGCTTTCATTATTATTTCACCTGAAAATCAACTAAATGCCAACCAAAAATTTAATTATTTGAAGTAAGGAGAAATTTAAATTGTGCTATTGTCAAAAGTAAATTTTAATACTAAAATGAACAGGGATAGTAATCAGGGATAGTATGGGAATTAACAATGACTCAATCAGACACACAAAGCACTGTGGTATTTTACTATATGTTTAAACATACAATGAAATCTAAGATAGTAACACGGAAAAACAAAGTTTCCAAGTCTCTGCTTCCATCTAGTGGTAAAAATCAATTGCCCTTTAAAATACTTAGCAGTTCAGAAATAACAGCAGTCCCCCCTTATGTGCAGTTTCACCTTCTGTGGTTTCAGTTACCCGCAGTCAACCATGGTCTGAAAATATCAAATGGAAAATTCCAGAAATAAATAATTCCTAAGTTTTAAAATGCACATCATTCTGAGTAGTGTTATGAAATCTCATGCCATTTAGCTCCATGTCTCCAGCATGTGAATTATCCTGTGTTCAATGTATCCATGCTATAGATGCTGTCTATCAGAAACTTAGTAGCTGTCTCAGTTATCAGACTGGTTGTCACCCAGTGCTTTTGTTCAAGTAACCCTTATTTTACTTAACGGTCACAAGGTGCAAGAGTAATCATGTTGGCAATTGGCATATGCCAAAGGGAAATGATAAAGTACTTCCTTTGACTGAAAAGGTGAAAGTTCTTGATTTAAAAAGGAAAGAAAAAAAAATCATATGTTGAGGTTGCTAGGATCTACAGTAAAAATCTTCTATCCGTGAAATTGTGAAGAACGAAAAAGAGGTTTGTGCTAGTTTTGCTGTCACACCTCAAACGACAAAAGTAATGGCCTTTAGTGCATGGTAAGTGTTTTGTTAAGATGGAAAAGATATAAATCTGTGGGTGGAAAGCATGAGCATACATGTGTTTCTACTGATGGCAATCGGGTTCAGTACTACTTGAGGTTTCAGGCTTCCACTGAGGGTCTTAGAACATATACCCTATGGAAAAAGAGGGACTACTGTACTTGTGGAATAGCAAAGTAAGAATCTTAGAAAAAATCTCCTCCCCACAGAAGCAACAAGAACACTGGCAAAAACTGGCAAAAATCAACATTCTCAGAACTCTGAAAATTAAGCAAAGCTTACAAAAATTTGAAGAGTATTTAAGAAAAATGGCTGAATTTGGTAAGAACATTGAGCTTTACGGTGTTTTAACTTGCTATGTTCTCATTCCTGTCTCAAACTTTAAAGGAGCCTTAAAAACCAATAAAAATCAAGAGACTGGTTGGGGCAGAACAGGTCTGATGCTCCCTAAAAGCCCCATCCCCAAAGACTTCTCACTATTTGACAGTCTGGCCCTCCAGGAAAGATCCACTGTCAGGGCCTGCCTTTATTTGACCTGGCTCACAGCATGCTCTGGGAGGACAGCCCTAACCCTAAGGTGCATGTCAAAACAACCCGTGGCATCATTTAATATCACAGCTGCAAGTGAGGCTAAGAAGAGGCTCACCAAAGAACTTAAAATAAAAACAAAAAACAAAATGAAACAAAACAAAACAAAAAACCGGGCATGAGATGTCCATAGGGGACACTGATAAACTCCAAAATATTCCTGGGTATCTAGAAGGATTCCCATCCATGTATGTGAAGGGAATATGCACAACCAAGAAAGACCTGACAGGCTTTACTTCTCACTCGGGCTGACGTGAGGAGGCTCAGGACAAACAGAAAGTAAAGCTAAGGCAGAGCTGTAGATTGTGTACCGAAGCATTGAAGGTATACCCCAACACACACAGAGTCTCTTGGCAAAGACCAGTAGACCTATCCACTCAAGTATTTAAAAATCTCTGTCTAACCACAACGGTGGTCTCTGTCTGACCACGAACTTAACCGAGCACAGACATCAATGGCAACACATGACAGACAGTAAAGACTACAGAATTAGTCCAAAATCACAAAGCTAACTGCAAAAATAATAAATCTTGGGTGGGCGTGAGGGGAGAAAGGAGGGCATCTGATTTCCAGAGTTGCCACACTGCATTATTAAAACATCCAGTTTTCAATACAAAATTATGAGAAATGGAAAAAACAGGAAAGAGTGGCCCATACACAGGGGAAAAAAGTCATCCACATAGAAACTGAGGAAGCCCAGACGCTGGGCTTTCTCAACAAAGACTTTCAATCCACTATTATAAATATATTCCAAGATCTAAAGAAAACTATATCTAAAGAATTAAAGTGTGAAAAGGATTTCCCACCAAAAAAGAGAGTATCAATAAAGAAATAGATATGATTAAAAAAAAAGTCCAACTAGAAATTTTACAGTTGAAAAGTACAATAACTGAAATAAATAATTCACTAGAGGGGCTCAAAAGCAGATCTAAACTGAAAGAATTACTAAATTTGACAACAGGTCAACTGAGATTATCCAGTCTGAAAAAAGCAGAAAAAGAATGAAGAAAAATAGAAAAGTTTCAGAGACTTGTGGGACACCACCAAGAGTACCAACACAGGCATAACGGGACTCCCAGAAGAAGAAAGAGAAAAGGGCCAAACAGAACATTTCAAGAAATAATGACTGAATACATCTCTAATTTGTGAAAAACACTGATCTGCATATTCAACAAGTTAAAGGAATTCCAAGTAGACACATCATAATCAAATAGTCAAAAACCAAAGACAAAGATTCCTCTTCCTCCTCTATTTTTGAGATTTAAGCAATATCTCAATCTACATAGCATTTTAAAGCAAGTTTATTTAAGCATAAAGTAACATATTTATCACAGAAGCTTTTAAAACATAAAATCGGAATAAAATAATTCTTTCACTATCCAAAAGAAATAAATTACTATTAATAACTTAGGAGCATTTCCTAAGAACCTTTTTTCCCTCTACATATGGGTTTTTGGTGAATTTTAAAAATAGCATAGTGGTAATCAAACGACACAAGTGATTTTTTATTTTTAAAATTTATTACTATTTCATGGGGAGCAATATCTACTTAATAAATGCCAATCAAGTCAATTATGAGTCCCTGATTAAAAAAAAGGGAATCAACCAATTAATAGCAAACTGTGTTAAGCTGAGGAAAGTTCAATAAGATCTAGTGTTTAGGGCAGATGCCCACAAGGAGCTGGCTACTTCTGCAGAGGAGAGCTGGTTTTATTATTGAGTCAGAAGTAAAGGAGAGAGTATTTAATGCTTCTAAGTCTAGAACAGTATGATAATGCTCACTTTAGAATGTCTCTAAAGCAACAGAAATAATTGCTTGGCCTCTCTGCTGACTTCTCTATCATAATGAGAAGTTTTCATCTAGGTACTCTTGAGTCAATTATTGGTATTCCACTACACAGCAAATCTGGAGGCTTTTGTAACTCAAATCATCACTGCTATCAACTAGCCACATTGGACTAATGTTCCCCATGAGATTTATTCATCCTTGTTTCCAAATTTCTATATTTAAAATACAAAATGTTTACAAAAATCCTCCTGCATGTTTTAAAAATAAATTTACCATCTTTCATTTGATCAATCTCATTCTACTTACGAACAGTTACTGTATAGAAAAGTGTAAAATTATTACAAAAGAACTTTCTTTGTTTGAAGAAATCCGTTTTCTTTAATTTAGTAGTACAGGGGATTACTCAAGTTAAGATTTCCATGAATTTAAAAAAACTAAAGAATGTCCTCCACGTGGACTACAATCAGATTAAACAGGTAGGATTATTACTCACAAATAATTGGATATCCATCCCGGCTGGCACAAGCTGCTGCTAATATTCTTCCATTGTGGGAGAAATCAAGACAAAAACATCCTCGTTCTCCTGCATTTAGTGAGAAGAGGTGTTTGTTTGGGATACGGCAAGCCTAAAAAACATACGTTTAAAAAATATAAATTAGCAAACATTAAAACGCGAAGGCTAGTTTTTAATTTCAATTACTGTAGTTCTTTTAAGTCCTTTTATGATGCAGAGAAAGAGAAAAACAAGTACGCAGAATGGTGAAAAACCATAGTAAATTGCTTTGTAAAAAGAGAATCAGTGTCCATGAAATTTTTAAAGTGGGTTTGTTCTTCATGTTTAAGTAGTACTTAATTCACCTAAATATGAATAGAAAAATTTCAATATCTGATACTCTAAAGCCATCACTGCCACACTGCTTCTATATAGCTACTAAAAGAATGTATGTCACAGCCTTATTCTATGACAGCACTAGTAAGTCACTTTTGTTAAAGTCACAAGCTTTTTTTAAGACCACAAGTACCTATGGGGCCTAGCTTAAGCCAGAATGTATGAATGCTTATTCTCTCTTTGCCTATCTTAAAATAATCACCTTTTGTGGCTGCCTTCCAAAATGTATTTTCAAAGTAATCAATCGGCCCTTATTGGTCTCTCATTCATTATTACAATTTCTTCAAAATTTTAATGTTTTCACCCTCTTCTACCAGATGAAGCCCAAATTTTCTGGGTATTAATGTCTACTGTAGAAAATACCAGTTACGTTTATTTATCCTAATTCTATCTCTTGCAACCTTCAGTGAGCCTTAGTTCTTCTGTTTCTTATAATTCAAAAAGTTGAAGTAAACATATACTGGGCTCTTACTATATGTCATGAAAGTTGTACTTTATTACAAAGGTCTTTGAATATATTCATCACAGCCACCCTATGAGTAGCTATTACTAGCTAAGAGTAACCATTATTAGCTCTATATGGCTAAGAGGGATTATTCAAAGGGTCAAGCCTAGCTTAATGGACCTACTCAAAGACTGTTACTTCAAGGGCATGCTTTCTAGACAGGTACCAGGTTTTTCACAAATAGTACCAAGATCTAGCAGTTCCTCTGGAGACAGCATTATGACCAGCTACTAGGAATGTGAAAAATTCAAAAGAATTTGTTAAGTGTCAATCATGTACCAGACTCCATGCTCCCCATCCTTTCTCTGCATTCTCCAGACTCCATGCTACCCATCTTTTCTCTGCATCCTCCAACCACATAATTAAGAAAAGGGAGAGGAGGGTAACAAGGTAACAAAAACTGAAAGAAATGTCAGGAGGCTTTATAACCACTTGCTGCTGCTCCTAGAGTAGGAAGTGTAATTAAGGAAAACTCTGTGCCCAATCACCTAGGCTGAAAATGAAAACATTGAACCCACTATCATGTTCTTTGTATTCTCAGGGTTTGACTCTGTGCCCTATCCACAACAGACACTCAATGAAAGTCTGATAACAACAATAAAGGTCCTCAAAAGCCTTGACTGTTTCTCCTCCTTTACTACCTTGTCAGTCACTAAATCATGCTGGTTCCTACTTTCTGTCTCTCGTATTCATTAGACCCTCATCACCTCACACATCAATGACTGCCATCTAATTCTGATGTTACTACTTCAAGATCTCCCCATGCCACTGCCTGCATTAATTCATCCTCAAATACAATTGTTATTTTTCTCACTCACCCGAAAACCTTCCATTATTCCTCACATCCCTCACAATCAAGTATTAGGCTACCATTTGAGACACTCCACAATGTGGGCCTCATCCAGTACACTACTTTATCTCCTCTTTTACAAACTCTGGTTTCCAACCAGCTAAGCTTTTGAGTGCCTAATGAATACAACAGGTCCTTTCCCACTTATTTGCAACTTTGCCTTCATATGAAATACCCGCCCTTGTCCCTCCTTCACTCACCCCTACCTTGAGCATCCTAGTCTATCTCAAGCTCCACTGTTGAATGAGCCCTTCTTCCACCATTGTAGTTCAGTCTTCATATCTGCAATTCTCAAATGTTTTTAGTTTCGAGATGCTTTACATTCTTGGAACATTTTTTTGGAGGCTATTTGGAGTTTTCATAAAAATAAAATAAAAGTAACTTGCTAACTTTAAATGTCTAGCTGAATAAAATCTAGATTTTCGTAAGTGCCTCTGCTCTCTTGTGATATCACGTTATTTAGCCTCTAGAAAATGCTAGTACATACTTGTAAGAGAATGAATCTGAATGAGACTAGTAACACCTTAGAATCATTATGAAAAGAAGTTGACTTCAAGAACCCCCTGAAAGGGACTCAGAACTCCCAGAGGTCTCCAAACTACATTTTGAGAACTGCTGATCTGTACAATCATCTTTATACCTACATTTCCTCATTTCATCAAGACTTCTCTGAAGCATATCTGAAAATAAACAACAATGTAACTGCTTTCTTTTCCCACCTAACTTGGAAGTTCCCCAAGGGCATAATCTAAGTGTTATTCTCTCCATATCATGCTTAAAGTATTCTAACTCAAAGTGATTTTAAAATGTATCTGTAAAATCAGCCTCAAAAAGAAAGTCAAATGTGATATAAAATATAGAAAATGAAGATGAATAAGTAAGAATAGTAAGCTCTTATTTCTACATTAGATGTTTGAATAAATTAAGATTTTGGATAAATTTCATCTGGTAGCAGCTCATATGCATAAAATAAACCACTTCATTCTTTATAAAAACAAGTAAAACATTGCAAAATTGTATCAGCAATGCTTCTTGCCACTGCATAAAATGCTAATCTAGTAAGAACACTTTAGTAAAAGCTTAAATTCTGCTCAGCTTGTGGCAGAAGTATATACATGTACATATCTCTATCAAAGTGTGATTCAGGAAGAAGCCAGGTGCTGTGAAGAATTTCATGAATCCATAAACATTAAGAGATATACATCTTACAGACATCAAAAAATTTTTTTTTAAATTTTTAATTCTTTTTCTTTTTAAAGAGATGGGATCTCATTCTGTCATCCAGGCTTGAGTGCAGTGGCAGAATCATAGCTCACTGCAGCCTTGAATTCCTGGGTTCAATCAATCTTCCTTCCTCAGCCTCCCAAGTAGCTGGGACTACAGGTGCATGCCACCATGCCCACCTAATTAAAAAAATTTTTTTTAAAAGAATGGGTCTTGCTGGCCGGGCACGGTGGCTCACGCCTGTAATCCCAGTACTTTGGGAGGCTGAGGCAGGCGGATCACGAGGTCAGGAGATCGAGACCATCCTGGCAAACATGGTGAAACCCCATCTCTACTAAAAATACAAAAAATTAGCCAGGCGTGGTGGCAGACGCCTGTAGTCCCAGCTACTCCGGAGGCTGAGGCAGAAGAATGGCATGAACCCGGGAGGTGGAGCTTGCAGTGAGCCGAGATTGCACCACTGCACTCCAGCCTGGGCGACAGAGCAAGTCTCCGTCTCAAAAAAAAAACAAAAAGAGAATGGGTCTTGCTACATTGCCCAGGCTAAAAATCTATGTTATCTGACTGCTGTTATAGGCTGAATTGTGTCCTCTCTCCTCCCACTCACACCCCCACCCCTTGTCACCCAAATGAATATGCTAAAGCTCTAACCCCTAACACCTCAGAATGTAACAGTATTTGGAGACATGGTCTTTAAAAAGGTAATTACATTAAAATGAAATAATTATGGAAGGGTCCTAATCCAATAGGGGGAGAGACAACAGGGGCGTGCATGCACAAAGATCATGTGAAGAGGCAGCAAGAGGGCAGCCAACTGTAAGCCAAGGAGAAGCCTCAGAAGAAATCAACCCAGTCATCACCTTGATCTTTGCTATGCACTGAATGCTATGTCCTCTCAAAAACTGTATGTTAAAGCTGTAATCCCCTATGTGATAGTATTTAGATGTGGGGGTCTTTGGGAGGTAATTTGGTCCTGAGAGTGAGAAGCTCATGAATCAGATTCGTGCCCTTATAAGAAAAGACGCGAGAAAGGTGATCTCTCTCTCCACCATGTGAGAATATAGTGAAGAGGAGGCGGGCTCCAAGTCAAAAAGTGGACCCTCACCAGGAACTAGGCTGGCTAGCATCTTGATCTTGGACTTCTCGGCCTCCAGAACTGTGAGAAATAAATGTCTGCTGTTTAAGCCACCCAGTCAGTGGTATTTTGTTATAGCAGCCCAAGCTAATACAATTGCCCAAGTGCCCAAAGAATGTAAGATAGTGCTTATATACACATGCTAGGCACTCTATTATTATTTGTCAAATTAATTAATGGAAAGGCAAAATTGTGGTTAAAAACAAGGATAAATAGCAAGCATTTTAAGTAGTAAGCTAGATATCCTAGGAGTTATTGGAGTTTTTAAGGTAATAAGTAAACATCTAAATAAATCCACTATTATCAAACACTTCACCTGCCCAGGGAGTCGTTTCCACTTTATTACTTCCTTTGACTCTTCTAATCCAGGTTCTGTGTCTACTGAGCTTGACTCATGGTGACGTTCACAATGCACTGGTTTACCTTTTTCCTCCTGAAGAGCCATCATAGAGCGGTAAGATGGCTTTATCTAAATATGCATTAAAATATGAAAATTTATATACCATGTTCACCTTTTTCTTTTTCTAGCATATAGTTTTTAAAATACTGAAACAAATAATATGAAAATATTTTCAAAATGTAATCCAGAAAAAAATTCTACTTTTATTTGTACATTATTCTAAATAAAATAAAAAAGCTGCTTAAAACTACAGTCCTGTAACCAAAAAGCCATAAAAATTTTGGAGGAAAAAATATGACCACAAAGGTCACATGAAATGATTTTAATAACTCTATCCTTTGTTTCTGCTTCTTCACCAATACTTATGAGTTATGCCATGGCTCTGATATACTATCATATCTCTGGCTTTAATATCACAAAACTAGTATCATAAAAATCTCAAGTTTTAAAAATCCTCATTTCTCAAATAATAGATTTAACTCCATCCAAACCAATGCAAATCAGCCCTGTGGTGACAGTACATATCAGCTACAGAACGTGCAAATGACCTGAAAAATTAATGTCTTACAAGAAACTAGACAAAAGCAAAACTTTTTTATTTTAGGGCCAATTCTTTGCTAAGATTATTTATAATATTAATCTATGGAAAACAGCAGCAGTAGAAACATTACATACTGATTATTTGAATAATATTGTGAAAAATGTGCCCAGAAATCAGGAGTCTGCAAACTGCAGCCCACACACCAAATCTGGCCTACTACCTGTTTTTGTAAATAAACTTTTATTGGAACACATCACACCCATTTGTTCAGTTATGGCCTACATATGTCTATGTAGCTATTTTCACACTATAAAGGCAAAATTGACTGAAACTACAGGGCCAAAGCCTAAAATATTTACTATCTGGCCCTTTACAGAAACTATTTTTCAACTCCTGCTTTAAATCAACCTTTTATCTTTAATTTTTGAAAATCAAATTATAACAAAACATTTTTCCTAATACTAAAAGCCACATTTCACATTTAAAATTCATTTAAGCATCTTTTAAATATCAGCTATTACAGGCTTAATATATAACCCCAGAAATCTATTAAAATTATTATTAGAGGCCTTATCTTTTTAGAAATGAAAAACATGCTATGTCACCATTTAATTTCAACACTAGATGATATACACTTAATATGTACTATTAACTTACACAGTCTGGAACTTTCAGTCCTCTTACAGTTACGTACAGTGTTGATGGGTAATGATTTCTTGGACATTTTGACCACCATTCAAATGCCTCAACAACACTTAATGGGGATCGAGGCTTAGTAGGTGGGTAATATAGCTGCAAGCGAAGTTTTGAGTTGATGTTTGCATTTCCATTGGCTCCCAGAAGCTTAAAATAAGAATTCATATAAAATGTTACCTTCATTGAAAATAAATATATCCAATAAAGCAATAGCATAAAGTCAGAAACATTTTTAAAAGATTAATATGGCATGCTGAAATTTCTTAGTTTTAAAAAGCAAAGAACATTAAATAGTTAGTTAAGCACACTTCCAGATCATTTTTGACAAAAGGTAGCCCAAATGGCTTTTAAAATATTTTCCTGATAGCTCTCTTTTCACGTGTACAACAATTTCAGACTGTCGGTACAGCATTTACATTACTGTGCCAGATTTCACGCTGAACAAAGGAAGTGATCAATACACATGTTTGAAATAATTATGATAAAGACTAAACTGTATATTTACACAAGACACAAATCTTCCATTTGTTTAATATCAGTATTTTTAATGGTTAAAATTTTATGTTTTAAATTTTTAAAAAGTTAAAATCATTTCAAGATAATTAAACTCATTCAAGCCATTCGTTACATTTTTTTCAGTATTTTAGTATATCTTCTTTCAAAGGTCTATTTTTAAAACCCTATTAAACAAAACTTATATTTAAGCTAACTAAATGGAGGTTTTTGTCTCTTTTTTTGGGCAGAATCTCGCTCTGTTATCCAGGCCGGAGTGCAGTGGCAAAATCTTGGCTCACTGCAATTTCCACCTCCTCTGGGTTCAAGTGATTCTTGTGCCTCAGCCTCCCGAGTAGCTAGGATTACAGGTGCATGCCACCACACCTGGTTGATTTTTGTGTTTTTAGTATAGTCAGAGGTTTTGCCATGTTGGTCAGGCTGGTCTTGAACTCCTGGCCTCAGGTGATCTGCCCACCTCGGCCTCCCAAAGTGTTGGGATTACAGTTGTGAGCCACCACGCCTGGCCCTAAATGGAGATTTTTATGAGAAACATAAAAATCTTACCAACTCAGAATACGTTCTCTTTCATTAGACCATGACTCAAAATAGGAAATGAAACGTCTTTCTAACCTTTATGTCTTCTGCAAATTAGGAGCAGAAAGATAGTTTGAACCCTTTGCAACAGTTCACACAAAACATGAAGTATCTTAAATTAGAAGAATAAGCACTGAGTGCCCGGAAGGTATTTAACAACTGTTACTTGTAGACTCATGTAACTTAATATCTTAAATTAGAAGAATAGGCACTGAGTGCAGGGAACACATTTAACAACTGTTACTTGTAGACTTATGTAACTTGGAAAGTAAAAAAAAACAAAGAGGCAAGAAAGGCTCTAAGATAGTATTGTCCAAGAGAGCTTTCTATAATGATGGGAATACTCTAACCAATTTGTGCTAACCAATACGGAATCCACATGTGGCTACCCTGCACTTGAAGTATGGCTAGCACAAATGTGAAAGTAAATTTTTAATTATATTTAATTTGAATTCAAACAGCCATGTGACTTGTAGCTACCAAAACAGTGTAACTCTAAGTTCGTAAATCTGGGAGAGTGGACAGATGGTGGTACCACCAATTGAAGTGGCAGAGAGAGTAGCACGGATACTCAGTTTGGAGGAATCTGACATATCTATAAGTCATCCAAGCTGAAATGTCCAGCAGGTGACTGAATTTACAAATCTGAAGCACAGGTGAGAAAAGTGGTTCCAAGAAAAGTGGGTTAAAGATGAAACCATGAGTAAGACTGATATTAAGGAGGTAGGTAGAAGACCATGAAGGAAACTCAAAGAATGGTATAAGAAAAATTAGGAGAGGATGGTGTCAAGAAAACCAAGGTAACAGAGTTTCAAGAGTGTGATATGTTAAATGCATAGATGTGACAAAATAACTAAAAAATGTTCAATATATTTAGCAAACAGAAATCACTAGTGATTTGGTTGGAGAAGCTTTAGTGGCAGAGGCAAAATTCAGAACGTTGTTCAGGAATGATAAGTTAAGGAATGATGCATCAACAAGGAAAAAGAGATGGCAAAATATAGCCCATCTTTTCCCCTACCCCTTTAGGAAAGAATGTAAAGACAATGGAGGTTATAAGCTGAGCGGGTGACATTGTGATTAGTGTCAAATGACACACAGGGGTAAAGAACCATTCCCAATTGAGTAATAGATATGTTCAGTCATTAAATCATAAGCACTCGAGACTCCCTTGATAAACTCTCCTACAGCTCCCCAAAGCTTATCACGGTAATTTTAAAAAGATATTCCCCAGCTTCTAAATCATACTTTCCATAGATTAATTTAAACAGGCAATTTAGTTTACATTAATACGTTGCTTAGCCTGAGTAAACAACTAAGATTCAGCCAAGACCCTGCCATTATGGTTATAAATTATATAATGTAGAGCTCAGATAAATAAGGCTTTATTACTTTTTAGTTTAAAAGAATAGCCACATATATGTACTAAAAGAACTGAAAGTACCTGAGAATCTGAGGCATAGCTGAGAATTAGGATAAAGTCTCATTTGAATTACTGTAATAACTTAACAATTATCCAAGACATCCCTCGTACCAACAGGATAGGTAATAAAAGATTTAAATTTTAATTGTCTTCATGCCACTTCCCTTTTTTTTTGAGATGGAGTCTCACTCTGTCACCCAGGCTGGAGTGCAGTGGTACAATCACAGGTCACTACAACTTCCATTCCCTGTGTCCAAGCAATCCTCCCCGCTCAGCCTCCCGAGTAGCTGGGATTACAGGTGCACACCACCACATCTGGCAAATTTTTGTATTTTTAGTAGAGACAGGGTTTCACCATATTGGCCAGGTTGGTCTCAAACTCCTGACCTCAAGTGATCGGCCCACCTCACCTCCCAGCGTGCTGGGATTACAGGAGTCAGCTACTGCATCCGTCATGCCACTTTCTTGAAGATGAATTTTATCCTTGCCACTCTTTCTATCATCAATGATTAATTCCCTCAATATATATTCACCAAACACTTTCTATGTGACATTAATATGCTGGGAGCTGGTGATATTATAGCATGGAGTTTCAAGAGAGTGACATATTAAATGCAAAAAGACCTAGTAAAATAAGGACTAAAAATGTTCAACATATTTACCCAAAAGAAGTCATTGGTGACTCTAAAAAGCTTACAGTCTAATGAAGAAGACAGGTAAGTGTTAGAAGACGTGAAGCACATAGAATACCTTACTCTTTCTGGGGGGTGGGGATGGGATAAGAATTCTTGACTGCCATTTTTGCCAATGGCATAAGATGAATAAATAAATAAAAATCCATATAGTACTTAGAGGTAGAAATGCCCTGAAATATGTTACTGCTTCCTAAGTGCAACTTACAGTAAATTCTGCAGGTCTGCACAAATCTTAGCATAAAAGAAATGCAGTTTCTAATAAAACCACACGATGGCACTGTTTACTATGTGAAAGTGAGTTTTTTGCTTTTTTTTTTTAATGGCTTTTTTTCTTTGCTCTAAATCAGTATGGAAGGTGTTATGGAAAAAGGCATTAACAGATTTATAAAAGGGTGATCATCGATAGCACACTGGACCAGGTGATTGCTAAGGCCACTCTCAAATTACTTACTCACCATAGCCAACCTGGTGGCTGTTCAGCCCTTTGACTATAAAACTTCTAAAATCTCTCTCTAACCTCCAATATGGATTAAATGTCTCAACTGGATTTTAACAGCATCTGTTCTATAGCACATAATAATGTAGGTAACAGGTCTGTATAGAAATTAAATTGGAGGGCAGCTATATACAATGTCTAATTTATCTATGAATGTACTGAATTTAGCAGACTGTCTCACATTTTATAGATCATATTTGTTGAATGAATGGATTCACAAATGAAAATGTTTTTATAAGATGGTACAAAATAATTACTCAAGACTTTTCATAATTTAAATTGATGTTTGAAGGAAAAGATAATTACAAAATTAAAATATCCTTTTTTAAACATCAATCTACGCCTTTCATCTTTGCTGAAACATCTCGTCAAAGACATCCTAGTCAGAGACACCTAGTCAAAGACAAATGTACAAAGACATTTTTTACCTAGACTACTGTTAAGAATTTCCTAATGTGATTTTCAAGTATCTACATTTGCTCCCTCTAGAATCTGTTCTCCACATAACAGAGTATATATCTTTCTAAAACACAAATCAGATTATTTTATTCTTTTGTTTAAAATCCCACAGTGGCTTCCCATTGCTCTTTAAATTCTATAATGGCTTCCTCTTGCTATAATGACTGAGAAGACCTCATCATAATTAACATCCCGTTGACCTTAGCAACCTCTTCATGCACCATTCTTCTCCCCTTAGTCTCTGTCCTCCAATCTTGGTGGCCTTCTTTTGATTTTCTGAATTAACCCTGCTCCTTCAAATATCAGGGTTTTTGCATATATTGTACCCTCTACCATAGACCATTTCTTCCCCACCGGTGGCAATGTGTCTCTTCCTCAGGAATGTTTTCCCTGACCCCACAGTTCATCATCCATCCTATACCTCTTTACGATATTTATAAAAATTTATAATTAAATGATAAATTGTGAAATCAATTGTTTTATGTTTGTGTTGCTGGAATATGAAGTCCAGGAGTTCAAGGAATTTGTCATCTTTGTCCACTGACAACAGTAGCTGGCACATAGAAAAGTCTTAATATTTTTTGAACTGAATAAATAATGGCATGGCTGTTTGTGTCTTTTTTAATGCTACATCCTCAGAACCAAATAGTGTAACTGGCACATACTGGGCCATCAATAAATATTTAAGAATCTGAATGAGCATAACCTGAGCTTGAATTAGTAACTCTTCATCCCTACAACATTACCTTAGATTCTAATTCCTTATATGAGACCAAACTGATTTGGGAGAAAGCAGCCAACTAAATTTGAAGACTAGTTTTAAAGTGTTTAAAATGGATGAAAAACATACCTTAAGAAATGCCCAGGCAATTTTCCGAAAGCCACATTCTTGGTTTTGAACCTCAGAATTATTCTTAATTTCATCCACGCTTAAGAAATCAAGAATCTGCAAATAAATTCACAGAAGACTAAGCTACCTAAAATTTAATATTTTCTAATGGTACATTATTAAAACTTTAAAAAATCATTTGTATAGTGCTTAAAAACATTAACCTTTACAGGGAATAAAAACATTTTTATCTCATTTCATTCACCTTAAAGTTAACTCATTCAGTTAGGGAGGGTCCATTTTCTGACTATTTTATCTTTCATTAATAAATACTATGATTTATTTCAAATCCAAAGCAAAGTGTTAATCACCTCAAATATAACCTAGGTACAAATATAATAGGCATAGAATTCTTAAGCTTTCATTGTTTTTTATGTATCACAGCAGACTTTAAAGGATTGTTTGTTTAAAAAACTCACAACCCTATTTCTGGGTCTTTGTCTTGGATCACCTTCCTGAAGTTGGGGTTTTTCTCTTTGGATGTATGTTATAATTAGGCTTCTCAAGAGGATTTCTTCCATTCCTCTATCCTGTCTGGACATTAAAGCTCATGGATTTGCAACCAACCTGCCACAGAGATCGTATTCTAGATATTTATCAAAGGCTATCACTTCAAACTTACTGGTGCTTATTAAAAGCTCAGCTGCGAAAATGAGATTTTTATAGAAAGAAGACTGCTTAAGAAATGATACAGACTCCAATCATCTGTGCTTTTTGGATACCTAAATCTTTTTTACAGATATAATACATGCTCAGTGAAAACATAATATAAAAAATATATAGATCCAAAGTAAAAACAACTTGTAATCCAGACCCATAGATGGTCACCATTAACATCTAGTTTGCAGGCCAAATCTTTTTCTGTGCATTCCTAAACATATGTGTGGAACTACAAATCTAATAATGCTATTTCACAAATTATTTTCATATAGTATGTAGTGAATATCTCTTCATGTCAATACATACACATGAATACCGTAATGTTAATGACTGCCTACTATTCTGTCACAAATACCATAAATTTAACAAAAATTATAACTTATTTAACCAAATCTCTTACTGATCTAAATGTAGGTTATTTTATCTCCCTAAAATTTTTGCTATTATAAACAGTGCTGAAATAAATATCCTTGCACACACATCTTCACGGACTTGTCATTTTTTTCCTTAAGATAAATACCTAAGAGTAAAATAATGGTTTTAAAGACTGTGAGACATTATCAAGTTGTCCTCAACACTTAAAAAACTGAGATCAAAAAGCAGTTGCATAGGCAATAACATATTACATTAAAACTTAAGAAGCAACCAAAAGCGTTTATAATACAACAATCTATCCTTCTTCATCTCTTAATACTAAAATGAATACAGAAGAAAATTGTAACAAATGACAAAGTTTGAAGACAAAAAATTCCTTAAGATACAAATTATATCAATTTTTCAACAATAACAGCTTTATGTAAATCACACACAACATAATCACAAATGTAAATATTGGAATATTTGTATCATAAATACAAATAGACAACCTGAAAGTCAAGGATCATAAAAACAAGTAATTCTACAAAATGAATCTTCGGCACTGGTTATGCCAAGTCCCCTGCTGTTCCCATGCTAAACTTCTCCATCTAGCTTACACTGGAAGGGGGCTTTCTCTATTGTCCTTTGCTTATGGAGACAGAACACATGATAGAGTAAAGAAATGTGGTATTCTAGGTTCAAACTATCTGCAAACGCATTTTTTTTAACTTAAAATTCGAGTAACTTTGGGGAAATCACTTTTATTCCAAACCTTGTTATCATTTTCAGTAAGAAAATTATATAATAACAACTAGTCAGCTCAAAAGCCATGTATTCCATAAAGCTTTCCCTGACTCCACTGACCCGCCACTAACCCTTCACATATAAGTTCTACATCATTTTTGGTTACATATTAAACTGCATTAACTGATCTGTGTACATTTATCTTTATTTATCCAGGTGGTACACATATTCTTAGGGTGCCTGACATGGTTAAATGAGTTTATGCTTTGTGAAATGGGTTTAAAATGGAGAAATGCATTCATATCGAGTGGATTCATCACTTCACTACAGTTAACAGTCACAGAGCTGTTGTAATTATTAAATTATACAAAGTAGGCCAAATGGTTAAATAGTAAACACTCAGCAAATATGCTATCACTGTTTATAAAAGGGCGTCTCACTTGATTCCACAGCATTGGAAAACTAAATCCTAGAGATTAAATTCTCACACAACTTTTTTTTTTGCCTTACTGGACTACTAAAAATAATAGCTTACATTTGTGCTATTAAATATTAACTATCGTTTAATTTGAATTGGTCCATTCAATTCATACCTCAAAGAACAGGATGACTTTAGGACTCTCATCAGAGCCTCGAAGCAAATAGGGAAAATTTTCATTAAATACAATTTGTTCTTCCCACTCTGGAAGTCTTGATTTTAACTGTTTAAAATCATATGGCTGGGTCATAATAGGAAGAATATAATCCACATTCTCTTTTTCATAGTAAGATGAAACAGGCCGTCCACTGTACAAAAAAAGATACTTCCATTAACACAATTTTCATAATTTTGAGGTGAGAAAAAAATATATAGTGTACAAGGTGAGGCAACCAGAAATAATGAATAGTCATAATAATACAAAAGGAAAAATTATTCTGAGTGTCCATCTAGAAACTTACAAATTTTATAAGACTTAAAAGTAACAGTCCATCTTATATTTGTCTACTATCAATTGGTTTCACATGATTATTTTATTATAGAAATATAAAGTGAGAAGTATGATTATACCTTTGCCATATAAAGCTGGGATAAACTAACTCCTTCAGAATTTTGTAAGAGTTTATAATAAAATAGACATTGCCAGGCACAGCGGCTCAAGCCTGTAACCCCAGCACTTTGGGAGGCTGAGGCAGGTGGACTGCTTGAGCTCAGGAGTTTGGGACCAGCCTGGGTAACATGATGAAACCTCGTTTCTACAAAAAATAGAAAAAAAGTTAGCTGGGCATGGTGGCACATGTCTGCAGTCCCAGCTACGTGGGAGTCTGAGGTGGGAGGATCACCTGAGCCCAGGGAGGTTGAGGCTGTAGTAAGCTGTGATTGCACCACTGCACTCCAGCCAGTGAGACGCAGTGAGATATTGTCTCAAAAAAAAAAAAAAAAGACATAAAATTGATTTTACATAAAAAAGGCACAAGACTGTAAACCCTTTGAGTTGTCATATTTTCTTTGTGTGCCCTAAGGCAAATGAATAGGTGAATGGGCTTTTTTTGGACAATCTTCCTGTTTCCATTCCCCACTGGCTTTCCAAACAATTTTTTAAAAAATTCTAGTATAAATGTGTATTTCATTGTACTTTTCATTTGGGATTTCAAGCATGCATTAGCTATAGAAGTACTCTTAGAAAAAACATTCAAGATTCATTTACCTTACCTGAAGCCCAGATAACATTACTTTCAAAAGAAAAATATGAGGTTAGACAATTAAAGCATTTACAATGCAATATAAAATATTTACAATGCAACTTTATGTCATAAATTACATCTACTAAGCTGGCAGAAGCTCTCTACCACTTAAAATGAATTATTCCCTTCCACTTAAAAGTAATTACTGAGCCAGGCACGGTGGGTCATGCCTGTAATCCCAGCACTTTGGGAGGGTGAGGCAGGTAGATCGCCTGAGGTCAGGAGTTCGAGATCATCCTGGCCAAACCCCGCCTCCACTAAAAATACAAAAATTAGCCAGGAGTGGTGGCGAGTGCCTGTAATCCCAGCTACTTGGGAGGCTGAGGCAGTAGAATCGCTTGAACCCAGGAGGCAGAGGTTGCAGTGAGCCAAGATTGAGCACTGCATTCCAGCCTGGGCGACAAAGCGAGACTCCATCTCGGAAAAAAAGTAATTACTGAATTAGATGTTCTCCATTTCTTCTACAACATTCTGATCAATGTTAATGACTGATGAACACCTACAACTAGTAGACTATTCTCTAATACAAATCCATAACTCTATTCCCACTGACTTTCAACTACCAATGGCAGAAAAAAGACTTCTACTAGTTTCAGTTTCAAGAATTAGTTGTGCAATTAAAAAAAATTACCTATCATCTTTCTTGACATATTGACCAGTATGCTCATCAACCACATGAATTTTTACCATTGGGTGAGAAATCATAAAATCTGACTTAAGTCTATCAGTTCGGTGAATGTAAACTCCCAAGACAAGGTCATCATCAAGCAAACATTTGGGATAAACCGGGCTATCTCGGCTTGTTATTTCATGAACACCATCACCATCAACATCTTCATTATTATCTGCAACTACACGCATGGAAAAAAAAATCAATGTTATAATTAGTTGTTCCCATAGTAGTATTTACATATAACCTAATCTTTAAGATCTGTGATGATCTCACTGTGTTCAAAGGAACTTCAGGGGGAAAGAAAGAAAAAGCCAGACAACAGCAAACCATAGTGTGAAAGTAAAATACTACATTTGCTAATACATTACAAATAAGGTGAAAAATCCTTGTTTATATTTTTCCTAATAAGTAGGAGAAACACAAAAAGAAAAAAAAGAGAGTCAAAGTCAGAAAAGTAACTTTATCCAGGTATTTTCTAAGTAGAATATATATGACAACTAGAATTTCTAATTCTGGGTGGGATGCAGTAGGATGCAGCAGGTAAACACTTTGGGTAACAACTGGAAAGAGCCAAATAAATTACAAATATCTTATTTTAAATTTTAAAGGCATCAGAAAAGTACAGAAAGAAGATATAGTAGACAGATTAAAATTCCAGAAAGGGAGAATCAGTCAGAGGTCAGCTGATGGACTGGCAGCTGTTTTTGTCTCTGGGGACATTTGCTGATTCAGGGTGTGAGCTGAAGATGAGAGTTTGGCTTAGGCAGAAAGTCACTGCCAGGAGAATGAGAAATAAGCAAAACTTTTAGTGATTCCACAGGACTAAAATGATAAAACTGGAGATTTGAGAAGCCTCAAACACATGACCAATTCTTCTCACAAAACTGAATTCTGATGCTACAGAGAAGCTAGAGAGGTAGTGAAATCTCCCAGGCTTGTGGTGCTAGCAGACCATGATCTGCCAGGGGAAGGGGACCAAAACAAAATAGGCAAAGGTGAAGCCCTGGAGGGTGTGGTCAATTTACACTAAGGACCAAGAGCAACTTTTCATCTGGGGTCATCTACCAATTCTGGTCACAGTTCTAGGTTGATAATCCAGGTGTGATTTCTGGCAGAAGGTTGCTACTGAGGGACAGAGAAACCAGCGGATATTTTGGCATGCTTGGGGGCTACAGTGACAAAAATGGATACCTGAAGGATGTCTAACATATAGCCAGTCTCCTGCTCAAAGAATTTGCCAAATTTTGAAGCAGCATGAGACAGAAGACTAAATGGCTAAGTGGAAAAGCACTGAAGGGCAAAACTGGATCTCCCATCGTATTTAGGGCTATGAATTATTAGAGATAAAGAAGGGCGCTGCATTATGATAAAAGTGATAACTTGACAAGAGATACAAGAAAAATAAACTGAAAATCGGAATGGAAATGTTAATACCTCTCTCAACAGCTGACAGAATAAGTAGACCAAAAAAATTAATAAGAAGAACTGAGCACAATTAAACTTGACCTAACTGACATACATAGGACACTGCACTCAACATTAGAAATTGCATTCTTTTCAAATGAGCATGGAATATTTACCAAATCTGACCATAAAATGGTCATTAAAAAGGCCTCAATAAACTCAGAGGATTGAAATCATTCATAATATGTTATCTGACAACAATGGAAGACAGAAACCAATAAAAGATAACTAGAAAAGCATCTGCTGCCTGAAACTAAGCAACATACTTCTAAATAATGATCAATTAAAATGGAAATTAGAAAATATTTTGTGTTAAATAATAAAAACACACAATATTAAAAATTTTGGAGATGCAGGTAAAGTAGTACTTAAATGGGAATTTAGTCTTAAATGCATATAAAAGAAGACTGAAATCTTTCTTATAAAACCCAATTTTAAAGCTAGAAATAAGTAGCAAATCAAACCCAAATAAGTACAAAGAAGGAAAATACAGTTACAAGAAAAAAAATCACTAAAATAGTACATAAATGTACAACAGAGAAAATCAAAGCTAAAGGTTGGTTTTTGAAAAGACTCATAAATTTAAAATCCTAAGGCTGATCAAGAAATTGAGAGAAAACAAACTGCCAATACCATGAATGAAAACATGGGACAGCCTTTCAGATGCTATAGAAATGCAAAATTTGGATGAAATAGACACATCCCTCAAAAACTACAGTATATCAAATAGCTGACAGAAGTAAAAAAAAAAAAAAAAAAGATTGATAATAAAGAGATTAAATCTTGATTTGTATCAAGGCAAGCAAAATGATAAGGCATAAGGACTGAAAAAGAAGCGATAAAACTATCGTTATTAACGTATTACATGATTGCATATGTAGAAAAATCCAAACAATGTAAGAATAAACTCTGTGGGCCGCGATAGCTCACATCTGTAATCCCAGCACTCTGGGAGACTGAGGTGGGAGAACTGCTTGAGCCCAGGAGTTTGAGACTAGCCTGGAAAATGTAGTGAGACCTTGTCTCTACAAAAATTAGCCAAGAATGGTGGTGCATGCCTGTAGTCCCAGCTACTTGGAAGACTGAGGTGGGAAGATCGCTTGAACCTGGGAAGTATAAGTTGCAGTGAGCTGAGATCACGCCACTGCACTCCAGCCTGAGTGACAGGGCAAGACCCTGTCTCAAAAATAAATAAATAAATAAACTCTTGCAATAAGTGAATTTAGCAAATCAATGGACACAATGTTAAAAAATTTTAAATACATTTCTACATATATGTACCAGCAACAAATACAAAACAAAAATTTTTTAAATGCCATTTATAATATCATTAAGAAACATCAAATCCCAGGAATAAATCTAAGGAGAGATTCTGCTGAAATGTATATTGCTGGGATATATTAAATAAGATGCAAATAAATGGAAGTGCATACCAAATTCATAGCCTGAGAATCAATACTGTGTAAAAATGTCAAGTCTCTTTAGAGAGTTGTTATGCTGTGACTCTTTAGATTCACCCAGTCTAGATCAAAATCACAGCTTGCAAGACAGAATGAGGGTAAAAAGGAAGAGGGAGAATGGAGAAGCTCTTCTAAAATCCATACAGAAATGCAAAGTAAAGAATAGCCTAGACAATGCAGATGAAGAAGGAAAAACCTAGAGTATAATACTAAATAGCAAGACCTATTAAAAAGCTACAGTATTTAGACATGGTAGTGTTGGTACAAACTGTCTAATTTAAAAGAATAGAGACTACAAAAACTGATCCACATGTAACACAGTCATGTTATTTATGGGAAAAGTGACACTGCAACACAGAGGGAAAAAGACACTCTCTTCAGTAAATGGTACTGGGTCAATCATAATATATATTCACATGGATATCTTGATCACTGCTTCCTATCATAAACATAAACCAATTCCTGATGAACTGCATATCTAAATGTGAAAGTAAAACAGAAACAGTAAAACTTTTAGAATAAAACTTTTAGAAAAATATCTTCAGAACTTAGGAAAGATTTCTTAAATCACAGCACTTACCATCAAAGGAAAAAAATGGATAAACTGGACAATACAAAAATTTCTGTTTTTCAAAAGACACCAATGAGAGAGAAATAATCAAACCAGAGTAGGACGACATTTGCGATATAAATGTGGGTAGGTATTTATATCTGAGAATAATCTCATATTGAGGTATATAAACCTATCACTACAAATCAATTAGAAAAAGACAATTCTGTGTTTTAAAAAATGCAGACAACTTGAATATATTTACAAATGTCAAAATCTAAGTAGTTAATAAACATGAAAACACTCAACTTCAATAGTTACCATGGAAATAAAATTAAAACCAAAATGAATATCACTATACATTCCTGAAGAATGAGGAAAATTTAGTCACTCCTAAGAATGACTAAAACGTTAAAAAACAGTATTACATGTTGGTAAAGATGTGGAGTGACTGGAACTCTCAAACACTGCTAGTGTCAACTGGTAAACCAACTTTGGAAAACTGGAAGTAATTATTAAAGCAAAAAATATACATAATCTATGACAGCAATTCTACTCCTAACAATATGCCCAAGATAAAGGTATGCATGTGCTTACCAAATACGTGACTGCAATGTGAATTACCGCTTTACTTATAATTGCCTAAAACTAGAAACAACTCAAATGACCATCAATAAAATAGGCAAATTAACTGTGGTATATTCACACAATGGATATCTAAATAATACAAAAACAGAATTAAGAATGAATAAGCTCAACTGTATGCAAGCAACAGTAGTATAAATCTTACAAAATTAACATTGAGTAAAAAAAGTCAGGCACAAGGAGCACAGTATTTATCATTCTATTCATATTAAAGTATAAAAATAAGCAAAAATAAACTCTGTTAGATGTCCAGGTAGTGGTTACTCCCACAGGGCAACTAACGGGAAGGTGATTTTTCTGGGTGCTAATGATGTTCTGTTTCCAAATTTAGGTAATGATTTTATAGGTATGTTCAGTTTGTGAAAAAAACTTTAAAAATATGTATATGAGTATACTGCTTAGTGCTTTATATATATAGAAACACATAAAACAAGTATACTGCTTAGTGCTTTTCTATATATATCTATATACACATTATGCTTCAACAAAAGATTTTAAAATTTTAATTATAGAAACCACAAAACATCATCACTTACATCTTCTAATGAATAAGTACTATAAAATCTAAAATTGCCCATTTTAATCCCAATTTTTGGCCAATCAAATGGAAACTGAAAGACTAAAAAAGGATGTATGAGTAGAAAAGAACATGTAAAGAAAAATAAGAGAAAACAAACAAGAAAAGAAGAAGACAGAAATCAACAAGGCAAAGAGAAAAGTTGAGAAAGGAAAGAAGTGGTATTAGGCTGACGAATTGGGAGGATACCATGTTGGACAGGATGCAGCCTTAACATCAGAAATGTTTATTGGCTGCTGACCATTTATAGCTTTCAACAACTGAGTCCTAACCATTTAGAGGATGTAAACTCAATGGTTTAAAGAAGAAATCCTCTATGACCCAATAGCAACTACAAAGTCAGTATCATTTTAGAGTTGAATTTAAAGTATGACAAGAATCAGAGAAGGTCAGGCATGGTGGCTCATGCCTGTAACCCCAGCATTTTGGGAGGCTGAGGCAGGTGGATCACTTGAGGTCATGAGTTCGAGACCAGCTTGGCCAACATGGTGAAACCCCGTCTCTACTAACAATACAAAAATTAGCCGGGTATGGTGGCATGCATCTGCAATCCCAGCTACTCAGGAGGCCGAGGCAGGAGAATCGCTTTAACCCGGGAGGTGGAGGTTGCAATGAGCCGAGATCGTGCCACTGCATTCCAGCCTGGGAGACAGAGTAAGACACCATCTCAAAAATAAAAAAAATCAGAGAAGACTCAAGTGATACAAACTCATCAGAGACCTACAGCTACAAATACATGTGTGCTTTAATCTAGATGAATTCAAGAACAAGTACCAAATATCCTATATTGAATTATTTTCAAGTATACCCATCAGTTTTAAAGGGCTAAAATTCCTAGAATCAAGTTATTTCTACCAACATACACAATTTTTCATTTAATTTGTATAGCAAACCTGCTTTAGTCTTCTTTTTTGTTTTTTTTGGTTTAGGTTTTGTATCATCTTGCATGCTGTCTTCTGTGCTTTGTTCCATTGAGCTTATTTCATCATCTTGATGAGAATCTGAAGAAACTGATCTAACTGAAGATTCTTTCTTTTGTTCACCTTCAACTGTGTCACCAGAGATGGTCAATGTACTACAAATATAATCCAAGTATCAGCCATTACAGATATATTATCATTATAATTATTATTCATGATGCAACAGAGTGAACAGTAAATAGGAGCAAAGATAATCCTAAAATCACTATTATTGTCTCTTGAGAGATGCATGTATTTTCTTATACACTAAAATGGTTAAGTGTCAAATAGGTATCATAGGTGGTATTTTATACTTCGTGAGGAGTTACACGATTCAACTAAAACTGAGCTCTAAACCCCAGGGGAAAGGGAAATTGTATTAATATTTTATGAGCAATTGATCTCTCTTTACATAGGACTTATCAAAGCATGCCCACCCTGCTGCCAAGTAAATGATTTATCAACCAATTTTTAAATTACCTTATTTAAAGGTATAAAAAGTATTCTAGGTTTGTTCCGTCTTCAAGAGGCTTCACATGCACAACTTTTGATTTCTCTTTTTTCTTTTCTTTTTTTTTTAAGACTGGGTTTCGCGCTGTCGCCCAAGTTGGAGTGCAGTGGTACAATCATAGCTCACTGCTGCCTCAACCTCCCAGGCTCCAGCAATCCTCCCACTTCTGCCTCCCAAATAGCTGAGACTACAGGCACCATACCTGGCTAATTTTTGTAATTTTTGTAGAGATGGACTTTCACTATGTTGCTCAGGCATGGATTTCTAGGTAAAAATTAATTCCTTGGTGAGTCACTACATTTTCAGAAGGCTATTACTAAAATTAAAATCTATATCACATGAACTAGTAAATGGTAAGAAGTAGCAACCCAGAAGCATACTGAGTTTAAAGAAAAACCAGCCTACTAACATTTTAATGTATCTAGTAAAAAATCTGCATGTAAATAATAAAAAATTAATTTCCAATATTTTTAGTCATATTTCAAAAAAAAAATGGGTTGAGGAAAGTAAGACTAGAGAAATATTTCAAATTAGTCATTCCAGAAAGCCATTCTATTTGATCACATCACCAAACCCTGTTCTTTAAGGAGAACAGCTACCCTTTGCGTGCCACTGTCACGTGTTATTAAAAATTCATGAGCTAACCCTATTTCATATTGACTATGGCTTACCAGTCTACCACAGAGGTGGTAGCTATGAGAAGGAAGATTTATAGTATACTATGGTAGGAAGCCTCTAAGATGGACCTTACTGATCCCCACCTCTTCATATTCATGTCTTTGTGTAATCCCCTTTCTTTTGTGTGTGGGCTGGACTAGTGACTTACTTCTGACAGACAGAATATGATAAAAGTAATGAATGCCACTTATAAGATTAGGTTCCAAAAAGACTGTGACTTCTGTCTTGCTCTCACTCTCTCAGAGCCCTTGGTCTGGGGAAGCAAGTGGCCATGTTGTGTGTAGACCATATGGAGACAGTCCATGTGGCAAGGAACTGGTATACCGGGCCCAAAGCCAGTCAGGACCTGAGGCCTACCAACAACCACATGAATGAGCTTAGAACTGGATCTTCTAAGGCCTTCTAACAGCTATGTCACTTGACAGATCCTCCCCCAGTCAAGGCTTGAGGTGACTTCAGTCCCAGCTAACATCCTGATTGCAACCTGTGATTGACAGAGACACCCAGTGAAGTCACTCTCAGATTGCTGGCCCACAGAAACTCTGAGACAGTAAATGCTTGTTGTCTTAAGCTGCTAAATTCTGGGATCATCTTTTTAATGGAGCAACAGATAACTAATATATACTATCATGTCCCTGCAGCAACTTGGTTTGCCGTATCTTTATTACCACCGGTCACCTAGCTTTTGAAAAGAGGGGAATTATTTTTGGCTGAGGGCTTTAGGGGAAATTGATGCTGAATGCCAAAGAATAGTCACATATAAAATGTTCCCACCTCAAGTTGTTTCTCTAGAGGAGAACTGCAGGGGGGAACAAAGTTAATTATAGCAGTTAAAAAGCATTTTTACCTTATTGTTTTCTCCAAATAGAAAACATATAAATATGTGTATGTTCACTTAACCTCACACTCTATATAGAAGTACATACATATATAAGCATCATATAGAGAAAAAGATTAGAATACCAAATTGCCAATAGTGATTATCTTTGAATAGTTTTTCTACAATGAGCTAATGTTATCTGTATAAGAAAAAAAGTTATATTTATATATCCAAACAGGTATTTGTAACTCAAAAAAGGGGAAGTAATTAGGTTTCTATTACTTTGAAAGCAGATGTAAGTGAGTAGTTCAGGGTAGGGACAAGGATCTGGCTCAGCCTCTTACTAGTTCTGTACTTCCATTTCCTCATCAGCAAGATAGGAAGAATATTACTTTTCCTTATAAGATTGTCATAAGAAATAAATGAGTTAATTCTCGTAAAGCACCTAGTACATAGTAAGGTGTTATGTAAAAGTTAGCTGTTCTTATCTTAGTGACAATGTCTCCAAATAAAAGCGTAAGAATTTTCTTTGTTAAACCACAGATAATATTCAAAACCTGAAAATAACAGTGTTTTTCTAAGAGGATATTTTACATTTATCAATGCAAAAATACCTTGTTTCAGCTTTAGAGAAGACTGGAACTTCCTTTTTCTTTTTCCTTTTTTCACTGCTTAGTTTGTCATCATGGAATAAAGTATCTGAGGGAAAGTAAGTCAACTGTTCTTTCAGTTTCTTTCTTATTTTCCTCTTAATCTCCTTTGCCATTTCTTCAGTTACATGGCACTGATATGCTTGCATCAATTCTTCATCCTCTTCTAAATCAGTCTCTTCTCTTCCCTCATTTGCCTTCTCACTTTTCTGATGATCAACGCCTGGCTGTGGCTTTGTATGTGTTTTCTGGTGTGTAGAATCAACCTTATTCTCAGGAGTTTCCGGTTTCAGGTCTTGTGTAGTCAACTGGGGCACCGTCTTTATCACCTTTTTATTTGGCTTTCCTTGTTTGTCTTCCTCTACACTAGCATCACCATTAGGATTTTCAGTTGCTAACTGTGTGTTCCTCAATTTGTTTTTAGTGACTCTCGTGCTCTTCTTCAGGTTGTTAGTGTTAGCAGCACTTACATCATCACTTGTAGTTTCTTTAATATGGGGAAGATTGCTTCTAATAGTGTCGGGCTAGGAAAAGAAGACATGATAACAAAGTTTCAGTTACACATAGATTAGTTATATAAAGAAAAACCTAATAATTAATATTTGACAATGTGGAATTATTGGGAGGATTATTTAGTTTTTCATCTGGACATAGTGACACTATTTTAGAGCATATGAGTACTCTCATAATTTATGCTTCCAGAATTTGATTAGTAATCTCTGAATGTAACTTCAGATTAAATGAGTTAATTGACATGGGAAAAAAGTACTTAAGGACCTATAAGAAGTGAATTAATTGCTCAAATCTCAAATGCTATTTTCCTCATACATATTTTCCTCATGATCTACACTCTAATAGATATTCGAGAAATTGCTAAAAGAGCCATTGAATGTGACATTTCAGGTCACCCAATAGGAAATATACATGGGTCATTTATTTTGCTTCATAATTACACTCTAAAAGCAAAAGTCTACAGCTCTAAGATCACCCTGCAGTAAATCTAAGTGTATCACTAAAATGCTGCTAAATATTACATATTAAGTTAAATCCAATGACAGACTAAGCACAATCTTGTACCTCCTTCCCCAATTAAAATTATTTAAAATGAGATATATTTTTAATAGAAAAAAATAAATAAGGATAAGAGTCAAGTAATACAAGGAAGAGGAGGAGGGGATAAACTAGAGGATGACCAATCGAGGAGCTGGGATGAACAGCTCTGTTTCCCACCTCCATTTGTGTTGACTTTCACCCATGGGATTAAGCATCCCAGCAAAGAGAGAAAGGGCAGTATGCTTCAGGTAGGTATAATTCCCATAAACTGCAGAGGCAGACCATGTTAAAAACAACTAACAAGGAAGAGAAGAGAGATTCTCAAATGTAAAGATGGCTTGACAACTGAAAATTAACAAACACTAAAGGAAGGTAGCACAATGAAGGAAAGCCACCAAATCAAATACAATAAATAAATGAACACCAAAGGAAAATACATATCATATGTAAGTATTTAAAACAAGTATAGTTAATATTAATAAAGAAATGCAAAAGCATACTGGAGCAAGAAAACCCAACTGCTGATATTAAAATAAAATTCTGAATGATAAAAATAAAAGTTTAACTGATGTGTTGAAAAACAGAATGGACAAAAACCATTGCTGACTGTGTATTCCTCAATTTGTTTTTAGTGACTCTCATGCTCTTCTTCAGGCTGTTAGTGTTAGCAGTACTTACATCATCACTTGTAGTTTCTTTCATATAGTGAAGATTGCTTCTAATAGTGTCAGGCTAAAAAGGAAGACATAATAAAGTTTCAGCTAAGCGTAGATTAGTTGTATCAAGAAAAACCAATAATTAATGTTCAACTATGTGGAATTATTGGGAAAATTATTTAGTTTTTTTACCTGGACATAGTGATACTATCTTAGAGCATTTGATGAGTACTCTCATAATTTATGCTTCCAGAATTTCATTAATAATCTCTGAATGTAACTTCAGATTAACATTTTGGATTAACACTTTGGATTCATTTTGTCATGCACAATGTCACATTGTAATGTATGCACCTTACATGTTAACATTCGGTGCTACAAGATGAATCTAAAATCAAAATAAAGAAATGTGCCAGAAATGAATAAACTTAACAATACATACTGGGGTTTGATCTTTGAAACTCCCCATATTTTAAAAGTAGTTAAAAAATATCCAATGTATATAAAAAGGTGATTTAAAAAATGCTGAAAGAACTAGTATCCCAATACATATCTAAGATTTTACCAACTCTAAGACTCTTTTGCTCACCTAAAATATATTTCCAAATTCTATCTGTTCTTTGAGGGTAAATTATGGTGCCACAGCCTCCAAAAAAATTCACTAATCAAATCTAATTATATTCACATGTTCTGTTTTAGAAGCAATATTTAATTTAAAACAGTAAAAATAAATAAATAAGGAAAAAAACCCCCAGAAAATACACACACACAAAACCCAAAGCTAGCAGAAGACAAGAAATAACCAAGATCAGAGCAGAAATAAAGGATACAGAGACACAAAAAACCCTTCAAAAAATCAATGAGGCTGGGCATGGTGGCTCATGCCTGTAATCCCAACAGTTTGGGAGGCCGAGGTGGGTGGATCACATGAGGTCAGGAGTTCGAGATCAGCCTGGCCAACATGGTGAAACCCTATCTCTATCAAAAATACAAAAATTAGCCAGGCGTGACGGTGCACACCTGTAATCTCAGCTACGTGGGAGGCTGAGGCACAAGAATCACTTAAGAGAAGAATCAAATAGACACAATAAAAAATGATAAAGGGGATATCCCCATCGACCCCACAGAAATGCAGACAACCATCAGAGAATACTATAAACAACTCTATGCAAATAAACTAGAAAATCTAGAAAAGATGGATAAATTGCTGGACACATACACCCTCCCAAGACTGAAGCAGGAAGAAGTTGAATCCCTGAAGAGACTAATAACAAGTTCTGAAATTGAGGCAGTAATAAACAGCCTAGAAACAAACAAGCAAAAAAAGCCCAGGACCAGATGGATTTACAGCTGAATTCTACCAGAGGTACACAACAGAACTGGAACCATTTCTACTAAAACTATTCCAAATAATTGAAAAGGAGGGACTATTTCCTAACTCATTTTATGAGGCCAGCATCATCCGGATACCAAAACCTGGCAGAGATGCAACAAAGAAAGAAAAAACAGTTAAGGCCAATATCCCTGACGAACACTGATGCAAATATCCTCAATAAAATACTTGCAACCAAATCCAGCAGCACATCAAAAAGCTTATCCACCACCATCAAGTCAGCTTCATCCACGGGATGCAAGGCTGGTTCAACATACGCAAATCAATAAACATAATTCATCACATGAACAGAACTAAAGACAAAAACCATATGATTATCTGAATAGACACAGGAAAGGCCTTTGATAAAATTCAACATTGCTTCATGTTAAAAACTCTCAATAAACAAGGTACTTATGGAACATACCTCAAAATAAGAGCCATTTATGACAAATCCACAGTCATACTGCCCAAAGTAATTTATAAATTCTATGCTATTCTTATTAAACTACCATTGACATTCTTCACAGAATTAGAAAAAACTACTTTAAAATTCATATGGAACAAAAAAAGAGCCTGTATAGCCAAGACAATCCTAAACAAAAAGAACAAAGCTGGAGGCATCACACTACCTGACTTCGAACTATACTGGAGTAACCAAAACAGCATGGTACAGGAACAAAAACAGACATACAGACCAATGGAACAGAAATAAGATCTCAGAAATAAGACTACACATCAACCATCCTGTATTTGACAAACCTGACAAAAACAACCAATAGGGAAAGGATTCCCTATTTAATAAATGGTGCTGGGAAAACTGTCTAGCCATATGCAGAAAATTGAAACTGGACCCCTTCCTTATACCTTATACAAAAATTAACTCAAGATAACTTAAACACTTAAATGTAAAACCCAAAACTATGAAAACCCTAGAAGAAAATCTAGGCAATACCATTCAGGACACAGGCACAGGCAAAGATTTCATAACAAAAATGTCAACAGCAACTGCAATAAAAACAAAAATTGACAAACAGGATCTAATTAAACTACAGAGCTTCTGCACAGCAAAAGAAACTATCATCAGAATGAACAGACAACCTACAGAATGGGAGAAAATTTTTGTAATCTATCCATTTGACAAAGGTCTAATATCCAGAATCTATAAGGAACTTAAACAAATTTGTGAGAAAAAAACTAAACGACCCCACAAAAAAGTGGGCAAAGGATATGAACACACACTTCTTAAAAGAAGACATTTATGGGGCCAACAAACATGATAAAAAGGTCAACATCACTGATGGTTAGAGAATGCAAATCAAAACCACAATGAGATACCATCTCACACCAGTCAGAATGGCAATTATTAAAAAGTCAAGAAACAACAGATGCTGGTGAAGCTATGGAGAAATAGGAAAGCTTTTACACTGTTGATGGGAATGTAAATTAGTTCAACCATTGTGGAAGACACTGTGGCGATTCCACAAAGACCTAGAACCAGAATTGCTATTTGACCAAGCAATCCCATTACTGGGTATATACCCAAAGGAATATATGTCATTCTATTATAAAGATACATGCATGCGTATGTTCACTGCAGCACTACTCACAATAGCAAAGACATGGAATCAACCCAAATGCCCATCAATGATAGACTGGATAAAGAAAATGTGGTTCATATATACCAATGAATACTAGGCAGCCATAAAAAGGAACGAGATCATGTCCTTTGCAGGGACATGGATAAAACGCAGGAACAGAAAACCAAACACTGCATGTTATCACTTGTACGTGGGAGCTGAACACCGAGAACACATGGACACAGGGAGAGGAACAACAAACACTGGGGCCTGTCAGGGAGTTTGGGGGAGGGAGAGCATCAGGATAAATAGCTAATGCATGTGTGGCTTAATACCTAGGTGATGGGTGGAGAGGTTTGTTACCTATGTAACAAACTTGCAAGTCCTACACATGTATCCTGGAACATAAAATAACATTTGAAAAAATTGCTATTTGTTTCAGAATCTTCTTTTTGTTTTTTATGACTTTTATTCATACCTCAATAACCTTGAATTTCCATTATGTTAAAATGGGGCATATGCAAATTTTTGTTTCTACTTTTTCAGTGAGTACCAATAATGTAGCACCAATATATACAAATTGTGAGGATACTCCTGAAAGAAATAATTAGAAAAAAGAGCTAATCAAGAATTAGAAAGAGAAGAAAGATTTATGGTCTCAAGGAAAAAATTTTAAAATTGAAACTCCAGGCAAACTAATCAGAAAAGGCTGTTTTTTGTTTATTTACCACTGATCTGTCAGCCTTTGCACTAATAACATTAATTTTATGACTTTATTATTAATTTGTCTTTTTCTTTAGTTCTGTTTTTTAAATACAGCAATGAATGAAGTTTCCAGAGTATCTTCAGTAGCATCTCTACCTTTCATAGCATTACACTGACATTTTCATTACTTTTTAAATAGCCTGATTTTGTGGTTTTGATTTCCTTTTTCCCTCTAACAGCTTTATGGGATAAATTCCCAAGTAGTTTGTAAATTATAAACTTTTGTTAACTTCTAGTTGTACTGTACTATTTTTTTTAAAAAAGTCTCCTTTGTGGAATTCAGCAGTTTCATGGATCAAATTATGTTTGAATTTTGAAACGTCCCAAATACATTTGTTCATTCATGTTCCTATTATACCTTTGCCAATTTTTTACCTCTTTAAATGATTCAGGTTTTTTTTTGCTTTGGTTTATCTGCTATTAAAATCAGCTTTATTAAGATATAGCTTACATCAGGCCGGGCGCGGTGGCTCACGCCTGTAATCCCAGCACTTTGGGAGGCCGAGGCGGGTGGATCATGAGGTCAGGAGATCGAGACCATCCTGGCTAACAAGGTGAAACCCCGTCTCTACTAAAAATACAAAAAATTAGCCGGGCGCGGTGGCGGGCACCTGTAGTCCCAGCTACTGGGGAGGCTGAGGCAGGAGAATGGCGTGAACCTGGGAAGCGGAGCTTGCAGTGAGCCGAGATTGCGCCACTGCAGTCCGCAGTCCGGCCTGGGCGACAGAGCGAGACTCCGTCTCAAAAAAAAAAAAAAAAAAAAAAAAAAAAAAAGATATAGCTTACATCAATAAAATTTGCCAATTTTAATTGTATAATTAAATGAATTTTGGCAAATGTATGCAGTCATGTGACCACCACCATAATCATGACATTGAACATTTCCATCATTCTACATGTCCTGTTACACAGTCAATGCCTTCCCTCCATGCTCTGACCCTACTCAACCACTGATCTGGTATCACAATAGCTTTGCCTTGTCTAGACTTTCACATAAATGAAATTATACCATCTATAGCCTTTTGTGTCTGGTTTCCTTCATTCAGCACAAAGCTTTTAGGATTCATCCATGTTGCTTTATTCATAGCAGTTTATTCCTTTTTTGTGGAGTAGTATTCCATTGTACAGTTATATGCCACATTTTGTTTCTCCATACACCAATTAATAGATGTGAATTATTTCCAGTTTTGTGCTAGTATTAGATATGTTTTCATTTCTGTTGGGTAAATACCCAGAAGTGGAATTGCTGTGCTACATGGTAAACAGATATTTAACTTATTAAACAATTGCCAAACAGCTTCTCAAACTGGCTGTACTATTTCGCATTTTTATCAGCAATTTCTAAGAGAGTTCCAGTTACTTACCATCCTTGTTTGCACTTAATACTGTCAATTTTTGTTTTGTAGCTGTTGTATTAGGTGTGCAATAGTACCTCAGTATTGTTTTAAACTGCATTTTCCTAATTACTATGACAGCAAGACTCTTTACATGTGTCTATTTGCTATCTATAGCTGTCCTTTCGTTAAGTGTCCAAATCTTTTGCCCTTTTTAATTAGGCTGTTTGTTTTCATATCAGTGAGCTGTAAGAGCTCTTAAAATATTCTAGATACAACATTGTATCAGATAGTGCTTTAAAAATATTTTATCTAAACCTATAGCTATAAAATATTTTCATTTTTGTAGCAATGCTTTCAATTTTCACAAAGTCCAATTTAGCCCTTTTTTCTTTTATGGTTCATGTTTTTGTATCCTGAGAAATCTTTGCTCAACCCAAGGTTACAATTATCCTATGTTTCTCTTATAAGTTCTACAGTTTTAGCTCTTAAATATGTCTTTGATCCACTTCTAGTTAATTTTTAAACATGACATGATCCCAAGTTTATTATATATGAATATCTGATTGTTCCAGGACCATTTGTTGAAAAGATTATCCTTGCCTTTAGTGAATTACCTTGGCAACTTTGTTAAGAGTCAATTGAACATATATATTTGAATCTATTTCTATACCCTATTCTGCTCTACTGATTTATATGCCTATCTTTATGACAATTCCAGATTGTATTCATCACTATTGCTTTATAATGAGTTTTGAATCAGAAAGTGTAATTCCAACTTTGTTCCTTTTCAAAATTGTTTTGGCTGTTCTAGGTCTGTTGTTTACAGTTCCCAATAAATTTCTGGTTTTTTGACTACTTCTATTAATTTCTGAGAGAGGATACTGACATATCTAACTGTAATTGCTGATTTGTCTATTTCTCATCTAGATTTTAAAGAAAAAGAAGTCTCCTGGCATTGATTAGGATTGAATTTAACAGATCATTTGTCAGAGAACGGACATTTGACAATGTTGATTCTTCTGATCCATGAACATGAATATCTATTTACTTAGGTCTTTATATTCAGCACTTTGAGGGGTTCAGTGTACAGCTCTTGCACATTTTTGATAAATTTATCCCTGAATGCTACACATTTTTTCTATTATAATTTTAAAATTTAATTTCAAGTGATTCATTACTGGTATAGAAATACAATTGGTTTTTACACATTGACCATATATTCTGCTAAGCTCCCTAATACAGACGGTCCCTGAATCACAATGGTTCTATTTATGATGGTTCAACGTATGATTTTTTTTACTTTATGATGGTGCATAAACACGCATTCAGTAGAAACCATACTTCCAAGTATCTATACAATTATTCTGTTATTCACTTTCAGTACAGTATCTAATAAATTATGTGAGATATTCAACACTTTATTACAAAATGGGCTTGGTATTAATTTTGCACAACTGTAGGCTAATGTAAATGTTCTGAGCACACTTAAGGTAGGCTAGGACAAGCTCTGATGCTTGGTTGCTTAGGCGTATTAAATATATTTTCAACTTACAATACTTTCCGTTTAAAAAGGACATAATCCCATCATAAGAACCACCTGTAACTTCTAGTAGCACTTTTTTTGTAGATTTTTTTGGGATATTAACATAGACGATTATGTCATTTGTGAATACACAGTTTACTTCTTCCTTTACAATCTGTATGCCTGTAAAAATTGCATTACCGCATTCGTCAGGGTCTCCAGTACAATTGTGAATACACACAGTGACTGACACATGCTCAGCTTAGAGCAAAAGCATTCAGTTTTGTGCCATTAAGCATGATGCTAGCTGCATATTTTTTAGATGCCCTTTATTAGGTTGAGGAAGTTACTGTCTATTCTTTTTTTTTTTTTAGACTAGTCAAATGCAGTACTGAGAGTATGAGTAGAACAAGGAGTTCAATCTGTAACTGACTGTGAAAAATCCCTTGAGATAACTCATTACCTTAGACAAGTCTCATCTATTGCTGGTTTAAGAATGAGTAATAAATGTTGTCAAGTCTTTTTTCTCCATTTATTGAGATGATCTCATGGTTTTCTAATTCAATCTTTGGATATGGTGAATTACATTGGATGCTTTTTCTAACACTGAACTGACAGTATATTCCTGACATAAACTCCAGCTAGACATGGGGTATTATCCTTTTCATAAGATTGATTTTCTAATATTTTGTTGAAGATGTTTGCCATCTATATTTAAAAGGATTTTGGTATGTATTTTTCTTGCAATCTTTGTCTGGCTTTGGCAGCTGTGTAATTATTGCCCACAAAAAGGAGTGGACAAGGATCACCTCTTATTTTACAGTCTGGAAGAGTCTGTATAGAATTGGCATTATTCTTTCATCAAATGTTTGAGAAAAGTTACTAATGAAGCCACCTGGGAGTAGTTTCCTTTGACAAAAGATTTTTAACTACAGATTCCGTTTTTTTAAAAGATATATAATGTTCGAGTTATCTATTTCTTTTTGAGTGAGCTTCAGTAGTTTGTGCCCTTCATGTAATTTACACATTTCATCTAAACTGCTAAATTTATTGTCATAAAGTTACTCATAATACTCTTATTATCCTTTTAAGGTCTGTAGCATCTAAAGTGAATACCCTCTTACAATCCTGATATCGGCAATTTGCGTCTTCTTTCCTTGTTTCCCAATCAGCCTGGTTACAGGTAGTACAGAAAACAGTTAATTCATGAGCCTGGGTTGCTAAAAAGCTGCAAATCCCAAGAAGGGCATATTTTTAGGACCAGTCCTTGAAATGTTGTGCTTGATAAGAGTGTTTCTAAATGCCTGAAGCCTTGGGCCACACTGTAACAGTTTTGCCAGAAAGCTTATGTTAGCAATGTGATTTATGGTGAACATGTGTTTTTGCTTTGGGGGTTTGGAGTCTGAGCAGCTGAGGTCGGTGACACAGGCACTGAATGCTCTGCCTCTACACAAAGCCCACATAGCCCTCTACACAAAACCATGAACATCAAGGCTTGGGTTGAGCTTCCCTGGGTGGCAACACTTTGCACATTTTGTCACATGTTGTTGGAGGAATTAAGTGAGTCCCTTGCAACTCTACTGGGGGGTGTACCTGAAAGCTTGCACCTGGTTTCTCCTGGGCTGTGTCCCATGCACCTTTTCCCTTTGCTGATTTTAATCTGTATCCTTTTACAGTAATAAATGGTGTGGGTATAACAGCTTTTGAGTCCTGTGAGTCTCTCTAGTGAATTATCAAGCCCGGGGGTGGCCATGGAAACCCCCAACACATATGATAACCAATTTTATTACTCTTTTAAAAAATTACATTTGGATTTACTGAAGGTTTTCTATTTTACTGATTTATACTCTTCTTATTTCTATCCTGTGTTTATTTTGTCTAATTTGTTCTTCACACTTTTTTAAGGTGAAAGCTTCAATGATGGATCTCAGACCATTCCTCATTTTTAATGTAATGCTACAAGTTTCCTTCTAAGTAATGCTTCAGCAGCATTCCATAAATTTTGATATGCTGTAATTTCATTTTTAGTTAGTTCAAAATATGTTCTAATTCTTTTGTGTTTTCTTCTTCAATACATTGATCTGGGGTCTTATTGAACTTCCAAATATTTGGTGATACTGCAGATAACTTTTGGTTAACTATTTCTAATTTGATGCTGTTGTGGCCTAAGAAAACATTTTGTATTATTTTAAAATTTTCTTTTACATTTAAAATTTTTATTTAATTTTTATATATAAAATAAAGCTATGTAGACTTGTTTTATGGGCCAGAATGATGTCTGTCTCGGTGAATATTCCATATGCACTAGAAAACAATGAGTATTCTGTGTTTGTTGGGTACAATGTTCCCATAAAACTCAACTCAAATTTGTCAGTTACTGAAATCTACATTCTTATTGATTTTTTGACTACTTGTTGTATCAATTTCTGAAAGAGGATACTAACATATCTAACTGTAATTGCTGATTTATCTATTTCTCATTTCATTTCTATAGGTTTTTGCTTTGCATATTTTGAAGCTTTGTTATGAGTTTCATACACAGTCAGTTATATCCTTGATACTGACACCTTTATCATTAAAAAGATTCCTTTTCATCTTTGGCAATATTCTTTATTGTAAAATATACTTTCTCTGCTATCAATATAACAACTCCAGTTTTCTTTTTACTAGTGTTAGCATGGTATATGTTTCCATTCTTTAAATATTAACCTACCTATGCCCTTACATTGAAAGCAAGTTTCTTATAGTCAACATATAGTTGGGTCTTATTTGCCAATCTGACACTTTCTACTTTTTATTTGGACCATCCACATTTAAATTATTCTTGATATTGCTGAGTTTAAATACACTATTCTATTATTTCCTTTCTGTTTGTCCTATTTGTTTTTTGTCTCTTTGTCCTCTTTTTTTTTTTCTTTTTTTTTGAGACAGAGTCTCGCTCTGTCACCTAGGCTGGAGTGCAGTGGTGTGATCTCGGCTCACTGCAAGCTCCACCTCCCGGGTTCATGCCATTCTCCTGCCCCAGCCTCTGGAGTAGCTGGGACTACAGGCGCCCAACACCACGCCCGGCTAATTTTTTGTATTTTTAGTAGAGACGGGGTTTCACTGTGTTAGCCAGGATGGTCTCTATCTCCTGACCTCGTGATCCACTCGCCTCGGCCTCCCAAAATGCTGGGATTACAGGCGTGAGCCACCATGCCCGGCCCTCTCTGCCCTCTTTTCCAACTATCTTTCTCAATAGATTTTTGTGATTCCATTATCATTATTGGCTTTTTAGCTATCCTTTTAAAACAAATTTATGAAGACTCTAGGTTTTATAATACACATATTTAGCTTCTCATTGTTGATATGGTTTGGCTCTGTGTCTCCACCCAAATCTCATGTTGAATTGTAATTTCCATGTGTTGAAGGAGGGGCCTGGTGGGAGGTGACTGAATCATGGGGACGGATATCCCCTTGCTGTTCTCGTGATGGAGTTCTTGCAAGATCTGATTGCTTGAAAGTGTGTAGCACGTCCTCCTTCGCACTCTCTCTCTCTCTCTCTCCTGCTCTGGCCATGTGAAGTCCATGCCCGCTTCCCCTTCACCTTCCACCACGAATATAAATTTCCTGAGGTCTCCCCAGCTATGCCTCCTGTATAGCCTGTTGAATTGTGAGTAATTAAACCTCTTTTCTCATAAATTACCCAGTCTCCGCTCTGTTGCCCAGGCTGGAATGCAGTGGTGTGATCCTGGCTCACTGCAGCCTCTGCCTCCCAGGTTCAAGTTGTTCTCCTGCCTCAGCCTCCTGAGTAGCTGGGACTACAGGCATTTGCCACCACACCCGGCTAATTTTTTTTTTATTTTTAGTACAGAGAGGGTTTCACCATGTTGGCCAGGCTAGTCTCAAACACCTGACCTCAGGTGATCTGCCCACCTTGGCCTCCCAAAGTGCTGGGATTACAGGCATGAGCCACAGCGCCGAGCCTCAGGTAGTTCTTTAGAGCAGTGTGAGAACGGACTAATATGAAAATTGGTACCAGAGAAGTGGGGCATTGCTATAAAGATACCTGAAAATGTGGAAGTGACTTTGGAACTGGGTAACAGGCAAAAGTTGGAACAGTTTGAAGGGCTCAGAAGAAGACAGGAAGGTTTGGAACTTCATAGAGACTTGTTGAATGGTTATGACCAAAATGCAGATACTGATATGAACAGAGATGGCCAGGCTGACGAGGTCTCAAATGGAGATGAAGAACTTATTGGGAACTGGAGTAAAGGCCACTCTTGCTATACTTTAGCAGAGACTGGCGGCACTGTGACCCTGCTCTAGAGATATGCAGAGCACTGAACTTGAGAGAGATGATTTAGGGTATCTGGTGAAAGAAATGTCTAAGCAGCAAAGTGTTCAGATGTGGCCTAGTTGCTGCTAAAAAACTATGCTCATTTGCATAAAGAAAGAAATGACTTGAAGCAGGAATTTATATTTAAAAGGGAAGCAGAGCACGAAAGTTTGGAAAATTTGCAGCCTGATCAAGAGGTTAAAAAGAAAAACCAGTTTTCTGAGGAGGAATTCTAGGCTGCAGAAATGTGCACAAATAAAGAAAAGCCAAATGTTAATAGCACAGACAATGGGGAAAATGCCTCCAATTCATTTCAGAGACCTCCACAGCAGCCCTTCCTATCACAGGCCTGGAAGCCTAGGAGGAAAAAATGGTTTCATGGGCCAGGCCCAGGGCCTCACTGCTCTGTGCAGCCTTGAGACATGGGGCCCTGTGTCCCAGCTGCTCTGGCTCCAGCTGTGGCTAAAAGGGGCCAAGATACAGCTCAGGCTATTAATTCAGAGGGTGAAAGCCTCAAGTCTTGGCAGCTTCCATGTGGTATTGAGCCTGTGGGTGTGCAGAAGGCAAGAGGTGAGGTTTAGAAACCTCTGCCTAGATTACAGAGGATGTATAGAAATGCTTGGATGTCCAGGTAGAAGTCCACTGCAGGGGTGGAACCCTCATGGAGAACCTCTACTAGGGCAGTGCAGAAGAGAAATGAGGGGTTACAGCCCCCACACAGTCTCCACTGGGGCACTGCCTAGGGGCACTGCCTAGTAGATCTGTGAGAAGAGGGCCACTGTCCTCCAGACCTCAGAATTGTAGATCCAGATAGTTTGCACCATGCACCCAGAAAAGCCACAGGCACTCAATGCCAGCCAGTGAAAGCAGCTGCAGGGGCTGTACCCTGCAGAGCCACAGGGTAGAGCTGCCCAAGGCCTTGGGAGCCTACCCCTTGTGTCAGGGTCGTCTAGATGTGAGACATGGAGTCAAAGGAGATTATTTTGGAGCTTTAAAATTTAATGACTGCCCTGCTGGGTTCTGGACTTGCATGGGGCCTATAGCCCCTTTGTTTTGGGCAATCTCTCACTTTTGGAATGGGATCATTTACCCAAACCCTGTCCCCACATTGTATCTTGGAAGTAACTAACTTTTTTTTTATTTTACAGGCTCATAGATGGAAGAGACTTGCCTTGTGACAGATGAGATTTTGGACTGTGGAATTTCGGGTTCATGTTGAAATAAGTTAAGACTTGGGGAACTGTTGAGAAAGCATGATTGTGTTTCGAAATGTGAGAAGGACATGAGATTTGGGAGGGGCCAGGGGTGGAATGATATGGTTTGGCTCTGTGTATCCACCCAAATCTCATGATGAATTACCACATGTTGAAAGAGGCACCAGGTGGGAGGTGACTGAATCATGGGTGTCAACTTCCCTCTTGCTGTTCTCATGAGTTCTCCTGAGATCCTGTTGTTTGAAAGTGTGTAGCACTTCTCCCTTTGCTCACTCTCTCTCCAGCTCTGGCCATGTGAAGACTGTGCCTGCTTCCCATTCCACCATTATTGTAGTGTCTGGAAGCCTCCCCAGCCATGCCCCTCCAATACAGCGTGCTGAACTGTGAGGTGACTAAATCTCTTTTTTTCATAAATTACCCAGTCTCAGTTAGCTCTTTATAGCAGTGAGAGCAGACTAATACAATTTTCTACCATTAAATAATGCCACTTCACATACATTTTAAGAAATTCAGCCAGGCGTGGTGGCTCACGCCTGTAATTGCACTTTGGGAACACAAGGCAGGAGGATCACATGGACCCAGAAGTTCAAGACCAGCCTGGGCAATACAGTGAGACACTGTCTCTACAGAAAAAAACAAAAATTAGCCAGATGTGGTGGTGTGCACCTGTAGTCCAAGCTACTGAGGGTGTGGAGGTGGGAGAATTGCTTAAGCCCAGGAGGTGAAGGCTGCAGTGAGCTGTGCTCTCACCACTGCACTCCAGCCTGAGTGACAGAGCAAGACCCTGTCTTAAAAAAAAAAAAGAAGAAAGAAACTCACAAAAGTATACTTCTATTTATTTCCTCCCATACTTTGTGCTACGTGGGTCTTACAGTCTGAACATTTGTCCTCTCAAAAACTCACGTTAAAATTTAGTCCTTAATTTGGCAGTATTGAAAGTTGGGGCCTTTTAGTGGTGATTGAGTAATGAGGACTTTGCCCTCGTGGGTGGATTAATCCATCAATGGGTTAACCAATTTATGGATTAATGGGCTAACAGATTAGGGCAGGGGTCCTCATGCCCCAGGCCTCAGACCAGTACTGGTCCATGGCCTTTTACAAATCAGGCCACACAGCAGGAAGTGAGTGGTGGGTGAGAGCATTATTGGCTGAGCTCCACCTCCTGTCAGATCAGCAGCAGCATTAGATTCTCATAGGAGCAACAACCCTATTACAAATGACGCAGGCAAGAGACCTAGGTTGCACGTTCCTTATGAGAATCTAACTAATACCTGATGATCTGAGATGGAACACTTTCATCCTGAAACCATCCCCCCCGGCCCACTCCATGGAAAAATTGTCTTCCACAAAACTGGCCCCTGGTGCCAAAAAGGTTGGGGACGGCTGGATTAGATCATCATAACGGTGGGGCTGGTGGCTTTATAAGAAGCAGACTTGAGCTAACACATTCAGCCCCCTTGGCATATGATGCTCTGCACTGCCTTGGGACTGTAGAGTCCTCACCAGCAAAAAGGCTCTCATCAGATGTGAATCCTTGACCTTGGACTTCTCAGCCTTAAAACCCGTAAGAAATAAATTCCTTTTCTTTATAAATTACGTTTCTGGTATTCTGTTATAAGCAACAGAAAACTAAGACAGTTGTTAAATCATTTACTTCTACAAATAAAGGTTGAATATCCCTTATACAAAATGCTTGAGACAAAAAGTGTTTCAGATTTCTTTGGATTTTGTATATCTGCATTATATTTACTGGTTCAACATCCCTAATTTAAAATTCAAAATCCAAAACGCTCAAATGAGCATTTCCTTTGAGCATATTCATGCTCAAAATGTTTTGGATTCTTGACCATTTTGGATTTCAGATTAGGGACACTCAACGTTTATTATAAATCCTATTAAAAAAACCTAATTATTCTTGCTTTTATAAAATATCTTTTAAAGAGATTTTTAAGTAAGAGAAAAATCCTTCTATATCACGTTTACTATTTGTTGTGCTCTTCTTTTTTGTAAATCAAAATTTCCACTTGGTATTGTTGTCCTTTTTTTTTTTTAACACTTTTTTATACTACAGGTTTACTGACAAATTCTTTCAGCTTTTGTGCACCTCAAAAAGTTTTTATTTCGCCTTCATTTTTGCAAGGAGACATATCTTGCAAAAATGAAGGCGAAATAAAAACTTTTTGAGGACCGAGAATTTTAGGTTGACAATTTTTTTTTCATTCAGTATTTTAAAATATTGTTCCATTGTCTTTTAGCTAGAATAGTTTCTGATGAGAAGTCTGCTGTCATTATTCTCCTATATAAAATGTCTTTATTTTCTCTGGCTACTTTTAAGATTTCCAATTTATCCTTCATTTTCAGAAACTGTAGTATGATTTTTTCATATTTCTTCATTTATGACCTGTTGAGCTTCTCTGATCTGTGGGTGTATTGTTTCCACACAGTCTACAAAGTTTTTAGTCATTATTTCTTCCAATGTATTCTGTCCCCACTCCTCAGGTTTCAAGTACACATAAGTTAAAATGCCTAATATTGTCCTATAGGTCATTGGTGTTCTCTTCCTCCTCCTCTCCAACTCCTATTCCAAAGGCCTTTTTTAGTGGTATGCTGTTAAACTCTCCAGTAAGGATAGGGCAGTATAAACAAAAAGCCTAGTCTAGTGTTTACCAACTTCCATGATGTAAGTATTCACATAAATAGCCAATTTCAAGTTACTAATGGTTTAACAACCAGTTTACAAAATTCCCTAATATTTAACAACCAGCTCTTATAAACCTGGACAGGCCATGCCAGCCCACCACTGTTTTTTTTTTTGTTTGTTTGATTTGAGTAATTTATATTGTTATTTCTTGACATTTACTGATCATTTTAATGCACTGTCCAGTATGCTAATTGCATACAGTCAATTTAAAATTTTGAATACTTTTATTTTTTTAATCTGTAGAAGTATAATTTGGTCTTTGAAAATATGTTCTATTTCTTTCTTTTACATCTTTTTTATGTTTTCCTATTCCTCTCCTAGAGTCTGTTTCTATTGATTGACTTATCTTTTGGTAATGGGTCGGGTTATCTTTCTTTTTTTAAATGCCTGGTAGATTTGACTGAATATCTGACATTATCAATTTTATATTGTTGGTGGCTGGATTTTGTTGGGAATCCTTTAAATACTGCTGGGCTTTGCTCTGGGATACAGTTAAATGACTTCAACCAGTATAATCCATTTAAGGCTTTTTTTTTTTTTTTGAGACAGAGTCTCACTCTGTCACCTGAGCTGGAGTGCAGTTGTGAGATTTCAGCTCACTGCAACCTCCACCTCCCGGCTTCAAGTAATTCTCCTGCCTCGGCCTCCCAAGTAGCTGGGACTACAGCTGCCTGCCACCACACCTGGCTAATTTTTTTTTTTTTGTATTTTTAGTAGAGACAGGGTTTCACTATGTTGGCCAGGCTGGTCTTGAACTCCTGACTTCGTGATCAGCCCACCTTGGCCTCCCAAAGTGCTGGGATTACAGGTGTGAGCCACCACACCCAGCCCATTTAAGGCTTTTTAAATTTAGTTACCCCCTGAAAACACTAGGGTTCTAAACTTGTTTTTGACACAGCCAAGGTAATTACAGATTTATAAGCTAAATCCAGGCCAGCACTTATATAGGTGAATGAACACATGAAAGATATTATTAATACCTAGGAAACCATGAAGATTTTCTACCCTTTTAAAATCAATTCACTGCACAAAACAAAAAGTTTGAGAGAATGTAATTCATAAGATGAAGAAGCTATCACTTCTACAAAAGAACTATTATAAAAATAAAGTGAGAGAGGATAAAATCAAGATAATACGGTATACACAATAAAAGTGAGGAAATTTTGGCTCAACTATCCCCTTTTAAAAGAATGTATACGCAACTTCATAAATAATTATAGCTACAATTTGAGTGCTTACTCTTAACAATTTATATTTATTTGTTCCAGTTACTATTGCTGAGTATCAAACCACTCCAGACTTAGCAGTGTAAAATAATAAGCAGTTTATTATGCTCTGAGCCCAGTATATTCTCTTTATTTATCAAGCCCCTCTTATCTAATTCCTGATGCTTTGATTCCACAATCCATCACTTCAATCATCACCCGCCATTTTCATGTACTTCCTATCCATACACTTGTCTGGTAAAACTGCAGGCACTGTTCAAATTTAGTGAACTTTACTTCCATAATTATAACCAGGCTATTGAATACTGCTGGAAAAACCTGAACCACTTCAAAGACAGTGTATTAGTCCATTTTCACACCGCTGATAAAGACATAACTGAGACTGGGCAATTTACAAATGAAAGAGGTTTAATGGACTTAAAGTTCCACATGGCTGTGGCCTCACAATCATGGTGGAAGGCAAGGTGGAGCAAGTCACATCTTACATGGATGGTGGCAGACAAAGAGAGAGCTTGTGCAGGGAAACTCCCATTTTTAAAACCATCAGATCTTGTAAGACTTATTCACTATGATGAGAACAGCATGGGAAAGACCTGCTCCCATGATTCAATTACCTCCCATTGAGTTCCTCCCATGACACACGGGAATTTTGGGAGTTACAATTCAAGATGAGATTTGGGTGGGGACACAGCCAAACCATGTCACATGTTGTACTGTTACCTTTCTACCAGCATTCTACCAAAAAGCCTTGCTCGCTACCTTACTACTAATAAACTTTTAAATACCTTTTTGATAAGCAAAAATATCTTGGTATTCCAATCTGAATCTCTTTTAAAATATTACTACATTTTATTAGTCAATGTTATTTTCTCTTGTATCTGGTTTTATTTTTTCATTCCTTTTGCTCACTTAGCTGTTATCTTAATATTTATGACATCAATTTATGCAACTTCTTTACAAGTTAACAAAAGGGATGAAACTTACTCATAATTTTGTTCCAAGGATTATAGGATAATTATAAAATACTCAGAAGGTCCTTCTTATTCCACATTATGTAGCTGCTCAATAAGTATTAGCAATTATTATCACTAGCTATATGTAAGACTATTAATGCTATGACTATAAAAATATTACATATTTTTCTCAGTGAGTTGGTTTTTGACCAAAAAAAAAAAAACTTATACATTAGATTTATTCATTCATTCAACAAATACTTATTGAGTCTTCTGTGTGCAGGCAGAAAATGCTGTCTTTATTTGGGAGGTCTTTTATCCCTTTTAAGAACAGAATATCTTTCCACACTGGAATGTTAAACCAGCCAGCCATTTTTAATTTCTTATGGAAATATCTGCCTATTAGATTTTTACATTTAAGTTTGTTAGTTATCTGAAATGTAATTTTTAGTTTGTGAGATAAAATTCCTTCCCTCAAAAGCTAAAGCAACCTAACAATAATATTTATTAATTATATGTACAATTTCTTTTTTTTTTTTTTTTTAAGACAGAGTTTCGCTCTTGTAGCCCAGGCTGGAGTGAGGTGGCATGATCTAGGCTCACTGAAACCTCCACCTCCCGGGTTCAAGCAATTCTCATGCCTCAGCCACTCAAGTAGCTGGGATAACAGGTACACAACATCATGCCTGGCTAATTTTTTGTATTTTTAGTAGAGACTAGGTTTCAACATGTTGGCCAGGCTGGTCTTGAACTGCTGGCCTCAAGTGATCTGCCTGCCTTGGCCTCCCAAAATGCTAGGACTACAAGTGTGAGCCACTGTGCCTGGCCTTTTGTTTTAAATATTTAAATATTTCAGTTAATCTTCCTTTTGTATTTTTCTGCATTAACTTTAGCCTAATTTTGCAACTAAAGAAATCATCCACTGGAAACCATTACAATTGGATTAAACCTAAAAATTAATCTGGAAACAACTGGTATATATAAAGTGCAACCTATGTGTAATATCTACTAATAAATTTTTTCTATTTGAATCTGTATTTTTGGAAAATTTACTTTTAAGATCTTTCAGGACTTTTGTAGTTTCTATGTAGGTGATATCTATCTGTTAATTTTTGTATTTTTCTCCAATATTTTCTTATTGTTTCTAGCTATAATCTTTAATTTTGTATACTTATTTTGTTCACACAGGTTGATTCACATAGGTTTTCTAATATTTGCATTCAAACCATCAATAATGATCATTTGTTCTCCTCACTAAGTGTCACATTATTTGTCCACACTGTACACTACACACTGGCATAACAGGGAGCCTGTTATGGCTCACACCTGTAGTCCTAGCATTTTGGGAGGCCAAGGCAGGCACATCACCATAGAATCAGTAGGACCTGGATTCACTATTATTAGTTATATGATCCTGGGTACATTTCTTAACCTCTGTGCCTCAGTTCTTCAGTTTATACTGATTTTATAGGATGCATGTGAGAATTAGATGAGTTAATACATGTAAAGCACTTATTATGGTGCCTGCTATGCAACAAATATGGACAAATACCTATTGAAAAAAGCTATCATATCTTTATGTTTCATGCCTTAACATATTTACTTCAAGATTATTAAACAGTTACGATGAAAAGACATCTTCCCTTGCAGGTCCTGATTTTAAAGGAAGAACCTGTAGGCTAGGTGTCTCCCTTTCCAAAGGGACCCATGGAAAACTATCGAAATCATACATAATATACCATGTATACTGTGGATTTAAATTTTCCTAGAACCCCACAGCATGCTCTAGGTTTGTTGCTCACATGTATGGTTTTAACACACATGAACACCAATGTTCTAAAAAATCCATTACTATCCTATTTCCAATTAAAATATGATAGCTTTTTTCCTTGTTATTTTTATATTATATGGTTTTATTCAATTTATTTGCACTAACATCTTAATATTGACTGATATCCAATTATTAAGCAGTTCTTGGGGGGAACTATCTGGCTGAGATAGGTTATTCTTTTAACAAGATTAATTTCAATGTGTTCATATATTTATATAGAGTTTTTTGTTCTCAACACACATTCATAAATGAGACAGCTATAAGTTTCTTTTCAGGAAGAAAAACATAGACAACTGTCTATATTTTTGCACACTTTTACTTTTAAACTTTATGTCATTTTGTTTAATGTGTGAATCTTGCAAGTAAAATACCTGATATTTTATTTTATTTATTATTAGTATTATTTTTGAGATAGGATCTCCCTCTATCACTCCGGTTGGAATGCAGTGGCATGATTATGGCTCACTGCAGCCTCGACTTCCCAGGCTCAAGCAATCCTCCCACCTCAGCCTCCCAAGTAGCTAGGACTACAGGCGCATGCCACCATGCCCAGGTAAGTTTTTATTTTTTGAGAGACAGGATCTTATTATGTTGCCCAGGCTAGTCTTGAACTCCTGCACTCAAGCAATTCTCCCACCTTGGATTTCCAGAGTCTTGGGATTACAGGCATGAGCTACCATGCCTGGTCCTGATATTTTAAAAGTCTATTTTTGAACCCACTTTTTAAAATAGGAAGCTTAAACTATTTACATTTATTGTCATGACTCAGTTTGCTCTTACTTAAATTTCTTATTTCATTACATTCTTTTAAAAAAACTCACTTAATTTTTTTAACTCTGACAACTTAGAAAGTGTAATAATCTATTTTATATATATACTTGTTTTATTTATTTCAAACTCTAGGATGAAATAATAACTTTTAACTATACGCTAGGGACAAGAGTAATGGTTACGTGACTTTTTCTTCCTAAGCTAGGATGCTTTGCTCAATCTTTGAAAACAATTTGGTTCTGTTCTCTCACATTATCATATACATATATCTAATGTAAAATCTTCAGGAATTATTCTGGACATATATAATAATTAAGAAAGTTCTACATATTTAACTGATTTCAAAGTTCATCCAATGGTATTTTTGGATCATAAATTTCCCATCAAAAAAATTTTTAACTGATACATAATAGTTGTACATATTTTGGGGGTACATGTGATATTCTGACACCATATACAGTGTATAATAATCAAATCAGAGCATCTGAGATACCCATTACTCCAAGCATTTATCTTTTATGTTGGGAACATAAATCTTCTCTTCTGGCTATTTTGAAATATACAATAAATTATTAACTGTAATTTCCCTACTGTAATACTGACTACTAGAACTTATTCCTTCTAACTATATTTTTGTACTCCTTAACCAACTTCTCTTCATCCCTTCCTCTAAGATCTTAAGATGTTCTATTCTTAAATTCTTAACTTTGATTCATATCTAGAAATGGTACTACATCTTTAATAAATCTTAAATCTTTTTTTTTTTCCAGGGAGGGAACACTGATATTTCTCTAATAATGCACATATGTTTACAACTACCATCACAAATGACTGACAACTTAGGTGACCAGATTCCTCAGGCTACAATTTTTCTCTTAGTGCTCTAAATATTTCTCCATTGTCTTTTGGATTTAGTGTTTTTACAGAGAAGTCTCAAATGTACTATATGTTTTTGTGTTTAGGTGTCTGCAATATTTGACTCTTAAGATACAAACAAAAGAATTTTCTAGATATAGTTCTCATCTCATAAATTTTGCCTGGAATGCAGGATGACTCATCTCTTCAGAAATCTCAGCAAGGTTTCTTCATCATGCTCATTATTGTTTCTGCTCCACTAGTACTGTCCCGGGATACTTATTTGTGGGTCAAATATCTTTCTATGTCCTCATCATTTATTTCTTTCATTTTAGTTTTGGTCATTTCTTCCCACCTCGAATTTGTCTCCCACTTCACTGATTAGATTTTTCCGTAGTGTCAATTCCATCATTTTAGGCCTGAGATATAGTTTTAAGGAAGCAACTGAAGAACATGAACTTTAAAATTGCAGAGACTGTGGTCTTAAATCCCACTTATCCTATTTTAGACTAAATGACCTAAGGAAATCACCTAACATGTCTGTTTGTCTGTTTATAAAATTTCTCATGTGCAAAAAAAGAATCCCAATATCTATCTTGCATGATTAACATGAGATTTAGAAATAATATTTGTAAAACTCTTATTATTGTGCCTTATATATAACTGGAATATAAGATGAACCTGCCATTATTATGAATCCCTATTTTGACTTTTTTCCTCGCTTAATTTTATTTCAGACTGCTCCATTTCTCATCTCAGCCTGTTCTGTACATAGGACTCCCTGTTCTTCTTTCAAGAAGAAGTCCTATCTTTTCAAATTTCATTAAAATAGATAATATTGGGTTGTGGTTAAGGCAGTGGATTCTGCACTTCCACTCAGTGTTTGAATCCTGGTTCTACCATTTACTATGTAACTTTCAGCAAGTTACTTAACTTCTGATGTAGTTTTCTCCTGTACAGAAATAAAACCCTGTAATTTCGTCGTTTGTATTAAACGACTAAATATATATAAAGTGTTTAGAAGAGTGCCTAAAGATAGAAAGCATTAAGGCATCTAGCAAATGAAAGCAGCTATTCCTCTTTTACTTCCTCAAGTTAATCATGTCAAAAATATTTTGTTCTCCTCTAAGTCCTTTAGAAATATTCCTGTTCTTTTGAGCTGCGAAATATCTTCCCAAATATTTGTTCCTAGTGTACTTATTTCTGAAAGAAAAGAAGCCTATTCAGTCCTGGTGTTTGCAAAGAGAGGCTGGATAAATTATGCTTAGTCACCTCACACTTATGTGCCCCTCAACATTTAAACTGGACCTTAGGTAAATGGACATAGCCTCTGCCTATTCTGATTATCCATTTAATTTAAACCTTGGTCTAAATTGCATTTTGTTCATGGCTCACAACTCCCAGTTCTTTAATACTAAGAGACAATATGAGGTTCTTCTCTGAGCATAAAACATCTCTGCAGACAACTGTTTCCAGGGTTCTTTTTGCTTTTGCCCAACATAAACCACTCCATCTGAGGGGAGCGCATATATCAATAAGCAATGTTTCATCCTCCATGTCACTATTCCCTACCATATTGTGCACTAGTACCACCAGAAAAAGCACATGCTATTTCAGAGCAGCAATCACTATGGGAGTGCTAATCTGTCCATTCTGTCAGTAGTTCGAAATTTTTGTGCAGTCGTACACCAGTGTATACACTATGAACCCTCACATATGTGCAGCTGGATTTTGGTCAATTTTACTACTTGTTTTTGCCTCACTTCAGAATTTATATTGTTACATTGACATCTGCCAGACAGAATACTAAAATGAACAGGTCTTAAGAAAAAATGGGGTAAATCTTACTACAAGCAAAATGTAGGATTATAACTCATTATAAAACTCCTGCCAAAAAAAAAAAAAAAACTATGTACCATTTACACAAGAGCCTGTTTATTTTTTTCTGTGAGGACAGAAGAGATAATGGTCAAAGTAGTAAAAAGTGCAACTCAAGTAGGGAGATAGGTATAAAGAGGGCATAGAGCATTAACTGTGGATGCCAATACAGACTCTTTATGATTCCAAGGGGATCAGGTTGTAGTTAGTTGCTGATTTGCTTAGTCTTTGAGCACTGTATTTTTAATTCCTTCAAGTGTGCTGCCAAAGATTCTATCATTTGAAAGTGTGCCTCAAACATAAAAGGATAATTATTACCATACGGCCATTGATTTCTCCTGGTTCTGTTGGGTAGAATCACACAGAAATAGTTTAAATAAGCACAAGCTATTCAATATCTGAAGTTAAGATACTACTTCCTAAGTTCTTCACAATTCTGGGTTAAAAATATTTTCTTCAAAAATGTTATCATGGCTAGTTTTGAGTTTCCCCACTATCTCTGGTCATTTTCCCCACTGTGTGTGTGTTCTTCCTGTAGGACAGCACTCAAGAATGAAGTCAATATTCTCACAGTGATGTTGATTCTAATATAAACTTTATTTTTACCACATGTTATTGACCATGACATAGTGTTACTGTTTTTAATTTTCAAAATTCCTTAGAATTTTAACATAAAATGCAGCCATATCTGCATTTTATGCGCATATGTAAATCACTATTACCCAATGATCATTTACTTACTGAGATGTTTTCTTCAGACCTGACAAGTTTTTTCTTCAGTTTTTTCTTTTCACGCATTAGATCACTGTGGGTCTTAAGCAATTCTTCAAAGCGAACTTTGGTTTTTACTTTTGCTTCACTCTCAGCTACAAAAGATACAGCCATGTGATTTTGTAAATGACTCTATCATAACACACAACCTACACTACTAGGATGTTAAGAAATAAGTTCTTGTAAATATCGGCATGAGTTCTCTAGCTACATTAGAAAAACTCACCTATCTTTCCTTCTTAAAATATTTTTTATTTTGACTTTAGTGACACAACATTCACCTGTATCCCTCTGACCTTTTTGGCCACTCACTCTAAAAGTCTCCTTTGCTAAGTTAACTTTTTATTTCTGATAAACAGTAGCATCTACCACTGTTAGTTACGTGTTATGTGGCTTTAGACAAGTTACTCAAGATCTCTAAACTTCATTTTCCTTATCTGTAAAATCACAATTATCTTATGCCAAAGATCATTTTGCATGAAAAATGGCTAAGGTGTGCCTAGCCTGTAATCAGTATTCCACAAATATTAACAGGTTTTTCCTTTAAAACATGAAGAAGATAATGCTTAAGCCCCTGAAAATTTCCCAATACATTTAGGATAAAATAAGTCTTTTATATGCCCTACAGGGCTCCATACCTCCTGATCTATCTCCAGGGCTTCAAATCAAGACAAATATCCCCTTAGATGCCTATGTTCTAGCTATAATACCCTTCCTTTAGCTCCTCCGTCACAGCAAGCTCCTTCCCACATGAAGCTGTTTCTGAGGCAAGCTTCCTCTAATTCCTCACCTGGCTGGTGTTAACCTGTCTGTTTAAATGCTGCCTGTAAATAAAACACCTCCTGACAAACTCATCTAATTTTCCCTTTTCTCACATAGCAGGTTGTTCTCTTCCTTCACAGCACTCAACCCAAATGGAAATTATATAATTATTTTTATATCTATATAAAGAAACATATTTTCTGTTTCCCCCATAACTACATCCCCAGCTACTATTATGAGGTCTGACATAGTGTACATAGTCATTATGTTTTAAATTAATAAATGCTGAATGAATGGGTGCTCTAGAGCAAGTGTCGGCAAACTATGGCCTGCAGGCTAGTCACTTGTTTTTGTAAAGATTTATTGAAATCAGACATACCCATTTGATTAAGAATTGTTATAACTGCTTTCATGCTTTAAAAGAGACAGAGAGACAGAGTTGAGCAGTTATAGCAGAGACTAAGCCTAAAATATTTACTAGCTAGCCCTTTTAGAAAAGATTGCCAATGCTTGTGGTGGAGTAAAACATTCAATTTTGATGATAAAGAATAAAAACTAACCCTATGTTGTAATCATTATTTACCTTGTCCATCTGAGTCCCAAACTACCATCCATTAAATACATACTAACCTTAATCACAATATTAAATAGAAAACTGAATACAAAACCAATAAGTATCTCTAAATGTAGTATATTTGGTCAATGACATCTACTGTATTCATTAATCTGTTCAAGAATCCCTTAAAATAAACCAAACTTAAAAGTAAATGTATAAAATATAAATTTTATACATAAATTTCATAGAAGTCTTACCTGTAGGCATCTCTCAGCTTTATGCAGAGGACTGAGAATGCAAAGCATTGACTCAATCAGGATCCTATCGAAACAAAGGAGATGTATTTGTAATATGGAACTTCCAAATAAAAATTATAAAACGTTCTTCACACAAGATCATGCCATTGTATGTCCACTACTTCATTAAGTTTATACCAATAAAGCTATGTTCCCTTAACCCAATCTTATGCAAATGACTTGGGTACATTTGAATCAGTTTAGGGCTCTAAAATCAAGGGAAACAAACTAGATCATATCTGAATAAAGTATTTATATATTTGAAACAAAAAAAACATTTTGAAGGCAGTGCACATCTAATGTGGTATGTTAATAAACTTTTTAAAGTGTTTTAATACATTAATGAACATTTCAACGCACTTTTAAGAAACCAAACTCCATCTCAGGATTGACTTTCCTAAGAGCATTCAATATTACATTAAAGCATGCTTGTGGGTAGCACACTCACAGTGAATTTAAATACCTCTGTGTCTGCCACTGAAAATTCTGCTACAATAGAGAAGGATAGTACAAATATTTGCACCATCTTTCTTTAATAAAACCTGGATGTGTATTACTGTGTCAGAACTACTCAAAACCATGGTTCAACTCAGTATGTATATTACTAAATTGCCCATTTTATTAAAAAAATCGGTGTATGTCTAAAATGAACATATTCTCACATTAGAACATTTAGAATGTAATATGCATGTTTTTGAGACTAAAACTGAAGAGTGTTAAAAAAAAAGCTGGTTCAGGAATTATTGATTTGTTTGTTTTTGAGATGGAGTCTCCCTTTGTCGAGTGCAGTGGTGTGATCTCGGCTCACTGCAACCTCCGCCTCCCAGGTTCAAGCGATTCTCCTGCCTCAGCCTCCCGAGTGGCTGGGATTACAGGTGTGCGCCACCACACCCAGCTAATTTTTGTATTTTTAGTAGAGACAGGGTTTCATCATGTTGGCCAGGCTGGTCTTGAACTCCTGACCTCATATGATCTGCCCGACTCAGCCTCCCAAAGTGTTGGGATTACAGGCGTGAGCCACCACACTGGGCCCAAGGCATTATTGGTTAATGCTCCAATTCCCTGGACATCCACATTCATGTTCCTCTTGCAGAAATGTCTAAGAAATTCTAAAAAGAAAGGAATGATTATGTAAACATACCTAACTATGTCAGTTAACTTAGGCAACAACTACGTGGCACCCAGTCAAAACAGACATCACTAAATCCATGGAGTAAAAATTCCTATACTTTAGTGATAGGAGCCTGTATTTACTCCTTCTAGCAGTTATAAATTTAATAAATCTAGTCTTCTACTTTCTAGTCTATATTAAATTAGAAAAGAGAAGCTGCAAAGGCAAGTGCAATGACAGCATGAGTAATTGAAACCTGAGAGCACGGAAGTAGAAAAATCATAAAACAAATAAAAATTTAATATTTATACTACTCGATGGTCATCTAATAGGCCAGGAAAAAGCTGACCTATATTATGACTATGATTCATCAAAAAAAAGCCTGCTGGGCGCCGTGGCTCATGTCTGTAATCCCAATACTTGGGAAGGATAAGGCGGGTGGATCACTTGAGGTCAGGAGTTTGTGTCCTGTCTGGCCAACATGGTAAAACCCCATCTCTACCAAAAATACAAAACTTAGTCAGGCGTGGTGGTGGGTGCCTGTAATCCCAGCTACTGGGGAGGCTGAGGCAGGAAAATCGCTTGAACCTGAAATGTGGAGGTTGCAGGGAGCCAAGACTGCACCAGTGCGCTCCAGGTGATGGAGTGAGGTAATATTTTAGAAAGATTAAATAACTAATGAAGAGGCAGGAGAAAGAATCGGAGATAATTCCCATGTTTCTAGAACTAGAATAAGTAGATTAGTAGTATCATTACACTGTAATATAATGCAGTACAGGGCAGTAGTTTAAAATCCATGTCCTAGAATTAGTTTCCATAGTCACTTGCGTGACTTTTGTTTCCTCATCTATAAAAACACCCTACCAGTGCCGACTCAAAGGGTTGTTGTAAGGGTTAAATGATTTAGAACAGTACCGTAGACAGAAGAAGCAACAATAAATGTTAGCTATAACTGTAACAGGTTGTTAGGGTGCAGTCACTGAGCTTAGTATGGGTCATGTTGAGTTGGGTATCTGAAGGGCACTGAGCAGCTACAAGCATCAGCTCCATTTTCAGATCCTTGGATCCAAATACCAGTTCTATCTGCCAGCAGATTCACCTCTATGGATATCAACTTCCTAATCTTTCACAATAATAAGAGTAAATCACTCACAGTGTTTTTATAAAGATTAAATGAGAATATGCAAATAAAATACTAGGCACAATGCCTAGCACATGGCAAGCCCTTCAAAAACAACAACTGTTATTACTGTCACGTGTGTGTGTGTTTACGTATATAATCATATTATGTTTGTTAGGCAATCTACTAATCCAGCAGGGAGACAATAGGCTGAAGATTTGGGAGTTATTTATAAATATGATAGTTCCAAGAAAATAAAAAGCCAATGAGAATCCTGTGAGCCTACAATATAAAGTAAAATCAGGGAGATAGGTGAAAAACTGGGAGATAGAAGCATTACAGAAGCAAACCCAAGTTTTAAAGGAGATGTTGCCTATATACTGTGTGGCATCAAAAGGGGCTGGAGGTTTTGAAGAAAGTCCACTGAATCTGCAAGTAGGAAGTCACGTGTGTCAAAGCTGTTTATAGAGGGGCAGAAACTTAGCAGGCTGGGGCTAAGGAATGAATGGAAGGTGACACCTGTAGAAGGGACATGTAGACAATTCTTTACAGAATTCTTCCAACTGTCTTCCCATCACCCCCAAAGGCAGTGACATGAGACAGTAACTCTGAGGGACAAAAACACTGTGGAAGGATTATGCTTTTTGTTTTAAGATTGTTTCCACGCCGCTATCACCTTTCCCTTAAAAAAAAAATCATCATCTACACAGCAACTAGTGTAATTTTCTAAAATTCAAATGTGATGGTGTCGTTTCTTCGCTTAAAATTCTTCACTAGCTCCCAATCGCACATTGAAAAAAATATCAAGTCCTTACCAGTGAGGTCCAAGGCCATTTATGAAATGTCCCCTTCACACATCCACTGTGTTCCAGACATGTGAAACTACCTGCAGGCCTTCACGTGTGCCAAGTTCTCTCTTGCTTTTGTATCATTACACACATATCCCCTCCCCTGAAAAATGTGCTTCCTCCTTTGTCTCTCTAACAAACTCCTCACTATCCTTTAAAGGCAAATGATATCTTCTCTAGAGAGCATTCTCACCTTGAAGGGCATTTAAGAACTTCTCTTCTGTGCTTCCAGGGTGCCTTAATCTTTGTAGCTCCCTCTACCTCAACCTTGAATTTTCACCCTGGTAAAATGTTCTGTAACTCCCACCAAACTGCTAGCTTTGGAGGACCAAGCCAATGCTCTCTTATAGTTATGTATCTGCCACTATGAAAGAAAAGAGAGGAGAAGAAGAGAGAAGCGAAGTGAAGAGAAGCAAAAGCAAAGCGAGTAAAAAAGACTCAGGCTTGAGCTCTAGTGTCACCACTTACTGATGTGTGGCCTTGGGCAAGCTACTTAATTTCTAATCCTTGGTTTTTCCTTGTCTGGGAATTTAAAATGGCACCTATTTTAGTACTGTAAGGAGAAGAGAAAATACCAAAAAGCAAAGTAATCAGTACATTGCAATAAAATTACTTTATGTCCATTATTATTGTATTAAAAATAAGTAAATAATTACAAATAAAATATATAAATCATATACTTATTTACTATTAACAGCTTAATACACAACTAAACTAATAAATACTAATATTATGTAATGATAACACAGCAAATACAGTACAGAAATCATCTCTAATTTTTTTTTTTTGGAGACAGAGTCTCGCTCTGTTGCCCAGGTTGGAGTGCAGTGGCACAATCTCAGCTCACTGCTGCCTCCGCCTCCTGGGTTCAAGCAATTCACCTGCCTCAGCCTCCCTGGTAGCTGGGACTACAGGTGTGGGCCATCACACCCAGCTAATTTTTGTATTTTTAGTAGAGATGGGGTTTCACCAACATTGGCCAGGCTGATACTGAACTCCTGACCTCAAGTGATCCACCCACTTTAGCCTCCCAAAGTGCTAGGATTACAGGCGTGACCCACTGCGCTCAGCCATCTCTAAATCTTAATATGTACTACAGCAAACATGATAGAATTAACGGCTAATATTTGATTAGTAACCTCTGCAAAAAATCAGATAGGACTTTAAAAGACACCTCTGATTCTTATATATTCCATTATTTTACAACTTCTCCCTCACAAACCCTTTCACAGGAGCGTCTAAGAGATATTACACAGGAAAATTAAATGGATTACATTTCATCTCATTTTATTTTACAGACAACCTGATTATCAGCCAATATGTGGCTCAATATCATTGGGAGAAAAAACTGAGAGGCTTGATAATTCGCTCCTTAACCAAATGTTATCGCAAGGGAAAAAAAGACAAACAAAAATCCTGTATACAAAATTCAATGAATAAATCAACAAGATTCTTCATAAGTAAACAAGATTCTAACTTCATAAATATTATTCCTCATAAACAAGATTCTAGGTATGGTTTAAAAACACTTTTGGTATTTGAATTTCTTTCAAGCATTCTTTAAAAAATTTCCCAGAGTACTCATAAGAAGCAATCTTCCTCCTAACGCCCAAGCAGTAACAGCAACTGTTAATGCAACAGGTGAAAAAATCGTTGGCATCTCTTTCTCAAAAGAAAGGGGAAAGCTTTATTTTCACAATAGATGTTTTTACAGGAATGCTAAACGCAGCACAACCTTTGATAAGGATTCTTAAATGGTCTACATTTTTGTTCTATTTTTATGCATCTCGAAACAACCCTATTAATATAATTTGGCTCTTATAAATATAACAAATTGATCACCTTTTCTCAGACATAATTAAGAAGGCTTTGACAGGTTGAAGATTCAGCCCCAGGTTGACACTCTAAAAGGAAATAAACACACTCAGTACACATCTGATTTAAAAGCATTTAAATAAGAATCGGGAGTAGGAAAGGCAAAGATTGAATTCTCTATCAGAGCACCATGCTCAACTCTCCGGGGACACGGAGACCAGTGAAAGAAGCGCAAAAGTACGGTGAGGACTCTCAGAAATCGCATTCCCCCGGGACACCCGGCCCACGCTCGTCGGTCACTACGCTATCAGCCTCCGCGCTCTCGGACTCCAGCAGCCCCGACACGCCGCCCAGGAGAGGGCCGGGCAGGCCGAGCACCCCGGCCCGCGCTCCCGCCACCAGCGCACCCATGATGTACTCACGGAGAGGGGTACGCAGAACCGCCCGTCCCGCCGGAGCCGACACCCGGAGCAGTGCAAATCAACTCCCCCAGCCTAGCGGCGCGTGCGCGAAGTGAGGCGGCCACGCAGCCACCTAACCCGCCAGCGACCCGTGTCCTGAAAGCAAGCCGCGGCTCTGTGCCGCAGTGCGGACAGCGCGCCGCCTGCTGACGTCAGCGCCTGCCTACGCCGCCGTTCCCATGGCGACCGATGCGTCCCGCGCTCTAGGCGAAGACCGCGGCCCCGTCCCCGCGCCTCCACCGCCTTCTTCCAGGAGGAGGGGCCGTGCGGCGCCTGCCCGGGGGCCCTCAGGCCGCAGGCGGGCGCGAGCTTCAGGGAACTTAGGGGGCTCCCGCCTCCCCGGCCACGCGAGCGGGAACAGTCTCCTCCACTCGGAGCGGTAAGGGACCCGGAAATGCGCGGGTGCCCCTACAGAGTCTTGAGTTTTCCCCGCCCTCACCTCCGAAAATGCTCTTTTCGCCTTAGAATTGTAGCTAGCGCAGGGAAAAACTGACTGGGCAAAGGAAAACTGGGGAGGCTGTCATGGAAGCCGCCCAGAATAAGAAAATGAATGAATGAGGCAAAGAAACAGATTTGTCACTCCCCACGCGATCGCGCCCACAAAAGAAAACATGGTTTTAAGGCGTGGAAAATGAAGTTGTACTACAGACAAAATTTTAAGAAAAAATTATCCACTGTTCCTTTAGAGCTATCTCCCTGTGTGTGAAAAACAAAACAAAAGTTAAAACGCCATCCTTTTCTACACCTAATGCTCCCTCCCACTTTTCTGATTTCTGCCACAGGCGCCATCTTCAGCTCTGAGTCACCAGGGCTGGAAAAATACTAGATGCGCTACTCGTGGACTCGTGAATACACTCGTGAATACAGGCCATTTCCTGTACCTACAGCCACCCGCTGTAAGCTGTTGCTTCATTTGTACAGTAAGAGTTTATGGAGGCCAGCTTTTCCATTCTTACTGACATTGCCACACCTTACAAACTATATGTCTTGTGCTTCCCTAAATCCTGTGAGGAAGCAACGAGAAAGATTACTAATCCAATGCGTACCGAACTGAGCTGTTCAACTTTCCGTTCTAAACATACTCTCCTAGATTTCTATCTTGCTGTAAGCCACCACAATCCTCCCAGTGTTTTAGTAAGAACAGTAGAGTATCCTAAATGCATCTTATGCCAAAGCATATCCATTCTCTCTTTTTAACTTCCTCAGATGGGCCCTTTACCAGTTCTCTGACTCCAGTTTGACTCTTAAATTCTCCACACTGCTATCAGAATGACCTGACTAAAAATGTAAATCGGATAATGGCACTCTCCTGCTGAAAATTTTTGAAAGGCAATCTGTAAGAGAAAATGATTACTTTGCCTAGGATACAAGATTCTCCATCTCCCTGACTAGTTTCATCTCTCGTTAGCTTCTTGTTCCAATTTTATGCAATATTGAATCATGTGTACCATGCAGTTTTATGCAACATTGAATTATGTGTACCATGAAAAACAATCCATAGCCTTTCACGCCCCGTCCTTACTCATATTGTCCTCTCTTCCTGAAAATTCCTCCTTTTACACTCCTGCATCACAGCCAAATGTTGTCCATCCTTTGAATCTTAAGCAGGTTGACTGACTCCTTCAAACACTCCTACTCCCTATTAGACTTCGGATACTCATTCTATATATTAGACTTTGGATGCTCATTCTATAGTTTCATAGTTTACTTTGTATTTTCTCTATCCCCAGCATCTACCACAGTGTCTATGAAATAGTTGGCATTTCATGAACATTTGTTGAATGAATAATGGATAACATATATTGAGCTCCTTCTAGGAGGTATGCATTGTAGGTGTTTTATGTACTTTTCATCTGTCCTCACAACTGCATTTAAGTACCTGCTTTTCCAAAGGGAAGTTATAACTCTGACTGCTCATTCTTAGTAGGGTGTTAGTTTCAGAATACAATCCCCAGACTAGCGGATGTGTAACCCTGTTATCATCTCTTGCTTCTCCATTTACAGTAGCATGCAGAGGTGCAGTGGGGTGGGGGAGGTCAGGGAATATTTCATAGCAGAAGTGACATTTAAGTAAAGACCAAAATAATGTGTAGAGTTGTCCAGGTTAGGAAGGGTTTCCAGGTAGAAGAAGGTGGCGTATAGTGTTCACTACAAGAAAGTTTGGTATAATACAAGAACTGGAAGAAAAAAAAAAAAAGTTCAAGTTGGCTAACTAAAAGGTAGAGAATGAGACTAGGGGCTTTTGGAGGAGACAAAACAAGAGAGTTAAACAAGCTATGAAGAGACCCAGACAGTATTGGTCAGTGGAATACCACTATAGAATTTTATGGAGTGAAATTTTCAAATTTTAATATCATAAAGATAACTCTGGCTGCAGGGTGGAGAACAGACAGGAAGGAAGCAAATCTAGATCTGGGAATACCATTTAAGATGCCGTTGCTGTAAGCCATGTAAGAGACAAAGGTGGCATGGTCAAGGCTAAGAAAAATCAGAATGGAGAGAAATGGACCAATTTGAGAAATTTTTAGGAGGTAAAAATGTCAGGACTTAGTGATTGATTGGATGGAAGAGTGAATGATAAGAAATAATAAAAAACGATGACCAGCTGTTTTGCCTTCCCCTTGGCAAGTAAAGAGGTGGCAAGCATGAAAGGGGAGTGAGGAAATAAATATGTTGGGTCTAATGGGAGCCAGGTTTCTCACTGACAGAGAAGGACGTTACAAATTGAGAGAGGAAGAATTCCACAGTGACCTTTGTGGTGATGTTGAATTGGAATTGAATATGTCAGTGTCAACTCATAGTTTTCAATATATACATAAACATATGTAAAAATAAATATAGAGGAAAGTATGTCTGTATGTGTGTGCGTATCTATCTATTATGCTCTTCCTAGCTCTATCTGCTGAAAGGGTTTCAGAGTAATGGTATACTAGAAGCAATGAGCACATGTGCCTAGATCTTGGTTTCTGAACAGTATTATTCACTAAAAGTAACTGGGTCCCTTGGAGAAATGGTTGATTTTAGAACAGGAGCCTGGAAAATTCTTGTTGCACCAGAAGTTAAGGAAGTTAATACAGAATGAAGAAACATATCAAAAGGTCACAGAAGCCAGCTTGAAGGAGCCACCACTGGCCACATCTGGGTCAATCTGAGCACCAATATAATGTTAATGGATTATAGTCCGCTAAATAAAATAGGAATATTTGAGCCCATACTAAAATGAATAAATGATTTTTTTGAAAAATCAGGATAAAGAAAAGCTCTGCCTTACATAAAAATGCCAACTAAATGTAATGAATGTAGACAGTGTTATATGTAGAAACATCATTATTTGGCAGTCATGATAGTAACAGTTGATTCAGACTAGAATCATCAGTGTATGCTAAAACTAGAGGGTGAGAGTATTAAGAGACATATAATATTTATATAGTCTCAAAGTATCTCTCCAGCAAATACTTATTAATTACACAGAGAAAAATTAGAAAACTTGACAGTGTAGAAATCTGGCACTGGTGAGCGAAGTTACCATCAGCAGTCATGAGACAAATCAGCATCGTGTATGTCCTGGTTAGAGGCACTTAGAATACACTTCTGTGACATTCCTGCCAAAAATGTGTAATCCGAATCAATCGTGAGGAAAAAATCAGACAACCCAAATGTCCCAAATTGAGGGACATTCTACAAAATAATAGACCTGTACTCTTCAAAGATCAAGGTCATGAAAGACAAAGGAACAACTAAAGAACGTTTTTAGATTGAAGGAGAATTAAGATACATGACAATTAAGTGGAATACATGATTCTGAATTGAATCCTTTTGCTATAAGGATATTATTGGGACAACTAACAATTTGAATGGGGTCTCTGGATTAGATGGTAGTATTTTAACAATATTAATTTCCTGATTTTGATGACTATAGTGACATAGATATTTTTGGTTTTAGAAAATACATATTGAAGTATTAAAGGTGATGAGGCTTCATATCTGCAACCTATTCAAATGGTTCAGGAAAAAAGTATACATAAATACTGTAAATAAATATAAACATAAATAATATACATAAAGAAAATGATAAAGCAAATGTTAACAGGGAATTTGGGCGAAAGCAGAAGTTCTTTATACTATTCTTGCAATTTTTCTGTAAGTTTATAATTATTTTAAAACTATAAAAGAAGTTTGAAAGGTGCCGAGGTTTCTGGCTCAGGTAACTGGGTGGAGAATGGCTAATCAGTTAACGACAAAAAATCAGGAAGAGCAAGCATGGAGGAAAAGATGTTTAGTTGCAATGGGATGTATGGAGTGGGATGTTCAGCAGGCAGTTGAGTATATACTAAACATATTAATGAGCCCCATTCAAACTGAATAAAGCAGATATGTTGCTTTAGCTCTCATTAGTCGAGAGTGCAAGACCAAGGGCACTCCGCTATCCTAGGAGAGGCAAACAATTAAGAGTGGTAGTATGGTAATAATTCTAAAAATTGGCTGAGTATCCATGAAAAAAATTGTGTGTATATATATATATATACACACACATATATGTATAAACATATATACACACATATATGTATAAATATATATCCACATATATGTATATATATACACACATATATGTATATATACACACATATATGTATAAATATATATACACATATATGTGTATGTGTGTGTGTGTGTGTATATATATATGTATGTATATAAATTGAACCGTTTAGGAATAAAATAGATTTAGGGTATTCGACACATTTAATACATAATGAATAGTGAATTTCTTGAATAATATAATGCCTAAATGTGACTGATATGCAAAATATTTAAATCCCTTACAGGATGTGCATTTACCAATCAGAACAGATGTTGGCTTTACTGCTTGTATTAGTTTTCTGTATTAGTTTGCTTGTATTAGTTTGCTGGGGCAGCCATAACAAAGTACCACAGAAATTTATATTCTCACAATTCTGGGGGCTAGAAGACTGAGATAAAGATGTCTGCAGGGTTGGTTTCTTCTAAGGACTCTCTTGTTGGCTTGTAGATGGTTGTTGTCTCCCTGTGTCTTCACCTGCACTTCCCTCTGTACCTGCCCGTATCTTAATCTCTTCTTATAAGGACAGAGTCATATTGGATTAGGGCTCACCCTAATGACCTCCTTTTAACTTAATTACCTCTTTAGAGACTCTGTCTTCAAATACAGGCACATTCTGAGGTACTTTAAGGTTAGAACTTCAACATATGCATTTGGAACTGGGGCATAACTGAGTCCATGACACTATTGGAGAGGGTTCTGGAGCCATAACAGATGGAATGAATGGGCCTTGTTTGGATTCTAATTTAAATAAACCAACTATAGAAAAACATGTTTTAGGCAATCAGATTTTTTGTTATGGGCTAAATATTTAGAAGATGTTAAGAAATGTTTATTAATTTCATTAGGTAAAATAATGTTGGTGTGGTTATGTAGAGTATGACTTACGTGCACAGAACAGAATGATAAGGTGTCCAGGATTTGCTTTAAAATATTCTAGATTTTTTTAAAAGGTGAGAGGAAATGACACATGTATATCTAAATTTTGATGGTTGTTGAAGCTGGCTGGTAGGTACCTAGTATTTCATTATACTTTTTCCTTTGTGTGTTTGGAAATTTTTATAATAAGCAGGAAAAATAAAAGTAAGAATATATGTATTATAGATAATTTGAAATATGTAGAATCATGAAAAAAAGGAAAAAATACTCAATACCACTACCCAAGAGAATCTAAATTAACTTTTTTGACAAATTTCGTTTCAGTCTGTTTTCCATGCGTATTTTAATTTTGGTCATGTTGTGTGTAAAATGTTTATTTCTGCTTACTTGAATGAACATTATGTTGCAATTTCATTTCCATGCTATTACAATAGTGCCCCCTTAACCATGGTTTTGCTTTCTGAGGTTTCACTCAACAAGCTTGGTTTGAAAATTTTTAGAGAGAAAATAAGAGATTACATTTACATAATAACTATTAATACAGTATATTGTTATAAAAACTTTATATTGTTATTAGTTATTGCTGTTAATCTCTTACTGGGCCTAATTTATAAATTAAACTTTATGAGAGGTGTGAAAGTTGATTATAGAAATTGGGTCATTCTTGTTGTACCCAACTAAATCAGAGTGAAGGGCCCAGGGGAAAAAGCATTTGGGGCATATAGCATCTGCTCCAAGAATTAAATTTTCCACAAGCCCAGCTACTGAAACTGCCTGTTGTAATCTGAAATCAGTTTTATCTGATAGCTAATGAAATAACCTGCTGTGACACTAAGATTAGTTTTACCCACTGCCATCACTCGCCAATCAGAGCTCGCCAGCTCCCCAAATGTTACCCATTGTTTCTTTGCAAAACAATGGGTAACATTTTTCCTTTTTATAAAACCTCCAACCTGATCTTTGTTTTTCAGACATACTGAAGACCACCCATTCTGTGTGTTTGCCTGGAAATGCAATTCTCATTTCCCAAATAAAATGTTTGAAATGTGGAAATTTGACTCTATGTTTTATTTGACTTTGAGAAAGGCATGCAAGTATAGTAAATACAGGCTTTGCTACTACCTGTAGTTTCAGACATCCACTGGGGATCTTGGAACATATCCCATGCAGATAAGAAGGAGATGCTGTATATATCACCACTTAATCATCACTGGAAATTCTAACTTTGTTAGTAATGTTCTTATGTGCACGTGGAAAAATTTCAAACAATCGTTCAGATATTTATAATGTGGTAACCGAAAGTCAGCCGTGTTTTTAATCACTGATCAGTCTTCTATACATTCTTTCATACTTCCATTCATACATATACTAAATATACTAAATTATAAAGATAACTTCTTACCATAGATTTTGTCCTGTCATCTTGTTTTTGTCCTTTATCAAGTATTATTATTTCTAAAAGGCTTTTTATGTCAGTAACATATATCTACCCCATTCATTTTAATGGCTTTATGCTATATCACTTCTAATCCAAAGTGTTTTTAAGCAATTATAGTGAAAGTGTCAAAAGGTGATATGGTGGCTTTTAAAAAATAAGATACTTTTCTTATAAGTCTCTCATATTATTATTTATTCCTCAGCATTTTATAGATTTTTGGTGCTATTTTGAATGCATCCAATTCTTATTACATTTTCTAACCGGTGATTGCACATTTTCCTGCTTTTCCTCTTTCTAGGGCTCCTTTACTAGTTCATGCCTATCACCTTGACCTCTTGATATTGGAATGTCCCAGAGGTATGTTCCTGGACTTCTCTATCTACACGTACTCACTCAGTGATTTCTTACAGTTCTATAGTCCCACTGTCATGTAGACTACTCCCAAATATATCCCTTCTGCCCATTATTCTTCCTTGAACTTCAGACTCATAAATCTAACTGTATATTACATGTCTCCACTTAGATGTCCGACATATTCTCAAACTTAACTTTTCTAACACTGAATTCCTCATCTGCCTCCTCAAATCCCCACTTTCTCCATCTCAAGCAATGACAACTCCATTCTTCCAGTTACTCAAGCCAAACACCAAATACATTGGAGTAACTGTTAAATCAAGCTTAGCCTAAAACTACCTCCTTACATATTTTAAATTCAGCCTAAATGTTTCTTTGTACATCTTAAACTATAACAAGTAGAAGTGTAACCAGATGTAGCCTACACTTGGGCCAATCACCAAGTTTTGGCCAATCAAATGTCGTCAACTATTCAAACCATGTTTAAATAAGGCAAACACAAAGCTGTAACCAATCCAGCTGGTTCTGTACCTCACTTCCATTTTCTGTGCCTCACTCCTTTTTCTGTCCATAAATCTTCCAGCACATGGCTGCGCTGGAGTCTCCGAGCCTACTCTGTCTGGGAAGGCTGTCTGATTTGCAAATCATTCACTGCTCAATTAAATTCCTTTAAATTTAATTCAGTTAAAGTTTTTCTTTTATCATAACCTTTGACCTTTCTCCTTTTCTTATACCCCATATCCAACCTATCAGATTACTATAGGTTCGAACCCAAATCCTATGAAACAGAGGATATGGTTATAATTTTGAGGGAAGATTTTTTTTTTCTCTACCTGAACTTTAGCCCCTACAAACAAACTTCCTTGTTTATCTTTGCTGCTGTAATCTTTTAAGGGTTCCACTTTTATGCAAACATCTTAGTTCTCACACTGAGCAAGGCCTTGAATCCTATGCTTTGGGAGGCCATTGCATTCTAAGACTACATTCCTGGCATCAGCAAGTGCCCCTCTAGTAAAAATGCCCTCAGCCCCTACTTTCCACTCTTGTTTTAGTTCTTTCTTCTCTTTGGCCCCCGAGGAATTCAATGATGCAATTTAGTCAGCATTTCTAGCTGGTTTTCAGGTTTTTTTTTTTTTTTTCAGAGTATCTTTGTGACATATTGGGAAAAGAGGAATTCCTTCTCTCTCAACTGTTAATACATGTTGAAAGGAATTTTATGAGTAATAGTAATGGCTTTGTAATAGTGATTGTTACTCAAATTTAGCAGATGACTTACTGAAGTAATTAAACCTTCCTTATACCCTTTCTGTGGGTGGCATGCCACGAAAACTCGATCAACCTGTATACATGGGTTAGGTAGAACCCACTGAGCTTTCCATTATGTATAAAGCTGTCTGTAGATTTACTGGCTGTGTATAAATACCATTTTATTAGGAAAATGTTTTGGTTTAGGTCTCAGAAGGTCCCATGAAAAACAGTAACTTCTGCAGAGACTAAGGGGAAGAGTTAAAAAATAGTAATAATTTAAAAATCCATTTCAGCATATGATTAATTCAGTTGTCTAAAGCAATGAGCACTAGATGGCAGCATATCAATGTGTATCGTTACCTGTGCCTGAAAGACCTCATTTTAAGGGTGTGTAAGGTCTTATTGCTGTTTTACCATGCACCAGTTTGCTATCCTGAACTATTTACTTTACTGTTTAATCTGTTGGTTTGAACTTATAATAGTTGATGAGATGTATTTGACACCAGGTTTGAAAATAGAGTTTCTAGATTAATAAATATACAGGATGGTGCCGGTACCACCAGTCTGTCTAGCAAAATATGCAAGAATTCAGAGCCCTTTCCTGTCATTAAAGGCCACCCTCCAGAGAGCTTATCTTTCATCTATGATAAGAGGTCTTCTGGTTGGACAAAAAGCACATTTTGGACACTCATTCCTGTCTTGAGTTTCAAACCTTTTGTGGCCGCTAATGTTTAACTTTTCATCTTACTATTCAAATGGCATCTCTTTACTAGATTGGAAACCACTTTCGTATCTCTTACCAAGTGTGAAAATAGGGGCCTCCCAAACTCTGTTGTGGGTAGTTACCAGGTCTTCTTCTCTAAAGGACTCAGGTCAGATATCTCTGTCACAGATGAGAAAGGAATTTCCTTCTTATCACATTTGATTGTATAATTAGTATTTAAAATGTAAAAAAGAAAAAATGACATAACTTTAATGTATAATTTAACTGGATGGCTCCATTTTTCTCTTGTTAACTCAGATCATTTATAATTTTTTTTCTTTTAAAATGTTTAGAATAAATTATTAAAGTACATGTTAATAATACAGGAGGGGGCTGGGCACAGTGGCTCATGCCTGTAATCCCAGCACTTTGGGAGGCTAAAGCGGGCGGATCACTTGAGGCCAGGAGTTCGAGACCAGCCTGGCCAACATGGTGAAACCCCGTCTCTACAAAAGTACAAAAAGTTAGCTGGGCGTGGTGGTGTGCGTCTGTAATCCCAGCTACTCGGGAGGCTGAGGTGGGAGGATCGCTTGAACCCAGGAGGCAGAGGTTGCAGTGAGCCAAGATTGTGCCACTGTACTCTAGCCTGGGTGACGGAGCAAGACCCTGTCTCAAAATAATAATAATAATAATAATAATAATAAAAAAAAATAGATAAATAAAGGGCTTACAAGGAAAAATTCCAAATCCCTGCTTCACCTATTCCTTGCCACAGTACTGTTCCTGAGACCAAATTGGCTTAAATAGCTTCTGTTTTTGTTTCTTCTGATGATTACCCATCTCTTACTACTATTTCTTGATTCATCAGTTTTAAATATTGTCTTAATCTATTGTGGAGAGAGATGGGCAGTGATTTAACTCATTAGCATTGCCTTCTACTGTCCCTATCCATCTCTTCCCAATAAAGTCATAGAAAGAGGCACAGCAGTATAATAGATAAGAGCACAGACTCAAGTCCTACTTGCACCACTTGCTGGCTGTATAATCTTAGGCAAGTTACTCAAGCTCTCTGAGCCTCTTTTTTTTCTCATGTGTAATATGGGGATAATAATAGTCAATTCCTTGGAGGATTATTGTGAGGATAAATGTGTCAATAAATTTAAAGCACTAAACAAGTGTTACTATTACTATTACTACATTTAATTTCTCTTTGCATGTTTAAATAACATACTTGCCCCTTTGTTTTTGAGCCCTGTATGTATTATCTCTTGATACCTCCCATCGTAAGAAGATATTGACAACTTTATTCTTCCCTTCACTCCCGCCCTCTTCTGCATCTTAATCTCACCTTTTATTCCATCTCTAACTGCTTTTCTATTCTCTGGGAGATTTTTTTAAACTTAATCTTCTAACCATATATTGAAAAATTTACTTTAGCAATAACATTTATAATTTCTGAGAGTTTTATTTCTAATGTTTAATTTTATAGAATTTAAAGATTCAGTATTTTCTTGACTATTGTGTTAGAGTTCAGTCAAAGAGCAAAAATGACCACACCCATAATTTGGATAGGGAAGATAACTGTGAACTAAGTAAAGGATGTATTAACTACTAAGAGAGAACTGTAAAATATACCGAGGTAGTAGCTGCAAAAAGTACCTGCTACTCCTAGGATTGAGGAAAAATTGAATAAGGAAGGAAACTGGAATCTCCAGAGGCAGAGATTCAGGCCTGAGTGGGCATGGTTGCCGCAGGAATGCCCCTCTGCTGCTGTGAGAAACACCGGAGGGACCCTTGCATGCCTGACAAGAGGAAAAGAACACCAGAACAAAAATTGCCTCTTGATCATGGCTTATGATCCTTTGGATGTGCTGTGGAATTTGGTTTGCTTGTCCTTGGTTGAGGATTTTTGCATCTATGTTCAACAGGGATTTGGGCCTTGTCATTTCTTTTCTTGTAATGTCCTTGTTTGGCTTTGATATCATGCTAATGCTAGCCTTGTGAATGAGTTTGCAAGTGTTCCCTCAGCTTCAATTTTTTGGAAGAGTTTGACAAGAGTTGCTGTTACAGTAATTACCAGTGAAGTGAAAGAGCTTTGCGCTTTTTGTTGTTGTTGTTAGGAGGCTCTTGATTACCGATTCAATTCCCATACTCATTATTGGTCTGTCAGATTTTCTGTTTCTTCATAATTCAGTCTAGGTAGGTTGTATGTTTCTAGGAATTTATCTCTGTCTTCCAGTTTATCCAATTTGTTGGCATTTAATTGTTCATAGTAGTCTCTTAGAATCCTTTGTATTTCTGTGGTGTTAAGTTTTAATATCTCTTCTTTCATTTACAATTTTATGTATCTGAGTCTTCTCACTTTTTCCCTCAGTTTAAGTCTTGTCAATTTTGTTTATCTTTTCAAAAGATAAGCAACTCTGAGTTTTGTTAATAATTTCTATTTCTTTTCTAGTGTCTATTTTACTTGTTTCTGCTCTAATCTTTATTGTTTCCTAATTTCTAGTAATTTTGGGCTTAGTTTGTTCTTTTTCTAGTTTCTTGAGGTGTAAAGTCAGATTGCTTATTTGAGATCTTTCTTTTTTCTAAATTATTATTTATTATTATTATTATTATTATTATTATTATACTTTAAGTTTTAGGGTACATGTGCACAATGTGCAGGTTAGTTACATACGTATACATGTGCCATGTTGGTGTGCTGCACCCATTAACTCGTCATTTAGCATTAGGTGTATCTCCTAATGCTGTCCCTCCCCCCTCCCCCCAGCCCACAACAGTCCCCAGAGTGTGATGTTCCCCTTCCTGTGTCCATGTGTTCTCATTGTTCAATTCCCATCTATGAGTGAGAACATGCAGTGTTTGGTTTTTTGTCCTTGAGATAGTTTACTGAGAATGATGATTTCCAATTTCATCCATGATGTCCCTACAAAGGACATGAACTCATCATTTTTTATGGCTGCATAGTATTCCATGGTGTATATGTGCCACATTTTCTTAATCCAGTCTATCATTGTTGGACATTTGGGTTGGTTCCAAGTCTTTGCTATTGTGAATAGTGCCGCAATAAGCATACATGTGAATGTATCTTTATAGCAGCATGATTTATAGTCCTTTGGGTATATACCCAGTAATGGGATGGCTGGGTCAAATGGTATTTCTAGTTCTAGATCCCTGAGGAATCGCCACACTGACTTCCACAATGATTGAACTAGTGTACAGTCCCACCAACAGTGTAAAAGTGTTCCTATTTCTCCACATCCTCTCCAGCACCTGTTGTTTCCTGACTTTTTAATGATTGCCATTCTAAGTGGTGTGAGATGGTGTCTCATTGTGGTTTTGATTTGCATTTCTCTGATGGCCAGTGATGATGAGCATTTTTTCATGTGTCTTTTGGCTGCATAAATGTCTTCTTTTGAGAAGTGTCTGTTCATATCCTTTGCCCACTTTTTGATGGGGTTGTTTGTTTTTTTCTTGTAAATTTGTTTGAGTTCATTGTAGATTCTGGATATTAGCCCTTTGTCAGATGAGTAGGTTGCGAAAATTTTCTCCCATTTCGTAGGTTGCCTGTTCACTCTGATGGTAGTTTCTTTTGCTGTGCAGAAGCTCTTTAGTTTAATTAGATCCCATTTGTCAATTTTGGCTTTTGTCGCCATTGCTTTTGGTGTTTTAGACATGAAGTCCTTGCCCATGCCTGTGTCCTGAATGGTAATGCCTAGGTTTTCTTCTAGGGTTTTTATGGTTTTAGGTCTAACATTTAAGTCTTTAATCCATCTTGAATTAATTTTTGTATAAGGTGTAAGGAAGGGATCCAGTTTCAGCTTTCTACATATGGCTAGCCAGTTTTCCCAGCACCATTGATTATATAGGGAATCCTTTCCTCATTGTTTGTTTTTCTCAGGTTTGTCAAAGATCAGATAGTTGTAAATATGCGGCATTATTTCAGAGGACTCTGTTCTGTTCCATTGATCTATATCTCTGTTTTGGTACCAGTACCATGCTGTTTGGTTACTGTAGCCTTGTAGTATAGTTTGAAGTCAGGTAGCGTGATGCCTCCAGCTTTGTTCTTTTGGCTTAGGATTGACTTGGTGATGCAGGCTCTTTTTTGGTTCCATATGTACTTTAAAGTAGTTTTTTTCCAATTCTGTGAAGAAAGTCATTGGTAGCTTGATGGGGATGGCATTGAATCTATAAATTACGTTGGGCAGTATGGCCATTTTCACGATATTGATTCTTCCTACCCATGAGCATGGAATGTTCTTCCATTTGTTTGTATCCTCTTTTATTTCCTTGAGCAGTGGTTTGTAGTTCTCCTTGAAGAGGTCCTTCACATCCCTTGTAAGTTGGATTCCTAGGTATTTTATTCTCTTTGAAGCAATTGTGAATGGGAGTTCACTCATGATTTGGCTCTCTGTTTGTCTGTTATTGGTGTATAAGAATGCTTGTGATTTTTGTATATTGATTTTGTATCCTGAGACTTTGCTGAAGTTGCTTATCAGCTTAAGGAGATTTTGGGCTGAGACAATGGGGTTTTCTAGATATACAATCATGTCGTCTGCAAACAGGGACAATTTGACTTCCTCTTTTCCTAATTGAATACCCTTTATTTCCTTCTCCTGCCTAATTGCCCTGGCCAGAACTTCCAACAGTATGTTGAATAGGAGTGGTGAGAGAGGGCATCCCTGTCTTGTGCCAGTTTTCAAAGGGAATGCTTCCAGTTTTTGCCCATTCAGTATGATATTGGCTGTGGGTCTGTCATAGATAGCTCTTATTATTTTGAGATACGTCCCATCAATACCTAATTTATTGAGAGTTTTTAACAATCCGAGTCTCTGATAAAACAGACTTTAAACCAACAAAGATCAAAAGAGACAAAGAAGGCCATTACATAATGGTAAAGGGATCAATTCAACAAGAAGAGCTAACTCTCCTAAATATATATGCACCCAATACAGAAGCACCCAGATTCATAAAGCAAGTCCTGAGTGACCTGCAAAGAGACTTAGACTCCCACACAATAATAGTGGGAGACTTTAACACCCCACTGTCAACATTAGACAGATCAACGAGACAGAAAGTTAACAAGGATTCCCAGGAATTGAACTCAGCTCTGCACCAAGCGGACCTAATAGACATCTACAGAACTCTCCACCCCGAATCAACAGAATATGCATTTTTTTCAGCACCACACCACACCTATTCCAAACTTGACCACATAGTTGGAAGTAAAGCTCTCCTCAGCAAATGTAAAAGAACAGAAATTATAACAAACTGTCTCTCAGACCACAGTGCAATCAAACTAGAACTCAGGATTAAGAAACTCACTCCAAACTGCTCAACTACATGTAAACTGAACAACCTGCTCCTGAATGACTACTGGGTACATAACGAAATGAAGGCGGAAATAAAGATGCCTTTTGAAACCAACGAGAACAAAAACACAACATACCAGAATCTTTGGGACACATTCAAAGCAGTGTGTAGAGGGAAATTTACAGCACTTAATGCCCACAAGAGAAAGCAGGAAAGATCCAAAATTGACACCCTAACATCACAATTAAAAGAACTAGAAAGCAAGAGCAAACACATTCAAAAGCTAGCAGAAGGCAAGAAATAACTAAAATCAGAGCAGAACTGAAGGAAATAGCAGCAAAAAAAAAAACCCTTCAAAAAATTAATGAATTCAGGAGCTGGTTTTTCGAAAGGATCAACAAAATTGATAGACCGCTAGCAAGACTAATAAAGAAAAAAAGAGAGAAGAATCAAATAGATGCAATAAAAAATGATAAAGGGGATATCACCACCGATCCCACAGAAATACAAACTATCATCAGAGAATACTACAAACACCTCTATGCAAATAAACTAGAAAATCTAGAAGAAATGGATAAAGTCCTCCACACATACACTCTCCCAAGACTAAACCAGGAAGAAGTTGAATCTCTGAATAGACCAATAACAGGCTCTGAAATTGTGGCAATAATCAATAGCTTACCAACCAAAAGGAGTCCAGGACCAGATGGATTCACAGCCGAATTCTACCAGAGGTACAAGGAGGAACTGGTACCATTCCTTCTGAAACTATTCCAATCAATAGAAAAAGAGGGAATCCTCCCTAACTCATTTTATGAGGCCAGCATCATCCTGATACCAAAGCCGGGCAGAGACACGACCAAAAAAGAGAATTTTAGACCAATATCCTTGAAGGACATTGATGCAAAAATCCTCAATAAAATACTGGCAAACGCAATCCAGCAGCACATCGAAAAGCTTATCCACCATGATCAAGTGGGCTTCATCCCTGGGATGCAAGGCTGGTTCAATATATGAAAATCAATAAATGTAATCCAGCATATAAACAGAACCAAAGACAAAAACCACATGATTATCTCAATAGATGCAGAAAAGGCCTTTGACAAAATTCTAAATTATTATTAAAGCAGGCTTTATCTCTATAAACTTCTCTCCTAAAACTAATTTTGCAGCATCTCATAAGTTTTGGTATGCTGTGTTTTCATTTTCATTTGTCTCAAGTTTTTAAAATTTCTTTTTTGATGTCTTCTTTGACCTATTGGTTGTTCAAGGGTTTGTTGTTAACCTAAATGTCTACTGACAGATGAATGGATAAAGAAAATGTGGTCTATACATACGATGGAATATTACTCAGCCTTAAAAAAGAAGGAAATCCTGCCATTTGTGACAACATGGATAGACCTAGAGGGCATTATGCTGTGAAATAAGCCAGACACAGAAAGACAAATATGATCTCATTTATGTATGGAATTTAAAATAGTCAAACTCATAAAAGCAAAGATTAGAACAGTGGTTTCCAGGGACTAGGGGAAGGGGGAAGTGGGGAGGTGATGATTAAAGAACATAAAGTTTCAGTTATGCAAAATAAATAAGTTCTGAAGATCTACTGTGCAGCGTAGTGCCTATAGCTAAAAACACTGTATTATATACTACAAATTTGCTAAGGGGGTAGATCTTATGTTAAGTGTCCTTAGAACAAAAAAAAAAGGAGTGGAGGGCAGAAGAAATTTTCCAAGGTGATGAATATATTTATGGCTTTGATGGTGGTGATGGTTTCACAAGTATATATTTATTCTCAGACTCACTGAGTTTTATACATTATATATGTATAGCTTTTTATATATCAATCATACCTCAATAAAGTAGTTTGAAATAAAATTAAAAACACCCCCTCCAATTCTGACCTCAGTGTCCAACCTTGCAGTTTCTTCTCCCAGTGACCTCTATTAACAGAGCCTACATGGAACCAGCCGGCAAAGACAAGTTCCACTGTCACAACTAGAGAAAAGAGGATGGGTTTGGAATTGAAAGGTAATAGATTATTAACTGGCATAACTATCTGTGAAAATATTCAATAAATAGACTGTTTCCTTCAAATCCTTGAATCATTTCAACTTTCTCAGTGGACTTTTTAATCTTGGTTTATCTTTACTGGCCTCCCTTTAATTCTGGAGCCTTTAAAAAGTGTCCAGGGTTCCTTAGTTACTTGTTAAAAATAAGGGAATGAAAAGTTGATTGGTTGTGGGCTGGGCTTGTCCATTGATCAACTTTCCTTTAGGGTGTTTGGATGGGAAACAAACATACTGACTGCCCGGCTTTTGTCCATAACATGCAGTTTGTATAGAGAAGAATCTTCTGCCTTTTTGCTAGAGTGGTAAATCCCTGGGTTCCCACTTCTTGGGGTAAGGGAGTTGGGGGGCAATTTTAACCAACACTAATTTTCAATTAATACCTTCATTTTCTACTATATGCTTCCAATTGGTGTTTTCTGAGCTTCTCTGTATTTCTGCAAGGCCAATTTACTCAGCTTCCATAGAAACCATTTGCATTAATTTCTTGTGGCTACCTGTAACACATTGCCACAAACTTAGCAGCCTTTGGAACAATAGAAATGTATTCTTTCACAGATCTGGAGGCCAGAAGTCAAAAAAATCAAGGTGTCAGCAGCCTAGAGTTTTTGACTTCTGGCCTCCACACCTGTGCAGCCCTCCCTTCAGAGGCTCGGCAGGGAATATGTTCCTTGCCTTGACCAGCTTTTGGCAGCCGTTGACATTCCTCAGCTGGCAGCTGTGTCACTCCAAATCTCCGCCTTTGTCTTCACAGGCCCTTCTCCTTGTCTATGTAATCTGCTCCCTGCCTCACTGTTAATAAGGACAGTTATTGTTGAATTTAGGGCTGCCCAGAAAATCCAGAGTGATCTTCTCACCTCAAGACCCTTGACTTAATGATATCTGCAAGACTCTTTCCAAGTAAGGTAACATTCACAGGCTGAGGAATGAAGACATGGACATATCTCTTTGATTACCACCATTCAACTCACTACACCACTCTTCTAACTGCTTAATCTCTTTAGGAAATTTGATGACCTTTCTTGTTTGCTAATGGCCTGCTTTCTGTCCTTTTTATTCTTTATTGATTTTGTGTATTTCTCTCTCTTGCTCTTTCTCTCTCTCTTTCTCCATATATATGGAGAAACACACACACACATACACATATAAAGTATATATAACAACAAATATATATACATACACACATATATATAAAATATACATAACAACAAATATAAAATATGTGTGTATATATGTAAATATATATAATAATTGTGTATGTGAATGTGTGTGTGTGTGTGTATGTATCCTTTATAACCACTTACTGGGTTATTAGGAATAAAATAATATAAATGTGTGTGGTTAGTCCACAATCTTGACTTTCACATATATAGTTTATTTCAAAAGAATTTTTACTAGGTAATCTCTGAATAAAATCAAATTAAGCTAAAGTCTGGGAAAGTACAGAACAAATAAGTTAGGTTATGTAAAAGAGCTTAATTTAATTAGCAGTTTATGTATCTCTCCTCTCTCTTGCTCTCTCTCTCTCTCTCTAGCTCTCGCCTCTTAATATTTTTCAACCTGTTCTGTCATGATTCCACAAATATTCAAGTCCTTCATGTTTCCAGGGTAACAGTAAGTATTCGGCAGTTTATCTGACACCTTCCATTTAAGATAGGAAAAAAATAATAGAAAGAAAATGTCATTAATGTATGCAAGGCTGACCATTATGACATTTGGCTGTCTGTTATCTTTACAAATACGTTCTCTTCTTTCCCATGTTTCTGGTTGCAACTTTCTGACCAGTGATAGGAATAGGTGGCATATATGCTACCCACTTCTCCAACTTGCTCTTGTCCGTGATTACTAATTGGTTATATAATTCATTTTCGGTAAGCCTGGATATAGGTTCAAAATTATTTTCTATACAATATTAAGGAGGCATAACAATTTATTGGAGCTGGCATGTAAATTGAAAATTGCTTGCTGTTTATGCTCCAAACTTTCTACCTCACAGATCTCATGACTCGAATATATTTTACCACTACAGTTTTCTCCCATAGTTATAATTTTGTCATTGCTTCTGCTCTAACCAAGCAGTTAGAGAAGGCAGTACAATATAGTCAAAAGAGCACTAGATTGGGTGCAAAAAAGCTTGAGTTTTTGTTCTATATTAATTACTTGTGTTATAGTGGATAAATTATTTATCCTTCTAGATCTCAGTTTTCTTGCTAAGGCAATAAGGCAATTGGACTATGGTAATTCCTAAGATACTTAACAACTCTAAAAACTTTTAATATCCAGCAGCCAACTAGATATTTCCACTTAAACGTTACATCATTACCCAAAATTCAACCCATCAAAAAATCTTAATTCAATGCCCTAAAAACATCTTTGCCCCTTAGGTTTGGTATTTCTCGTACTTTGCACTCTAAATTCAAAATCTTTTAGTCATGTTTACTTCTCATCTTTTATTTACCTTCTATAGTTTATCTATTACCAAGTACTATAAATTCTTCCTTAAAAAGGCCTTTGGCTCTATCCATTACTTTATATATCAGCTCTCACTACTCTGACTCAAGAATTTATGTTCCCAATAAACTTGACCTTTCACTTCCCTTGTTAGCCTTATTTCTAGATATTTTATCTGTTTTTGTGGCAATTGTGAATGGGATTGCCTCTCTGATTTGTCTCTAGGCTTGGCTGTTGTTGATATAAAGGAATGCAGCTAACCAGGGAGATGGAAAATCTCTACAGTGAGAGCCACAAAACACTTCTCAAAGAAATCAGAGATGACACAGACAAATGGAAAAACATTACATGCTTATGGATAGGAAGAATCAATATCATTAAAATGGCCATACTGCCCAAAGCAATTTACAGATTGAATGTTATTTCTATCAAACTACCAATGACATTTTTCACAGAACTAGAAAGAACTATTTTAAAATTCATATGGAACCAAAAAAGAGTCTGAATAGCCAAGGTAACCCTAAGCAAAAAGAACAAAGCTGGAGACATCCCAGTATTTGACTTCAAACTATACTACAGGACTACGGTAACCAAAACAGCATGGTACTTTTTTACAAAAGGAGACACATAGACCAATGGAACAGAATAGAGAGCCCAGAAATAATGCCAGACACCTACAACCACATGATCTTTGACAAAGCTGACAAAAACTAGCAATGGGGAAAAAGCTCCCTCTTCAGTAAATGGTGCTGTGATAACTGGCTAGCCATATACAGAAGATTGAAACTGGACCCCTGCTTTACACCATGTAAAAAACTCAGCCCATGATGAATCAAATACTTAAATGTAAAACTCAAAACTATAAAAACCCTGGAAGATATCCTAAGCAATACCACTCTGGTCAGAGCAACAAGCAAAAATTTCATGAAGACACCAAAAGCAATTGCAACACAAGCAAAAATTGACAAATAGGATCTAGTTAAGCTTAAGAGATTCTGCACAGCCAAAAAAAAAAAAAAAAAAAACTATCAGCAGAGTGAACAGACAACCTACAGAATGGGAGAAAATATTTGCAAACTATGCATATTACAAAGGTCTAATATCCAGCATCTATAAGGAACTTAAACAAAATTACAAGAGAAAAACAACCCTATTAAAAAGTGAGCAAAGGACATGACCAGATACTTTGAAAAAGAAGACATACTTGCGGCCAACAAGCATATGAAAAAAGCTTGATATCACCGATCATTAGAGAAGTGCAAATGAAAACCACAATATCATCTCATACCAGTCAGAATGGCTATTACTAAAAAATAAAAATAAAAAGATGCTGGCAAGGTTGTGGAGGAAAGGGAACACTTATACACTTGGTGAGCGTGTAAATTAGTTCAATGATTGTGGAAACCAGTATGGCGATTCCTCAAAATCCTAAAAGCAGAACTACCATTGTGCCCAGGGATCCCATTATTGAATATCTACCCAGAGGAATATAAATTATTCTGCCATAAAGACACATGCATGCAAATGTTTATTGCAGCACTATTCACAATAGCAAAGACATGGAATCAACCTAAATGCCCATCAGTGGTAGACTGGATAAAGAAAATATGGTGCATACATATAAACAAATATTATGCAGTCATAAAAAAGAACAAGATCATGTATTTTGTGGGAATACTGAATAATCCTTACTGTCCCATGAAGTAGGTTCTAATTATAGATAAGAAAACTGAGATACAGGGAAACTGAGCAAGTTGCCCATGATAGCTAGTAATGGATGGAGACATAATGTTTGAACTCAGGCAGTTGGATTCAGAGCCTGGATTCCTAGTCACTGCACAGTGTCAATGCCTGACAGATAGATGTTACGAACGTTAACTGTTATATTAATTGCTGTACATTTTATCAACTAGATATCCATTCCATTCTCTCCACAGCCACTCATCATGCCTTACCTGGATGATGCAGAAGTCCCTGGAAACAGAAGGTCTCACCCTTCTTTATCTTTCTCATGGCTTTCCAAGGCTCTTTATCATGTTACTTTCCTGCTCAGAATTCTTTAATGACTTGCCTCAATGACCAGATACATGTGATCTACAGTCAGCCTTCCAGCCTCATCATTCCTCTTCCATTTCCTCCCCAGAAACACTGTACTTTATGAAGCTCCTCCAAGACGTAAGTTTCTCTCATATTTAAAGGAGAGTTATGCCATATGCTCTCATAATCATGCATATTTCCTTGTCCACTTGCCAAAATCCTATTTCTCCTTCAAGTCTCCTTGTAAATACCATTTCTCCTTTGAAGGAGATTCAATTCTCGATTCCCCAGGGTAGACTAGGTATTAATACTTATGCTATGCTCTAATGGCCTTTGAACACACATGCCACAATACATTTATATATACAATGAATGCTGGTATTTTATATCCCTTTTTTATGATAAGCACCTTAAGGACACTGCTGATGGGTATCTGTCTTAGTTGTTTTGTGCTGTTGTAACAGAATATCTGAGACTGGATAATTTATAACAAACAGAAATTTATTTCTCATGGTTCTGGAGGCTGGAAAGTCCAAGGTCAAGGTGACAGCAGGTTTGGTGTCTGGTAAGGACCTGGTCTTCATTTCCAAGATGGCACCTTAAACTCTGTATCCATGCCAGAAGAGCAGAAGAGAGTGAACCCATTCTCCAAAGTCTTTTTTATAGTGGCATTAATTCATTCATGAAGGCAGAGTCCCCATGACCCAAACACCTTCCATTAGGCTCCACCTCCCAACACTGTTGCATTAGGGATTAGGTTTTAATGTGAGTTTTGGAGGGAACAAAAACATTCAAAGCATAGCACTGTCCATCTTTGTATTTTCAGTATTTGTCACAGCACTCTGCACAGAGTAGGCACTAACTAATTACTGTATACCTTAACTGACTTTCATTCTTTCTATACCACTCAGAAAACATCAAAGCCATAGAAACACAAAGCCTCCCTCCCACTAGGTTTTTATTTTAATCAGCAGTTCTCAAAATTTTAAGAAATGGGATTTCTTGGAAAAATTCAAAATATTTTGGGGAGAAACCACAACTGGGTTTGCTAATAAATGCTGATATCTAAGTACTGAGCTAATTCTAACAAAATTAAGATTTGATTAAACTGACCTAGACCAACTGTGAGACTTGGGTGGGATGGCAGAGAATAACAAGAGAGAACAGAAGAAGGTACTCTTGGGCTGACCACTGGTTCAATATTCCTAGGGTGCCCTTGCTGTCCCAGAATAATTATCATGTTCTGGGCTTTGTTCTATGAGTTATAGCTACTCCTTTTTTCCCACTTGTGTTTCTCGCATCTGAATCTCCCTCCTTTAAGCCTTATTTACCCTGTTGATAAAGCTAAACTTCTGTTTTATCTCCAATCTCTTGTAATTTATTTATTTATTTATTTTAGTAATCTCAGACCTCTTATAGAATTGAGCCCCTGTTGTGTTCTTTCTAGCCTCTTTTCTGTAAAACTACAGAAATTCTCCCAATCTTAGCTTAGTTGCCAAGTTCCTGCCTTTAATGGACACACTAACTAGAAAAAGAACTTCAAATTGCCTGCATTGATAATAGCATAGTGGACGTGTGTGTGTGTGTGTGTGTGTGTGTGTGTGTGTGTGTGTTTTCTGCCCAGCATCCCTTTCCTCTAGTTTGGTAAAAATACGTTCATTTTAATATGAAAAATAATCCCCTCACCCTCTTCCATTGCATGTGGTCTTACAGGGGATGTCAGTGAAAGAGCCCTACCCAAGGCATTGACACTTGGCCTAAGCAAGAACAATCCATTATTTCTCTGCAAACTAAATCTGAAATGGTCTTCAACAGTTAAGATGTTAGTGATGGTTAACCATCTTTAGGGAGCTGCCATCACAGTAACCATCACTAACCATCTTAACTGTTTAAGAAATGGGATTTCTTAAATATAGAACCTAGCCCAGAACATGGTAATTAACTGTTTAAGATGGTTAGTGATGGTTAGCGTGTGCTGGCAGCTCTTTAAAGAGACTATTCATTAGTCCTGAATACCAGATTATTGGGGTCGTCCTGTTTCCTGTAGTATTCTACTTAATGCTTGATTGTTTAGCTTTTTATTTAGTTCTGTGAAAGACTCCATACCTTTCCAATAAATTATTTTTTGTGCCCTTAAATTAGATAGGGTTGGTTTACATTTTAAAACCCAAATTGACAAATGTAAATTCCTTGTTGCAGTGCTCTCTCAGCAGCTGGGACCCGGTCTTGGAATCTTAGTGTCAACTATGATGAATCACCAACACTAACAAAAACATTATCTTTTATTGGGTTAAATAGTTTCTACTCTTCCCAAGACTGGGAACTGATGTAACAGGCTTCGTGCTTTCTTCCCAACAAATTGATTCTGTGTGGTCAGCTCCTGTCATGATGATAGAACCCCCTGTATTGATTTATACTTAGGGGTATATCAATGTCAGTCTAAACTTGTCCTACCTACTTCTACTGCCTGATGAATCTTTTTATTTTAATCTTTACTAAGGTAAAACTTACATATTACAAGAGTCACCAATTCTAAGTGTATAGTTCAATGATTTTTAGTACGTTTATACATTACATAACCATCACCCCAATCCAGTCTTAGATTGCATGCCCAATCTTGTTGTGTGTATTTTCCATGGCCATTGATGGATCCTAGTATCATGTACTGCACGGGCTATACCAATATCAGGCCCAAGATGTGTAGCAGTCAATCCTGGAGGTCTTGTGGTGCCCTTAAATATAATGTAAGGGGAGAGTGTCAGTGTGGTGGATTCAGGGGCAATTACTATGCTATTGAAGAAGCACTGCCAAGGGCCAAATAGAAAAGACACTGGGCTCAAATAATAAAAATCAGCAAGGCAGACAAGACCACAGGAAACAGGGCACTTGGAAGAAATGCCATAGAGTCCAGTCAGCTGCTGCTGGATAGATCTGACTGCTTTTCATAGATGTAGCACACATCTGCTTGATGACGTCACCTGATGCCTTCTATGCCACATGTTTCAACTTCATTTAATACAAATTTTTTCACAAATTAGAATTAACATTTTAAATAAAAGGGGTTGAAAATATTAACAGATAAAAGATTTGCCTTGGATTGAATTTTTTTATTCCTCCTATTACCATTCATTTTAATGTGAACCCATCTGTGAGAAAAGTGGATAATTTATGTGAATAATGTAATGATGCTGTATTCTCCTAGATAATATTATACTGTTTTTGAAATTATCTCCTGCCCCCATTCCAAACTTATTGATGAATGGCACTGTATAGGAGTATCAAAAAACTAAGTTTGCAGATTCCTGAGACTGAGTATAGAGGGCTGATGTTAATCATAAGAAGATCTCATATTGAAACAGAACAACTGCGGTAAATTTGGAAGAGAATAACGCTTTTTTTTTTTGGAGACAGAGTCTTGCTCTGTCACCCAGGCTGGAGTGCAGTGGCACAATCTCGGCTCACTGCAACCTCTGCCTCCTGGGTTCAAGTGATTCTCCTGCCTCAGCCTCCTGAGTAGCTGGGATTACAGGCGCATGTCACCACGCCTGGCTAATTTTTTGTATAGTTAGTAGAGACGAGATTTCACCATGTTGGTCAGGTTGGTCTCGAACTCCTGACCTCGTGATCCACCCCCTTCAGCTTCCCAATTTATCACTTCTTTGGAGGCCAACAAAGTGCTGGGATTACAGGCGTGAGCCCCCACGCCTGGCCAAGAATAAAGCTTTTAATCTTTCCCCTCCCCTGATCTCTTTGCTTTCTGAAATAATCTCCTCACAAGGAGGTGAAACATTGAGTGGCCAGCCTGGCCTTGCTGTTGCTTCTGTATATCCCAGCCTGTCACTCTTAGGAGCACGATGAAGATCTATAAGTATCTCTACTTTGGTCCAGCTACACCTCCCCTTGAGGAATATAGATTGGAAAGGGTACAGAATATGTTTCCTCATTGGTAATGTTAACCTTTTATTTCTTCTGAATAATTTAATATTTGATGTGAAAGGCTATTTTTTGAAGTATCACATAATGAAACAACAGCCCTGAACAATATAGACATTAGAAGCATTTTTTTCTTTTACCTTACTACATGCGTTACCAAGGAAACAAAAGAAATTGGAAAACAAAGAAAACCAAAGGAGATGTAGCAATATTGGGGGTTATAATAACTTTGTGAAAAAGTTTCTTGCAGAGGTAAGTTCAGTTAAGGCACCTAAAAGCATCTTGACAACTGATAACTCACACTGCATGGTGGATACAAAATGTCCAATGAAATTCCCAAGATTTTTTAAAGCAAATGGTGTCTGTTTCTCACCAAGGATGCAAATCCAAACTGTTATCCAAGTCTTGTTCATAGTGCTTTCTAAATATCTCCAGAATGCATTGATCTTTATTATTTCTTGATCTCTGTTGCGCTTTCTCAAGCCTTCACGACAGTGTATGTCTTCCCTGGATTACTGTGATGATCTCCTACTAGACTCCCTGCCCTCAATCATGCCTCTGTAATCTGTAGTGTGCATGGTTGTCAGCAACTCTGTTCATGGCCACCATACTTAAATTTTTAAATTTCTCATGTTTCAGAATAAGGAACCCTTTAACTTGACATATTAGGAAGACGCTTCATGACCTAATTCCTATGTAATCTTTCCAACATCATCTCTCACGGCTGTCCTGCCTTATACTAGATGTGTCAAATGATGCAATTACTTCATTTGTTTATCTACTTAGCAAATATTGACTAAGCATTCAACATTGTCAGGCACTGTTTAAGTGTTGCAATATAATGGTAATACTTTCAGTTTCTAGAATAAGTCCTGGGCCTTATCTCTTATCTCTGGGCCTGTGCATATGTTTTTCTCTCTCCCGGGAACTCTCCTCTTCCTTGAAAGTATAAATTCTGCTAAGTGCGCTACTGCCTTACTTCTGGTAAACCTTCTCTATTACCTAGGCTGAATTAGGTGACTTGCTGGGTCCCCTCAAAATACCCTTCTCTCTCATGCATTTATCATGCTACACCTTTCACTTCTCTGTCTGCTCCACTAGAGTATAAACTTCTTAAGGCAATATGCCTTTTTCATTTTTGTATTTCCAAGACTGTGCCTTGCATATTATAGATGTTATTTATGGGATATCCTCTGAAAAATCTCCAAGTGAGTCCTAAGATCCTAGACATTGCCTAGTAATAATTTTTCCTTCATGAGGTAGCAGATGGATCTAATCTATTTTTTATTTTATTATTATTATTATTATTATTTTGAGACAGAGTCTCGCTCTGTTGCCCAGGCTGGAGTGCAGTGGCACGATCTCCGCTCACTGCAAGCTCCGCCTCCCGGGTTCACGCCATTCTCCTGCCTCAGCCTCCCAAGTAGTTGGGACTACAGGCGCCTGCTACCACACCCGGCTAATTTTTTGTATTTTTAGTAAAGATGGGGTTTCACCATGTTAGCCAGGATGGTCTCGATCTCCTGACCTCATGATCCGCCCGCCTTGGACTCCCAAAGTGCTGGGATTACAAGCGTGAGCCACCGCGCCCGGTATTTTTTTATTGTTTTTAAAGTGACTTATGCAAAGGTGGCTATGCCTTTTTATAAAAGATTAGCACAAAGGGAGAATAATAACATTTGCAAATTATTTGCTTGAAGCTTTTATTTAGAAATCTGTTACATGTCCTTTTTTGATATATATATATATATATATATATATATATATATATATATCTCTATAGATCTGTAGCTAGATTAGGGAGAAATTTGGGCCTAAATTTGAACTTTTATACACCAATTAAAGCAAGTAGAATTTGTAATATATTTCACCACAGGCCACAATTTCTGCCCTGGAGAAGGGGTCAGATCGTGGTCTCCATCTAGGGGAGCAGTTACCTGATAGTCACATAAACTGCAGGTCAGGCCCCTCTGTGGTCTGCCCCTGTTCAGGTTGGATTTCCAAGAAAACAGGCTCTAAGGAGAAGGTTTGAATATGGAGATTTATTTAGGAAGGCTCTTGGGATCCATCCTTGGGGTGGGAGTGAACAGATGGGGATAGAGCGGAGTAAAAAAATACAGAATTGGGTGGAGGGAGAGAATGAATAACAACGCTGCCATAATAAACACCTCAACTAATCCTATGGGGAAGACTGGGGCTGGGATGACCCCAGCTTTGAGAGGCAAAGGGGGCTGTGCCTTTATGCTCCTGCACAGACCAGTCTCCCAACCCTACCCAACTGCAACTTGATGAATGAGGGCCCTTTCTTCAACTGTGGTCAATTCCCAAGAAGGGAATCAGATGAGTACTGGGGGAGTGCTATAGTTTGAGTGTACGTGTCCCTCCAAAATTCATATGTTGAAACCTAATCACCAAGGTGATGGTATTAGGAGGTGGGGACTCTGGGAGGTGATTAGGTCATGGGGGCTCCAGGTTTGTGAATGGAATTAATGCCCTTACACAAGAGACTTCAGAGATCTGCTTCCCCTTTCATCTCCTTCATCCCTTCCACCATATGGGGAAACAGAGTTCATCCAGTCCTCCATGTTAGGATGCAGCAACCAGGTATAATCTTGGAAGCAGAGACAGACCCTCACCAGACACAGTCTCCTGGGACCTTGATCTTGGACCTTCCAGCCTCTAAAACTGTAAGCAATAATTTTCTGTTATTTATAAATTACCCAGTGTAAAGTATTTTGTTGCAGTAGCAGGAATGGCCTAAGACATGTAGTGAGTGTTTCAGTTCTGAAACTGCAAGTAGAGATCCTGGTTGTGGACTCTAAGTTCCTAAACCTCCTCATCACTTATTGGGAAAGTCAGTTTTGGGGCTCAGGACCATTAGGAAAATTCAAGATTCCTGCCTCATTCAAATGGAGGGCTAAATGCAGGGTAGGAATAGCAAGAAGGTATTTTCTTTCAAGCCCATTTCCCTCTTCTTTCAGGCTGTTAAAACATGTTCACTTGTTCACCTGCTAGTGGCCATTGGCTCAGGGAAAGTGAATCAGATCCCTTGTTCAAGGGGATAAATTTAGTTACTCTTAGCCAATCATGGTGATTCTATTCTGCTTTTCAGAGACTGGTTTAACAAGAGTCATGTGATCTTTCTGGTCAATGAAAGATAAGGGGAAGCCAGCCTGGAGTTGCTTCAGAAAGGCTGCTCTTAAACAGAAACATATTTGAAGAAACAGTAACTTTATTCTGACTCTTTATGTGTGTGGCGGAGGAAGTGATGCCTAGAGCTACTACAGGCACTTAGGCCATGAGGAGAACCAGTGTAAGTCAGCAAGCCAAGATGCTAAAGACAGCAGAATAAGAAAATGGCAAGAATCTTGTCCTTGATGCTGTTGAGCTACTGAATTAACCAGGGCTGCAACTCCCTGTATTAGTAAGGATTCTCCAGAGGAACAGAACCAATAGAATGTATATATAAGTATATAATAAGGAATTAGCTCATGCAGTTACAGAGGCTGACAAATTCCAATATCTGCAGTTGGCAAGCTGGAGACTCAGGAGAACTGACGGTGTAGTCTAACGGCTAGCAGGCCCAAGAACCAGGAAAAGCTGATTAAAGTTCAAAGGCGGGAAAAAAAAACCCAATGTCCCAACTTGAAGGCATTTAGGCAGGAGGAATTCCCTCTTATTTATGAGACTGTCAGCCTTTTTGTTCTATTTAGGCTATCAATTGTTTTGATGAGGCCCACAACATTAGAAAGGGCAGTGTGCTTTGCTCAGTCTATCAATTTCAACGTTAAACTCATCCAGTATAATGTTTGATCAACTATCTGGGTATGCCATGGTTCAGTCAACTTGACACATAAAGTTAACCAATCGTCAAAACCCCCTACTTTTGGTTTCTTGATAAATAAAATAATATTTATCTTCTGTTTTAGTGGAATAAAGGTATGGAAAACGCTTTGATCAGTTTCTGTCTTTTGTTGATCTGGAATTGCAGTATCATTGTGATTAAAGAAACTAAAATACAGTGTAATTAGGGGATCACATCCAAATTTTGCAAACCCTTTGGTAATGTTTAGAATATATTTGATTAATTCATTTTCAATTCAACAAACACCTGTTAAATACTAACTATATGTCAGCTAGGTACATGTTATATGTCAATGAAAAAAAAAAGAAAAAATTCCCCTTGTGGGGCTGACATCTAGCATATAAACAAATGGTCAATTTTAATATAGTTTTGGGTTTATTTAAGCTTATTACAGAATAAAAAAATAGTGCCCCAAACTGACCACTCTTGCATAGCCATGCCCAGCAGCCAATACTACATAATGTCAACCTACAACACAGCACCATCAAGTTGTTACTCAAATGAGACCTAGGCTTGACGGGATGTTAGGAGGTCCATTTCTATCAATCAGAGTCTGGAGTTCATCCATCGCCCTAAGCCTGCTATTGAGGGAGCCCTATGTAAACATTTATGTGGCCACCAATAAATAGTAAGCCCCTCAATCCCAACCCTAACCTCACTGTGTTTCTAGATTCTTGCCTCTGTTCTTTGTTTGCACTTTATTCTTTGCTGGTAACGGATTCTAGCCCTGAACTCCAGCCAAATTGTCTGGGCCTACGAATTGACTAGTCTTGCCAACCTCTTCTCTCTGGGGGATCTGGATCCTATCCCAATTTTCTCCCCTCTGCAGCCCACTGGCTAAGGCCCTATTACAACCCAGACAACCTCTCCCATTCCGAACATAAAACTGTCATCTGTTGGATAATAACATTTCCCACATAACCAGTTCCTGGTGCCATGCTCCCACCTGGCTTGAGATGGTGACTGTCACCATTAATCTGGTTTGGATTCAGGTTTGGTATGTCCTGTTAGATGCTGAGACTTGGGGGAGCTTATAGTCATATACCTCAGACCTCCCCTATCCCCACCAGTCTTGGCTTACTTCTCTCTCTCCTACAGATCTACAGCTGGGGTTCTCTTCTGGCTCTCCTGCCAAGGCCAATCAGATCGCAATACAAAAAAGTAACACTTTCCAGCATTCTGTAGAGTCTGATTTTCTAAACAGTTCTTTAGATTTTAATGCATCTCAATAATAGTTATAAGTAACATTTTATTTTTTTCTGTGGCAGATTAGGCCTCCTGCAAAATAGTCATTTTCAAAAATTGTCTAAGATTCAGATGCCGCACCCAATGTTTATGCTTTTTGCAGCAATATGGTCCTAATTCAACATCATGCAGCGTGCAAATCAGTGTTTCTTCTAACTTCAACAGTGATAAATATTTATTAAGCCTCCACTATGTTCATGGAACTATACCAGGTGCTGCTATAACTATTTTTCCTTTCCAGGAAAAATAAATTCAAATATGGAATAAAAAGCCCAAACTCATGAAACTGGACTGACTTTGCTTCTTAAAAATTCAACATGCTGCAGCTGCATGCTTAAACCTGGTTCAAACAGGATGATGAAATAAAACATTATTATTGTGGGAATATAACACTGTCTAAATAAATAGCCAACATGAAAACTGTCTCTAAAACCCATAGCATCTGTATGTGCAGACTGTAAGTAAGTTATATAATTCCTCCACTATTCTGTAACATGGCCAATTCAGAATGTCTTACCATTAATCTTGAAGACATTTAAAGATGTTCACTTTTCTAACTCTTCCCTTTGAAAATATATTTGAACCTTATTTGCAATAAAAATCTCATAATATTGTATTACTTTTTGATGTGTCATTTCTGTTAAATGGTGCCTGGAATAAATCAGCTTTGACTTTTCAGATTACATGTGTTGTTCCAGAGTTTTAGTAGTTACAACATACATTTACATTTTCTAATGTCCTCACTATAATGAAGATAAACACAGGGGTAATTTTTCTCATGTCATGTGTATATAGGATAAGATTACCAGGCCAACAGTGTCACTATCAGATTTCTTTCAGAAAGTGTTTAATGTTGAATTTTAATCACATGCTTGAACAACTAGGACTTTTTGGGTTTTATTTTTCAAATATGTGTTAGTAAGAAAACAGACTGAAATGTGGAATGTACCAGATAAATCTCTTTGGTGATTTTACATATCTGTATGATCATGTTTGACTTAGAAATACCAATCTTTTGATCTTACACTTCAAATGTTACATCTGTGAACATAAAAATCTATATGGCTATAACTTTCCAGGAAGAAATCTTGCTCAAGTAACTAATAAATGATCCAAGTTTTAGATAATTCTGACATAATTCCAACATATTTCCTACAGTATTTTGCTTTAGAAGACTTTCTGACCCAGATATTTATGGCTAAAGTCCATATTTTATAGATCAAATGATAATTACCTTGTAGAGGAAAGCATTTGTTTTTGAATAGTGCCAGGAGCAAGTAAGTGTAACTAATATTACACGATAGATATTTCTGCAGATAAGTGAGCTTAACTCTCGTGGTTAAAACTTATGGTTAAATTTCCACAGATTAGTAAAAGTTCTCAGTTTTATTAACAATTCTCCATTTTCATTAAAAGCCCTACTTTCCTGATAGTTAGGCTGATGAGAAGTTAGTTCAGAGGGCTGCTCATTCCCATATTCATCACTTTTTATTCAGTAATGTTATTTTATGAATAATAATTTTCTTATTTGTTGAGGCGTATATCATGATGTTTAGATGTACATTACTATTTGTCCAATGCAACTAATTAGTTAAATAGGAATGAGTTGTAATGATCAGAGGTAATCCCAGAAAATATTTTTTCAAGTTTACAAACTTATAACTTTATAACTTTACAAGTTATAAAGAGACCTTCATAACAGTTAATTAAATCAAAGAATCCTTTAGTTGGACCATAAGCACTAACAGTCGGCATTCCGTGAATATTTGTTATATGTTTGGTATTTTGCTAAGCACTTCATTTTTTTTAAGTGTCATTTAATTTTCACATGAACCCTATGAAATATGTATCATTATTAGTCTTATTTAAATGTTGCTGAAGCTGATGCTTCAAGGAAAAGTATCATGCTTAAGGACGAACAGCTACCAGGTGGGGAACCGGGGACCTGAACTGGGTAATCTAACTTAACTTCTGCTTCAGTATCATTTTAGTTATATCTTTCTTGTACAAGTATGTCTCATCTTCCCTGTTAACTCTTCATTGATAGGAAAGACCATCTTTTTTTAATCTTTATGTTCCATTACTTGCCTTGGGCACAGTAGAGACCTATAAATGTTTGGTGCTCACATTTAATAAAAATGTAGTAATAATAGCACTATGATATATAGCAATAATTTTTTTTTTTTTACTTTTTAAGGGTTAAATAGGGTCAACGTGATTGACTCACTTGTTTTTGCTTATTGTACTTAAACGTCTAATATGTTAGATTAACTCTATTATTAATGATTTGGCCACGTAAAGTCAACGGCTATTCTGAAATAAACAAAATGGTCTGTAAATCCCTTGGTATATTTTTGCTGCCAAAGAGTACAAACATTCATTCAATAAATATTTATTGAGTAGAATGAAGTGAAATCCAAGTGCAAGAAAACAGCAAAGAAGTAACAGAGGTGATTGAGAAAATAGAAAACAGTAGTGAGATTCAGAATGACAGCAGTGGCTTCCACTTTAGTGTAGGTAGTTGAAAAAAGCCCTACCACAAAGTTAAACTTCAGCTGAGACTAGACGGGTGAGGAGGACATGAACTTGGCCAGTTTGAAGGTAAAGATGGATGATGTGGCTGGAGTATAGTGAAATTGTAATTTCTACCAATCTAAAATCCAAGGCAAGCTTTGCCTGAGCCATTCCAGACTTCCCTGGTGGATATGAATTAGATCATTCCAAGTCAAATGTTCATGTGTTGAAATCTAATACTAAAGATCCCTTAAAAAATTTTTAGACTAATTTCAATGACCTTCCATTCTGGTCACTTAGGATAATGGGCTAAAATAGAAATCCCTCTGAAACATTATTCTCTCTTACTCTTATGGTTTTCTGTCTTCTCTGGATCAACACGAATGGTACTCCCTCCACTGCCCCAAATATTTTAGCCGCAACTTGGAAGCCCATGGCACATCCTGTGTGTATTAAAAGAGGGCTCCATTGACTACCTGGTAATGACAGATGCTTGGTTCTCCTTGGAAAACAATTCTTCTAGGTCACTCACTTTCTCCATTCAAGACTCTGACACCTGGGTCACAATTTCATCCTCTGCTAAATCCTGTTATTATCTTCCCTGACTTCAAAGGTTCTTCCACCTCTCCAACTCCAGTGATTTTCACATACCTTTGTCACCCCACAAAATACTGGCAACTGTGGATATACTCTGAACTTTGTTATTCCCTACAATTGTCCTGCCCTCTTACTTCCAGCTCTCTCCTCAGACCTTACTCTCCATAGATGTCTCTCTGACACCACAGACATCTCTTATCTCATGGCTCTGTTACCCCAGTTTATCTACCACATTGTTCTTGTTTATATCCCTCCCCAGCTTGAACCCTATAACTTATTGATGGAACCACTTTTTTGTACCAACATCCCCAAATCTCTGAAACCTTGGACTTTCCTATGCATATACCTTGGCTGTTGAACAGTCTCAGAAAAAGGTCACTTGGTATTTGCTAGGGGCCAATATAATATTTAACTTAGCTGGAGTCTAATCAATGCTTGACTGTCCTATGCTTTGTTCTTGGTTAGTAATTCTTGCCACCCTTCCCAAGAACTTCTTTAGATTCCTGCCATTCCCCCTTAAGATCCTTTTTAACTTTTTCTTGGTGCCTTGGCCTTTTATTCTACTGACAATATTGAGATGTTGAAGAATGAAAACTTTCAAACACCCATACCTTCCCTCAAATTTTGAACCAGAATCATCCTTGACTCTCTCCCACCAATCTCAGTGGAAGCTCTCTTGCCTTCTTCCCAAGGCCAGGCCTTCCAGTTAGGATCTTGATTAGGATACTATTCTGTCTGTTCTCCAATTTTCTTATATGCCTTCAACTTTTCTGCTTCTCTTCATCTGTCTTTTCTTAAGGCTTATGGAACTCCCATTTAAAAAATCTTTGAATTTGTGTGCCCCTTTAATGTTAGCCATGTCTGTATCAGCTAACCTTTATCAGCTGTTTTCAGAAAGAATAGTCTGCACTTGACCACCACCACTTCTTGAATTCCCCATTCATTCACCTATTAAAATCGGGCTTCCTCCTCTATCCTCTGCGCTGACAATATCTGGCTAACCATAATTGATCTTACTATTTTTAAATCCATTTATTTTATTTAGCATACTAACCCATTTCTTGAAACCACCTCTTTATTTCATTAATGCCCTCTTCTGTCATCGAAACTCTCTGCCTATTGCTTCCTTGTCCCCTTTTTCTATCTTTTTTCTTTGCATAATTCAAAATGCTGGTACTCTTGGAGGTCTTTTTTCAGCCCATTGCTCTTATTACTCTGCATATGCTTCTTCAGATAGGGGCAGACAGGATGTGGTTCTCATTTAATTTCACAGTATGTATTATCACCTATAAGTTGACGCCTCAGATCTGCTCAGCAACTTAGGCTTCCAATTGGAAGGACCATAACTTAGTGAAATAAACATACTCCAATTACTGAAAATTTTCTACACCAGGTTCCCCTGCCACTCTACATACTTCCTCACATGATGGTGCCAGCATGCATTAGAAACCAAAGCCAGACCGCTTGGAGTCACTTGAAATGCCTTCCCTCATGCTCACCTCATTTAGTCACTACATCTTGCTGATTTCACTTCTAAATATTGCTCCTCTGCTTTTCCTCCTACTTTTTAGCTTTGCTGTTACTCCTCTAGTTCAGGCATTCATCTTCACTCATGTTGATTATTGTTTTGGCCTCCTTTGTCTGCCTCATCTTTTCTGGCTTTGCACTCACAGTCCATCCTCCTTCTTCCATCATGGCTGTCCATTTAAAGGGCACATCCTCCTGTAGCAGAGGGATGACAAAAAAAAAGGAGAAGGAGAAGATGAAGAAGAAGGACAAGAAGCAGAAGAAGCAGAAGCAGCAGCAGAAGAAGCAGAAGCAGAAGAAGCAGCAGCAGAAGAAAGAAGAGGAAGAGGAGGAAGAAGAGGAAGAGGAGGAAGAAGAGGAAAAAGAAGAGGAAGAGGAGGAAGAGGAAGAGGAGGAGGAAGAGGAAGAGGAGGAGGAAGAGGAGGAAGAGGAAGAGGAGGAAAAGAGGAAGAGGAAGACGAGGAAGAAGAAGAGGAAGAAGAGGTAGAGGAAGAAGAAGAAGAAGAAAGAAGAAGAAAGAAGAAGAAAAGAAGAAGAAAGAAGAAGAAGAAGAAGAGGCAAATCCCATAACATCACTCCCCTGATTGAATCCTTAATGGGTATACCTTCACCTGCCCACTGCTAGGTGCTGCCCACTGCCAGGTGCCCCATGCTTCTCTTCACAACAGTTACCACATTGATTGCAGTCCTGTTGCCCAGATGTAGCCAGAAGCACCTCAGTGGCCAACACCTTGCCTCACTCATTCTACAGCCTTGGTACCTGGGATACTACCCAGCACACCATAGGCATTCAACAAATGTTAAACTAAACAGAATAGAGTTAAATGGAATATATAACCAAAGTTAATTCCATATTGGAGAAAAACAAACATCATGGCAAGTAATTATTTGGGGAACACCTAATGCATACCAGCACTGTGTTGGAACTTCACACATTTTATGCTGATTTACTAGACATCTGTGTTACACAGCAGGGTGAAGTGGTGTAAGGAACATGACTTTTTAAAGAGAAAGATCTTGGGTTACATCCTGACTGTGCCACTTCATAGCTGTGACCTCGAGAGAACTACTTAACATCTAATTTTTAATATCGCACTATTCAAGGGATAGCAATGCATTTCTCACAGGGTAGTTGTGCAGACTAAAAGAGATTAAAAGGACCTAGAAAATGTGTGGAGGTTAAACATGAATGCCACTGGGGCTTGAACCTTTCTCATAATTTGACAACTGCTGAGAAGGGCAGGACTTTTTGGCATGTTAAGGTCTCTGAGTTCAGGAATGAAGGGGCCCCCATGAGTCCTGAGTGAGACTTGCTGAGGCCCAGCGATATTGTGTGAAACAGGATTTAAGAGTTTTTACTTTCCAGAAACCAAGGGTAACAGAAGTCTCTGTATTGTAATAGGAGGTCATACCTGCTTAAATACATAGATAGTAATTTAGTATTTGCTGGTGTAAATAGTACAGTACTATTGGGGATACATTAGAAACCTTAGGAACATTTATTAAATGAAATCATAATAGACAAAACCCTTCAGAGTGTGCCATCTCTTTTTTTTGCTGTGACGCTGACAGCTCTTACACTATTTCAAAGAGATTTGGAACAAATTATTGGTAACAATAAAGCCCCTCTAAAACTTTTATATGGAGATGTTTATTGCAACATTATATTCAATAGCAAATAATTACAAATAACTTATGAGATCATAAAGTAAATGATGAGTGATGTTATACCAATATGATAAATAAAATATTATTTATCTCTACAGTAAGGCTTATGAAGACTGTAGGAAATAGAAATAAAGTGCCCAATGTGGCATGCATCTAATTCCATAATTATAGCTAAGAAAATGTAAGACTATCTTTGGATAAGGGCTAATAAAAAAAAAATAGGTATAAGGTAGTATGCAAATATGAATATAATTAGGTTTGGGCAGTAAAATCTACTGATTTTTTTTAATTTTGGAAGTTTACATAATTAAAAATTTTAAATTATTTTAAATGATTTATGAGCATCAGTATCAGAATATTAAAAATATATAAACCAAGATAAATGCTCCAAGCAAGAGAAAAGCAATTACTGACTTACCAAATTATTCTTCTGACATCTTAATTATAAAACCTAGCCATAATTTATTACCAGACCCTAGCTTCCCATTCTTATAACACAGAAAATATTATTTTATGACTTACAATCAAGGCACAATCTCTTAAATAATCTACTTTAGAATCAACTATAAGCAAAAGAAAATTTATCTACAGAGCTATATTATTAGATAACCTGGTTTGTAGCCTTGCAATGTGTATTCAATTGCCTTTATGTCTATTTGCCTATCTCCTAAAATACTCAAATTTCGGATTTTAGCCTAATACACTCACAATCATGAGACTGATTACATAACTGGATTTCAAGGAGAAAAAATAACAAAGAGGAATGAATTAATTATCTGAACTTTAGTTATATATTAGATTTCCTAAACAAGAATTACAGACAAATTTGTTTATTAAGAAAACACTGTTGAGAGGAACATGTCTTTGGAATTATGAAAAATGATCTTCCAGAGTATATGGAAAGTAAAGACATTCTGAGGAAATGTCCATTATGAAAGTCCAAGTGACTATGCTTAAACCACTATAACCGTAGATCTGATTGCTTGATGCTATAATTCAATTATCTTCTCACTACTTTACCTCTCATCTGATAGTGAAATACAGCCCTATTTTTTCCTCTAGTATTTATTCAAATATTTTTCCAAGTATGACACAATGACTTTATCTCCTCAGTCAGTTGTCATTCTTGAGGTATGTAGACTCATCAACCACTAAACCACTGTGGCGAGGACCCTGGTCCATTTGGCCAAAAATTCTGCCCTTGTTCTTCATCCTATTAACCGTAAATATATTAGGAATCTAGCTAGAAGATGTCCCAATTTATTATTCATTATAGCTCTAACAATATTAATGTTAACTATTAAGTATGAAGATGATTTTTTTTTATTTTCCATTAAGTCATTTATTGAGTCACTTACATTATGCCTGTAGTTTAGGTAGGATTAATCCATAATTTCTTCCCAAATTCCCCTGTGATTCGATTCCTTGCAGAGGACCATTAAATATATGATGAGTGGTTGGAAGGTTCCTTCTTATCCTATGGATAAAAGGCTCTAAATGTCTTAATATATTTAATTCTTCATTTAAATCACTTCTGATGTGTGTTTATTATATAGGTAGGCTCTCTTGAACATATAGTCCAGTGCAACTATTAATGCTTTATTTATTTTTTATTTATTTATTTTTTGAGACCAGGTCTCACTGTCGCCAAGCCTTGAGTGCAGTGGCAGGATCACAGCTCACGGCAGCCTCTATCCCCCAGGATGAAGTGATCCCCTTTCTTCAGCCTCCCAAGTAGCTGGGACTACAGGTGTATGCCACCATACCGTGCTAATTTTTGTATTTTAGTAGAGACAGGGTTTCACCTTGCCCAGGCTGATCTTGAACTTCTGAGCTCAAGCCATCTGCCCGCCTCTGCCTCCTAAAGTGCTGCGATTGCAGGCATGAGCCACCACATCTGGCCAACACTTTATTGATAACTGTATGTATGTATAAGCATTTCTAGGTTGTAACAATCCATTGGCTCTCAGTAGGCCCACCAGAGGAGTACTGCACCTGCAATGAAAACCTGTCTCAGATTTCAATCTGCAAGTGTTTTATTATGGGCTGCTAGTAAATTATCCCACAAGAGGTCGCTAAAGCTCCGGTTTTTTTGATGTGTGATTTTTCTGACTTTTTCTCCTTCCTGCAAAGGAATTGCAAAAAATTTTCTGTTTCCCGGTTTTCTATTTCCCAGTCTGTTCCAACTTGACATGAAGGTAGTCAAGAATTAGGGCTTAGTCATGGGCAAGGCAGCTTACTTATGGAAGTTTGTAGCCATCTAGGGTTGCTCAAATCCATCACGTGAACTTCAGAGCATTTCTTACCACAATTTATACTTGAAAAGGAAATACAACCAGGCACCTTCTGACCTCAATAACTAAACTCTTTTAGCTGTAATGTAGACCCCTTTAAAGGCACATTACCACTTTTCAGGCCCTGGGTTGACATTCCAGTTTTCTGCACATACCAGAATGATAGAATAGACATCTAAAAGAGGCCTGCACTCAGTAAATATCTCCTTAGAGAAGATCTAATAAATAAATGCTAGAGGTACCCTCATTAATGGAAAATTGCTGCTACATCTATTTCTTTGGAGGATTTTTAGACTCAAGCAGGCAGATTCCTGTAAAGAATTTGGTTTAAAACAAAGCTGATATTTTAGAAACAATCTCTATTTTCTCCACAGAAAACATAAATATTTTTTAACAAGACATTTAAAATTGTGTTTTAGAGAAAAATCGGCTTAAAATTTGAGAATATTTTCGCCCATCCTTAGAAGAATTTTCTCTTCCCCTTAGAAAAATATTGCCTGAATATAAAAAGGGAATCTTACCTTGATTTCTCCATCTCTCAAATCTCAGAAGAAACAATGCCACTTTTAGCATTCTTGACTAGTAAGATTATTGGCTATATATTTTCTTAGCAAGGGTCACATGTTACATTTTTAATAGGTTCTATTACATAGGGCAGAGGTTATAGGCAAAGACTTCTCTAATGATCTTTCCACTTCCCTTCTCTACGGGGAATATTTAACTTAAAATATTGTGATTTAATCATATATAAAGAGAGAAGTGTTATTGTGAATCAAGCATTTGAACAATTTTATGTTTTCATATGAATATAGAGTGTTAAAATTATAAATAACATTTTAATTATACGGATGGAAAAACCTGGAAAGATCTCAACCCTATGAACATGAAGGATTTATACAAGATGATTTTGGAATCATCCCTTCTAGTCCTAAAATGTAATGACTTTCCTTAAATTCTTATGCTTTTGGACTATAAAAGCCCATTTCTATTTTAATGAGATAACTTTAAGTGGAGGGCTTTTCTTATTTGAATAGCTGTCCTGTTACGATTTGGGAGTTAAATATCAGATAATTAAAATTTAGTTGTTTACAGTTACTGAGATTTTTGCATTATTTCCTCAGCAATAATTTTTTATATTTACAACCTCTATGTTAATGAACACACTATTTCATGAAGTGCTTTTGTAAAATGCTAACATAATTCTTTCCTCATGTCTTTTTGGAGGTAGGAGACTCATATACTTTTTATCAGAGATGCTCATGAACTTGAAGGCCCAAATGAATAATAATATACAGATAATGAATTTCTACTTGACTTGAGCCATATCGCAATAAAGAAGGAAAAATGAAACAGGCTAGCCAGGAGGGTAGGAATAGACCAGTCACAATGCATCAAAAGGCAAATGATAGTAATCAGAATCTCAAAGAATCATACAATGAGTCTTTTTAAAATACCACCACCACCTACTCCACTACTCTGGGCTTGTGTTAGCTGACAAGGCACATTGGTTTTCCCGTTTACTCACATTAAGCCCTGGGTAGGCACAACCAGAGAACATTTCAAATATGTATGGGTTATGAATAAGTGTGAGTCACCGACTTTTAGTCCAGCTGAAACTACATTGTCAGAAGAGTATTAAGCTGGCATTTGCAACCCACATACTTACCTTGTGCCTGACACTGTGTTCTGTATTTAGGACAAAGGCTTTTCTAGTCCATGCACTCAGGTAACTCACAATACAGTTGAAGAAAAGAGATAAGAACACAGACAACTACAGTATTGCATCAGTACTAAGGCATGCATAGCACCCCCACCCCCAGCTGTCTTACCTCTTGGAAATCAGGTTGCATCTTACAATTGATGGTATCTTGCAAATGCCATGTCTAGGCTGCTGTCATAAGCAGTCTTGGTTTGTGTGGGTGCAAACTTGGTCATAGCTGTTGATCTTGTCTTCCCTTCATTGAGGTATGTGCACTGTTGATAATGCATGAGTTGAGTGAATTGCCATTTAAAATGCTTTAAATGTTACCTTATAATTCAGTATTAGAAAAAAAATTGTGGTATGTGCAAGAAGGGCTAGAAACAGTGCAGTGGGATGTATATTTAATGTCACTGAGGTAAATATTTACCATTGGAAGGATGATTCTCATTTCTTATTTTCTTGCAAACCCATAATAAAATAATAATTATGGGTTCTAAGAAAGGAAAATACATGTTGAATAAGTTGTGTAAAATGTGGTGACTATGCTATGTGTCAAAGGATTGTCTATCACCTTGCTACAACCAAGTGTGGTCTCTGGATCAGGTACAGTCTCTGCATCAACATTACCTGAGAAGTTGTTAGATTTGGAGCATCTCAGGCGCCACACCAGACTTACAAAATCAGAATCTTCATTTTAAAGTCCGTAAATGGTTCATATGACATAAAAGTCTGATAAATAATTATGTCACATGCCAAGCAATTCAATGAAAGTCAGGAAAAATTGCCTTTGAAGAGATGAAAGAAATTTCAAAACAACAAGGAGTTGATGTGACCAATTCACTCATGCAGGACTATCATTAAGGTGTCAAACTTCAATATCAGAAACTTCCTGCTGAGTTTGAACAGCAGTTGCCTAACTTCGTGTGACATGTATTTTGATTGAAGAAAAATGAAAACGATCAGTTTATTGAATAAAAAATGCTAACAAACCATGGGCTCTTTGATATGTCTCAGAATCACACTAAAAGAACCCTTTCAATACATATAAAATAAAAATTCTAAGTGATAAGGCTGTGTAATAATTTTACTGGCAGCTTTTTTTGTTCCTTGATGTTACATAAACTAATAGTGTGTTTTATAATTGATGGTGGCATAGACTTGATGAAAAACAGTATAATACAGTGTGATAGGTGCTATAATAGGAAGAAGTGGGAGATGCTATGGAGTAAATAGGTGGTGGTCATATCTCATAATCAAGGTTTGTTACCTTGAGCAAAAGTCAGTCAGATGGAGATGGGAATGAATTGAGGTGGGATGCAGGGAAGTTATTATTCCAAGAAGAGAGAATTACACATGCAAAGCCATCAAGGCTGTTTGTCAAGAAGCAGGTAGAGGGATTGAATCAGTTTTTAGGGGATGGGGGAGTTGGGATGCTGGATTGTGTTTTGCCTTAGCTTTGGTGTTACAGAGCAAAAGCAAAGGGAAATAGTACCTCCACATGTCAAAGGAAAATTTGGTGTCCAAAAGCTCCCATTCCCGCTAGGAGAACTGACCTTGTGTATTAGGGTTCTCTAGAGGGACAGAACGAATAGGATAGATGTATATACATACAGGGGAGTTTATTAAGGAGTATTAACTCACACAATCACAGGGTGAGGTCCCACAACAGGCTGTCTGAAAACTGAGGCGCAAGAAAGCCAGTCCAAATCCCAAAGCTGAAGAAATTTGACTCTGATATTTGAGGGCAGGAAGCATCCAGCACAGAAGAAAGATGGAGGCTGGGAGGCTAGGCCAGTCTAGTCTCTTCACGTTCTTCTGTCTGCTTTTATTCTAGCTGCACTGGCAGCTGATTAGATTGTGCCCACCCAGATTGAGGGTGGGTCTGCCTTTCCCAGTCCACTGACTCAAATGTTAATCTCCTTTGGCAACAACCTCACAGACACACCCGGGAACAATACTTTGCATCCCTCAATCCAATCAAGTTGACACTCAATATTAACCATCACACCTTGTCTGGGATCAGTTTTGTGTAGAATTAGGTTCACGGATAAAGTTAGCTTTGTTCTCTTCCAGTATTTTCTTGAATGAGGATGGTTTCCACTTAAGGAATAAAGACATTAGTTTTGATGGCTAAGAATGGAGTTTTCACTCAATCCTGTCTGCACATTGCCATCACCCCAAGTAATGCCTTAGCCACACTCACAGAAGTTTGATTAACTTGCTATGGAGAAGCATGAGCATTGGTATTTTTTATCCATTGTCTCCATGATACTACTGTGCAGTTTATTTAAAAAAATGGGCTTATGGTCAGGGAGGGTTAGGGCAGATGAACAGCTGGTCAGCAGAAAACAGGAACTGCAGCACCTATAAGGCTACAAATGAAGCAAAGCATCAGTCAAACACTTGGCCTCTTAGGGGAAACCATTTATTTGGGCAGATATGGTAGGGAAATGCGGGATAAATTTCTGCCATCATATGATAAGCCCTAGGATTTACCAAACACCTTGGATCATCTTGGAATCCTCTCATTCTAAGATAACAGATCTCTCTTCTGGCCTCCTATGGGTGTTTGGATATAAAAGACAGATACACAACTTTCACATCCAGGCCCTCAGATACACATTTCCCAGGGTAGCCCTGAGGTGGTGCTGCTGTACTTGTGGTCACATCTTGGTTTGAAAACGCTGGTAGAGAGAGTGGAACTTTTCCCTTCTTTTCACAAAGAGTATGGGGCTTTTGCAAGGCCAAAAATAGAAAAAAAAAGCCTAAAGTTGGTGCCTACATGTTTGTGTGGAGCATTTAAGCTCAAACAGGGCATATATATGTTGGGTAAGAAAGTGGATATTCATCCATAATGACAGTATACTGGTGATATCTCTGCTATGTCTTGACATAAATAGGATTCCTATAGTTTTACCTTGCTCAGTTGCAGGAGTGGGAAAGGCAGCTGAGTGGGGAAACTGAGTCAATATATACAATGTTAACAGTAGACTTTTGAGCCAAAGGATGGGGTGGACACATTCAAGAATGAAAGGAATAGTGGGTTTGCAACCGTAGAGGCTGAGAGCAACATTAAGTAACAAGTCACAGACAGCACTGTTCTCTCAACTCCCTCTGTGCAGTGCTAGTGTATATGAGTGGGGGTCCCCTGATAATGTCTACTCACACAGGAGCCAGCTTGAGTCAGTGGACAGCTGGGCTGACCCTACCTGCATTTGTACTTCAAAGCTATGTGATACTTTAGTGTATTATAGGCTGCACTTGGAGGTGTGTTGTTTTGAAGACAGATTTGTGGCACAACCAGTGGAATATTCTCTGCCCAAGAGTGGCGGCTGAGGCATCTAGCTTATTAAAAAGGCCTCCAAACTGGTCTCCCTGCCTCCACCCTTGCCCCTCACAACTCTACTCTCAACAAAACAATAGAAATGATCACTTGAGAATCAAACTCTGTCTTCTCTACTCAAAAACCCTTCTATGGCTCCTCTACTCAGGCTGAAAGTCAAGGTCAGTACCATGGCCTCTAAGGCCCTTTGTGATTTGTGTCCCCTCCCCTACTCCTCTGACTTCATCTCCTCTTACTGGTCCACACTTCTGCCCCAGGGCCTTTGCATTTGCTTGTCTTTCTGCTTAAAATACTCTTCCCTATATATTTTGGGGAGCTCATTCTTCTTCTCCTTTAAATCTTTGTTTGAGTGTCATCTTTGCAGAAAGGCTTTCCTTGACCACCGATTTCGATTTAAAGTGACATCTGACTGAGCCAGAAAGAAATAGATTCCCTGAATAGATAAATAATGAGCTCTGAAATTGAATCAGTAATAAATAGCCTACCAACTAAAAAAGCCTCAGGATCTCATGGATTCATAGTAGCATTCTACCAGATACATAAAGAAGAGCTGGTATTATTCTTACAGAAACTATTCCAAAAAATTGAGGAGGGACTTCTTCCCAACTCATTCTATGAGGCCAGCATCATCTTGATACCAAAATTTGGCAGAGACACAACAAAAAAGAAAACTTCAAGCCAATATCCTTGATGAACATTGATGGAAAAATTCTCAACAAAGTACTTGCAAACCGAATCCAGCAGCACCTGAAAAGGTTAATCCACCATGATCAAGTAGGCTTCATCTCTGGGAGACAGTGTTGGTTCATGAATAAATGTGATTCATCACATAAACAGAACTAAAGACAAAAACTACATGATTATCTCAATAGATGTGGAAAAGACTTTTGAAATAATTCAACATCCCTTCAAGTTAACAAGTCTCAAAAACTAGGTATTGGAGGAGCATGTTTCAAAATAATAAGAGCCATCTATGACAAACCCACAACAAACATCATAGTGAACAGGCAAAAGCTAGAAGCATTCCCCTTGAAAACTGGCACAAGACAAGAATGCCTTTTCTCACCACTGCTATTCAACATAGTATTGGAAGTCCTAGTCAGAGCAATCAGGCAAGAGAAAGAAATGAAGGGCATTCGAATAGAAAGAGAATTCAAAGTATCTCTGTTTGCAGAAGGTATGATTCTATATCTAGAAAACTCCATAGTCTCAGCCCAAAAGCTCCTTCAGCTGAAAAACAACTTCAACAAAGTTGCAGGATACAAAATCAATGTACAAGAATCACTAGCATTCCTACACACCAACATCAACCAAACTGAGACTCAAATCAGAAAGGCAATCCAATTCACAATTGCCACACATACAAAATAAAATACCTAGGAACACAGATAAGCAGGGAAGTAAAAGATCTCTACAATGAGAACTACAAAACACTGCTCAAATAAATCAGAGAAGACACAAACAAATGTAAAAACATCCCATGCTCATGGGTAGGAAGAAGCAATATCTCTAAAATGGCTATACTGCCCAAAGCAATTTCCAGATTCAATGTTATTCCTATCAAACTACCAACTTCATTTTTCACAAGGCTAAACAAAATTATTTAAAAATTTATGTGGAACCAAAAAAAGAGCCCGAATAGCCAAGGCAATCCTAGGCAAAAAGAACAATGCAGGAGGCGTCATGTTACCCGACTTCAAACTATTCTACAAGGCTACAGTGACCAAAACAGCATGGTACTGGTACAAAAGCAGGCAAATAGACCAATGGAACAGAATGGAGACCCCAGAAATAAGGCTGCATATCTATGACCAACTGATCTTCGACAAAACTGATAAAAATAAGCAATGGGGAAAAGACTCCCTTTTCAATAAATGGTGCTGGGATAACTGGCTAGCCATATGCAGAAGATTGAAGCTGGACCTCTTCCTTATACCCTAAAATCAATTCAAAATGGATTAAAGACTTAAATGTAAAACCTCAAACTATAAAAACCCTGGAAGACAACCTAGACAATACTATCCTGGACCTAGGAATGGGCGAAGATTTCACAACAAAGACACCAAAAGCAATTGCAACAAAAGCAAAAGTTGACAAGTGGGATCTAATTAGGTCAAAGAACTTCTGCACAGCAAAAGAAACTATCATCAAAGTAAACAGACAAGCTACAGAATGGGAGAAAATATTTACAAACTATGCATCTGAGAAAGGTCTAATATCCAGCATCTATAAGGAACTTAAACACATTTACAAGAGAAAAAACAACCCTATCAAAAAGTGGGCAAAGGACGTGACCACTTTCAAAAAGAAGACATGCATATGGGCAAGAAGCATATGAGAAAAAGCTCAATATCACTGATTATTAGAGAAAAGCAATGAAAACCACAATAAGATACCATCTCACATCAGTCAGAATGGCTATTATTAAAAAGTCAAAAAATAACAGATGCGGGGGAGGTTGTGGAGAAAAGGGAATACTTTATTACACTGTTGGTGGGAGTGTAAATTAGTTCAACCATTGTGGAAGGCAGTATGGCATTTCCTCAAAGAGTTAAAAGCAGAACTACCATTTGACCCAGTAATCCCATTACTGGGTATATACCCAGAGGAATATAAATCATTCTACCATAAAGACACATGCACGCAAATGTTTATTGTCTCACAATACCAAAGACATGGAATAAACCTAAGTGCCCATCAGTGACTGACTGGATAAAGGAAATGTGGCACATACGCACCATGGAATATTATGCAGCCATAAAAAAGAATGAGATCATGTCTTTTGTGGGAACATGGATGGAGCTGGAGACTGTCATCGTTAGCAAACTAACACAGGAACAGGAAACCAAATACTGCATATTCTCACTTATAACTGGGAGCTATATGATAAGAACTTATGAACACACAGAAGGAAACAACAGACACTGGGGTCTACTTGAAGGGGGAGGGTAGGAGGAGGAAGAGAAGAAGAAAAGATAACTATTGGGTACTCTGTTTAATACCTGGGTGGTGTAATAATATGTACAACAAACCCCTATGACATATGTATATCTATGTAACAAACCTTCACATATACCCCAAAACTAAAATAAAAATTAAAAAAATTAAAAAAATTAAAATTCATGAAAAAAAAAGTGACACCCAACACTTCCTAACCCATGTCACTGCTTTATTTTTCTATTTTCTTCATTCATTCATTCATAAGTTCCATGAGAGCAGGGCTTTTTCTCTTTTGTTTTCTGCTACAGGAACAGTAAGTGCCTAGAACAATAAGTGGTGATTAAGAACTAGCTCCTTGCTGAATAAATGAAAGAATATGTGTATTATCCCAAACCATAATGTTTCTTGGTGTCAGTAACACTGGGAGTGGGCACTGACCACGTGGTCCACATGCAGAATATGCACAGCTATCCTCGCTGGTGACCTTCTTGCTTTGTGGATGTCAAAGAAAGTAGACAGCTATATGGACTCTGCCACCTGGATAACTCTAGAGGTGAGTGGTAGGGGTTATGAACAGCACTGAGGAGCTGGGAGTGGCTGTTTGTTGGGTTTCTAGCTTCAGGACAAGTTCTATGAGTTTCCTGAGCCCTCATGATCTAAAACTATGAAGCATGATGGTGCTGGGGTGAATACTCATTGTGTTGCTTGCTCGGTACTCACTATCCTAACTTTGTTCTGAAGGACCCATTTCTCCCTCACTCTGTGTGTTTCAAGTAAAATATGTACTGAAGAAAATGCCACCTATTTTTATAAATACTGTGAACTAAGAATGATTTTTATATTTTTAAGTGGCTTCAACAAAAATCAAAATAATAATATCTAAATTTCAGTGCCCATAAAGTTTTATTGTAACTTAGCCATGCTAATCCATTTATGCATGGCTGCTTTTGCTCTACAATGGTGGAGGTCAGTAGTTGTGACAGAGACCATGTGGCCTGCAAAGCCATAAATATTTACTATCTGGTCCTCTATGGCAAAAGTTTGCCAGCCTCCACCTCAGACTGTCGCTGTGGTTAGAGTCCTATGATCACAGTGGGTGGTTCAGCACAAGACCCAGGTTTAAACGTCTGGTCTTTTCTTTGAACTACTTGGGAAGCTAGCTCTAGCTAGCTAGCTAGCTAGCTAGCTCTTCTGCTGCCTCAGGTGAGAAACTGAGGATGTCAGGAAGCATCAGGCAGCCCCTAAGGATGAGGTCGTAATCAAGCTTGATTGAAACCATTCCAACTCTAGAATTTTCAGCTGTGCCAATCAATACATTTTCTTTAATCTTAAATTAGCTAGCATTTTAAGATCTTTGTTGCTTACAGCCAAAGAAACTTAACTGATAAAGTCATTTGGAAGAAATCCTACTCCAGGTATACAGGGAACAGAATTAATGAGTTCCCAAGATGATTGCCTTATGGTGGCAACAGCAGTTGCCTGGCAGAAGATAGGAAATCTGTCTTAATAGTGCCTTCTAGGACCCAAATTTGTCCTGCTCTGGTAGAAATCCTAGAAGATCAGGAATACAGGAGATGCAATTAGTGTTTAGGATCTTCATTTAACAGCACACATCTGTGTCTTCCCTTGGCATAAATACTGGGAGAATGCAGTACTCAGGATTTTTATATCCTCTTATTGGAATTACCCACATAATATATGATTTATTGCCTATAGACTTCTCAATTTCTATGTACACAATAGCAGCACTACCATATTTTTTAATTCAAATGAAATGCATGAAGATGTTTGGGTAGAAGTAATAGAAAAGTTTAGTAATGAATAATGTTTCATTATTCTGTCTATTTTCTGAACATCAGTCATTATCAAATATAGACTCATAATCAAATAATAATACATACACCTACAATATTTTGATTATGATGTTTTTAGAAACATACATCTCTTTTCCCTCCTACTGATTAATCTCCTTGCTGTTTAAGCAGCAAAGCTGCTTTCCACTCAGTATCTCAGGGAAAGGATATGACATGGTAGACAACAGAAAACAAATGAAACAACTCCCCCACACTCCCCAAATTCAGGAAACTTCCTGGCAAAAAGCTCACTCCTTTAGGACAATAGAGAGTCTCTGGGTAGAGCCAAATTATATAAGAGAAACATCAAGGGTGACTGTTGCTTTCGCCTTCTGGAGAGGAAAAGATTCCCAGGGGTTTATATAGAAAAGGAAGGGGAAAAGAGGGAACAGGGAGGATGTGGTGGCAGTGCGTTTGGATGGGTTTCAAAGAGGGAGCCCCAGTTCCATCAAGGACCTTGGAGCCCCTGGAGGCTTCTCCCTCGGGTTCTGTGGGGCCAAGGAGAGGCGTCCCCTCAATCCCACCTGGATTCCCTGCTGGATCAGCCCTAGAAGGAAGCTTCCTGGGGCTGCTCCCACTTCTGCTTAAGTGTGGCTACACCGTGGAGGGTGGGTCCTTAGGAATGTGGCAAGGGCAGCAAGATTGAGGGGGCCATAGTGGTGCGGGCATGTGGAGGGGGCACAGGCTTTGGCCCGCGGGCCTGTGTTCCTATCCCTCCCTCTGTCGTTCCCTGTGACCAATGGGCGGAGGGCCCATTCTTGGCAGAAACCCAGGGAAGTGGCAAAATTCCCAGACAGTGTTGTGAGAGCAGTAGAATGTTCACAACCTCCTACCCTTGCCCTAGCATCAGGGTTTGACAGAAAAATTAGATTGAATGAAATAAAAATATTTCTCACCCACTTGCGTTCATGGATGGAGATTGATGACCTTCTAGGTCAGACACATTTGTTTCCATTAGTGTGGAAAATCAAGAGTTGACTTCACTCCTCAGTTCTTCCAAGGGTGACAGTTAAATTTTGGCTGCACACCAGCAGCCAATGGCATGCAAGTGTTAGAGCAGGTTATCTGCATTTCATGTGCTGGATTTTGCTTCACTGCAATGCACTATTGTTCATTTTGAAGAACTGCTTTTTCTTCATTTGATTATGAAGTCCATTCTTCACTGAGAAAGGGTGAATCACTGGGTTTCATTATGGAGCTCTTGAAGTTCAGGGAGAGCGATTTTCATACTAAGTTCATTTTCTTTAACATATAACCAGTGAAATAATAGAACAAAAATACATTTATCTTTTATAATTGTTTCCCTCCTCTAAGACATAACAGTATTAACATAACAGCTATACTGCATAATTCTTCTTCAACCAAAGAACAAGAAGATTAATCTATTCTATTTATTTATAAAATCTCCTGATATTTCTGATACTGGTTTTTCCCGTCATTCACCTGGTGGAAAAAGCAAGGTGGGGAAATAAACGATGGTGACAGCTTTTTGCTGGCAATGCAGAATGAGGCCCTTGATGTTATTGTGGCCCAAGGGAAAGTGTGAGTACTATATTCATCAGCAGTTCTCAATCGGGCTATTTTGCACATTAGGGGCTATTTGGCAATTTTGGGAGATATTTTTGATTGTCAAAACTGGTGAGGTGGGTAAGGTGGAAGGTATGCTACTGGCATCTAGTGAGAAGCGAGATGAAGCTAAACATCCTACAATGCAGAAGATAGCCCCAGCCCCTGGCAAATAGTTATCTGGCCCAAAATGTCAATAATAATTCCAAGGTTGAGAGACTCTGATATAAAGTAATCAGGAAAGGAGGAAAGATCTGAGTATGTTAGGATGATTGGCAGGGTTTTTGCAGACTGAGAAGAGCCATATGGACATTTGTTGAAAAAGGGGGAAAGAGAGACACCTGAAGAGTTGGATAATTCTTTTATACTATGTAAGGCATATTTTAAAGGGCTACCGTTTTTAGAGGGTACGTTCTTACCAACTTTTTAAGGAGAGGATAAAATTCTGTGAAATCAATATTATGGTTATTAAAAGCACAAAAGGACCATAATTGTTTCATGATTTGTCTTGCTAATTTCACATACTATGATGTTTTATGTGCTGAGTGGAGATAAATGTGTAAACAAAAATACGAAGGTGACAAAGCATGGTATATTTCTACCTGGCTAGGTTGTATAGGCCAGTGAATGTCTAGGGGAAGGGTGGTCCTGGAGCCAGGTGAGAGAGATCTTGAATGGAAAGTTACAGAGTTTGAATCAATTCATTAGAAATGGAGGCAGGTGTATTATAGGGTTCTCCAGGTAAACAGAATCAATAGGGTGGGGAGGGAGGGAAAGAGAGAGAGAGAGAGAGAGAGATGAGAGAGATTTAGTTTTCAATTGAGGGAGCTGGCAAGTCCTAGATTTGTATGACGGGCAAGCTGGAGATTCAGGTCAGAGTTGATATTGCAATCTTAAGTCTGGAAACTCTTCTGCATCTGGAGGCAGAATTCTTTCTGAGGGCAGTGAGAGGCAATCTATTCCATACTTCTCACCCAGCTTCTTGTTGTTTACTGATCATTTTTGGCGTTCCTTGTAGAAACATCACTCTTATCTCTGCCTTCATCTCATATGATGTTTTCCCTCTGTGGTTGTCTGTGTATAAATTTCCCCATTTTTTTCTATAGACACCAGTTATATTGGATTAGGGCTCACCCCAGTGACCTCATGTTAACTAATTATAGCTTCCACAGCCTTATTTCCAAATAATGTCACATTATGAAATACTGAGGGTAAGGACTTCAACATATGAATATGTCAGAGGCAGACAGTTTCACCTGTAACAGGGGGTTTGCATAGAGCAGTGACATTTTCTGAATTGTTCCATGCTGGCAACATTGCCCAGTTTTCTTCTCAGGGACATCAGTTATAGGAAAATGCTATAGTGAAGGCAAATGGGACAGAATCTTAAAATATTTGTGAATCTTTGTTTTTTCTTGTTCTAATGATAATGTAAATGTAGAAAACACTAACACATTGTAAAACACAGAAAGCAAAATAGGTATTATACTGCTCAGTTATGATACTGCTCATAACCCAATTTATCAGTAATAGTATGTCTATATTTAAATATCTAAAAGGACTATTTTTTAAAAAATATGGGTCTTGCTACTTTGCCCAGGCTAGAGTGCCGTTTGGCTATTCACAGGTGCAATCATAGTTCACTGCAGCCTTGAACTCCTGGCCTCAAACAATCCCCCCACCTCAGCCTCTCAGCCTCACGCGCAGCTGGGGCTACAGGTACGCTCCACTGAGCCCAGCTATGGAATATCTATTTTTAATAAAAATGTGAATCATAGCATACGTACTGTTCTGTTATTATCCCTTGTTTTCTTTTGGACATTTTGGACACCTTTTCGTGTCAGAACATAAAGACCTACTAATTCTTTTTTATTTACTGCCTAGTATTTCATTGAATGAATGTGCTATATCTGTTTAACCAATCCCTTATTGAGTGCCATTTGGGTTATTTCTAAATTTTTACTTTTACAAGAAATATTACAGTGAATGTCATTGAACATATATCTTTGTACAGTAAGTAATTTTTTTTGCTGGGTATTTTTTTTTTTGCTGGGTATATTTTTAGGGATAGAATTGTTGAGCCAAAAGGTGTGATCATTTTAAACTATAACAGACATTTCAAATGCAAAAATGCTGCATCAAATTTTTTTCCCTCCCACTAAAAACATATGAATTAGATTAGTAATTCCTACATAGAAAGAATTAAATAGACTACACTGATAGTGTATTTAATGACACTATGCCAGCACAATAATTCCTGTAATAATCAAAGAATAGTTACCATTGTTTTATTAATATACACTTATTTGTCCTCCATAGAGCTCTTGTTAATAAATCTTAGCTTATTGCTAAGATTTGGGACTTCTTCCAGATGGAGTTTATGATTAAATGCTAATCACATTGTTACCGAAGTGTTCAGCTTTATTCATTATTTGTTTGATGTTTGCCATAAAAATTACAGCCCTTATAACCCATTATTTTGGTTTCAACTTCTCAAAATAAATTGAAATATATGTTAAAAACTTAATGTTTGATTACTGTTTAAAATGCTAAAAAATATGATCCAAAGTATCAGTGCTTAGAACTAGAAAACCCAAATAGCTTTAATCCTTTTTGGGGGCTTTCTTTTCACCCCCGTGATGTGTGGGTGTGTCAAACGTGGATTCCTTCCTGTTGTTCTGTTTGCTGGAGCAAAGAATCATGTCTTGATAAATTCACAAGACTAGTGAATTTCATCTAGTGTAATATTGAGGAGTCCAGATCATGGAGAAGGTGTGGCTAGGACTGGTACCCCCCAAATACTGTCATCTCCAATCACAATTCTGGAAAACAGTTTGATATAAGAACATCAATGAAATGGTAATTTATTACACCAGTAGAGTGGAGCTCAGCTATGGAGACACAAAGCCTGGTGAGACTTGGAAATCCTGGGCTTAGGCCGTCAGTTTCTGGGGTCTGTTAAGAGGATGCAGAGTGCCAGCCACAGAGCTGAGTGTCAGAGAAGGGCTATAGAATAGGGGAGGAGGAATAGAAGAGCCACTTGGTGTTCTTGTTGTAGGAGGCACATTAACACATCAGAAATGTTCCAACAGAGACCAAGCTAACAAACTGGAGACCATGAAATGCAGATAGTCTCTGGAGACTACACATCCAATGTCTGAATTTTCTAATTTACTTTTCAAGGCAAAGTCATTGATACCATGTTTTTCTCCACAATATTTTTGCCTGTACCAACCAAGAGATAACATACGGCACTTCCTAAAACAATACGATTGCCTTCTGGATTTTCTTCCAAATCAGTGATACCTGTTCTCCAAGTTTTGATGATGACACTGTCTTTAGCTTATCAGAAGGTGGCCATGGAAGATGCTCAGTCAACGAGCAAGATTCATATTTCTTCCTGAAATGGTTTTGAAATAGTTGTTGCGGGAAATGTGAAGGGATTGTGGTCATGCAGTCATGTCACCAGAAATAACCAAATTTATCCGCAGCTGTTGTCAGATACAATCAATAGCAAGATAAGCCTCAATTTCAAAGATATTAAAATGTGAAACTTAGAATTGAATGAATTATTAAAATGTGAATCTTAGAACTGAATGAAATATAGTAATGTGAAAAAATTTAAAATCGAATAGAGCTTTTTTTTAAAAACATGGATCTTGCTGTGTTGCTCAGGCTAGAGTGCAGTGGCTATTCACAGGTGCAATTATAGTTCACTGCAGCCTTGAGATGGCTTCATTAATTATTTCCTTTAATCATTCAGCAAATATTCACTGAACATCTTTATGTACAAGACCTTGTGGTAAAACTTGCCACCCATTTTTATTTGTTGCTTATGCCTCCTTCTAGGTTTCTTAATTAGCTTAGCTAATAGTTTATGAAATGTATTTTTTATTCCAAAGACTGAACTCTTCTATTTCTCTATTAGTTCTGCTATTTTCTATTTCATTATTTTTGTTTTAATTCTTGTTTCCTTTCTTTTATGTTTTTTTACAACTGTTTAATTTAAATGTCTTATAAACTTAGTTGTAATCTTAATTATTTAGATATATAAGTATTTAAATACATACATTTCTCTCTGCTCTAGCCATATCCTATTATTTCTATTATGTGGTATTTGAACTACTGGTATTTCCTAGATGCCTTACTATTTTGATTTAGAGTTTTTCCTTTGATGCAAAAGTTGTGTTAGAGAGAAATTAAACTTACATGTAGCAGTATATTTTGTTTTTCTAATTTTGTGATTAATTTCTATATTTGTTGTAGTAGAGGATGTTATCTACATGATTTTTACTTTCAGGAATTTATTCTTTTTTTTGTGGTTTGACATATGGTCAATTTTGAATATGTTTAATGTGTAATTGAAAAGTGCGTTGAGTTTGATTTAAATTAATGTATCTATCTTATTGATTAGGTCATTTGGCTCATTATTTTTTCTTCTACTTAATCTGTATCATGAAGAGATGACTTCGTCTCCCATATTTACTTGTGTTTCTGTGTTTCTTTTTGTATTTCTTGTTTCTATGAATTTTTTTATTATTTGTGCACAAATACTCATAACTGTTAGATTTTTATTGTGGGTTGTAGGAATTGTTCCAAAGTACCTCTCTTTGTCATATTTTGCACTTTGTGAGTTGAATTCCACATTGTCTGATATCACTATCTTGACCCTGCTTCATTTTGTATTTGCCAGGTAGGTCTTTATTGATTCTTTCAACTTTCCCATGCCGCTTTGTTTCAAACTTAGCTTTTCAGTACACCATGTTTTACTCTGTGATCTCTTTTTCTTTTATTACCTTTCTATTTATTTTCTCTAAAAGATATAGTCTTTGGTTTCTAATAGGTATTTTTAATAGCATAACATAGCTACACAGAGCATTATTTAGACTGTACATGAGTTACTTGTTTTAAACAACAATTATCCCTTCTTCCCCTGACCCCTCACCCTCCCTCACAACCACCTTCCTATTTGGATGAGTCCTCTGTACATGGCATGGCCAATGGAGTCCACAGACTGACCTGTCACTGCCATGGCCACAGCAGTTCTACATTCAAATGGATTCATGTTCACTGCCTCCACTTTTGCCATAGCTTCTTCTTCCTTTTATTGAATGGTTGAAGTTTGTTTCTTTAAGAAGTCTTCACGGGACCATAGTTCTTAAATTCATCCATGTTTGAAAATGTCTACTGTTTGTCTCTTTATGCCTGGAGAACACTTTATGCCTGGGGAAAACTTTATGCCTGGAGAACTATAAAAATCTCTGAAGTGCATAATCATTTCCCTGAAGACTTGACAGAAAGTTGAAATTTATCTGATTTTTTTCCCTTATAGATGACCAGATTCTTCCTTTATCTTTGAAATTTTATATATTCACCAGAAAAGATACATTACCAGTTTGATCGCTTTCATGCATTTTTGCTGAAACATCATGTGACATTTGAATTTGTAGATTCAAATATTTATTTAAAAATGATTTTTAAGTTATATTTTTGAGTACCTTTCTGGGTCTTATTGTTTTCTGTTTCATGGACCCTAAATAAATGTATACTTCATTTCTTTTGTCTGTCTTCCTTCCATAGCTTTACTTTCCTCTCTAGTCCTTTTAAACTCTTTTGGTTTGGCACAGTATTCTCAAGCTTGTTCTTCAGGTCCTTGAATTTGTTCTATCTGTCCTCCTTTCCGTGATATCTAAATGTGACATTCATTTTTGTGATGGTCTTATTTTCCCCTTCCATTTCCACCTAAGTTCTAGCATTTACAGAGGTGGTTCTTTCATTAAGTTCTCCTATCCAGGAGGACAGTTTAAAGTTTTCATCAGCTTCATGACAATACATTTGAGGTATGTGTTGTGGGCTTGTATCTATTTTTGGAAGAGGTTGTATTTCTTTTCTTTTTTAAGAGTGTTTTTACTTTGATCTCATGCTTTAAAAAATATCTGATCTTTGAATGAGAGAAAGTCTTTTTCTCAGCTCTTAGTTGAACTATAGAATAGTGCTATTTTACCCTAATCTGTCTCTAATATGATTATTTACAATGGTTCAAATGCATTTTCAGCAGAAAAATTGTTTTTTTGAATAAGTTCCAAACTTGCTTTCCTTATTAAAAGAAGCTAGTTGGAACTTGGGTCTGTGTGCTTAATTTTTAAGCAAAATGGAGCTTTTGCTCAAAATGGAGCTTCACTGCTTTCATTGGTTATAAAATTGAACCTCATGGGAAGTGTAAACATAAAAAGCATAAAGAAGAAAGCAAGAATCACCCATAATTTTTACCACTTAGAGATAATCACCATCATTTTGATGTATATAAGACTGTAATTTTTAAAGTATGTAAATTTATGTGACACATGTTTGTATATATAGTGTGTATACACACATACACAGATAAATGGCAGATATTTGCATGTGTGTGTATACACACACATTCATACATATATGTGTACTTAGTATATATATACACATACATGTGCTCATACTATACATACGTAATAAAGTGATCTAACTTTGCTTTTTCCCTAAAGGTCAGAGCTGATGTTCTCAAACCTTGCACAGAGGTCAGCCCTAGGGCACAAGAGCAAATTCATAGGGTGGGTGCCATGGGAATTGAAAAAAGTTTTTTCTTTATTTTCTCTAATTCTGATCCTGACCCTGACCCCAAACCCTAACCTTAACCCTAACCCTAACCCCTGGAATTTTAAAATTATTGAGAAAAATATAGTGAATGCTAGATGACCAGTTAGTGGGTGCAGCGCACCAGCATGGCACATGTATACATATGTAACTAACCTGTGCAATGTGCACATGTACCCTAAAACTTAAAGTATAATAAAACAAACAAACAAACAAACAAAAATATAGTGACATTGATATCTTTTAGATACTTTTTGAGATACTAAATGGAAGTAGTTCATTTTATAGTTCTGTCTTTAGATTGAGCTATGTTCCTTTCAATGATGTTATCTTTGCAAATCTGAGTTGATGAAATTAAAAGCAAGTAAATACCCTGTGAAAATTATCTGGGAACAGGAAACGAGGGTGGCAGTATTCATTCTAAGTCCAAGGCTTGAGAAATTGTGCAGTGCCCAACATTAAACAGATCCCATTAATAAGTAATTTGGTTAAGAATGACATAAAAATAATATTTCAATTTATGTGTATTATTTCTTTCAAGCATGGAAATCTGTGCCCGGCAAAACCCTCAATCAAATATATGGCATAAAAAAGATATTTTTAGACCCCTAAGATCTTAAAACAGTTACCTCTCTTCTAATTGGTCTAAAAACTTTCTCAGGAACCTGTTGGAGAATGTACTCCTTGGAAATAAGGAAGAAAGAGGATCCAGGGAACAGGAGTTTCACCACAGAGGAGCAGGAAAGGGAATTCCCAGTATGATGGCAAGTTGCTAAATTAAATGTTTTGCCCATTATTTTTTACTGGGCTGTTGGTCTTTTTCTTATTGACTTAAAGAACTCTTTATTATAGGAGATAAACCTTTGTTGTGTTGCAAATTATTTCTTGAAATGTTTTTACCTCTTGAATTTGTCTTTGAGTTTCTTTTTTCTTTGCTCTACAGAAACTTAAAATATTTATTTGATCAAATTGATTAACGTAAGGATAATTTTAACTCTCAGATCCTGTGACCCTATTAAGTTAGATACTATAACTTACAGAAACTAAGCCAGCTGTCTGACTTCTTCGGACTTTAGATTTGTTATCTGTAACATGACGAGTCTTCTGCTAGCTATTTGTGAAGTCCCTTCCAACTGTGATTATTGATCAGTATTGACTTCATGTGATGGGAAGCTTTTGACAACAAATTTAAATTAGCTCCTGGAAAAATTCTAGAAACAATCAACAACAGGATTTTAGATAAAACCATGATATTAAACATCATAAAACCACAAAATATACAGATTGAAGTGGCAGAAAAATTCAGTGACTACTGCTGAGACGACATGGAGAAAGAACACTTCCTCATTTTGTCTGAGGCCTGGTGATTCAACGGCTGTGTGAACGGAAGGTAGGGCATCAGCAGGCCTGGAAATATCAAACTGGTCTCTACCAAGCTTCTCACTAGCAAAAAGGAAAGAGACGGGAACTTGTTGAAACTCCCCCTGCAGCATGTTTTGGACACAAACATTTCTTATTGTTTTTTTTTCTTTTTTTTTTCTGTGAGTGACAACTCATTCACAAAAGAGAAAGGTGACCAGAGAGCTTTGAAACTCATTCACAGGCTATAGGGAACTTTCCTCACTCTCTGAGCTCCTCCTTAGCTCAGGTAGGAGATGGGGAAGGAGTAGGTGATAAAAGGGAGTTCATATTGCCATGCTTTTGCAACTCTTTCCCCTTCTCCCTAAATTGCTACCCCATGGAACTTTGGTTCATCTGCTGTCCTTATGTAATGCTCTGATCTGGATGCAGCTTTCATTAGCAATATCTGCAAACAGGAATGAGACATTGCATGCATTTGTTCTGAAATGATACTAATTTTAAAAACTATCTGCAAATAAATACAAGTGCTTCTCAACCAGTGTACATCTTTCACATTGCTTTGTCCAGAACATGATCAGTGAAACTAAATCTCTAGCCTCTGCACTAGACTCTTTTTAAATTTTTCATATTTTCCATTGCTGGTTAGTATTTGTTCTCACATGTATATAGAGATAAAAGCATCACAGCTATATAGCTTGTGAAGATTTCGTTTGGCCCTGTTGAAAATTACACAGTCAGAACCATTTCATTAGTATCAAGCCTCTGTCAAGATGTATGGTTAGAAATTGAGTAAGCTTGGAAATCCGTTGTATTTGCACACATTTGAGACATCCAGTGGGGCACCAGACTATAAAATAGCTGGCTTAGCAGACTAAATGGAGTAAATGCATTAGGTTTTTGCATTTAGAATCTAAGAGCATTTAGAATCATCATAGATGAGTTCCAAATGAGAAAAATAATATATATGCATTTAAAGCAAACTAAAACGTATTAGAGAAACTCTATGTGTTAGAGTAAATATTTTGATAGTCATTGTAAAGCTGTTTTAATAATGATTTTATATGGCCACATGATGCCAATTACTTAAACATGCTAGATATCTTTCATTGTAAAAATAATGCAAAAATGTTACAAACTATTCAAATATAAGGAAGAACACAGTGTGACTACCTTAACACACCGTTGTGTACATTTTTCTGTCCATCCTTACAGGTATTTGCCTTGTGCAGATTTTTTACATAGTTGTAGTTGTATAATTCAAGCACCTTTTTGCATTGGCTGCATTTTTACAACTTTATTTATAAAGGTAGAAATAGCAACAATCTTTACATATTTGTAGTGTAACTTGCTTAAACATTACTCTTATGTTGGATATTCTTTTATTTTCTATTAAAATATCACTACTATAAATATATATTCATATATATACACATAGAAAATAATTTTTTACTCAATTTAGATTATATTAATAGGAAGCATGATTTCAAAGTTAAAGTGTAACATATTTTTTATGGTTCTTGATACATATAGCTAAATTGCTTTTGGAAATGATTGTACATATTTAGAATGCAATTAGCAATGTATAAAACTGCCAGTTTCACTGCACCACCATCAAAACATGATTTCTTCAATAAACTATTTAATAGATTTAATACTTAATAATACCTTCCTGGGTTTTTTTGGTTTTCTTTTGTTTTAAATTAATGCCTTGGCAGAATAGGGTCAATGCTGCTGTGGAAATATAGTCATGGAGCAAGAAATTCAAGACTTTTTTTTTTTTTTTTTTGGTGTAGTTTAGCAGGAAAGGTGCAGAGAGTGTGAGAAAGAAGCCATTTCATCTGGGTGCGTGGTGAAGTATAGAAGGGTTCCTATTTAAAAATCTAGGGTTTTTCTCCTACTTTTTAAAAATTTGGCCTATTCTCCTATTTCCTTATGACTGTGTAAAGAAAAAATCCCCACCACCTGCCACTTTAATAAGAAATGTACTATTTTGTTCCAAAGGGCACTTGTTTTGCATGTGTCAGCTGAAGACAGAGGCTCATGTGAAGCTTAATCTGGACGGAACTGTGCAGTCCCTACCACCATCACAGCTCTAGAGCCATGGAAAGTCCAACAACTAATTTCTGGGCACAGTTTACTGAGGAGGAAACTTTTGATTCTATAGTCTGTCTTTGGGGACTCCAGTAGATTTTTTTGAAGTATGTTTAATAATGTCTGGTACGTGGAAGTCCTGAGACTTCAAACAGCCTCAGACCATTTGGCTCTTGGTCAGTTAGAGCAGGTGATTCAACTGCTTCTGCAATAGGTAGCAGGCAGGACACAAAAGGAGCTAGCCAAGGACTTATTGCAGTTGAGACAGGAAGGAGAGACTGCAACAGCCTGCTACCATGAAAGGTGTATGTGTGTGTGTGTGTCTGCATGTGAGTTCATTGGCCGGGGTAGTAATGGTGTTTAGGACTACATTTGTTATCTAGGTAATGTAGGGGCAAGGGAAATGAGATAGCCCTGTTTTTGTTTTCAGTGTTTTCCTTCAAGGCCTGTTTTTCTCTCTGGGTTGAGAACTAGGACCATTTTCCTGGTTACTGTTTCTACTACTTAGGGAAGTGTAGGGAGAACATACCTTCCTGTGTGTGAATTAGAGCAAAGGCCAAGTCTCTATGTGTGCATGTGCCTGCACATGCCAGTGTTCTGCATTTGAAATAGGTCTGGTGGGCCATTAAAAGGGACACGGGCTTGAGCGTTTTTGGTCTTAAAGGTAGGGGTGACTTAAGCAGTTATAGCCTTTGTAGAAAGAGTCTATAGAACCAGACACATCGAAGGTCTAGGAGAAGAAAAAATGGTTCTCCTGGGAGAACAACATTCCTGGGAGATAGTTTACCTACTAATGAAGATATGGCTGATCAGGCAATAAGAATTGAAGGAAACAACCCTTGATGGTGAAATTGGAAACCACAAGGAAGAGAAAATGATTGAAGTCATGGGGATGGTGTACTTGTCACGGAAAAGCATGTTGAAGATGGGAAGAAATAGAAACAAACTTAGATGTGGAGACCTGAGTGGAAGGAGCAAGTAGAGCAGAAACTCACAAATGTAAGGTCAGTTTTACATTTGTCACTTTAGAAAATCAGAATTAAATTTATGTTTTAGGAATTTTAGGATAAAATAAATAGGCATTCTTCTATCTTCTTAAGAGTATTGTGAGCATTATAGTAATTCAGTTTCCAGGTATATGCACCAAAGAATTGAAAGCAGGGATTTGAACAGATATTTGCACACCCATGTTCATAGCAGCATTATTCACAATAGCCAAAAGGTGGAAGCAACCCAAGTGTCCACTGATAGATGAATGGATAAACAAAGTGTGGTACATGGCATATAACCCAGTCTTAAAAGAGAGGAAATTCTGATACATGCTAAAACGTGGATGAACCCTGAGGACATTATACTGAGTGAAATAAGCAAGTCACAGAATGATAAATACTGTATGATTCCATGTAATCATAATTATATTCCATGTAATAAATACTGTATAATTCCATGCACTCTAAGTAATCAAAATTCATAGAGATAGAAAATACAATGGTGGTTGCCAAGGTCCAGGGGAAGGGGGAATAGGAAGGTAGTAGTGTTTAATAGATACAGAGTCTCAGGAAGATTAAAAAGTTCTAGAGATGGAAGATGGTGATGGCTGCACAGTAATATGAATGTACTTAATGCCACTAAACTGTATACTTAAAAATCGTTAAGATGGCAAATTTTTTGTTATGTGTATTTTACCACAATGAAAACAAGTGGAGGGCTCAAAAATATATACATTTCATAAAATTACAGTAATCTGACAACCACAGTTTTCGGACCACTAGAGTTCATTAATAGTGATTTAAATTTTTATAGCAATTGAAAAAATCTGAGATCTTTCACAAACACAAGATTTAGTTTAGTCCTTTATAGTTGTTCCTAAAGTTGTCTATTAAAATTACTTATTAAACTCCATAAACACACAAAATACAAATGTCTGGGCCCTGCCCCAGACCTATTGAATCATACTCTCCAGGGATAGATGCCAAACATTCACATCTTAACAGGTGCTTCAGAGGACCCTTATGCAGCAAAAAAATACAAGTGCCCCCCCACACCCAAATTACTCTTCCCTCTTTAGACCTGGGGGTAGGCCTCTTGGGGATCATGCAGAGAAAAGATCTTTTAAATTTTATCCTTTCAACAAATGTATGAGAGGCTAGTCTGGGGAAATAATACTTCTTAATCACCTTGATAATTTATAAAAATGCATAAGCATTTTATAAAAGGGAATAAGGGAGGACCAGTAATAAAAGATGTAATTATTGCCATCTTTGGTGAGTGGAAGTTTAGTGTCAGGTATTTGATTTAGAAAAATAAAGAAATGTGACAGTCCTACCACTTCAAGCATTGTAGAAGTATATATATGTCTGCGTGTGTGTGTGTGAAATATATATTATATATATTACTATTTTTTCCATTGCCTTTCATTAAAAAAATTTTTATTTTACTTTAAGTTCTGGGATACATGTGCAGAATGTGCAGGTTTATTGCATAGGTATATGTGTGCCATGGTGGTTTGCTGCACCTGTCAACCCGTCATCTAGGTTTTAAGCCTCACATGCATCAGGTATTTGTCCTGATGCTCTTCCTCTCCACCTCTCCCATGACAGGCCCCAGTGTTTGTTGCTCCCCTCCCTGTGTCCATGTGTTCTCACTGTTCAACTCCCACTTATGAGTGAGAACACGTGGTGTTTGGGTTTCTGTTCCCGTGTTAGTTTGCTGAGGATGATGGCTTCCAGCTTTACCCATGTCCCTGCAAAGGACATGATCTCATTCCTTTTTATGACTGCATAGCATTCCATGGTGTATATGTGCCACTTTTTCTTTATCCAGTCTATCACTGATGGGTATTTGGGTTGGTTCCATGTCTTTGCTATTGTAAATAGTGCTGCAATAAACATACGTGTGCATGTATCTTTATAGTAGAATGATTTATATTCCTTTGGGTATATACCCAGTAATGGGATGGCTGGGTCAAATGGTATTTCTGGTTCTAGATCCTTGAGGAATCACACTGACTTCCACAATGGTTGATCTAATTCACATTCCCACCAACAGTGTAAAAGCGTTCCTATTTTTCCACAGCCTTGCCATCATCTGTTGTTTCTTGACATTTTAATAATTGCCATTCTGACTGATGTGAGATGGTATCTCACTGTGGTTTTGATTTGCATTTCTCTAACCATCAGTGATGTTGACCTTTTTTTCATATGTTTGTTGGCTGCATAAATGCCTTCTTTTGCGAAGTGTCTGTTCATATCCTTTGCCCACTTTTTGATGGGGTTTTTTTTTTTCTTGTAAATTTGTTTAAGTTCCTTGTAGATTCTGGATATTAGACCTTTGTCAGATGGGTAGATTGCAAATATTTTCTCCCATTCTGTAGGTTGCCTGCTCACTCTGATGATAGTTTCTTTTGCTCTGCAGGAGCTCTTTAGTTTAATTAGATCTCATTTGTCAATTTTAGCTTTTGTTGGAATTGCTTTTGGCTTTGTTGTGATGAAATCTTTACCCATGTCTATGTCCTGAATAGTATTGCCTAGGTTTTCATCTAGGGTTTTTATGATTTTGGATTTTACATTTAAGTCTTCAATCCATCTTGAGTTAATTTTTGTATAATGTATGAGGAAGGGGAGTCCAGTTTCAGTTTTCTGCATATGGCTAGCCAGTTTTCCCAGCACCATTTATGAAATAGGGAATGCTTTCCCCATTGCTTGTTTTTGTCAGGTTTGTTGAAGATCAGTTGGCTGTAGATGTGTAGTGCTATTTCTGAGGTCTCTGTTCTGTTTCATTGGTCTATATGTTTGTTTTGGTACTAGTAACATGCTGTTTTGGTTACTGTAGCCTTGTAGTATAGTTTGAAGTCAGGTAGTGTGATGCCTCCAGCTTTGTTCTTTCTGCTTAGGATTGTCTTGACTATATGGGCTCTGTTTTGGTTCCATATGAAATTTAAAGTAGTTTTTTCTAATTCTCTGAACAATGTCAATGATAGTTTAACAAGAATAGCATTGAATGTATAAATCACTTTGGGCAGTATGGCCATTTTCATGATATTTATTCTTCCTATCCATGAAGATAGATTTTTTTTCCATTTGTTTGTGTCCTCTCTTATTTCGTTGAGCAGTGGTTTGTAGTTCTCCTTGAAAAGGTCCTTCACTCCCCTTGTTAGGAGTATTCCTAGGAATTTTATTCTCTTTGTAGCAATTGTTAACGGGAGTTCATTCATGATTTGGCTCTCTCCTTGTCTATTGTTGGTGTATAGAAATGCTTGTCATTTTTGCACATTGATTTTGTATCCTGAGACTTTGCTGAAGTTGCTTATCAGCTTAAGGAGTTTTGGGGCTGAAATGATGAGGTTTTCTAAATATAGAATCATATCATCTGCAAACAGAGACAATTTGATTTCCTGTCTTCCTATTTGAATACACTTTATTTCTTTCTCTTGCCTGATTTCCCTGGCCAGAACTTCCAATACTATGTTGAATAGCAGTGGTGAGAGAGGGTATCCTTGCCTTGTGCCGGTTTTCAAAGGGAATGGTTCCAGCTTTTGCCCATTTGATATGATATTGGCTGTGGTTTGTCATAAATAGTTCTTATTATTTTGAGATATATTCCATCAATACCTAGTTTATTGAGAGTTTTTAACATGAAGGGATGTTGAATTTTATTGAAGGCCATTTCTGCGTCTATTGAGATAATCGTGGAGTTTTTGTCATTAGTTCTGTTTATATGATGGATTAGGTTTATTGATTGGTGTATTTGAACCAGCCTTGCATCCCAGGGATGAAGCTGACTTAATCGTGGTGGATAAGCTTTTTGATGTGCTGCTGGATTCAGTTTTTCATTATTTTATTGAGGATTTTTACATTGATGTTCATCAGGGATATTGGCGTGAAGTTTCTTTTTTTGTTGTGTCTCTGCCAGGTTTTGGTATCAGGATGATGCCAGCCTCATAAAATGGGTTAGGGATGAGTCCCTTCTTTTCAATTGTTAATGGTTTCAGTAGAAATGGTACCATCTCCTCTTTTTACCTTTGGTAGAATTCAGCTGTGAATCTGTCTGTTCCTGGGCTTTTCTGGTTGGTAGGCTATTAATTACTGCCTCAATTTCAGAACTTGTTATTGGCCTATTAAGGGATTCAACTTCTTCCTGGTTCAGTCTTGGGAGGGTGTATGTGTCCAGGAATTTATCCATTTCTTCTAGATTTCCTAGTTTATTTGTGTAGAGGTGTTTATAGTATTCTCTGATGGTAATTTGTATTTATGTGGGGTCAGTGGTGATATCCCCTTTATCATTTTTTATTGTGTCTATTTGATTCTTCTCTTTCTTCTTCTTTGTTAGTCTAGCTAGTGGTCTATCTATTTTGTTAATTTTTTCAAAAAGCCACTCTTGGATTCATTGGTTTTTTTGAAGGGTTTTTGTTTGTTTGTTTGTTTCTATCTCCTTCAGTTCTGCTCTGCTCTTAGTTATTTCTTGTCTTCTGCCAGCTTTTGGATTTGTTTGCTCTTGCTTCTCTAATTCTTTCAATTGTGATGTTAGGATGTCAGTTTGAGATCTTTCTAGCTTTCTGATATGGTCATTTAGTGCTATAAATTTCTCTCTTAACCCAGCTTTAGCTGTGTCCCAGAGATTCTGGCACGTTTTCTCTTTATTCTTATTGGTTTCAAAGAATTTTCTGATTTCTGCCTTAATTTCATTATTTACCCACGAGTCATTCAGGAGCAGGTTGTTCAATTTCCATGTAGTTGTGTCGTTTTGAGTGAGGTTCTTAACAGGACTGTTTGAGTGAGGTCCTCTCACTTTTGTGATTTCAGTATTTTTGCATTTGCTGGGGAGTGTTTTCCTTCCAATTACGCGGTCAATTTTAGAATAAGTGCCATGTGGCACTGAGAAGAATGTATATTCTGTTGATTTGGGGTGGAGAGTTCTGTAGATATCTCTCAGGTCCACTTGATGCAGAGCTGAGATCAAGTCCTGAATATCCTTGTTAGTTTTCTGTCCCGTTGATTTGTCTAATATTGACGGTGGGGTGTTAAAGTCTCCCACTCTTATTGTATGGGAGTCTAAGTCTCTTTGTAGGTCTCTGAGAATTTATTTTATGGATCTGGGTGCTCCTGTATTGGGTGCATATGTATTTAGGATGGTTAGCTCTTCCTGTTGCATTGATCCCTTGACCGTTATGTAATGCCCTTCTTTGTCTTTTTTGATCTTTGTTGGTTTAAAGACTGTTTTATCAGAGACTAGAATTGCAACCTCTGCTTTTTTTTTTGCTTTTCATTTACTTGGTAAATTTTCCTCCATCTGTTTATTTTGAGCCTAGGTATGTCTTTGCATGTGAGATGGGTTTCTTGAATACAGCACACTAATGGGTCTTGAACTCTTTATCCAGTTTACCAGTCTGAGTCTTTCAAATGGGCCATTTAGCCCATTTATATTTAAGGTTAATATTGTTATGTGTAAATTTGATCCTGTTCTCATGATGCTAGCTCGTTATTCTGCACACTAGTTGCTGTGATTTCTTCATAGTGTCATTGGGCTTTATATTTTAGTGTGTTTTTTTGCAATGGCTGGTACAAGTTTCTCCTTTCTGTGTTTAGTGCTTCTTTCAGGAGCTCTTGCAAGGCAGGCCTGGTGGTGACGAAATCTCTCAGCATTTGCTTGTCTGAAAAGAATTTTATTTCTCCTTTGCTTCTGAAACTTGGTTTGGCTGGATAGGAAATTCTGAGTTGAAAATTCTTTTATTTAAGAATGTTGAATATTGGCCCTCAATCTGTTTTGGCTTCTAGGGTTTCTGCTGAGAGATCCGTGCTAGTGTTATGGGCTTCCCTTTGTAGGTGACCTGGCCTTTCTCTCTGGCTGCCCTTAACATATTTTCCTTCATTTTGACTTTGGAGAATCTGATGACTATGTGTCTTGGGGTTGATCTTCTCATGGAGTATCTTAGTGGTATTCTGTTTTTCCTGAAATTGATTGTTGGCCTGTCTTGCTAGGTTGCAGAAGTTCTCCTGGATAATATTCTGAAGTGTGTTTTCCAACTTGGTTCCATTCTCCCTGCCTCTTTCAGGTACTACAATCAATCACAGGTTCAGTCTTTTTACATAGTCCCATGTTTCTTAGAGATTTTGTTTATTCCTTTTCATTCTTTTTTCTCTAATCTTGTCTGTCTGTCTTATTTCAACAAATGGTCTTCAATCTCTGATATTCTTTCTTCCACTTGATTGATTTGGCTATTGATACTTTTGTATGTTTCATAAAGTTCTCATGCTGTGTTTTTCAGCTCTATCAGGTCATTTATGTTCCTCTCTAAACTGGTTATTCTAGTTAGCAGCTCCTGCAACCTTTTATCAAGGTTCTTAGCTTCTTTCTTTGGATTAAAACATGCTCCTTTACCTCAGTGAAGTTTGTTGTTAGCCACCTTCTGAAGCCTACTTCTGTCAATTCATCCATCTCATCCTCCATGCAGTTCTGCACCCTTGCTGGAGAGGTATTGCAATCATTTGGAGGAGAAGAGGCGCTCTGGCCTTTTTAGGTTTTCAGTTTTTTTTTGTTGTTGATTCTTTTTTTTTTTTTTTTTTTTTAAGACAAAATCTCTCACTCAGTTGCCCAGGCTAGAGTGCAGTGGCATGATCTTGGTTCACTGCAACCTCTGCCTTCCAGGTTCAAGTGATTGTCCTGCCTCTGCCTCCTGAGTAGCTGGAATTACAGACACATGCTATCATGCCCGGCTAATTGTTTTGTATTTTTAGTAGAGACGGGGTTTTGCCATGTTGGCCAGGCTGGTCTCGGACTCCTGACCTCAGGTGATCCACCCACCTCAGCCTACCAAAGTGCTGGGATTATAGGCGTGAGCCACCTTGCCTGGCCTCACTGATTCTTTCTCATCTTCATGAGTTTGTCTAGTTTCAGTCTTTGAGGCTGCTGACCCTTGGATGAGGTTTTTGTGGGAACATTTTTTTTGGTTGATGCTGTTGTTTTGCTTTCTGTTTGTTTGTTTTTCTTCCAATAGTCAGGTCCCTCTTCTGTAGGGCTGCTGTGGCTTCCTGGGGTTCATTTCAGGCCCTATTCATCTGGTTCACTTCCATGCCTGGAGATGTCACTTGAGGAGGCTGGAGGACAGCAAAGATGGGTGCCTGCTCCTTCCTCTGGGATCTCTGACCTCAAAGGGCACTGACCTGATTCCAGTAGGAATGCTCCTGTACAGGGTGTCTGACAACCCTTGTTGGAGGGTCTCACTCAGTTAGGTGGTATGGAATGCAGGACCCAATTAATGAAGCACTTTGGCTGTCCCTTGGTAGGGGGCTGGTGTGCTGCCATGTGGGGGAAACCCACTCATCTGGGCTTCCTGTATTCCTCAGAACTAGCAGGAGGAAACACTAAGTCTGCTGGTTCATGGAGACTATGGCCACCCCTCCTGCTAGGGGCTTAGGCCCAGGGAGATTACGGTTCTGTCCCTGAGCCCCTGGCTGGAGTTGTTGGAGTTCCTGCAGTGAGGCCCCACCCAGTGAGGAGGGATGGGTCAGGGTCAGACCTGAAGAGGCACTCTGGCTGTAGTCTGCCACAGCCGGTGTGTTGGGCTGTGGGGGATACCTCTTGGGACCAAGCCATCCAGCCTCCCTGGCTCCAGCAGGGGAAAAGCATGACCTGGAGCTATGGAGATGGCTGCTGCCCTTCCCTTGCCCTGGGGGCTTAGTGTGTTAGGCAGCTAGCAGTCCCAGTGTTGGCTGCCATCCCTCCCTCAAGGAGCTCAAATGGCTTAGACAGCGGGAAGCCGCAGCTGTGGTGCTGGCCGCCCCTTCCCCCAATAACTCTGCAGGCTTAGGCAGATTCTAGCTGAGTGGCTGTTGAAAATCTATGTGGCTTCATGGTTGGGACCCTAGACCTGGGTGGCATGGGCTCATGAGTGGGATCTTCCATTGCACAGTTCCATGGGAAAAGCATGGTTTCCCAGGCTGAGTAGCATGCTTGCTCACTGCCTTCTTGGCTGGTGGGTGGGGGCTCCCCTGACCCTTGTGGGTCTCAGGTAGGCCGCAGAACCACACTGGTCTTCCTTTCTCTTGGTGGGTCATGCCAGCCGCCTAGTCAGTGCTGATGACAGAACCTGGATACCTCGGTTGCCAGCACAGGATTTGCAGGCTGTTTTGTTTCTTTTTGATGCAAGCCTCCAATTGTGGCTGCTTCTAGTCATCCATCTTGGGCCTGCCCCCCAGTTGCCTTTCCAGACCTGTGTAGGGCAGAGCCTTTGGGTTTATGTATAGAAAGAATGCAAATGCAAAACATTAAATTTCAAGCCAGTAGATAATGGTTCTCAATCCTTTTAACTGGATGCCCCAGCAGATCACAGAACAGCAACATGAGTTCTAGAACAAATGCAAAAGGTGCTCTGGTAGAGGACTTCCTGCCAGAACAAGTTTTCAATGACAAATATGACCTGTTTTGGATAAGACGTATTCTAGACTTTTATTTACTCTGCTTTTAAGTATTATATATATTTAGCCCTTAATTTTTTGTTCCTGTCAAACCTTTTATTTTCCACGAAGAAGTATTGTCAACCAACCATTCTGCCAGCCCCAGAACTTTTCACATGCAACTTTTTCTCCCCATGGTTGGCAAGGGATCACTGTAATTATTTCAGGCATGAAAATAAGCATTTATACACTTACTTTTCATTACCTTAAGAAAAACTGAACAAGTAACTGGAAGCATTTTAATAAGTGTGGCAGGGCAAGGTATTAATAATTTACAGGAGCAATATCCCTGTACACAATCCCTTCCTCGCCCCATTGGAGTAGTCTTATCAGAAAAAAGAAAAAATAATAAGAGCTGATTATTCCCATGGAAGATTGTCCTGAGGGCATTTGTAAAGGTAAAACTTTGAAGCTGCAGTCTTGGCACCTGTAGTTGAGAAGATGTCTCACTGAAGGGACCTGGGACAGACCCATCTCTGATTCTCTATGGGCTGCTATGTTACCAGTTCTCAAAGATGGGGGAAGAGAATTGTGCTCAGGCTGAGTTCTGCACTCAAATGAGGAACGGTAAGATGGCAACCACAATGGAATAAGAACCTGCCCTCCCCCACCCTTTTTCTCTGGACCTTGTCAGCCCTAGGATCCTTGTAAAGTCCCTCCCTTGAAGGGAGTGGAAGTAAGTATGTACCAATGACTGATATTGATCAGCTGCTTTCCTACCTAGGTGAGCAAGGGCTCAGATTGCAGAGTAATTTGATATAGAAAACTAAATTGAACAATTCTAGCACCTTGTGTTATGCAGGAACTTATTCATGTTATATATGATGATGGATATTGCCTACCATTTTTTAATAAAATTGATTTCCACAAGACCTGTTTTTTTGGGGGGTTGGGTAGGGGGGCTTGATTTTTCCTACAGGAAGATGAGTCTTTCCCTGGATCAAGTGTGGGAGAAAGAGGGGAAGACCGTGGAACTGGTTCTGAGCAAAAGTGTAAGTTACACTATTATGGAAAAGATCTATGCACATTTTGAAACTCGAAGGTTTTCCAGAATTATTGAGTTTATACAAATTCTGTTTTTAAGGCTGAATTAGCAGCTATCAGAATCCATTACAATTTTTTTGTTTTCTTTTTCTTTTTCTTTTTTTCTATAATAGAATAGGCTTGCTGTTGAGGAAATGTGTGAAAATACCAGTGGGGGAGCAGATTTTTCTAACTGATTAAAATATGTGGAGCTGCTGCAATGATTTCCTCTGTGTTTCCTTTGGCTACAGATAATACCACAAAGCTAACTCAGTGACGCACATGGCCAGCTGATAACAGCTGACACATGTGAATCGAAAGCCAAGTGTGTATTATCAGAAAGTGAGTTAAAAACCCATAAAACTCCCCACTGTCTGACTTGAAAACATTCCTCTTGAAATTTTAATGACATGGTAGGTAATATTTTTAATTCTGCGTGCTAAAACACTTCCAGTGAAATCTGAGAGTAAAAGCATGTCCCTTTAATCAATATGAGCTAGATATACAACCTAAGTATTAATATATTCCTGCAATAGCAGGATTCCTGAGAATTGCGTAAAATTGGTATCATTCATTAGGATGTACAACTAAATATTGGACGATCTTGATTTGCCTTTTAAAATTTAATTTTAATATTGTAATCAAACATTGACAAAGTTAAAAAACTCCAACAGTACCATAGCTTTAAAAAGAAAACCAGCAGTCCTCTGCTAAAACCCTTCCCATCACAGATTCCTGTTCCCTGGAGATACTTTCAATTATTGTAGTCGTTATGTTTATTGTTTACTGTAATATTTTAAAATAATCTTATACTATTATTTCTTCAATTTTAATTCATAAAAATTATCTAATGACTTCATATTACTGAAGATATGAATTTTGGTCTCTTCTACTGCCCACTTCTCTGTTCACACTTTCCTTTTCCTATCCTTCCAATGCGACTTTTGATGAAATCAGTTTGGTACATTTTTCTTGGTTAAATTCCCTGCTTATTATGATTATTTAAACATAATTCACCACTGAGCCATAGTGAATTATGATCCTATTTCTTTCTTATACAGCTTTTCATTTTTCATACTAATTGCTTTTTGTCAAGTTTAGTCTTCTATGCAGCCATCATTAATTTATTCCCAAACTTCCCACAGGACTTCAGATCTTCTCTCATCTCTCAATATGTTAAAATACACCTAAAAGTTAAATAAAAAAATAAGCTAATAGGTACTAGGCTTAATACCTGTGTGACAAAATAATCTGCACAAGAAACCCCTATGACACAAGTTTAGCTACATAACAAATCTGCACATGTACCCCTGAACTTAGAATAAAAGTTAACTAAAAAAAAAAAGTCCACCAAATGTGGGCCATGAAGATGCGCAGCCCAGATCTCCTTACAGAGTCTGCTATAGGACACATGGGGATTGCCTTCAGTTGCTGCTCCTACAGCTGCTTAGAACATGCTTCCCCTAGGTTGTTCTCGGCCAATGACTGAACATGGCTGGGGTATTAGGGCCTAGTCCTGTCCTAGTACCAATGAACAACTTTTGTGTGGGACTCCCCTCTCCACTGGCCTGGCTACAACTTTCTCAGAACTGTGCTGTGGTCTGGGGCTTTTCTACCCAATCCTCCCTTCCCTCTCCTTTCAAAAGGTCATATCTGCAAACAGTTATCCCTGCCTAATCCTGGTCTGGCCCCCTTTATCCTTCACAGACATTCCCCCCAGTAAATTTCTTGCACATCCAATCTCATCTTGGCACCTGCTTCTCAAAACGGGGCCCTGAGAGGAGTCTGAGAAAGCAGGCTCTAAGATGGACATGTGGATTGGCTTACTCTTTGCCCTGATGGTGGTAAGGAGGACCCCATCCTGAGAGTAATATGAGGTCAATGGAACCTGGTACAGTTGGAGGCTCAATTACTTAAATCTCACTTGTGGTGATTTGGGAAAACAGCCAGAGGGCTGATGATTGCTAAGTTATATTGATGTCCTACAAAGGATAATGAAAAACTGAGAGTGATTAACAAATAGTGAAAGGCTAAATGTAAGTGCCAGAGGGACTGTTGGTAGTTCACAAATAGGTCCTTATCTTCCACAGTAGAAGAACATACACAGCTGAGAAGCAGACATGGGATTTTATAGTTAAAGTCACAAAGCCTCAGAAACATTTAAATGCTCAGCTGAGGCAGGTTCTGGAACCCTGACACATGCGATAGAGACATCTAGGAGAATGCCTTGAGATTTTTTTTTTTTGAGACGGAGTCTTGCTCTGTCACCCAGGCTGTAGTGCAGTGGTGCGATCTCGGCTCACTGCAAGCTCCTCCTCCTGGGTTCACGCCATTCTCCTGCCTCAGCCTCCCTAGTAGCTGGGACTACAGGCACCTGTCACCATGCTTGGCTAATTTTTTGTATTTTTAGTAGAGATGGGGTTTCACCATGTTAACCAGGATGGTCTCGATCTCTTGACCTCATGATCCGCCTGCCTCGGCCTCCCAAAGTGCTGGGATTACAGGCGTGAGCCACCGCGCCTGGCCAAGGGTCTTGACACTACAGATCCCCTGAACCCTCAGAGCTTACGGAGACATCTCCTTTTTCCATAGCAAGGGCTACTGCTTCCTCTAATTGGAAGATGCTGGAGAGGCCTCTTCCCAATCAGGCAAGCGCCGCCTCAGGAATGCCTCCATTCCTGAGGGTCAAATCCCAGTGCAGCTTCATGGGGAATGTGCTGGGCCTGGTAAGAAAGGAAAGAAACCATGTACTAAAGGAACAGCAGGAACTAGTTAGCATGAACTAGCAGAAGCCAGGGGAGTATATTAGTGATTGGATTTTGAGGAGGTGATATGGTTTGGCTCTGCGTCCCCATCAAAATCTCATCTTGTAGCTCCTATAATTTCCACATGTTGTTGGGGGGATCCGGTGGGAGACTATTGAATCATGGGGGTGGGTCTTTCCCATGCTGTTCTCATGATAGTGAATGGGTCTCACAAGATCTGATGGTTTGAAAAACAGGAGTTTCTCTGCACAAGCTCTCTTTGCCTGCCACCATCCATGTAAGATGTGACTTGCTTCTTCTTGCCTTCCACCATGATTGTGAGGCCTTTCCAGCCACATGGAACTGTGAGTTCAAGTAAACCTCTTTCTTTTGTAAATTGCCCAGTCTCGGGCATGTCTATATCAGTAGCATGCAAATGAACTAATACAAAAGGCTTGATCAAGGGGACCGAGAAATGAAATTGTATAAGCAAAATTTATTGACTTGGGGGTACTTTCTTGGGACATAGGATCCTGGCAAGGACCCCAAGTGATGGAACAAACTTGTTGCCAGCATGGACCTTTGAAACCTGGAAAAAGCAATGGTCTGAATGAAGTGGAAATGCCAGACATCAGAAGAATTACAAAGGCTAAGGGAATCAGGCAAAGAGTGAAGACTTTAAATCAGATGTTAATGCCTACCAGAAAGCATACACCATGGAAGAGGCACTGAACAACTAAATTGACAAAATAACTTGGTCATTTGGCATTATCCAGTCTTCATGATTGGTCACTCTGGTACTAATGGGAAAGGAATAATAACATAGTGGTCATCATGGTGGCAGAGATGAAAGATATACATGGGCCCAACAGTGGGAACTTTCCCACTTACCAAGGTCAATCTACCTACTGCTGCCTCTGAACATCCAGTTTGTCATTAACCAAGATCAACACTGAGCCCTGATATGGCATTATTGCTCTAGGGGACCAAATAACCACTTGGTGGCAAACCAACCAAATTGGGTCTCTTATCTGGTGGATGGACCAGCAGTTCGTCCACTCTGGGACAGATACCTATTCTGGGTATGATTTCCTGCCCACTGAGATTCAGCTAACACTGTTTTCTGGGGGCTTAAAGAATACTTGACTCATAGGCATGGAATCCTGTACAGCATAGCATCAGACAGGGGACTCACTTCACAGTGATGTAGGTGTGGGAGTAGGGCTATGACATGGGATTCACTGATCCTATCACCTACTGCATCATTTAGAAGCAGCTGCTCCATAGAGGGTTGGGATGACTTTCTAAAGGCACAGTGAGAGTCCTAGTTAGGAGGCAATACTCTGTGAGGATGGTGTATCATTATTCAGGATGTAGCATATGCATTAGACTGGAGAACTTCATATTGTATTGTGACCCCAGGAGGACGAATACATGGATCTGGGTACCAAGGAGGTGGAACCAGAAATAGCTCCATCCCAGTGATCTGCTGGGGGCCTTTGTACTTTCCATCTTGCAACTTTGGGCTCTGCATGATTGAAAGTCTGTACTAGTTTGGGTTCTCTAGAGAAACAGAACCAATAGGATACACACACACACACACACACACACACACACACACACACACACACACCCCTTCCATTCCTGAGGGCCAAATCCCAGTACAGCTTCATGGGGAATGTGCTGGGCCTGGTAAGATGTGTGTGTGTATGTGTATTTTTATATATAATATATGTCCTATATATTTAGAAGTACATATATACTTCTTATATATTTATATATACTATTTATTTACTTATATATATAATCTTATGTTCTATCTATTTAGAAGTATGTATATGTCCTATATATTTAGAAGTATATATTTTTATATACAATATATAGTCCTATATATTTACACTTTATATATACACATTATATTAAATATATATACATTATATGGTACCTTCATATTAAATACATAAAGTATATGATATACTTCCTAATATATAGGACATATATTAAGAATATATGTTTTTATATCTCTCTATATATTTATATGTATAGAGACATATCCTATATGTATATTCTTAGTATATATGTACTATATAAAGGACATATACAAATATATATGGTTTTTTTAATAAGTTTTTTTTATTTTTTAGTTGTATTTTAACATATTGAGAGATGAGAGAAGATCTGAAGTCCTGTGGGAAGTTTGGGAATAAATTAATGATGGCTGCATAGAAGACTAAACCTGACAAACAACAATTAGTATGAAAAATGAAAATATACAAATGTATATGTCCTTAATCTATATAGGACATATATATTAAGAATATATCTCTGTATATCTCTTATCTTTCTATCTATGGAGGGATTGATTTATTATAAGAAATTGGCTTACAAAATTATGGAAGCTGAGAAGTCCCATGACCTGTAGTCAGTAAGCTGAAGACCCAGGTGATCTGGTATTAACGGTATAGTTTCAGTCCAAGTCTGAAGGCCTGAGAACCAGGAGAGCTGGTGGTGCAAGTTCCAGTCTGAATGCCAGCAAATACTGATGTTGCAGTCTAAAAATAGGCAGAGGGAGTGAATTCTCCCTCACACTGCCTTGTATTCTACTTAGGCCACCAACAGATTGGGTGAGGCCCACCCACACTGGGGAGGGCAATCTGCTTTACTCAGTCTGCTGGTTCAAATGTTAACCTCATCCAGAAAGACCCTCGCAGACACACCCAGAATAATGTTTAACCATATATCTGGGCACCCTGTGGACCAGTCAGGCTGATACATAAAATTAACCATCACAAAGTCTATGTCCCCAAAGGGAGTCATTCTTGCAAAGAGACACAGTAAAGGTCTCCTTGAATTATAAGCTACAGCTACTGCCAGACCACTTTTAATTTCCTGTGTCCAAGGACCAGAAATTGGGGACAGGAGGCACCATCTTGGCAGGGGCAGTTGGCAAGAGAAGGTAAGACTGCTTTCCCACAATGGGAGCAGGAAGGAATTCATGTGGAACCAGGTGGTCCTCTGGGTACCGCGCTGCCCAGTGTAACTGTGAGTGGGCACATGCAGCAATCCTAACCTGAAAAGTCTCTGATTAGAAAGAGCTCAGGCTCCTCAAGAGCAAAGTTTTGGGTGAAACCACCAGGTCAGCCTGAAGACTTTCTGAGGTGACAGCTGAAGATTAGTGGAATTCTGAGTAAATAACGATGAAAGGAGAGGACGAGTGCCCATGGCATCCCTAAAACCACCTGCAGTGACGCAACCATCATGCATCCCACCAGCTTTCCTCTTCTCAGATTCCTTTCAAGAAGAGAGGCCCATGACACTTTGGAGGAACTGCTCCTCAAATGTGCCTGAAATGAATCTTTTTTTTTTTCCCTTGGCTTCAGCATCCCAAGTAGCTGGGATTACAGGCGTCCACCACCATGCCTGGCTAATTTTTGTATTTTTAGTAGAGACGGGGTTTCACCATGTTGGCTAGGCTGGTCTCGAGCTCCTGACCTCAGGTGATCCACCCGCCTCGGCCTCCCAGAGTGCCGGGATTACAGACATGAGCCACCGAGTGCAGCTGAGAAGCGAATCTTTCAAGAAGTGTGGCTATAATGACAACAAGAGAGAAGGGAGAAACCATGTCAAGAAACAGTTTATTTAATATGAGGGAGTGTATTTTAAAGAACGCAAAGTGGGAGCGACTTATTGAAGATATAAGAGAGAGGGAAGAGATAAGTGATTGACAATAAATTGTCCCTGAGAAGATAGGAAGAAATAGGACCTTGGCAGAGGAGTGGTCAGGAGAAAAGAGAAAGATGCTCTACTGTGATCAGAGAAAAGAGTCAAAGGAGAGGTATGAGCCTACATTTATAGTTTTGGATGCAGATGGTGAGGGCATTCCTATGTGATGGGTTCTTTTTCTATTTGAAGTTTGAGGCAACTTTGCTTAGACTGAATGGCACTTGGTAGCATGAGAGTGGTGTGAAAAGAGAGGTGAGGTGATTGTGGGAATAGTAGGTGCAATTGAGATATTTGTTCAAAAACAAGTGGATCTTTAAAATCATTTTTTGAGCACTAACAATGTCAGGCACACTACTGAGCTCTTTTCCGCATTATTTCTAATATTTAAACCTATCATACTTACTCTGAGAATTAATGAATATTGCCTTTAATTTATTGGAAAAGAATGTTTTCTTACTTGTCCAATTCATTCCTTTACTTGTTTAACATATATTTACTGAGCTTCAATTATATGGCAAGCACTGTTCTCAGCATAGTAAGTAAGTGTATCAGTAATGCAAACCAAGGGCTGCCTGATTTCAAAATCCAGTTTCCTTATAGTATGTCAATAAAAATGATCCAACAATACAAAATATTGACTCTGTGAGCCCTCTACCGGGTTCACCTATTCTAATGAGACAGGGAACTACTACTTTATACAACAAAGACAGATTGATTATTTATAGTTGTTTAAATTATTTCAAGTATATTTTCAATGATAAGTTTGGAAGTTGAATTCCAATATAATTTCTTTATGGTAATTAAGAAGATGAATTAGTATCTTATTAAAATGTATTTTCCTTACATATTCAAAAGCAACATCTTGAATATTTGAAAACGCTTATGGTAAAATTATGACTAATTCATGATTTAGTGCATCGCACTTCAGCTGAAATTTACATTGGCATTTACTTTGAAGAAATAATTTGATAACCAATGTAATAATTTGCACAACATTTAAAAAAGGTTTGTGAGTTTGAGGAGTGGTTGTGGTTGCATTTAACTCATCCTTTAAAACCAGCTTTTTTTAATTGGTCAGCATATTTCTTTGTTAGTAACTCCAGTCATTTATTGAAGCACACTCAAATGATATTTACTTGCACAAACATATTAGGGTTATAATATACCTTTTCTGTTTTTAAATTTCTATTTGTTGCAATTGTAGACAGATAAACGTTATTGGCCCCCTGTGCACATGGGGCTTTTGTGGGAAAAGTGCAATGCTATAATACATTAAAAGCCATAAGCTTTTACATTAAAAAGCAGTGATGATGGGATGAGGGTAAGTGCCATCCCATGGTGTTATTGCTATAGCATCAGCTGTGGCACTATTTTCATGAACAGACTTAGAGTTGAGTACCTCTCAAAGCAATTTTTATGTTTGAACAAATACAGTGATGGATCAGCAGAGTGAGTTACTCATCAAGAACTTGGCAAGAAGGATGAGTTACGCTGAGCAAAAATGCTGCTGAGTTTAATGACTCTTTGGGAACATGTAGGCACTTAAGTCTCTGGGGTCTAAATCTGGTTAATTCACAAGTGTGAAATTGTCAGCCTACTTAAAAGAGGCAGAAATTATGCAATGCTTTTAGAAAGCAATTTTAATGTAAGAGGAGCACTGGAAGCCAGACAGGGCATAGTAGTATTATATTAATGACTTTTGTTTTGTCATGGTAGAACAGTTAATTGATTCCATGAGGAAGATGGAACAAAAGAGACTTTCTAGAAATTTCATTCTCCTTCTAGGAGAGAAGAGATAATCAGGGAAGGATTTCTCATTTTAAATCTCTGAATTAGTTCTTATTCCTGATTCAGGAAAGGTTTTCTCTAATAAGTATGCACTCAGAGTTTGAAGAAAAATGTGATGTGACTAAAGAGAAAAAACAATAATATGAAATGTCTTTATTACCTTAAATAAGTAAAATTAGATTCAACATACCCATTTGTTAGATACTGGGATTTTTGAAGGGATGATTTACCATGTATAACATGTTCTCATTTCTCAATGTATTTCACTTCCTTGGCCTTCAAATATTGCACTTGTTACTATTCTTACACTTTACCAGTGAAATTAAATCAAGGCAAATAAGAGTTTTTTTAACATGTTTTTAAAACTTTTTAGAGATAAATGTGTTCCTTCCACTCCTATCGAAAATGGAGTAACAAGGACTTTCTACCAGAAGCAACTAGAAAACCAAGATATATACGTCTGGTTTTTAAACCTTGAGCCTAAGATATCATAGGCCTGTGATTGCTTCAAGAAAAAAAAAAAAGAAAGTGCGCTCTAAAATTGCATTTTTTTTTTTTTGCATAGCAGGTAGTACAGGGAGGATGCATTCAGAGACCAGAGATTCTGCTAAATTGAAGAAAAAGAGGAACTAACCCACAAAGGCCAAATTTGTTAGAATTTGCAAGCAGTCTACCAGTGGGGAAGGAACAGCACAAAGACAGAGCTCTAGAAATCTGCAGAGAGGTTCCCACAAGTCTTTGGATGAATACTGATCTCTATAATGCATGAGAAGAAACTATCTGAGATTGGAGTGGGTGGAACACCACAAATAGAGTGAGGAGAACAGTTTCAGAGCTCAAACTGGCTAGAAATAGTTCATGTTTTCACCATTAAAGTGGAAATAATTTGTCATACAAAGAGTATTGGGTAGAATGCTCAGAAAACTGTCACCTTTGTTGTGGGGATAAACTGGCTCTATGCTAAAGGCTGCTCTCAACACACACAAAGCTTAAGGACAAGCATCAGAATGATTTAACTGGTTCCAAGCAACTTAACTGCATGCCAAAGCAAAGTCTAATGCTATTTTAAGGAATACAACAAAACTCAGTAAAGAACAACGTAAAAATCACAATGAATGGCATCCAACAGAAAACTACCAGGCATACAAAAAAAAAAAAGAATATGATTCTAGTAAGATAAAAAACAGAAACAAAATCTACAAAATAGACCCAGAAATGAAAAAAATAATAAAACCAGCAGATAAGGATGTTAAAATAGTGATTATAAATATGCTCGATATGTTTAATAAGGTAGGTAACAAGGAGATAAATAACCTAAATGGAATTTCTAAAGCTGAAAAACACAGTATCTGAAAGGGAAAATGCAATTGAATGGGGTCAACAGCTGATTAAACAATGTAGAAGAAAAGATCAGTGAACTTTAGGATGTAGAAACTATCCAAAATGAAGCCTAAAGAAAAAAAAATGGTTAAGACAAATGGACGTAACATCAGTGACCTGTGGGACAATATCAAACAGTCTAACATGTTATTACATCTAATTGGAGATAAAGAGGTGGGAGACATAAAAATATTCAACAAAAAATGGCCAAATATGATTCCAATTTGATTATAAACAGAAATTTTGAGAAGAAGCCAGAGGGGGAAAAAATCTTATCATATACGGAAGAACAAAGAATTGTCACAGATTTCTTGTCAGGAACTGTGCAAACTAAAAGACAAATTTAAAGTTCTGAAAGAAAAAAACTTGAATTTTGTACTGTTGAATATATGTTTCAAACAAATGCAAAAGGAAGACTTTTTACACACACACACACATACACACACACACACGCTCTCTTGAGAAAATTTGTCAAAAGTACACCTGTACAAGAAATGTTAAAGGAAGTTCTTTAGGGCAGAAAATTCATAACTGTTTTTTTTTTTATTCATTATGCCTTTTTATAAATGTTGACATTTTTCTTTATTGTAATGTATTTTTACCATGAAATTTACTTTACCTGAAATCAATATTGCTATTTTTATTTATTTTACCTGATTTTTGTCTTAATTAGCTACTGTTTTTTCTTCATTTGTAATATTTATAATATATTTATTTAACATACCTTTTCTAAGGTGGAATAGTTTGAATGCTACTTTTTGAATTATTCTGTGTTTGTCTCTTTTTGAATTGAATTTAAGCAACTTGAATTTAGTTATAACAAATATATTTAGTCTGTCTCCTGTCATTTTGTTTTATATTGTCTAAGGCTTCATTTTCTATGCCAATACTTTCGTATTCTAAATTTTAGGGACTATTAGTTTATGTATGGGTATGTGTGTTGCTGTTGCTTATATGGAGCATATTTTGTTTGCTTTTATAAATTGCCTACTGCATTAGAAGGCATCTGTAAGGCTTAGGTCCAATTCTATTAGTGATCACTTTCACATTCAAAACTATGCTTGAATCTTTTTTTAAATTTCCCTATTTCTGAATTTCAAGAATGAAAAAAAATTGCTACCTGTAATATTACATGAATAATTTGATGTATTTCACCATTCTTCTAGAAAATATACTCATTTTTGCTATTTCATTATGTTATTAACTTTTTAGGAGACTATCAAATTGTTTGCAACGTGATGATGTCATTTCATAGTCCCACCAACTATATAGGAAAGATGTACTTGCTATTGTAGCCTTAAAAATTTTTAGCCTTTAGAAGTTTTATAGTTTTAGTATTTATATTACGGTCTGTAATCCATCATTTTGAGTTAATTTTTTAAAAGGTGCAAGGTAAAGATTAAACTTCATTTTTACCGTATGGATATCCAGTTGGTCTAGATCACTTGTGGAAAAGACTATTTTTAACCCTGTTGAATTATCTTGACACTTTGATTATCTTGAAAATCAATTGACAATATATGTGTGGGTCTATTCTGAATTCTCAGTTTGGTTCCATGGATCTATGTATGTATTCTTATGTTGATACCATATTCTCCTGATTACTGTATCTTTATAGTAAGTCTTGAGATTAACAAGTATAAATCTTCCACTTTTCCCTCAGCTATGCTGAATCTTTTGCATTTCTACATAAGTTTTAGAATCAGCTTGAAAATTTATGTCAAAAAAGCCTGTGAGAATATTGATTAGGATTGCATTGAATCTACAGACCAATTTGGATATAATTGACCTTTTGACAATTTCAGTTTTCTAATTCATAAACATGTATGCCTTATCTTTTTGTGTATATCATTTAATTTTTCTCAAGGATATTTGTATAGGTGTTGCACAAAATTTGTTAAATTTCTTCCCTGTCTCAAAGTAGAAAATAGAAAACAATCACAGAGATGCCATTATAAAATATATAGATATAGCAATCCTCTAAAATTCCCATTTAACTCTGTAGTTTGACCGGAATGAAAGACGGCTATCTTGGAGAATGATGTTAGATTAATCAAGTAGTCACTCTAATAATAGCAACTGTTCCAACTACCATCTCCATATTGAAATCCTACAAATGTTTCCTCTTTAAAAAAAAAATTCAAAACAGAAGAACCAGCAGCATGTCTTTCACTAACTGATTCAGTTAGCTCCTGGGGCAGTGATCATCTCCCTATTTTATAGGACATCATACTCATCCGTTACATTGAAGATACCATATAGATTCTTGGATAGAATAAGAAAGAGAGTGCTAGGTGCCTTAGAGTACATGTACTGATGAAAATACAGGAGCCTGACACTTAATTAAATTTTTTGGAATTTAGGAGCCTTGGTCAAGAAAGATAGATATCTTTATTAGAGTAACTAATTTTTTTTTAAAGAGATGAAGTCTCACTTTATCACCAAGGCTGAAGTGTAGTGGGCACAATCATAGCTCACTGCAGCCTAGAACTCCTGGGCTCAAGTGATTCTGCCACCTCAGCCTCCTGAGTAGCTCGGACTACAGACACATGCCACCATGCTCAGCTAATTAAAATTTTTTATTTTTTGTTTTTTATTTATTTTTATTTTTATTTATTTTTATTTTTTATTTTTTTTTAGAGATTGGATTTCAACTATGTTGCTCAGGCTGGTCTCAAACTTCTGGCCCCAATAGATCCTCCCACTTAGGCCTCCCAAAGTGTTGGGATTACAGGTGTGAGCTACCATGCTCTACAGCAATGATTTGCTGAACCTTGTCCATCCTTCAATGTTTAGGGTATCTTTTAGATTTTGTAGGCAACTTATCCCATGTATAGGTGTGTGCTGCCTAATTTATTAACTGAATGACCTAAAAAGCTTCCCCATTAAGGCCCAGAACAAGGGAGGGCTTTCCTGATGGCCCAGGCTGCAGTGTAAACAGCTAAACTGTTTGGCTCCCATGTTGCTTAAAGTGTCTATGGAAGATACGAATGCTGTGGCAAGTCCTATAAGAGGATTGCAGAAGAGACTGGTATCTTTGATTTGAGATGCAGCTGGAATGGAAATTTGTCTCACTTCACTTTCTGCCTCATGTTTCCTCCATCACCAAGGAAGCTGGTAATAACTTGGTTGGTCTGAACCCATGCACAGCTCAGAAGTGTGAGTGAGTTAATACCCCCAAGGAAAACTTTTGACTAATTGGGGGAAGAAAGCAGATAGATAAATGCTTCTCCTGTTTCCCTCCTTCTGATAGAAAATTCAGGGAGGTATCTGGAAACTTCTCAGGAGCCCTCAACAGAACAGTGCATTAATATACTACAGCCAAATACCACTAAGAACACATCTGTGGCAGAACAAGTTCGGCTCAAGGTTCATTGCAACAAGGGAGAACTCCCCTCATAGGGATCTTTGGGACATTTCTGTAAGATGGTGTTAAAAGGACGTATAGGATTTTTAGCTATGCCAGGTATTTTGAGGAGAGTTCAAGAATGCAGGGCTTTGTTATGGATTAGATGCTGTCAGGAAGTGAGGATAATTCTGACTGGGTGTCTTAAATCTTTACAAGGTGAGAAGACTAAAGTGAGGGTAAATCTAATTGATAAAGAATCATATTAGCAAGGTTAGGGAGACGCTTGGTCATTTGTATGGTTTGGATAATGTTGTTTTTAATCTGTGTTCAGATGTGATTACGAAGTGGTATTTTTGCTCTAATTCATTACAGTTGTGGTGTGGCCTTGTTGATGTTGATGTTCTAGGAAAATTGTTCACATCCAACAGGAGAATGTTGAGACCTAGCTGTGAATGCCAGGCCAGCTCTTAGCAAAACCAAAGTCTAGCTGGTAGTTCCAGGCTATTCTTATCAGTTAAGAGCTATTTTTCTCTCTCTCAAGAACCACTGGTTTTCTGGAAGGAATAGCTTCAAGAATACCCTCTTATAATGGCTTTTCATCCTTCCTGTTGCATTCTTTCTGGCCTCTCACTCTGTCTCAGTCTATACCTTCAGCCTTCTGTAGGCATGGTAACTCAAGTTGAGATACTCTTTCAGGAACACAAACAATATTCTAAATAGTATTCCCCTTTTGAAAAACAGCTGCCCATCATGAACTGTGCTATATGATCCATCTGGCCATAAGGTCGGGACGTGCTAACTATGCTCCATCATTAAGTGGACGTAGATATTCTCAACAGGGCTCAATTGTTCCTGAAGGCAAAAGTACCTTTCCTGAATAGGACATTCACATGTCCAGTGTGCCTTCACTTTATTACCCTTCAGTTTGCTCCTGTGGCCTGTGGACATTCCCAATGACTAGTTGGCTGAGGAGGTATGGCTGTGAGTCTGCTTTACAGATGGCTCTGCATCATATGGCATCATCTGCTATAACTGGCCAAAATAATTATGAAAAAGTTCAGCTCCATTCAGGATTGGTTTAGAAAGGACATTCCTGAGGAGGCAGAATTTGAAACAGAAAAACTCATTTTCCCAATTGTATCTTGAGCTAAGGATATAAGGATGGGACAAGGATGGGGAAAAGTTCAGAGCTACTTCCTTGGCAGCAGTTTTCTGTGGCAGCCATGTCAGAGGACAGTATCATGTTGACATCAGCAGTGGCATCAATCAGTCTCATCCTGGGTTATGGTGATGGAGGACCAGGTACCTACATGCTCCACATCTTTCCCGATGCCTTGGACTTACCTAAACCTCTGAGATGAAGCTAAAATCCTGGAAAAAAAGGAAGTATGTAGGAAAACCTTGATTTCACTGAGGAAAAAATTAGAATAAACCACATTCACCATATATTGACTAATATTATGTTTTTACCACCAGAGAGGCTTGAGACAAAAAATAAGTTCAGTGATCAAGAAAACAAAGAAAATATCCACTCTCAAATTTGTAGCCTGATAATTCAGACCTGTAGTTAGAAGTATTGACAGTGGCTTTCTAGATAGAGACACTAAGAGAGAGACTAGGAAACTTAGGTTACTTAAGTTTTCTTATTTGTACTATTTTTCATACATGTAACAAAATTTTTTACAACAAATATGTATTACCTCTATAATCAGAAAACTATAAGCATTGCTTTAGAGGAATATCATCAAGGCAAAAACACTACTGAAAGTCAATGATGAGTATCTGTGACTAGTATTACTATGGTTATTATTATTACATTTAACCTAATAGAAATGGTACTATACATTTACTATTATAAACCTTATCCTAATAGGAGTTATAGTTGATTAAAACACTTAAATTTATCTTGTTGATATTTTCTTAGCTAATAATATTATACTATAAAATTAATACTTCTCGGTCTTTTTTGCAAACTCTTAAAATATGAAAGACAAAATTCTTACCTCTTGGTCATGTGAGTCATCAATGACTGTGGAAGCTACTCATGAGCTCATGCTTATTTATAATCTTGAATATGTGCTCACACAGATTATATAACATTAAGCAAGAAGCAATTCACTGGCAATGCCTAATATTGGGGCAGATAGACACTTATATGAGTTACACAGAAAATATTATTACTCACTTTTGTGGACAGTGGGGGCAGAGAGGATTTGTTTTCAGCTCTAACTTCAGTCAGGAAATGTCTCTACTGTTAACAAGAAAAGCTCTAGACTTACTAAAGTTAACAGCATTTATTTGAGCAAAGATTGATTCATGTATTGGTCAGCACTCAGAACCAGAAGACGTTCAGAGAGCTCTGCTCTACAATGTGGGCAGTGAGTATTCATAGACAGAAGACCATGGAAGCACAGAAATACCTTAATTGGTTACAGCTAGGCTTTTGCCTTGTTTGGACATGGTATGAATAACTGGCTGCTTGTCATTTGCTGAAGCTCTGCTGCTTGTGATTGGTTGAGATCCGGCTATTTTAACTCCTAAATTAGATTGCCCTACAGGTTGCAGTTCTTTAGGTAGGAACTTCAAGTATACAGACAGCCTCAGGCTAATGGCCTTCTGCTTATTTAATGTAGCAGTACCAAAAGAAGTTTCATTCTACCATATCCCCTTTCCATTACTGCAGTGTATGGAAAGCCACATTTATCCCACAGAGAGAATAGGGCTGGAACAGAGGGATCTGACCACAGTGAGAGGGCAGATCGCAGAGACTGAATAGGAGTACGGTGCTGAGTGTGTAGACAGGATTCAGAACCTTCCACAGCAATCAGCTGATACAGACTCACCGCCTAATGATTCAGAAAATGAGGGATCAAAGACTAGAATGGAGAGAGAAAAAATGAAGTGTGGCAAGAGCAACAAGGGGTAGTGGGATGCACAGAAAGGATCCAAAGGACATCAGCACTAATCCCTCAGTTGACAATAATGGCTATCTGGAAGCCACCTACCCCTGAGAAATTGTGAAGTACATGTGTAGATCTCATGACACAAAAGAATACTTTTAGTATATTGCTGCTATAATCAATATGATTAAAAGGTTAACTACAAATTTGGAGCATATTGGTCACAAAACAGCTGACATTTCTTTCTGGATATGTACCAGGTAATGCTGAGCAGTTTATATGCCTTGGGTACATTTAATTTTTCCAACAACACTATGAGGTAGGTACTGTTTTCCTCATTGAGAAAAGTGCAGAATGACCAAGTGGCTTGCTTAAGGTCCACAGCAAATGGTTGGCAGGGCCAGATTCAGGCTGAGATATCTGACTTCAGAGTCTGAGATGTTAATTACTGCATAGACTTCTTTTCCAAACTGACGGATCTCTGTGAGGAGCATCATCACATCTCTGTTAGGAGCAACTGTTAATTTATTAAAACCTACTGTAGGCTGGGTGCAGTGGCTCACACCTGTAATCCCAACACTTTGGGAGGTCAAGTTGGGTGGATGATGAGGTCAGGAGTTTGAGACCAGCCTGGCCAACATGGCGAAACCCCATCTCTACTAAAAATACAAAAAATTAGCTGGGCGTGGTGGTGTGCACCTGTAATCCCAGCTACTTGGGAGGCTGAGGCAGGAGAATAGTTTGAACCTAGGGGGTGGAGGTTGCAGTGAGCCGAGTTTGCACCACTGCACTCCAGCCTGGGTGACAGAGCGTGACACTGTCTCAAAAAAAAAAAAAAAAAAAACACCAAAAAAACCACCACTGTATATTCCTTAGAGTTTAGATAGTATGACTGAGTGGAGAAAATTTTAAGAGTGTGGATTCAGCATCTTCAACAGAATTTTTGGTTCTGTTTTCTTAATTTATCCTATAGAGTAGTTTCAGGTACTGATATTTGTGGATACTTGGACCAAATGGACCATATCAAATATTATGCCAGAGATTCTGATCCCTAAACTAAGTAGAATAGGCACTTGATTTATAATTGTGTCTTAACAACATCGTTTCTCTCTTATCTTGTGTTACTCTTTGTCATTTATTCCTCACAGGAAGAAAGAAGTACCTAAGGCCCCACCATTAGAACCTGACTCTGTGTTTCTAATGCTTCAGGCCAAGGAGGAAAACACTGTATTTAATGCGCTTGCAGTATTTCTATTCTTGCAAAATACTTACTGTTCCAAGCAAGTGAGTTTTCAAATAAAATAAGAAAAGCATTTTCCTATTTTTGCTGCTTACCTTATTGCTCTATAACCCTCTACAAGTGTATCTATTTCCAAATCGTTTTCTCTGGGGAGGCTACATTTCACACTTCTACAACATAAAATACTACCACAGAGATTCTTAACAGTTGACATTTGTAGACCTCCTTGATTGAAAGGTTGTGCAGTGAATACATTTGTTTTGGAATCAAATAAATATTATTTAAATTTGGAAATAGATACACTTGTAGAGGGTTATAGAGCAATAAGGTAAGCACCAAAAATACGAGAATGCTTTTCTTATTCTATCTGAAAACCCACTTGCTTGGAACAGTAAGTATTTTGCAAGAAAAAAATTACCTCAAGCATTTTAAGTACAGTGTTTTCCTCCTTGGCCTGAAGCATCAGAACCATAGAGTCAGATTCTAATGGTGGGGCCTTAGGTACTTCTTTCTCACCGTGAGGAATAAATGACAAGGAGCAACACAAGATAAATAAACCTGTTCTAATCTAGAGCTAATATGATATAATTTACAAATGTTCTGGTTTTAATTTTAAACAAATTATTCTGCCTGACCCCATGTTTTTCATTGCACACTAATATTGATATTTGACACATCAGATTATTAGATATTCATAACATTTGATTCCTTTGGCTATCATGGATCATTCTTTTATTCAGTAAATATTTATCGAAAGCCTTAAATGAGCCAAACTCTATTCTGATTCTGGGAATATAGTTGGTAACAAGACAAAAAAGATCACTGTTCTTGTGGAGTGAATATTCTCATGAGGAAAGAGAGACAGTATTCAAAATGTAAGAGGAATATGTTAGATAGTGATGAGTGCTCTGATGACAATAAGGCAGAGTCTGATGATAGGGAGGGACTTGGGGGCTCCTTTGGAGTGAGTAATCCAAGAAGACTGGAATGGCAAGCAGGGACCACTGCTGTAAAATCAGTGAAAGAGCATCCCAGATACAGGGAACTGACAGAGCTGCAGTCAACAACCTAGAACCAGGCTGTTCAAGGCAGAGAATGCACGAATCACAGATTGCTTTATCTAGACAAAATAATCAAAAGATATCCTGGCATTCCCCCTTCTGTTGGTGAGGCTCCAAGACCAACCTCACAAGACAAATGGTAAGACTGGTTTGTTTGGTAAGACTGGTTTTATTAACTACTCATAAAGATGGCAGAAGCAACAGAATTGACTTTCTTGCATAGTAAACAGGAGACTAGTCTGTGAGTGACCTGGAGAAGCTTAGTACGGCTGTGGCCAGTTTGATAGTTAATAGGTTAATTCTGATAATTATCAGCTGAGTTGATAGTTAATCCTATATTGAAATCCTGGAGGAGAAAGAATACAAAAGAGATGACATGGAAACCAGCTTCTTGTTCGCACTTGTTACTGAGAAAACACACTGCATAACACACAGGTTAAACGCTGTTTGCTGTTCATGGGGCTTTAATTGGAGGGTCACTCTTCTGGATGTTTGTATCACAAGTGCATTCCAGTGGCACTGGCCCAAGCTGTTATTTCCACCTTGTAGCTCATGTGGTTTTGCTATGGTGCTGATGTGCGTAAATGTGGTTGTTTCTGTGGTTTTCTTACAGGTCCTGGAGAATTACATATCATGCAAAAGGTTATAGGTCAGCTTATCTTTGCAGATATAGAACTAGGTAAAACTCCCCTAAAATACCGGTGCTTAGCAAAGTAACCTTGCAAGTTTACTTTGCCCTTCAATGATCAACAACAAAAACCAACCAACTAAACAAACAAAAATTAGAACTCATTAGCTTAACGATCCATCATTCATTAATACTCTTGAGCTTATGGAGAAAACAACCAATATATAAAATATTCTTCAATTGTACCTGCTGCTTTTATTTCTTTTAGAAGTATTTTTTTAAGCTGTACTTTTCCTAAAGCCTGAGAATATTTTGTGTTATTTTTGATGCCAGAAAGGATAATATAATACACTGTATGTCTTTAATTCGTTGTAACTGGTGGAAAAAGAGAAAGATAATTGAAACCTTAAAACAGCAGAGATAAGTGATCTAAGTTGTAAATCTGTTAGTAATTCAAGAACATTTAGAAATATCTCCTGATAAGGTTAATTGAAGGAATATTCTAATGAATGTAGTAAATTAGTTGTTCCCAATCTCAAAATCTTTTAATATTCTGAAAGAAATTAAGATTTTAGTGAGAGATATTCCACTTTATGGAACTACTTCTTTCTCCCTTTATCTCTTTATGGAAAATTCTATCTTAAGGAGCAAGGTGAATCTTTCTTGTTCTCTTTTACTGCAAAATATTTGTTTTTAATATGTAACTAACCTGCACATTGTGCACATGTACCCTAAAGCTTAAAGTATAATAATAGTAAAATAAAAAAAAATTGTTTTTAAAGCAAAACAAACTTACATAGAATCAATAATTTCTGTTATTAAATTATAGAATGGGAAGATGTATTGCTTATTGTGATGACCCTCAACCCTGGCTGCACATTAGAATCTCCTGGAATGGGGCTTCCAAACCTTAGTGTGCTTGTGAATCATCTAGGGAGTTTGTTAAAATGCAGATTTTGATTTAGGACTTCTGGGGTAGGACCTGAGAGTCTGCGTTTATAACAAACTCACAAGTGATGTTGATGCTTGATTAGCCTGTTCTTTCATTGCTATAAAGAAATACCTGAGACTGGGTAATTTATGAAGAAAAGAGGTTTAATTGGCTCCCAGTTATGCGGGCTTTGCAGGAAGAATGATGCTGGCATTTGCTCAGCTTCTAGGGAGGCCTCAGGAAGCTTCCAATCATGGCAGAAGGTGAAGGGGGAGCAGGCACATCACATGGCAAAAGCAGGAGCAAGTGAGAGAGAGTGGGCCAGGGGAGGTGCCACACACTCTAAAATAACCAGATTCCATGATAACTCACTATTACAAAGACAGCACCGAACCATGAGGGATCTGCCCCCATGATCGAAACACCTTCTACCACGCCCCACCTCCAGCACTGGGGATTACAATTTAACATGAGATTTGGTTGGGCACAAATATCTGAACTATATCCTGCCCTGCACCTCCCAAATCTCATGTGATTCTTACATTGCAAAATACAATCATGCCTTCCCAACAGTCCCTTAAAGTCTTAACTCATTCCAACATTAACTCATTCCAAGTCCTTAACTCATTCCAACATTAACTCAAAGTCCAAAGTCTTGCCTTGAGACAAGGCAAATCCCTTCCACCTATGAGCTTGTAAAATAAAAAAAAAGTTAGTTACTTCCAAGATACAATGGGAGTATAGGCATTGGGCAAGTATTCCCATTCCAAAAGGGAGAAATCGGCCAAAAGAAAGGGGCTACAGGTCCCATGAAAGTTTGAAACCCAGCAGGGCAGTTGTTAAATCTTAAAGCTCTAAAATAATCTCCTTTGACTTCATTTTCCACATCCAGGGCACACTGGTGCAAGTGGAGGGCTCCCAAGGCCTTGGGCCGCTCCACCCCTGTGGCTTTGCAGGTTTCAGCTCCCAGGGTTGTTCTCACAGGTTGTTAAATACTTGCAGCTTTTCTAGACAGAGGGTGCAAGCTGCTAGTAGAGCTACCATTCTTGGGTCTGGAGGGTGGTGGCCTACTTCTCACAGATCCACTAGGCAGTGCCCTAGTGGGGACTTTGTTTGAAGGCTCCAGCCCACATTTCCCCTTTGGCACTGCCCCAGTAGAGGTTTACTCTGAGTGTTTTGCCCCTGGAGCAAGCTTCTGCCTGGAAGCTTTCTCAGGCATCCCCTGAAATCTAGACAGAGGCCCCCAAGCGTTCATCACACTCTCACATTCTGTACATCTACAGGCTTAACACCACATGGGAGCCACCCCAAGGCTTATATACTCCAAAGTGGCAGCTGGAGCTATACCTGGGCCTCTTTGAGCCACAGCTGGAGCTGAGCTGGAGCAGCCAGGATATAAGGAGCAGAGTCCCTGGGCCTGGCCCACATAACCGTTCTTCCCTTCTAGGTCTCTGGGCCTGTGATGAGAGGGGTTGCTGTGAAGGTCTCTGAAATGCCTTTGAGGCTTTTTTCTTGTTGTATTTGTTATCAGCACCTGGCTCCCTTTTAATTATGCAAATTTTTAATTTTGCATCAAATTAAACCAGCAAGTGGTTGCTCCATAGCCTGCTTGAATTCTCCCTAAAAAGCTTTTTCTTTCTCTGCCACATGGCCAGGCTGTAAATTTTTCAAACTTTCATGCTCTGATTTCCTTTTAAATATTAGGTTGATGCCAAACAATCACAGTTTGCAAAAACAATTACTTTTAATTGCAAAAACTGCAATTGCTTTTGCACCAACCTAATATAAATTCCAACTTTAGGTCATTTTTTTGCACCCACATCAGAGTGTAGGCTGTTAGAAGCCACCAGGCCACATCTTGAACACTTTGCTGCTTAGAAATTTTCTCTTCCAGATACCTTAAACCATCACTTTTTAGTTCAAACTTCCACAGATCCCTAGAGTATAAACAGAATGCAGCGAAGCTCTTTGCTAGGGCATAACATACATGAGCTTTGCTACAGTTCCCAATTAAGTTCCTCTTTTCCATCTGAGACCTTGACAGCCTGGCCTTCACTGTCCATATCTCTGTAAGCATTTTGGTCACAACCATTTAACCAATCTCTCAGAAATTCCAAACTTTCCCTTATCTACCTGTCTTCTTCTGAGCCCTGCAAACACTTCCAACCTCTGCCTGTTACTCAGTTCCAAAGTTGCTTCCACATTTTCAGGTATCTTTATAGTAATACTCCACTCCTGGTAACAATTTTCCTTATTAGGCCATTCTTGCCCTGCTATAAAGAAATACCTGAGACTGGGTAATTAATTTATTTATTTATTTTAAAAAGAGGTTTAATTAGCTCATAGTTCTGCAGGCTTTAGAAGAAACATGGCACTGGCATCTGCTTAGCTTCTAGGGAGGCCTCAGGAAGCTCACAGTCATGGTGGAAGACGAAAGGGGAGCAGCCAGGTCACATGGTGAAAGCAGGGGCAAGTGACAGAGAGAATAGGTAGGAAGGTGCCACACACTTTGAAATGAGCAGATCTCAGAAGAACTTACACTGACTATCATGAAGAGATCACCAAGCCATAAAGGATCCACTCCCATGATTCAAACATCTCCCACCAGTTTCCATCTCCAGCACTGTAGATTATAATTCAACATGAGATTTGGGCAGGGACAAATATTCAAACTATATCATGTAGGCTTTACAGGAAGCATGATGCTGGCATCTGCTTTCTAAGGAGGCCTTGGGAAGTTTTCAGTCATGGCAGAAGGTGAAAGAGGGAGCAGATGCATCACATGGCAAAATCTGGAGCAAGCAATAGAGAATGGTGGGGGAGGGGGACGACACACACTTTTAAATGACCAGATCTTGTGAGAAAGCACTATCATAAAGACAGCACCAAGCAATGAGGGATCTTCCCGCATGATCCAAACACCTCCCGCCAGACTCTACCTCCAACATAGAGGATTACAATTTAACATGAGATTTGAGCAGGGACAAATATCCAGACTATATCAATGCTGTTGGTCTGTGGACCATAATTTGAATAGCAAGGAGAGAGAGCTTTTAGAAATTACCAATACAAAGGCCAAGACACCCATATATTTGGATTCATGGTATCTAACACGGGGTCCAGAAATCTGCATGTTAACAGAAACAACATGTGATTGTAATGCATATAATCCACAGATGGGAGTTTGGTCTGGCTAGAAGGCAGTACTAGCCCTGATTGTGTACAGGATTAGAATCCCATGCAAATCATTAAGGCTGTAATTCCTGTGCCTCTGTAGTCTTAATATTTTTATAGCAGATGCTGATGTAAAAAACCACTATTCTGGGCATTCAGGAAAGAACACTATCATTGTATGAACTTAGTGAAATGATGTGGGAATTTTGAGTGTATGCACAATCATAAGGTTGTGGTTCATAGCTATTAATTGAATCTTTCTTAAAATGTTTTTTTGTATAAATATATGGGATACAAGTGTAATTTTGTTACATGGATAGATTGTATACCGGCTTGTATACTGGTGATGTCAGGGCTTTTAGGATATCCATCACCTGAATAATGTACATTGCATCCACTAAGTAATTTCCCATCATCCACCCACCCTCCCATCTCCCCACCCTTCATGTCTCCATTGTCTATCATTCCACACTCTATGTCCATGTGTACACATTGTTTAGCTCCTACTTATAAGTGAGAACATGCTCTCTTGCTACCAATTAATTTTTTCTTTAAGAATTTTCAGATTTTACTTTAGATATATGTGCAGGTTTATTATACAGGAATATAGCATGAGGCTAAGGTTTGGAGTATGGATCCTGTGGCTCAGATAGTGAGCATTTTACCCAATGGGTAGCTTTTCAACCCCCATTCCTCTTCCTCCCTTCCCACCTCTAGTAGTCTACACTTTCGATTGTTTCCAAATTTATGTCCATGTGTGCTCAATGTTTAGCTCCCACTTATAAGCGAGAATACATGGTATTTGGTTTTCTGTGTCTGTATTTGTTTGCTTAGGATTATGACCTGCAGCTGCATTCATGTTGCCGCAAAGGACATGATTTCATCCTTTTTATGGCTGTGTAGTATTACATCTTGTATATGTACCACATTTTCTTTATCCAATCTACCACTGATGGGCACCTGAGTTGATTCCATGTCTTTGCTATTGTGAATAGCACAGCAATTAACACATGACTGCATGTGTCTTTTTGGTAGAATGATATATTTTTCCTTGGGTATATACCTAATAATTGGATTGCTGGATTGAATGGTAGCTCTGTTTTAAGTTCTTTGAGAAATCTCCAGACTACTTTCCTCAGTGACTGGACTAATTTGCATTCCTACCAAGAGCATATGAGCGTTCCCTTTTCTCTGCAGCCTCACCAGCATATGTTGTTTTTTGACTTTTTAATAAGAGCCATTCTAACTGGGTGAGATGGTATCTTATTGTGGTTTTGATTTGCATTTCTCTGATGATTTGTAGTGCTGAGCATTTTTCCATGTATTTGTTGGCTACTTGAATGTCTTCCTTTAAGAAGTGTTTGTTCATATCCTTTGCCATTTTTTAATGGGGTTTTTTTTTGCTTGTTGATTTAAGTTCCCTATAGATTCTGTTAATAGGCCTTTGTCAGATGCATAGTTTGTGAATATTTTCTCCCATTCTGTAAGTTGTATGTTTACTCTGTTAATAGTTTCTTTTGCTTTGCAGAAGCTCTTTAGAAATAAGAAATGTTGCCAATTAAATAATGAGATACTAATTATGAGAAGACTTAATCTAATTTTAAAGATGTTAAAAATTTTTTAAATATGCCCTGGAGTCAATGAAGTATATTATTCAATTATGGAAATTCTCTGTACATAGAACAGTTCAGGAACACAAAGTTATCTAAAGAGAGTTTGGATTTTTACATAGCTCACCTATTTTTTATTATAATGTTTCTCATATGGACAATGTATAGTCAAGGTGAAAACACAGTTCTAATTCTGTTCAGGGAAAAAAATAGTAGAAATTAGTTTCCTCCATTCTGTTCTATATTACTATTTAAATTTAGTTTGTTAAAGGCTTAAAGTTTAACTTCACAAACATACAAAATCATAGTTTTTTGTTAAATAACAACATTTGAATTGTATAAATATATTATTGTATTTCTTAATTTATAAACTATATTAGCAACTAGAAAGAAAAAAAAATGACTTAGAAGATATTTTACACATTTACTTACATTCTTTATGCAACCTGAACCCTCATCTCTTTTTAACATTAGGGATGACAGTGGGTGGACAGTGGGTGGATCTGAATTTTTAAAGTTATTCTCTAGCAACTAGAGGAAAAATCTTACCAGATTATATAGGCTAGAACTCTTGATTGAGAAGACAGAGTATTATTAAGGTTCTGAAAGAAGAGCTTTTCATTATTCACCAGCAGGTTTTACTATCTAAAATAGAATTACATGAATTTGTAAAATTTGTCACCAAAAGCTTCATCTACTTGTAAATAAAAAAATCCTCTCAATTTTTGGCCAGGTGCAGTGGCTTACACCTGTAATCCCAGCACTTTGGGAAGCTGAGGTAGATGGAGCTCTTGAGCCCAGGAGTTCTAAACCAGCTTGGGCAACATGGCAAAATCCCGTCTCTACAATAACTGCACCCTTAAAAAAATAGCTGGTGGTGTATGCCTATAGTCCCAGCTACTTGGGAGACTGAGGTGGGAAGATCACTTGGGCTCTGGAGTTCAAGGCGATACTGAGCTGTGATTATGCCACTGCACTCCAGCCTGGGCAACAGAGCAAGACCTGTCTCAAAAAATAAATAAATAAATATATAAATATATAAAATAAAAAAATAAAACTTCTGTCAATTTTGGATAGGTATAAACATCATGAAAAATAGTTTGAAAATTTATAACTGAGAAGTTGCTGAAAATCCTTGATCGGATCTCTGCTTGCAATTTCTGCATAAAAGATTTTGAGAATATATGCAATGCAAAATAAAGCATTCCATATTTTAAAAGAAAAATATTTTCTTGTCTTAACTATGTATACTTTTTTTATTTGAGAGAAGTTGCTCAAATATAATATAGTTGTTGACTCAAGAGAATCAATAAAAAAAATCTACTGAATAAATAACACAGTTTATAAAATGGTTAGTTATGACATCATTGCCTTCCTCATACAAAGAATGACCTGTTAGAAATTCTAATAAAAAAGAATCCTCTTGTAGTAGCAACAAAAATTATAAAATGCCTAAGAACAAATTTTAATAGAGATATAGAGGCCCTATACAGTTAAAAATTCCAAAATGTTAATAATGAGATTATAATACTTGAATAATTTTTTAAAATACGTTTAATTTTTCCATAGGTTATTGGGGTACAGGTGGTATTTAGTTACATGAGTAAGTTCTTCAGTGGTGATTTGTGAGATTTTGGTCCACCCATCACTCGAGCAGTATACACTGCACCCTATTGATAGTCTTTTATCCCTTCTCCCCTCCTACCTTTCCCCTCAAGTCCCCAAAGTCCATTGTATCATTCTTATGCCTTTGCGTCCTCATAGCTTAGCTCCTATATAGCAGTGAGAACATACGATGTTTGGTTTTTTATTCCTGAGTTACTTCACTAAAATAATAGTCGTCAATCTCATCCAGGTTGCTGCAAATGCCGTTAATTCATTCCTTTTGATGGATGAGTAGTATTCCATCGTATAAATATATATACCACAGTTTCTTTATCCACTCGTTGATTGATGGGAATTTAGGTTGGTTCCATGATTTTGCAATTGCGAATTGTGCTGCTATAAACATGTGTGTGCAAGTATCTTTTTCATATAATGACTTCTTTTCCTCTGGGTAGATACCCAGTAGAGGAACTGCTGGATCAAATGGTAGTTCTACTTTTAGCTCTTTAAGGAATCTCCACACTGTTTTCTATAGCAGTTGTACTGGTTTACATTCCCACCAGCAGTGTAGAAGTGTTCCTTGATCACCACATCCATGCCAACATCTATTGTTTTTTGATTTTTTGATTATGGCCATTCTTGCCGGAGTAAGGTGGTATCACATTGTAGTTTTGATTTGCATTTCCCTGATCATTAGTGATGTTGGGCATTTTGTCATATGTTTGTTGTCCATTTGCATATCTTCTTTTGAGAATTGTCTATTCATTCCTTAGCCCACTTTTTGATGGGATTGTTTGTTTCTTTTTTTGCTGATTTGTTTGAATTCATTGTGATTCTGGATATTAGTCCTTTGTCAAATGTATAGGTTGTGAAGATTTTTTCCTACTCTGTGGGTTGTCTGTTTACTCTGCTGACTGTTCCTTTTGCTGTGCAAAAGCTCTTTAGTTTAATTAAGTCCCAGATGTTTATCTTTGTTTTTATCGTATTTGCTTTTGGGTTCTTGATCATGAAATCTTTGCCTAAGCCAATGTCTAGAAGGGTTTTTCTGATGTTATATTCTAGAATTTTTATAGTTTATAGTTTTATAGTTATACTTAAGTCCTTAATTCATCCTGTGTTGATTTTTGTATAAGGTGAAAGACGAGGATCCAATTTCATTCTCCTACATGTAGCTAGCCAATTATCCCAGCACCATTTGTTGAAAAGGGTGTCCTTTCCCCACTTTATGTTTTTATTTGCCTTGTTGAAGGTCAGTTGGCTGTAAGTATTTGGGTTTATTTCTGGGTTCTCTATTCTATTCCACTGGTCTATGTGCCTATTTTTATACCAGTGCCATGCTACTTTGGTGACTATGGTCATATAGTATAGTTTGAAATCGGGTAGTGTGATGCTTCTAGATTTGTTCTTTTTGCTTAGTCTTGTTTTGGCTATGTGGGCTCTTTTTTTGTTCCATGTGAATTTTAGAATAGTTTTTTTCTGGCCAGGTGCAGTGGCCCACACCTGCAATCCCAGCACTTTGGGAGGCTGAGGCAGAGGGATCACCTGAGGTCAGGAGTTTGAGACCAGCCTGGCCAACATGGCAAAACTCTGTCTCTACTAAAATTACAAAAATTAGCCAGGTGTGGTGGTGGGCACCTGTAATTCCAGCTACTGGGGAGGCTGAGGCAGGAGAATAGCTTGAGCCCAGGCGCCAGAGGTTGCAGTGAGCTGAGATTACACCATTGCACTCCAGCCTGGTGACAACCATGAGACTCTGTCTCAAAAAAACAAAACAAAACAAAACAAAAAACCAAAAAGAATAGTTTTTCTAATTCTGTAAAGAATGATGGTGGTATTTTGATAGGGGTTGCGTTAAATTTGTCGATTGCTTTTGGCAGTGTGGTCATTTTCACAATATTGATTCTACCTATCCATGAGCATGTGATATGTTTCCATTTGTTTGTGTCATCTATGAATTTTTTCAGCAGCGTTTTATAGTTTTCCTTGTAGAGGTCTTTCACCACTTGGTTAGTATATTTCTAAGTTTTTTTTTTTGCAGCTGTTGTAAAAGGGGTTGAGTTCTTGATTTGATTCTCTGCTTGGTTGCTGTTGGTGTACAGGAGACCTTCTGATTTGTGTATGTTAATCTTGTATCCAGAAACTTTGCTGAATTCTTTGATCAGTTCTAGGACCTTTCTGGAGGAGTCTTTAGGGTTTTCAAGGTAAAGGATCATATCATCAGCAAACAGTGACAGTTTGACTTCCCGTTTACCAATTTGGATGTCCTTTATTTCTTTCTCTTGTCTGATTGCTCTGGCTAGGACTTCCAGTAGTGTGTTGAAGAGTAGTGGTGGGAGTGGGCATCCTTGCCTTGTTCCAATTATGAGAGGAAATGCTTTCAACTTTTCCCCATTCAGTATTATGTTGGCTCTGGGTTTGTCATAGATAGTTTTATTACATTGAGGTATGTCCCTTATATGCCGATTTTGCTGAGAGTTTTAAGAATTTTAATCATAAAGGGATGCTGGATTTTGTCAAATGCTTTTTCTGCATTTATTGAGATGATCATGTGATTTTTGTTTTTAATTCTGTTTATGTGGTGTATCACATTTATTGACTTGCATGTGTTAAACTATCCCTGCGTTCCTGGTATAAAACCCACTTAATCATGGTGGATTATCTTTTTGATATGTTGTTGGATTTGGTTAGCTACTATTTCGTTAAGGATTTTAGCATCTGTGTTCTTCAGGGATATCTTCAGGGTCTGTAGTTTTTTTTTTTTTCTTTCTTTTTTTGGTTATGTCCCTCCCTGGTTTTGGTATTAGGGTGATGCTGGCTTCATAGAATGAATTAGAAAGGGTTCCCTCTTTCTCTATCTTGTGAAATAGCATCAATAGGATTGGTACCAATTCTTCTTTGAATGTCTGGTAGAATTCTGCTGTGAATCCATCTGGCCCTGGACTTTATTTTGTTGGTAATTTTTAAATTACCATTTCAATCTTGCTGCTTGTTATTGGCCTGTTTAGGGTATCTATTTCTTCCTGATTTAACCTTGGAGGTTTGTATTTTTCTAGGAATTTATTCATCTCTTCTAGGTTTTCAAATTTATGTGCATAAAGGTATCTCATAGTAGCCTTGAATGATCTTTTGTATTTCTGTGGTGTCAGTTGTAATATCTCCCGTTTTGTTTCTTATTGAGGTTATTTGGATTTTCTCTCTTCTTTTCTTGGTTGATCTTGCTAATGATATATCAATTTTATTTATCTTTTCAAAGTACCAGCTGTTTGTGTTTCATTTATCTATTGTATTTTTCTTGTTTCAATTTCATTTAGTTCTGCTCTGATCTTGGTTATTTTCTTTCTTCTACTGAGTTTTGGTTTGGTTTGTTCTTGTTTCTCTAGTTCCTTGAGGTGTGACCTTAAATGTCAGTTTGTGCTCTTTGAGTCTTTTTGATGTAGGCATTTAGGGCTATGAACTTTCCTCTTAGCACTGCCTTTGCTGTATCTCAGAGGTTTTGATAGATTGTGTCACTATTGTCATTCAGTTCAAAGAATTTTTAAATTTCCATCGTGATTTTATTTTTGACCCAATGATCATTCGGGACCAGGTTATTTAATTTCCATGTATTTACATGGTTTTGAAGGTTCCTTTTGGAGTTGATTTCCAGTTTTATTCCGCTGTAGTCTGAGAGAGTGCTTGATATAATTTCAATTTTCTTAAATTTATTGAGGCTCATTTTGTGGCCTATTGAATAGGCCACATGTGCTGTTGAATAGAATGTGTATTCTGCAGTTGTTGAATGAAATGTTCTGTATATATCTGTTAAGTCCATTCATTCCAAGATATGGTTTAAATCCATTGTTTCTTTGTTGACTTCCTGTCTTGATGACCTATCTAGTGCTGTCAGTGGAGTATTAAAGTCCCCCACTATTATTGTGTTGCTGTCTATCTCATTTCTTAGGTCTATTAGTAATTGCTTTATAAATTTGGGAGCTCCAGTGTTAGGTGCATATATGTTTAGGATTGTGATATTTTCCTGTTGGACAAGGCCTTTTACCATTATATAATGTCCCTCTTTGCCTATTTTTTCACTGCTGTTGCTTTAAAGTTGGTTTTGTCTGATATAAGAATAGCTACCTCTGCTCGCTTTTGGTGTCCATTTGCATGAAACGACTTGTTCCACCCCTTTACTTTAAGTTTATGTGAGTCCTTATGTATTAGGTGAGTCTCTTGAAGGCAGCAGATAGTTGGTTGGTGAATTCTTATCCATTCTACAGTTCTGTATCTTTTAAGTGGAGCATTTAGGCCATTTACATTCAATGTTAATATTGAGATGTGAGTTACCATTCCATTCATCGTGCTATTTGTTGCCTGTATACCTTGGTTTTTTGTTTTTGTTTTTGCTTTTTAAATTGTATTTTTATTGTATAGGTCCTGTGAGATTTATGCTTTAAAGAGGTTCTGTTTTGATGTGTTTCCAGGATTTGTTTCAAAATTTAGAGATCCTTTTAGCAGTTCTTATAGTGCCAGCTTGGTAGTGGCAAATTCTCTTAGCATTTGTTTGTCTGAAAAAGACTGTATCTTTTCTTCATATATGATGCTTAATTTCACTAGACACAAAATTCTGGGCTGATACTTGTTTTGTTTGAGGAGGCTGAAGACAGGGCCCCAATCCCTTCTAACTTGTAGGGTTTCTGCTGAGAAATCTGCTGTTAATCTGATAGGTTTTCCTTTATTGGTTACATGGTGCTTTTACCTCACAGCTCTTAAGAGTCTTTCCTTTGCCTTAACTTTAGATAACCTGATGACAATGTGTCTAGGCGATGATTTTTTTTTTGCAATAAATTTCCCGGGTGCTTTTCGTGGCTTCTTTTATTTGGATGTCTGGGTCTGTAGCAAGGCTGGGCCGTTTTCCTCTGTTATTCCCCTAAATATATTTTCCAAATTTTTTATTTCTCTTCTTTTGCAGGAACAGTGATTATTCTTAGGTTTGGTTGTTTAGCATAATCCCAGATTTCTTGGAATAAGAATATTTTCTTATTCTTTTTTCTTTGTCTTTATTGGATTGGGTTAATTCAAAGACTTTTGAGCTCTGAATTTCTTTTTTTCTACTTGTTCAATTCTGTTGCTGAGACTTTCCAGAGCATTTTGCATTTCTATATGTGTATCCAATGTTTCCTTAAGTTTTTATTGTTTTTTCTTTATGCTATAGATTTCCTTGAATATTTCTCCCTTCACTTCTTTTATTGTTTTTTGGATTTCCTTGCATTGGGCTTTGCCTTTCTCTGGTGCCTCCCTGATTAGCTTAATAACTAACCTCCTGAATTCTTTTTCAGGTAAATCAGAGATTTATTCTTAGTTTGGATCCATTGCTGGTGAGCTAGTGTGATTTTGGGGGATGTTAAAGAGCCTTGTTTTGTCACATTACCAGAGTTGTTTTTCTGTTTCTTTCTCATTTGGGTAGCCTCTGTCAGAGGGAAGGTCTAGGGCTGAAGGCTGTTTTCAGATTCTTTTGTCCTACGAGGTGTTCCCTGGATGTAGTACTCTCCCCGTTTACCTATGGGTGTGGCTTCCTGAGCAGAGCTGTAGAGATTATTATTTCTCTTCTGGGTCTGGCCACCAATATGTCTTCCAGGCTCTGGGCTGGTACTGGGGGTTGTCTGCACAGAGCCCTGTGATGTGAACTGTCTATGGATCTCACAGCCGTGGATACCAGCACCTGTTCTGGTGGAGGTGGCAGGGGGGTGAAACAGACTCTGTGAGGGCTCTTAGCTTTGATGGTTTAATGCTCTGTTTTTGTGCTGGTTGGCCTCCGAGGCCAGGAGGTGGTGCTTTCCAGAGAGCATCAGCTGTAGTAGTATGGAGAGGAACTGGCAGTGGGCCAGGCCCTTGAGCTCCCAAGAGTATATACCCTTTGTCTTCAGCTACCAGGGTGGGTAGTGAAGGACCATCTGATGGGGGCAGGGTAGGCATGTCTGAGCTCAGACTCTCCTTGGGCGGGTCTTGCTGTGGCTGCTGTGGGGGATGCGGATGAGATTTCCAGGTCAATGAAATTGTGTACCTAGGAGAATTATGGCTGCCTCTGCTGAGTCATGCAAGTTGTCAGGGAAGTGGAGGAAAGCCGGCAGTCATAGGCTTCACCCAGCTCCCATGCAATCTGAAGGGCCAGTCTCACTCCCATTTTGCCCCTGATAGAGCACTGGGTCTGTTTCCAGATAGTGGGGAAGCAGAGCTGAGAGCTTGTCCCAGACTACCTGCCTCCAAGCTGCAGAAGAAAAGGAGGCTTCTCAACTGGTTCAAATTGTTACGAAGTTCAGCTGGAGACTTCCTTCTCCCTGTGGCATTTATCCCGTGCCACTGGACCCCCTCCCAAAGTATCCCTGTGACACTCCCATGGTCTTTCCTGCTGCTTCCTCTACCCCTGTATTTCACTGGGCTCTCTAAATTGATTCAGCTCCAGTTAAGGTTGGAATCTTCTCCCACAGACTAGACTTTTAGTTTCCCCAGTGTGGGTGTGAGTTTAGGGGTGGAGGATCTCCCTTTCCCACTTCCGCAGTTTGGGCACTCACAGTATGTGGGGTGACTTCTGGGTCCTGCAGGAGCAGTCCGTTTCCTTCAGAAGGTCTGTGGGTCCTCTTGGGATTCCTGATTTATTCCTGCAGTCATTCTGGAGCTAAAACTCATGATGCAAGCCTCCACATGCTGCTGTATCCATGCGAGTCCAAGCTGCAATCTAGTCCTGCCTCCCATCTGCCATGACGATCCTAGGTATAGTCATATCTAATACCTGAATCATTTAGAATATATGTCATATCTCTAGATAAGAAGACTAAATATCATAAAATATCTATTTTCTCTAAATCAGATCCAAATGAATTTTTTTCAAAACTCAAATGCTTTTAAAATTAATTTGCAAGAATAAATTTCTAAAATGTCATACACAATTTTTGAATTAAAACAAATAATCAGTGTAGACTTCCTCACTAAAATTTAAAATTTCATAAAGTTTATCTGATAAAAAATAACTCACAGGAGCACTTGCATAGAAAAAGACTAATAACTCAGTGACACACAATATATAGGAACAAATGCAAGCATTTTGGGAGAATTTAGTACATGATGCACATATTATTTAAAATTGGTGGAATTAAGATGAATTATTCAGCAAATGTATTGGAATAACTGGCTATTAAAAATAACATTCAATTTTATACTTCATATTTTTACTCCAAAATATATTCCAGATATAATAAATATTTAAGTGTAAACCCAGAAACAATGTAAGTACTAAAAGGAAATATAGGTGAATATTTTTAAAATCTTGGGATGGGAGGAAGGTCTTTCAACGTAGGTGATCAAGGACAAAGTTAATAAGAATATTGATAGATTTAACTGAATGATTTTATAATCTTTGCACTAAAATCAGCATATAAGGATAAAATACAAATAATATGCTAAGAAAATATTTCAGGGTATATAACAGATGAGATGCATCATTAATAGGAGTTATTACAAATTAATAATAAAGTTTACAATTCTAACAAAAATGATCAGTGGCATGAGCAGGGAAGCCATAAAAGAAATGTAAAGGCACAAAAAACATGAAAAGTAACCAAATACACTGAAATTAATGGAGATCTTGTATCAGTTAGCTATTTTTGTGTAACAAACATTCCCAAAACTCAATGGTTACAACAGCAATTATCTGTTGTAATAATTTACATTTCTTTTTGTTGTCTGAGGGTTTGTTGGCTGCTTTAGGATGAGCTTAACTGAGCTTGCTCTTGTTTCTGTATGCAGGCTGGGGGCCTGTCTCTAAGTTGGGCTTTCCTGGGACAATTTAGCTGGGGCATTCCTGCTCCATTTGTCTTTCATACTCTGCAAGGGCTCCATGTATTTCTCATCCTTTTTCTGGGACCAATGAGCCAGCCCAAGCATGTCCTTCTTGTGGAAATGGCAGAAGTACAAGAGTGCAAGCCTAGCTGGACAAGTGTTTCTTAAGCTGCTGCTTGTGTCACATATGCTAACATCCCATTGGCTAAATGGCAATTACATGACCAAACTCAGAATCAAGGGGAAAGGAAATATATCTTGTCTTTTAATAGGACAAACTAAAAAGTCATATGATAAAGGACATGGATACAAGCAAGTGCAAAGATTTGGGGCCATTAATACAATATACCAGATGCCGTCTTTTGCACGTTGGTTAGTAGAAGTGTTTTGTTTTTGTTTTTTTTTTTTTTAACCTTGCTTGTAATAGTCAGTGTCGTCAAGAGTGTTAGGAAATGAGTACTCCCACACACTGCTGAAGGTGGGAGTCTAAATGGCTAATTGGAGTGACAATTTGAGTGTGTGTTTCAAAATTTTATTAAAGGTGTGTGTTTTGGGCTCAATACTTCCATTTTTAAGAATTTACTACAGGAAAATAATTAGGCAAATGTGCAAAGGTTGTATAAGTATAAACCTGGTTAATATAGAGCCAGTTGTCATGGCAGCAGGAGGCCATGTGGAGCAGCGGCTGCCATCAATCCTGGCTGCAGCAGAGAGGTGTGGCTTTGGCTGTATGCTTCATGGAACTGGTGGGAACTGGGAACAAGTGGGAGCCCTGCCCCTTCTGAGTTGGGGCAGGAGCTCCCTGGGTGCCACTGAAGATGCCCAAGCCACAGCAGTAGACCTGGGCATTCCTGTGCTCTTTGGGCCCAGGAGCAGGCGGGAGGCTCACCCTCCTGGGCATAGCTGCAGCCACTCAAACTGTGGCTGCAGGCCCATGCCTCCTGCTCCATGGAGCAGGCAGGAGCCCCATCCCCCAGAGTGTGGCTGCAGCTACCCAAACCGTGGCTGTAGACCCAGGCATCTGTGCACTCTTAGGCGGTCTTGAGAAGGCCCCCACTGATCTTACGGGCTCAGAAGTACCTGTTCCCACTGCCTGGTTTCTCTCTGCTGTTAGCACCTGCTTCTTTCTTGGAGCAAAGATAGGGCCAAGCCCAGGCACTGTCACAGCCCAGCTGGGTGTGTGCACACTTGGGGCAGTGCTGACATGCCAGCCCCTGGTCACCTTAGCCCCCTCCAGACTTTGGGCACTGATGAGCATAGGAGGAAAGCTGAGGCAGGCTGAGTGCAGCTCAGTGCTGGCCTGCAGGTACCCCTTGGCTTCTACAGCCTGGGTGCCCTGAATGACAGATTGAGGTAGACAGGTTACTGGATGGAAGGGGGCAGGTCACAGGTGAGGTCCCAGCCTTCAAAGAGAGCCTGAAGGCTGGGGACTAGGCTGCCAGTACCGCCGGACTGGAGTGGAAACTTGTGGTGCATTTTCCGGGCCTGCCCATGGCCACCCATGGACAAATTGGTGTACACTTCCTCCCCTCTGAGGCCCATAAAAACCCCTGGCTTAGCCAAAGCTTAGCAGATATTGAGGTGACCAGCTGCATAGAGGAGCAACACACTCTAGGGCCTCCTCTCTGCTGAGAGCTATAGAGACAATGAGATGACCTGCCTGCAGAGAGGAGCTACCCACTTTAGGGCCTCCTCTCTGCTGAGAGCCACAGAGATGAAGGAGAGATGACAGGGAGATGATGGGACTACCTGCCTGCAGAGAGGAGCACCCCATTCTAGGGCCTCTTCTCTGCTGAGAGCTGCACAGACAATGGGACGACCAGCTGCAGAGAGGAGCTACCTTCTCTGCTGATACCTGAATACTTGTCAGGATGACTTGCCTTGAATACTTGTCAGGATGACTTGCCTAGCAGAAAGGAGCAACCCTCTCTGCTAGAAGCTGAACACACTTTGGGGAAACCCTGGCTGTGGAAAGGAGCTGCCCTCTGAGGGTTTCCTCTGAGCCATTTTATTGCTCAGTAAACCTCCTCTTCACCTTGCTCACCCTACACTTTGCTGCATACCTCATTCTTCTTAGGTGTAGGACAAGAACTCGGGACCCACTGAATGAGGCTAAAAGAGCTGTAACACAAATGAGGCTGAGATATGCCCCATTGCTCACCACATTGCAAACAAAGAGAAGGAAAGAAGAGCTGCAGCCTTTCAGAGAGCCCAGACCTGTGAGCTCCCCAAGCCAGGGCTGTGACTCCCTCTTTGGGTTCCCGGCATTTCCAAGCTACTGGGCATCACCATGTTCCCTGGTGCCAGCTGCGGAAGCTGCTTTCGGTGCACCTGGTCCAGCCGCAGCCTTGTGGAAAGCCGACTCTCATGCTGGCACCTGGAGCTTCCTGCCTTGCTGCAGCAGCTGGCATGTCTGACTGCACAGTGGCTGGACCCCATGCTCACTCACATATCCCTTGTGCTCCACACAGTCTCCCTTGGCAGATGTGGGATCCAGGCTGGTAGTGTGAGCTGAGCGCATCCTGCCAGGCCAAGTGGGCGGAATGAGCCCAGCGGGCCTGAGTGAAACTCAAGGCAAAGGCATCACTGGCCACAGAGGTTTCTGGCCAGAAAAGTGACACCCCAAAGATCCTGTAACAGTTGCACATGTAAGGCTATACTTTTTAAAAAAGTTGACATCAATTTTGATTGATTGATTGATATTTCAGCCTGTTATATATTTTAAATATCACCTCTGAGTTCAATGATATTAATCACTAGATTGTTTATAATAGTAAACATTTGGAAAATTTCTAAGTTCCATTAATATAAAATTGATAAAAATAAATGTTGGTACATCCACACAATGGGTTGCTATACAACTGTTAAGATAATGATGCTTGTATTTATTGTCATGAAAGAAATCCATGCCATAATGATTAAATGTAAGGTAGGGGCTTGTTTCAATAATATATATGGTTGTATGTTCATTAAATATATGAAAAAGTATTTATCAGGGTATTTCTATGTGGAAAATTATGGGTGCTTTTATTTTCTTATTGTGCTTTTTAATGTTTTATTTGTAGTGTCATGCATTAACAGGCACTTTTTATGACCATTAAAAGACAGAAAGTCTACTTCTATTTTTGAAAAGTGATATTGAGAATTTAATTGTAATTAGTTTCAAGGAAAGCGTATGAGTAACAATACTCTGTTACAAAGTCAAAACATTCCGTAGAAAATAGCTATGAGTCTTAAAGGAAAGACTTCTCTAGTCATATCATAAATGATGTCTGTTTCCCTTTTGAGCAAAGAGACACAACTTAATAAAATTAATAGGGGAAACTCAAATGTATAGAAAATAGAATATGAGTAAGAAAGGCATGGATACTTTTATGCTGTTTATATACACATGTACACCCAGCCATGCTTTCTGTAAAAATAGTGCTTGCTTGGTTCTGTAAAAGGAGGAAATATTTCAGAGTTTATGGCAAAATCATTTTGGAAGTACAGAAGGTTGGTTTGGAAAGGATTACACATTTGTCATACTTTCTTTCATGCTTAATAAAAAAAGTGATTCTGATCTGATGAATGGAACATTGTTAGAAGTCAGAAAATATTACTGTTTCTCATTATACTTTTCATTTGTCACATGACTTTAATGAAGGACCCTCCTGTTAGCATGAGAGTCATTATCAACCAAAGGTATATAGAACGTTTCCTCTTTAATGCAGACATTTAACAAACTAATGAATACTAAAAATAAAACTCTCTAAAAATAATGTTGCTTATATACTGTGAGGATCTGCTAAATCTTTTCTGCTTTTGAATACACAGTAAGAAAATTAATTTAGAGCTTAATCAGCCATCATAAGCAGCAGCAGGTAATTTTATTTAATTTTTCAAAGCAATGAGAGACTATTGGAGTGGGAGCAGGCATGCAGGTAATAAAGAACTCTTTGATTTTTATTGAAACATCCATAATTTAAATGACAGGTTTTGCGGATTCAAGACTAGTGGTTTGCAGAGGGTGCTCTGCAGAGCCTCTTGGGTTCCATGACATTACCTTGGGGCCCACTGAGGGTGGTGGTTGGAAGAGGAGGAGGCTCCTGGCTCCCATGTCCACATCCTCCACTGTAGCTCTAATTTCATAGGTTTTGTATTTCAATGTTCTGTGTGAGTTGGCGTGAAAAATGAGTTCTATTGCAAAAATAGTTTTGAAAACCTTTAATTTGTTCCATCTCCACAGTGTGTAGATGAAGAAACAGATTCAAAGTAGACTCCTGCTCTATTTTAGTGATTATTAACTCCTGGTAGGTGTAAGAATGCACAAAATGCTTCAGTCATCACACCAATCCTGTTACCTAGGCTGAGTAAATATCAGCACCATTGTTTGCCAGATTAGGAAATGGACACTCAGAGGGTTTCAACAATCTGCCCACGAGATGGTATGCCTAACTCCTAGTCCTGCTTCTCCTCCTTCTATTCCTTCTTTAAAGTACTTTTTATCTGACCAGGCTGTGTGGTTCTCTATGTTTGTACATGTTCCAACCCAGAGAAGTTGTAGTGTATAATTGATAGTATTTTAAAATGATTCCACTGAAGCTGCCATTATTAGAAATGATTGATCTCTAAACAGCAGCACTATGTATGAATATGTCCAATAATGACAAACTCTAACCAGTAAGTGCTCAGAATAGTGTGAAAGTTTTATTTAGCAATTTTACAAGATTGGTGTGGAGAATATATACAAATTGCTTTCTGTGTTTTTCTTTTTTAGCAGGTTTTAATAAATGATATATTTATAATTTTAAAAGTTATATTAAAGACCTATAATTTGAACATTGTAGCATTGCAAGCATAAATGTTCTTTATGTTTACAAAAAACCTCAATGGTATTCTTGATTTTAAATTGGTCTTTGTGTATATTATATTCCTCTCAAGTGCACTAAATTTCTATAGATTCTGTATGTTCATTAAAAATATTTGCTCAGTTCAATTACAGTTATTGGGATTAGGGGTAGCGGGTGGGGAAAATGTGTAAGTTCCTGAGGCTTCCCTAAATGGGATGTCCTCTCTGTGGATTGAGACATGTCCAAAAACCCACATCGAACCTTCAAGGATCTATTACTTGAGGGGCCTGAGAGTCTATGAAAAACAGGCATTTTAAGAAGAGTCCTGGCTCAAATTTTGTTTCATATCTCGTCATATCAAAATAAATAAGAATAAAAAATTACAATAATTGTGTTATTTTTCTATGTGAATATATATACACACAGCAGATTTTATTTAACCATTTCCTCTGTTATTAAGGAACTTAAAACATTTAAGATATTTCCGAATCTTCGCCATTGTTTAAAATAACACTGAAATGAGCATCTGGGTGCATATGTAATTGCATTCATCTCTAATAATTTCCATTGGAAAGATTCCTATTAATGACATTGTCGTACTAATTTACTCTTTCATCAATTTAAAATAATCCTTATACTGCCAAATTTTACTAATATTGAATTATACATTATTTTACTAATATTGCTGATGAAAAATTGTGTCCTGGTGACTTTTTTTCATATATCTACCAGTATGTTTTTGTCATCTGTAAGTGGCATGGAGAGCTTATAATTTTTGACATCTCTGATTTATGTAAAATCATATATGGAATTAGAGAACCTATGACATTAAATTAGGTTATCTCTGGATTGAGAAATGGTGATATTTGTTTTCCTCATTCTTTTTGTGAGTTTCTGCCCATAAAATATTTTATAATAAAAATGCAAAAAAGATGAAGGTATCTTTTTTTACAAAACAGCATACAGTAAGACAAGATTCATGTGTATTATCTAACATTTATGAAATTTTATTATTAAGTGTTTTTAGAGGACTTATTCAACATATGAAGGATTTTAGTCAGTAGACACAGTGCCTCTTCACCTGCACTGGAGGCGTTGTTTTTCTTCTCTGTAGCAGGGTGAATGGGGTAGGATGGTAAAAATTTCCACTGAGAATGTAGCAAACTTGATGTCTTCAAAACAGCTCCAGCATTTGTGAGATGATGAATACTCCACATGAAAGAGGAGACACAGCGCAGTGGTTAGTGCACAGCCCTGGAGTCGAAATCCTTAGATATTACTCCAGGCTTTACCACTTCTTATGTGACCTTGAGCAAGATAAATTTTTTATGCCTCAGTTTCCTCATCTGTGAAATGGGGATATAAACAGAACCTATATCTTAAGGGTATTATAAAGATTAAATGAGGTAACTATGCAGAAAACGTTTAGAAATTCTGACAATAAATTGTTTTAAAATGGCAATTATAACTTTAGTAAGTGGTCTCATATTCTCTCTTTTTTTAAAAATTTTACTTTAAGTTCTGGGGTACATGTGCAGAACATGCAGGTTTGTTACATAGGTGTACATGTGCCTTAGCAGTGTGCTGATCACGGTCTTCTTATGCACATTTACCAATTTCAGTTTGTTGAAAGACACAATTATCAGATATTTGAATGTGGATGAGGTTTGTTGTAATTACAATTTCACTTGCCTTTTGTGAATGTTTCTGTCACACCAGGGCATGGGGATGACATGAACAAAGGCAGAGCAGTGGAAAAGCATAAACTTGTTCAGGGAATAGTAAAAAATCTAGGTAAATCCACAACATAATGCTATTGTAACATACTATTAATTATGTTAATTAAACAATTATTCATGTTTGGTCTTCATGTCAAGATGAAATATATTTAAATACTTGACTTTATAACATATATAATATTGATGTAATATCATAAAATATTTGTAAAATAAACACAGTTATATACCATGTAAATATATTTCATGTATTCATTCTAATCTACCGCCAAGTAGTAAAGTTTCAGATTTTTTTTTTTTTTTGAGACAGAGTCTTGCTCTGTTGCCCAGGCTGGAGTGCAATGGCATGATCTTGGCTCACTGCAACCTCCGCCTCCCAAGTTCAAGCAATTCTCGTGCCTCACCCTCCCGAGTGGCTGGGATTACAGGCGTGAGCCACTACGCCCCACTAATTTTGGTATTTTTAGTAGAGACGGGGTTTCGCCATGTTGGTCAGGCTGATCTCGAGCTCCCGACCTCAGATGATCCGCCTGCCTCGGCCTTCCAAAGTGCTGGGATTACAGGCATGAGCCACTGCGCCCAGCCTTGGATAATTTTTAACTCTGGAGGAGCAGAAATGAAGCACTGTCCGGAATAATTTTCCTACTAGAGAAGCAAGTGATGACCCTGCGTTACAAGGGGTTTATATGCTGGCCTAGTATCTATGTTCTCTAGATGGCAGTGGTAGGATCTCACTCCCATAACACCCAAGAGTCACTGCATTATAAGGAACCTAGAATTGCTTTCTTTTTTTTCCGAGACCGAGTTTCACTCTGTCACCCAGGCTGGAGTGCAGTGGCGTGATCTCGGCTCACTGCAACCTCCGCCTCCTGAGTTCAAGCAATTCTACTGCCTCCGCCTCCTGAGTAGCTAGGATTACAGGCGTGTGCCACCATGCCTGGCTAATTTTTGTATTTTGAGTAGAGACGGGGTTTCACCACATTGGTCAGGCTGGTCTCGAACTCCTGACCTCGTGATCCGCCCACCTCGGCCTCCCAAAATTCTGGGATTACAGGCAAGCGCCACCGTGCCCAGCCTAGAGTTGCTTTCTTAAAAGCATCCATTATGTATTAGAGAATACATTACAACATTTGCGATGAATAATCAAGCAAAGATTCAATATATCACCCTGTTTAAAGTGGAAATCCACCTCCAATGATTTTGCTGATAATGATAGAATGATATAATTTCAAAAATCATTCTTTTAATTTTTGCATTATAAAAATTTTTGGGCCATGTGCGGTGGCTCACGCCTGTAATCCTAGCACTTTGGGAGGCCTAGGCGGGTGGATCACTTGTGGTCAGGAGTTCAAGACCAGCCTGGCCAACATAGTGAAACCCCGTCTCTACCAAAAATACAAAAATTAGCCAGGCATGGTGGCGGGTGCCTGTAATCCAAGCTACTCTGTAGGCTGAGGCAGGAGAAACGCTTAAACCCAGGAGGCAGAAGTTGCAGTGAGCCGAGATTGTGCCACTGCACTCCAGCCTGGGAGACAGAGCAAGACTCCGTCTCGATAAATAAATAAATAAATAAATAAATAAATAAATAAATAAATAAATATTTGATATGAGTGATGGACTAAAAATCTCAACTAAATATTCCTGGGACTCTTCATTCTGTTCTCTAACAGAACCTTCAAAGTGTATTTTGGAAAAATTCCATTAACACGCTGCCTAGGCTGAAATAATTTCATGATCAGTTTCATTTTTGCACTCACCTTGTAAATCCAGACCTCCAGGCAGGTGTCGGGCAGTTATCAGTGGATTAATCTGGTCAGCTGCTTCTGGTTGCTGTTTTAAGGTTACTACCTAATGTGTACTTTTAGAGACTCTCCCTAGTGTGCTGTCACAAAGAAGTCGATTGGATTTTTATGTAAAGAAGGGCTCGGTGAGCCTCTAATCCTTAAATCATTCCTTTGACCACATTTTATTTCATTGTAAATGGAGATTACCACACAGAGGAATATCTGATGCTGTCTGGCTGATCCATTTCTAACTAAACAATTAAGTCACTTGTATGTCAGAGCATACTCTCAGCAACTGGCATTTCCATTACTTCAGGCTTACCCTGAGACTATTTTGGAAATATTTCATCTTCTGCTATTTTTTTTCTAGACATTTGTTATTTTATTTTTAGATTGACAGACAAAATTGTATATCTTCATCTGTACAACGTGATGTTTTGAAGTGCATATGCATTGTGAAATGAATGAATGTAGCTAATTAACGTATGCATTACCTCACATAATCATCACGTTTTTGTGGTGAGGACACTTAACATCCACTCTCTGAGCATTTTGCAGGAATACAATATATTGTTATTAACTCTGGTTACAATGTTGTACAATAGAACTCTTCAATTTATTCCTTCTATTTAACTGAAATCTTGTACCCTTTGACCAATGTCACCCCAAGCACCCCACCTGCAACTGCAACTGCCCCCACTCCTCTACTCTCTAGTTCCAGGAGATTAATTTTTTTACATTCCACATATGAAGGAGATCATATATTTGTCTTTTTGTGCCTGGCTTATTTCACTTAACATAATGTCCTTTAGGTTCATCCATGTTGTTAAAAATGGCAGGATTTCCTTCTTTTTTTATGGCTGAATAGTGTTTCATTATGTTTCTATATGACAGTTTCTTTATCCATTCACTGATGGAGTCAGGTGGATTCCATTTTTTTGGCTATTAGGAATAATGCTGCAGTGAACATGAAAGTACAAATAACTCTGACATACTGATTTCATTTCCTTTGGATATATACATGATTATATCCACCAGTGGGATTGCTGGATTGTATGGTAGTTCTATTTGTAATTGTTTTGAGAAACTTCTATATTGTTTTCCATAATGGTTGTACTAATTTTTATTCCCACCAACAGTGTGCAAGGTGGGTCATTCACATCCTGGCCAACACTTATCTTTTGTCTTTTTGATAATAGACACTAATGGGATTTTCTCATACACATTTACCAAACTTCAGTTTGCTGCAGAACACAATTACCAGATATTTCAGTGGGGGCAAGGGTTGTTGTAATTACAATTTCACTTGCCTTTTGTGAATGTCCCTGTGATACCAAGGCATGGGAATGACATGTGTAGAGGCAGAACAATATCACTCCATAAAGATATCATCTCTCATTGTGATTTTAATTTGCATTTTCCTGATAATTAGTGATGTTGAGCATTTTTTTCACATACCAGTTGGATATTTGTATGTCTTATTTTAAGAGATGTTTATTTAGGTCCTTTGCCCATTTTTAAATTGGGTTTTTCGTTTTCTTGACTTAAGCCCCTTAAATATTTTGGCTATTAACCCTTTATCAGGTGTATAGTTTGCAAATATCTTCTCCCATTGCGTTGGTTGTTTCTTCACTCTGTTGATTGTTTACTTTATTGTGCAGAAGCTTTTTACTTTGATGTAATACTGCTTGTCTATTTTTGCTTTTGTTGCCTGTGCTTCGGGGGTCATATCCAAAAAATCATTGCCCAGACCAATGTAATAGAGCTTTTCCCCTATGTTTTCTTCCAGTAGTTTCATAGCTTCAGGTTTTACATTTAAGTCTCTACTCCAGTTTGAGTTGATTTTCGTATATGGTGTGAGAGAAGAGTCTATTTTCATTCTTTTGCATGTGGATATTCAGTTTTCCCAACACCATTTATTGAAGAGATTGTCCTTTCCTCACTGTGTGTTCTTGGCACTTTTGTTGAAAATGAGTTGGCTGGAAAAGCCTGGATTTATTTCTGGGCTCTCTATTCTGTTCCACTTGTTGTGTCTGTTTTTATGCCTGTACCATGCTATTTTGATTACTATAGATTTGTAGACTATTTTGAATTCAGGTAGTGAATACGTGCTAATTTTCAATTAGCAGAAAGCTCAAGCAAAACACCCTGAGTATAAATGAAGCAGCTCTTTATGTGGCCTTCACGAGGATTGGACTCTCATAGGGCTTGGTTTTTGTATAACTCTTAGTTTTAACTACATCCTAAGGTTCTAGAGAAAATTCTGGAGCTGAGACTTAGCTATGCATTTGTACAACTTCCTTGTCTGCCAATCTAAAAGTCAATCTTACTGATAATCCCTATTTTTCTTTTATTCTTATTTCCTCTTACCATTGTTTAGTAGCTAATATACTATGTATTTCACTTGCTTATGTGTTTATTGTCTGTCAACCCCATCATAGCTCCATGAGCATAGCACCACGGGGGCAGAAATTATCTACTTTGTTCATTGTCATAGTCACAGTGTCAAGAAAAGTGTCTGGCACATTGCATGTGTATAATAAATAATTTTGAATAACAGCCAGTCACCCTATTTTATATATCCTATTTTAGTATCTTGGCATGGGAGATAATTTCATGAGTATTTATATATTTGCAAACTTTGGAAGAAAAAAAGAAAAAACACTCTATAGAAGGCAAATTGAGAGGACTGAAAGTTTAGAAGTGACAAACAACCTAGAAATAGCTACACATTTTTAGTGATCAAAATCAATTTTTGTCATTAATCTGGATTTACTAACTTCTCAAAGTTATCATGGATGTAAAAGTGGCTTTAATCTGCTGATGCTCTGTGGTGTTCTACAAAATTGCTAAATTGCTTTTATGTGAAACTGGATAAGACATAACCCTTCTCCTACCTTTTATATTATTTTTTAGCCATGAGCCAAATTTTTCTAGCTAAGCCAATTTAAAAAATATTAGAAATGCAAATGTATTGCCATTGTTCTAAAATGTAGTTTTAAAATTCCATTTTTCAAGGTGGGATTTGTGATTATGTGTGAGGCGCTTCATTGTCTCTCAGCACTTCCCAACCAAAATCAGTCCATTTTGCCACTCCTGAGGAAAGGTCTGCTCTGTGTGACTCACAGTTACTTCCATGAATATTTATCCTGCCTGTACTGTTGGAATCACCTTGAGATCATGTACAATTAGTTAGGGTTGATAGAATTAGTAATGTTACTGGTTGTGTTACAGCATCTACGGGTCTCAGTGAAGTGGGACTCAGTCCCTTCTCCCCATTACTCTATTTTCTGTCCCTTCTTGATTCTGCTTGCCATTTTGGGGGTGCCAATTTATTTCCTTAGTAAAAACAACAGTAGTTATATATTAAGATACAACTGTATTATTTGCTTTTTTTCTTAAATCCACTATTATTTTTTGTCTTTTCATTGATTAAACTTCAGGCAAAACTCATTTGGCTGTGTTGAATAACATTTTGCAATTTTCTTTTCCCTGTGTCTTTCACACTTTGTAGCATTGTGCTCATGTATACTGTCTTTGTAAGTTCGAATCTATTAAGTGATGGTTCGTCATAAATCCTGTATAATACTTGATTTTCATCATTTATTTATATTTTGTCACCTGTACTCTCTTGTCCTGAGTACAAAGAATACACATTCATCTCTGTACCTTTTTTGTTTATTGATAGTTTATACTTTCTTTGGACAACTTTTAAATGTATATTTATTTATATTTGCTTATCCAATCTTATAAAGAACAATTTCACAAGTAGTTAGTCCCTGCTCATCTTCTTTTGATATTCCTAATATAGTCTTGTAATGGATTACTTGGGATATTTATTCCTCTGTATTTTAAAATCATGAATCTCAAACATCTCTATCCACCAAAGAATCTTTTGAACTAAAAAACGCACACAGACAGACCACATTTTTGAAGGATTCAATTTCAAAATAAAGTTAGTTCCTACTTAGCCTTGCAAAATGAGGTATCTTCTCTTGATAAAGTTGTGCAAATAATGAATTTCAATCATTGAATATTCTAAAAATGTGTTATCTTGCCTAAGTAATTGTTTCTATGCCTTTAGCTATTAAAAATATGAAAACATAATCCTTTATAAAAGCACATATTTTTACCTTCCATTTGAGTAATTTTTATTAGTCAAGGAATTTTGTATAGGTATATATTTGGTGAAACTTTTTAATAAAATTGTGTTTTTCTGGTTATAAAATGATGCAGTTTCATTAAAAACATTTATAAAGCAGAAAAATACATAGAATATAAAAATCATCCATATTTTCATAGCCAGCAAATCATTGTTATCTTAAAAGTACATGTCTATAAACAATAATTTTTAATGGAATTGGGATCATTTATAAGTTCATTTACTACTTGTCTCTTAACAATAATGTATAATCTAATGGTTAGTGGAAAATTCATCATATGATGTTTTCACTATTTAATAAATTCCTCATTCTTAGACATTTAGATTGTTTTCATATTTTTCACTGTTATATATAATGATGTGATGAACATTTTTGAAAATAAATAATCATAGGGTTTTCTCTTAACTGCCTTACATACTTCATTTGGAGTTAAATCACTGAGTAAAAAGATTCACATCTCCTCCCACACTCTGCCTTCTCTTATGTGATTTAGTACCTTTTGCTTGCCTTAATCTCTTTCTGCAAAGTAAGAAAGTGATCTGAAAAACTAATTTATATACAGTGTTGTTAACTTGTACGTGTTTTCCTGCCCCTTTCCCTTGCTCAGCTGTCCTAGACCAATTTTGGGAAGCAGACTCCACAGACAGAGGTTTATTTGCAGGAGATTTAGTGGGGAATGTTGTCAGCAACAATACAATTAAGGGAGTAAGGGAAGGGGGTTGAGCAGGAGAGGCTGAACTCGGGTGCAATAACAGGAAGGTCTCCAGCCATCCCAAGGGGAGCTCTGGAGCTCAGAAGGACCCTCAGAGTGTTCTTGAATTGAAATACATCTCTGAATCCAACTTCCTCCTGCCACTCCCATTGACCAGTCCTTAGTTTGGTATAGGGTGCCTTGGGCAAGGCAGTGGACATGCTCAGTAGCTGGGTAAGATGAGGACTTCATCCCAAAGTGGCCGTCTGGGCAGTGAACCACTGGGTGTTCAGCGTATCAGCCTCGTGGATTTTGTGTTATCAACCAATAAGGGGAGAGGGGGTGAAGTGTAAGTCAAAACAGATGATTCTCCACTAGGAAAATTTTAGTCTTTCTTGCCTGTTACCTAAATTGGAAAATGTACATGAGGAGGATCTTCCTCAGATCTTGTCGGCCTCTTTCTCATAATCCTGCTCTAGAACTCGAAATATCCTGCTCTACGACTCAAAACCAAACAAACATTGTTATTTGTTGGTGAAGGGGGCACCTAGAAGCATTTACTGACCGAGCAGTGACTTTAACATTATTTTATGTATCAATGTCACCAGTTTAGAGGATTTCACTATATTAACAAGTCCTACTGTGAAAATAACTATAGTATTACTGATTATATAACAAGGTGAAATACTATATTTTGACCATTAAACTATTTTTTTTTAACTTGGGTGACATTTAGCAATTTACCATTTCCAGCAATCTAAATGTTTATGTCACAGAAATCACATATTAAATTATCTGGAAATTTATTTCTCAGGAGGATCACCAAGGCATCAGAAAATAATAATAATTAATAACACAACTATAACAACTTGACGTTTTATAAGGACAAAGTATACAGGTTAATCACTAATATTGTAATTTTTTTAACAGCCATTGAACTAAATTTTGACAATTGAAAAGAATTTAATTATGAACTCCTGATGATTTGCCTCCCACCTCCAAATAGTCCACCCATCATTCTTTATGAAATATTTATTGTATAGGGGCTGGGTGTGGTGGTTCACGCCTGTAATCCCAGCACTTTGGGAGGCCAAGGCAGGAGGATCACTTGAGGTCAGGAGTTTGAGACTAGTATAAGCAACAGTGTGAGATCCTCTCTCTAAAATATATATATATAATTTATTGCATAGGAAGTATTTTGGGGGGATAGTTTAATTACTGTTGTACCTGGTTGTACTTGATGAATATTCACATTTTTTCTGCTCTCTAAAATGAAAATTTAGTATCATTTAACAACACTAAGAGACATCATGGAAGCACAATTCTTTATTGCCGTATTTTGGAATAGGGGTAAATAGGATGAGAGTTGTTTAAAATACATTTTACTCTGTCTCTCCCACTGAGTGAAACTATGCATCCTGGACAGAATACATAAAGCAGATATTTGAGGAATCTAAAAAATAAATAATAGCAGATGTAGTGGGAAGAAGACCAGAATTTGTTCATTTTTTCCTCTGGTATCTTCTGGCTTAGACTCAAGGCAGCCTGACACCTGAGAGAGCACCTTGTCATAGACACACAGCTGCAGACGCCATTTAGTTCAGACTCAAAGAGCATGAAAGTGACCTCTTGTTAGTGGCAGTGGTGGCAGTGAACGCTCTCAGAGGCTTTAAATTCTGAAGGAAGAGAACTTTGATTTGAGGAAATCTGGTCCCAAGATGGCAGAGCAAACTTTCATGCTGTTTTTCTATCTCCATCCTCCCATCACTTAGTGTGGATGCAGCGGCAGGAAGTAGGTGGCAGAGAAGGGGGTAAATAAAACCCCAGCTTTTTGGCTGCAGGACTGAAAAGAGGAGCTCCTAGGAACCAGTAAGTAGGAAAGAGATAGCACAGAGGGAGAAGCTTGGGAAAGGGGCCCAATGGAGTTGTTTACAAATTTCTGAGCTCTTTTTACGGCCACAGTCCTCTGGTGAGGACTGATAGTAGAATAGTATGCTTGTTTATGTCCTTATCTGGTTGGATGCAGCCTTTATTATTTATTTATTTATTCAGCAAAACATCTTGTCCTTGTTGGCAAGATGCTCTGTGAAATGTGATGGAGTCTTTTTCTAAGGCAGAGTGACTTATGTTCAAAGGCTCTCTTTACATATGGGCTCCTTACTTAGTTGCTCAGCATCTCAGGCTTGCCATCTAGAAAATGGATAGAATTCTCACTACCGTCAAGAAGTGTTATGAGGATTAAATGAATTAATGTACACTAAGCAACTGAACCTAACAAATGTTTCTTTCCCTGTGGCATTTGGTTTTTAGCTTTCCTATCCATTTCCTAAGTATCAGGCCCTTAGGTTTCATGTTTAGCACTCCTTTAATCTGTCAAGTTTACTAAGTTGTAGGATAATTTAGAAGCTTCCTAAGAATCACATGTTAAATAAAAAAAGAACAAAGGTCTTAAAGGAAGGAGTGCTAAGATAAAACCTATGGTAACCTGCTGCCCTTTTTCTTACTTCTGAAGAGTTGAGGTTGTCAGAAAACTAATATTTAGATATGGGCTTATCTGGTTCATAATATTCTAAACAACACTGCTACCATTACTATTATTACCAACTAAAACTATTTAGGATGTGTCAGGTATTGACATTCTACATATATTAATTTATTTAATTCTTACAATAACATGATAAGGTGGGTACCATTATTATTCTAATTTTACAGAATACATAACAAAAACATCACTTTATTGCCCTAGTCTTGTTATTCATATTATTAAAAAAACAACTATTGTGTACTGGTCTTAAATTAACTATAAAATTAGTTAATATTTGGTTATCTCTTTAGGATAAAAACTCTAGCTAAAATGAGCCTTAATATGGGCAATGCTTTTTTTCCTGCTCCATAAAACAGACCAACCCTCCTTGCAAGCTTAAGGCTAAAAACCCAGAATGTAATAACAACTGGAATGTTGGAGATGCATCAAGGTTTTTGCAATGTAAATTCCTTCCATTACCTTAGTTCAGGTCCTAAGCTTCTCTAGTTTAAATTATTACGATTGATTTCTTTTTATTTATTTATTTATTGGTTTTGAGACGGAGTCTCGCTGTCTCCCAGGCTGGCGTGCAGTGGCGCGATCTCAGCTCACTGCAACCTCTGCCTCCCAGGTTCAAGCGATTCTCCTGCCTCAGCCTCCTGAGTAGCTGGGACTACAGGCACCTGCCACCACACCCAGCTAATTTTTGTATTTTTAGTAGAGACGGGGTTTCACCATGTTGGCCAGGCTGGTCTTGAACTCCTGACCTCAGGTAATCCACCTGCCTTGGCCTGCTAAAGTGCTGAGATTACAGGCATGAGCTGTTGTGCCCAGCCTATTACAATTGATTTCTTACTGAGCATACCAATCTCTTCTTCATTGACTGCATACTCCACCCTCACTGCTTGAATTATTTTTATTATTTACATGCCTGGTTTAAAAAATAATGGCTGCTCAATAAAGTAGGACCTTTTTCTTTCTTTTTTTTTTTTTTGACTGAGCACAGGGGACTTTAGTAATAGGACGTGACAAGGTGGAGCTCCCTAGGCCCCTCCCTTTTCAGGTGGTCTGTGTGGAAATTGTGAAGAGGGGAGATCCTCAGTGTTGTGAGGTCTGAGTGCAGCAGGGACTCCCCAGCAGCTGGGGGCCTCTCTCTTCCTCTTATACTCTCGCTGGGGCTGGTGGTCCGGGGGCCTTATTCCTTGGAAGCCATGTGGGCCATGAGGTCCACCACCCTGTTGCTGTAGCCAAATTCATTGTCATACCAGGAAATGAGCTTGACAAAGTGGTCGTTGAGGGTAATGCCAGCCCCAGCATCAAAGGTGGAAGACTGTGTGTCACTGTTGAAGTCGGAGGAGACAATCTGGTGCTCAGTGTAGCCCAGGATGCCCTTGATAGGATCCTCTGAAGCCTGCTTCATCATCTTCTTGATGTCATAATATTTGGCAGGTTTTCCAGATGGCAGGTCGGGTCCACGACCAACACCTTGGCAGTGGGGACATGGGAGGCCATGCCAGTGAGCTTCTTGTTCAGCTCAGGGATGACCTTGACCATTGCCTTGGCAGTGCTAGTAGATGCAGGTATGATGTTCTGGAGAGCCCTGTGGCCATCAGGCCGCAGTTTCCTGCAAGGGCCATCCACAGTTTTCTGGGTGGTAGTGATGACATGGACTGTAATCATGAGTCTTTCAACAATACCAGAGTTGTCATGGATGACCTTGGCCAGGGGCGCTAAGCAGTTGGTGGTACAGGAGGCATTGCTGATGATCTTAAGGCTGTTGTCATACTTCTCATAATTCACTTTCATCATGAACATGATGGCTTCAGTAGAGGGGGCAAAGATCATGACCCTTTTGGCTCCCCTCTGCAAATGAGCCCCAACCTTCTCCATGGCGGTGAAGATGCTGGTGGACTCCACAACGTACTCAGTGCCAGCATCGCCCCATTTGATTTTGGTGGGATCTTACTCCTGGAAGATGGTAATGGGATTTCCATTGATGACAAGCTTCCCATTCTCAGCCTTGATGGTGCCATGGAACTTGCCATGGGTGGAATCATACTGGAGCATGTAGGCCAGGTAGTTGAGGTCAATGAAGGGGTCATTGATGGCAACAATATCCACTTTACCAGAGTTAAAAGCAGCCCTAGTGACCAGGCACCCAGTATAGCCAAATTCGTTGACTCTGGCCTTCACCTTCACCATTGTGTCTCAGGGATGTGGCAGGCGCTGTGCTGCACAAGAAAATGCGGCTGTCTCTAATGGGAGAAGGGAGCCAAAATAGGGCTTATTCTATGCTTCTAAGAACTGAATCCTGGCCTCACTTATTTCTCTAATGCTGTCTCCTCTGACTGAAAGTAACAAACAGAAAGCCCTTGTCCAGTCACACAAATACAGTCATCATTCATGCCTTTGCTGCAGAATGTATCTGTCACTCTTAATTAAGTTGTGATAATAATTTTATTGTTTACTATTTATTGAGGACTTACATTGTACCAGGGTTTGTTCTAAGCCCTTTATGTGGACCTATTTTATAGATAAAAAAGCTGAAGTTTAGAGAAATAGTTTGCCCAGCATCATACATTCTGTAAGTGGGGTTGCTGAGATTTGAACTCTCGGCATTCTAATACAAGCCTGAGTTTTTAGCCATGATACATATTGCTACCTGTTTATTTCTCACATTGAAGAATGGAAAGGATCACACTGACACTGCAAACCTAACATATACATCTTGTTTCCAGGAGGCAATAAGATAAATTGCATGGAAGGTCTGTTGGGAGGAATTTGGATGTTGTTACTGTCCCTTACCCTGAAGGTAATTATTAGGTCTTTTGAGCCCAGAGCTTGGTAACAGTTGCCAGTGTTGATAAGCCAAAGGTGGGGTATTTTCCTTTTTCCTCTGGTTAAAGATCAATTCACTTCTTTCATGTTTTCTTTTTAGCTGATGATAAAGGAGAAGAATAAAAGGATGACAGATGTGAATACTTAATCACGTTGCTTAATATTATGGAGTGACATAAAAATATGGTTTGCTTTATCTAGACAGATGTGGTTTTATAAAATAATCATGGTCTTTTTGTTTGCCATGTAGAATAATTATGCACAAAATGGGAGTGTACATTCTGGAAAGGTCATCTTGACTTTTAAAGGGTTTCTTTAGGCATTCATGATTGTCACTTTCTGATCAGTATGGGACAAGTTGGGATACATAAAACTCTATTCTGTGTTAAAGGAATATTTCAAAGATTCCATGTTTAATGAAATAAAGTATTGCCTAGAAATTAGAGACTTGTGATTACTTGCACTGATTCATTCTGAAGTTTTCTGAATGCTCTTTTAAAAATCTGTAGCTCTTAGTTTCTTATTTCTTTCAGATATCAAGAAATGCGGATTTCCAATGCACTTAGCTTATGCTCAATATTAAGTGAAATAATTAATTTAGCATGTCCATGATGATACTAAATTAGTAATTCAGGGTAGTTAAAATTGCAGTGGATGCTGAACTGATCCAAGAAACAGTTTCAACCTTGTGAACTGGTTTGGAATTAGTAGTCTATCATTAAATAGTAATTAAACATCAAAGGCTTGAAATGGCCCATTATGTGCAACAGAAAGTTTGTGTGTTAGAATAAGACACTTGAATTAATATATATTTCATAATTTTATATAGCAATTATGTGGTGATAAACAGTATAATTATTTTATTTTTTATGAGTTCATTGTCTACATTTTATATTTTACATAGTAGTTATGGAGAAATTGCCTACTCTGTGATGATAAACAGAAGACTTTTTATTATTTTTAAACTCACTTTCTAAAAATATAACACAAAATTGGTTTATTTTATTTTATTTATTTATTTTGAGACAAGGTCTCACTCTGTTGTCCAGGCTGAAATGCAATGGCTCAATCTTGGCTTGCTGCAACCTCCACCTCACAGGCTCAAGTGATCCTCCCACCTCAGCCTCCCAAGTAGCTAGGACTACAGATGCACCACTATACTCAGCTAATTAATTTTTTTTTTTTTTTTTTTGGAGAGACAAGGTCTCACTGTTTTGCCAAGGCTGGTCTCACACTCCCAGGCCCAAGCGATCCTCTCATCTCGGCCTCCCAAAGTGCTGGAATTACAGGCATGAGCCACCATGCCCGGCTAATTTTCTTTTAAATCCCTATACAGAATGTAATTTGAATATGGATTTTGTTTTTGTAACTCATATTTGAAAAATGTCTCCTTTAAAAAAATCATACAAATATTGAAAGTATTTGAGATTTTTTAACCTAAATCAGGAATTTGTTTTAACATCTGTTATCAGTCATCTGAAGCCACAACACTTGGTTTTTAGAGCCATTCCACTTTATGATGTGAACATGCATGATGCATGCAAGGAAGAGTAACATTTCATACTATGTGCAAAATTGTCAAACCTTGTATCTTTGGTATGTGGGAGATTGGGGAAGTGAAAAATGAGTCTGTTTTATTAGGGGCAGTGGTATATCATGGTGTATGGGTCATCATTGTGAATCACAGGGAAAGTGGCATAGCATTTGGGATTGATCCACATGCCACCAGTAAATCTTGGCCCAAATCAAATCGAAATAGCACAGGAATTAAGATAGTTAACATTTGGCAGGGCACGGTGGCTCACGCCTGTAATCCCAGCACTTTGGGAGGCTGAGGTGGGCAGATCACAAGGTCAGGAGATCGAGACCATCCTGGTTAACACGGTGAAACCCCCTCTCTACTAAAAAAAACATACAAAAAATTAGCTGGGCATGGTGGCATGCACCTGTAGTCCCAGCTACTTGGGAGGGTGAGGCAGAAGAATTGCTTGAACCTGGGATGGGGAGGTTGCAGTAATTCGAGATCGCGCCACTGGACTCCAGCCTGGGTGACAGAGCGAGACTCCATCTCAAAAAAAAAAAAAAAAAAAAAAAAAAGCTAACATTTATCAATGGTTAATTATGTACCTGGCACAGTTCTAAGTGTTTAAAGTGTATTAAATCATTAATCCTCACAAAAACCTTTTAAAATAAATACTGTTATTAATTAGATACCAGCAGGGGTGAGCATTGTATAGAGGAGCAAACAGGTATGGAGTGGTTGAGTAGCTTGCTACACAACTAGAAAGTGGCGGTGCTGAAATTGAACTCGGGCAGTTTGGCTACCCAGTCAGCACTCCTAACTATTTTATTAAATAAATATCTCCCTCGGGACTTTGATTGAGGTCTAAGTCATAGAAATGGTCTGTTTTCCTGAATTTTTCTTCGTTAAGATGAAAGTTCTAACTTCCTGCCAGTAAATGTCTAATTTATCTGGAATTTGTATCTTCAGGATATTTGAGTCTTAGAGTTTGTTTCATTGTCCCAGTGGTCAGTCTAATGTTGAGCTTAAGTCATTTATGAATTCAGCCCTTTTGTTTTTATGAAGATGTAGAAAATATTCTATGGCTTTCTTTTCCTTTTCTTTTTGTAGAGACGGAGTCTCGCTCTGTCGCCCAGGCTGGAGTGCAGTAGCGCGATCTCTGCTCACTGCAACCTCCGCTTCCGGGTTTCAAGCAATTCTCCTGCCTCAGCCTCCCCAGTAGCTGGGACTACAGGCACTTGCCGCCACACCCAGCTAAAGAAAATATTCTATGGCTTTCCTGTGGGTTGCTCCTAAGCTTCCTCCAAGATATTTCTTCTTTCTCCTCTTTCCAGAAGCACAGTCACCCATCTAGCTTGGGCTCTCTTTAGCCTCCTCTGTAGTAATCCTAACTCTAGTCTCCTTACAATTTATTTTCTAGATTAACTTAAGCAATGTTCTGATCACAAACTTTACTATTGTCTCTCCATTTATCATTATATACAATCCAAGTCCCTTAATGTGATAGCCCAATGTCTTGTTGCTCTGGATCTACCTTTCTTTTCTTATCTTAAAATTCTTAATCATCATGGAAGCTAACATTTATTGAGCACTTACTATATAACAAGCACTGTGCTTACTTCCAAACATACAAAGATGAAGAATAGAACCTACTTTCTCCCTTTGTGATTATCACAGGGATTATCTCACTTAATCTTTGTGGAAACCATATGAGCTATGTAATATTATTAACTCCATTTTAATGAAGAGGAGACAAAGTCTTGAAGAGTTTATGTAACTTATTCAAGGTCACAAGAGAACCATGTGGTAGATCTGGGATTCACACCCTCACTTTTAAGCCCTATACAATACTCCCCATGTCATAAATTTTCTAACTCTAACCCATCTTTAGACGTATGGGGCTACTCACCACTCCCTTTATATCCCTCACTTTTTTCTCTTCATTATCATGTTTTATGTCATTTTATTCTCCTTGTATGTAGGTCTCAATTTTTTTCCTTATTTCTGCCTATTGAGTAACAACTGCCTTCAACCTGTGGATATAATTGACCTCTCCCACCACAGAACCAAAGCTTCATTTATTTTCTTAACTCCCATAGTGCTATAACCTTGTATGCTGCTTATACAGACTATATGATGAGCTTTATCGAGTGCTAAAATTTTTTTTAAGAGTAAACGCTTCTAATTATGTGTCATAAGTAAGTTCTCAGAGAAGCTGATTCAGACTTTCCACCAAAGGGTTGTGTTGGTACAGAAAACATAAACATCAACCACATTTTAGCACAATTTTCATCATTCTCTTGTGGTTTGACTTTTCTGATGATGTCTAAACTTAGACATAAAAGGAAACCCCGCCTTATATGGATGACATGGAATGGAAAAGAAGCTCCATGGCTTTCCTGTTTCACTGGTGGGTTTGACCTTTTCCACACGTGCATTTGCTTTGAACTCCTCCTAAGTTAGGTGCTACGTGAATACAAGTTATAATTAACATGCTTTCTTTGGGTCTCCTTGAACAAAATGTTCTCTCTCATGATATGCTATGCATATTTACTTTGAATGAATAATAGTTTTGAATTTGGATTTAGAAAGCAGATAATGTGACTGAAATCCATGTTTCTTCTTTGCCTTTAATCTAGGGCTGCAGGATGGGGCCCAAATGTGAAGGGAATAAAACATGAGAGAACCTTGTTTAGCCACGAGATAACCAGGGATAAGAGTTTAGCTTATAGGCTCTAATCAAACGTGTTATTTTTCATTGAAAACTGGCGTATGGTATCACTATGCAGCTGTTAACCAGCTGTTTCCTTTCTACTGGGGTTCTTGTGTGCTCTCTGCTTTAAATTTATGTGTTGCTTGGGATCCCGAAGGATAAAATAGTACTTGTAGGTTCAAGGTAGTGGTTGGAATGGTTGTTTGCATGTTTTTAGATTTTTTAGTTTAAAGCAACATGTTTAAAATGTTTTCTTCTAATTGCTATTGTGAATATGCAAATGTTTATTTAATCATGCTCAAGTGAGAGAAGATATAGAAACAATTCATAGGCTAATTCAAACCATGTTTTTCCCTCTCTTGTTTGCCCTACACTAATCTGCCAAGCCTGTATGATTGTCTCAGTTCTCCATTTAGCACCGAAGTTAGTTTTGAACCCTGAAAAAAGAGACATTTATATACTTAATTATTTACATATAATAATAAATATCGTGGTCATGTAATGGCTACTTCAGTCATTTTATTTCCGGAATTGGTTCCTTCCAGTGGGTTCTTGGTCTCGCTGACTTCAAGAATGAAGCCATGGACCCTCGCAGTGAGTGTTACAGTTCTTAAAGATGGTGTGTCCGGAGTTCGTTCCTTCAGATGTTCAGATGTGTCCAGAGTTTCTTCCTTCTGGTGGGTTTGTGGTCTTGCTGACTTCAGGAGTGAAGCCACAGACCTTTGCAGTGAGTGTTACAGCTCTTAAAGGTGGCGCATCCAGACTTGTTCATTCCTCCGGGTGGGTCGTGATCTTGCTGACTTCAGGAGTGAAGCCACAGACCTTTGCAGTGAGTGTTACAGCTCTTAAAGATGGCATGTCCAGGGTTGTTTGTCCCTCCCAGTGGGTTCGTGATCTCGCTGGCTTCAAGAGTGAAGCTGCAGACCTTCGCAGTGAATGTTACAGCTCATAAAGGTAGTGCAGACCCAAAGAGTGAACAGCAGCATGATTTATTGCAAAGAGTGAAAGAACAAAGCTTCCACAGCGTGGAAGGGGACCCCAGCGGGTTGCCAGGGCTGGCTCAGGTGGCCAGCTTTTAGTCCCTTATTTGGCCCTGCCCACGTCCTGCTGATTCGTCCATTTTACAGAGCGCTGATTGGTCTGTTTTTACAGAGTGCTGATTGGTGCGTTTACAAACCTTTAGCTAGACACAGAGAGCTGATTGGTGCATTTTTACAGAGTGCTGATTGGTTCATTTACAATCCTTTAGCTAGACACAGAGTGCTGATTGGTGCGTTTACAATCCTTTTGCTAGGCAGAAAAGTTCTCCAAGTCTCCAGCTGACCCAGAAGCCCAGGCAGCTTCACCTCTCAATTTCATGCCTTCACTGGCCCGATGACAGAGTTTCACCAACAGAAGAAAATCTTTCGGTTTGTCACAGTGTGTATGGTCTGTGGTCAGATATGTCAAAGAATGGTAAACAAAGGCCTGTAGACAGTATATCAGTGCTATGGTTTGAATGTGTCCTCCAAAGTTCATGTGTTGGAATCTTAATTCTCAATGCCATAGGTTTGAGAGGTGGGACTTTTAAGAAATGGTTAGGTTATAAGACCACATCTGGTCTCATGAATGGATTAATGCCATTAGTGCAGCAGTGAATTAGTTGTCACAGGAGTGAGTTCCTGATACATGGATAAATTTGGTCCCCTTCTTCCCCCTCTGTCATGCTCTTTTGCCTTCCTGTCTTCTGCCATGGGATTACACAGCAAGAGGGTCCTCACAAGATACAGCCCCTTGATTTTGGACTTCCCAGCCTGAGCCAAATACATTCATGAGCCAAATACATTTCTTTTTTTATAAATTACACAGTCTTAGGTATTTTGTTAGAGCAGCATACAACAGACTAAGACAATTGGAATTCCTACTAAGGATTCACATGGTATGGAGTTTAAACATAATGGAATATGTTTGTGTTATCCTTTTTATTATTGGAAGGTTGAGATTTTATTATTACAAGGTTGAGATTAGGAAAATAATACCTAACAATTATAACACTTACTACACACTAAGTTTTCTACATGTATTAATTTATTTAACCTTCTTGATAAGTACTGTTAACATCTTTGTTTTATAGGTAAACTGAGACAAAACATGTTAAGAAAAGTGTACATGGTTACACAACTTGTAATAATCAGAGAAGGATTTAGATGTTGGTAGGTTAGCTCTTTACTCTGTACTAGACTGCCTTGAGTTGTTGCAAGGAGTTAATAATTAATCAGATTACTAATTTCAGAAGTAGTCCAGTGGCATGTGCCTCTATAATTCCTGTGTTTGGTATGTTTGATTAACTTCCCCTAAACTTTTAGAACTCTTTTTCATGATTGCTGGGGAGCACCAGTGTGGGGGCAGCAAAGCTTCTATCTAGAAGATCAGTTAAGTCAAGATAAGGAATTCACAGTAGGTGTATTAGGATATATCAGGGTGTACTAGTCAATGTCAACCAAATGCAGAGTGAGTTGAGCTGGGATTACTATATCATGCTCCAACAATTCAAAGTTTTCATGGGGATCTCTCTTTTCTGAAACCAAGTCTAAAACTCTCATACCTCTCATGTGAATTTATGTTAAATTTCAGAGCATTCAAAGATTTTCTCACCCTAATGTTCCCTTGAATTAACTAGATCAAACTGCTGAGCTCATAGGAGGGGCTTCTGAAATATGTTTGCTTGTTTGCTTTTGCTTTTGGATAGATGGATAAGTGGATAATTGAGAGAAAGAAAAATAAAGTTCATATTAATAAAATTGTAACTTGCCATATTTCATTTTGTTACCAGGAAGTAATGACAGTCTTTAAATGACTTAGTCTTCCTCCAAGGCATTGTCTCCTGCTAAGCCTCAATAGGCAGGTAGGGAAGAGAAGCTATTGAGAGAGGGAGTGCTCTATAGATAGTTTTCTTTTTTCTTCCTGACCACAGTTAGCACAGAATATGGAATCATTTAATCTCCATGTTATCTTTGGTGGGGGCCAGGAATATAAGGAGGAACAGAAGCTAAAATAACACCACCACCACCAACACAGAGAAGCTAAAATGAAATTACTGAGTTAATGACTGAGTCCTCTATAACAGCAACTTAATATATTGGCTGTGTAGGCCATGTTATTAAATTGTGGTTCCAGTGAGTATCTTAGAGCAAATAACTATAGCAAAAGTACTATTAAATTCTTAGCAAACCAATAAATCCATACCTGCCAGTTAAGGGCAAAAGATATCTAATTTACACATTTAAGATGTATACATGCTACATTTGGTTTCAGAGCATTGGTTTCCTTGGATTTAAAGTGCATTTGTACATTAACTAGAAAAAATTGGTAGACTTTAACAATAAGGTGAAATACTCAAACCTGGGAAGAAATCAGTAGGCTTTAACTATAAGTTTAAAGAGCCAAAACAAGCCACCAAATGAAAAAGTGAAAGCTCATGTGTGCTTTACACATAGCAGACGTGCTAGAAATAATTGAGTAAATGTAGATGGACATGAATAGGTGGAGAAAAACCTATGAATTAATGGCACCAAAATCTCAGGTTCTACTTGGGGAACGAGGCTCTGCCGTCTGGGGAGGTAAAGTGAGCTAGTAAAATGACATGATCAACCATTGCTAGGATAAGCTGTTTAGTCAGAACACTAGCTAAGGTCTCAGCTAAGGAGAATGAGTAAGTGGTAATCATATTTGAGTAAGTGGTAATCATATTTAAAGACTCAGAGATCAACAGAAGCAAACTCCTTTATTATTTATTTGTTATTATTATTGGGGATCTCACTCTGTCACCCCGGCTGGAGTGCAGTGGAATGAGTATAGCTTACTGCAGTCTTGAACCCCTGGGCTCAAATGATCTTCCCACTTCAGCCTCTCGAGTAGGGTGTAAACCATCATGTCCAGTGCAAAGTCCTTTATAAGGTGGCATACTTGCCTTGGGTAAAGACAAAGATGACCAGTGTTGGTGAGCAGTGTTATCCAGTAGATCCAGATGTTTTGCTGTCAAGATCAAGAAAGTAGGTAAGGCAAAAGAACGGGCCCAGTCAGAGCAGAACACAGGGGCTGCCCTTGGGAGAAAAGTGGGACTAAACAGCATTTGGGATCAGAAAATCATTTTAATATGATGATTCAGGGTATTTTACTAGCCCACTTTCGAATTCTCTTCACCTAATCATTATAAAGACTCCTATGGCTGGTGATTCAGAGAGCTCACAAAGTCTAAATTGCATGTACAAAAGGATAAATGTAAAATTTTGCACTTAGCTTAAGAAACAAGTGGATGATGGGTAGGGAGAACAAGCTCAGTCACACTTTGCAGGAAAACAAAACAAAACAAAACATTGCATTAGGAATTTTAAAATTTAATCTTAACTGCCACAAGTCAACTGTGTGACTTTTGGCACAAGATCTTTTAAAACCTTAATTTCCTTATCTGAGAAAGAGGATGTTGGAAGAAGATCGTCTCTGAGGTTCTTCCTGGATTTAATTTTGTAGTTCTATGGCGTCGAGTTTTCTTTTAAGTACCAATTCATATGAAGCAATGTTGTGACATGTGATGCCAAAAATCTAATTCATTAGGAGAAATACAGAGACTAGATTATCCTACTGTATTCAGTGTAGTCGCTTCATTTGGCTGGACAATCAAGTTATGGTTGCCATATATTTTGAAGGATATTAAAAAAATTATAGGAGATCTAGAGGAAGTTGACTGAGGTGTTTATTATTGTAGAAACAATTGTATAGAAGAAAACATGAGATGAACTAGGGTTCATTAGCCCAGGCCAGAGAAGAAGGGGGCACTCAGTAACTTTCTTCCAGTATCCCCTCTCATAGCTCTAGATGGAAGGCTGTAGGAAGATTTTCCCTAAAGGCTACATAAAAAGAAATAAAAAGACAAACCTTCAAATAATTGCAGTGTTCCAGTAGTAAACTGGATTGCTTTGTGATGAAACGATTTCCCTCACAAGGATGATGTTCAGGCAAAAGTTGAAAGACCATCTCTGCAGGGAAAGCTGGATTTGATGATCTTGAGGGTCCCAGGCACTCACAGGTGCTTCCATCTTATGATTTGCTCAGTCTTGACATTAGTTTTGAAATTACAATAAAAACAAATTTATGTGCTAATATCAGAAGTGATAAATTTTTATGGCAAACTATTTTCTGATTAATCAGAAATAAAATATTATAATTGTCAAAACTCAGACAATTTCATTTAGTTCTATATAAAGAACTATTGAAAACAGCAACATGATCTGGAGGTTTTTACAGTTCCTCTTGCTCCTTGGCGTCTTTATCCTTCAAGAGCATTTCTCTGAGTGTATTTCTTTCACATCTAATTCTGTCTTGGTGCCTGCTTCTTGGAGAATCTGAGTTGACCTAGTAATAAACACACAATAAATATTAGCAATTTTCTCTTACTCTTTCCTCTGTGACTCAAAAGCAATTTGTTTTCTTCCTGTGAATAGTTTGTTTACTGTTGGTGGATATAGAATTAAAGTGAGTTAGAATTTTATGTTGTTTTTCCTAACGGAACCATGGAAACGTTCTTGCTGTTTGATAGTTACAAAATGCCTCCTGATTTTAGGCGGATAGTAACAATTTAGAATTGAATTGTAAACAGCATTTGGGACCAGAAAATCATTTTAATATGATGATTCAGGGTATTTTACTAGTAAAAATACTTAATATCACTTAGTATTTAGACTTCACATCTAACTGGACTAGATGACTATTTATGTGTAGACAGGACTTAGAGGCGGAACAGCAGGAGGAAATGTAGAAAGTCAAACACCTGGCTAGGGAAAAGTCCTTACGCTGTCTGGATTTGGTGTCAGCCTCCGCTCTGTCTCCACCACTAGCATTTCCAGCCAATGCATCCCTGATTACTCAAAGCCAAGCATTTCCTGCAGAGTAGCAGGAGGGATAGGAAACAGCATGTGCTTCCTGGTCTGGGAGGTGGCACAGGACTGCGGGGCAGCCAGTAATAGCAAACACCTAAAGCGGGAAAGGATTTGGTGACCCTGTGAACAGAACTTTGCTTTTCAGCAGAATGACACAATCATCTGTAGCATTTTAGTCTGGATTTAAGTCATAACTACTGAGAACACACTCACTGTAGAATCTTTGCTTTTGGGGCACCAGTGTAATAAGGTAGACAGGACTGATACTGACTTACTCAGGGGAGAGAAACAAAGATACACCCAGCTCTTCCGGAGCATGGGGTGCCCTTGGTGGAAATAAGCAAACATTATTTTTTTGCCCTGGGGTCAGTTAAGGTCATTCAGGAATCACTTCATTGAGAAGGACAGTCTTGAAGAGAGTCCAAGAGAAAAAGCATAAAGTTATGCTTTGAGTGGAGGGAAGGGTATAATCATTCCAGTTAAAGGGAATTGCTGTCGATCACAGCTCTGAAGCAGAGAGAATGATTTGTTAACCAGGGCCGTGAACTTAGGTTTACCTTTGAAGTTCTTAAACACTGTATAAAGCTGCATATTTTAAGAAGTAGAGTGAGCCTTAAATATTTAAATTATTTAAATGTGTATCTCTCTTGTAGGGCATGGGAAGAGGACCATAGTTTCTGTGGCCTCCCTAAGATGGCCTGCCACCTCTCCTGATGCTGGTGACTTCTTGTGATGGTGGGGCAATATTAAGTGTTTGAAAAAGGAAGAAGTTCTTATTCCCAAGTGAGAGACCATATAAACATAGAAATTAAAGACAAGGGATTTGGATGAGGTGTGGATATGAATTACAGTTTTATTTCTTGCTAGTCATGTCACCCTGGGAGAGTTACTTCATCTTTCTGAGCTTCAGTTTCCTTATGTAAAGGAATGGTGACAATATTAGCTCCTATCACAAAGGATTTTTGTGAGAATTCAGTGAGATGTGCCATGTACAATGTTTAGCACACAGTGCCAGAAATATTTTATGGGAGCACAGATTCAAAAATGACTAATTAGAGCAGTTACTGAGGCGTCTCAGTGCAACAGCTGTGTTTATTATTGAATTGCCTGCAAAAATGGGCACACATGGCTTTTTAAAATTTTTTATTAAAAGTTAGTAATTTATGATGGCTTTATTAAAATACATGACTAGTGTAACTGGCTTTTATCACATAGAACAGTTTATGTTTTCATTAGTGAGACGAAAAGAAAAAGATTTCCTGCATCCTGAATTAGAGCTATCATCTGTTAAAAATATTTATGACTAAGAAACAAAAGATACTTGTTTTTACAAGATAGGAGCTCAATATATAATTACAAAATGAATAGATTCACCTATTTATTAAATACATATTTGTTTTAAATAATGATAAGTGCTAATGGGGGATATGATAGGGATTGGGCTGTGTGTGTTTGTAGATATTGTAGTGTTCTGAAATTTAGATTGGGCACTAGTCTTAATGTCTAAATTCCAAAATTACTTGAAAATTGCAACTTCTATTAAGTGTGCTCAACCTAAAAGTTTCCAGAAGGTTTACGATAACATTCAAGTTTAAATTCAACATAATTGCGAAAAGTTGTATTTTGTTTATTTTCAGAGTTTATGAACTTTTTCTGATGTTTTCCTAATATATGAAAATGAAATTGGGAAAAAAAGTTAGTTTCAGTAATTGGACCTACATCCTTCAGCGTGGATTTGTTTCCCCGTTTGGCTAATGTTTCATTGACCTCTACAAGGCTGGCATTTCTAGAATACCAACCGAGTAAATTTTAGACTCTCCACAGTTGATTTTTGTTGAAGCTATCAGAAACCATCAAGAACTCATTTGATAATTATAAGTTTTTGTGTTTGTATAGTAGTTAATTTGCAATCATGTGCTGTTTTGTTGAATGTTTGAAGTTGGCTTGCTATTGATGTCCTTTTCTAGGATGCATTTTCCACATAGAAAAGAATACATGCCTGAGTTCTCAGGTTTATTTGTTCATTTAAAAATAATTTATCAAGTGCCTATCATGTGCTACATGGTTCTAGTATTAAATTGAACCCCATGCCACTGTGGGTATTCTATCCTTTTTAACTCAAAAGTCAGAAATTTGATATAGTTCAACTTATTCAAAAACAAGTCCCCTTTAAAGAGCTTTCAATCTAATATAAGGTTTTAGGTGTATAAAAAAAGAATGCCTCTAAAAGTTTTTATACTTCATTAAAAATTTTGTGGCCATGGAATTCTAAAATTCTGTAGATCAGAAATATTTCTATATAATGAAATATACAATGAAAATATTTCAGTATAATGAAGTTATTTCCCTGATGCAAGGTCTCATTTAGAAGAGTTTGTTTTCTGCATGAAGCATCCAAAGTAATAAATGATTTCTTCATCCTTGCGCCGTGCCGTATCATCAAGAATTACTTATTTGTCCATTTTGTTGTGATTTTTAAAGCTAATTTAGAATCAAAACTGAAGTGAGAAGTTGAACAGTAGCCCAGTTTTGTTCCTGCTTGGAAGAAGTAATTAATCTTTAACTTCCCGTATTTCTACCTACTCTCTTTCAAAAGCACAAATAATTTTCCTTACCAGAAACCTCCTAAATTTCATAGCATTCACAGTATACACTGACATGATGTAGGAGAGGTGACATGTTATGTGCTTGAATTCAGAGTTTTTTCCCCCGTTCTTTTTGATTTAATGCCTGAAAAGAGTAGTGGCATATGGACTCTGTTCTTATTCAAAGCCCAATTATGGTATGATTCCTGGCAAAAACGTTCACCATTATACAAGTCCACAAAGGGCTTTGAATTATTGACCCTACTCAGTAAACAAGAGAGCTCCTTGTTGTTGGTCCCACTGGGGATGGGGGAGCACAGGCAAGGTAGTGGAAGGCATAAAAAAGGAAAGCAAGGAGAGATGAATATGCAAAATGCTGTTATTTTAAACCCTCTTGTTTTAGTTTACATTCAAGGAATTGTATGTAATGGAGAGGGCACAGAATTAAAAACTAAAATGATGGGATTCCAAGCAGGCTAAACTTAAAGTACCTTCCTAACGACAAGCCTACCTGCCTCTGTACCCATTGTTTCCCCCTCCCATTTTGGTTGGAGGTGACACTCCTTGCCATTGGGCCAATCCTCTTACCAACATCAGAAGCCCACTTCTTTCTTATCATGTTTTTATCATCCTCCTTCTCTTCTATATCTTCTCCTTCTCTCTTTCTACTGGATTTTCCTCATCAGCATTTAAACATATGGAAGTCTTTTAATTTATAAACATCTCTTTATCCTATTTTCCCCTCCTGTTACCACCCTAATCCTTTCCATCTTTACCTGTGCATAAGAAGTAGCACAGCAAGGCAACACTTGTCTTTACTCAACAGCTCCATTTCCTTAGCTCTCATTCATTAATTAATCTTCCTCTGAAAGGGCTAAACCAAAGTTATCAATCATCTCCCTGAAGCTAAGTTCGACAAACATTAATAAGTTTCTTATCACTTACCCTCTTATCAAAGCACAACAAAGCTGACCATGCCACTCCAGTAGATCCTCCACTGACTTGGTTTCCATGATACTAGATCCGTTTGGATTGTCTACTGCCTCTTCAGTTGCTCCTTCTCCTTCTTCATTTACCAGCCAGTGCTCCTCATCTGATCTGAAACGCTGGACTTCTTCAAGCTTCAATCTTCGGCTCTCTTTTCTTCTCCTTAGACCAAGATTTCTCAATAGCTTTTGGGTCTTAAAGAATCCTTGACAAAAAATTATTGCTGAACTTCCAGTATATCAGCATGATCAGTAAGTTGCAGACATAATAAACTAAAAATACTATTAATACTCTTTTGGAGATAGAATGATAGTTTTCTATGGATATGTTTATTTTGGCTAATATTATCAGCCCACTCATTTTGTGTGGTTCTCCTCCCACTAAGGATATCAACTTGAATGTAAGTCAATAGTATGAGTAGCGCAAACTTTAGTTTTTCTTTTTTTTTTTAAATTAAAATTTCTTCTGGATTTTTAAAACCTTATCCAATTAGACTTAAAATTCTTATTACAAATGTCTACTATGTAATTAGTATGTAATCTCAACATTTTAGGAGGCTGAGAAAGGAGGATCATTTGAGACCAGGAGTTGAAAACCAGCCTGCTCAACATAGTGAGACCCTGTCTCTACAAATTAAAAAAAAATTAGCCAGATATGGTAGAACTTGCTTGTAGTCCCAACTACTTGGGAGGCTAAGGCAGAGGATCACTTAAGCCTAGGAATTTGGGGCTGCAGTGAGCTATGATTGTGCCACCACACTCCAGCCTGGGTGACAGAGCAAGAGTCCATCTAAAAAAAAAAAAAAAACAAAAAATGACCAAAAACCCCCCCAAACCCATACATTCTACTATAAAAAATGCAAACACGGTATGGTATGTGGTACATGGTGAATGGCAAGAGTGCTTTTTCCCTATTTACAACTAAAGATGACTTGTTAGCTAACCTTTCTTGAAAAAAGAAAGGCAATAAGCTTAGCTTGTCTTTTAAAAATTTAATTCCTTTATTTTCAATAATTCTTAAAACCCATGGGTTAACATAGTAAATTTCTGTTAATAAATAACTGGCTTAAGCCAAAATAATTTTTAAATTGTATTTACTTAGAAGCATTCAAAATGTCAACAACATGGCTGCAACTGTTTTTTTTTTTTTACAATTATAGAGTTGTATTCAGTTATCAAAACAACAATTATTTTGTATAAACTGCATCAGAGACAACTGAAGATGAAAGAACTACCATCTCCACATATAACTAATTTGTGCAGTGCACCAGAAAGAACCTGTTTAAATTTCCATGCCAATTTGCAACCCCCATACTGTGCCAGGTAAGGTTAGTGGCTATTGAAAATACTACCTGGACAGGGCTATCTAAAGACACATTGGATAGTGTGTTAACTATATAAAAAAAGACACTGTACAATTTAAAAACAAATTTTATACAGACTTACATTTCAATTTGTTTCTTTAAAAAGTAGTCAGTTGTGTACAGGGGGGTTAAATGCTTTTAAGACAAGAAAAACACTGCACTAGAACCAACTTATTAACATTGTCATTATCTCCTCCTCCTCCTCCTTCTCCTCTTCCTCCTCCTCCTTCTTCCTTCTTCTTCTCCCTCTTCTTCATCTTCATCTTCTTCATCTTTTTTTCATCTTCCTCCTCTTCCTTCTTGTTCTTACTCCCTTTTTTTTTGGCTACATCAGTCTTTCCTTTAGCTTACTGTGCAGCAATATTCTTTGGGTATTTTTCCTTCAGCCTTGCATCCTTCTTTTTATAAGGCTGCCTGTCATCTGCAGCAGTGTCATTCCATGTCTCTCCCAGTTTCTTTGCAACAATGGATAGGCTGGGATGTTCTCTTTCGATTTTTGGGTGATACTCAGAAAAGAATGAGGCCAAAGGAGGCCTCTTGGGTGCATTGGCATCTTTGAACTTCTTTTTTCTTTCTTCTTTAGGAGGGACATGGGTTTCATTTCTCTTTTGTAACGAGTATTGTCTACCTTTGCCATGTCTTCAAATTTTTCTTTCTTCTTGGCAGACATGGTCTTCCACCTATCTGGGCACTTCTTAGAAAACTCTGAGAAATTGACCGAACATTTGGGTGCTTCTTCTTCTGCTCCTCCCAGCAAGTTTACACAAAGAATGCTGTGAAGATATTTTGCCTCTTGGCTTCTTAGGCTCTCCTTTGCCCAAGTTTAGTTATTTTTCCTCAGCAAGGCACAGAATTATCCAGAATCACCCAGTGCCCATCTGGTTCTCACTTGCCCTGGCATTGTCTTTATGCAGCTCAATGAACTACAACTGAGATTTACTTTTTTAAAGGTAAACTTGATAGATTTAATTAAATAAAATTTGTCAGTTGAATTTAATTAATATTATTTACAACACAAAGATTTGTTGGGAATGCTGAATAGTAAACCTCTTAAAATAATAAGTCAAAGCAGTGGAAATAAAAATACAGCTTAGGACATATATAAAAGTCAAAGTCTTACAGATTGCTTGTTGGAATGTAAAATTGTGTTGTCACTTTGGAAAACAGTTCTGCAATTTCTCAAAAATTAAATATAGGTTTTCATGTGCCCCAACAATTTCACCACTAGGTATATACTCAAGAGAGCAAAAACATACGTTTACACAAAAGAATTGTACATGATGTTTATAGCAGCAGTATTTATAATAGCCAAAAATTACAAATCTAATTGTTTATCAACTAATAAATGAATAAATAAAATGTGATATATCCATAAAAAAAAAAGTCAAAGTCTTTAGTATAAAGCTGTAACAAATCATTTTCTTTGTGAGTGACATGATTAGGCTCAAATATAGACCTAGAAGTTACAAAATTGTTATGCAGATGTGTGTTGGTTTTCCAATCTCTTTTATAGGCCTAAATATTTTTAAAAGTATTATTTGAACCAAAAGGAAAGAATGAAATTTACACATGTAATTTCAAACTTGGTTTTTGCTGCAAAAATACTCAATTCTAGGTCAAATATATGAAGTAAGCATTCAACTACTTCATTTTCAACTATGATCAGACAATTTCTGTCCTTGTTTTTGGTGTTTCTTAAATAAGAAAATGTTGCTCATAAATCAAAAAAGTTGAAAACCACAGCAAAATATTCACTGCTTCACTGTAAATGGCAGGATACTCTGTCTTCACAGAAACCCAGAACTCATATAGGGGCAGAACTCTTATTGTCATTTGTAAGAATAATCAGACTTCATCTCAAAGTTCTTCCTCTTCTCTGAAAATCAAGTTCTCATGTGAGGAGAAAATCTAGAGAAAGCATCCCTCACCAAGTCAGACACTTGGATTGAAGGGAAAAGTACACTCAGTGTTGCTCTGCAGTTCTCTGGATGGTTTTCAATATGCTCATATCCTCCTTCAATTTCAAGCCCAAGCAGCAGTTGAAACATTTCACAATTTCCTTCTGTGACTTGTTTTTTCCTAAAGATTCAATTTCTTTAAATTCAAGAATCCTGTCATTTGAAACAAAAAAAAAGTTTCTGGGCCATACAAAGACTTGTTCATCTGGATAAGGTGATGGAAAATGGCTGCTAAATAGCCTAGTTTCTGCAGCCATTCTTTATCTTGAAACCCTCTAGCAAAATCTGACCTACTAATTTCTTGAAAGTGCTACCTTTCGGTTCAAACACCCTGTTGAGAACTCTTCCTCTGCTAACTCACTGGATGTAGAATAAGGTTTGTTAGGTGGCCTCCAATATTCTCATACCATCTTCAAGCCATCTTCAGTGAACTGGTCTGTGTTTAATAGTAATCATCCTTGTAGCATTACTCAGATTTTTTTTTTTCATTTTGTATTTAAGAGTTTTCAACACCAGTAGCTCTCTGGAAATAAGTCAGTGTCTTGTGATGTCAGTGTGAAGGTGAATTTTCTTGGGGCACCATCAACGCAGATGCCAGTGCCATTCTTGCAAAATAGACTTTCTGTTTTCAGATATAAAGATGAAGAGAAAAAGTATCTTGTCCTTTACTTGTTTTGGGCAACATCCTGCAGTAGAAAAAAAATGTTCTTAAATTTCAACATTATTTATAAATCTTACAAGTGCTACAGCATGATGTTTATTGGTGAAATTTGTTTATTCATCAAAATGGACAAAGAAGCTGTAATTTTTCAATGTATTATAAAAATACCTTCAGCATCATGTGGCATGCCATCAGTATGTCAGCTTATTATGCTGATTGAGAGCGTGACTTTTTCAGTTGCTTGTATGGAATCTCATTCTAGCATTTTCCTAATTATGACCTTACCTGCTATCATTATTAAGTTCTCACCAACTATGCAACTTTTCCTTTTCTAGGCTACACTTTGTGCTTTGGATAACTCCAAAATAACTTGTTTTCAGAGCCTTTTCCTTGAGTGTGACTGTTTTTTAGAACAAAATATTTATTTTGTTTGTTTGAGATTCAAATTATTGTTTAAAATAATCAGTATCTTTATTTGTTAAATGGCTGTAATTTGTAGTTAAATGTCTTTTCAATTTTGCTAGTTATTGCTGCATTTTTAGTTGTTTGGTATTGACTGTGCACAATAGAATAGATCAACTTGGATGTAAAACTCATTGTTAAGTAGCTTTCATTGTAAAGGTGAACTTTCTTTTGGATTCTCTGCACTGGGGGAGTGAATTGACTCAAAAGATTTTATTTCCTTATCCAACCTTATCAAAACTGTCCAGAAGCCTAAGCCTAGAATCTTTCTTTTCTATCTCATACTTCATCTTCAGAAATCATCAACCCAATGTTCAGATATATTTGTGAAACACAAATGCAGATAAAATATAAAACAGAAAGGTACAGCAGGGCACAGTGGCTCACGCCTGTAATCCCAGCACTTTGGGAGGCCAAGGAGGGCGGATCACAAGGTCAGGAAATTGAGACCAGCCTGGCCAACATGGTGAAACCCGTCTCTACTGAAAATACAAAAATTAGCTGGGTGTGGTGGCACACACCTGTAATCCCAGCTACTCCGGAGGCTGAGGCAGGAGAATTGCTTGAACCCGGGAGGGGACATTGCAGTGAGCTGAGATCATGCCATTGCACTCCAGCATGGGCGCCAGGGCCATACTCCACCTCAAAAAAATGAGACAAAACAAAACATAACAACAACAAAAAACAAAACAGAAAGGCACAATACCTGAGAAAATCTCAAGAAATGCAAAACCTACAATACAGTCTATTTTTAACTTACCGAATTCACATTCAGCACTTATTACAACAACAAGCAGCAGGGATCAGATGAGTCTTGGTATGTATAAGTATCTTCTTTAGGGTGAAAAGGTCCCACTGATTGTCTGTTACACCTGTAGAGCTTATTTTTTTCCTTGTCAGTAGGTTGTATATAAAGGGAGGTGGGAAAGGTAACTTGGAGGGAGAAGGTGGACATCATTTTCCTGCCTTCCTCACCTTTGTGCAGCATAACACTCAACAGATATCCAAGGCCTCCCTCACCTGGCATCAATATCTGAGAATGGATGTATCTAAATAAATATTGTCCTATGTACATTAGGACAAAATCTGATGTTTAATATCTCTGCAATCAGTATTTCACATGGAAGCTCTCGAGACATTTAGCAGCCCACTAGGATTCTGTAGAACTTCTGTTGAGAAAACTTGTTGAGACAATCTTACCTACACTCATGGCTTCAGTTATCTAATGCTTTCAAATTTATGTCTCCTGTTGGTTCTGGATTTAAAATTGCTGACTCGCCATCTCCTCTTGAACATTTCATAGGCACATCAAACTCAGAATGCCTAAACTTAAATTCTCAATTGTGTCTCTACTCCCTCCCCAACCATGCAAAAAAGAAAATTGTGAGCCACTTCCAGTGTTGTTCCCCTCAGCAAATGGCACCAATGTCCACTAACTGCACACCCCAGCAACCTGGACATCATTCTTTACTCATTTCCCTTAACTGTACCTCCTATTCCATGTTTAATCAGTCTCTAATTCCTGTTGATTCTGTTTACTAAATGTCACAACATTGAATCTTATTCTATATCCCCACCACTCTGAATCAAACTATTCCCTTTTTTAGGGCTGAATTTCCAGAAGAGTCTCTTAACTGGTCTTTGTTATCTACTATGAAACCAGTCCAAGTCATTCTCTACTTTGTTGCCAAATCTTATCACGTTTCTCCCTGCTTAAAACTTCTCAATAACTACCAGCACATTGCTCTTAAGATGAAGACCAAAATCCTTAATAGGACATACAGTGATGTGCGTGATCATCCCCTGCTAACCTCTTCTCTGCCTTCTCCCTTCCCTTATTGTATTCCATCCATGAAGACTTATCAATCCCCTCTTTTAAGAGGCTCCCTCACGCTGTCCTCCCTCTGTTTATACACCTCCCACTCCTTTCATCTCACTCTTACTCATCCTTCAGATCTGAGTTTAAATGTCATTTCCTCAGAGAAGCAAGAAGTTCCTTAGTACTGTGTATTTCTGCCTAATTTCACTTACCACAATTCTAATTGCACAGTTTGTTGGTTATTATCTATCCCTGAAGCAACTCTGATTGCTCTTGAAAGGCAGGGAGTGCATTTGCTGTGTTTACCACCTATCTCCAGCATTAACACACAATAAAAACAATTGGTGGGACAAATGAGTAAATGAATTATTAAATTCACTAATTTGCTTCTTTCATGCTATTGCTCTCAAGTTTAGGAATAAAATTACTATACTCATTACATAAAAGAAATATGAATTTCTAATTTTAGGGTTTTTTATTAGTTGAACTTTTTACTATAAGCAAAATTGCTTAGCATTTGAAATACCTTTTTAAAAAATGTTGCCTAGTCTACCATCTCATGTATGTTGTAAGTTTTATGTGATTAAATAAGTTTTGATATGCAGCAAAATAACAACATGAAATTGTAAATTATACTAATAGTCTGTGACTTAATTAGCATGAAAAATCTTCCCATTTATTTATAAGACCAAATAAAAATATTAACTTGAGATTAGCACTGCAGCTGTTGAATATTTCAGTGCTATTAAATATTGGAGGACATAATTTAAAAATGTACAAAGATCATACACAGATCGTTTTATAGTTTTATTTTTCTTACTATTATTTAGAAAAAGACATTTTGAAATCAGTGTTTCCCACAAAGAAAAATACTTAAATATGTAATTTTAATACATGCATATGCCAAAATTAATATTTATTTATTTTTGTTTGGATATAAGCCAACATAGACATGAATGTAGCTCTTTTCTCCTGAGATAGAAGAACACACTATTGAAATTCAATCAGAGCATCCAGATGTAAATGAGCTGTTCATCTATAGCCCACAGGATGTTCACTTTGGCTTCAATCCTTCCAGACTGGATCCATACCAAGACTTTCTATTATTACTATTAATTAGCAGTTCTGGCAAAATTAAGGAATATTGTTATGTCAGCTTGAAATCCTTTAGACTGACTAGTGATCTCAAAAAAAGTTAAGACTTGATCGATAATTATTCCAAGCATGATGATTAAAAATTAAATTCCTGATGTGATCCATGATTTTTTTTCCCTCTCTCACTCTATTTTAGAAAAACAGGGTAGGTATTTATTAGAGAGGAATCTAAAATCAGAGGTAGAAAAGGGCATGGATTTTAAGGTCTTCTCTGTCTTCATTTAGTCTTCCCTTTCTTTCCACAGATTATAGATCCAGACTCCTGTGCCTGACCACTGCCCATGGCCAACTCTCTGCTGATGACTGGACTTGACTACACAAGTTGTTGGGTACTTTGACTAGAACACCAACCAAGTCATTGGAAATATAATGCTTTGTTCTTTCTAGCTCCAAGATATGAACATGTGACAACCCAAACAAACAAAATCCCAACAAGGTTGTCAGATATGCAAATTACAGTTGACCCTTGAACAACAGAGAGGGTAGAGGTGCTGATCACTGGCACAGTTGAAAATTCAAAAGTTTTGACTCCCCTAAAACTTAATTACTAATAACCTACTGTTGACTAGAAGCCTACTGATAATATAAACGATTTATTAACACATATTTTATATGTTATATGTATTAGGTACTGTATTATAATAAAGTAAGCTAGAGCAAAGAAAATGTTATGGATAAAATCATAAGAAAGAGAAAAGATATTTACTCTCCATTGAATAGAAATGGCTCATCATAAAGATCTTCATTCTCACCATCTTCAAATTGGGTAGGCTGAAGAGGAGCAATAAGAGAAGGGGTTGGTCTTGCCATCTCAGGTGTGGCAGAGACGGAAAACAATCCACGTATAAATATGGACCCATGTAGTTCAAACCTGTGTTGTTCAAAGGTCAACTGTATTTACTTTAAATTACTTGTCTGACCTGAGATTTTCCTGACCATAATCCAAGAGATTGACACCTTTCTAAAGTTTGTTCTTATGTTTTCCAAAATGACAACTTGTTTTCCAGAAGTTAGCAGCCACCATGTTTTAAGACAGAAACAGCCTGAGGTTCTCCCAAGGTCTATTGAGCATAAGAGTTTTTTGCCTTCTAGTAAAATAAACCCATATTCGCAGAGTGTCTGGACCAGAAAATCTTCCACATTATCCTGTGTTCAAGTATTAGGATTGTGCAATACATTTCTTAGAAGAATTCTGCCTACTACTCATGCAAACACCAAACAGGACAAATACAAAGGCGACCACATCTAGACATGTCATATTCAAACTGCTGAAAACTAACAACAAAAAACAAATCTTAGAAGGAAAAGAAACCTCGCATGGGGAAACAATGATCTAAATGATAGCCAACTTTGCAGGCCAGAAGACAGTGAAATGATACCTTTGCAGTACTGAATGAAAGACAAAGTCAACATAGAATTCTATGTCCAATAAAAATATCCTAAAAAAGAAGGCAAAATAAAAACATTTCTAGTAGGCAAAAGCTGAGAGCACTAGTCTTTGGTAGATTTGTACTACACAAAATGCCATAAGGAGGTTTTCAGGCTGAAGAAAAAAATACCAGTTGCAACCTAAATGAAGCATGAAGAGTACTAGAAACAGCGAAGATTAAAGACTATTTTAACATCTTTATTTTTAATACATATGTACCTATAAATTTTAACTTCTTCAAAAAATTGACTTTTTAAGATATAAATAATAACAATGTATTGAGCTGCAGCATATGTAGAAGTAAAATGTGGGAAAATAACAGCACAAGGACCAGAAGCATAGATACATAGAATTATATATTTACCAGGTTCTTACATTGTTTGTGAAGTAATATAATATTATTTTAATGTAGATTGGGATAACTTAAAGGTATATATCTTTAAGATATCATATATTCTATATATCATATATATCTTTAAGATATCATATATTCTATACTGAGCAATCTATAAAAAACAAAGAAGCATATCTAAAAATTCAATGGATGAGATTAAATTAAATACTAAAAACTACTCTATTAACCCAAAATAAGACAAGAAAAAAGGGATGAAATGAGAGACAAATTTTGCAAATAGAAAATCAATGGTAGGTTATAACCCAATCATATTAATAATTACACTGAATATAAATGAACTAAGCGCTCACCCCAAAAAAAGTGATTGTCAGATAGGAAAAAAGAAAAACCTATCTATATGCTCTTTATAAGAAACATATTTAAGACAGGGTGCAGTGGCTCGCGCCTGTAATCCCAGCACTTTGGGAGGCTGAGGCAGGCAGATCACGAGGTCAGGAGTTTGAGACCAGCCTGGCCAACATAGTGAAACCACATCTCTATGAAAAATACAAAAATTAGCCAGGCATGGTGGTGCACGCCTGTGGTCCCAGCTACTTGGGAGGCTGAGGCAGAAGAATCACTTGAACCCAGGAGGCAGAGGTTGCAGTGAACCAAGATCATGCCACTGCCCTCCAATCTGGGCGACACAGCGAGACTCCATCTTGGGGAAAAAAAAAAAAAAAAGAAATGTATTTAAATAAAGTGACACAGTCAGATCGAAAGCAATAGGTTGGGGAAAAAAAACCATGAAAAAATGAAGTATAAGAAAGCTGGTGTGGTTATATAAATATTAGTCAAAGGAGATGTCAAGACAAAGATTATTACCAGAGATAGAGAACTATATGCATGATGATAAATGGATTGATTCATCAAGAAAACATAACAATCTTAACTGTGCACCTAATGACAGAGCATAAAACAAGAGGTGATAGATAGGACAAAAGGAGAAATAGGCAAATTCTCATTTAGTTAGTGTGATGGTTTGGTTTATATGTCAACTTGGCTAAGCTACAGTGCCCAGTTATTTAATCAAACACCAATTTAGGTGTTGCTTTGAAGATATGTTGTCCATGTGGTGAGATCTACAATCAGTTGACTGAAAGTAAAGGATATTACTTGATGATGTGGGTGTGGGTTCACCTAATCAGTTGAAAACCCTAGAGTAAAACCAGGTTTCCTGGAACAGAAGATATTCTGCCTCAAGATTGAAGCACTGGCTGGGCGCCGTGGCTCACGCCTGTAATCCCAGTACTTTGGGAGGCCGAGGCGGGCTGATCACGAGGTCAGGAGATCGAGACCATCCTGGCTAACATGGTGAAACCCCGTCTCTACTAAAAATACAAAAAAATTAGCCGGGCGTAGTGGCGGGTGCCTGTAGTCCCAGCTACTCGGGAGGCTGAGGCAGGAGAATGGCGTGAACCCCGGGGGGCGGAGCTTGCAGTGAGCCGAGATCGCACCACTGCACTCCAGCCTGGGCGACAGAGCGAGACTCCGTCTCAAAAAGAAAAAAAAAAAGATTGAAGCACTAACACCTACCTGAGTTTCCAGCCTGATGGCCTATCCTATTGATTTCAGACTCGACAGCTCCTAAAATCACATGAGCCAATTCCTTTAAATAATTGTCTTAATACATAGATATGTATATCTTCTATTGTGTCTGTTTCTTTGGAGAACCCTGACTTACATAGTGCTGTTAACATCGCTTTGTCTAAGTAGACAATATAATCAGTAAATATAGAAAAGATTTGAACAGCATTATTAACCAAGTTGATCTAATTAACAAATGCAGATATAAATTATTTCAAGTACTCATGGAACATTCATAAAGATCAACATGTGCTGCATCAAAAAACACATCTCAACAAATATCAAAGATTGAAGTGATACATAGTATATTTTGTGACCACAACAGTATTAAAGTGGAAATTAGTAATAAATGTAAGTAGAAAATCCCCAACATTTAGAAATTCAGCAATATCCTTTTAAATAACCCATGTGTCAAATGAGAAATTATGTTGGGGATTAGAAGATTGTTTGAACTGATTGATAATAGAAAACATTATAAATGGGTGAGATGCGGCTAAAGAAGTGCTTACATGGAAAGTTATAGCTTTACATGCTTATGTTTAAAAAGAAGAAAGGTTTACCATCAATGACCTACTTCTACTTTAAAAACCTAGACTAAAAACTTCTCTGGTTTCCATTGTAACATGTAAGGAGTTTGGAAGTCATTACTGCATCCTAACAACAAACAAAAAGCTGAAAAGGGCCTGGAAAATAAAAACTTGTCTCAGATCTATCAGAGAAGTGAGGTCACAGGGCAAACTACTGTCCTAAAAATTAGAGAGACTGAATACAGAGAATTACAACTTAAAGGAGAAGAAACCCACAAGCAGAAACCTCCACAGGAACCAGTGCTGGGCTATATAAACCTAAACTCTAATTGACAAATTCTTAGAGCCTTAGTGTAGAGAAATCTAAGAGTTAAAACACCATGGGAACCCAGTCATATGGGAACCCACACACCTTCATGAGTTTACCATTCAGAGATTGACCCTATTCTCCCAGTAGATATTGAAGAAAAATCCTCTCATGCTTCTGTCAGGGGAAGGGGGAAAGTAATCATTTAAAAGTATACCAGAGCATGCCATTCTTCTTAACAAGGCCTGTCCTCAGGAGAAACTATTTTTACCAGAGCCTAACCTATTGGAGTTTTTCAGAGCCCAACTGACTGAGGGAAAGGAAATATTCAACTCTACCCCACTCTAGCCATCCTCTTCTACCTAAAAGGGGAGAAAAGTGAGAAGCACATACAAACTTCACAGTCCAGAGGCACAGGCTCACTAAAACATTGAGTGCTCATCACAGTACTAAAGAAATCTACCCTGACCCACACTGTCCCACCACATCACTAAAGGCCTATTTACTGCAATTCCTTTTACCCAGTCCATGTTCACCTTTCAACAAAGAAATTATAAAGCATACTTAGAGGCAAAATGTGCAGTTTGAAAAAAGTAAGCATCAGACCCAGAGTTGGATATAGCAGGATGTTGCAGTTACCAGATTAGGAATTTTAAAAAATTATGATTGATGTGTTAAGGACTCTACTGGACAAAATAGAGAACATGTAAGAATGGATGCATGATGTAAGCAGAGTGATGGAAATTCTAAGACAGAATAAAAAAGAAATACTAAAAAAAGAAATGCTAGAGATAAATAACCCTGTAACAGAAATGAAGAATGACTTTGGTGAGCTCATTAGTGGACTGGAGATAGCCGAGAAAAAAAACTGTGAGCTTGAGGATATGTCAGTAGAAACTTTCAAAACTGAAAAGCAAAGAGTAAAATACCAAAAACAATGAAATGGAATATCTAAGAAATGTGATAAAACTACAAAAGGTGTGAATACATGTAACGGAAATATCAAGAGGAGAAAGAGCAAACAGAAGCAATAATTGAAGCAATAAGGACACAGTTTTCCCCAAATTCCTGACAGATATCAAACCGCAGATCCCGGAAGCAGAGAGAATACCAAGCAGGATAAATGCAAAAAACAAACAAACAAACAAAAAATACCCAAACCAAAAAAAAGCCTATACCTAGGCATATCATATTCAAATTACAGAAATCAAAGACAAATTCTTGAAAGAAGTCATAGGAAAAAAATACCTTATCTTTAGAGAATCAAAAGTAAGAATTACATCCAATTTTCTCCAGGAATGCATGCAAGCATGAAGAGAGTAGAGTAAATTATTTATGGTGTGTATTAGTTCATTTCATGCTGCTGATAAAGACACACCCAAGACTGGGTAATTTATAAAGAAAAATAGGTTTAATTGACTCACATTCTATGTGGCTAGGGAGGCCTCACAGTGATGGTGGGAGGCAAAAGTCATGTCTTACATGCAGCAGAGAAGAGAAAATGAGAGCCAAGTGAAAGGGTTTCCCCTTATAAAACCATCAGATCTTGTGAGACTTACTCACTACCATGAGAACAGTATGGGGAAAACTGTGTCCATGATTCAGTTACCTCCTATAGGGTCCCTCCCATGACACATGGGGAATTATGACAGCTACAATTGAAGATATGAGATTTGGGTGGGGACACAGCCAAATCATATAATTCTGCCCCTGGCTCATCCCAAATCTCATGTTCTCACATTTCAAAACCAATCATGCCTCCTCAATGGTCCCCTAAAGTCTTAACTCATTTCAGCATTAACTCAAAAGTCTCATCTGACACAAGGCAAGTCCCTTCTGCCTATGAGCCTGTAAAATCAAAAGTAAGTTCGTTACTTCCTAGATACAATGAGGGTACAGGCATTAGATAGATACACCCATTCCAAATAGAAGAAATAGGCCAAAATGAAGGGGCCAAAGGCCCCATGCAAGTCTGAAATCCAACAGGACAGTCAAATTTTAAAGCTCCAAAATGATCTCCTTTGACTTCATGTCTCACATCCAGGTCAGACTGATGCAAGATGTGGGTTCCCATGGTCTTTGGAAGCTCTGCCCCCATAGCTCTACAGGGTACAGGCTCCCTCCCAGCTGCTTTCACAGGTTGGTGTTGAGTGTCTGTGGCTTCTCCAGGCACATGGTGCAAGCTGTCAGTGGATCTACCATTCTGGGGTCTGGAGGACAGTGGCCCTCTTCTCACAGCTTCCTTAAGCAGTGCCCCACTGGGGACTCTGTGGGGGCTTCAACCCCACATTTTCCTTCTGCACTTCCCTAGCAGAGGTTCTTCATGAGGGATCATCCCTGCAGGGAACTTCTTCCTGGACATCCAGGAGTTTCCATACATCCTCTAAAATCTAACCGGAGGTTCCCAAACCTCAATTCTTGACTTCTGTGCACCCGCAGGCTCAACACCATGTGGAAGCTGCCAGGGCTTGGGGCTTTCACCCTCTGAAGCCACGACCTGAACCATACCTTGACCCCTTTTAACCACGGCTGGAATGGCTGGGACACAGGGCACCAAGTCCCTAGGATGTACACAGAAGAGGGGCCCTGGGCTCCACCCGCAAAACCATTTTTTCCTCCTAAGACTCTAGACCTATGATGGGAGGGTCTGCTGCAAAGGTCTCTGACATGCCCTGGAGACATTTTCCCTATTGTCTTGGTGATTAACATTTGACTCATTATTACTTATGTGAATTTTTGCAGCTGGCTTGAATTTCTCCTCAGAAAATGGGATTTTCTTTCCTATTGCATTGTCAGTCCTCCAAACTATTCCAACTTCTGTCTGTTACCCAATTCCAAGGTCACTTCTGCATTTTTGGGTATCTTTTCAGGAGCATCCCACTCTACTGGTACCAATTTGCTGTATTAGTCTGTTCTCATGCTGCTGATAAAGACATACCCAAGACTGGGCAATTTATAAAAGAAAGAGGTTTAATGAACTTACAGTTCCATGTGCCTGGGGAAGCCTCACAATCATGGTGGAAGGCAAGGAGGAGCAAGTCACCTCTTACATGGATGGCAGTAGGCAAAAGAGAGAGCTTGTGCAGGGAAACTCCCCTTATAATATGGTCAGATCTTGTGAGACTTATTCACTATTATGGGAACAGCACAGGAAAGACCTGCCCCCATTATTCAATTACCTCCCACCATATCCCTCCCACAACATATGGAATTCAAGATGAGATTTGGGTTGAGACACAGCCAAACTATATCAGTGCATTAAGGATTGTCATGTCTTTATGGGGTATTGACCCTTTTATCATTTTGTTATGTCCCTCTTTATCCCTGATAACTTTCCTTGTTCCGAAATTTGCTTTGTATGGAATTACATAGCTACTCCTGCTTTCTTTTGATTGGTGTTAGCATAATTATCTTCACTCGTTTTCTTTTAATCTATATGTGTCTTTATATTTAAGATGAGTTTTTTGTAGACAACAATAGTTTGGCCTTCTTTTTTGATCCACTTTGATATATATATTTTAATCAGTGTATTTAGACCATTGAGTTTTAAAATGATTGTCAATGGATCTGGACTCATATCTACCATATTTGTTAATGTTTTCTATTCATTTACCTTGTTCTTATTTTGTCTTCTTTTCTGTTTCTGCCTTTTGTGGTTTTAAGTGAGCATTTTATATGATTTCATTTTCTCTCCTTTCTTAGCATAACACTTGTACTTCTTTTTGTACTTTTTAAAGTGATTCTCTTAGTTTGTAATATACATTTACAACTAATCCAAGTCCAATTTCAAATAACACTTTACCACTTCATATTATTACCAGTACTTTGTAATAAAATATTCCAAACTTCTCTCTCCCATACCTTATATTATTGTTGTCATTTATTTTACTTATACATAAGCATACATAAGTATCATAAGCTTAAATATATCTATATCTATACATATGTACCCACATAAGCATACATAATAAAATATATAGATTTTTTAAGCAAACTACTATGTTAGATCAATTAAGAATAAGAAAAAATAAAAGTTTGCATTTTACTTCCACTTATTTCTTCTTGATGCTGTTTTTCTCTTTTCATAGATGAGAGTTTCTGAACTATATCATCTTCTTCTCTCTGAAGAACTTCTCTTAATGTTTTTGCAAGGCACTCCTAGCAACAAATGCACTCCATTTTTGTTTGCTGAGAAAGTCTTGATTTCTCTTTCACATTTTCTTTTCTTTTAATTCTTCACTTTTGAAAGATAATTTCACAAGGTACAGAATTATAGGTGGTGGTGGGGTTTCTCTTAACATCATGATATGATTTGGTTGTGTCCCCACCCAAATCTTATCTTGAATTGTAGCTCCATGAGCGGGGCTCTCATGAAGAATCTATGCTAGGGCAGTGAGGAAGGGAAATGTGGGGTTGAAGCCCCCACACAGAGTTCCTCCTGGGGCACCACCTAGTGTAGCTGTGAGAAGAGGGCCACCGTCCAGACCCCAGAATGGTAGATCCACCAACGGCTTGCACCATGTGTCTGGAAAAGCCACAGACATTCAACACCAGACCATGAAAGCAGCTGGGAGGGAGGCTGTACCCTGCAAAGCCACAGGGGCAGAGCTGCCCAAGACCATGGGAACCCACCTCTTGCATCAATGTGACCTAGATATGAGCCATGGAGTCAAAGGAGATCATTTTGGAGCTCTAAGATTTGACCACCCCGCTGGATTTTGGACCTGCATGGGGCCTGTAGCCCCTTTGTTTTAGCCCATTTCTCCCATTTGGAATGGCTGTATTTACCCAATGCTTATACCTCCATTGTATCTAAAAAGTAACTAACATGCTTTTGATTTTACAGGCTCATAGGCAGAAGGGACTTGCCTTGTCTCAGATGAGACATTGCACTGTGGACTTCTGAGTTAATACTGAAGTGAGTTAAGACTTTGGGGGACTGTTGGGAAGGCATTACTGGTTTTCAAATGTGAGGACATGAGATTTGGGAGGGGCCAAGGGTGGAATGATATGGTTTGGCTCTGTGTCGCCACCCAAATCTCATCTTGAATTCCCACATGTTGTGAGAGGGACCCAGTGGGAGGTAATTGAATCATGGGGGCAGGTCTTCCCCATGCTGTTCTCGTGATAGTGAATAAGTCTCACAAGATCTGATGATATTATAAGGGGAGTTTCCCTGCACAAGCTTTCTCTTTTTGCCTGCTGCCATCCATGTAAGATGTGACTTGCTCCTCCTTGCCTTCTACCATGATTGTGAGGCTTCCTCAGCCGTGTGGAACTGTAAGTCCATTAAACCTCTTTCTTCTGTAAATTGCCCAGTCTCAGGTCTGTCTTTATCAGTAGTGTTAGAGCAGTCTAATACGTGCACATAAAAACAGAGTGTCAAAATATGTAAGCAAAAACTGATACAAGTGCAAGGAGAAATAGTTAAATCCAGTATTATTATTGGAGATTTTAACACACCCCTCTATTAGAAATGGACAGGTCCAGTAGGCAAGAAGATCAGTAACAACAGAGTTGAACTCAACAACACCATCAATCAACTGGTTATAATGGATATCTATTGACTACTTCATCTAACAACAGCAGAATACACATTCTTCCAAGCTTACATGGAACATTCACCAGTATAGAACATATTCTGGGCCAAAAAACACATACCTTAACAAATTTGAAGGAATAGGAATCATACAATCAATGTCTTCTCTCAGACTGCAATAAAATTAAACTAGAAATCAAAAACAGGTAGTTGGAAAATCCCCACATACTTAGAGATTAAACAACATACTTCTAAGTAACACATAGGTCAAAGAAGAAATCTCAAGATAAAATTTTAAATACTTTGAACTAAATGAAAATGAAAACACAACTTATGAAAACTTGTGGGATGCAGCAAACATCTCACAAGTTTTTAAAATGCGTAAAGGGAAATATACACAGTAGTACTTCCTCATTTGCAGTTTTACTTTTTGTGGTTTCAGTTATCTGTGGTCAACTACAGTCTGAAAATATTAAGTGAAAAATTCCAAAAATAAACAATTCTTAAGTTTTAAATTGAATACTGTTCTGAGTAGCATGATAAAATCTCTTGCCTTCCCACTTCATCCCCTATGAGATGTAAATCCTCCTTTGTTCACCTTATATACATTCACTACCTGGCCATTAGTCATTTAGTAGCAGTCTTTTTTTTTTTTGAGACAGGGTCTCACTCTGTCACACAGGCTGGAGTGCAGTGGCACTGTCTTGGCTTACTGCAACCTCTACCTCCTGTGTTCAAGTAATTCTCCTGCCTCAGCTCTGCCCCCCTCCCCCCAGCCCCCCACCGTCCCTGAGTAGCTGGGATTACAGGCAGGCCACCATGCCTGGCTAACTTTCGTATTTTTTGGCAGAGGCGGGGTTTCACCATGTGAGCCAGGCTGGTCTCGAATTTCTGGCCTCAAGTGATCTGCCTACCTCAGCCTCCTGGAGTGTTGGGAATACAGGCGTGAGCAGTCTTGGTTATTAGATTGACTATTGTGATATGACCGTGCTTGTGTTCAAGTAACCCTTATTTTACTTAATGGCTCCAAAGCACAAAAGTAGAAATGCTGGCAATTCAGATATGAAGGAAGCCATAAAGTACTTCCTTTAAGTGAAAAGGTGAACATTCTTGACTTAATAAGAAAAGAAAAAAATTATATGCTGAACTTGCTAACATCTACGGTAAAAATGAATCTTCTATCCACGATATTGTGAAGAAGGATAAAAAAATTCATGCTAGTTTTGTTGTCACACCTCATGCTGCAAAAGTATGGCCACTGTAAGTGCCTAGTTAAGATGAAAAAAGCGTTACATTTTGTGGCTGGAAGACAGAAATAGAAACATATTCTGATTTACAGCATTTAGGCTGGGTACTATCCAAGGTTTCAGGCATCCACTGGAAGTCTTGGAACATAGCGCCTGTGGATAAGGGGAAACTACTGTAGTATTGAATGCATATATTAGGAAAGCAGAAAGATCTAAAATCAATCATGCAAGCTTTTACCATAGAAAACTAGAGAAAGGGCAAATTAATCCAAAGTAAGCACAAGAAACAATAAATATTAGAGTAGAAATTAAAGAAATTGAAATAGGAAATCAATAGGGAAAATTTTTGAAACCAAAAGCTGGGTCTTTGAAAAGATAACAAAACTGATAAGCTTCTAGCCAGGCTAGGAAAAAGAAGGGCACAAATTACTACTTTTGGAAGGAGGAGATTTCACTTCAGAGCCCATGGACATTGGAAGGATAATAAAGGAATACTATGAATAATTCTGTGCCCACAAATTTGATAACCTAGGGGAAATAGATGAATTTCTTGAAAAATAAAATCTGATAAAACTCACACAAGAAGAAATAGACAATCCAGATAGGCCTAGATCTATTAAAGGAATGGAATTAATAATTAATAACCTTCCAAAACAGAAACCATGAGACCCTGATCAGTTCACTAGTAAATTCTACCAAATACTTAAGGAACAAATTATATCAATTCTCTACAGTCTTTTCTAAAATATAGAGGCATATGGAATATTTACTAACTCATTCTATGAGGCCAGCTTCACCATAATGTCAAAATCAGACAAAAACATTATGAGAAAAGATCAATATTTCTTATGAATATAGACACAAAAGTCCTCAACAAAATATTAGCAGACTGAATCAAGCAATGTATAAAAATAATTATATTCCATGACTAAGTGGGATTTATCCCAGGTATGCAAGGTTGGCTCAAATTTGAAAATCAATTACTGCAATCCATCACATCTACAGACTAAGGAAGAAAAATGACATGGTTATATCAAGAGATGCAGAAAAAGCATTTGTCAAAATACAACACCTATTTGTAATAAAAACTCAGCTAGAATTTTAGAGGGGAACTCCCTCATCCTGATAAAGAACATCTACAAAACCCCTACAACTAACATAAGACTTAATGGCAAGAAACTAAAAGCTTTTCTACTCAGATCAGGAACAAGACAAGGATGTTCCTTCTCACCACTTCTTACATTTTACTGGAAATCCTAGCTAACACAATAAGACATGAAAAGGAAATAAAAGATATATTGATCGAGAAGAAATAAATAAAACAGTCTTTGTTCATGGATAATATGATTGTCGAGGTAAAAAATCTGAAGAAATCAACAAAACAATTCCTGGAACTGATATGTGATTATAGCAAGATTGCAGGATACAAGGTTAATGTACAAAATTTAATGTCTTTTCCATATGCCAGAAATGAAAAAGTGGAATTTGAAATTAAAGACAAAAATCCTTTCAGATTAGTGCATCCCCAAAATGAAATAGTTAAGTACACATCCAACAAAATATGTACAAGATCTATATGAAAAAAAACTACATAACTCTGATGGAAAAAAAAATCAAGGAACTAAATAAATGGAGAGAAGGCCAGGTGTGATGTCTCACATCTGTAATCCCAGCACTTTGGGAGGCTGAGGCAGGTGCATCACATGATGTCAGGAGTTCAAGGCCAACATGACCAACATGGCGAAACCCCGTCTCTACTGAAAATACAAAAATTAGCTGGGCATGGTGGTGTGCACCTGTAATCCAAGCTACTCGGGAGGCTGAGACACGAGAATAGCTTGAACCCGGGAGGTGGAGGTTGCAGTGAGTCGAGATCGCACCATTGCACTCCAGCCTGGGTGACAGAGCGAGACTCCATCAAAAAAAAAAAAAAAAGAGATAAATTAAGAGATATTTCATGTCCATGCAAGGAAGAGTCAATATTGTTAAGATGTCATTTCCTCCCACATTGATCTACAGATTCAATGAAATTCCAATTAAAATCCTGACAAGTTATTTTGCAGGTATCAACAAACAGATTCCAAAGTTTCTGTGGAGAGGCAAATAACCTGAAATAGACAACAAAATATTGAGTGAAGTTGGAGTACTGACATTATTCAACTAGGTTACAAATGAAATGGGAAAACAGTTTCATAGTTGGCTTTGTTCTATAGTTTACATTAGGGTTAACTCTAAGTGTTGTACATTCTGTGGGTTTTGGAAAATGCATAATATGCTGTTTTGGTGAAACCAAAAGCAGTAAGTGAGCAATATATGCCTTAGCAATCTATCTTTATTAATTCACATATTTAGAGCTGACTTATTCATATAAAGCTTTGCTTCTTATAAGAAATAACTGGCTTTCTCTTTAAAATAAGCTGAAGCTGTGTGAGATTGTATAAAACATTATATATTGACTAATAGGGAAAAACTTTCTTGTGTATACAGGATTTTGTAATTAAGGTTGAAAATGTAATCTTTAAACCTGAAAGGCTTAAAAAAATTTTTAGCCCCCACATGTAAAGTGAAAATGTGATGTTTGTCTTTCTGTGCCTGCTTTATTTCATTCAGCATGAGTTCCATCATGCTCATTCATGCTGCCTCAAATGACAAGATTTTATTATTTTTATGCCTAAATATTATTCAATTGTGTATATATACCACATTTTCTTTATCCATTCATCCTTTGATAGACAGTTAGGATGATTTTATATCTTGGCTATTGTGAATAGTGCTCCAATAAACATGAGAGTGCAAATATTTCTTTGACATACTGATTTCATTTCCTTTGGACACATACCCAGTAGTGGGGTTGCTTGATCATATGGTATTTCTATTTGGAGTTTTTTGAGGAAACATCACACTGTTTTTTATAATGGCTGTACTAATTTGCATTCTTATCAACAGTGTAAGAGTTCCCTTTTCTTTGCATCCCACTTGCGTTTGTTATTATTTGTCTTTTTCATATGAATAATAGCCATTTTAACTGGGGTGAGATAATATCTTATTGTGGTTTTGATAGGCATTTTCCTTATGATTAGTGATGTTGATCGTTTTTTATTATACCTGTTGGCCATTTGTATGTCTTCTTTTGAGAAATGTTCATCCAGGTCCTTTGCCCACTTTTTGATCAGGTCATTTGTTTTCTTGCTACTGAGTTGAGTTCCTTAAATATTTTAGATATCAACCCCATATCAGACATATAGTTTGATAATATTTTCTCCCATTCTATAGATTGTCTCTTTATTCTGTTGATTGTTTCCTTCTCCGTGCAGAAAATTTTTAGTTTGGTATAATCCCGTTTGTCTATTTTTGCTTCTGTTGCCTGTGCTTTTGAGGTCTTACCCAAGAAATGCTTGCCCAGACCAATGTCCTGAAGCCTTTCCCCAGTGTTTTTTCTAGTAGTTTCACAGCTTCAGGTCTTACATTTAAGTCTTTAATCCATTTTGATTTTATTTTTATATATTATGAGAGAAAGAAATCTGATTTCAAATTTCTGATTTCTTTTGCATTTAGATATCTAGTTTTACAGCACCATTTATTGATGAGACTGTTCTTTCCCTTATATATTCTTGGTGCCTTTGTTAAACATGATTTGGTTGTACATGTCTGGATTTACTTCTGAGTTCTCTATTCTTTTTCATTGGTCTATGTGTCTGTTTTTGTGTCAGTACCATGCTGTTTTGGTTACTATAGCTTTGTAGTATATTTTGAAGTCATAAAGCCTATGCAACTATTATCAATCTGGGCACATGGATGGCATTCAATATACATTTTTTCTTTCTTAAGAGTCATTCAATCATCAAAATTTGGGAAGTTTTTGGTAAATATAGGACTTTAACTTTTGTGAAAGTTAAAAAAGCAAAAGAAGATCTTCCCCCAAATAAGAAAGGATCTAGTGTTGGAGAGAACAGAAACACAGCTGAAAATATTCATGAAAAGATGTGGAACGTAAGCTCAGGGTCAACCAAGGATATTAATCAGACTATTAAATGTATTCTCTTCTAATTAGATCTGAAGTGTGTTTACCCTGCTTAAAAAAGTGGACCAGCTGATAAGTACCAAACAATTCTGGAGCGATATAAAGAGAGGCATCACCCAAAGAAGGTCATGAGTTCACTGGAAAAATGAAGTAACACTGTTGTCATGAGTGGCCACAGTAATAGCCAGAAGAGATTGAATGTGCCTTAAGTTTAAGGATAAAAATGTAATTGTGATGGGAGGTTGGAGAGGAAGCTAGGCCTGTAGCCAAAGTATGGAAAAAAAAAAAAAAGGAAATACAGACAAAGGTAGCAATAGAGTTGGGTGATTTAGGAAGCTAGGTCTGTGAACAAAGGGAATGTACCAGGTTCCTCCCTTCATGCGGTGCCCAGGGAACACTTTCCAGGGCTCAAGTGCCCTCTAAAGGCATCACTCTGCCAGGTTGGACTCAGAGCCAAATGTAATTGTGCTGCTCTCTTCCATTCAAGTAGGTGCCTTTGTTTAACATAAGTGACCACTTTTAAAGAGCTCAGTCTTCTTGGTTCCACTCTTGAACTTTCAGTGTTATCAACAAAAACCTGTTTTGTTTTCGCATTTTCCCCTCAGTGCCTTAGCATGGTGTCCCAAACACTTCTTGATGATTTTTAATACTTGGATTATACACATAATGCCCTTCTCAATCTCCCTTTTACTTCCCCTCAAATAAAATAAAAAATTTAAGATACTGCATTCCTGAGTCCAAGGATTGTTACAGTTGTCACCCCCAAAATTAGGACAATAATCACACAAATTACAATTCTTCTATTCAGAACATAAATCTGATATTCTTGAGCTCATTTGATAAATATTAAGTATCCTCATATGGTTTCTGGTTTACATACATTTGCCATGTATAATATCCATAAGCCATTCTGGGTGTGTGTCCCTATTTTATAATCTCTAGTTGGGAGGGAGAGCACCAAGCCTTTAAATTACGATCTCATGCAGAATAACAGCTCAGGGTCAACCAAGGATAATGATCAGACCATTAAATATGTTCTCTACTGTTCGGATCTGAAGTGTGTTGACCCTCTTAAAATAGTGGACCAGATGATAAGTACCAAACACTTCTGGAGGGATATAAAGAGAGGCATCACCCAAAGAAGGTCATGAGTTCACTAGAAAAATGAAGTAAAACTTATTCATTTCATGTCAGCTGCTAAAGGATGTGCTGCAGGGTGTAGGGTGTGGCTTAACTGATTACCCATTACGGTGATCCTAATAGTTTTCATCAATGAGAATATTGTCACCGAATCTTAGCATTTTTGAAATGAAATGTTGTGGCTCTATTATGTAGTTCTTTTTGCCAGTCTCTGAAATCAGTTTTTTAAATAACTTACCTCTAAACTCTCGCTCTGCATTTCCTTTTGTTTCCTGGATGTGAATGTGGATTCATTGGTAGATGTTAGGCAAAGGCTAACTTATCAGTCATTTCTAGGCTCTTCAAGGTGAAGCAATGCCCACAGACAGTCTTAGAAGGGAATTCTGTTCTCTCCTTTCCTTATTTATTCAAAGACTTTCAGATTGTATTTCACTATTACTAGAGAATTCTTTAGTAAAGCTGGATGGATTCTTCAATGCATTGGGAACATTCATTCATGGAAATTGGCTCTATTGCAGTGTTTCTCAGACTTGTGTATGCATACGAGTCCCCTGGGGATCTTGTGAACATGCAGGTTCTATCCTGTAGGTCATTTAATTTCACTGAATTTGTGCAATGCAAAAAGTCCCTTTCTGAACCTGAATCCACAGATACCAGCATAACCTGGAGCCTGTTAGAAAGGCAGACTTTCGGATCCTACTCCAGATCCATAGAATCAGAATCTGCGTTTTAACAAGATTCCAGAGGGAATTCATTTGTACAAAATTTGGGAAACATCATCCTGAAAATCACGTAGGATCAGCTATGTAATGGCAAAAGCAAAAGCAAACTTATGGTACCTTCTCTTTTTTATGTTATTCTCTGATTATTCCCTGAGGATGCAGCTGCATATAATACGGAATCATTCATGTAAAGAGAAGCAACCTGTCCAAAATACCTTCCTTTTTGTATTGAATCTTGAAACAGTGATGTCATTTCCTATAATATACCACATACTAACAGTTGCAAATTGGTATCTGAGGGCTGTGTCTAGACAGAAGATATGTTTTGTTGGTTATTTTGTTTGTCCTGTGGATGATTAAAAGGCAATGTTATTGGGCAGGTGTGAGCAGTTAGCAGCTATTTTTTCACATGGAGAAGATAATACAGAGGTGTTATGCATAGTATCTATAGGCATTTGAGTCTGGAATCCTTAAGAGTAATAATTCCCAACATAAATTCCATGGAACAGTAATGTAAGAATGATTAACAGGTATTATTTGAAAAAATAAAAAAAGTTTCTGTGATGCGTTGGCATGATAAACAGTGAAACAAAAGAAATTTGGGGGGAGGATATTACAGAGGCTTTATATCATAATATGCAGTTTGAACCTCCACTGCAACATTTCTCAAGCTTATTTACTCAGGAAATTCTGTGTCTCAAATGATTAGAGTTCTATAGAACATACTTTAGAACAGGAGTCAGCAAACTATAGCCTGCAGACTAAATCCAACCTGCCACCTGTTTTTGTACTGCCTACAAGCTAAGAACAGTCTTTATGTATTTACATGTTTAAAACCAAAAGAAGAAGAATATTTCATTACACATGAGAATTCTGTAAAATCCAAATATCGGTGCTTATAAGTCAAGTTTTTTTGGAACACAATCACACTCCTTGGTTTACATTTTGCCTTTGGCAGCGATCATACTATAAGGGCAGAGTTGGCAGCTGAGACAGTGATCACATGGCCTGTAAAGCTGAAAATATCTATTATCTGACCCTTTAAAAAAAAGTTTGCCAACACCTACTTTAGAGCACACTGCGATTCGATTACCGCAACTTTTTTTTTTTTTTTTTGAGACAGAGTTTCCGCTCTTGTTGCCCAGGTTGGAGTGCAATGGCACGATCTCAGCTCACTGAAACCTCCACCTCCCAGGTTCAAGCGATTCTCCTGCCTCAGCCTCCTGAGTAGCTGGAATTACAGGCACCCGCCACCACACCCTGCTTATTTTTGTATTTTCAGTAGAGACGGGATTTCACCACGTTGGCCAGGCTGGTCTCGAACTCATGACCTCAGGTAATCCACCTGCCTCAGCCTCCTAAAGTGCTGAGATTACAGGCGTGAGCCACCGTGCCTGGCCTGCAATTACTTTTGCACCAACCAAATAAAAAGGCCTGGCTTCCTCAAATGGGAAATGATAATGATAACATAGTGTCTTTTTTGATGAGTATAAGTGTACTAACGATAACATTGTGTAGCAAATAAATATTTTCTCTTGTAGACACTTTGAAATCAATGTAAAATCATATCAAATATTCATTTTACTACATTATAATAAGAATTCCTTTCTGGGGATTACCACTGTTTTCAGACTTTTAAGAAATAGAGTTTAGATTTGATAACAAATTTTTGCAATTTTCAGTTATTACAACATGTGCCTAAGTATATTTTAAGCTGATTAATCTTTTCAAACTTTTTAGTCTCAGGAGCCCTTTACACTCTTAAAAATTATTAAGGGCCTCAAAGAAATTTTATTTTTATAGGTTATATCTATCAATATTTCAGAAATTAAAATTGAGAGAATTTAAAAAAGTATTACGCATTTTAAAATAATAATAAACCATTTTATATAAATATCAATAACATATCTCTTGTGAAAATAACTATATTTTTCAAAGAGTGGCATTTTTGAAAAAATCTCATTAACATCTAGTTTGATAGGAGATAGCTAAATTCTCATATTACTTCTTTATTTAACTGTTGTGCTATTACACCTCATTAGGCCCCTGGAAAACTCCACTCATTCTTTGTGAAAGAATAAAAGTGATCTCAAAAAATTTTTTAAAAATAAATCGCATCAAGTATCTTATCTGACCACAATGAAAAAAACCTAGAAATAAATAATAAGAGGACCATGGGACATTTGGAACTGTGCAAATACATGTAAATGAAACAAAAAGCACCTGTCCAACCAATGAGTGAAGGAAGAAATTAAGAAGGAAATGTAAACATTCCTTGAAACAAACGAAAATAGAAACACAACATACCAAAACCTATGGGGCACAGCAAACATAGTATTAAGAGGCAAGTTTATAGCAATAAATTTTTACATAAAAAAGAAAGATTTCAAGTAAACAACCTAATGATATACCTCAAGGAATTAGAAAAGCAAGAACAAACTAAATTCAAAATTAGCAGAAAAAAAGAAATAATGAAGTTCAGAGCATAAATAAAATCGAGACTAACCAAATAGAAAAAAACTCAGTGAAACAAAAAGTTGCTTTATGAAAAGATAAACAAAATTGACAAACTATTAGCTAGACTAAGAAAAGAGAGAAGACCCAAATAAATAAATGAAATCAGATCTGAAAAAAATGACATCACAACTGATGCCACAGAAATACAAACGATCATTAGAAACTATTATGAATAACTATATACCACTAAATTTGAAAAGAGGGAGAAAATGAATAAATTTCTGGACACATACAACCTACCAAGATTGAACCAAGAAGACAGAGAAAACTTAAACTTACCCATAATGGGTAACAAGATTGAATCCATAATAAAAAGTCTCCCAATAAAGACACGCCCAGAACCAGAGAGCTTCAATGCTGTCTACCAAACTTTTAAAGAACAAATACCAATTGTTCTCAAACTATTCCAAAAATTTGAAGTGGAGAGAATTCTTCCAAACTCATTCTATGAGGTCAGCATAACCATGATACCAAAACCAGATGAGGACACAACAAAACAAGAAAACTACAGACCAATACCCCTGATGAATATACATGTAAAAATCCTCAACAACAGACTAGCAAACTGAATCAAACAGCACACAAAAATTTCAAACACCGTGATGTAGTAGGATTTATCCCAGGGATGCAAGGATGGTTCAACATACACAAATCAATAAACATGATCCATTACAATAATAGAATGAGGAACAAAAACCATATATCATCTCATTAGATGCCAAAAGAGCATTTAATAAAATTCAACATTTCTTCATGATAAAAACTCTCAATAAACTAGGTAATAGAAGGAAAATACCTCAATACAATCAAGGCCATATGTGACAAACCCATAGCTAACAACATACTGGACAGGGAACAACTGGAACAAGACAAGCCACTCTTACCACTCTTATTCAGTATAGCACTAGAAGTCCTAGCCAGAACAATTAGGCAAGAGACAGAATTTAAGGGCATCCAGATTGGAAAGGAAGAAGTCATATTGCCTGTGTTTGCAGATGCCATGATCTTATATATAGAAAATCCTAAAGGCTGTACCAAAAAACTCTTAGAATTGATAAACAAATTCAGTAAAGTTGCAGGGTACAAAATCAACATGTAAAAATCAGTAGTGTTTCACACATAAACTAGCTGACAAACAAATGAAGAGAGTAATTTCATTTCCAATTGCTACAAATACAAATTACCCAGGAACAAATTTAACCAAAGAGGTGAAAGATTTCACAAGGAAAACTATAAAACACAGATGAAAGAAATTAAAGAAGTGCACTCAAAAAAGGAAAGACATCCCAAATCATCCCAAATTCATAGACTGGAAAAATTAATATGTTAAAATGACCATACTATCCAAAGTGATCTATATATTTAATGCAATCCCTATCAAAATACCAATGATAGTCTTCAAAGAAATAGAAAAAAAATCTTAACATTTGTATGGAACCACAAAATACCCTGAATAGCCATAGCAATCCTAAGCAAAAATAACAAAGCTGAAGGCATCACATTACCAGACTTCAAAATATACTATAAAGCTATAGTAACCAAAGCAACATAGTACTGGCATTAAAAACAGACACATAGACCAATGAAACAGAACCCAGAACCCTGAAATTAATTGACATATACAAAGCCAACTGATTTTTGACAAAGGTGCAAAGAACATTCATTGGGAAAAAGACACTCTTTCAATAAATGGTGCTGGAAAAACTGGATATCCATATGCAGAAGAATAAAATCAGATCCCCGTCTCTCACTATATACAAAAACCAACTCAAAATGGGTTAAGAGCTAAATGTAAAACTTGAAACTATACAACTGCTAGAAGAAAACAGGGGAAATGCTTCAGGATGCTTGTCTGGGAAAATATTTTGTGAATAAGACCTTTAAAGCACAAGGGACAAAAGCAAAAGTAAACAAATGGAATTGTCTCAAACTAAAAACCTTCTGCACAGCAAAGTAAACAATCAACAGAGTGAAAGAGACAACCAACAGAATGGGAGAATATTTTTTCAAACTATTCATCTCACAGGAGATTGAAATTCAGAATATGCAAGAAACTCAAAGATCTCAATGGCAAACAAAAAACCTCCAATCAAAACATGGGCAAACTATCTGAATAGATAATTTTCAAAAGAAGATAGACAAATGACCAACACATACATGAAAAAGTATTCAACATCACTAATCATCAGGGAAACAAAACTAGAACTACGATGAGATATCATCTCATCCCAAGTAAGATGACTGTTATCAAAAAGACAAAAAATGACAAATGCCAGCCAGGATGTGGAGGAAAGGGATTTCTTACACACTGTTGGTGGGAATGTAAACTAGTACAGCCACTACGGAGAACAGTATGGAGGTTCTTCTAATAAATCAAAATAGGACTACTATATGATTCAGCAAGCCCACAACTGGGTACTTATTGAAAGGAAAGACAATTATTATATTGAAAAGACTTCTGCACCATCATGTTTATTGTAGCACTATTCACAATAGCCAAGATATAAAGTCAATCCAAGTGTCCAACAACAGATGAATAAATTAAGAAAATGTGGTATATACACAATGGAATACTATTCAGCCTTTAAAAAGAATAAAATCTTGTCATGCATGGCAACATGGCTGGAACTGAAGGACATCATATTAAGTGAAATAGGCCAGAAACAGAAAGTTAAACATCACATGATCTCATTTCTATATGGGAACAACAAAAAAAGTTCTTGGAAGTAAAAAGTAGAAGAGAGGTTACTAGAAGCTGGGAAGTGTAGGGGAAAAGGGGAGATGAGAAGAGATTTGTTAAAGTATACAAAATTACAGCTAGAAAGAAGGAATAAGTTTTAATGTTTGATAGCACTGTGGAATGACTATAATTAACCATAATATATATTTAGAAGTAGCTAGAAGAGAGAATATTAAATGTTTCCAACACAAAGAAGTGATAAATGTTTGAGATGATGGATATGCTAATTGCCCTGATCTGATCACTAAACATTGTATATATCAAAACATCAATATGTGCCCCACGAATATGTACAATTCTTATGTGTCAATTAAAAACATAAATTAATTAAAAAATTAAAAAAACTAGTTAGTGTTGAGAAGGATGTAGACCATATGTAATTTTCACACATTGATGGTGGAAATACAAAATGGAACAGTTATTTTGGAATACAGTTTAGCAGTTCTTTATAAAGTCAAACATATATTTACCATATGCCCCAGTCATCCATCTTCTAGGTATTCATCCAAGATAAATGAAAGCATATTTTTGTACAACAGTTTGTTCCAGAAGCTTCATTCTAGCCACAAACTGGAAACAACTCAAATGTCTTATAGAAGATAAATGGATAAACAAACTGTGGTAAATCCATACAATGGAATACTATTCAGTAACAAAAAAAGAACAAAATACTGATACACATAACAACATGGATAAATTTCATTTCTGTTAAGTGAAAGAAGCCAGACGTAAAAGATACGTACTGTATAATTCTTTTATGTGAAATTCTAGAAAGCGTGTAAGTATAGTGAGAGAAAGCAGGTCTGTGGATGCTCACAGCCAGGAAAGAAGGGGTTACCTATAAAGGGCACAAATGAACTTTGGGGGGTGATGGAAATATCCTATACCTTGGTCGTTGTGGTGATTGCACAGCTACATACATTGATCAAAACTCACCAGACGTATACCTAAAGTTGGTCAACTTTAGCCTATATAAATTGTACCTCAGTAAAGCTGATATTAAAAATCAATCACATGGCTATACAGCAGTGTGAATGTACTTGATGCCACTGAACTGTACAATTAAAATGAATAAAATGGTAAGTTTTATGTCATGTATATTTTATCTCAATTAAAATACATGGATAATATCCCTCCCTAAAAATGAGAGTGAAAAAGGCAAATAATGTCTTAGAATTGTTATGGGCCCTCTGAAGGTGTGTCAGGGGCCCCCAGGGTTCCCTGTACCACACTTTGAAAAGTGTTACTCTTTTGTAACTAAGAATGAATAATCATATACATCACACACACACACACACACACACACACACACACGTGCACACTCATACACACGTTTATACTGGTAAAAATTATCAACAATCTTCAATTTAGGAATGAAGTGTTTCAATTGTTTGCTTATAAGTATCCTGTTTGCTTGTTGAGCCCAATTGACTTGTACTAATAGTATTTCAGAACCCATCTGTTTAGGTATTTGTGATTCTGTGTATAAATATAGAGAGAGTCCAACCTGGGTGACAGGAACATGACTCCCTTCTTGCTGACTAGTAATGGTGCTGGAACCTCTATCCCCGCATCACTCCTTACCTGTTAGTGAAATTTGGGATTTCTTCAGCCCCAAGCTACTACTGGGGTTCCCCTGGCCAGGGTTGGAGGTAAGAACCTGATGAAAATAGGGACTTGGGATATGAGTAGGTAGGTGTGAAAAACTTTTCTTTTATGAAATGCAGGGATTAGTGCAACATTTTTTTCACCCTCTTGCTTCTGTGTTTTGGATCAAGTCCTGTCTTGTTCTCTCCTGTTTCCCCATATCCTCCTATATTTGTTAGACCTCTTACAATTCAAACTAGCTTACTTAAAGACAAGATAATTTGTTGGTTCACATTCCTTGAAAAGTCCAGGTATAAAAGGTAGAGGAGCTAACTTCAGACACGTTTAGATGTCATCAGGACGTTTTCTCTCTGTGTCTCTAAACTCTACTTCTCTGTGTTGGCATCATTTCTAGTTAAACTGGTCCTTTCCGTGTGGTGAAAAATAAGGCTAACTGAATGCATAGTCATCGTGGAAGGAAAGAAACCTGCTTTTTTACCAGTGATTAAATCAGTCCCAGATTAAATGATGCCAGCTGGCCAACCAGGGTCACAAGCCAGTTTCTTAGTGGAAAAAGGAAGTCCTTGACTGGAAACCCCTCCAGAATACATGGAAAGGTGTAGGAGAATTGGAGAAGGGATTCAGGGGAGACAGCAAGGGAAAAATTTGTCCTGCAATTCTTGTTTCTAAGTGAAATCAAGGACCTTTTGAAGTTTTCTGAATGTCTTTGCAATTTTTAAATTTTCATTGACAATTTGAATTAATTTGCTATAATAATTAATTGCTTTGAAGGAAACTGAGAAATAGATTCCAAACTGTAGATAAGATACAGACTTTTAGAAATGTCACTCTTCAACTAACCTAGTATTCTTCAACCCCAGCTAATCATGGCTGCATGCTCCTTAGCTTCATGATCAATGTATGTAGCTGTCTGTTTCTGTCTTGATCATTTCTGAAGCTGCTGTTTCCTTATGTTTTCTCAACACAGAGGCTACCATGCCTTTTTTATTGAGGGGGAAGCTGAGACTTAGTGAAGTCAAATAATTTGTCCAAGGTCTCCATTAGTAAGTGACATTATAGAACTGAATCCTTTTCACCCCAAGCTAATTTTCTTTCCACCATAGGCTCTACCTTCCAATTAAACCTCTTGCTAGCCAAATATGTTCTAAATTTGTTTATTCATTTTCCAAATATTTATTGACAGGCACTCTTCTGGACACTGAGGGAGGATACACAATGAAGAAAATAGACAAGTTCTTGTTCTCATGGTGTGAATACCCTAGCGGAAGGGCAGAAAATAAGCAAATAAATATATATGATGTCACATGGCAACACTACTGGCAAGAAGAGGATTGGAAAAGTGTGCTTTTTAATTAGGATGATTAAAGATGACGTCTTTGAGGTTACGGTTGACCAGAGCCCTCATTGAAGCCAGGAAGCATGGCAGGGAGATAGTGAAGGAAGGGCATCCCAGACAGGAGAACTGGAGGACAAAGGCTCTGGGTGTGAAAGTCTTTGGCATATTTACAGGGAATAGGATAGAGGTGGGGGGACCTGGAACTGTTAAGGGGTTGGGGTGGAAGCAGCAGGAGATTAAATCAGAGAGGTAGCCAGAGGAGGTTTTATCCAGAGAGACCAGAGAGATGGCAAATATTCAACTGTGTGTTCTCATTCTCTGGAAGAAGAAAACACTTTATCATTTTACAGTGCTTACCTTGAGAATATGAAAAAAGAGAATCTTTTATCATTTCAGTCATCTATAAGTGAGTATTCAAATTTATATGTTCAATCATTTAGTAGTTCATTCTTACAGTCAACATTTACTAGGCACCCACTGTACCCTAGATACTCCGCCAGATGTTAGAGCTATGAAAAAGGAAAAGAGATACCATTTTCTATCCTCCAGAACCAGATGTGAGTATGTTGTATACAACTGGAGGATGATCAGGTTGACAAGAGCATCTTGTATTACTGTCCACACATTTTTTACCCCCCAAAATGTGTGGTTTCCACAAGAACTAGCTGGAAGCCTGCCATTTACTGACACATTGCTACAAATTTTTAAATTAAATGTTTTACTAGAAATGGATTCAATGTGGTAACGGATCTGTCTGACTACGTTTCAGAAGGGTTTAAAAGCATTTAATTTCCATGTCACATCCATTAAAAGTTAATGATGTCATGCACTCCAGGGAGCAATCCATTTCATAATTTAAAGTGGAACCAACAAAACACGACTCAAAAGGGAAATGAAGGTGACAAGGTACAGAATAACATGAACCAGTGTAGCTGCACCTGTCATGACCCTTCCCGGGGTTAACCTGGCAGAGAACAGAGAGTTTAAGGGAAATGAATCAGAGAACCAAGCCACATTCCATCTTCCTCAGAGAGAAAAGAGCATAAATCAGGAAGAAATAAAGTTTATGTGATATGCAGCACACATTTTTAGCGTTGGTTTCCTTCACACTGAAATGAGGAAAACAGAGCATAAGGAAAGCCACGTGAGGGGACTGCATAATGAGCTGTGGGATTCCAGAGGATGTAGATCTCCACGAACCCTCTGACTCCACACTTGAACTGTGAGGCCAACTGGCACCCTCCCTCCGTCTCCACACTGCCTGAGGCTCTTTCCTGTGCCTGCGCTTCTGAACAACAGAGGAAACCCAGGGATACGCTCTTCCCAATACTCACTCCCCTGCCCTTCCAGCTCCTTCCACCTTGTTTACATTTGTACTCGCGTATTTCATGTGGGTTGTGAAAGCTGGTAACGTTATGGCTACAGAGTGCTCTATTATATTTTCAAGGGCGGAAAAAGGCTGTATGTGAAGCTGCCAAATCAAATCCTTGCCAAAATGGTCCAAGCTAATGAGAAGGTTTGTAAATTACAGTTCAATGGATGAGACGTGGAGGACAAGGAATATCATGCCCACCCAGCAAATAGAATCACTGAGCATCACTAGCTTTTTTACTGGTATATATATATATATATATTATATATATAATATATATTATATATATAATATATATATCTTTTTTGCACTATATATATTTTGCACTATATATATACTGCAAAATACATATATACATATTTTGCACTATATATAGTGCAAAAAATATATATACATATTTTGCACTATATATATAGTGCAAAAAATATATATACATATTTTTGCATGATCTTAGTCAAAGTATTCAAAAATTTAAGCATTTATAGAGTAAAGTTTCATCAATTCCTATACATTTAAGCTGGAACTAGATCGGGTGTTACTTAAACTGACAACTAATGCAATGTTTTATATAATACAGATGATCAATAAATTTCTGCTTAATGAAAGAATAGGTGTCTACAAAAATAAATAGACACATTTAGATTGCAGAACCAATAATTAAGGGCAACTTTACCATTTGAGTCTACTTCCTGCCCCACTTCCTCCCCACAGTAAAGTTTAGAATTTTCCACATATTCTGATATGATTTAATTTTAACTAGTCCTATCACTTATCAGCTCATTTCTAGACTGATTAATGGACATCGACCAATTTTAATTTATAAATTGGTCTTTTCCCTGTTTCTTTAGATTTTGGAAGTTTTGTGTGCATTTGCTTTGGAGCCAAACACGAGAAGAAATTTTAAAAATCACAGCTCTTTGAGTCTTTAAACATTTTTCAAGTTATAAAGTCATTTAGTTTCAGAGACTTTTCCATTTTCTAGCTGAAAGCAATCAACTTTAAGAATCCCTATATAAGAATTCCTAGAAGTGCCTGGTCAGAAAATTAAAGCAGAGGAAGAATTGATTTCTTTGTTATAGTTTCCATAATCATTTAATCAGAAACAATACAAAAAATTAATCCATTTCTTAAAATGTTTACATGACACTTTCTATGCATATTCATTAAAAAGTATAAAATATTTTTGTAATGGATCAAAATTTAACAAAATTTAATTTATTTTATTAAACTAAGTTTTTTCTTTAATAAAAACAATCATGATAATTAAGAAAATAGAAAGCATTCAAGTTAAAATAAAGCCAGTAATATTCCACACTATCAAGCTTAAAACATCATTATGAAAATTTTGAAGACGTTAATTTTAGATGTAGGGAATGGTAATTGCTTGGGCTTTGCCTGCACATCAGTAGCAATGATAGTCAGATACAAATTTAGACTTTAACTTAATTCCTCTTTTCCTGCAGGTCCTTTCTCCTGTATAATTATACTCAATCATTAAAAAGAAATGAACTCAATATCTTAATATACATGGAATTACTCTGTTGTATCTACAAGAAGCACATTTCCTATTTTCAATAAGTTGAGTTGAAAAGAAAAGAATGCAACTTTTTGAATTATTTTGTAAAATGCAGTTAGTAAAAGCTTTAGTGTTGCTTTTTGTCTTTAATTTGTTTTGTTAGTTGTTTCTTTCTGTGGTATTCACTATGATGCATTTTGTGTTGCTGGAAGCTAGTGGTAACAATGCAATAGACAAAAATACAGGGGAGTAAAGAATGAAGGGAACAGAAGAAAAAAAGGAACTATGAGACTTTTCATGTGACATGTTCTAGAGCTCAGTACAGAGTACTGTGGAGTTTGGTTTTAGGTGGAGTTACCTCTGCCTATTGGAGTCAGGAATGGCATCCACATAAAAAAAATGTATCTGAAAAATGTCCAAAGCAATCTACAGATTCAGTGAAATACCTATCAAAATCCCAATTTTCTGTTTTTACAGAAAAAGAAAAAAACAATTTCAAAACTCATATGGGACCACTGATGACCACCAATAGCTAAAGCAATCCCAAGAAAGAAGGACAAAGTTGGAGGCCTCACACTTCTTGATTTCAAATTACATTACAACGCTGCAGTAATTAAGAGTATATACTATCATAAAGATGGACATACTGCCCAGTGGAACAGAATGGAGAACCCAGAAATAAATTCACACATATATGGTCAACTGATCTTTGACAAGGGTGCCAAGAATACACAACGGAGAAAGGCTTTTCTCTTCAACAAATGGTACTGGGAAACACACAAAAGAATGAAATTGTACCTTTCTATTATATACAAAATCAAATCAAATATATTAGAAACTTAAACCTAAGACCCAAAACTGTAAAACTCCAAGAAAAACATAGGGAAAAACTTTATGACTTTGTCTTGGCAATGACTTCATGGATATAACACGAAAAACACTATCAACAAAAACAAAAACAACATGAGACTACATCAAACTAAAAAGCTCCTGTGCAGCAAAGGAAACAATCAACGGAGTGAAAAGGCAATTGATGAAATGAAAGAAATATCCATGAACCATCTATCTGATAAAGGACTAATCTCCAAAATATATAAGGAACTTCTATAATTCAATAGCAAAAAAACCACATGACCTGATTTAAAAATGAGCTAAGGTTTTGAATAGACATTTCTCCAAAGAAGATACAAATGGCCAACAAATATAAGAAAAAATGCTCAATGTTACAAATCATTTGGAAAATGCAAATAAAAACCACCATGAGATTTTACTTCACACCTGTCCAGATGGATATCATCAAAAAAAAAAAAAGGACAAAATGTACTGATGAGGATGTGGAGAAATAGGAACGCTGGCACACTGTTGGTGGAAATGCAAAATAGTGAAGCTGCTACAGAAAATACTATGAAGATTCCTCAAAAAATTAAAAATAGAACTTCCATATATATGATTCAGCTATTCCACTTCTGGATATTTATCAAAAGAGTTGAAACCAGGATCTTAAAGAGATATCAGCAGCACTATTCGCAATAGTCAAGATGCAGAAATAACCTAAATGTCCATTGACAGATGAATAGATACAGAATATGCGATATATACATTGAAATATTATCAGCCTTAAAAAGGAAGGACATTCTATAATATGCAATGACATGATGAACCTGGAGGACATCAAGCTAAGTGAAATAAGCCAGTCACAGAAAGACCAATACTGCATTATTCCACTTATATGAAGTATCCAAAATAGTCAGATTCATAGAATCAAAGAATGAAATGGTGTTTGCCAGGGAATAGCAGGAGGGGGGAATAGAGAGTTATGAATCAACAGGCATAAGGCTCCAGTCAAGCAAGATGAATGAGCTCTAGAGATTTGCTGTACAACATTGTACCTAGAGTCAACAATACTGTATTGTCTGTTTAAAATTTGTTAAGCAGTAAGTCTCATGTTAAGTGTTTTTACCACAATAAAATAAAATAGTAAAATAAAATGTACCTGAGATGAGACTTGCAGTCCTGTGTGAGGGACAGGAGTTTGCCCACAGAGGAGAGTGAAGATGGAGAGAATGTTACAGACAGGCCACAGCCTGCTTTGGGACCTAGAAGTGAGTAAACAGGCTCCCTACAGGATGTGCAGACAGCTGGGCCTGGGGAGAGAGTGCCGGGGATGCTCTGAGGGCCACTGGGAGGTGAGGCTGTAAGGCAAGTTGTGGCAGACCATCACAAGCCCTTCATAGACCTGCAAGAGACTTCCAGGTTTATGGTTTGCCTAACATGAGGGGCTACTGAAGAGTTTTGTGCAAGACATGTGATGAAGTATTTGTGACATGATAAAATGTCGTTTCAGCCATCTTAAAACCACTCAAAGTTGACGGTCTCCTCTCCTGCCTCCTGCGGCTTCCATTACCATGGCAGAGACTGTGGTGTCTGAGGTGGTGTAGCGTACTGAAGCAAGGCTGTCTTGAAGAAGAGGAGACAACTCAGTAAGTATGTTAGTCAGCATAAGCTAGGTTATGATGCAGTAACAAACAATGCTTACATTTCAGTGGCTTAGCACAACAGGAGGGTATCTCTCACTCTTTCTGGATGCCCTACAGAAGACAGCGGGAGGTGGGGTGGGTCTGTTCCACAGTGTCACTCATGGACCAGACTCTGCCATCTTTTGACTGCACTATCTCCAACACACGACCTTTTTAGTCACCACATCAGGGGAGAGACAACTGCAAGGGTTTGCAGTGGCTCCTTTATGCTTCACAATGGAAGTAACACATGCCATTTCTTTTTGTAGTCACAGCCAATTCCGTAGCTTTGCCTAACCACAGGAGGCTGGAAGACGGGGTGGGGGGGAAGCAGATGGGTGCTTGCTGAGCACTGCAGTCTCTGCCATGGTAATTTCAGGTAGCTAGATGGAAGCCACAGGAGGCAGGAGAGGAGACCATCAGCTTTGAGTGGTTTTAAGATGGCAGAAACATCAGGCCACAGAGACTGAGGCAATTTGGTGGGGGTGAGAGAGGAGTGGCATAGGGTGATTGCTGGGTACTCACTGGTGGCAGCATACTCAGTGAGCAAAACTGGCAGAGAGTAGGTGTAGGGTAGAGATAAGGCTCATCTTGACCAGCACTGCTATCTGCGAAGCCTAATTAAACATGTCCACGGCCGGTCGCGGTGGCTTCATGCCTGTAATCCCAGCACTTTAGGAGGCCAAGGCAGGCGGATCATGAGGTCAGGAGATCTAGACTATCCTGGCTAACACAGTAAAACCCCGTCTGTATTAAAATTAAAAAATTAGCCAGGCGTGGTGGCATATGCATGTAGTCCCAGCTACTTGGGAGGCTGAGGCAGGAGAATCACTTGAACCCAGGAGGCGGAGGTTGCAGTGAGCTGAGATCATGCCGCTGCACTCCAGCCTGGGCGACAGAGCGAGGCTCTGTCTCGAAAACAAAACAAACCAAAACAAAACCACAACAACAGCAACAACAAAAACCCCAAAAACATGTCCACTAGGAACTGCAAGTCAGGAGTGCAAAATAGAGTCAGGCCTAGCTATTGATATTTGGACATCATCACCCAGTTATAGGCAGAGGTTGAAAACATGTAGGTGAATGAGTCTCCCAAAGGAGAGAATGTATAATAAGATTAGGTGAGAGTTTAAAAAGTTGAATTGCTCGTGCAGTCTGGATCCAGAGTCATCGCACCCAGATGGATTCAAGAAATGGAGGGTCAGAAGGTCAGCTTCCACAAGTCTATAATTAACTGGGTTTTGATGTATGCTTGCAGAGGCTAGAGACACACTGAGAGATTTATCGAGTGCAATATTTGTTTGACATCCAAAGAAATAAGACAAGCCTTCTTATGAACTCTTGGCAGAGATTTACTTTAGATAGCGAAGAACAGCTTGACACTACAGATTATTAGACACCACAAGAGTTTATTAAATAAAATGGGTGGAAGCATTGATTCTACATCTTAAATATATCTCTTTGGTCCAGGGGTTGTCAAACTGTGTTTCTTAGGGGGGTCTCAGGGGCTGCTGCAGGATGCCAGGAGCTGGTGCAGAGCAGAGTGACTCACGTCTTCCACCTCTCCCTCCATCAGCTCTGCGGTTACTGGTTTTATATTGTAATGTTTCACATAAGATTTCATTGGAGAAAAAATTCTGCACCACAAAAACAAAAAGTTTCCTTTCCATCTCCAATGTTAAAAAGCCTTAGGCTGAGGCTTTCATCATTTCCTGCTTGGATCGTTGTATTTTTCTTCCCTGGGGGTCTGTCTCGCTGCCTCTGATCTCGTCCCTTTGTCATCCACCCTCCGCATGGTTCCCAAAGTGATCATTCTCGAACACAAATCCAAATCTGATGTTGGCTTCTGGGGCATTTTTGACTTCCTATCACCAATTGTAGAAAGTTATACTCTAAAGAATGGCCCCAAGAAAGCATTTCATGATTTGGCCTTCCCTTACCTTTCTCCAGCCCCCTTTTCAGGATGTCCCCTTTTGTTCCTTGTGCCTCAGCCATAAACAACAACTCATGCCTGCAGTGCGCTGAAGGTATAGAAGGCCTTTGGTTTAGTGAATCCAACTTCTCAGCTGCAGCTTCAGCATAATGACATCTTAGAAGACTCCCCAGCTTCCAGTAGTTTAGTTAGAAGTCCTCCTCTGGGGCTCCTGTCATGAAGAATGTGTACCCCTCTGACAGCACATTGCCCGCAGTCTTGTGTTAATTGATATTTAGTTTATCTCCCTACTGGATAATCAGCAATTGCCTTCAGGAAACGGACTGGCTCATCAGCTCTATCTCCTCAGACTTTGGCTCTGCACTTGACCCTCTACCATGTTGTTAAACAAGAAATGAGTGTCCTCCTTTCTGGAAATCATTAAAATAATGGTTTTTTATCTGCTTTATTCATTTGAAAAGCTTTGGTCTATGAATATAGACTATACGGCTCCTTAAGATTTTTGTCTATATTATTTTTGATTTTTTTGTTTTTTAACACCTTTAGAATTTCACAGCCTTTATAAATATAATACTTAAAAGTAACATTTCAGAGTATTTGGAAATACTTTTTGACTATTTAAAACAAAATATGAAACATGAAGTATAGTAAAGATATAAAACGATAATTTAGATAAAAATTCTTTCTTTCATGGAAAACACCACTGCATTATTCCTGTTTCAAATGTCCTACAGCATTACATTTTTTTTTTTTTGCAGCAACTCCACTACACATTTGTTCATGGTGTTCACTTCCTACAAGATACAGTCAAAACTCCTTAGCCTGATTTCCAGAGCCTCTGTAATCTGACCCAACTGACTTTCTCAACCACATTACACACTAATCTTTCACAGATTTTTTTTTGCTTTATTTAAACCTTTTCCCCTCATATTTCTATTTATTCTTCTTAGCCTTTGGTGAATGCTTTCTATCAGAGGATTTGTACCTTCGGATTTTTGGAAAAGTCTGTACCATTATATCTTAGCATATTGCTTATTTGCTGTTTGTTTATTTATGTCTTTGGAATTTCTCTGAGGCAGATACTAGAGCATTTATGATTCCTAACTTCTGTTTTATATCCTCCATTCCTTTATTTTTGTCCTCCATGTCACAGAGATGTTCTGTTCCATCTTCTAACTCATCTTCAAGCATGATTTGTCTTGTATAATCCATTTGCTTAGATTTCTAAAGAGATTTAATGACTGTACTTACACTTGACTTTTAAGAGCCTGTTTCATAACTTGCTGTTTTTATTTTACAGATGCCATTTCTTCCTTTATATTTTAAATACTGTAAACATACTTATTGTCAGCTCTCTTTCATGTTGTTCTATTCTTGTTGGTTCCTCATGTCCTGTAAGCTGTCTTTCATGATGCTAAGTGTCCTATTTTTTAAAATTCTGTTTTATTTTGCTTACGAGTTTACTTCAGAAGGAAGTATCTTTTCTAGAGATCCGGATAACCACCTGGGGTGGTTTCCACTGGTGTTCCTGTCAGCACCTTCAAGACACACTGATTCTGAATTATTTTTTGTGTTAGTTTTTCAGCCTGGAATTCTGAGTCTATTCCTACTCCCACCTGTTGTTCAGTCTTGGGGTTCTTATATCTCTAGAAGACTCCTATTTTACCCACATGGTGGGGCTATTGGCTCATTTCCAGCAGTTATCTTGGGTATGCAGGCAGAGATGATCTGGTTCCTTCAAGGTTAGTGCAGTGCTTTCTAGGGTTCTGATTCTGCACAGGAAGCCCAGTTCTTATTCCTTCTATAAACATATTTTCCTGGCCAGCTTCTGGCCTTGAATAGCCATGAAAATCCCAGACTTTGAGACCTGTAATCTCCCTTAGTTCCAGATACATTGTCATGTTGGCTCTATGTTCTAGCATTTGGAGATTTCCTTTCTTGCTTTTGTGTTCTGCTATATATTTAATATGTAAAAAAATGCTTTTAATCCCTATATCTAAATGTCTGGAAATGTTGTGTTCAATTCCATCTTATCCTGTTATTTCTTGACTGTCTGAATATGTAGTTCTTATTTCTCTCGTTCTCTCCATTTTGAATAATCTCCCAAATGCTCTCTGCCTTTTGCAAATTCACTCATTCTTCCAGGACTTGAGGAGTCACTGAAGGTAATGCTTTTTTCCTCCAGGGACCAAATTAACCCCTAGGAAGGGTCTTCTATGAACTCCTTTGACATCCATTTGACACTTAATCATTTTCTGTTATAATTATTATATGGCTATTATTTGTTTTCTTGTGAAATTATAAAATCTTTGAAATTTGGGGCCATTTCTTAAGCTTCTTGAATTTCTTCACCTGGTCTCACAACAAATTCTTCCTAATGGAAGAAAAACAGAAAAGAAAGACACACTAGGATAGAGTAATTTAAAATGTTTTAGACTTTATTTACGAGGGTCCAAGCACCTAGGAAAACAGGATTTGTTTAAATTTTGCTTACTCATTTTATTCAGGATTCATGAATTTATAAGGCCAGAGAGATTTCATATAAGATCCTAGATTACTAAAGGAAAACTGAAAGATTTTATGTCAAGCAATATAAAATTAATATGACAGATGCAACCTTAGAAAATGTGTTTCCTGAGATTCCTAAATTAGCTACTTTTGTGGGTGTCTGCTTAGTATTTGGTCCTGAGTAAATGAATAAACAAACAGCTACTTCTGAGAGCTACTTTCACAGGGAAATGTTTCTGAGTTCCAGTTCATGGGAGTTTAGGAAGGTATGGGATGCAAATTACATTTCAACACTGAACCAGCCAATCAATCCTTGAACACTTTTGAAGTCTTTAGCTTTGCCTGTGAACATGGGAACACCCAAGGGCACCTTCAAATTAAAAATAAACATACATTCTAAGGAGTCCTAGATGTGTAATTTGGTAGAAATTTAAGGGGTGTCTTTTTATAGTAACGGAGTCTATAAAGAAAATACAATTCAGGTGAGGTTACATCCTTTCCAGTCATAAAAGTGTATGTGAATGACATTTAACTCGAAATTCAAGTACTTTGGGCATATCATTCCCGCTCCCTGCCCCAATCCCATAATTTCTTGGTAGAAACTCATAGTGCATTTTTTTTTCAGTTCCAGCCAGATTTTTATATCTATTGGATGGATATTACATTAATAAAAAAATAGCTAACACTTATTGTATGATTGTCTAATGCCAAGCTATGTTCGTATAATTATCTAATATGTTGGTATGATTTGACTCTGTGGCTCCACCCAAATCTCACCTTTAATTGTAATCCCTTATGTTATGGGAGGAACCTGGTGGGAGGTGATTGGATTATGGGAGCGGTTTCCCCATGCTGTTCTTGTGATAGTCAGGGAGTTCTTACCAGATCTGATGGTTTTAGAAGTGGCAATTTCCCCTATGCACTCTCTCTCTCTCCTGCCACCATGTAAGACATGCCTTGCTTCTCCCTCCCCTTCTGCCATGATTGTAAGTTTCCTGAGGCCTCCCCAGCCATGTTGAACTGTGAGTCAATTAAACCTCTTTCCTTCATGAATTACCCAGTCTCAGGTATTCTTTATAACTGTGAAAATGGGCTAATACCCAGATAACCCTATGGTGTTGCTGCTGTTATTATTCTTCCCTTGCAGATGGGGAAAACTGAGATGAAGAGTTAATTAATTTACCAAAGTCAAAAGAGTAGTCTTAAACTACTGTGAAATTTCTGTAGGCCTCCTTTTTTTTCCTTCAAAACCTTTAATATGCTAATACACATTTTTGTATTTTTTTTTTAATTATACTTTAAGTTCTGGGATACATGTGCAGAACATGCAGGTTTGTTACATAGGCATACACGTGTGATTGTGGTTTGCTGCACCCATCAACCTGTCATCTACATAAGATATTTCTCTTAATGCTATCCTTCCCTTAGCCCCACACCCCACTGACAGGCCCCGGTGTGTGATGTTCCACTCCCAGTGTCCATGTGTTCTCATTGTTCAACTCCCAGTTATGAGTGAGAATATGCAATGTTTGGTTTTCTGTTCCTGTGTTAGTTTGCTGAGAATGATGGTTTCCAGCTTCATCCATGTCCCTGCAAAGGACATGAACTCATTCTTTTTTATGGCTGCATAGTATTCCATGATGTATATGTGCCACATTTTCTTTATCCAATCTATTGTTGATGGGCATTTGGGTTGGTTCCAAGTCTTTGCTATTGTTAACAGTGCCACAGTAAACATACGTGTGCATGTGTCTTTATAGCAGAATGATTTATAATCCTTTGGGTATATACCCAGTGATGGGATTGCTGGGTCAAATGGTATTTCTAGTTCTAGATCCTTGAGGAATTGCCACACTGTCTTCCACAATGGTTGAACTAATTTACACTCCCACCAACAGTGTAAAAGCATTCCTATTTCTCCGCATCCTCTCCAGCATCTTTTGTTTCCTGACTTTTTAATGATCGCCATTCTAACGGGCATGAGATGGTATCTCATTGTGGTTTTTATTTGCATTTCTCTAATGACCAGTGATGATGAGCTTTTTGTCATATGTTTGTTGGCTGCATAAATGTCTTCTTTTGAGAAGTGTCTGTTCATATCCTTTGCCCACTTTTTGATGAAGTTGTTTTTTTCCTTGTAACATTTTTTAAGTTATTTGTAGATTCTGGATATTAGCCCTTTGTCAGATGGATAGATTGCAAAAATTTTCTCCCATTCTGTAGGTTGCCTGTTCACTCTGGTGATAGTTTCTTTTGCTGTGCAGAAGCTCTTTAGTTTAATTAGATACCATTTGTCAATTTTGGCTTTTGTTGTCTTTAGGCCTCCTTTCTATTCATGTTTCTACTTTAGAAGACATATATATATATCTACATATATATATATTTTATATATCTATATATGCCTTCTAAATATATATGTCTACAAATATGTATGTCTTCTATATTTTATATATCTATATATGCCTTCTAAATATATATGTCTACAAATATGTATGTCTTCTAAAGTAGAAACATGAATATATGTATCTAGAAACATATATGTCTTCAGAAGACAAATATATATGTATATGTCTTCTAAAGTGTGTGTATGTGTGTATGTTTATATATGCGTGTATATATATATGTGTATATGTATTTGTCCAGAGTTCTCCTGGGGAATCTATATTTTATTGAGATGAGAAGGAAACGTGGTAGTGTTGGTTAACTTATCACCACCTGGTTGCTGTCTAAACTCAACCACTTCCTATTGTGTCATGGTTTGATTATAAATTTCCTCTAAGCCTCTTTTTCTGGACACTCGCTTATCACCGCTAATCCTACATACAAAAGGTTGAATACTGGCCACTCTGAAAGTTGACAATCTAATATGGATTAAATGTAAAAATAAAGCTAGTGACTCCAAAACCCACCACTAGCTGGTTCATCACAGTTGTATATTTTTACACTTTCTCAGTCCACCCTCTAACCCAACTCATCTTCTTGTAAGCCTAGCACCTATTGTTGGCTATCTAGTGGCACACTGCAAAGGATCTTATGTGCCTGGAGCCCCGGTTTGCAATTTTTTTTTTTTTTTTTTTTTTTTTTTTTTAGAGATAGTGTTGTATACTTAAATCTTGACAAGCAAAAGAAAAAGAATGAAGTTTGGAAACCATCACTTCTAAAAAGCTTGTATTTTATTATTTAGAACAGACTTGCTTAAGGGAAAGATAAAATCAATACTTTTTCCCCCTGTTTTCAATAAGTGCCTAGATATTAGATTTTATGTTTGTTTGTTTTAAACAACGTTTTAAACTTGAGAGAATTTTGGGTAAGAAAATAAATAAATAAGTTGGATAGAAATAAACCTTTTAAAATTAAATTCTCTTCACTAAAGAATGTATTACTGGGAAAGGTTTTAAAAACTTCACTAGAGGTCCCTCCAATTTTTTTCACCTGTTTCCTCAAGATGGGGTAGTCGAGGACAAATTGATTACTGTTTTAAGCTTCCTTCCAAATTTCCATTGCTGTTATTTATGGTTCTATTCCAAATGTAAAATTTAGGCCTTTCCAATATTTGTTTTTAAAATGAAGAGACTTTCTGATTCCTATGAATAAAAATACTCCATGCTAATGGAAAAATCAAGAATCTTGGTGCCAAAGTGCTTCATTCAAACTCTTAGACAATAAAATAAGCAAGACATTAAATTATAACAAAGGTTCCAACCTTTTACTAAACTAGACTCACCTTGAGGAGCTTATAAAAGTACAGATTTCTAAGTTTTCCCAATCTACTCTTTCTTCCCATCCCAAGATTCTGAAATTAATTGGTTTGGCTGAGCTTGATCCAACACATTTTACTAAATATATATGTTTATTATATATAGTCTATATTATAAAATAAATATAATTATAACAGAATAAATATAATAAATATAGTATAAAGTATATTTATTATATAATTATTTAAGGCTGAAGATCAGTGTCCACAAAGGCATTTCTTGCTCTTTGCTAATGCCAGACAAATTAATGCAAAAGAAATGGTTGGATAAGAAGAAAGGAAAATGAGAAATAATATTCCTATTTATAATTTCTATCTATTTTCACAAAAATCACAAGTAGCTAAAGGTAGTCATTTTGCCTCAAATTGCCAATCAGGTTTAAGAAGTTTTTTGTCTGAATTTCCTAATTCTAAGTGAGAGACTGAAAATGCAAATGAACTATGACCAGACCACCTATGACAACAGAACCCTGACCCACAATCTCTGTGGCCACCAGCCCAGGAAGCAAAACCCCACTTCTGTGGCCTTCAGCCCAGAGTGGTCAGGGCTTGGTCAATGACTGCCAGCTTTCCTTTTTTTTCTTTTTTTTTTTTTTTGGCTTCTGCTTCCAACTCAGGACCAAGGAGAGAAAGCCAAATATGTTACCCTTCTCTAAACAATCACTTAGGATGCCCCACTTCTAGTTAGTGCACTTCCAGCTTCCCTGAAGCCTTCCTTTTTTTTTTTACTGTAAAACGTTCCCATTCCCATCTGTCTTTGAGTCTTTGTCAAATACAGGTGATGGTGGCTGACTCACTTGCTATGGCAAGCTCTGAATCAATAGCTTCTGTTTGTTCTCATTTTGGTGGTGTTTATTTAGTTCCACATAGCTAAAAATGGGGAAAATAAAAATGGGAAAAAATAAATTATCCTTGTGCATACATGTAAGGTTATTTATACCAATTTATGCAATTTCAGAAAATGAGAGGAGAAAGCAGATACCATCACCAAGGCAAGTGTTCAAAAGGGCAATAATTACAGTGACAAGAGGAATCCCAATAACTTTTATTCTCAGTAAATATGGCTACACAGTCAAGAGTGTTGAGGACCTGAGAATGGGAAGTCACTGCTTTGGCTCCTGTGATTCCACCAATACTTGCCTGAATTCTCTTGAATCAATGAATCAGGCGTGGAAGACTAGAAGCAACAAAGAGAGGAGCAGGTAGTAGAGGGGGTAACTTTTAGAAGGCTGTAGAGTGGTCCCTTGATATCCACAGAGGATTGGTTCCAGGACCACCCACATATACCCAAATCCATGCATACTTAAGTCGTGCTATTGGGACTTTAGAATCCAGGTATATGAAAAGTCAAATGTGTATATGTGTGTGTATATATGTGTATATGTACATACATACATATATGTATATATATACATATACACACACATATGTGTATATATATATACACACACAGAGACTTTTTCCAAACAAAAGCAGATCAAAAATACTGTATATATATATACATATATGTATGTGTATATATGCATACATATATACAGTATATACATATATACACATACATATATGTATATATGTATGTGTATATATATGTATGTGTATATATATGTAGTATTTTTGATCTGCTTTTGTTTGGAAAAAGTCTGTGAATAAGTAGACCTGTGCAGTTCAAACCCATCTTATTCAAGAGTCAACTGTAATTTCAATATTTTGTAACAGTTTAGTCACCAATATTGAAGTTGAGAGAAGGAAGTTCTCTCTTGTGGACAATATGGAATGCTCTAAAACTTGAATCCAAATGTACATTCTTGGCATCACTCAAATAATGTGAGCGTGTAACATTTATGATATATTCAAGAGGCAAAACCCAATTCTTTACACTGTAGACCTGTTTTGTTGTTATTTTAGTTTTGTGAAGGCAAGGTTTTAAGGCAATTTAGTTCTAAAAGCATTACTGAGTATTTACTATTTGCAATTCACTGCACTTGGTAATAAACTAGAGGGAGATGCAGAAACTCTCTTTTCTCCACCAATTCTTCGAAGGAAAAAACATTTCCATTATCATTAGGTGACAATCTACACAGCTAATTGTACATATGAATTGACTGATAATTTACAGTTGCAATATGGTGTCATAAAAGGAGTCATAAAACTTTGTGACTTCGTTTGCTTTTTCTCTGTAAGATATGTGCTGCAAATGCAAACTAACATCAAATAAATAACTCCTGTCTTTATACATACATGATCTAATACTTTCCACAACTCTGATATTTAAGGTACTTCCATTATGACTAGTTAATTGCATAAATTCAATAATTAATTATATTCTAATGATCAAGAAGAATATTTATCAAAAATAAAACTTGCAGACATTGGGGAGGAATTAAGGCATGTTAACACATTTTCTATATCAATCAGGTACTTTTAGTGTAAATGTGTTATCAAGTGAACTGGAACATTAAATAGAGGAATTTGGTATCATTGTGGGAAAAATAATCTAATCACTTTTCAAACTTGGCTGCCCTTTGGAGCCATTTGAGAAATTTTTGAGAAGCAAGATACAGGTATTCTAATTTACTTGGTCTGCAGTGTGGCCCTTGCCAGGTGATACTAACATGTGGCATAGAGTGAGAACCATCATTATATAATCTAGAATTTAGTGTATTACTCCTTCAATATTATACTTCTCCTCCAGCTCTTGGGACTTTTCCTGATTTCATAGGTTGGTTGAGCAGTTTTTGTTATTGTTGTTGTTTGTTTTTTTAATGTTGACTTGTTTTCCCAAGTAGGTATTCTTCCTGGAAAGAGATAGTACTCACTATAAATAATTAATTGACTTCCTAGTCAAATTAGTCCTTGATGAGTCTAAACAGTGGGTGGTAGACATATCTCATCTCCCCAGTTTGATCACGCCATCCGTCCTTAAGATAACAGACCTATAGAGCTAGTAGGCCAACCCTAGAAACAAAAAAGGCAACAGTTATGTCCAGGTCATTACAGCTTGTCAATTTGCTTCTCCCAAATTACTGCACTTCTTGTTTCTTCATTGGGTTACACGCCTGCTTATTCACGTCCCTCGATCAGTTTTTCCTCAATCCTGGGTACACAACAGCATCACCTGGGGAGCATTTTAGATGCCTAATGCCTAATTACATCAGTCTCTGGGGGTAGTACCCAGTTATCAGTGTTCTTTAAAGCTCCTCAGAAGACACTGTGAACCATTGCCTTAGGCTGTAGTGCTCTCAATATTTACCTAAGACATTCATGAATCTGCATTTTCTTTAGTTGATATTACAGAGCTACAGACCAGCTCTGACCCAAGCTCATTTATATAATGGCAGATAGATACTATTAAAAACCTAAAAAAAAATTTAATAGAAGTCTTTGGTAATGTACTTACAGAGCCCTTGTACTTTGGGCCAGGGGCTCTTGTAAGCACTGTACATAGATTGAATTATTTATTCTAGCCACATCTTACAGATGAGAAAATTTCCCAGTGTTACACACTTAGCGTTTGGGCCAAGATTCAAATGAGGCACTCTGGCTCCAGAGTCACCAGTTAACCACAGGTGACCAGCAATGTGGCTGTTAAAACTACTAGATGTGATTTGATAGGTGATATTCTTACACTTCCATTTTACAGGTAAAGAATCAAGGTACAGAGAAAGTGTCCTAGGATCACACAGCTAGTAAGTGGCAGAGCTGGGATTTGAACTCAAAACAGTCCCACCCTAAAGATGATGTTCTGTTAATAATCTAGCCTTTTTTTTCAGACAAATATTCAACTGACCCAGCTTTCCATAAATTTATATTACTGCAGATTGGAATTTGGTATTGCAAGTTTCATTTGCACTTCTGAACTTATTCTTCATGTTTTACCCAGAAATTTATTAAAAAAAAAAAGAAATAAAACTGGTGGATTTTTCACCCTACTACAACTGACTGCACTGGAGAAGCAATTACTACAGAGATGCTACAGCTGCTTTCTTGATATTAGTCCACGGTTTTAAAATGTTTTTGATTTGTAAATATGTTAGGCACCACAAGTCCGTCAAGATGGTATGTAGAAAGAAGAAAAGATTCTCCACTCCAAATCTTTATGTGCCTGAAAATCCCTTTGATTTCCCTTATTAGTTTGGTATGTCTTTAATTTTATATTAAAAATACAGATTTCTTCCAGTTATGGGACATTGTCCCACTTCAAACTTTTAAAAACAAATTAATCAGAATTTTATGGTAATTGTTATGTAAATAGGACAAATATATCTCAGCCCTTTGGCAAGCAGCCTTGACAACTGAAACAGTTTCACACTGTGGATTTCAATCAATGTAACAAAGTTACTGAGCACAGTCTAAAATCAATGAATTCTAGAGTGCAGGAGTTTTTTAAAAGTTTCTTGCTTCTCGCATTTTAATATAAAAATCATCCCAGGCTATTGTTAAAATGCAAAAATCTGATTTGGGAGGCTTTAAGTGAGATGCTGGACTTCATATTTCAGTAAGGTCTCAAGTGATGTACATGCTGCTGGTCTGTGAACCACACTTTGAGTAGCAAGGACACAGTGCTGGTAAACTCGTTCTCCAAAGGAGGAAAACAAAGCCTTGGCTTGTAGTATTTGCTAATTTCCATGATATAAATGTTCCCACAAAGACCACATTCAAGCTACCAACGTGATGTCATTGAAAATGGAGTTGGGAAGAGACATTCAGCACGCTGCCCACAATTAGCTCTCCAACCAGGTACAAGCCAGTTCCAGCACACCACTGATCTACATAAGTATAAGTACATGCACCTTCAAGATCCCACAACATAGCTGTTTCACTCTGCAAAGGATTTCAGGAGGTGAGGGAGAATAAGAATGTCACAGGAAAAAATGACAAGATTAATTACAAAGTTTTCAGAATAGGTGCAAAATAATCTAGTTCCAAGGCTATATAGGCTGATGAGAGGGCATGTTTAAGAAGTTAAAAGACGTGTGTGGCCAATAATGGAGCCTTTGGGGAAGATCTGAACCCGGTTTGGACTGTGATGGGTTTGGATGAGTGGGAAAGGAGAACACGCACAGAAAAGGAAGTGGGATAAACACTAGCAAAATGTCTGATGCTAAACAAAATTGAAGGAAAACTTGGAATTCCTAAAGAGTTGGGAGTACAGTCATTGGTCCAGCAGAATGAGGGCATCCTGCTTTCACAAATGTTTTATTCTCTGGCATGATTGAGGAATAACATATTCAGATTAATCAAACATCCAGGTTAACAGAGAGTTGACATATGTACCAAAAAGAGATGCCAATGTTTAAAGTAATAGAATATATTAGAGTACACAGAACCTAATTTCTTTCTTCTTTGATGAAGAAAGGACTTTGAGATCTTCCATGTCTCAGAGCCATGGCTTTGAGCACCTTTGGTCCCTTCTGGTAGGGTTCTGTGATGGAGCCTGCAAAGTTTTGTTTGCAGTGTCCTGTAAGAAGAGTGTATTTTCAAGTCTTTCTCTAGGGCTGTAGAATGAGAGCATCCTAAGAAACTGACTCCCTTGGAGAGAATTTCTAACTGGCAGAAATGCTCTGCCTTGTAGTGCATTGAGTGGTTAAAAGCCCAGACTCATTTCCACATCTGTAATTGGGGCTAATAATACCAATCTCATATGGTTTTGGTGATTATTAAATGAAACTTGGTCAAGAAATATTGGTGCTCAATATTTGAATGAGCACTACAAATTAGTGCAGGCGTTGTAGCCAGGCATACACCGTTACTAATTTTTAAATCAGAATTGCTTAACAGACACTGATTGTCTACAAGGCCATAAACAGGATGAGGCTGTGGGGAGAAAGTATGGACTGGTCCCCAAGCCTGCAGAGCTAAGGTTTCTGCATTCTGCACACATCTTTGAAAGAATCTATGACCACCTGTGCACAATGTTTAAATGCCTAGGAACCTTCCCTTGCTACCCAGGGAGAGGTTTTCCCTAGACCCTCTGACAGTTCCCTCAGTCAGCAACTATATGAAAGAATTTTCTTACATTTCTGAAATCTGAATAGAGGTTTATTTGGGAAAAAATCCTTTTCCCTCCTGTCTCTTGGAATAAATGTACTATTTCGTTTTCTTAATTTGTACTATGTTAAGAACCAGTAGAGGGAACTTAAGGTCAATCTGTCTCTCAGGTTGAGTAACTCTAAGCTATAAGCTCCAGAATCTTGTCTTTGTCTCTAATTCCAAATGGGCTTGTGGGGAAAAGTGATATAACCATGAGATCACTGTGTTCTTTTAGATGATTTCCTGTTTCCTGTGTATTTAAATACACAGGGAATAATCCCGCTATTAAAATGAGACCCTGTATGTGTGTATGGGCAGAAGTTCAATGAAAAAGGAAGAAAAATATGCTTGCTGAATACCAGATGTAGAATGCATAAATCCTGTCAGAACAAGTGGGGAATAGCTTTTATGGCTGACTTGCAAGAAACCTAAGGGAATTGGGAAATCAGATAGGCATGTGTCAAGCAGACTTATTTAAATCATCCACTTCCTCAGCAAAATAAAAGTTTGAGAGGGTTCTGCTTCCTTTTGTGGTTTGAAATTACAGTTGTAGGCCTCAGAAGTCCTGCTTGATTGAGGGCTTCCAAGCAAAGACGTTATACAACCTAGTTCAGGCGCCCGACAACACTGGGGTCACCCAATGCCTCTCCCTGAGGTCTCCAACCTTGCCTTGTTTGTACTTTGTGTCCTTTGTCATCTCAGAAGCAAATTGTAGTGCAGCTGACCACTGCTTCATGGACCTCCAGCTTGTCCCTACTAAAAGGCTTTTGCATCTGAAAGAGAAAGATGCCCACTGGCTTCCTTCTTAGACCACTGCTGTAGATCCTGAGCACAAACCTTAGCTCTGCAGGCTTGGAGACCAGGCAATGCTTTCTCCTTGCAGCCTCATTCTGTTCACAGTTCGCACAGGGTTTATGGCCTTATAGACAATCAGTCTGTGGTAAGCAATTCTGATTTAAAAACTAATAATCTGTGTATGCTTGGCTACAAGGCCCACATGAATTCGTAGTGAGAGATAAACTAGATACCAATTATTTCCAGGTATAATATCCTAACAGGTAAGTTTTTCAGGAGGCCACATTGTAGTTCAGCAGGTTACTGGTGTGTATAGATACAAAGCAAAGGTATTTAAGTACAAACCATTTCCTTTAAGGTGTGGTAGCTCCCTAAATTGTTCTTCTCAGGATATTTCTGTTTTAAAATGTCCTGTTAAATATATTATTTTTATGTACAGTATAATTTTTTAAAAGCATGCTGACATGGGAAAATCATGGACTTTGCAGACCCAGGTTTAAGTCATTCCAAATCTACCACTTACTGATGTGTGAACTTCAGCACGTTACTGTACCTCTTTCAGACTCATTTCCTTATCTTCTTGCTGAGAATGTGTGTGTAAAAATATTAATATGGAATCTAGCATGGTGTCTAGCCCTTTGTGAAACCCTGACAAATTCTTATTCCTCACCATTCATCTGTTCATCTGTATTAGTTTGTTTTCACGGTGCTGATAAAGACATATCCGAAACTGGGAACAAAAAAAGGTTTAATTGGACTTACAGTTCCACATGGCTGGGGAGGCCTCAGAATCATGATGGGAGGCAAAAGGCACCTTTTTTTTTTTTTTATGGAGTTTCACTCTGTCACCCAGGCTGGAGTGCAGTGGCACGATCTTGGCTCACTGCAACCTCTGCCTCCAGGGTTCAAGCAATTCCCTTGCCTCAGTCTCCCAAGTAGCTGGGATTACAGGTTCCTGCCTCCATGCCTGGTTAATTTTTGTATTTTTAGTAGAGACAGGGTTTCGCCATGTTGGCCAGACTGGTCTCGAACTCCTCACCTCAGGTGATCCACTCACCTCGGCCTCCCAAAGTGCTGGGATTACAGGCATGTACAAGTATGCCCAGCCCCAAAAGGCACTTCTTACATGGCAGCAACAAGCGAAAAATGAGGAAGAAGCAAAAGCAAAAACCCCTGATAAGCCCATCTGATCTTATGAGACTTATTCATGACCACAAGAACACTATGGGGGAAACTGCCCCCATGATTCAGTTATCTCCCACCAGGTCCCTCCCACAACACGTGGGAATTATGGGAGTACAATTCAAGAGGAGATTTGGGTGGGGACACACAGTCAAACCGTATCACTACCCATCCATCCATCCATTCATTTATTCCTTCACTAAATGCCTGTTGAACACCTTTTATGTGCCAACCACTGTCAGTTAGTGGAGGCACAGACAAAAGTGAGAGGTGAACTCAGTTGATGGTATGTAGGTGGGTCTATTTCTGGGCTCTCTATGCTTCTCCATTGATTTATTTGTTTATTTTTTTCTCTTTGTTTGCCAAAGACTTTCTTAATCTTTAACAATGTAATTCCAGTGAGAGAAAAAGAAGTTTCAGAAGTAATATACCAAATCATGGGATGGGACTGTGGGGGTGGTGAGTGAGTTCAGGAGAGTGAGTGAGTTCAGGAGAGAGAGAGAGAGAGAGAGAGAGAGAGAGAGAGAGAAAATGAAGGCCATATAAGGTAAAGTGTTGAATGTTACGTGCTCTGTTGACTGTGGGCCCCAGGATGTGTATGATGGAATTTACTGAAACAGAATTTGCACATTTATAAAAAGGATGCAGTTTTAGAAAATAGCTAGTTATGCTAGCATCTTGTTTCTTCATTGATGCTGCAATGTTATATAAGCACTGAATCCTCCCACATTTCCAGCTCTTATCTAAAAGCCAGAATGTGTACCACCTGGGTTGAGAGGAAGATGAAATGAAATTGGGGAAGTAAATGGTAAAAAGCATCCTGAAAGAAACCAACTAGATATGTTCAAGTCAGCAGGTTATTTAGTATTTTGAGTTATTTAGTAATTTGAGTAATGTGTAAGGGGTGTACTGACATGCTTTTTCTCTCATTTTCTCCCTGTTCTGCCTGTAGCAATTCTACCACCTTTGTTGACCTCTTCTTCCCCCCAACTTATTGCTGTAGAGGCTACCTGAGCTCATTGTCCCTGGAGATGGACCAAATAGAAGAATAAGCAGTGCCTGTGTGGTGAGCTTCAAGAGGCATCTGTTCTCTGGGGAGTGGGTGGGTGGTAAAGCAAAGACGGGAGATGTGTATATTAGCTATCCATTACTGTATAATTAATTATACACAAAACTAAACTATACACTAAACTAAAACTTCACAGCTTAAAACAGGAAATATGTATTATCTCACACAATTTCTGAGAGTCAGGAATCTGAAAATGGCTTAGCTAGTTTGGTTCTGGCTCAGGGTGACCTATGGAGTTGCAGCCAAGATGTCATCTGGGACTACTATCATTGGAAGGCTCAGCTGGGGCTGGAGGCTACACTTCCAAGATGGCTCACTTATAGGGCTATTGGTGGGAGGCTTCAGTTCCTCTCCACATGAAACTTTCCTCATGCCATGGAACTGGCTTCCCTCAGAGTGAAAGACCCAAGAGAGAGACTAAGACAGAAGCTGCAATGTTTTTATGACCTAGTCTTGGAAGTGACTTACTGTCATTTCTACTGTATTTTATTCATTAGAAGCAAGTCATTAAGTCCAGCCCACATTCAAAGTAAGAGGATTTAAGCTGAACCTCTTGAAAAAATGGTATCAAAGTATTTACGGACATTTTAAAAACTACCACAATACATATAGGTGAACTTCACAAGGTGTAGACATGGGCTGAGACAGAATATTGGATAATATCTCATTCTGCAAACAGCAGCCTCATCTGTAATAAAATCCCAGCATTCAGAAATTATCACGATCAAGTAGGAAAAGGGCTTGTTGGAAAAAACTTATCAAAGATGTTACTTCATTTATCCATTTATTCTGAGCCATAGCATAATAGCGACAAATTGTGTGTCCTGTGTAATTTGGATACCTCTGCTCAATAATAGCTGAACAGATTTTATCCTATTTTTAGAATAGTTAATATATACACATGGCACAAAATTTAAAAGGTATAAAAGTTTCTGGTTCAAAAATAAGATTCCCTCATTTTCTTTTTTTCTGATTCTTTGAATGCAATTCGATTTACTGATTTCTCATGTAGCCTTAGAAAGTATTCTATGTACTTACAAACATATATGTACACATATTTTTTCTTTCCCACAAATAAAATACTGTATGCATTGTTTTATTCTTGGCTTTTTTTCAATGGACAGTATATCTTCAAGGACTTCTACAATAGCACATATAGACCTGCTTTATCTTTTTTTAAATGTCTGTCTAGTACTGCATTATATTTATTTAAGCAGTCATCTATTGACAGACGACATTAGGTTGTTTCCAGTCTCTTGTTACTATGGACAAAGCTGCAATGACTATCTCTGCACATTCATCATTTCTCACACAGGAGTAGAATTCTTCTTCATTTGTAACATTGACAGATATTGACAAATTTCTCTCCAAAAGGGCTTACCATTTTGCTCTCACTACAATATGAATGCCTGTTTCTTCAACCCTTGGCAGTACAATAGGTTACCCACTTTTTGATATTTGCCAATTAGGTAGGCACAAATGGTCTGCAGTTGCAGTTTTAATTTTTATTATCTTTATGAATGAGGTTGGGCCTCCTTTTATATGCTTAAAATCATCTGCATTTGCTTTACTATGAATTATTTGTTCTTAATCTTTACCCGTCTTTATATTGAGTTGGTGGGTTTTTATTTTCCTTACTGATGAGTGGGAGTTCCTTAGGATTAAAGAAATTAGCTCTTCTAAAGAATCGGTATACATGGACAGACAGAGTGGAATAATAAACATTGGAGACTCTGAAAGGTAGGGATAAAATACTGCCTACTGGGTACAATGTACGCTATTTGGGTGATGGGTATGCTAAAACCCTAGACATCACCTCTATGCAATACATCTATGTAAGAAAACTGCACTTGTACCTCCAAATCTATTTCTTTTTAAAAGAAATTAGCTCTTCATCTAGAGTGTGAGTGGCACGTATTTTTTCAAGTGTGTTTTTTCCATTTGTTTTTTGACTTTTTATTGGTTTTCTTTTTCTTTTTCCATGTAGTAATTTTAAAAAATATTTTTCTGTGGTCACATTTATCAGTTTTTTTCTCTTATAGTTTCTGGGTTTGCATCATTCTTAGAAAGTCTTCCCACTCCTAGGGTTACTAAGAATCCTCTTAAGGTTTCTTTTAGTACCATCATAATTTGATTTTTACATTTCAAATTTGACTGAATTGGTTCTTTTAATGCTTTACACTCTACCGAAGTATAAAATACTGCACTGACCATGTTTGTTTTGTTTCTGGTTCAGATATTTCTAGTTTATTCTCAGTTTTCTTCGTTTGTGAAATAGAGATAATAAGTATTACTGAGTACCATCCATGACTTTTAGTGGAGAGATGCCATCTTGATGACTGAAAGCTAAACCAGAGTTTTCTTCCTCATTCTCATTACTTAGAAACCTTTGCTGATGATTAGGTTTGGTGCCCTAATGGGACAATTGAGACTAACACGGTCTATAAGATAACTTGCTTCAATTTAAAAAGGCAAAATCAAATTAGCCATTTCATATCTGCCTACATAGGGGCTACTGCTTTCATTTGTAATGTTTAATTACATTTTTTTCCCCAAGAATACATACACACGGCTATCACTTCTAAAATAATTTTGGCTCCCTATGAAGCAGAATTGGAAAGTGTCTTAAAGTTAGTTTTGAATTGGTTATTTGGAATTCAAAATGATACTTCATTAAAACAATACCTTAAATATTGGTTAGGTTCTTGAGCCTTATTACAAATTCCATACTTATGTATTTATGATTCAGAATAGGAGGAATGGTGCTATGTCAATGACATGTAATGATATTTAATAACAGTGTGTCCCTGTTAATATGTGTCTGAGTGGCATATCAGGAATCCCAAATATGTCTTCCCCAGTCCTTCCCGTGCATCCTAGCAGCAGATGTGAGAACCCCAATAGCCCACTGGGAACTGGTTGCAAGGCCAGAAAGGACACTCTGGTCAGGAGAATACCTCTTTATATTAGTACCAGGGAAAGCTGTTTTCTAATATTTGGCAGTTGTCCTGAATAGGATAACTAGAGAAATTAGGTCTGTGGTGTAGAATTTCAGAGGCGTATCATATTTTTTCTTGGCAAATAATATGGTTTTGCTGTATCCCCACCCAAATCTCATCTTGAATTGTAGCTCCCACAATTCTCACGTGTTGTGGGAGGGACCTGGTGGGAGGTAATTGAATAATGGGAATGGGTCTTTCCTGTGCTATTCTCATGATAGTGAATAAGTCTCACAAGATCTGATGGTTTTATAAGGGGAAGTTCCCCTGCACACACTGTCTCTTGCCTGCTGCCATGTAATACGTCCCTTGCCCTTCCGCCATGATTGTGAGGCCTCCCCAGCCATGTGCAACCGTGAGTCAATTAAACCTCTTTTCTTTATAAATCACCCAGTCTTGGGTATGTCTTTATTAGCAGTGTGAGAGCAGACTAATACAGCAAACAATTAGCTTTAGGGAAGCTGGCAAGCATGAAATAGCGTCTTAGCCATCAAGGTGGGTTTTAAGGGAAGGGAGGTCCTGGAGAAGAGAAGGCAGAAGGCAGATCCCCAAGACAAGGATTCAGCCATACACAGAAAGAAGATAGCAATGTAGGTGTCTGGCATGGGAAGCAAGGTGGGAATTGAGGCTCGAGAATAAGAAAAAATCTAGATATCAGGACTAAAGTCTAAGACTACCTAGAAGAGTGAAATTATGCTGAGCCCCACACTGATGGTTTGGAGATAATTCATCTCCAGTGTTTAAGGTAGGGACCTGGGAACTGGGCCAAAGCATGGGTGAAAGGTGAGAATGAAGCGGGTCTGACTGTGGGGCAAGGAGAGGACAGTGGCTGATTATGGGACAGGGAAGATGTTTACCACCTCTGAGTGGAAGTTTATCACCACCGAGAAAGTGGATGACCATTATTTGGTGAACTACTTATACTGCTGTATTTTGTGTATAGTACTAAATATATATATATATTTGTTTCAGGATTATTTAATGGTTTTGCCCATGTGGAAAGAGGCATATGCTTATTCTATTTCTCAATGACATTTATGAGTGCTATAATTATAATAACAATGATGAAAGTTTGACTAATCAATATGTAAATAGTACTTATAGTGAGCCAAATCTATTAGAAAGCCAGCCAGTCTAAAAGAGAATAAAGTTCCCATATTGCAAATACAAATTATGATAGTTTGGAATAAAAATCAAATTATATTTTGCTCTGTGATGCATTGTGCATGCTATCTATGTTCTTTGCGTCTCCTTCCATCTGTCTTCCCGCTGTTTCCCTGCTCATTAACACCTCTACTAGAAAGTGGGCAGGGTGATGACAAGAAATAAAAATACAAGTTGAACTGCAACTAAGAATTTAACATTTAAAAAATGCCAACGTAAGAATGATATAAATATCTCAATTGTGAAAATAGACTGCGACCCTGGTTAGTATATGGTATTTTAAATATGTGAAAAATGTGAGGAATTGGAGCACATCCCATAAAAAAGAACAAGTTCACAGAATGTTATCAAGGGAAAGGACTGCAGAGATAGACTGCAGGAGCATCTTTCCATACAGGTGGGAAATGCAGAAAAATTCATTAAAAAAAAAAAAACGAATTAGCAAGTACGCGTAAACTCTGAAGACCTAAACACATTTCTGGAAGCTAACTGCAAAGCTTGGCCTAAACATGGAAATGCTGAGGTCACTTGCTGGAGTCAGGTACGGCATCTGCAATGGAAAGATTTTTTTTTTTTTAAAGAAGGTTATTTCAACATTTTCAAAAAGGAGGCTGGGGTGGAAATATATGACACTAGGTAAATATACATCAAAATATTTATATCATAATAGGCATGTAGTTTATTTAGGCTACTTTTATTATGTTTATACTTTACATCTCAAGATTTCTACAATGAACATGTATCAATTTTATTATGGGAAAGTGGGCTTTAAATAAAAAATTTATGTTCTGCTCTCATTTGCTTATCTGTCAGTGGAGTTTCTTCAGTGAATTTTACTAGTCAACCCGTTTTTACAATGGGATTGAGACAGGGATCAATGCTGGGAATTTCTGACATGCAAATGATTTTAATGATGAAAGCATGGAGTTTAGTCCCAATGAGGTCATGTATGCATGCTGATTAGATTTATCAGACTGCTTCTAAGCAGGAAGGACTTTTAAAATTTAAAGATTGAGCGACCCAACTTATAGGAAATTCAGTGGCTCAAACTATATTTTCCAAGTGGTGTGATAAGATAATTAGACACAATTAACTTGCAGCTAGAAGACAATTACCACCACAAAATGTTAATTGTTTGTTCTAGAAATTCCTGCATTCAGTCTCAAATTAGAAGTATGTATTAATATATATAATATTATACAAATATATTATTCATTACATATTACATGTAAAAGCTAATTGAGTATTACACATATTATTTATTAGTGAATCTCCCTGAGCTTCAAGGAAATTATAGACTTCAAAAAATTTTTGTGGCCTTTGGTACAAATGAAGCCGATTTTAGAATTTCACAGATTCTTTTATGAGGATAAATAAGTTTTTGTTTATATTTTTGTGGTACAAACCTAATAAAGTGCCCAAATCATCGGCCTAAACATGGAACTTATTTCAAGATGTATTGATTGATTTAATAACACAAAGTTGCTGAAGTTTTTAAGATATATTATCTGAAACCAACTGGAAATTTCTGATTATATTTCCAAATCTGGGCAAACTTTGGTGAACCCTATGTCTGTGAAAATGCACACTTGCTTATGAATCTGATAAGCTTTATTCTGAGATCCACTGTGAGTAATGCAAAACTGAATTCAGAATTGAGGATGTCCTGAGTTTACCCCAGAATTCACCAAAATATTCTAATTTGTTAAATACAAAAACTCTCATTGAAATGGATGAAAATGATCATGATTAGCATTAAAGCCGTAAGTGTAGATTAAGTAGCTTTCTGTTTAATGCTTCTAAATAGAATGCTTCTAATGGTACACCCATGTTATTTTCTATTAAGATATATTCCACTCATGTTTATCAATAAAAGCTATATGTATCACACACATACTGATTTCTGAAAATTGAAGTTTATACAAGTAAAGTAATTTTTTCAAAGTTACAGCATGGCTGGCTAGAACCTAGGTATGCAAAATCATACATAATCAGTGGTCATTCTACGAAACAATGCTACTTCTCCCTGTCGTTAGAGAACTAGGAGGGACCTTTGAAGGAATTTGATAGGAACTGAAAGTATTGTCATGTATAATTATAAGAAAGAAAGGTTAAAGTGTTTCCCAAAATAATTTTTACTTTATAAATGATTGATTACAAAAAGATTAGAAGATAAGATTAATTAGGTTTGTATGCCTCTTTTACAATTTATTACTTGTCATTGTACAAGTTTTAAAATTTCTGCCTTTTGCTTTTCATTTTTAAAATGGGGATAATAACTGTGCCTGTATCACATGGTTGTATTGGTGACTATGATTTAATAATATAAAAGGCTTGGACAATGCAATATATCAGTGTAGCAAAATTTCATTTATACCCCATGATTATATACAAATAAAAAAGAGAAAAATAACAATAATAAAATTAAAATAAAATAAAAAATAGCTTTGCAGTGAAAAATAATAATATAAAAAGCTTGGGACAGTGTTTGACACATCATAAGTGTTCAAAAAACATTAGATGTTATTATCACTATATGTCAAGCACTATGTTTTGCCCTTAGTATACATAATTTTAATCATTCCTTACAACAGCAGTGGGAGGATAAATATTATCATTCCCACATGGCAGTTTTCGTAAGTGACCATTTTTGCATGGCTAATATGATTAAAAGTCAACATTCATACCCAGATCTGTGTAAGTCTAGAACAGCAAGTTGGTAAATTAAAAACTATTTTACATTTTCAAAGAGTTGTTAAAAAAATGGGACAGAGACCATCTGTAGCCTGCAATGCCTGTAATACTTACTGTCTGAACCTTTAGAGAACATGTTTGCTGACTGCCACTCTAGTGCAGTTTTTTCTTCTGTAATATCAGACTAGGCTGCCTCCTGAAAACCAGATGCCTATTTTAATTGATAAAATCATTCATGTTTTCATTTATTTGACAGATATTTATTGAGTACTTGATATTTGTGAGGCGTGTGTCAAAGTTTGTTCAGGCTGCTCTAACAAGATACCTTAGACTAGGTAATTTACAAACAACGGAAATTTATTGCTCACAGTTCTGGAGCCCAGTAAGTCTAAGATCAAGGCAGCAGCAGATTTGGTGTCGGGAGAGGGTTCATTCTCTACTTCATAGATGGTATCTTCTTGCTGCACCCTAACATAGTAAAGGACAAACAAACTTCTTTGTCCTCTTTCATAAAGGTACTAGCCCCATGACCGAATCACCTCCCAAAGGCCCCACCTCTTAAAACTATTGCCTTGGGAATTAGGTTTCAACATACAATTTTTTTTGTTGTTGGGTTGGGGGATACAAAATTTAGATCATCACGGCATTTTCTAGACCTGTGGGTACCAGGTCTAGGAAAATGAGTGAGATAATAACATTTCCATCAAGAAAGTTGCAATCCTGTGAGGAAGTCTAAGAGAAAATAGACAATCATGGGACAGGGTGAAAGGTATTTTGGTTCAATATCACAGGCTTCTGTGGAAACACATAGGAGGGACTTTGAATGTAGCATTAAGGAGTCAGATATACCTTCCTGGTGGAACTGATACTTGAAATAAGTCCGAATTTTTAGTTTAAGAGTAGGTATAGAGTATTCTAAATTACTGGAGAAGCAAATAAGTACAATGCAAAAAGAAGTATGAGAATCTGAAACGTAGTTGAAGTTTATGGTAATGGTGGAACTTAGGAGGAGGGTCCCTGTTAAAAGAGAGGGTGAGAAAGAAAGAGTGCAAAGTATAAATATCATGCATGTCGTGCTACTGTTTAAAATTTATCCTGAAGGCTATGAACATTGTCACACTGTGGGATTATTGGAAACTTTCAGCAGGGAAGTGACACACTAAAATTTACATTTTCGAATGATCCTTCTGGAAGCATGGGAGATGAAGAACAAGGATTCAAGAGTGAGGACAGGGCTTGCAGCCATGGAGTTAAAGGGCCTGGATTTACCCTCATGTCTTGATCAACTCTAACATTACATGAAGAAGACTTCTCCTCAGACATTGGACAATAGGCAGCACAAGAAGGACTGTGAATCTCGGGGGAAGAGAAGTAAGTGAGGTGAGCCCTGCACTGCAATTGCCTAGGATTTTCGCCTGGAGGCACATTTTAGACTGCAGAGCAGAGAGGGAGATTCCAAGCAAGGAAAAGTTGTCTTATATAATTGAGGAGGCAGAACTTGAAGTTTAGGAAGTCTGGTGTCTGTAAATGGTGAGGCAGAGATCTACAGAGTAGGGAGCTACACAGAAAACGGGCTTGAGAAATATACACAGTGGGTCCCATGAGTCTGAAAAATATCAAGACAATGCACAGCGTGAAATGCTACAAGGCTGGGCAAAGAACAACTGTGGAGTTATGAGAGGAGCGTATTTCCACAATACACACAGACTGCGGAATCATTTGCATTACCACCAGATAGCATGGAGAGCCCTCATTGAGCCTCTTTACTTGGAGAATGCAGTAAAGACTCCATCCAGAAGGACTACTCTGCAGTAGTGGGCTAACCCATTCCTAGAGGAAAGGTTTCTCTAGCCCTGCCCAAGCACAACTTAAAAGCAAGTCTCAAAACCATCTAACTAAATACTTATATTAGAAAAGAAGTAGTATCAACAATCAATGATCTAAATTTATTAGAGTCTAAATTCCCACCACAAGAGGCTGGAAAAGAGAAGAAAAGTTAAACCAAAGTAAGCAGAAGGAAGAGAATAAAAATGATAACAAAAATAGAAAACCCAAGACAAACTGAGAAAATTTATGAAACCCCAAGCTGGGTTTTTGACAACATCAGTAATATTGGTAAATATCTAGCAAAACTGATACAGGAAAAAAAGGGAAGACAAAAAATTATCAGTCAAGAATTAAAGAGGGGACATCATTAACTATCCTATAGATTTTACCCAGATAATAAGGGAATATTAGTAACAAATTTATAATGACAAAGTTGGATTGTTGGGAAAAGCATCCTGTGGTAGCAGTAAGTAGCCATCCAACAAAAGCCACTATAACAATAACAAAAACACATCATTCATTAACCAATTTTATGTGGCAGGTCCTGGTTAAAGACAGTGGAAAGAAACCAAAACCAACTAAAGAAGAAAAGCAAGGATTATTTATTCAGTGTTTGCTATAGCAAGGGGAGTCTGCCACTGTCACTTGTGTTTTGGGAGAGAATCAAAGGCAAGCAGAGGAGTGGGAAGCTTCATAGTGAGAAATAAAGGGAAGGCTTCAATCATACCCTGACTGGAGGCTGTTGTCTTGGGGAAGTTGGAGGTAGGCTAACCAGAAGCAGAACATCCTCTGTGATTGCTTAGGGGTGCATATTTGGCTTTCTCTGGTTTGTCCTAAGTTTGGAGTGGGGACAGATATTGGGAAAGCTGTCAGTTATGAATCAAGTCCTGGCCATTTTGAGCCGATTGTTACAGAAGTTTTTGCTTAGCTTCCTATATTGTTTCTACAGATAGCAGCCTGACTTATAGCAGGCTGGCTTCCTGGACTATTTATTGAAGTTAACAGATTGGCTTTCTGGACAAGATTCTGGAGGTTGATGGTCAAAGTTCTATTTTTATACATGGATTAGTTCATGTCAGTTTGTATATTCAGTCCCTCAGTAATAAATGATATAGTGATACCCAATTCATTCTGAAAGCATAATGAAAAGAGTGACCCAGTCTTCCTGGGAGCATCCGAGAAGCCTTTACAGTGAAGCTAATATTTGAAGTTGCCTTAAATTCTGAGGCAAAAAGAAGATGAGAAGAAATTGCTACCAGAGATGACCACATTAAAAAAAATAATAAGCAGGTGGGTGGGTGGTGTGTTTGAAGATTAGTGACCTTTTAAAGAAGCTTGAACATAGGCGGGTGGAGGCAGACAGCCAGGAAAGAAAGGTGGAACCAAAATGTAATGGACTTTGAGTGTTGTTCTAAGATGTAATCTTATGGGCTCCAAGGGAGACAGGATGCTTTAAAGCCAATAGTTATAATATTAGACTTGTATTTTAGGAACATGATCCTTTTGATAGTGGAAAATATGCATGGGGTGGGTCAGGAAACTGGAAACTTGCACACAAGCTAGGATGGTATTTTACCAATTGGAGGAAGTGGTGGGAAAGGCCTTGATTTGGGCAGGGACGGTGGGGATACAGCAAAGGGCAGATAGAACAACCAGGGCAACATTTTGGACATGCAGTGCGTGCTCCGTAAATATCTGTTATATTTTTAAGTGAATAAATGGGACATTTAGGAAGTGGAATGGGTTAGGTTTGGTGACTGATTGGATATTATAAGGACAGGAAATAGTCAAGAACTACTAAAGTTTTTAGCTTCAGTGACTGATTGTATAGCAATGCTATCAGCCAAAGTGTGAAAAATAGGGGTGTGGCAGTTTATGAGTGAGGATGCCAAGTTTCATTTGGGGCATGTCTTTAGGGCTTATAAAATTGGAATCAGGGTTTGGGGGGGTCACTGATGGCACATAGGTAATAGCTGGAATTATGCAAAGAGGTGGGATTGGTCAGAAAGACTTTCCAAAGCTAGGGGAGAGGGTCCAGTCCTTGAATGCACTGATTCTCACTTTTTAAAATTATTTATTTATTTTTTTTGAGCCAGAGTCTCACCCTGTTGCCCAGGCTGGAGTGTAGTGGTATGATTTCGGCTCACTGCAACCTCTGCCTCCCAGGTTCAAGCAATTCTCATGCCTCAGCCTCCTGAGTAGATGGGACTATGGGCACATGCCCAACTAATTTTTGTATTTTTAGTAGAGATGGGGTTTGGCCCTGTTGGACAGGTTGGTCTCGAATTCCTGACCTCAAGTGATCCACATGCCTCAGCCTCTCAAAGTGCTAGGTTTACAGGCATGAGCCACCATGCCAGCCTGCACTGATTTTTAAACAGTGGATAAAAGAGGAAGAAACAGTGTTTGCCATTAAATACTGTTGTGTGCTACTTCTTTGGAATTTTTCCTTTAGTTTCTTGCACACAGTTTAACCATTCATCTACTTGTATGTAGGGAGATGAAACAGAATACCTTTTAAGGAAAACTATGGAAATCACATTGGGTGGAATGTACAGAATTCGGAGACTCTGACTCTTTGAGTCCTGAGCTTTGCGTGAGGGTGAATGACCTGTTGCACAAAGGGACCTGAGTTAAAATCCAAGCTCACCTAATTTCTGTGACCTTGGCCACATTACTTTTCTCAGTTATACACTGAGGTTAATGATATCTATTTTAAAGAGTTTTTAGGATTAAATGAGATAATTCTACATAATATATGTAAAGTGCCCACTGGTGTCTTGCATGTAGTTTGTGCTCAATAAATATAAGTTGTTATTATTTTTGAAGACCTAGAAGAATGACACTCAAGAAAAGCCATCAATGCAATTTTTTTAAATAAAATAAAATTATGGTATTATTTTTGTTGTTTATATTGCAAAGTTGATCATGTGAATTTCACATTTCTCTCTTTTAATTCTCCCCTACCTAAGAAAAAACAAAATCAATTTTTTTTCTAGAGAGGGATTTTGAAAAAGTTTCAAAATAGCATTTTCAAAATAGCATTTTATTATTTCTTTGGTTCAACACGTGTTTATCCTTATCTAAAATTACCCTGAAGATTATTTCCTAATATGGAATAAATGCTTCTAGGTTACAAGCATTTATTGGGTGCCTTACCATGCATCAGTTACTGTGCTCAATGCCAGAATACAAAGATGAGTCAGGAGACTTCTCTTGAGAAATTCATTCATTCATTTACTCAATTAATTATTTATGTAACTCCTTCTAAAGGGCAAGTGCTTATCTCAGTGGTAAAGGTAGAGCAGGGATAGAATAAATGCACAAAAAGACTCGGAGCTTTGGCAGACTGTATTAAAGTGAAGGGAGACATGAGAGAAAATAATAAACAGGTAAATCGAGAAGGTAAGTTTAGATGTTGCTTAGTGGAAAAAAAGTGAAAAGAAATAATAGGTAGAGATTGATTGGAAGAGAACAGCATGTGTGGCCAGATGGCCTCTGGGGATTGGGGTAGGATTGGGGAGGAGGATGAGAGAAATGAGTCAAAATAATTATTATAAAACAAAAATATTGCATAATTGGGAGCAAAGGAAATTATAGACATCACGCACACAAAAAAAAACAGCCCAAGGAGGAAAAAGCTATAAATGCTTAAAATATATTAATTTGGAATCACATTTTAATCATTTTAGAGGTTTTATATGCTCATGACTCCCACTTTAACCTCATTCTTGAACTAATGATAATACTTAAGGTAGGGGGAAAAAAAGATCTCTTTCTCTGTTCTCCCAAATACTCACTTTGGGTAAACATCCTGATTGCAAATTAACCTCAGTCATGTTGGATAGAATTTTTGTTATAAGTAAGATTTTTGTGTTGGTCATTCTCCCAACCAAGTAGATCTTCATTATCTGTATCCTTGAAGTTCTAGCTACGGTCTTTAAATTATCCAACCAGCATGTAGAATCAAAGTGATACTGAAAGTCATAAGACTTTGAAACTAGAAAGGACCATTTTGTCTAATTCATCCTTAATTCGCAGCAGGTGGAATGGAGGCTCAGAAATAAATAACAGAGAGTGAAAAACAGTAATTGGCAGAGCAAGAACAGAAACCCTGGTTTCATATCACCAGATTCATTGATTGAGATCTTTCCAGTCTTCCCATCTATTCAAGAAACTAGCACTTCCTAAATGCCAGGCACTGTAAAGCTCTGGGTTCCTGGATGAGTAATAAGTTTCTCTGCAAGAAAACACTCTCTCATTCCCTAGAACATTGTAGAGTACTAAAAGATGTCTCAATTAAGCAAATGATAATTCATAACCTCTCAAAGTACAATAGACATTATTGAAAATGTCTAATTGTCACTTGAGAGCAAATCTTCGACATGCTTATTCTTTACCCTTTTGCATCAAGAGTTTTAAAAATGATATTTCAATGGAGAAGGCTTTGGAATGATAGATTTGGAGCTTAATCTAGACTGAGACTTACCACCTTTTGACCTAGGAAAAGTTGTTGAGCTTCACTTTCTAGTGGCAAAATGTGACCAAAGTTACCAGCCCAATGCCAGGGACTCATAGAACTTGGTGTGTTGATGGAACTGTCCTTCAGTTGCACTGCTTGAGGTTAGGAGGCTGCAGGAGGTTGGGCTGAGAAGGCCCTTGGGCCCACAGTCTTCAAACCCCAGTACACCCAGCTCTTCTCTACTTCCCCAAAGCTCTCAGGGCCCTTTGCAAACAAGAACTCATGCAGGACAGTGAACTCTGCCCTACATCCAAGGGAGAAACCTGAACTTGGGAGTTGGAGGTTGCAATGAACACTACATCACCGGCCACTCCTACTCAGCCTCTGTGATTAGTTCTTCTCATCTCTGATCTCTGAATGCTGTCATGTTCCAGGGCTCAATCTCTGTAGTGCTTTTCTTTTCTGTCTACATTACCCTTTGTCATATCATCCAGCCTTCTGATTTTAAATGCCATCTATACATAATTCTGATGTATATATTAACTCTAGAGTTGGAAGTCTCAACTCATATTTGACTACCTCCTCTTGGTTGTCTAATAGTCAATTCAAAATTAGTAAATCCAGATCGAGCTCCTGATTTCCCTCACCAAACTTCCTCCTGGGTGGTCTTTCCCAACTCACTAACATGGCAACTCCACTTGTTTTTTCAGTTGCTAAGGTCAAAAACTGTATTCTTGATTTCTTTTTCTTACATCCAACATTCAACCTATCAGGAATCTTGTTGGTTCTATCTTCAAAATATGTTGAAACCTATCTTTTAACCACTTTCACCACTAAGAGTCTGGTTCAGCCCCCATCATCTCCTGCCCAGATGACGCAAGAGCAGCGGTCTCAGTTTCAGTGCTCAGTCCCTCTGTTTCTGTATTTTCCCTCTTACTGTCTACTTTCAAAAGCGGCCAGAGTGATCAGAGTGAAATGGAAATCAGATGTTCCTCTTCTGCCCAAAGTTCTCTACTGGTTTTCTATCTCACTCAGTGAAAGCCAGAGTTCTTAGAATGATCCCAAATGATTAACAGGGTCTGTCCCATAACAATTCTTTATTTTTCTCTGCTGTTATTCTCCTACCCAATCTCTCTACTTCAGCCACACTGGTCACTTAATTTTTTTTTTTTTAACATTCATGGAAACTTCTGTCTCAGGGCTTTTGCACTTGCTGCTGCTTTTGCCTGAAATGATTTTCCCTCAGAGGTTTGCCAAGCTCTTCTTCCCCACCTTCTGAGTGAGGAATTTCCTGACTATCCTATCTGAAATTGCAAAGCTCCCTCCAACCCCAGTACCCTCCAATTCTCTTTGTAACTTTATTTTTCTCTCTATATTATCTGCCTATGTATCTATGTATCTATCTATCTACCTATCATCTATCTATTTTTCTATTTATCTGTTGTTTATATTTCCCCAATAAAATATGAGCAATGTTTTTTTCCTTTGTTTTCCGTTTTATCCATTTCTATATCCCTAGTGCCTAGAGCTAAGTCCTGATGGGTGGGAGGTGTTTTGTAAGTATTTGTGTGATAAATAAGTGGTGTTATCCTTAATAGTTGTACAATATTTTTTTATAAAAAGGCATTTTGGGCCAGGCGTGGTGGCTCATGCCTGTAATCTCAGCACTTTGGGAGGCCGAGATGGGCGGATCACGAGGTCAGGAGATCGAGACCATCCTGGCTAACACAGTGAAACCCCGTCTTTACTAAAAATACAAAAAAAAATTGGGCGCACGCCTGTAGTCCCAGCTACTCAAGAGGCTGAGGCAGGAGAATGGCATGAACCTGGGAGGCAGAGTTTGCAGTGAGCCGCAATCGCGCCACTGCACTCCAGCCTGGGCAACAGAGTGAGACTCCGTCTCAAAATATAAAAATAAAAAAATAAAAATAAAAAGACGTTTTGCTTCATTTTTAGTTTATCTGTTTTTAAATAAATTCTAATTCTTTAGATAATAGTGGGCTTTAGGGTCAAGGATAAAGTGGGAGGATATATCAAAACCACCTGCAACACACCAAAAACAGAAAAAATCATAGACAGTGAATTTTGCAAATGTTAAAAATAAACCATTCTACTCAAAAAGGAGAGAGAGAGAGAAGAGGGAGAGAGACAGAGAGAGAGAGAGAGAGAGAGAGAAATTCCCAGGGGCTAGAACAGAGAAAGTCCATCAGAGTTGGGGTTAAAGTGTCATGCCCAATGGCAAAGAGGACCAAATTAGGAAAAAAGGGACTGAGGTTTCAGTGCCTGTTCAGGAGGTGGAGTTAAGGGTGTGTTGGCCAAGGTGGAGGACCACAGTGGAGCCACCAGTGGAAGGCTGGAGGTGGGCAGGGGTGAGGTGTTGAGTTAGTTCCAATCGATGTAGAGGAAGAATAACCCATGAAGGGCTGGAGCCTGGCCCATATCACTTGCATGGGGCCCCAAATTGCACAATTCAGGTGGAGCAGTAGCCTTCAGGTTCTAATTTCAGGGTGGGTTTAGAGCCCTGAAACCCAGAGAACCAGACTGTGCACATCAAACTCATGATGGTCTTGCCTCTAGGAAGGGTGGGGAAGGGAGGTGGCAAAGAGGACTTTACCTACAGTGTTTATTGAAAGGAACAATACAGATGTGAAGAAATTGTTATCAATTTTCAATTATTGTGAAAATGTGGATTTTTTCTGCCATTCTAAGTACTTTTCTGTAATTATTTTAATATCACAATTATTTTCAAAAGAAAAAAATTAAAGAAATAGGGTAGTCTTTTAAAACTAAGAGTATCTAGTCTTTCTGTGATATTTCTAGTGACTTAGGTCCACTTCCCATATACTTTAACTGGTAGTATCAGGAGTGATTTTAAAAAAGAGCAAATGTCTATTAATATATGTTTTTCCTATTTTGTTTGAATGATAATATATGACAATCTGTTAAAAAGTACTTTCTTGGGTTAAAAGTAAAAAAATGAAATCTGATTTTTTCCTTTTGTTACCTTGATCAATTGTGATAGCACTGACTTAGATAGAATGCAAACCATAGGACAACTCATACAATTCCCATCCTATGGCATTTTATAGTGAAGGAGAATTAAAGTCAAAAGAGGCAGTCAAGTATCTTTGGATATTTATACGTAATTGTCAAGTAGACTTTATATTAAGTGCATAGTTGTATGTGTTAGTGTATTGCTTTATTATTTATTTATTTATTAAATTCCATTTTTATTTTAGATTTAGGGGGTACACGTGCAGGTTTGTTACAAGGGTATTTTGCATAATGCTGAGGTTTGGGCTTCTATAGATCCTGTCACCCAGATAGTGAACATAGGATCCAATAGAAAGTTTTTCAGCCCTTGCCCCACTCTCTCCCTCCCTCCTTTTGGAGTCCACAATGGTGTCTATGGTTCCCTTGCTTATGTCTCTGTGACCCCAAGGTTTAGCTCCCATTTATAAGTGAGAACATGCAATGTTTGGTTTTCTGTTTCTGCATTAGTTTGCTTAGGATAACAGCTTCCAGCTGCATCCATGCTGCTACAAAGGACACAATTTTGTTCTTTAAATTAAAATTTAAAACATTTTTTAAAAGAAATAATCCAAGATGTTTTCTTGCTTAGTGAAAACTGCTCAGGTGTACATCTGGAATATTTATTTGCTGTAAGACTTCCTGGAAATTGCTACTGGATATAATAATGTACTATTGATATGGTTTGGATGTCCCTTCCAAATCTCATGTTGAGATGTAATCCTCCTTGGTGGGTGGACAGGCAGGGGGCCTGGTGGGAGGTGTTTGGGTCTTGAGAGTGCATCCCTCATGCCTTGGTGCTGTCCTCACCATAGTGAGTGTGTTCTCATGAGATCTGGTTGTTTAAAAGTGTGTGGCTTCTCTCCCCACCACCTTGCTCCTGCTTTCACCATGTGAAGTGCTTGCTCCCACTTTCCCTTCCACCATGAATGAAAACTTCCTGAGGCCTCCCCAGAAGCAGATGCTGGCATCATCTTAGGAAGGATGCAGCCTGCAGAACCATGAGCCATTAAACTTATTTTCTTATCCAGTCTCAAGCATTTCTCTACAACAATGCAGAACAGCCTAATACAACTATTAATCCATATTCATGTCTATACCAACAGCAATACTTTGCTGATAGCAAACGGGTATGTATGCTAACACTCCTGAAAAAAAAACACCTTCCATTTTCCTCAAGGCCAATTTGGAATAAGAGAGGCATTGTTATTCTGCATCATTGCATCATACATCATGCTTTCAGATATGGGATTTCGCTCTTGAAATTTCACCTTTTAAAAGAAAATTCTCTGCTTTTCAAAAATAAAGGTATTTTCTTTGGAGAAATAATCTCCACTCAAAATGTAATTTAAAAAAAAACATGCTTTTGAATCACACTCTTGCATCCCCTTTTCACTTTTTGTTTTGGCTCACTGCAGATTTGAAAGCTGCTAAACAGATCTTACTCAAATTTTCCAAAACAATTCTTTATTGGAAAAAGATTAGGAATCAGAAACGTAAAATTATGAGCCCAAGAATGCTCTTCTAAATTTTAAGAATTTGATGAATCTAGATATTTAAAATAAAACTCCTTCTCTTGTATACACTTACTTAATTTTTCCATTGTAATTACTCGGCATTTCATGTAGATGCACATATAGTCAAATTTTTATATGATCTGCTTGGTTCTTACATCCAATCTTGGCAACTGTGGCCTGGGATGAAAGCCAAATCTGTTCCTAACAGAGTGATTATCCATTCTTCCATTACTTATTCCATTTAGAGTATGTGGATATGTTAATGTCTGCAGAACATTTTAAGATGTTCAGAGTAAAAGAGCTTTATTAATTCCAGATTTGTGACCAAAGATGGGGATCTTTTAAATGGAAATGGCAATTGGGAAATCCAGGACATAAAAGTAGAAGGGGCATTTTAACCAAGGAGGGATGAGAAAGGTTATGAGAAATAGAAATAGAGAGATGAAAATATAAAAAGAGATCTGGATCTAACACAATCCCAGGAGTAACATTCCAGGAGTTCTAACAACAACTGATAATGTCTTAACATTGATATTCTCATCAATCGTAACTGTGCTTGGAAGTCATACGAGACACTAATAATATAGTACTCGTGATGGGCTTAGGTTATATGCCATTCTCTTGGAATTTCAAAGGGTTAGAATAGCTTTCATGAAGTGAGAGTGAAGCATGTATGCTTGTCTTCAGACCATCACAACTGAGAAAAATAATTATATTAATAAAAGGGCTTAATTAGAAAGGAGCCATTTGAGAAGAATTAAGTCACTTTGATTAATATAATTACCTTTCTCACAGAATTAATCAAGATTTAACTTTAACATATAACCCCAGATCACTTGCTAGAATTCTGTGTGTCTGAAAACCAAGTTTTGAAACTCACTTTTCATGTAGATTCATTATCCTGGTGTTCCCAAACTTAGTTTATCAGCTGGAACAACTGTGGAGCTTTGGCCACCACCCCAGACCACTAACTCAGAATCCCTAAGATGGAGACTGGGAATTTAGGTTGCTTGCTTAACCCTCTACATCAGAGGTCTTTAACCTTTTTGGCACCGGGGCCCGTTTGATGGAAGGCAATTTTTCCACAATGGGGCAGGGAGAGGGGGATGGTTTCAAGGTGAAACTTCCTGATTCTCAGATTCCTGAATCCTCAGATTATCAGGCATGATTTAGATTCTCATAAGAAGCATGCAACCTAGATCCCTCGCATGCACAGTTCACAATAGAGTTTGCACTCCTATGGGAGTCTAATGCCACTGCTGATATAACAGGAGGCAGAGCTCAGGCGGTAATGAACGCTCACCTGCCGCTCACCTCCTACTGTATTGCCCAGTTCCTAACGGGCCACGGACTGGCACAGGTCCACAGCCCTGGGGTTGGGGACCTCTGCTCTAGGTGTTTGGGCCCTTGCATGATGGGGATGAGTTTCAAATATCAAAACATTCAGCACTTTGAGTAACTTGTTAATCTTTGGTATATAACATAACAATAAAATCTATCATTTATTGTTGTATACTATGTGCCAGAGGATAACGTGCATTTTCTCCATCCACACCTTAATGCTTCCAGGCATCATTATTCCCATTTGACAGATCAGAAGTTAAATAGCAGAGCAAGTCTCTGGTTTGCCTAAGGTTTTACAGTTAGTAAAAGGCAGAGCCAGGATTCCGGCACAATTCAGCCTAACTCTGGAGCTTGTGAGCTTCTCAGAGTAGCATCCATAGGATGTTATGATCCTTCATACAATGGCCTGCCCATGTATATGAGGTTTGGTGTTGGCATATTTAATAAGAAGAGTTTTATATTTATTTCCACAAAGTCCCAATAATTTTCAGCTGGTAAGAATTCTGAGTTGTGAGATGGTAACAGAATTCTAAGCCTGGTTGTCTCACAATCCTTTAGCTGATAAATGCTTTGAGATTTGCATTTTAATTATAACAAGGACAAAAATATGGAAAATACAAAATATATTTTCTCTCTTCATATGGAAGGGAGAAGAAATGTCTTCTCCCTTAGGAGCTTTGTAGTAAATGAAATGTCCCATTCTTAAGCTTTTCTCTCTTTGCCTTCTTCTTACTCCCCTTCCCACGCTAGGTTTCAGTTCATTCCCAACAGTGCAGGTGGCTGTAGGAGGTACAACTTGGCTGAGGAGGAGAAAGCCCATTGGTAATGTTCTCATGTTCTTCTGTAGATAGAGTAAGCCTTTTCCACATCTAAAGGGCTTTGAAATTGGCAGGAGGATTGGAACCTCAATCCTCATTCCTAAGTAATACTTCTAGGTTTCCAGCAACTCATTTAATTTTTGATTCCTGTGATCCATTCTTATATAAGGTTATCTGCAAATTTGATGTAATCTGCATTGTACTTCAACAAACCACAAGTCAAGGGTTTCTTACTGTGAGTTTCCTATAGAAAGATAATGCTGTGAATAAAAATCCTACAAGAAATAAAAAATCATGGCAGGCTCCGTAGAAGCAGTGAAATATATCCATCTTTTAAATATAAACATCCTAAAATGTTAACGCAGAAAGAGTAATAGAAAATACGTGAATATTGAAATGAACCAATTACGCTTGCTAATAAAGGTAGTCTTGCCAGTTTGCATCAAGCTTTTGGTTCTCAGGACCAGCCTGCATGTGTGTTAAGAGTTGCTTTGTTTATATTTTTATCTCTCTGCTACACGCTACGCATCAAGTAAACATGGACAATGCCTTGAATTAGAGGAATGAACATGTTTTTCGGGCAACCTGGCAACCGTGCTGAGGGAGTGTATTTCACATTCACTTTCTCCACTCTCCTGAAGTTGTCAGGCTAAGTGCCTACCAGCTGGGTGTTTACACTTTGGGGCTAAGGAGGGGAAAATGTTTTGGCTTATACACACTGACACCAATGGCTCAAATCCCAGTAATTTGAGGGACCCCTGTTGTTCCGCAAATTCCTGCCCATTTTCTAGTTCACTTAAAACATGCTGACAATTGTCTTGTATGTTCTATCAGAAAGGAGGACTCTGTCATTGAAGCAAAAAACCATTCTGTGCACAAGCAGAGTGTGTGTGATTAACTCACATCTTTCATACAAATATGTATATATAATTATGTTTAAATATTTATGGAATAATGATCACATTTCTATGTGAGAGAGGAACAAAAATAGCAATTAGATTGCAGCTTGGCTGTGGGGCATGTGTAATAAAGCTTATCCTACCCTTCACCCCTGCCTCCAGGCTATCAGAGCAAACTTTTTTGTTCAAACTATTGTATCATATAAAATTTTAATAATATTTTGAAAGAATAAAGGGCTGTCCCTTCTGTGGCATTATTCCACATCCTGACCTCATCTTTGGTAGGATTTCTTCTTTAGAGATATGTACTCTGGCATCATTTGAATTACGGAGCAGAACAATTCTACTAAAATGCCCAAGAATACAATAATAAAATGTAGAAATTTTAACTTCTTAGAGACAGATGCAAATATTCACTTCTCCATGCTCACAGATGAAATTAGTAAATAAATGAAGAGCATTGATTTTTATTTTGTTCCTTTTAAAGAAACTTAACAACTGCACAGGAATGTAAAGATGTATGAAGATGTAATTATAGCACAAGCCAGCATATGATAAATACTACAACAATGGTACAAGAACAGTCATAGGAGATTACAGATTAGGGGGCCTCTGTTTCTAGCAACAGGATAGATGAGATCGTCTAAAAACTTTCCACACAATACATTAGAAAAGCTGGATACAATTATGACAAACATCTTTTTAAATGCACAGTTAATAATTTGTGAAAATAATGTAAATTTCTAAATAGAGAGAATGAGAAGGGGATCTTGAAACCAAAAAGATGACCCCACACCATGCATAAAACTGTCCTGGGAAAATAAGTCACTCTTAGCAAACTAGAGTCTTGGATTTGAAATGGGTGCCCATGTGACCAAGAGCCAAAGCCTTTGGCATGTGCAAAGTGAAGAAGTATATCCCTGTATAAAGCTAGAATTCTTCAAAAGCTACACATTAGACTGGTGCAAAAGTAATGGCAAAAACCACAATTGCTTTTGCACCAACCTAATATTTAGCCAGTGAAATGGTGAATTACCAAAACAAACCCCCAAATAAAAAATATAGATTAGGAACACGGAAGACAAGAAAATGTATTTCTCTTCACAGGGGGTCTGGATGAGTGAAAATCTCCTTCAAAAATTGATAACTGCAGGACTGTCCTTGTAGGGCAATTTGGAAACCTGAAGTGGAGAAATAGGCTTGCTAAGACCTTGCAGGATTTAGAGATAAAGCCCAGAAAAACATGAGTTAGCAATAAAAAAGCAAGCTTACTCTGAGGAATAAGCAACCTTGAGCTTGTTTGCTCAAGCACAATTTGACTACAAGGACTTCAGATACTGGACTTATTATATCCAAAATTTAAATATATTTCAAATATATAAATATGTGATGCAGAGATTTAATAACATTAGCAAGGAAAAGAGTACTATAGATCGAGTATCCCTCACTTAAAATGCTTAAGACCAGAGTGTTTTGGATTTTGGATTGTTTTCAATACTGAATATTTGCATATACTTAATGAGGTATCTTGGGTATGGAAGCCAAGTCTAAACAAAAAATTCATTTTAGAAAATTGTTTTATTTTTATTGATTTTTTTTTAGAGACAGAGTCTCAGTCTCACCCAGGCTGGAGTGCCACGTGGCGTGATCATAACTCACTGCAGCCTCAAATTTCTGGGCTCAAGTAATCATCCTGCTTCGGCCTCCTGAGTATCTGAGACTACAGGCATGCACTGCCATGCCTAGATAATTAAAAAAAATTTTTTTTTGTAAAAACAGGATCTTGCTATGTTGCCCAAGCTGGTCTCAAATTCCTGGGCTCAAGCTAACCTCCTACCTCGGTCTCCCAAAGTACTGGGATTATAGGCATCAGCCACTGTGCCCTGCCCATTTATGTTTTATATATACCTTATACACATAGTCTGAAGATAGTTTTGTGTGATGTTTTTAATAATTTTCTGCCTGAAACAAAGTTTAAATACTTAGGAATGGAATTTTCCGCTTGTGGCATTATGTTGGCACTCAACAAGTTTTAGATTTTGAAGCATTGTGAATTTTAGATTTTTAGATTAGGGATGCTCAACCAGAATAAAAAAGACTGATATATAGATGTGTAAGAATCAAATAGATCTTCTAGAAATTAAAACAAAAATGTCGAAATGAATTTTCCATTGGGTGGGATAAACAGAAAAGATACAGCTAAAGAGAGAATTAATGAAGTATAATATAAATTTAAATATATTTCCCAATATGCATAGGAGAGAGACACTAAAACATAAGAACCAAAAAAAGAGATTAAAGGACATAAATAATAAAGGATATGGTGTAATAAATGTCTCAGTAGTTCAAAAAATAGGCCTTTAGAAAAGGCAGTGAAGATTTTGATTTTCAATTCGGGAAGCAGAACAAATCCCAATAAGACAAACTAAAAGAAATGCACACAAGACACACCACATTGAAATATTATGGTAATATATGCAGACTATCACAGACACAAGTCAGATTACGAACAGTGAGAAAGATTATCTGCAAAAGAATGGCAATTAGGCCAAGAGCTGACTTCTCAATAACGATAATGGAAGCCAAAAGTGGTCCAATAATACTTTCCAAATCTAGAGAGGAAAATTGTCAAACTAGATTTTTATACCTAGAAAACCAACTTTCAAGATCGAAGGAGAAATTGAGACATTTTCAAGTAAATCCAAACTGAAAGTTTATCACTAATGATACCTTATAACAGATATTTCTCTGAAAGAGGAAAAGTAATTCCAGAGGAAAAGTCTGAGATGCAAGAATAGGGAACAAAGAAATCTCTAAGTTTGTAGGCACAGCTAAACAAACATGTTATAATATGCACAATCTTGGAAGGTTAAAAAATATAAGACAGCATGGTAGGCAGAATAATGAACCCCCAAGGATGTCCATGTCCTAATTCTCAGAATCTGCGAATGTTGTTATATGACAAAGGGAAATTTATTTACTTATTTTTCTCTAAGCAGTCCCTCCTTTTTCATTTGCTTAATTAATTTTTTTAAAATGTTAATAACTTTAGGGGTGCAAGTGGTGTTTGGTTATATGGATGAATTGTATAGTGGTGAAGTTGGGCTTTTAGTGTACCTATCACCTGAGTAGTACACATTGTACCCAATAGGTCATTTTTCATCCCTGAGCCCATCCCACTCTCCCTCCGAGTCTCCAGTGTCCATGATACCACTCTGTATGCCTTTACATACTCATAGCTTAACTCCCACTTATAGAAGTGAGAGCATGCAGTATTTAGTTTTCTGTTTCTGAGTTAATTCACTTAATTCGTTCTTTTTTATGGCTGAGGAGTATTTTATGGCACATACACCATATTTCTTTATCCACTCATCTATTGATGGGCACTTAGGTTGATTTTCTATCTTTGCAATTGTGAATTGTGCTGGAATTAACATGTGCACTCAGGTGTCTTTTTTATATAATGGCTTCTTTTCCTTTGGGTTGATACCCAGTGGTGGATTTGCTGGATCAAATGGTAGATCTACTTTTAGTTCTTTAAAAAATCTTCATATTGTTTTTCATAGAAGTTGACCTAATTGAAATTCCCACCAGGAATGTATAAGCATTCCCTGACAAAGGGGAATTTACATTGCAGATGGAATTAAGGTTGCTGATCAGCTGACTTTAAAATAAGGAGATTATTGTGGATTATCTCCTGGGCCCAGTAAGATCCAAAAGGGTCTCAGAAGTGGAAAAGAGAGACATAAAACAGAGTCAGTTAGAGAGAGATGTGACTACAGGTGAAGTCAAAGTCAATGCAATGTGAGAAGTACTCGACCAGCAGGATGAAATAGAAATAATAAAATAAGGTAGTATAAATCATTCCAAAAAATCAGTAGTAATGATAAAATAAAAATATATTCAACTCACTAGTTAAAAAATATAGATTGTCAAATTGAGTAAAAACATCAAAATCTAGCTGTTGCTTTTTATAAGTGACATACCTAAAGTGTAAGAACATGGAAAGACTAATGGCAAAGTTATAGAAAAATTATGCTTAGAAAATACTAACAAAGCATGTGGCTGGTATAGCTAGATTAAAAGCAGATCAAACATTTAAAAGTAAAAATATTAGTAGTATCAAAGAGGATTACTACATAATGATAAGAAAGTATAATCTAAAGAAATATACAATCATTTCAAACTTTCACATGTCTTAATAACATGCAGTACTTTGAAAATTCCCAAAGCAAATCTTGACAAATTTCAAAGAGCAATTCATAAGTCAACTGTTGTACTTGAAAGTATTAATACTTCTTAATGAATGGCAGTTCAAGCAGAAAAATTAATAAGTAACTTGAACAATATAGTTAACAAGCTTGAGATAATAGACCTACAGAGAAGCTAAACTCAAAATCACAAAACACATATTATTCTCAATTACACGTTAAACATTTATAAAGTGTTACCATTTATATTCATAAATAGGTTGCAATAGACAAAAAATTATATAGACTCAATTACCTTATCAACTCAAATTAGTAATCAATAACAAGAATATAACTTAAATGAATCTATTCAGAAATTAAAGTTAAAAATTTATAATTAATTTATGAGTTAAAAAAATCATAATGGAACTTAGGAAACAGAACCGTATGCTTTTTTAGACACAATATTGAAATTTGTGAGGCAGAGCTAGAGTATTAAATACTTGCATTAGGAAAGAAGAAAAGTGAATACTAATGAGATAAACATACAAATTAAGAATTTTTCTTAAAGAACAGAAAAATAAAACCTCAGGGAAAGTTGAAAGAATTAATAAATGTAAGAAGAGAAACTCATTTAGTATGTAACAAAGGAGAGAAACACAAAGTCAAAGCTGTTTTATAGAGAAAGCTGATAAAATAGATAAAGCTATAGTAAATTTGAGCAAAAGAAATAAAGGAAAGGTACAAATAAACTATTAAGAATAAAATATGCAGCATAACTACAAAAACAGAACAAATTTACTCTTTCAGAATTAATACTAAAAACAACTTTGTGGCAATATATTTTAAAAATGAGAAAAAAAATCCTAGAAAAGTATAGCTTACAGAATTGATTCAAGAAGAAATAGAAGACCTAAATGGAACTATAATGAATATGGCAACTGACAGTAGTTACAGGGCAGAGATTATTGGATGCTTACCAATGCTATTTCCTCTTCCCGGAAGTACATCTGCCTTGCCATTAGATTGAAGCTACAAGTTTGGTACTAGTCAGTGGAATGAGGGCGAAAAAGATAATTATAGGACTATCCTCCAAAATCTTTCTTTCTTAAAATCTTTGGCTTGCTTTCATTTGCAGCTGAAGGTAAAGAAATTTCATGTGGTGGATTCCTACAAAAGAAAAAGCTGCAAAAGAGTCAACCAGGAAAGGTGCTAGACACACATCCAATGGCTGCTGAGTGATGAATGAGAAAGAAACCTTCGGTGTAGTAAGCCATTGAAATTTGGGGGAAATTTGTAATAGCTGTTGCTGTAAACCTCCGCACTGCAAAACACACACATCCTAGATAATTAAAAGACAACTTCTACCAGATGTTGAAGGGCACATCATTCCAATCTTATGTAAATTATTCCAGAGAATAGACAAAGAGGAACTATTCCTCCAACAGATTTTAGGAAGCCAAAATAACCTTAATACCAACACTAGTGGAAAACAGAGTAAGAAAGGCACAACATGATTTATATGAGGAAATCCTAAACAAAGTATTAGCAAATTGAATCCAACGAAAAATATACTTGAATTGTGTGCACACATACGAAATCATTCTTCAATTAACAAATATTTTTAAGCATCTGACGTATGCCAAGCAGCAACATAACACCTTGAGACGTCAGAGATCTTTGCCCTTGTAAACCTACATTCCAGCAGAAGAAAATAGAGAATCTATAAATAATAGAGACTTCCTAGTGTCATCCTTGACTGAGGCAATCTTTTTCTTGGTGCTGCCTAAAAACGCCTTTGTTTTTTAAAAATTGTATATTATTGATGACTCATACTAGCTTATAGTTAAAAGGAATTCCCCAACCTTTAGAAAAGTATATAAATCATTATAAGGACCAGTTTACTTATTATGATGTATGTTGAGTGTTCAAAACAGCAAAAAAGAGTAAAATAATAAATACCACATCCACCCACAGCTTATAAAAGAAAACTCTGCCCATTCTCCTGTATATTTCTCTGTGCTGTTTCTTTCTTGCCACATAGGGTTACCACTAACCTACATTGTTTTCCATTTTTATTGCACGCTTATATGTATTTTTAAGCAATAGAAGCTATTGTTTACAGGTTTTAGAACTTTATTAAATACGTTTATGGACAGTAACTAATTCCATTTGTTTAAACGGTTTGGCATAAAATAGTAAATAATTCACAGCTAGTAAAACCAAAAAACAAAGAGATAACAACTATTTGCTGCTTACAAGGAACAAATAAAATAAAAAACTTTAAATATTTAATTGAAATCACAACCATCCTGATATAATAAACATACTAGCTGTAAGACAGAGTGGTCATGCTGGACAGCATCTTCAAGAAACCCTCCCTGTGGTTTTTATTTGATCCCCATAACATCTATTTTAAATCTTCTTAATGGCTTTCAATAACAACTTATAATTATATTTGTAAAGATCAGGCTCACTTTTTTAACAGATTGCTAAGTCTCATATAATTCATTAGGGCAAATTATATTGTTTCCAACAGTTCATTTTTCTGTTGTTGCTGGTGATTTCTATTGATGTAATGAATTTCTATACCGATTTATATCCAGCTATCTTCCAAAACTCTCTTGTATTAATTCTAATAATTATTTTGTAGATTATCTTGGGTTTTTCTAAAGATATAATTACATTTTCTGCAAAAACTAATAGTCATGTTTCTTTATAATTTTTATAAATTTTACTTCCTAGTCTATTCTTATTGGATGACCATTACTTCTATTTAAATGTTGAGCAGAAGCAGTGCAAGAAGGCATTCTTTTTTTTTTTTTTTTTTTTTTGAGACGGAGTCTCCCTGTGTAGCTCAGGCTGGAGCTCAGGCTGGAGGGCAGTGGCGTCGCGATCTCGGCTCACTGCAAGCTCCGCCTCCCGGGTTCACGCCATTCTCCTCCCTCAGCCTCCTGAGTAGCTGGGACTACAGGCGCCCGCCACCACGCCCAGCTAATGCTTTTTTGTATTTTTAGTAGAGACGGGGTTTCACCGTGTTAGCCAGGATGGTCTCGATCTCCTGACCTCGTGATCCACCCACCTTGGCCTCCCAAAGTGCTGGGATTACAGGTGTGAGCCACCGCGCCCGGCCAAGGAGGCATTCTTGTGTTATTCCAGATTTTAAAAAGAACACTGCTAATAGTTCAGTTTTAAGTACATTTGTTACAAATTTTATCAGGTTAAGAAATTCCCTTTATTATATTACCAATAATTGTTCTCATACAAGTTATTTTTATTTCCGCTGATTTTACAGATTTGGAAAGTGAGGCGTACACAGGCTAAATAACTTGCTTAATGAAACACTGGTCACAGAGTCAGAATGTGAAGAACAGGTTGTAGGACTGCAAAGCTCTTGCTGGGACTGTGGTCGTAGGCTTGCTCTCCGCTTTGGGCCCCACTACGTGATTAAAAATGAAGGCTTAGGATATGTTTACTTGGCAAATATCAACAGGAAGCAGTTGGAGCAATATAAATTTCAGACAAAGTAAAATGAAGCCAACAGCATTAAAATGAGACAAAGAGGGTCATTTTATGTTATCAAAAGTTATGGCTCAGAATGGTATAAATTATGAATTGTAGCATATCATCAAGCTATCAGACAAATACATGGAAATTAAGAGAAACAAAACTCTGTAGGAGATTTTAACATTTCTACCTCACCCTTTAACAGAATTAAAATAATAAAGAATAAATAATGACACAAATTATTTGAATACCATAATTAATACATTAATGTTATATATCATTTTCTCTTGGACATCTCAAGTATTAACACCATTAACACCCCAAATACAATCTCAATAAATTCCCCAAATCAAAAATTATACATATATTTCTTTCCATAAAGCAATAAATCTAGAAGTTAATAAATTTTTAAACAAAATAGTTTGTCTAAGAAATTTTTTAAAAATCACTCTTTTAAAGAACTATTGTGTCTGGGTGCAGTGGCTCAGGCCTATAATCCCAGCACTTTGGGGGGCCGAGGTGGGCGGATCACTTGAGGCCAGGAGTTCGAGACCAGCCTGGCCAACATGGTGAAACCCTGTCTTTAATAAAAATACAAAACTTAGCCAGGCATAGTGGCGGACAGCTGTAATCCCAGCTACTCGAGAGGCTGAGGCAGGAGAATCATTTGAACCCGAGAGGCAGAGGTTGAAGTGAGCTGAGATCACACCACTGCATTCCAGCTTGAGCAACAAGAGTGAAACTCCATCTCAAAAACAAAAAACAAAAAACAAAAAAACTATTGTTTCAAAAATGAAATAAAAACTATAGTTGGTCTTTCAAAAAACAATATGTTTCAGAACACTAAAATTTATAGACTATAGATACATTGTAATTTAAAAAATTTACAAGCATTAGTGATTTTGTCATTAAGCAATAAAGAATTAATATTTCATGAACTAAACTTTATATTCAAAAAGTTTAAAGAATCAGCAAAGCTAAAGAGATAAGAAAGATAAAGAAAAGAAGAACAATAAATTATGGAGAAAAGCAATAGAGTGTATAGGGTTAAAAACTGGTTGTTTGACTCTCAATAAACTTGGTAGTGATGGAATGTATCTCAAAATAATAAGAGCTATTTATGACAAACCCACAGACAATATACTGAATGGGCAAAAGCTGGAAGTATTCCGTTTGAAAACCGGCACAATACAAGGATACCCTCTCTCACCTCTCCTATTCAGTATAGAATTGGAAGTTCTGGCCAGGGCAATCAGGCAAGAGAAAGAAATAAAGGGTATTTAAATAGGAAGAGAGGAAGTCAATTTGTCTGTGTTTATAGATGGCATGATTGTATATTTAGAAAACCCCATCATCTCAGAGCAAAATTTCCTTAAGCTGATAAGCAATTTCAGCAAAGTCTCAGGATAGAAAATCAATGTGCAAAAATCACAAGCATTCCTGTACACCAATAATAGACAAACAGAAAGCCAAATCATGAGTGAATGCCCATTCACAATTGCTACAGATACCTGGGAATCCAACTTACAAGGGATGTGAAGGACCTCTTAATGGAGAACTACAAACTACTGTTCAAGGAAATAAGAGAGGACACAAACAAATGGAAAAACATTCCATGTTCATGGATAGGAAGAATCAATATCATGAAAATGGCCATACTGCCCAAAGTAATTTATAGATTCAATGCTATCCCCATCAAGCTACCATTGACTTTCTTCACAGAATTAGAAAAAAACTACTTTAAATTCCATATGGAACCAAAAAGGAGCCCATATAGCCAAGACAATCCTAAGCAAAAAGAACAAAGCTGGAGGCATCATGCTACCTGACTTCAAACTACACTACAAAGCTACAGTAACCAAAACAGCGTGGTACCAAAACAGATATATAGACCAATGGAACAGAACAGAAGCCTCAGAAATAACACCAAACATCTACAACCATCTAATCTTTGACAAATCTGACAAAAACAAGCAATGGGGAAAGGATTCCCTATTTAATAAAAGGTGTTGGGAATACTGGCTAATGGCTAGCCAGTACTTCTTCCTTGCACTTTATACAAAAATTAACTCAAGATGGATTAAAGACTTAAACATAAGACCTAAAGCCATAAAAACTCTAGAAGAAAATCTATGCAATACCATTCAGGACATAGGCATGGGCAAAGACTTCATGACTAAAACACCAAAAGCAATGGCAACAAAAGCCAAAATTGACAAATGGGATCTAATTAAAGTAAAGGGCTTCTGCACAGCAAAAGAAACTATCATCAGAGTGAACAGGCAACCTACAGAATGGGAGAAAATTTTTGCAATCTATCCACCTGACAGAGGGCTAATATCCAGAATCTATGAAGAATTTAAACAAATTTACAAGAAAAAACAACTCCATCAAAAAGTGGGTGAAGGATATGAACAGACACTTCTCAAAAGAAGACATTTATGTGGCCAATAAACATATGAAAAAAAACTCATCAACACTGGTCATTAGAGAAATGCAAATCAAAACCACAATGAGATACCATCTCATGCCAGTTAGAATGGCGATCATTAAAAAGTCAGGAAACAACAGATACTGGAGAGGACGTGGAGAAAAAGGAATGCTTTTACACTGTTGATGGGAGTGTAAATTAGTTCAACCATTGTGGAAGACAGTGTGGTGATTCCTCAAGGATCTAGAACCAGAAATACCATTTGACCCAGCAATCCCATTACTGGGTATATACCCAAATGATTATAAATCATTCTACTGTAAAGACATATGCACATGTATGTTTATTGCAGCACCACTCACAATAGTAAAGACTTGGAACCAACCCAATGCCCATCAATGATGGACTGGATAAAGAAAATGTGGCACATGTACACCCTGGAATACAATGTAGCCATAAAAAAGGATGAGTTCCTGTCCTTTGCAGGGACATGAATGAAACTGGAAACCATCATTCTCAGCAAACTAACACAGGAACAGAAAACCAAACACAGCATATTCTCACTCATAAGTGGGAGTTGAACAATGAGAACACATGGACACAGGGAGTGGAACATCACACACCGGGGCCTGTCGGTGGGGTGGGGAGCTAGGGAAGGAATTGCATTAGGAGAAATACCTAATGTAGATGACGGGTTGATGGGTGCAGCAAACCACCATGGCACGTGTATACCTATGTAACAAACCTGCACATTCTGCACATATATCCCAATACTTAAAGTATAACTTAAAAAACTGGTTATTTGAGAAAAACATGAAATAGACAAATATCTATAAATTATAATAAAAGGAAATACAAATTTACAAAATGAGAATTGAAAAGGCAAAAAGAGGCACAAAGTAGAAATACAAAACACCAATGAAAAGTGGAAAATATGCTCACTAGTAAGCAAAATATAGACACTAAAGTACTGTTCTTCACTATTAATATAAGAAATTCTGGCTGGGCATGGTGGCCCAAGCCTGTCATCCCAGCACTTTAGGAGGCTAAGGTGGGCAGATCACGAGGTCAGGAGGTCAAGACCAGCCTGAACAACGTGGTGAAACCCCGCCTCTATTAAAAATTACAAAAATTAGCCGGGTGTGGTGGTGGGTGCCTGTAATCCCAGCTACTCAGGAGGCTAATGCAGGAGAATTGCTTGAACCTGGGAGGCAGAGGTTGCAGTGAGTGGAGATCACACCATCGCACTCCAGCCTGGGTGACAGAGCAAGTCTCCATCTCGAAAAAAAAAAGAAGTGTTTATAATAATACTGAATTCAAGATCATAGTAACGTGTCTGTTTTTTACATGGCAGCTAGAAGTTGGCACATCATTTCCCAAAAGGTAGCTTTTAAAAAGTCACACATTTTGACTCAATATGAATCTAACCCAAATAAAAAATTAAAATATCCCAAGACTTTTGCACAAGATCCAATTTTAATTTTTTATTTATAAATGAAAATTAGGAATAAATCATTATGTACAATAATAGAATAATTGAAAATTAAATGAGATAAAACCACATGATAGAATTTTTAGAATATGACTGATGCAGGAAAATGCTTACTAAATAGTTTTTAGTGAAGGAAAAAGTAGGACACACCTGCTTTTTACAGTATGTACAGTAGACTCATGGCATTTAACATTGTAACCTTTGATTACTTAACATTGGGTGGTTTGTGATGGACCTCTGTGATCTATGGTGAATAATATGTTTTCATTTGGAGAGAGAGCATATAAAAGATTACAGATCATTTCCTAGTCAATGTTTATATATATGTCTCATACATAACAACTTATTTGTTTTATAAAGCTCTATAAAGGCATTCCTAAATTCTTTGATATGAGAATACTCAACAGATATGAGTATTTGACATATTTTGTTTTTCCTACAGAACATCATCATCCAAATCCCCTTTTCCCCTCCCTGACTCCAAATATTTATTAGAACCTGCAGCATAGGAGTGGGTGTGCTGGGCTGGATACAGAACATTAGGCTGACAGATTTTGACTGTCAGTTAATGTAGGAGATTTCTGATTTGATCTCACAATGTCCCAGCACCAAGTTAGTGAGGATGTGGCTGCTTGGGGTTCGGGTAAGCGAGTGTCCTGGTAGAGCATACTGTTTTAAAGCTCAGCAACTGTAGAATGAAAGAATGCTCCGAAGCTAAGACCTCTTGACTCATTATGACTAATACATCTCAGAGCTGTATCGTAAGGCAAATCAGTTCTTTATAAATAATTAACTTGGGTCAACCTGAGGTCAGAGATAATTTGAATGCTACATGACTAAATGTTTCCTACCATCTAGCTAGTCTTGCTGACTCCTTGCCAAAAGCTGTGGGAGCCCACCTCTTGTATCAGCGTGATCTGGATGTGAGACATGGAGTCAAAGGTGATCATGTTGGAAATGTAAGGTTTAATGACTGCCCTGTTGGATCTAGGACTTGCATGGGGCCTGTCACCCCTTTGTTTTGGCCAGTTTCTCCCATTTGGAAAGGGTGTATTTACCCAATGCCTGCACCCCCATTGTGTCTAGGAAGTAACTAACTTGCTTTTGATTTTACAGGTTCATAGGCAGAAAGGACTTGCCTTGTCTCAGATGAGACTTTGGACTTGGACTTTTGGGTTAATGCTGGAATGAGCTAAGATTGTGGGGGACTGTTGGAAGGGCATGATTGTGTTTTGAAATGTGAGGACAAGAGATTTGGGAGGGGCCAAGTGGGGAATGACATAGTTTGGCTCTGTGTCCCCACCCAAATCTCACCTTGAATTTTAATAATCCCCATGTGTCAAGGGCAGGAGCAGGTGGAGGTAATTAAATCATGGAGGTGGTTTCCACTATGCTGGTCTCATGATAATGAGTGAGTCTCACAAGATCTGATGGTTTTATAAAGGACAGTTTGCCTGCACAAGCTCTCTTGTCTACAGCCATGTAAGACATGACTTTACTCCTCCTTCACCTTCTGCCATGATTGTGAGGCCTCTCCAACCATGTGGAACTGTGAGTCCATGAAATCCCCTTTTCTTTATAAATTTCCCAGTCTCAGGTATTTCTTCATAGCAGTATGAAAATGGACTAATACGCTTCTCTTCCCACTTCAGGCCTCACTTGAATGCCATTTCTTCCAAAGAGCCTCCTTTGACCCCCCAAGAGAAATTGTATTCCCTTCTTATGTTCAAGAGTTTTCAGTTTCATCACTGGCATCTCTTATACATCTTCATTCGGACTTAAATGCTCATAGAGTGAAGAAAGGATGGACGTATTGTGTTTACTTAATGGTTCCCAGTTAGTTCCATCTTGGGAATTTGAAGCTGGGAGTAGATATTTGATCTCTTGATTCTGCTTGTTTGTAAGAGTCTACAGTGTTAGTTTTCTGGAAGGCAACCCTATTGTTTGGGGCAACAAACCACTAGGAAACATTAGGACTGAAAGACCAGGTGAACTTGAGATTACTATTGCTGAGTAGGATCATAGGGTACACTTTAGTATTTTGCTTGTGCTTTTCTTATTATCAATTTAATACAAGTTCATTTAAAAATGTAGAAAGAATATACAATGTAAAGAGGAAGAAAATACCTCATATACCTTGTATCCAGAAGCAACCAGGTCATCTCTTAGCATTTTCATTTCCTTTCCAGCTGGTATAAAAGATTTTCAGTACTGAGAGAGCTCTTAGAATTCCTCTCAGGCTCACTCTAAGTCAGGACTCTCATCTTCCTGTCTGTTATCCTTTCTATTACTTCATAATACCTTATTTTAAAAAATTAAGGAAATTACAGGTTGGAAAAGATAAACCAGGCTGGAAATATGGAGAGTATGAAAAGTGGTAAAGAAAAACAAACCCTTTAACATCTATTTTCTCAGCATCACAGAGAGTTGAACTTGTATAGAGTTTGAACTCCCCTCAATTAGAACCTATAGATAAATAATTACAAAATTCAAAATCCAAACATACCACAGCAAATCAAAGCAAACTAAATCACTCCAACAGCCTGCCCTCCCACCCACCAAAGTGACCTATAAGAATTATCTACCAAATTTATACTATATCTTGATTATTAAGTCCTTAAGTTAAAATTACTGCAGACAAATTTAGTTACTTTACTTTCCTACATTTACACAATATTTCATGAGCTTATAACAAACACTTTGATTAAAACTCAATGGTCAATATGTTAGCGATTTTGGACAAGGTAATTTTAAAAGATGTAGGATAATTTAAAGTGATTATGGTAAATAAACATGGATTATACAAAAATTTATTTCCACAGCAGTAGTAATTATAGAATAAAAAATTAGAAATAGCAAAAATATTTCACAATAAAAGCTTGGTTAAATTCCTACATTTCAATAAAACATGATGTCATTGACTGTTGGATAGTGATATGGTTTGGCTGTGTCCCCACCCAAATCTCATCTTGAGTTCCCATGTGTTGTGGGAGGGACCTGGTCGGAGGAAATTGAATCACGGGGGCAAGTCTTCCCGTGCTGTTCTAGTAATAGTAAATAAATCTTGCAAGATCTGATGGTTTTAAAAAGAGGAGTTTCCATGCGCAAGCTTTCTTTTTTGCCTGCTGCCATCCGTGTGAGATGTGACTTGCTTCTCCTTGCCTTCTACCCTGATCATGAGGCCTACCCAGCCATGTGGAACTCTAGTCAGTTAAACCTCTTTCTTTTGTAAATTGCCCAGTCACTAGTACGTCTTTATCAGCAGTGTGAAAACAGGCTAATACAGTACATTGGTACCAGTAGATGGGGTGCTGCTGAAAAGATACCCAAAAATATGGAAGGGACTTTAAAACTGAGTAACAGGCAGAGTTTGGAACAGTTTGGGGGGCTCAGAAGAAGATGGGAAAATGTGGGAAAGTTTGGAACTCCCTGGAAACTTGTTGAATGGCTTAGACAGAAATGCTGATAGCGATATGGACAATAACGTCCAGGCTGAGGTGGCCCCAGATGGAGATGAGGAACTTGTTGGGAACTGGAGCAAAAGTGACTCTTGTTATGTTTTAGCAAAGAGACTGGTGGCATTTTGCCCCTGCCCTAGAGATTTGTGGAAATTTGAACTTGAGACAGATGATTTAGGGTATCTGGTAGAAGAAATTTCTAAGCAGCAAAGCAGTCAAGAGGTGACTTGGGTGCTGTTAAAGGCATTCAGTTTTATAAGGGAAGCAGAGCATAAAAGCATGAAAAATTTGCAGTCTGACAATGTGACAGAGAAGAAAATCCCATTTTTTGAGGAGAACTTCAAGCTGGCTGCAGAAATGTGCTTAAGTAATGAGGACCTGAATGTAAATCCCCAAAACAATGAGGAAAATATCTCCAGGGCATGTCAGAGGTCTTCACAGCAGCCCCTCCCATTACAGGCCTGAAGGCCTAGGAGGGAAAAGTGGTTCTGTGGGCTGGGCCCAGTGTTCCCATGTTGTGTGCAGCCTAGGAACTTGGTGCCCTGCTTCCTTGCCATTCCAGCCATGCCTGAAAGGGGCCAATGTAGAGCTCAGGCCACAACTTCAGAGGTGCAAGCCCCAAGCCTTGGCAGCTTCCATGTGATGTTGAGCCTGTGAGTGCATAGAAGTCAAGAACTGAGGTTTGGGAATCTCCACCTAGATTTCAGATGTATGAAATGCCTGGATGTCCAGGCAGAAGTTTGCTGCAGGGGCAGGGCCCTCATGGAGAACTTCTGCTAGGGCAGTGTGGAAGGGAAATGTTTGGTTGGAGGCCCCACCCAGAATCCCTACTGGGGCACTGCCTAGTGGAGCTGTGACACAAGGGCCACCATCCTCCAGACCCCAGAATGGTAGATTCACTGACAGCTTGCACCATGCACCTAGAAAAGCTGCAGATACTCAACCCCAGCCCATGAAAGCAGCCAGGAGGGAGGCTGTACCCTGCAAAGCCACAGGACTAGAGCTGCCCAAGATAGGAACCCACCTCTTACGTCAGTGTGACCTGGATGTGAGACATGAAGTCAAAGGAGCTCATTCTGGAACTTTAATATTTGACTGCCCTGCTGGATTTTGGACTTTCATGGGGCCTGTAATCCCTTCGTTTTGGCAAATTTCTTCCATTTGAAATGGCTGTATTTACCCAATGCCTGTACCCCCATTGTATCTAGAAAGTAACTAACTTGCTTTTGATTTTAAAGATCATAGACAGAAGGGTCTTGCTTTGTCTCAGATGAGACTTTGGACTGTGGACTTTTTAGTTAATGCTGAAATGAGTTAAGACTTGGGGGACTGTTGGGAAGGCATGATTGGTTTTTGAAATGTGAGGACATGAGATTTGGGAGGGGCCAGGGGTGGAATGATAAGGTTTGGCTTTGTCTTCACTGAAATCTCATCTTGAGTTCCCACATGTTTTGGGAGGGACCAGGTGGGAGGTAATTGAATCATAGGGGCAGGTCTTTCCTGTTCTATTCTCATGATAGTGAATATGTCTCACAAGATCTGATGGTTTTAAATCCCTGCACAAGTTTTTTTTTTTTTGCCTGCTGCCATCCATGTAAGATGTGACTTGCTTCTCCTTGCCTTCTGCCATGATTGTGAAGCCTCCCAAGCCACATGAAACTGTAAGTCCATTAAACCTCTTTTGTAACTTTCCCAGTCTCAGGTATGTCTTTATCAGCAGCATGAAAACAAGACTAATACAGATATCATGGGACTATGATCACAATATTTGAACTAAAAAGCTATTGTCAAATACTATAAGCAATATTATTCTATTTGTGGAAAAATATATTAACACTTGGAAAAGAGACTGAAAGAATATTGATCAAAATCTAAAGCAGGTTTATTTGTGGGTTATGAGATCTGGTGACTTAATATTTTTATTTGTGCTTTTTAATATTTCCCAAATTTTCTACAATGAGTATAGATTGTTCAGTAGATTGTTCTGAACATAAATAAGACAGATTATCTGTGTGAAAAATATTAGAATATTTATGGAGAACAATCTACATAAACAGATTGTAGATTGTAGAATTATTAACCTAGAGTATTTGGGCTCCTCGAATGCCCATAAATGGGTGTCAAAGAGTCTGTGTACCCTGTGGAATAATTTGTATGTGTTTGTATATATTGTTGCTGATGGAAGGGGATCCACATCTTTCACAAAATTCTCAAAGTGCTCTGTGATCCTCAAGACCTAAGCAAAAGTACTTTGCAGCAACCTGTTCTAAATCTTGTTTATGACAATTTAAAGTCGGTGTCTCTAGGCTCCTCATTTCAAAGATTGTGCATATATAAACTGTTTTGGCTCATGGGCCATTCACAGTGAAAGCATTTGGGTTAAAGCCAGAATATTTATGGGAGTAAATAAAATTAGTATCCACTTGAAATGACAGCAGAAAAGGTAAGTTATTTTTTGTTTGATAAGAACTGTATCTTACTACCAAAACTCTCTAATACATCCTGAATTATTCAAAATTAAGACTCAAATTTTCACATTAAAGTTGACTAGTGTAATGATGTGTTTCTGTTAAAAATCCTCATTATGAAATACATTTTGAAACATTACCTACTGAATAAACATTCAACTTTGCTTTCTTTTGATCCCTACTTAAATCACCATATAACACTGACGTCTTACTCTGTAAGTCTTCACATGGTCTTTGATCAAAAGCAGCGTAACCTGAAAATGACCTTTATAAATGGACTTACATTTTCCTCTTGTGAATGGAGATAGAGAGGGGCTGAAAGCTGCTCTGTGCTTCTTTGCCTAACAAGCCTAAAAATCTTATGGGAAAAATGTCAACATCACCCAGACATTTGAAACCCTGAAGGGCATTGGTTTGTCATTTATTCAAAAATTAAGTTTTCTTTCATTTTGCCTTTACACTTTCATTTTGGATAATTGTGCACATAAACTTACACACACTTCTTTCATTCATTAACTGAAGAATTGCACTCTGGTTACAAAGACCACATCATAAGTACTTACTAAGTTATAAGTTAAAAAGAAGTGGATTCATTTTTAATTTATTATTCAATAAAATTCTTATTTCCCATTTGGGACAGATGCAGAATTTGTGGTTCTTTTAAAATAGCAGCCTGCAGGCTTATTTCTATCCAGAGAACAGTACAGTCCTTTTGAGTTTGACCCTATAAAATGTTTTGCTTATTTACTTTTTAATTTCAGGGTTGATCGTTGCAGTCATTACACACACTGGTTCATGGTGAACATTGGAAGCTTGCCTCCATATTCTCTGACCAAAGAAGCCACGTAGTGGTTCTCCCTTTTAAAAAAGTTCTTTACAATCAGCTGCAGCCAGTTTTTGATTTTGGAGAACTTTATCTAGAACTGTGACATTTTGTGGAGTTTTATACATTGGAATGTCCTGTTCACTAACCCATTGATAGGAGAGGGGTGCGACCCCCTTGCTGCAACTCACTCACTGCTTCTCATTTGGTGATTGATCAAGTTCTACCATATAGACTACTGAAGTTTTCATTATGAACTGTCAACTCTTAAGGATAAAGAGCATTGTTCCAAAAGACATCTTTTTAAGAACTAGGAAGAGTGGGAAGAATATTAGCCTCCTCCAAGTCAATAATAAGGATTCTTATTAGAGGATTCTGATGAGGCCACTTACACATGTATAGAAAGACAGGGCCAGGTGTGGTGGCTTACGCCTGTAATCCCAGCACTTTGGGAGGCCGAGGCAGGCAGATTACTTGAGGTCAGGAGTTCAAGGCCAGCCTAGTCAACATGGTGAAATCCCATCTCTACTAAAAATACAAAAAGTAGCCGGGCATGGTGGCAGGCACCTATAATCCCAGTTACCAGGGAGGCTGAGGCAGGAAAATTGCTGGAACCCAGGAGACGGAGGTTGCAGTGAAGCCAATGTACTCCAGCCTGGGCAACAAGAACAAAACTCCGTCTCAAAAAACAAAAAGAAAGACAAAAATCAAGGATCTACAACATATGGAAGAAGAAGGGGTTCCCTGAAGATACATCTGGTAATTTCACTATGTTTTGCAGGCCAAGACTTAATAGTGAAAATAATTCAACTTTTCAGCTTAAAAACAAAAAACAAAAAAACAATTTTCTCCTAAACATGTAACTATTGAAAAATCTAAGATACAGGGAATCAGAAGCAATGTATGAGAGAAGGCATATGTTTGGTTAATGTGTTTCATTATATGTTAAATGTAGTTCCCCACTACTGATGTTCAATAGATAAAAAATAAGCAAAATGTGTGAAATAAAGTGCTATTATAGAATAGTGCAAAAACTTTCCAATGGTAGGCTCTTGTCTCTTTTCTATAGACTTGTGATCTGTGGGGATGTGCTCTCATGCTCTTCATTAATACCCTGCTCCACCCCATCGTTAAATATTCCAGACTTTTCTAAGTAAATACCATCCAACAACAGAATACGCATCTTTCATTGTCACAGTTAGCTGATATCTATGGAACGCTCCACATTTCTCCATAACTTCAATACTGAAGCATGTGCCTATTCGTCATTCTTTTTGCCAACCCAGTGACTTCAACACTACTCTTGGTTTTCTTGGTTTTCCTTCTCTGGCTTACCCCTATGATCGTTACAAAAACCACGGTTTCCATCTCCATTCCAATTTAGCCACTATGTTTATAGCCATAATTTAAATCTAATCATCAGTCAAGATTACTTTATTGCTAACATCCTAAATTCTAACATTTCCTTTTTTTCTTCCACAAAGTTTTGTTTTACTGCTCCATTCATTTTCTTAACTTTACTAATCAAATAGTTATCCTTCTTTTCTACTTCAGTTCCTTATTGCTCCTCTGATTTTCCAATCCAGTGGCACTCAAGCTTTGGCATACATTAGAATCACTTGTTGAAACACAAGTGTAGATCGTACCCTCCAGAGTTTCTGATTCTGTAGGTCTGAGATGGGGCCTGAGGATCTGCATTTTAACGGGTTCCGAGTGATACTGATGCTGCTGGTATGAAAACCACACTGAGAAAAATAATCTTTGTTCAATAAAACTCTTGTTCCATTAGAGAAATAAGTGATTGGGAAGTGGAACTTACAAGGGTGGTTCAACATATACAACTCAATCAATGGGCTACATCATATCAACAGAATGAAAAACAAAAACCATATGATCATTTCAATTGATGCTGAAAAAGCATTCTCTATCTCGTCTGTTTTTTATATCATCCATCTTTTAAATTTTGGGGAACCTATTGGGTAAAAAATAATATCTTACTCTTTAAACTGGTATAGTATTTTTTTCTATCATGACTCATGTGGCTAAGCATGTTTTTCATATTTGTTGTTTGTTTGCCTTTCATTTATGTGAATTGACTACTGAACTCATTTCTGTTTATTTCTTTCTCAGTGAGTGATAGGAATTTTTATACATTCTGGTTGCTAATTCTTCATTTGTTATTATACAACACAATTTTATTAGTCTTTCACTTGTGTTTCAACCATGAATAAGTATTTTTTATATATTTTAATTATTTTAATATAATCAAGGTTATCTATTTTTTTTACACTACCATTTTTGGGTTTTTATCCTAGTTAGCAGGGCCTTCCTTATCCTGGGGTCATTAACGAATATTAGACCTCTTTTCTTTTCTTTCTTTCCTTCTTTTCTTTTTCTTTCTTTTTCTTTCTTTCTCTTCTTTCTTTCTCTCTCTTTCTTTCTTTTTCCTTTCTTCCTTCCTTTTTCCTTCCCTTCTTTCTCCTTCCTTTCTCTCTCTCTTTTTCTCTCCTCTCTTTCTCTCTTTGTTTCTTCTTTCTTCTTTTTTCTTTGAGACAGAGTCTCACTCTGTCACCCACGCTGGAGTGCAGTGGTGCGATCTTGGGTCACTGCAACTTCTACCTCCTGGGTTCAAGCTATTCTCATGCCTCAACCTCCCAAGTAGCTGGGATTACAGGCATGCGCCACCATGTCTGTCTAAACTAAATCTTTTCCTGATGCTTTTAAAGATTTAAAAATTTTTTGCTCTACTTTTTAAACTTTCCGAAATTATTTTTTCTGTATACTATGATGTAAAAAATCTAATTTTAATTTTGTCCTTATTAATAGTCCATCTTTTATTTATTTCCAGTGCTACCCCTCTCATAGACCAATACCCATTATATGTGAGTTTATTCTATTTGATTGGACAATTTACCTAATATGGCACCAATGCTACACTATTACTATAGCTTTATTAAATGTTTTGATATCTGGTAGAACAAGTTCTCCCATTTACTTATTTTTCACAAATTTCTTTTTTTTTAAATGATAGCAAGTTTATTAAGAAAGCAGAGGAATAAAAGAATAGGCAAAGCAGCCACAAATTTCTTATATTCTCTTGTAACTTACTTCTCTGTGTAACTTTTAGAATAGACTTGTAAAGTTCCACGAAAAATCTTGTTGAGACTTTTGTTTGATATTGTGTTGAATTCATGCATTAGTTTAGAGGAAATTCACATCTTTAAAAGTGTGGATTTTCTCACCTACACACATCTTAACCTCTCCACCTATTCCAGTGTTCTTTTATGCCCATCAGGAATGCTGTATCATTGAATCCACAAAGATTTAACCCTCTTGTCATTGTTAAATTTATTCCTAGATACTTAAGATTTAACTGAAAAAGAAAACATTCCTTTAACGTCAATCCTCTCTCTTGATCTAATCCTGACACTCTAATTTCTTAAACTGTCCATTTTTTGAATGACCTGTTTGGAGAGTCTGTTTTCTCCATTTTCATACCACCTGCTATATTCCCTTGCAATATGGCTTTCTTTCCTGACACTGTAGAAAAAGTATTCTTTAAAATGTTGCTGATGATACCTGAATTGCCTAATTGCATAATTTTTTCTCAGTTTTAATCATTCTCAATTTCTCTGCGTTACTTGTCGTTATTGATCCCTGCACCTATGTCAATACTCCTCCATTGCTGTCCATGGCATTTCACTGTCCTGTTTTTTTTTTTTTTCCTATTACACTCTCATTGCTTCTTATCTAGCTTTTTATTCTCCCACTCTGTGAACATACTGTTGTTGTGACCTCTTTCTATATGCTTTCTTCCCATGCATTTGAGGATGACAGGGATTTCTATATGCTCCCAACAATGATTTTCGTGCTTGGCAGGTTATGGGTGGTGAATAAAGGTTTCTTGAACAAACGGATCAACCTAATCATAGCTTTCAAATGCTTATTAACAGGAAAGTCAGGTCACTATTGATTATTGGGCAAATTTGAACTCTGTTTACCATTTCTGAGGCTACATTATGGTCTCATTTTACTTTCAGTCGTATTTTTCTCCTCCACTGTAATCAAACTGTTAACTGCTTCATAATATTGCCTTTGTTCCTGAGGTTTTCTCTACCTGGGATTCCTTCCACTTTTATTTGTTGAACTCTTGTCCATTACTTAAGAACTATATCATCTCTCTCCTTTTCTTGGAAGTCTTTTCTCATTCTTCCTGGTTTGATGTAATCTCTTCCACTTTTGAATCTTCAGAGACACTGTCTGATTTCTGCTACTCTCATTGCATTTGTATTCATTAATAATAAAAACTGTCTTTAAAATTGGCACAGATTAAAAAGAACGATAATTCCCAATCTTGGCAAGGTGAGGGAAGAGAAAGTTTCAAAAATTCTTGATAGGAATTTCTAGAGCATAATTTGGCAACATGTGTCAAAGCCTTAAATATGCAATTAGTCCATGGTGCAGCAATTTCCATTTCCATGAATTTTTCCTAAGGAAATAGTCAAAGATATGTGCAATATTGCTCATTATAACATGTTTTTGTAAAAGTAAAAAAACCTGTAAAAACCTGTGTCCAATAATCTAGTTTTGGCTCAGCAAACCTTAGCATATCTATAATAGAAGACAACAAAACCAAAATCATTTTATAAAAGAATATTTATTTACATGGGAAAATGTTCACAATATGAAAAATAAAACAGGACATACAACAATTTTTCTAGCATAATGTCATTATTTCAGAGGAAAATAAATGTGCTTAGAAAATATTAGAAAGACATTTAAAATGCTATTAATGGTTTTGTGAGATTGTGGTTGATACGAATTTTTTTAAAGTTCTACTTTTCTATCTTTTCAAAATTTTCATATGTGTGCATTTTGTTTATAATTTATATCCAAATGGACTACATGATATGTTGCCCAGGTTCCTCCTCCTCTCTTCTCTACCCTCATCTATTAAGACGTAGGCTCTCATTCACCTGCTGCTGGAGGACTGAAGGCTGACCTCCCCGTGTTGAGACCCAGTTCTCCAATCCAGCAACTGCCCTTCACTGAGCAAAGCTGCCACTGGAGAGAGTTGCCTCTTCCAAGGTCACATGCCCTTCCCACAGGAAGTCTGCATCTAGTGACTGTAGTTATAGGACTCTAAACTCCTATCCCCTTTACCCCAATTTGAGAGAATGCTACAGGGCCATCCAGCTTCAGATTTCACTCTGCAATTAGTTGTGGGCTTTCTTAAAACTTCTTCACGACCCACCTTCTCCCTCTGTCTGATCATGGTTCTTTCCTTCCCCCTACAGCTGTCAATCCTGAGAGCCCACCCTAGTAAACTTCCTACATCTGCTTTACAGGGAAGCTCACCTGGAACATCTGTTTGCTTGGCACTTTACACTTATTACCTCCCAAAACCTTGCAATAGGATTTTAGGGCAGTTATTGGCGTCTCTGTTTTTCAGAAGAAGAAAACTACATTCAAAATGTTTATGTATTTTATGCAAAGGTACACTATTAATAAATGTCAGAGCCAGGTTTGAAAGTAGCTGTGTTTGGATATAAAAACTATGCTTTTTCCATTAAGCCAAATGGCTCTCTGCAGTCAGTTGTGTGCTTTATTATTTTTGTGCTTTTCTAGTTCTCTCTGGTAGATGGTAAATTCGTTGGCTGCAGGGATTTTATCTTATTTGTCTTTGAATCCCCTGCAGGGTATTGCATAGTACCTTACACATAATAAGTGCTCCATGTTTTTAGAATTGACTTGAACTAGTTGAGGCTTGAAATGTAGTTCTACTTCTGTTCCACAAAAAAACAGATTCCCTAGCAGGAAAAGAAAATCATGATGGTAAGATTTAGAAATTGTTTTTTGATTTAAATTTCATGAAATAATCTCCTAAAAAAGAGTGATACTAATTTTCTTCTCTTTGCTTAATATTAGATAACAAAATGCAATTTTCCAGAACTTTGCTTATAATTACTAAAATAAACAAATCAGTGAGTGTAATAAACTTATACTGAACTGTGATGGCAAATACTATGGTTTTTACCTTATATCCCTGATTCAGGGTTCTCTGAAATCTAAGTCATTGGAGAAGAGAATCTACTAAGAGTAGAAAAATGTAACAAGGAAATAAGCTTGCTCCTTACACAAGAATTGAAAGTATTCTAAGAGTCTTAAAGTTTTTGTGGCAGCAGAGATGCGTGAGCTGACATTTCCAGCAATCAATGGAATTTGCAAGTGCGAGATGAATTTTCCTTAATTAAAATCTACCAGATTAATCATATTTTAAGTACAAGTAAAATGAATGTATAACTAATTAGTTATGCTGTTAGGAATAAATGACATTAGGTTCATGTTTACATTTAGGGAGGCAGACATTTGAAAGTAAACTACAAAGACTGCTGCTATGGTCTGAATATGGGTGTTCTCACAAATTTATGCATTAGAACTTAATTCCCAACATGATAGTATTAAGAGATAGGGCCTTTGGGAAGCAATTAAGTCATAAAGGCTTTGCTGTCGAATGGGATTAGTGCTCTTATGGACAGTTGAAGGGAGTTGCCTCACCCCTTCCACTCTGTGAAGACACATAGAAGCTGCTATTATGAGCAACAAGCCCTCCCCAGACACTGAATCTGCTGGCTCCTTGATCTTGGACTTCCCAGACTCCAGAACTATGAGATATAATTTCTGTTGTTGATAAATTACCTAGTCTGGGATATTTTGCTGTAGCAGCCTCAACAGACCAAGACAAACACAGAGTAGAGAAACTTTCCATATTGACTGAGTTTTATTGTTCTTGCACTCCAGAGAATCAACATGAAAGGATATGTCTAACACCAAATAGGGGTTAATTAGTTGAAGTTATTAAAGCCAGAAGGCCCTGGCAAATGGCATAACATAGCTACAGCATGCATGGTTGGTAACTGACCCAAATTATGCTATAAAAATGGTCAATGCTACAGCCTGGATATTCTCCTAGTGGATAAAATATGAAGCCACCTAGGTGAGATGATTTTAGGTGCCACCACACTGAGTGGGTCAAACACCATGAGTCCTAGAATTCTACTGTTAGAAATTTATCACTTTGGTTGACCACTTTAGCTCCTATTACAATATGTATTTCCCAGAGAAGCTAATACTCATCAGTTCCTTAACACAGATATGCCTTTTATTGAAAAAAAAAAAAAACCTACAGAAATAGAGGTCTGGAAGCAAGAAATATAGTTTCAAAAATCAAATGGGACAGGCCATAATTATAATTGCATATGGTTATGATCAATGCTGAACCTTAAGCCTGAGACCTAAAATCAATCTAGCTTTCAGTCAACTTACTTTAGTCTGTCTCATCATATTATTTCCTTTTATATTAGCCTGTTCTAGAAGTTCTGTAAACATTTCCTTGAAAAGGTAAGCAACCATCTCTAAGGCTAGAAGATCAATCTCATTGATTATATTTTTCCCTGAACTCTAGTTCTTCCTTTTCAGCAGAAATATTACTGTCCTTAGTGGCTCAAGCCTGTAATCCTAGCACTTTGGGAGGCTGAAGTGGGTGGATCACCTGAGGTCAGGAGTTCAAGAGCAGCATGGCCAACATGGCAAAACCCTGTCTCTATTAAAAATACAAAAATTAGCCAGGCGTGGTGTTGTGCACCTGTAATCCCAGCTGCTCATGAGGCTGAGTCAGGAGAAACGCTTGAATCCGGGAGGCAGAGGTTACCGTGAGCTGAGATCATGCCACTGCACTCCAGCCTAGGCGGCAGAGCGAGACTTCATCTCAAAGAAAAAAAAAAAAAAAGAAATATTACTGTCCTAGAAGAAAACCTCTTTAACTCTTATTTCTTTCCCCTCTATTATAAAGTGCCAATAAAAAAGGCTTCCAGAGCATATAGGTATTTATATTAAAACAATTAAAACTACTGTTTATCTATTAACTCCATATATTTTCAAAAGACCACTATTAGGTTACCCGCATTCTGTCCATAGGCCCATCCTGATAGAGGCTTTCCTTCCAGTTCTAAGGTGAGATTAATGTCTTCTTGAAAATGCTTAGAAATTTTGAAGTTTCTGTTTTCAGTTGAAATTTCTCAAATTGATAAACCTTTTCAACTAATAATTATATTAGTTTGTTTTCATGCTGCTGATAAAGGCATACCTGAGACTGGGAAGAAATCAGAGGTTTAATGGACTTACAGTTCCATATGGCTGGGGAGGCCTCATAATCATGGTGGAAGGCAAGGAGGAGCAAGTCACATCTTACGCGGATGGCGGCAGGCAAAGAGAGAGGTTGTGTAGGGAAACTCCCATTTTTAAAGCCATCAGATCTCATGAGACTCATTCACTATCATGAGAACAGTGAAGGAAAGACCTTCCCCCATAATTCAATCACCTCCCACCGGGTTCCTTCCATGACATGTGGGAATTGTGGGAGTTACAATTCAAGGTGAGATTTGGGTGGGGACACAGCCAAACCATATCAATAATCATTCCTTTTAAAATTGCAAATACCATCAGTAAAGTCAATTGTAACTCTTTGTTATAATTTACATTTACAAATATGTTGTATTAATATTAGAAATTATAAGTTATATTAATATTTATAAATATGTTTGTTTACATTTATTCTGTTACAGTTGACTACTGATGGTATTTGCAATTTTACCATTTGTAACATAGAGTCATTTGTAAATTAATACAAACTATTTTAAGCCTTTGATTTCTTTTAATTCCTACCTTAGGGCATTCACTGAAAGAATGAGATTAACTTGAGGGAAAGGGAGAACACAGAGAATGGGGTGGTAAAAAGATATTGCTATAAAAGTCTTTGGGTAGCAGAAAAAGACTAGCATTGGGGCATAGGAAAAGACATGGGGTAGTGACAGACAAGTGTTTGTATCGAAATTCTGCCTTAGGTGGATTTTGATTAGGATGGGAGAGAGAAAGAGTGAGAATGAGAATAAGAATCACACACGCGTGCGCACACACACACACGCACACACACACGCAGAGCAAGCTCTTTGTTACTTCATTTCTGCCTTCTTTCTATCTTCACCCAAGACAAGTGTCTTTTTTGCTATGCGAGGACTTAAACTAGGCTTTTTTAAACCGAATTTGAGCTATACTCTGGGCTAATTGATTCTTGCAAGCTAGTCTGGCATTTATGGTGCCTGCTTTTGAGAAAAGATGCCTTTGCAAATCTGAACAATAAGCACTTAGGAAGCCTCTTACAACAAATTGACTTATAAATCAGGCACACAGTTACAGATAGCGTTTTAACAAGAGAAAGCACCTACTAAAGAAGTCAGCTGCCCATCAGATGATGTGAAATAAATGTTTCTTATTGAGCAAGTAGAAAAGAATGGTGAGCTCGTTCATTTTACAGTCAGACCATCCCCATGTGGCAGGGTGGGCCAACTAAAGAGGGAAATGTGAGCCGTTAAATATTTAGTAATTATTTGGTGTATAAAAACTCTAGCCATGGAAATAGCTTATCCACTTAAAATTGTAAGTATATTTTGTAGGAATTTTAATGATGTGTATGCATTTTGGGATCAAAAGATACATATAGAAAATAAAATGAAACAATAAACACATTGTTCAACACACTCAGAAAAGCTACTTGGCACCATTTTAAAAAAATATATGTTACGTTCATTTTGCCTTTGGCTCCTTCATCTTGTTCCCTTGTCAATTACCTGTCCCTCTCCAAATAGCCCTTTTCTCTTTCCCTATTCTTAGAAGGCTCTTTTCCCTAAGATAATTCAGCACTCTCTTTCCTCACTCCTGTATCTTTCTAGGGAGTATGGTGTACAGGGTGATGTTTTTCTCTGCTCAAGTCATTAACTTTGTTAGAAGAGCACCAGACAGAGTCAGTAGGATTCTTCCCTTCTCAGTATTAACTAAGCACCTGTCAAGGTTATGTTTTCAGGCAAAGTTTATGGTTGGTACACAGAGGGTTAGAACCTTAACCATGACATTATGGAGCACATGGAACCTGAAACTTCTGAAGGAAACTTTCCACTTCAGCTTTTGGCAAGAAAAATAAGACGGAGAGAAGAGAGGGAATTAGATCATGACACATGTTACTCAGAGAAAAAAAAAAGCAGGAGGTAGTTTAAGAAAATGGGGTGAAGGAAAGCCTAAGAGACAAAATTCTGGCATCACTTTCCTACCTAGGAAAGTGCTCTCTTCTTTCTTATATCTGGCTTCTAAGCTAATTTTTTAATTATTCTTACTGCCTCTATGTTCCTCAATACTTCATTTTTAATGAAACACATGTTTAAGGTCATTTTCATTATTTATTTTTCTAGGGAGTTCTTTCTCCAACTTCAGAACTCTCTCTAATATTCTTGTGGTTATTCAGTCTTCTTTGATTTTTAAGGGATTGTCAAGGTTCCTGAAGCAATGTATTTTCTTGTTCAGCACAGTTTTCAGCTGTGCTCAATATTTGGATTATTCAAAAGAGAGTATTTTGTTTTCCTTCTGGCGTGATTCAAAGTATGTAGAGTAGTCCCCTCTTATCTGCAGAGTATACGTGCCAAGACTCCTGTGGATGCCTGAAACCACAGAGAGTACCTCACTCTCCATCGACACTATGACTTTTTGATCTGATAACTGAGACAACTACTAAGTGACTAACCGGTGTGTGGTGTACATGGCGTGGATCCACTGGACAAAGGGAGGAATCATGTCCCAGGCAGGATGCAGTGAGATGGCATGAGGTTTCATTACACAACTCAGAATGGCGTGCAATGGAAAAACGTATGAACTGTTTATTTCTGGAATTTTCCATTTACTTTTTCAGACTCTGGTTGACTGAAGGTAACTAAAACCACAGAAAGTGAAAGCGCAGATGGGGAGGGGGAACTAATGTATAACTATACTTTAATAACACAAAAATTAATGATGTAGTATATTTGCTAAGCAAATCTGGCAACAAGAAGGAAGATGGAAAACCTCAGCATCCTGAAGAGTAGTTATTTATCTCAGAATGAAATTAAATTTTCAAGAGGGTGGGAAATTATATTCCAACGATAGGATGAAGAGCAGAAGGAGGGTTAATGTATGCTAATATTTTAGGGAATATGAGATATATGAATTTGGGTAAGCTTTTTTGTTTTCCCTTTATCGTAGGAGAAAATAATGTTGTGTATGCATTGAAAAATGCCCATTGAAACCATATTTTACGTAAGATGTATACAATGCTGACAAAGATTAGTTTATTAATTTATAATGAGTAGAACTTTCATGGAATTACAAGATAAAACACTATTTCTGGTAAAAAGGCAGAATTAAGTAAAGTAAAAAAATTATCTTTACATTTTATAAATGGTCTTGGAATTCAGAAACTTGGTATATGTAAAGTAAAAGAAAAACAGAACTGCATGTTGGAAAGAAATTCTCTAATATAAACTGTAAAATAAGGAAGATTGTTTTTTAAAATCCTGGATTAAATTACATTTTGATAAAATATTTGACTTTTTCAAATGATGCTGGTATCTGCTTCCATCTAAAGACAGCATATGCTTCAGCTTGAAACACATCTATTTCTGTTATTAGATTCTCCTTTTACCATAATTGTTCTTGTTTAAATCACCATTTACCTACCTTTTCATCACGACTTTAAAAATTCCTGTATTGATTCAATATTATGATATGAGACCTTTTAAAGAAGTATCTTTTTTATAGAAAAAAAATCTGCTTATTTGGAAAATGTGTAAAATGATGGAAGAGGATACTAGTTAGTCATCAAAACATATTTCCTCTTCTTAATTAGCACACAGTTATGCCACATTTCCAAGTCTCCCTTGCAGTAAGGTGCAGCCATGTGACTGAGTTCTAGCCAGTGAAATGTAAGCAGAAGAGATATATGTTATTTCCAGGCCTGGCTCATAAAATGCACCCTACATGTTCTCTTTCCTGCAACTTTCTTCCTTCAACTGATTGTGGTGGAAACAACAATACAAACTTTGGAAGCCTCATTTTGAGGGTGTCAGAACATTCATCAGAGATATAAATATTTTTCTGTAAGGTATGAGGTATTATACATTTTTAGAGTCGTTTTATATAAGCTTAGCCTAGAGTTATTAATAAACTACCTCAAGATAAATACCAAAATACAACAATATCCAATTTTATATAATAAACAATCTTTCTGTTAAAACATTCTCTTTATAAATATAATACAATTCTGTTGACTTTGACATTACTTAATTTCATTATACTTTTGCCTCACTATTAAAACCAGATATCATTAGACTTCTCTGATAATTTGTAGGTTGTCTTTCTAAAATTAAACCAATGGTCAAAGTAGAATTGTTTCCATTATACTGATATGAAGCAATAATGTAGGTTAAGAGCTCAGTAAGAAGGCCAGATATACTGATATTGAAAAGCTTACAGGACAGTCTCCATAGCAACCTCGTGCATATTATTTTATTAGTTTCTTACAAAAAACGTATACCTGAAAAGTACTATGGAAATGGTGACCCCAAATGTCTGACTTTCCCAAGGCCACAGTTAGAATGTAACTGAACCCAGTTAGAACTTGATATTCTTTTGAAAGCTATGCTAGGAGGCTGGATAAGTCCACAGGAGAATTCATAATATCCTGTCTAATTGCCATATCTATGCTTGATTTGGGTAAGAAAATTCTGGAAGAGAACCCATTGACAAAAGGCGTACAGAACCTATCAATTAACACTTTGTTAAAACCTTTACCTTCCTACATAAAATCGTAGACTTTTAAACATGAGGATACATAGAGGCCATTTATTTCAACATGCTTGACAAAATAAGAGCTCAAAATCTATCTCTGATAAGATGTAGTTTTTCTAGTTGTCTATCTTGCACATGAATATTTACCTGTGCTAAAAAGATAGTCCATTCCACTTTTAGACAACACTAATTGTTAGAAATTTTACCTTATGTTAATTGAAATCTACCTCCCTGGGACTTTAAATGCTCAAAGGCAATCAGATTTTCCTTTACTGTAGCTTTTTTTTTTGTATTTTTTTAAATTTTATTATTATTATACTTTAAGTTTTAGGGTACATGTGCACAACGTGCAGGTTTGTTACATATGTTTACTGTAGTTTTACTCTGCTGTGCTTCAAATCCTTTCTGACCACATTTGTTGTACCCTTTTCAATTTGAAGATGAATCTCCTTGGGAGAGAAGAAAGAAGCAAAATCAAAATTGAGTGGCTTTACTTTCTCTCTGTCATTGAATAACATCTTCTTCAAGCAGGAGGGCTATTTTTTTCTTATTATCCTTATTCGCACATAGCTTTTTAAAAAGTTTGCTGTTCCCAGTACTCTTCAATAGGTCAAGGAGTCTCCAAATATTTGTGCACGGCCATTATTTTGGTATCTTAAGAAAATAAAATGACTCCTCTTTCATCTTCTTTGAGTGATAGGGTTATTCTTTCAATCGCAGCAACCAGCAATGCTTAATTGTTTGTTTGTTTGTTTTTTAAGTCACACTAAACTTGAACATGACCTGTAACTCATTTTAGTGGCATCAAATTACTATCTCATGACAAGTAGTGCAAATGCATTTGTGTCCTATGCTTACCAGGCACTGTAATTCAGCCCATGCTGAATGAGCTTTAGGAGAAATTCATATCCTGACCCTGGTACTGTCTAAAAACTCAGTGCCTTTGGCATTCATATTTATATCTCTTGAGGATGCTGATCATTAGGCACATGTATATTTTATGACTTATTGTAATTGTTGCTTCAAACTTTTCTTCACGTGCTAGAAGCTTATATATGTAGCATTTTTCCCTTTAATTAACTAGATCTCAAATTATGTTCTCTTTACAGGTCGAGAACGCATTCATCACAATACAAGACCTGGGCACCATTTGTATTAAACTTGCACTTAGCCGTATCTGATTTAATTTCCAATTCTTAATAGGTATATTAGCTTATATATGAAACACAAGGCATGCCTAAAACACAAAGCATGGCATATATAGCTTTGAATTGCCCTGATCAAATAGCTAATGATCTGACACTAATTCTCATATTTCTTTTTAACCATGGCTATTTTGTTTTCCATTTAATATATAGGAAATGAAAATTTGCATTTGTATCTCAGTAGATGGTTTAAAATTGACTTTCATATACATCAAATCCTCCCCAAACCCTGTAATATAAGCAGGGTTGGTATTGCTGACTTCAAATCCTCCCCAAACCGTGTGATATAAGCAGGGTTGGTATTGCTGACTTCTGTGTTTAGAAAGAAACCAAAGCTTAAAAACTGAAAGATAAAATAAATGAACGAGGACTCTCCATCAATCCTGTTGAAAGATTTTCTATTATTATAATAGTAATTAGCACTGAAATAACACTATTTTCAAGGACCATTCTAAGTGCTTTACATATATTAACTCATTTCTTCACAACAATCTATGATGTAGGTTCTATTATTGTTATTCTTATTTTACAGATAGAGAAACTGGGGCACAAAGTCACACTGCTATTAAGAACTGAGTTTTGAACCAAACTATTCTGTCTCTAGAGTCCATAGCCTTATTTCCCATATTTTCACCTTGGTAAACATTTATCGAGAACATGATCTGTGCAAAATGCTTTGTTATGTACACTGAGAGCTATAACAACTAACAACATGTTTGAAGGGATAAATATGACTGTAACTTTAAAAACTGAAGCTATCGTAAAAATATTACAGAAGCTTAAATGTTTTTTCCCATTGGTATGAGGTGGGAAGAAAGAGCCCTAGTGGTCAATCTAGGAAACCATTTGAAGGAGATATGATTTGAAGCTCTTTGCAATCTGAGAAGACCTTTGCAGCGTGAGAAGGACTGTGACAGGTGGGCACCTGGGCAAGAGCATTGCAATAGGACAGCCTACGTAGAGGCCCAGGGAATGAGACTGTGGGAGTGAAAGGTGAGATTTCTCATGTGGTTGAAGTTGAGGGTGTAGGAGTGAGGCAGGATTTAGTAACAGATAAATTACGAACATAGCCTCGAGCCAGATTGTGGAGAGCCTTGAACACTAAACTGAGAAGATTTGAATTCCTTCTATATGCAGTCTGGACCCAGGAAAGGTTTTTAAGGACACGAGTTACATAATCAGATAAATTTTAGAATGGCATCTCTGGCAGCAAAGTATAGGCTTAATTGGAGAGGGCTGGACTAGAGAAAGGAGAACCAGAATTGGATAAAGACACAATTGTCCAGGCAAGAAAGAGGCAATGAGTGTCTGAACTAAGCTAGTGAAAATATGAGTCAGGAGCCTTTTACCAAAGAGAAACTTGCTCAGAAATAGGATAAACTAGATTTGGAAACTCATGGGAAGGAGAAATAGGAGGTTACCTCACATTTTATAGTCTGAACAGTGGAGAAGTTGCCCCTGTAGTCACAGGAGACAAATATATGGTCAGTTTTGGGGATTTTGTGAAAAAGCCCAGCCCATGATAATCTTTCTTCTTGAATTTTAACACTCAGCTTTGCACAGTTTGGTCCTCTGCTTGTATTATGTGTATCTCAGTGTGTGTGTGTGTGTGTGTGTGTGTGTGTGTGTGTATGTATATATATGTTATATATGTGTAATATATATGTTATATATGTATAATATATATGTTATATATTATCTGGCATGTATATATACACACACACATACATCTCATATCAGATCATCTCTCATAATGTCAGTGTGTATTGTAGCTTTGACTGCCTGGTTAACACGTGAATCTACTCATCGCTGTATCGGAAATCTCTCTGATAGCCCAAATCATCTCTTACTATTTTCATAGGTCATGCTATTTTTCCTAAAACACAAGTTAATCTTTCTCTCTTCTTGAATATTTAAATATTGATATAAATTTGAATACAATTGGTAGGTAAGATCAAGGGTTGGGTGATTTTGATGGATGATAACAATCTAGTGAAAGTATTTTTAGACATACGAGTTATGATTTTTTTGCATAATTCTTGCGGAAGACCGTGTGATAGTTTTCTGTGTGTCATAAATTATTTCAAACCCTTTGCAGTTTCAGTATGAAATATTTCTAATGAACAACTCCTTTGAATTATACTAGCAACATTCTATGTGGCTATTTCAGAGGATAATATGTCTACATTTTTGCTGTATGTTTTTGTACTCTTAACCACATTTAAACCATTGTTAACCTTGGAACATCCTAAGATCTGGCCCTGTATTTTTTACATCTTTTAAAGAGGTGACACACCCTTTATAATGTGCATTTTTCACTTTTTAAACCTACCATTTACTTTTTAAGACATTTTGAACGTTTATTTCATCCTATTGTGATTTTTAATTTTTCTCCATTATCGCTTACAATGTTTATATATAATTTATGATAATAATGTATATTTGCAATGCATATAATTCACCTTTTTGCCAATTGATCTTCATTAAGTCAGTCAACAAGAGAAGCTTAATAATGTTCATGTCCTTTAAGATGCTATTTACCTTCATGGTTCAGTCTATAAAAATTGGGTCCAAGACAAAGGAACACACTCCAGATTAGTCAGACAATCCTAGCAATTGTTTTGTCAATTCTATTATTATTCATATGTTGCTTACTTTTATTGAGTCTTTCTCTACCCTTTCCTTTCTGAGCCCTAAAATAATACTTGCTGCCCCATTGACTTCAGGCTTGGCAACACAGCTCGTTTGGCCAATGAAATGTAAGTAGACATAACATGTTGCTCTTTAAGCAGATCTTTGAGTTATTGTCTGATTTCCTCCAACTTTTTTGTCCTATCTTTCTGTAGGCTAGCACATCACAGATAGAGGCTGCGACTTCAGCCTTGATCTCAAAATAAAGTGCACCTGGAGCAGAACCTCAGTCAATATGTACCCATACAATGTAGTGAAATATAAACCTTTGTTTTTGTGAGTTACTGAGACTTGGAACTTATTTGTTAATTGCACTACATTTAGCTTAAACTAATGCAAATAACTTTCTGCATATTTTATTCTTGTTTGGTGTAGATCATTGTAGACATTTTCCCTACATATTTTCTGAAAAATTTAGTATATTTTTATTAAATGGTATAGTATTATAAAATAATTGTTGTAAACTTTAAAAAGTCTTTATTCTGGTTAACAGTGTATTGTGAGCATTAAACCAGATGACTAAATGTATACTTGCCTCTTTAATGATTTAATAGTGTTCTGTTTATGGAAAGTGGCATAGTGTAGTGGTTAAGAGTACAGTCTCTGGGACATAAATTTCTGGGTTCAAGTCACTGTTCTACCACTTACTAGCTGTGTGACCATAAGATACTAAATTTATTTGTGACCTTAAGTAAGAGACTTATTTATCCTATGAAATAGTAATCCAATCCCTTATTTTGTTAAATAAATGACTTTTTCTATTATAAAAATATGGTAAATAATATCATGGGTGCCACCCTCTCCCTCATCCTCACTTCTGGCTTACCTCAATTTCTCATGAGCCTTTATTATTATTACTTTTAAATAACTTTCATAACTTTTTAATGATTGCCATTCTAACTGGAGTGAGATGGTATCTCATTGTGGTTTTGATTTGCATTTCTCTAATGACCAGTGATGATGAGCTTTTTTTCATATGTTTGTTGGCCACATAAATGGAAGGGGAACATCACAAACCCAGGGCCTGTCGGTGGGTCGGGGGAAGGGGGAGGGAGAGCATTAGGACAAATACCAAATGCATACGGTGCTTAAAATCTAGATGACGGGTTGATAGGTGCAGCAAACCACCACAGCACATGTATACCTAACCTGCACGTTCAGCACATGCATCCCAGAACTTAAAGTAAAATTTTAAAAAATGTATATATATAAAATACCTTTTATATTCCTCTTTATATCTAGTACTACCACAACTACTTTAATAAAAAATATTAATACTTTGATCTCTTACCTGAAGTGTTAGTCTACTTTTATCACTCTTATCATACTTTAATCTGCTCTCCATACTGTAGCCAGAATGACTTTTCCAAATCGTAAACCTCATCATTCATTCATCTTCTTAAAACTCTCCAATGGTTTCCATTTTCTCTTAGAATAAAGGAAAAATTTCTTACCAAGTCTTAATTATTTTCTTAGTCTGGTCTCTGCCCCTCCACCTTCATATTTTCCATATTCCATCATGCTGTCTGTGCTCCATTTCTGAAAAATTACAAAAAAGAAAAAAAATCAAATTATATATATTAGATTAATCAGGACTCCATAGAAAAACATAAGCAATAGTATATAGAGTCATGCATTACTTAATGATGGGGATATGTTCTGAGAAAGGCATTGTTAGATGGTGTCCTTGTTTGAAGATCATAGAGAGCGCTTACACAAACCTAGATGGTATAGCCTACTACACGCCTAGACTATATGGTATAGCCTATTGCTTCTAAACTATAAACCTGTACAACATGTTACTTTACCAAACCCTGTGGGCAATTGTAACACAATGCTAAATAGTTGTATATCTCAATGCAGAAAAGGCATAGTAAAAATACAATCTTATAATCTTATGGGACCACTGTCCTATATGCAGTCTGCTGCTGACCTAAATGTCATTATGTGATGCATGACTGTGTATGTGTGTATGTCTGTCTCTGTGTGTGTGTCTGTCAAAAGAGATTTATTATAAGAAATTAGAAATTGGCTCATGCAATTATGAAGGGTGAGAAGTCTCAGGATCTGCAGCTGGTAAGCTGGAGACCCAGGAGAGGCAGTGCTATAGTTCTAGTCTGAGTCCAAAGGCCTGAGAACCAAGAAAATTGATGTTGTAAGTTCCAGTCCAAGAGCAAGAGAAGATTGATGTCCCAGCCTGATCAGTGAGGCAGAGAGGGCAAATTTTCTCTTACCTTGCCTTATGTTCTATTCAGGCCTTCAATGGATTGGTTGAGGCCCACCCACATTGAGAAGGGCCATCTGTTTTACTTAGTCTACGGATTAAAATATATGTCTTAACCAGTGCTTGCTTCGGCAGCACATATACAAATATATATCTTGTCCAGAAACACCTTCACAGACATGCCCAGAATAATGCTTTTCATTTGTTTTTGTTTCTTATTATTTTTAATTTTTGCAGGTACATAGTAAGTGTATATATTTATAGAGCATATGGAATATTTTGATACCAGCATAGAATGCATAATAATCACATCGGGTAAATGGGGTATCCATCACCTCAAGCATTTATCCTTTCTTTGTGTTGTAGACAATCCAATAATAGTTATTTTTAAATGTGTTATTTAAAAATTATTATTGACTGTAGTCACCCTGTTGTGCTATCAAATACTAGAGCTTATTCATTCTATCTAATTATATTTTTGTACCCATTAACCATCCCCACTCCACCCACCACTCTCAGCCTCTGATAACCATCATTCTGTTCTCTATCTCCATGAGTTTAATTGTTTTATTTTTCAGCTCCCACAAATAAGTGAAAACGTGTGATGTTTGTCATTCTGTGCCTGGCTTATTTCACTTAACATAATGACCTCCAGTTCCATCCATATTGTTGCAAATGACAGGATTTCATTCTTTTTTGTGGCTGAGCAGCACTCCCTTGAGTATATGTACCACATTTTCTTATCCATTCATCTGTTGATGGACATTTAGGTTGCTTCCCTATCTTATGAATAGTGCTACTGTTATGGATAGTGCTACAATCTATGTGGGAGTGCAGATATCTCTTCGATAAACTGATTTCCTTTCTTTTGGGTATTTACCCAGCCGCAGGATTGCTGAATCATATGGCAGTTTTATTTTAGTTTTTTTGAGGAACCTCCATACTTTTTTCCATAGTGGCTGCACTCATGTACATTCCCACCAACAGCATCTAAATGTTCCCTTTTCTCCACATCCTCATCAGCATTTGTTATTGCCTGACTTTGAAATAAAAGCCATTTTAAAACTGGCATGAAATGACATCTCATTGTAGTTTTGATCGCATTTCTCTGATGATCAGTGATTTTGAGCACCTTTTAATGTACCTGTTTGCCATTTGTATGTCTTCTTTTGAGAATTGTCTATTCAGATCTTTAGCCCATTTTAAATCAGATTATTAAACTTTTTCCTATAGAGTTGCTTGAGCTCCTTATATATTTTGGTGATTACTCCCTTGTCAGATGGAAAGTTTGCAGATATTTTCTCTCATTCTGTGGGTTGTCTCTTCACTTTGTTGTTTGTTACATTTGCTGTGCAGAAGCTTTTTAACTTGATGTGATCTCATTTGTCCATTTTTTGCTGTGGTTGCCTATGCTTGTGGTGTATTACTCAAGAAATCTTTGCCCAGAATAATGTTCTGGAGATATTCCCCTACATTTTCTTGTAGGAATTTCATAGTTTGAAGTCTCAGATTTAAGTCTTTAATCCATTTTGATTTGATTTTTGTATATGGTGAGAGATAGGGGTCTAGTTTAATTCTTTTGCCTATGGATATCCAGTTTTCCCAGCACCATTTATTAAAGAGAATGTTCTTTCACCAGTGTATGTTCTTGGCATCTGTGTCAAAATTGGGTTCACTGAAGGTATATGAATTTATTTCTGGGTTGTCTATTCTGTTCCATTGGTCTATGTGTCTGACTTTATGCCAGTACAATACTGTTTTGCTTACTATAGCTCTGTAGTATAATTGGAAATCGAGTAATGTGATTCCTCCAGTTTTGTTCTTTTTGCTTACATCCAGAATAATGTTTATAAAATATCTGGGCACCACCAGACACACTAAAATTAATGATCACAGTATACTAAATTTGGAATATAATAATTTATATTAGGTCTTTGTCATTATAGAAAAAATTTACTGAAATGAACAATTTTGGAGGAAGTATAAATTACCAAATAAAAGCAAGAAGAAATAGGAAACAAAAATCTAACAATGTCCATGAAGAAAAATTTTTTAATATTTCAAATAATTACTTCAAAAACTAGTCCTAGGATTTACCAGTGATTTATTTCATGTTTAAGAAACTGAAAATTTATTTGCCATTTGTTTTTAGAATATTAAAAATTACAGAAAGTTATATAATGTGTCTTATAAAACCAACATAAATCTGAGGCCAAAATCTGACATAGAGAGCAAAAGAGGACATTCCAATACCTGTGAGGATAATCAGAATTTTCTCTCTCTCTCTCTCTCTTTCTGTGTGTGTGTGTGTGTGTGTGTGTGTGTGTATGCCTAGTTTGAAAAAGTTTTTTCATTCAGGAGATTCCTCTATATATTTATTATCACAATTAATGTGTTCCTGCCTTGTGAACAGTGGTTTAGAAATATAAATATATATTCAAAACCTCAAAATACTAATAAATAAGATTTAAAAGTATTTTCAGGCTTCCACTTCTTTCTAAGAGTGACTAATAAGCACTGGATTTACTGTCCAACCTGAAACAATTGAAAAAACAGAAAAAAAAAAAAAAAAGAAACAATGGCTTTCAAGACACTGGACATCAGCCAGTGAAGACCAGTGTTTTAGTTTGGTAGGGCTGCTATGTCAAAATACCACAAAATTGGTGGCTTAAGTAACAAAAATGTGTTATCTCCCATTTCTGGAGACTAGAAATCCAAGATCAGGTTGTCGGCAAGGTTGCTTCCTCTGAGGACTGTGAGAAAGACTCTGCCCCATGCCTCTCACCTAGCCTCTGGTGCTTTGCTGGCAATCTTTGGTGCTCACTGATTTCTAGGAGCATCACTCTGATCTCTGCTTTCATCTTCATATGATGTTCTCTGTATGCGTCTGTCTCCAAATGTCTCTTTTTTTTTTTTAAAGAACATCCATCATATTGGATTAGAAGCCCAAGCTACGCTAGCATGACCTTGTTTTAACTGAACTAATTAGTACTGCAACAATCCTATTTCTAAATAAGGTCACATTGTGAACTATAGGGGTTAGAACTGCAACAAAAGAATGTTAGGGGACACAATTCAACCCATAATTGATAGTGATCCCTGTGGATTGAGACATTAACTAAAGAAGTCCTATGATGGCTCCAAGTTACTTCCTGAAGAGAATTTCCTTCTCACAGAGCAGAAAGAGAAAACCTAAGTGAAGGTCAGTGATCTCCCTGACTTGAGACAAAGCTGGAAGTCCACGTGGGCCAAGGTGGCTAGAGTGGTCAGGACAGAGTCTTAGAAAGGAGACAGTAGCAGAAAGAGGAAACTCCAGAGCTTCCTCTGAGTTTTCAGCTGAGCGCCGATCAAGGTATGGGTGTGAGGAAAGTACCCCAGGCCACAGAAAGAACCATTCTGAATGACTGAAGGAAACAGTTCTTGAAGATCTCACAGGGTCAGGAATTGTTCCTCTTCCCATCAGCCAGAGGAGAAAGCCTTCATACATGGAGCACTGGTTAAAGTACCTAGAAGTGTTTTTCCTTAGTGATGGGGAAAGATTAGCCTTAAACTAAACACTGCTGTGACCCCACCTAACAATGCTTTAAAGCAGAACCTAAATGGCTCAAACATTTTATAAGTAACTTCTTTAAATCTCAGAACAAAGCTCAAGAATATTTATAGAAATACAGAAACATATAGCACCCAAAGAGGCAAAATTGACCAGATCTAGCATCCAATAAAAAAAATTACCATGCATGCAAAAAAGCAGGAGAATCCAACCCACAATTAGGAGAAAAATCAATTGATACCAACCCAGAATGACACTGATGATAAAATTAGTAGACAAAGACATTAAAACAATTATTATAACTAAATTCCATATATTCCAAAAATAACAGGAAGATTTCACATGTTATACAGACATGTGAAAAACCTAAGGATCTAAATTGAACTTCTACAGTGAAAAACTACAATGACTAATTATTAAAAATAACATTTATGGGATTAATGGCAAATTAGACTTTGCAGAAAATAAGATAAGCAGACATAAATCATAGAAACTATAAAAAATGAAGCATGGAGAGTAACAAACTAAAAATATATTTGAAGAAATAATGGTCCAAACTTTTCAATTTTGACAAAACTATTAATATTCTAAAAGAAAACATAGGAGATTTCTTAATTAGGACACAAAAAATGTAGTCCATACAAGAAAAAAGAAATAGATTGGACTTTCTAAAAATTAAAAACTTATGTTATTTGAAAGGAACTATTAGGAGAATGAAAAGAAAAGCCACTGACTGGGAGAAAATATTTGCAAATCACATATTGGATAAAGGAATTGTATCAAGAATATATAAACACCAAACTGGGAAAAAGGTCCTTGCAAACCAAAAATCTGATAAACAGTTAATATCTAAAATTTATAAAGAACTCTTACAACCTCAATAGCAGAAAAACAAATAACTCGATTTAAAAGTGGGCAAAGGACCTGACTAGACATTTCTCCAAAGAATACATAAAAATGGCCCGCGAGTAAATGAAAAAGTGTGCAACATCACTAATCATGAAGGAAATGCAAATTAAAACCACTGTGAGATATCACCCTGTATCCTTAAGGATAGCTATTATCAAAAGGTCAAAAGATAAATGTTGGTGTGGGTGTGGAGAAAAAGGAACCCTAGTACACTGATAGGAGGAATGTAGATTGGTACAGCCATTATGGGAAACGGTATGGAGGTTCTTAAAGAAATTTAAAATAGAGCGACCATATGACCCAGAAATCCCTCTCTGAGTATACACGAAGGAGATGAAATCACTACCTCATAAAGACATCTGCACTCCCATGTTCATTGCAGCATTATTCACAATAGCTGAGATATGGAAACAATCTAAATGGCCATCAATGGATGAATGGATAAAGACAATGTGAGGCATATTTACCACAACATGAACGGACCTGGGGGATGTTAAGCTAAGTGAAGTAAGCCAAACACAGAAAGGAAAATATTGCATGATCTCACTTATATGTGGAATTAAACGAAAACAGAGAGCTCAAATACACAGAGATAGAAGATGAAACAGTGGCTACCATGGTGGGCAGAGGAGAGAGGAAATGGGAAGATTATAGGTCAAAGGGTACAAAATAGCAGACACGTAGGATAAAGAAGTCGAGATCTAACGTATAACATAAGGACTAAAGTTAACAAAATTGTATTGTATTAAAGATTTTTGTTAAGCAAGTATATTTTAGCAGCTCTTGTCACAAAAAAGTATGTGAGATGGTAGATATGTTGACAGCAAATCTACATATAGACACCATTAGCTTTCCTAGCACAAATAAAAACAGAACTATATGATGATCTCAGTATATGTTAAAAAGCATGAAACATTTAATAAAAGTCAAAAGCTATTCTTTAATTTAAAAAACTCTTAGAAATTAGTAAAAAGAAAAAAAGAAACATTAACATCAGAAAGACTATCAGACAACATATTCCCTGCTAGTGAAACACTAACCATCTTTCATTAAAATAAGTAGGACAAAGATGCCATCATTTACACCAGTACTGGAGCTAAAAGGCGTCCCTCTTGGAAAGATAGATAAATAGACTCTGCTGTTTGGAATACCCTGAGTTATGAATAAAATGGTCTTCAGAAGCTGCTCAGAATGCCTTCCTGAACTATTCCATTTTATTCTTCGTGCTATCAACTAAGCATAATGCTTCCTTTGACTATGAGTTGTGAGTCATTTTCCATTCATGCTCTAAATCTTTGGAACTAATAATGATTTTCTATACATCAGTAAGTACACATTGATTTGCTTCTCTTCCCCAGATGGGGAGGTTGTATTGAGTTGGTCCATGTAACAGGAGTCCCATGTCCCTGGGACAGAGACAGAAATGCCTCTCGGTCTCCTGAGGCTGTAGTTGTTCGGATTAAAGGAGGAAAGAAGGAAGTATCAGGCTGAATCCTGGCTAAGGATGGAATCCTGGGAAGCATGACTGAGTGTTCTTTACATCTGGGAAGGCCTGGAGTTGTTCTTTCAACTAGGAAGAGCCAGGTGAAAGAGATAAGAGGGATGATCACTAAAGGAATGTTGTTTGCTCAGATGGAATCTAATCCAAGGCCAATTATTTGAGCAAAACAGTTCCAAATTCACTCAGAAAGCTTCCTGTTATAACACGTTTACATTCATCTCAGGTATGCTCAGGGTTCATAAGTTCATTGCTTATCCATATTAAAATATTGCAGGGAGTGTGAGTGACCACCAGAAAAGTTAACTAAAGGAATATATCAGCTACTCTGATGGACAATTTGAAAACAAGAAGAAAAATATGCACTATTAATCAATGTTTTCAGAAGTATCTAATTTAGTCTGGCAGCAGAACAAGGGAATTCAAAAGAAAAATGGAATTTTGTTGGAGGGGGTCAAAGTAGAAATGTTTCTTAAGTGTTACAGTGTGAAAACAGAGAAATGTTAAACTTGATGCTGTCATACAAATAACTTTGACCTCAAAAAGCCAGAAACTTTGAAGAAATCTTGATGAGTCCTACAGATTCTATCATCACCTACATATAGATCTCGATGCCAAATCTCAAGGCAGGGTACCCAGCAGAGAGCTTCTGGGACATGTGTCCACTGGGGCTGCAGCAAAGTTTGTGTTACATAACACTGCTGGGGAGATTAAGCACACAGCGAGGAGGGTAGCAGAACTGTAGTCACTGCTGTGAATACTCTCCATTAATCAATCGATCAACCCACAGGTAGATCCCGAGCACCTCACCTGTGTACAGGAACCAGACTTGCACAAGTTCGCCAAAGTGTTTCACAGAAAAACCTAAAACCAGCTTTGGCTTATGAGTTTGGACAGCAAAGGGCGAGAAAAAGAAAATTGTTGGGAAGAGGCAGAGTTACCAATAGAAATAATTACCCCAGCCTCTAACAGAAAAATAACCCTTATATGCAACTTGTGTAGGAAGTATTTAGGATTCAATATTGTAAATAGAAATCACCATGTAAATTCAAATGCAAAGAAAAATATTAATTTATTTTATTATACAATCGGGTCATTCTACATGTGCAAGACACAACGCAGTTTTATACTCTGTATAATTTTTTTTTTTGAGATGGAGTCTCGCTGTGTCACCCAGGCTGGAGTGCAGTGGTGCAATCTTGGCTCACTGCAAGCTCCGCCTCCCAGGTTCACGCCATTCTCCTGCCTCAGCCTCCTGAGTAGCTGGGACCACAGGCGCCTGCCACCACGCCTGGCTAATTTTTTGTATTTTAGTAGAGATGGGGTTTCACCGTATTAACCAGGATGGTCTCGATCTCCTGACCTCGTGATCTGCCCGGCTCGGCCTCCCAAAGTGACAAATATTTTTAAAGACCTAGAATTTGGCCTGACTTTCTGTATAATGTGATATTTTCTAGCTCTGTCTTTAAATGGAATTAAACTTCTTAGGGATGTTTGATTTAGCTCTGAGCAGATTTGTTATAACTCTGAGGATTTTTTCTAGCTGATTTTTCTTAAGTTCTCATGTTGAGGGTTCCTGTGAACTCAAAGGCCCAAACTCTGTTCAAATACACACCAAGGGAAATCTTGCCACTGATGACACAGTAAGTAAAAGGTGCCAAGGGAGAGATTCTGGCTAAGACTATTTCTTCTGTGAGAGAGGACAGAGTCTGTGTCAGTTATGATGGCAACTGTTGGATAAAAAGCAACACTTTTACAACAGAAATCTTTTTTTAAACAATCAAATGTCATGGCTGCCTGCACTTTCTGTATGTGTTGTGAGCAGTCATCTAATTCCAAAACAGCCCTAAGCGTATGTCAAATCAGTCTACAAGTTTCCTACCTGTCTTCATTAGGTTTTTCTGATTTGTCTTTGAATTTGCTGGAAACTCAATATGGGAAAGAAATTGTGTAGGACATCTTTTAATTTTTTATTCCTTGGCTCACACCCTCTGTCACTGCAGCCACCACTTTTACTCAGGTGAGGCTTGACAGTCCCTTGTCTCAGCTGCACAGAGCATCTCTTTTTTCCAACCTTGGGGTTCCTCTGCCACTATCTGTGTGTCTCCTGTAAACTTGCTATGATGGTTAATACTGCGTGTCAACTTGATTGGACTGAAGGATACAAAGTATTGATCCTAGGTGTGTCTGTGAGGGTGTTGCCAAAGGAGATTAACATTTGAGTCAGTGGGCTCGGAAAGGCAGACCCAACCTTAACCCGTGTGGTCACGATCTAATCAGCTGCCAGTCCAGCTAGAATATAAACAGGCAGAAAAATGTGAAAGGAAAGACTGGCCTAGCCCCCCAGCCTATGTCCTTCTCCCATGCTGGATGCTTCCTGCCCTCGAACATCGGACTCCAAGTTCGTCAGTTTGGGAACTCGGACTGGCTCTTCTTGCTCTTCAGCCTGCAGACGGCCTATTGTGGGACCTTGTGATTGTGTGAGTTAATACTTAATAAACTCCCATATATATATATGTGTGTGTGTGTGTATACACATATATATACATACACATACACATATATTATATATATATATGTATTGCATTGGTTCTGTACCGCTAGAGAACCCTGACTTGCCCAGACATTCTCACACAGGTGCAAAATGGAAGGGCAAAGACATACTTAACATACTTGGATGGGTGACCATTGACTAATGTAGGACAGTAACTGATTGATAAATTTTCCTCTCTTGAGAACTCCTTGTCTCAGGCAGGCAGTTCTGTGGCTTTGTCTGCATGCTTCCTTAGAGTTTACAGGCAGAGCTGTGTTCAACATTTGTAGCCTTGGAGTGGTTTTCCTTCCTTCTCTGTCTCAAACTTCCCTTCTCTCACTTCTATTCCCTGGGATTTCTTCCCAAAATAAACTACCTGTACATACACAAGGTCTCTTCTCAGGTTCTGCTTTTAGGGGAATTAAGAGAGCAACTAAGTATTTTAGTAGCTATTTGGTTGTTTTAATATGCCTTTGTGACAAACCAGTAGGTCATACAAGTATGACCTACTGGTTTGTCGATGGCTCGGTACAGTGGCTCACTCCTGTAATCCTAGCATATTTCAAGATGGCTATTCAGAGGGCTGGAAATACAAGAATGGCTGAAAAGCGTTCACAGACAGCAACAAACAGGAGTTGTGGGTGTTTCCAACAAAAAAACAAACTTGGGTTACTTGAAGCCACTAAATTTGTGGTAATCTGTTTCAGCAGCAATAGGAGACTAATACACCAGCCTGGCCCCAGTCCCCAGATGATACACACGGCTGTTGGCTAGTAGAATTCCAGTGGTATTTTATGTTTTTAACAGTTTTGAAAAGCATGTTTTTTATATGAAGCATCTTTTCCACCCTGTTTCCTCCACATCTCAAATGTCCTTGTCCAATTAAATGCAAGCTGTCATAATAAAGAAAAACAGTTTGAAATCTTTAAGATTCCCAGTCAAAAGAGAGACTCATAATTATATATAAGTGAATGCAGAATCTATTCTAATGGAAAGATTTGGAGATTTCATACACACATGCACATACATATCTATGTATACACATACAAATCAATATATATTCCAGTACATGTAGTACATATTAGAGAATACGAACATATATGCATATGCATGCTTTAGTTTGTATGTGTATATGTGTATATATATGTATATTTGTGTACATCTATTTGTATATCTGTATCTATATATCTTCAACTAAGAGGAAAAAAGCCAAGCCAAAGATAATCAACTTCCATATAGCGCCATGCTACCAATAACTTTTTTTCAAATACTATTTCTAGAAGGCAATTTGTCAGTACCTATTAAATATGAAAATGTGTACCTCTTCTGGCCTAACAATTCACTGTTCAGGAATTTAATCTAAAGAAATACTTTAAAAAATGTGTAAAGATATATGTATATATTTAATATTAATTGCAGTATGTTGTTTTCTAAAAAATAAAATGAAACATATCTGTCATTATTTAAATAGGTTTTAGTTTATTCATTAAATGCAAAGAGTGAGATTAGGATGTATGGGCACCAAAGCATATCCATGAAATATTGGGTGAAAAAAGGAAGTTTTAGATTAAAATATAGAAGATAAACCATAAAAATACATGCATTTTGATGTAAAGGTTTTCTTAGGAGCATAATTACTTTAAATATATATATATTTAAAACACAAAGAGATGGTGCTATCATCAAGATCAGAAGACAAAAAAACTTAAGTCAGTGGATTTTAGTTTCCATTTCCAGAGTTAAAGTCATATACATGCTGTACTCTATTTCTCTGTATGTATGTTTTTTTCTCTCTCTTTTCTAAAGGAGAGAAAATATAGATCTTTTTGCATTGTGGAGTTTGGGAAACGGTTAAGTCTCTGAGTACTTCTGAGCATTTTAATCTGTTGATCTCACCAAAGGTCATCAATTAATGCTTTTTATTTATAAATAACTTCTGTTCTTTGTTTTTGAGCTCAAAATTTAAGAATAAAATCAAACTTTTTTGAGGAGGTTGGGATTCAAAGTGTTAAGGACTTTTACTAAGTAAATGATTATTTGTTTCTTTTTCCATTTTAAGTGAGTTTCCATTTATAGGTGAATTACTTCCTTATGCAAGCCAGCTTTTAAAGCAACTATTTAAACGAAAATAGATAAATAAAATTTTTGAATTTTTTTTCCAGAAAGAAAAGAGGAAACATGAATGGAGTTATACTGTGTGCCAGCCTTTGTCCTAGTGACTTAAAAATGGTATAACATTTAATGTTCATGAATGCCTATTGAGCTGGAATCATTTCTTAGATCTTTCCGAGGAGACACAGGGTCCATGAAGCACAGGGTCACTTTGCCACACATTCATTTTTTTAATTTTAATTAATTAATTAATTAATTAATTAATTAATTAATTTTGAGGCAGAGTTTCACTCTGTTGCCCAGGCTGGAGTGCAGCGGTGTGATCTCGGCTCACTGAAACCTCTACCTCCCAGGTTCAAGCGATTCTCCTGCCCCAGCCTCCTGAGCAGCTGGGACTACAGGCACCTGGCACCACACTCAGGTAAACATTCAGACATAGAACTCATTACTCTTTTCTGTAACATGGAACATAAAATATTCTATGGTTTTATGTAGGCTATTAGTGGAATTATTTTTCTTAAGCCTATGTTGGCTAAACCCGATCACTTATCTTGGGCAAGTCCTGTTGGTAATGTACTAACACAGAAAGTGCAGCTATTTAGAACATCTAAAATGATAACTTATGAAACTGTATTGCTCTAAAAAAGAAGAGGATAATTTAAAATGTATACCTTGAACATTTTTCTCTTGAAGACTATTATTAGACATTTAATCTTAGATGCTAGGAGATTAGAGCTTTCTATATCTTTTTGCCAAATCTATATCTGTCAAAATCTGACTTTAGGCATATACCATTAACATAAATTGATATTTTTGGACAAAGCTTACATTATAACAGATCTTTCTAATACTAAGTAAGCCTCCAGATATTTTGCTGTTTAGTTTGGATCTTACATTTGTTCTGTAGTTGGATAAATACATACCTGAAATTTAGCAAGGAGTATGTAAACACTTGATAATATTATTAGTGTGATATGAATAATAGCATTGCTCCTTCTGTAAGAACTAAATGCCCACATTTATCAGAGTTACTACCTAATATTAGAGCTAGAATCACCTAAAGAGATTAAACAACAGGAGAAAAAAACCCTGCTCTCAAGGATTTCACAGTTTGGTGGGAGAAAACCTTTTCCATTAAAACAGCACCCTACTTCAGTGCCTAGTATATGCTAGGTGTTATTGGGGTTACCTTCAAATTTGCTCATTTGGTCTTCATAATAACCTGCCTTTGGAGGGGGATTTTCCTCCCCCAAGAATGTGCTTGCTTTTTGGTCCTTTGGAAACTCCTATTCATCCTTCAGAATTTGTTGAGATAGCTTCTTTATGAATTCTTTTGGCCAGGTGCTGTGACTCGCTCCTGTAATCTCAGCTACTGGGGAGGCTGAGATGGGACGATCATTTGAGCCCAGGCATTTGAGACCAGCCTGAGCCACATAGCAAGACCCTGCCTCTAAAAAAGTAAAATAAAATAAATGAATTCTACCTTGGCCTGCCTCCTCTCAGCTGTCCCCTATAGGATTAATCTTCCCATCTCTTAATGATTTCTGCATATATTTCTATAACAGAAATCACCTTGAGCTGAAATTTCATGGTTATCTCTCTGTGACACAACAGTGAGATCCTTTGAGGAAGAGGATTTTGTCCTATTTTGCTCATTCAAGTCAACCCCAACACTGTTCTACTGGATGATCCATTCAAATCTTGAAAGGCGAACGTCTCCCCCTCACGGACAGTACCGGAATTCAACAAGTGAAAGTTCAATTTTATTCTAGGAAGCTTCTCTAGTGAGGCAGATTTGCCAGTGTCTGTATCTTTGTCAATCTTCACGGCAATCTTCTGAAGTCATCCCTTTGCTTTCTTGCATCCTCCACTAGACAGTTGGGTGAGAGATGACTCTTATTTGATTCTCTCTCTATCTAAATAGTAACTGAAGCCTGTGGACAGTCTATAAGTGTTTACCAAAATAAATCCTCCTTACCCTACTCCATTTTTTAAAAATCAACTTTATTTAGGCATAATCTACATACAATAAAATCCACACATTTCACACGCACCGGTTGATGACTCAATAAATATATACTTCTGTACATTCATTACTCAAATCAAAATATAAAATACTTCCATTTCCCCAGGAAATTCCCTCATGCCCTTTTGTAGTTAATCTCCCCCATTCAGCTGCCACTCCAGAGATGAGAATCTCCTTTTGTTGCAGTAGTATAGTTTTGCCTATTCTACATATTCATGAAAAATTGAATCTCATGATATGTACTCTTTTGTGTCTGGCTTCTTTTATTCAATTCGATGTCTGTGAGGTTCATCTATGTTTTGCAAAAGGAAGTAATGTATTCTTTTTTACTGCTGAATAGTATTTTACTGTCTGAATATATGACAGTTTCTTTAACCATTCACCCATTAATGACATTTGAATTGTACCCAGCTTGGCTACTATGAACAAAGATGCCATGAGTATTCATGTACAAGTTGTTGTTTTTTGTTTGTGTTTGTGTTTGTTTTTGTTTTGTTTTGTTTTGTTTTTTTAGATGGAGTTTCTCTCTTTGTTGCCCAAGCTGGAGTGCAGTGGCATGATCTCGGATCTTGGCTCACTACAACCTCTGCCTCCCGGGTTCAAGTGATTCTCCTGTATCAGCTTCCCAAGTAGCTGGGATTACAGGTGCCTACCACCACGCCTGGCTAATTTTTGTATTTTTAGTAGAGATGGGGTTTCACCATGTCAGCCAGGGTGGTCTCTAACTCCTAACCTCAGGTGATCCACCTGCCTTGGCCTCCCAAAGTGCTGGGATTACAGGCGTGAGCCACTGCACCTGACCTCATGTACAAGTTTTTTAAAAATGGATATTTGTAACTTTTCTCTTGGGCAAATACCTGCCAGTTAGTAACTTAATATGGTAACTATATGTTTAATTTTATATGAATATGAAACTGCAACGTGTTTTAAACATATCTGCAGTATTTTACACTCCCATCAGCAATGTAGAAGTTTCAGAAGCTCACTGTCAGTCCTTTTTCCCACTGCTGATAAAGACATACCTGAGACTGGGAAGAAAAAGAGGTTTAATTGGACTTACAGTTACACATGGCTGGGGAGGCCTCAGAGTCATGGCGGGAGGTGAAAGGTGCTTCTTACATGATGGTGGCAAGAGAAAATGAGGAAGATGCAAAAGCAGAAACCCCTGATAAACCCATCAGATCTCATGAGACTTATTCACTACCATGAGGACAGCATGGGGGAAGCCGCCCACATGATTCAAATTATCTCCCACCTGGTCCTTCCCACAACACATGGGAATTATGGGAGTATAATTCAAAATGAGATTTGGGTGGGGACACAGAGCCAAACCATATCATTCCACCCCTGGCCCCTCCAAATCTCTTATTGTCACATTTTGAAACCAATTATACCTTCCCAACAGTCCCTCAAAGTCTAAACTCAATTCAGCAGTAACCCAAAAGTCCACAGTCCAAAGCCTCGTCTGGGACAAGGCAAGTCCCTTCCACCTATGAGCCTGTAACATCAAAAGCAAGCTAGTTACTTCCTAGATACAATGGGGGTACAGGTAATGGGTAAATACAGCCATCCTAAATGGTAGAAATTGGCCAAAACAAAGGGATTACAGGCTCCATGCAAGTCCAAAATCCAGCAGGGCAGTCAAATTCTAAAGCTCCAAAATGATATCCTTTGATTCCATGTCTCACATCCAAGTCACGCTGATGCAAGAGGTAGATTCCCATAGTCTTGGGAATCTCCACCCCTGAAGCTTTGCAGAGTATAACGCCCCTCCTGGCTGCTTTCATGTGCTGGCATTGAGTGTCTGCAGCTTTTCCAGGCACATGGCACAAGCTGTTGGTGGATCTACGATTCTGGGGTCTGGAGGACAGTGGCCCTCTTCTCACAGCTCCACTAGACAGTACCCCAGTAGGGAATCTGTGTAGGGGCTCTGATCCCACATTTCCCTCCAACATTGCCCTAGCAGAGTTCTCCATGAGGGCCCTACTCTTGCAGCAAACTTTTGCCTGGGCATCCAGGTGTTTCCATACATCTTCTGAAATCTAGGTGGAGTTTCCCAAACCTCAATTCTTGACTTCTGTGCACTCGCAGGCACAGTACCACGTAGAAGCTGCCAAGGCTTGGGGCTTGCACCCTCTGAAACCATGGGCCAAGCTGTACCTTGGTCTCTTTTAGCAATGGCTGGAGTAGCTGGGACACATGGCACCAAGTCCCTAGGCTGCACACCACATGAGGACCCTGGGCCTGGTCCATGAAACCATTTTTTCCTCCTAGGCTTCCAGGTCTGTGATGGGAGGGGCTGCCATGAAGACCTATGACATGCCCTGGAGACATTTTCTCCATTGTCTTGGTGATTAACATCCTTGTTACTTATGTAAATTTCTGCAGCCAGCTTGAATTTCTCCTCAAAAAATTGGTCTTTTTCTTTTCTTTTCTGCTCCATTGTCAGGCTGCAAATTTTCCAAACTTTTGTGCTCTGTTTTAAAATGGAATGCTTTTATCAGCACCCAAGTCACCTCTTGAATGCTTTGCTGCTTAGAAATTTCTTCTGCCAGATACCCTAAATCATCTCTCTCAAGTTCAAAGTTCCACAAATCTCTAGGGCAGGGGCAAAATACTAAGAGTCTCTTTGTAAAACATAACAAGAGTTACCTTTCCTCCAATTCCCAACAAGTTCCTCATCTCCATCTGAGACCACCTCAGCCTGGACCTTATCATTAATATCACTATCAGCATTTCTGTTAAAGCCATTCAATAAATCTCTAGGAGGTTCCAAGCTTTCCCACATTTTCCTGTTTTCTTATGAGCCCTCCAAACTGTTCCAAACTCTGCCTGTTACCCAGTTCCAAAGTTGCTTCCACATTTTCAGATATCTTTTCAGCAACACTCCACTCTACTGTTACCAATTTACTGTATTAATCCATTTTCACACTGCTGATAAAGATATACATAAGACTGGGAAGAAAAAGGGGTTTAATTGAACTTACAATTCCACATGGCTGGGGAGGCCTCAGAGTCATGGCGGAAGGTGAAAGGCACTTCTTACGTGGTGGCGGCAAAAGAAAATGAGGAAGATGCAAAAGCAGAAACCCCTGATAAACCCATCAGATCTCGTATGACTTATTCACTACCATGAGAACAGTATGGGGAAATGGCCCCCATGATTCAACTATCTCCCACTGGGTCCCTCCCACAACCCATGAGAATTATGGGAGTACAATTCAAGATGAGATTTGGGTGGGGACATAGGGCCAAACCATATCATTCACTAAAAGTTTGGTATTATTAGGCTTTCTAATTTTAACCATTCTAGTGGGAGTATAGTGGTATCTCATTGTGGTTTTTAGTTTTCCCTAATATCTAATGATGTTGAGCATCTTTTTATGTATTACTAGCCATTTATGTATATTCTTTTGTCTATTTTAAAATTGGGTTGTCTTATTATTGAGTTGTAATAGTTCTTTATTTATTCATCGTATATATGTGTCTTTAATCATATATATGTGTTCCAATATTTTCTCTTTTATTTCATACATGTGTTTTATCATATACATGTATTCCAATGTTTTCTCCTAGTCAACAGCTGGCTTTTTATTTTTTGACAGTGTCTTTGAAGACCAGAAAGTTTTTATTTTAAAAAAGTTCAATTTTTCCTTTATGATTAGTATTGTTTGTGTCTTATCTAAAAAAAAACTCTGCATATATCAAGATTAAAAGATTTTTTTTGTTTTCCTCTAGAAGTGTTATAGTTTTAGCTTTAATAATCAGGTTTATTATTACATTTTAAATTAATTGTTTTGCATGGTGTTAGATAAGCATTATGTTTTATTTTTCTTCTTCTTCTTTTTTTTTTTTTTTGAGATGGAGTCTCACTTTGTCACCCAGGCTGGAGTGCAGTGGCGCAATCTCAGCTCATTGCAAGCTCCGCCTCCCAGGTTCATGCCATTCTCCTGCCTCCCAGGTTTACACCATTCTCCTGCCTCAGCCTCCCACCATTCTCCTGCCTCAGCCTCCCAAGCAGTTGGGACTACAGGCACCTGCCACCATGCCCGGCTACTTTTTTTTTTCTTGTATTTTTGGCAGAGATGGGGTTTCACCATGCTAGCAAGAATGGGCTCGATCTCTTGACCTTGTGATCCACCTGCCTCAGCCTCCATTACAGGCATGAGCCACTGCGCCTGACCTTATTATTCTTCTTATACAAATATCCAGTTGCTTCAATATCATTTATTGAAAGAAGTATCCTTTCCTTATGAGATTGCATTGCTGCCCATGCAAATTATCAATTGGCCATTATGTGTGAGTCTACTTCAGGACTTTCTATTCCATTGATCTATGTGCTTATATTTAACTTTACCACACTGTGTTGATTAATGTACTTTTTTACTACACATTGAAACTGCCAACTTTGTTTTCTTTTTCAAAATTATTTCTCTGTTCTGGTCCTTCACATTTCCAAGTAAATTTTTGAATTATTATGTCAATTTTTACAAAAGTCTTCTGGAAATTTGACCAGAATTAAGTTAAATTTGTAGATCAACCTAGGGAGAATAAACATCTTAACAATATCAGGTCTTCTAATCCATGAACAAGGTAGACCTCTCTCAATTTACTTATATCTTCTTTAGTTTCTATCCATAGTGTTTTATGGTTTTCAGTTTTCTCTGAATCTATCATGATATATCATTTTCCCCCATTTTTCTCTTAATATGATGAATACATTGAATTTCTTTTGCTAGCCTCATCTTGCTTTCTTGGTATAAAGCTTACTAAGTTATGATGTATTATGATTTTTACATATTATGGGATTTAATTTGCTAAAATTTTGTTAAGGATTTTTGCTTCAAGACTCATAAGGGACTTTAATCTGTAATTTCATCTCTTGTGCTATTTATGTCTGGTTTTGATATTAGAACCTTGTAAAATGAGTTCTGAAACGTTCTGTCCTTGTCTTGTTTCTGAAAATGTTTGTATAGGATTGCTACCAACTCTTCCATAATGTCTTGAGTTATGATTGAGTTAGCAAATGAAAAAATCTGTGCCTTTAAGTTTCATCATTATGATAGGACTTACTACAAATTCAGTTTCTGAATAGGCTTTCTATTTTCTCTTGTAACTTTTGATTATTTAGAATTTTTTTAATTTTTTTAATTTATTATTATTATACTTTAAGTTTTAGGGTACATGTACACAATGTACAGGTTAGTTACGTATGTATACATGTGCCATGCTGGTATGCTGCACCCACCAACTCGTCATCTAGCGTTAGGTATATCTCCCAATGCTATTCCTCCCCCTCCCCCCATCCCACAACAGTCCCCAGAGTGTGATGTTCCCCTTCCTGTGTCCATGTGTTCTCATTGTTCAATTCCCATCTATGAGTGAGAACATGCAGTGTTTGGTTTTTTGTTCTTGGGATAGTTTACTGAGAATGATGATTTCCAATTTCATCCATGTCCCTACAAAGGACACGAACTCATCATTTTTTATGGCTGCGTAGTATTCCATGGTGTATATGTGCCACATTTTCTTAATCCAGTCTATCATTGTTGGACATTTGGGTTGGTTCCAAGTCTTTGCTATTGTGAATAATGCCACAATAAACATATGTGTGCATGTGTCTTTATAGCAGCATGATTTATAGTCCTTTGGGTATATACCCAGTAATGGGATGGCTGGGTCAAATGGTATTTCTAGTTCTAGATCCCTGAGGAATGGCCACACTGACTTCCACAATGGTTGAACTAGTTTACAGTCCCACCAACAGTGTAAAAGTGTTCCTATTTCTCCACATCCTCTCCAGCACCTGTTGTTTCCTGACTTTTTAATGATTGCCATTCTAAGTGGTGTGAGACGGTATCTCATTGTGGTTTTGATTTGCATTTCTCTGATGGCCAGTGATGCTGAGCATTTTTTCATGTGTTTTTTGGCTGCATAAATGTCTTCTTTTGAGAAGTGTCTGTTCATGTCCGTCGCCCACTTTTTGATGGGGTTGTTTTTTTCTTGTAAATTTGTTTGAGTTCATTGTAGATTCTGGATATCAGCCCTTTGTCAGATGAGTAGGTTGCAAAAATTTTCTCCCATTTTGTAGGTTGCCTGTTCACTCTGATGGCAGTTTCTTTTGCTGTGCAGAAGCTCTTTAGTTTAATTAGATCCCATTTGTCAGTTTTGGCTCTTGTTGCCATTGCTTTTGGTGTTTTAGACATGAAGTCCTTACCCATGCCTATGTCCTGAATGGTAATGCCTAGGTTTTCTTCTAGGGTTTTTATGGTTTTAGGTCTAACATTTAAGTCTTTAATCCATCTTGAATTGATTTTTGTATAAGGTGTAAGGAAGGGATCCAGTTTCAGCTTTCTACATATGGCTAGCCAGTTTTCCCAGCACCATTTATTAAATAGGGAATCCTTTCCCCATTGCTTGTTTTTCTCGTGTTTGTCAAAGATCAGATAGTTGTAGATATGCAGCGTTATTTCTGAGGGCTCTGTTCTGTTCCATTGATCTATATCTCTGTTTTGGTACCAGTACCATGCTGTTTTGGTACCAGTACCATGCTGTTTTGGTTACTGTAGCCTTGTAGTATAGTTTGAAGTCAGGTAATGTGATGGCTCCAGCTTTGTTCTTTTGGCTTAGGGTTGACTTGGCGATGCGGGCTCTTTTTTGGTCCCATATGAACTTTAAAGTAGTTTTTTCCAATTCTATGAAGAAAGTCATTGGTAGCTTGATGGGGATGGCATTGAATCTATAAATTACCTTGGGCAGTATGGCCATTTTCACGATATTGATTCTTCCTACCCATGAGCATGGAATGTTCTTCCATTTGTTTGTATCCTCCTTTATTTCCTTGAGCAGTGGTTTGTAGTTCTCCTTGAAGAGGTCCTTCACATCCCTTGTAAGTTGGATTCCTAGGTATTTTATTCTCTTTGAAACAATTGTGAATGGGAGTTCACTCATTATTTGGCTCTCTGTTTGTCTGTTATTGGTGTATAAGAATGCTTGTGATTTTTGTACATTGATTTTGTATCCTGAGACTTTGCTGAAGTTGCTTATCAGCTTAAGGAGATTTTGGCTGAGACAGTGGGGTTTTCTAGATATACAATCATGTCATCTGCAAAGAGGGACAATTTGACTTCCCCTTTTCCTAATTGAATGCCCTTTATTTCCTTCTCCTGCCTAATTGCCCTGGCCAGAACTTCCAACACTATGTTGAATAGGAGTGGTGAGAGAGGGCATCCCTGTCTTATGCCAGTTTTCAAAGGGAATGCTTCCAGTTTTTGCCCATTCAGTATGATATTGGCTGTGGGTCTGTCATAGATAGCTCTTATTATTTTGAAATACGTCCCATCAATACCTAATGTATTGAGAGTTTTTAGCATGAAGCATTGTTGAATTTTGTCAAAGGCCTTTTCTGCATCTATTGAGATAATCATGTGGTTTTTGTCTTTGGTTCGGTTTATATGCTGGATTACATTCATTGATTTGCATATGTTGAACCAGCCTTGCATCCCAGGGATGAAGCCCACTTGATCATGGTGGATAAGCTTTTTGATGTGCTGCTGGATTCGGTTTGCCAGTATTTTATTGAGGATTTTTGCATCAATGTTCATCAAGGATATTGGTCTAAAATTCTCTTTTTTGGTTGTGTCTCTGCCCGGCTTTGGTATCAGGATGATGCTGGCCTCATAAAATGAGTTAGGGAGGATTCCCTCTTTTTCTATTGATTGGAATAGTTTCAGAAGGAATGGTACCAGTTCCTCCTTGTACCTCTGGTAGAATTCGGCTGTGAATCCATCTGGTCCTGGACTCTTTTTGGTTGGTAAGCTATTGATTATTGCCACAATTTCAGATTCTGTTATTGGTCTATTCAGAGATTCAACTTCTTCCTGGTTTAGTCTTGGGAGAGTGTATGTGTCGAGGAATTTGTGCATTTCTTCTAGATTTTCTAGTTTATTTGCGTAGAGGTGTTTATAGTATTCTCCGATGGTAGTTTGTATTTCTGTGGGATCGGTGGTGATATCCCCTTTATCATTTTTTGTTGCATCTATTTGATTCTTCTCTCTTTTTTTCTTTATTAGTCTTGCTAGTGGTCTATCAATTTTGTTGATCCTTTCAAAAAACCAGCTCCTGGATTCATTAATTTTTTGAAGGATTTTTTTGTGTCTCTATTTCCTTCAGTTCTGCTCTGATTTTAGTTATTTCTTGCCTTCTGCTAGCTTTTGAATGTGTTTGCTCTTGCTTTTCTAGTTCTTTTAATTGTGATGTTAGGGTGTCAATTTTGGATCTTTCCTGCTTTCTCTTGTGGGCATTTAGTGCTATAAATTTCCCTCTACACACTGCTTTGAATGCGTCCCAGAGATTCTGGTATGTTGTGTCTTTGTTCTCGTTGGTTTCAAAGAACATCTTTATTTCTGCCTTCATTTCTTTATGTACCCAGTAGTCATTCAGGAGCAGGTTGTTCAGTTTCCATGTAGTTGAGTGGTTTTGAGTGAGATTCTTAATCCTAAGTTCTAGTTTGATTGCACTGTGGTCTGAGAGATAATTTGTTATAATTTCTGTTCTTTTACATTTGCTGAGGAGAGCTTTACTTCCAAGTATGTGGTCAATTTTGGAATAGGTGTGGTGTGGTGCTGAAAAAAATGTATATTCTGTTGATTTGGGGTGGAGAGTTCTGTAGATGTCTATTAGGTCCACTTGGTGCACAGCTGAGTTCAATTCCTGGGTATCCTTGTTGACTTTCTGTCTCGTTGATCTGTCTAATGTTGACAGTGGGGTGTTAAAGTCTCCCATTATTAATGTGTGGGAGTCTAAGTCTCTTTGTAGGTCACTCAGGACTTGCTTTATGAGTCTGGGTGCTCCTGTATTGGGTGCATATATATTTAGGATAGTTAGCTCTTCTTGTTGAATTGATCCCTTTACCATTATGTAATGGCCTTTTTTGTCTCTTTTGATCTTTGTTGGTTTCAAGTCTGTTTTATCAGAGACTAGGATTGCAACCCCTGTCTTTTTTTGTATTCCATTTGCTTGGTAGATCTTCCTCCATCCTTTTATTTTGAGCCTATGTGTGTCTCTGCACATGAGATGGGTTTCCTGAATACAGCACACTGATGGGTCTTGACTCTTTATCCAATTTGCCAGTCTGTGTCTTTTAATTGGAGCATTTAGTCCATTTACATTTAAAGTTAATATTGTTATGTGTGAATCTGATCCTGTCATTATGATGTTAGCTGGTTATTTTGCTCTTTAGTTGATGCAGTTTCTTCCTAGTCTCGATGGTCTTTACGTTTTGGCATGATTTTGCAGCGGCTGGTACCGGTTGTTCCTTTCCATGTTTAGCACTTCCTTCAGGAGCTCTTGTAGGGCAGGCCTGGTGGTGACAAAATCTCTCAGCATTTGCTTGTCTGTAAAGTATTTTATTTCTCCTTCACTTATGAAGCTTAGTTTGGCTGGATATGAAATTCTGGGTTGAAAATTCTTGTCTTTAAGAATGTTGAATATTGGCCCCCACTCTCTTCTGGCTTGTAGAGTTTCTGCCGAGAGATCCACTGTTAGTCTGATGGGCTTCGCTTTGTGGGTAACCCGACCTTTCTCTCTGGCTGCCCTTAACATTTTTTCCTTCATTTCAACTTTGGTAAATCTGACAATTATGTGTCTTGGAGTTGCTCTTCTTGAGGAGTATCTTTGTGGCGTTCTCTGTATTTCCTGAATCTGAATGTTGGCCTGCCTTGCTAGATTGGGGAAGTTCTCCTGGATAATATCCTGCAGAGTGTTTTCCAGCTTGGTTCCATTCTGCCCGTCACTTTCAGGTACACCAATCAGATGTAGATTTGGTCTTTTCACATAGTCCCATATTTCTTGGAGGCTTTGCTCATTTCTTTTTATTCTTTTTTCTCTAAACTTCCCTTCTTGCTTCACTTCATTCATTTCATCTTCCATCGCTGATACCGTTTCTTCCAGTTGATCGCATCAGCTCCTGAGGCTTCTGCATTCTTCACGTAGTTCTCGAGCCTTGGTTTTCAGCTCCATCAGCTCCTTTAAGCACTTCTCTGTATTGGTTATTCTAGTTATACATTCTTCTAAATTTTTTTCAAAGTTTTCAACTTCTTTGCCTTTGGCTTGAATGTCCTCCCGTAGCTTGGAGTAATTTGATTGTCTGAAGCCTTCTCTCAGCACGTCAAAGTCATTCTCCGCCCAGCTTTGTTCCATTGCTGGTGAGGAACTGCTTTCCTTTGGAGGAGGAGAGGTGCTCTGCTTTTTAGAGTTTCCAGTTTTTCTGCTCTGTTTTTTCCCCATCTTTGTGGTTTTATCTACTTTTGGTCTTTGATGATGGTGATGTACAGATGGGTTTTTGGTGTGGATGTCCTTTCTATTTGTTAGTTTTCCTTCTAACAGACAGGACTCTCAGCTGCAGGTCTGTTGGAGTACCCTGCCGTGTGAGGTGTCAGTGTGCCCCTGCTGGGGGGTGCCTCCCAGTTAGGCTGCTTGGGGGTCAGGGGTCAGGGACCCACTTGAGGAGGCAGTCTGCCCATTCTCAGATCTCCAGCTGCGTGCTGGGAGAACCACTGCTCTATTCAAAGCTGTCAGACAGGGACATTTAAGTCTGCAGAGTTTACTGCTGTCTTTTTGTTTGTCTGTGCCCTGTCCCCAGAGGTGGAGCCTACAGAGGCAGGCAGGCCTCCTTGAGCTGTGGTGGGCTCCACCCAGTTCGAGCTTCCCAGCTGCTTTGTTTACCTAAGCAAGCCTGGGCAATGGCGGGCGCTCCTCCCCCAGCCTCGCTGCCACCTTGCTGTTTGATCTCAGACTGCTGTGGTAGCAATCAGTGAGACTCCGTGGGCGTAGGACCCTCCCAGCCAGGTGCGGGATATAATCTCGTGGTGTGCCGTTTTTTAAGCCGGTCGGAAAAGCGCAGTATTCGGGTGGGAGTGACCCGATTTTCCAGGTGCGTCCATCACCCCTTTCTTTGACTCGGAAAGGGAACTCCCTGACCCCTTGCGCTTCCCAAGTGAGGCAATGCCTTGCCCTGCTTCAGCTCGCACACGGTGCGCGCGCCCACTGACCTGCGCCCACTGTCTGGCACTCCCTAGTGAGATGAACCCGGTACCTCAGATGGAAATGCAGAAATCACCCGTCTTCTGCGTCACTCACTCTGGGAGCTGTAGACCGGAGCTGTTCCTATTCGGCCATGTTGGCTCCTCCCGATTATTTATAAATTTTTAAAAATTTATACATTTTATCTAAGTTGTCAAATTTATTTACATAAAGTTCACAATGTTTCCTTATTATTTTAAGATTGGTGAGATTAGTAGTGTCCTTTTATTTCTGATATTGGTATGTGATTTTTATCTCTCATTTTCTTGGTTACTCTTATTGTGTCATTTTTTTCAAAACACTAACTATGGCTTTATTTTATGTATTGTTTATCTGTCTTCTATTTTACTGATTTCTGCTTTTATCTTTATTATTTGTTTCTTCTACTTATGTTCAGTTTACCATTTACTTTCCATTTACTTGTTTGCTTCTTAAAGTTAAATATTAAATCATTAATTTTGACCTTTCTTCCTTAATATAGACAATGATGTCTGAAAAATACCTTCTAAGCCATGCTTTATAAGCATCCCAGAAACTTAAACACATTGTGTTTTTATTATTATTCAGCTCAAAATACTTCTTTATTTCTCTTGCAACTTCTTTAATCCAGTGTGTGTTATACAAAGTCCAAATATTTGAGGCTTTCTGCCATATTTTACTGATGTCTAATTCAATTTCTTTGCAGGCAGTGGACATAATCTGAAATCATTCAATAAAATGTACTGAGATTTATTTCATGGGCCAATGTATGATTTATTATTTCAGGTGTAATTTTGAGTTTTTGGATGTAAGGCCTGTAATGTGCATTAGATACAGTTGACTGAGAAGATAGTTTAGATATTATATTTTCTTACTAATTTTTGTCTACTTATCTTGAGAGGTTTTTAAAATCTCTCTACATAAATGTGGATTTGACTATTTATATTTTTATTTCTGTCCATTTTACCTCATGAATTTGACTCTTTGTTATTAGTTGCATATATATTTAGAATTGTTATGCCTTATTGGTGAATGGCTGCTTTTATCATTGTGTATACTTAAAGTCTGCTTCACCTGATATTAATATAGCTCCTCCACCTTCCTTATGTTTACTCTTTGTATAGTGTAGCTTTCCTACCTGTTTATTTCTAACCTACCTCTGCCTTTATTTTAAAAATACACCTTTTACATGGCACATTAGGGTTTTGTTTCTTTGATTTTAAATTTTTTATTTTTGATTTTTGTTGGTACATAGTAGGTGTGTATATTTATGGGGTACATGAGATGTTTTGATACAGGCATGCAATGTGAAATAAGTACATCGTGGACAATGAGGTATCCATCCACAAATCCTCAAGCATTTATCCTTTGTGTTACAAACAATCCAATTACACTCTTTTAGTCATTTTTAAATGTATGATTAAATTATCATTGACTATAGTCACCCTATTCTGCCATCAAACAGTATGTCTTACTCATTCTTTCTATTTTTTTGTACCCATTAACCATCCCCGTCTCACCTTCATTCCCCACCACCCTTCTCAGCCTCTGGTAACCATCCTTCTACTCTCTATTTCCATTAGTTCAATTGTTTTGATTTTTAGATCCCACAAATAAGTGAGAACATGTGATGTTTATCTTTCTGTACCTGGCTTATTTCACTTAACCATCTCCAGTTCCATCCATGTTGTTGCAAATGACAGGATTTCATTCTTCTTTATGGCTGAATCAGACTCCACTGTGTATATGTACCACATTTTCTTTATCCATTCATCTGTTGATGGACATTTACGTTGCTTCCATATCTTAGCTATTGTGAATAGTGCTACAATCTACATTTTCTTTATCCATTATCTGTTGATGGACCCTTAGATTACTTCCAAATCTTAGCTATTGTAAACAGTGCTGCAACAAACATGGGAGTGCAGATATCTCTTCGATATACTGATTTCCATTCTTTTGGGTATATATACCCAGCAGTGGGATTGCTGGATCATATAGTAGCTCCATTTTTATCTTTTTGAGGAATCTCCAAACTGTTTTCCATAGTGGTTGTACTAATTTACATTCCCATCAAGAGAGTATAAGGTTTCCCTTTTCTCCACATTCTCACCAGCATTTGTTATTGCCTGTATTTTGGGTATAAGCCATTTTAACTGAGATGAGATGATGTTTCATTGTAGTTTTTGATTTGCATTTCTCTGATGATCAATGATGTTGAGCACTTTTCATATGCCTGTTTGCCACTTGTATGTCTTCTTTTGAGAAATGTCTACTCAAATCTTTTGCCCATTTATGGATTCAATTATTAGACTTTTTCCTATAGAGTTGTTTGAGCTCCTTATATATCTGGTTATTAATTCCTTGTCAGATGGATAGTTTGCAAATATTTTCTCCAATCCTCTGGGTTGTCTCTTCACTTTGTTGGTTATTTCCTTTGCTGTTCAGAAGCTTTTTAACTCCTTGTGAACCAATTTGTTTATTTGTGTTTTTGTTGCCTATGGTTGGGAGATACTGCTCAAGAAATTTTTGGCCAGACCAATGTCCTGGAGATTTCCCCCAATGTTTTCTTGTAGTAGTTTCATAGTCTGAGGTCTTAGATTTAAGTCCTTAATCTAGTTTGATTTGATTTTTTACATATGGCAAGAGACAGGAGTCTGCTTTCTTTCTTCTGCATGTGAATATCTAGTTTTCCCAGCATCTATTGAAGAGACTTTATTTTACCCCAGCATATATTTTTGGCACCTTTTTTTTTTGGTCCAGTATGAAAATCTCTGTCAGTTGATGGGTATTAGTTTATTTACTTTTAACATAATTGCTGATATGGCTGAATTCCTATCTTGCTCCTAACATACCTTCTTTTCGGTTTATCAACATTTTTTAATACTCAGTTTTTACTTGCTCTAGTAGTTTCCTAACTATACCTCTTTTATTGTATTTTAATTGGTTTCTCTATGGCTAACTGTATGCATCCTTAACTTACCAGAATTAATTTAGAATTAATATTGTACCTTTTAAAACTTCAACATATAACACAATACGTTTGACTTTAACCTTTCTACTTTCCACTTCCCAATATATACTTTCCACTTCACAAATATAATGACCTTGCAACGGTATAAATCCAATACTTGTCTCCTAATTCTTTGTGCAAATGCTATCGTAGCTTTTATTTCTATATACATATAAATTTCTGCTTCTAATATTATTTTTGCTTTAAACATAAATTACATTTTAAGTACTTTTTGAAAAGAAAATAAACCTAGTCTTTTGTATTTACTCATTTATTTACTATTTCTGGTGTATTTCATTCCTTCCTGCCGATCCAAATTTTCTTGGGGCATAACTTCCCTTTGGCCTCATGGTTTTCCCTTTAGAATTTCTGGTCATGGCAATTGCTGGTGGAAAATGTACTCGGGTTTTATTCTGAAAATGTCTTTATTTTACCCTTATTTCTGAAGAAAATTCTCGCTGGATATTGAATTCTCTATTGCCAGTATTTTCTTTCAAGCTTTCATATCTTACATCATTGTTTTTTGGCCTGCATTTTTTAAAAATGTGTAATAAATTTATCTTTTTTTCCCTACAGGTAATGTGGGGTTTTTTTTTTCCTCTGTCTGCTTTCAAGATTTTTTTTTTCATTTTTGTTTTTTAGAAGTTTGACTATTATGGGCATAACTATAGATCTCTTTACATTTATTCTTAAGTAAGTTGTAATTTCATCAAATTTGGAATATTTTCAGCCACTATTTCTTCAAATATATATTTTTCTGTCTCATTCACACTCTCCTTTTCTCAGGGACTCAAATAAATGTATTTTACACCATTGATATTGTTCAACAGACCCCTGAAATACTGTTCATTTTTCTTTAATCTTTTTAACCTCATTACTTACATTGAATAAATTCTATTGATTGATTTTCAATGTTCCTGACTCTTTTTTTTTTTTTTGCTGCCATCTTCAATCTTCTGGCCCCATCTAATAAAATTTATTTGTATTTCAATTACTAGATTTTTTATTTATAGAGTCTCCATATGATTTTTTTATAGTTTCCATTTTTCTGTGGAAACTCCCTATGTGTTCACTCATTAAGATCAGATTTTTCTTTAATTTTTGACCATATTTATAAAAGCAGCATTAAAGTCTTTTTCTATTAAGTCCATTTTTTTGGCCATCTTGGGTTTGTTATCTATTTTTTTCTTTTTTTTTTTTCTTGACTGTAGAGCACTGCTTCTTTGTATGACTAAGGAGTTATGTACTGAACACTGAATATTGGCAATCATATATCTTAAAGATTCTGGATTTTGTTAGTTTTCTCCAAAGAATGTGGATTCTTATTTTAACAAGGAATTCATTTGTTTTTAACTCATGTAGGGTTTGGTATAATTGTAAGCCTCGGATGGTCCTGCCTGGTTGCAGGTATAAGTCCAGCCCTTATTCATAAACCAGCAGAGGACCTCCACATACACCTTGAGGACCACTCTCTGCAATCTCCTTATTTTTCCGATGCCATATTTCACAGACTCTAGCTATTTCAGCAGCCCTACCCTCTGAATTCTGCCTCCTTAGTTCAGTTAGACTGTTAAGCTATGCTGGGACCCCTGTTCTCTGTGCAGCAATTGGGAAATTGTTTATAACAGAGATTCAGGGAAGTGATGGAACTAATCTTGTGAGTTGTCTTTCTCTAGGGGTCACAGTCCTCTCTTGCCCGAGTTCCATTGCCCAAAAACAGTTGACTCACATATCTTGTCTAATTTTATAGGTGTTTATTGTGGTAGGGCTAATTTGGTGCCAGTTTTTTCATTCATGTCTAGAAGTGAAGTTCCACTACTTCTGTCTTTTTTTCCCCCTCATGGCACTTATTACCCTCTCACATATTAGAAAATTTACTTATATGTCAGACATTAATAGATTATTATCTGCCTCTTCTCACCACCTTACCAGAATATAAGCTTCATATGAATAAAGGTATTTGTCTGTTTTGTTCACTAATGTATCTCAGGCACCTAGAACAGTGCCTGGCACGTAGTTGGTGCTTAATCAGTATATTATCTCAGTCATTTTACAAATAGGAGATGGCTCAAAGGGTGCATCTATATGTATTTTTTAACTTTCACATTAATAAGTGGTAAAACTTGCTTTTGCATTTGTTCTCAAACTTCTGACTCAAAAACCTATGTTCTTCTCACAGTAGCCTTCTTCTTTTTCTAGTTTCTAAAGTAAGACAGAGAAGAGGAAATATTAAGGAATAAAAAAACTCGGAGGCAAAATGCACAACTATGTCTCCATGAACTTCCTAAGAAGAGGCTAATTATAGGTTTATTTACTAACTAAATACAATTTATTCTACATTCTAGGTGGAAAGCTCTGTACACAATGATTAAGACTTATTCCTGGGTAAGGATATTAGTGAATCTGATTTTGGAATTGTAGTTTTATAATCTTATTTATTTGTGTTTTACTTTTTAAAAACTAAATATGATTTTTGAATGAGAAATTGGAGAAATTGAAGTCTAGTCATGGCCTAGTCTAGTCATCTATCTATTAGCTGTGAAACTTTGGGTAAATAGTAACCTTTATAGACCTGTTATTTTCCCCCAAAATTGTTCTAGTAATACATGTTTATTCCACTACTTCTTTTTAATGTAGATGAAACAAGAAAAGGAATTCCAAATGCTTTGAAAATTATAAACTGCAATGTATTAAATATTATCTGAGCTGTTTAAAATTTAAAGTTGGTAAGCCTTTATAAGTAGTATGTTAAAGATTACAAGTAAAATGATATGTAAAGAGCAGCAGCAGTATTGAAGGACATGTGTTTATTTTGTGCTAAATTGAACTTTGCAGCAGGCCTTAATAAACCTAAACCAGAAAAGAAAAATTTCTTTTACTTATTTGCTTGAAAAGAATGTTATAAGACAAATTTACTTCAGATTTCTTCAAAACTTTCCATTAAACTTGTTGTGGGTATAATGAGGGAAACTTTTACTAATATAAAAATATAAGACATAGAGTAAAAATGAAAAGCTATTTCAGGGTACAATTTCAGAAAAGGATTTAAGAGTTTGGATCATGTTTCCACTTCAGAGCTCCTTCAAGGGATTGAGGGGAAATGGTGTAGTTTTGTTTTCAGTTACAAATCGGCATGATATACATTATGTAAAAATTATGCGAGATTAAACACCTTTTAGTTGCCCAAGGAGAAATGCTTCTTTCTTTCACATATAAATTCAACCTTGGCCAGGCGTGGTGGCTCAAGCCTGTAGTCCCAGCACTTTGGGAAGTCGAGGCAGGTGGATCACTTGAGGTCAGGAGTTCGAGACCAGCCTGGCCAACATAGCGAAACCCCGTCTCTAGTAAAAATTCAAAAAATTACCCGGGGGTGGTGGCATGTGCCTGTAGTTCCAGCTACTTGGGAGGCTGAAGCAGGATAATCACTTGAACCAGGAGGCAGAGGTTACAGTGAGCCAAGATTGTACCACTACACTCCAGCCCGGGCAACAGAGCAAAACTTCATCTCAATAAAAATAAAAATGAAAATAAAAATAAATTCATCCTTAATAATTTTCTTTGTTGATATGAATACTTGTTCTGTTTGATTTAGAAAGTCTTGCATAATTCAGTTGTATTTCTCTTCTCTTCCCTTGGGAATGCAATGAGGAACTGGTTATATATATACTTTGTAAAGAAAATGTGGTATCTTAGACTAAAACTACTTTAGCAAATAGTAGTTGGTAAGTTAACACCAACTACTCCCATCCAGAAAGAACCAACCACATAATTCTGGGTTTAGTATAGCATTTATCTCGGCCTCTGAGATCACATTTTAAAGTGTTAAAATTGAATCTTCTCTTTGGGATGTTGCGGTGAGAATTGTTTTTTAAGGGAAAAAAATGGAGAAAAAATGGGCAAAGGAAATTAACAAGTAAAATCTAAATAGCTTGACCAAAATAAAATTCGTTTGAAAAGAATAAAAATTAATGCTTTCAACCTAGTACAATAACTGAGAACTAGATAAATCTATGGACTAAGAGGTCCTTGTAGATACTGCATGTGCTAGGATGAATAAAAGAGATTGGAATTAGCAAATAGATTATGTGTCAGTAAATATATGCTTTTAAATTACTTGAAGGCACACAAAACAGTTTGTTTAAAATAACTTGAAGATCTTAGACATTCCCTCTCAAATGTTATTTACCCACTGCCTCGCTTTGTTTCAGAAAGCTGTATTCCATTCTTTTGCTAGAATGTAAAAGTACACCCATCATCTTTGTCCCTGGTCCTTTAAGGTTAAGTAGAACACTGACAAATAATATTCCTCTAATGGAGTCTAAATTAGGAGTAACACCTTCTCTTATAATGATAAAATGAGCACTGAGACCTCAAGATTTTAAAAAGCCATCATAAGGGGTAGTAAAAACGGTTACAATCACTATACTGCATTGCAAATTGTGGTGACTTTGGTTTGGAATATAGTAGTATGTCAGCAACAGATACTGCTTACTCTAAATCAACATTCCTTTTTCTAACTTACTAAAGAATCTCAATTTTCTACAGGTATCCACCTATGCCTCATGTTACTTGGGGAGAGGTGACCCTATCCTTGCCTCAGGGGCAAATATTAGTTGGGACAAACCAGTTATGATAGGTAATCTCATCCTCATCTGCCAACCCTGCCCCACTGACCCAGAGTTGGGTCCCATGCCCAGCATGGGAATATGAGAGCAGGTTTTTTTTGCTTTTTGGAAAGGTTTCCTTCTTTTTAAGACAAAGGTGCTAGAAGTAACGGCATCTTTGTGCTTCCATGTGGATGTAACGTGAGCTGCGATAGCTGTCTTGCAACCCTGGGGAGAGCTATCTGTATCAGTTTATTAGGGCTGCCATAACAACGTACCATGGACTGTGTGGCTTAAATAACAGAAATTTATTTGCTCACAGTTCTGAAGGCTGGAAGTCTAAGATCAAAGTGTTGGCAGGGTTGCTTTCTCCTGAGGGCTCTTGCCTTGACTCTTCTCATTGTGTTCTCACATGGTCTTTTCCTGGTGCACGTGTGCACCTGTTGTCTCTTCTTGGGTGTCCAAATTTCCTCTTTTTATAAGGATACCAGTAAGATTGAAGTAAAACCCATTCTAATGACCTCCTTTCAACTTCATCATCTCTTTAAAGGCTCTATCTCTGAATAGTTATAGTCTGAGGTACTGGAGGATAGGGCTTCAACATATGAATTTTGGGGAGAGGCAATTCAGCTTATAACACCACCCATGGGACAAATGAGCTCGCTGACAATGGTAGAAAATATCAATGGAAAAAATCTGGGTCCTGGATATGAGATAATATATATCCTTATGCTGTGTAAGCAAGTTGAATATGCATTTTCTCTTACTTGAAATTGAAGACACATACCTTATATCTAAGAACCATGGAACAAACAAAAAACCATCAATGTCACTCCTCTTCCTAGACTGCAGAGTTTCACCAGTTAGTCTGTAATATTGAAAGAGCATCTGGAAGTTCTTCCAGTTGGAGAAATAGCTGCATGTGTTGAAGAACCTTCTCAAGTGGCAAGAAATCTTCCTCTTGTAGCACTCCCCAGGAAAGATTTGGTATTCTTTGGACCCAGAGAAAATGCTTCAAGTTTTTGAAGCTGCAAAAAGACTCAAGATAGTTACATACAGATTTAAAGTGTGCCAATGGAAAGAATGTTGTATTCGGGAAATACTTAGTTTCTTTTATGTGCATTTTCCCCATGACAATGCATGAAATGTGAATATTAATATTTAGACAGCCCCTTAATGGTTAGATAGCTAGCAACCAGGCTCTGAATACTACAAGTAAAAAAAGTTCTACAGAAAGCTATTTCTTATAAATATTTTATTAAATGGCTAATGAAAAATAAATAGTCTGCATTTATCTAGTTATTGCACAAAACATTTTCATGCGCATTATTTTAGTGAATCAGTACACCAGGGTGGGATTTTTGTGGACTTATTTTGCATACCAAGAACTTACATTAAATTGTCCATTCAAATGAATAATAAGAGTAGGAGCCAGGAACCACAGGCAGATTTTCTGTCTCTAATAGGTAGAAATCCCAATTTGCAAAACAAATACATAAACAACAAAACAAAATATAAAGCAACCATAAGCATATTTTTAAAGATTCTTTTATCAAATGACAGGCATTTTTGCCAACTGGGAAAAAATAATATGGAAAAATGTTATTTGGCTTTAAAAGAAATGAAAGGTATAAAAGTAGAATCATGAAATTTCTAAAGTAAAAAATGTCTGGATTCGGGCAAGATGGCCCACTAGATGCAGCCAGGTAGAACTGCTGCCACTGAGGGACTGGGATGACTGGCACACTCCTAAAAGATCTTCAGAGGGAAGGCACTGACAGTGAATGCAGAAAAAAACACAGAAACTGGGCTGAAGGGGAAGAAGCTGGGAACCATGTGTGGGGCTTCTGCACACCAGGACTCATTCTTGGCCCCCAATTACTCCAGGGGAATGGGCGAGTTGAACTGGCAGCAAACAACTCGCTCTAGCCATGAGCCTCTGGAATCCCAGCAAGAGGAAACCCCTCAACCACTAGGGACACTTGAGTTGGCAGGGAGAGCTGCTTAGAGAAGTGGTAGGGGCAGCAGGCCAGCTGATGCAGAGCCTACAGGGCTTGCTGTAGGAGCATTTGTAGTAGAGTAGGGCCAGGGGTGCCCATCCCTCCAGGATCAACTTGCTCCCATAGGAGACTTTAGCCCTAGGGGAACTGTTGGAACAAAATTCTGCAGTGTTGTCTTGCCCTTCAGATGGGGTGGTGTGACCTGAGCACCCCTTGTTCCACTGGTTTCTTCTGGGTTCCCAGCCTGGCTGCACCTGTTTGCATTGCAGCCTCTGGTGCCCTGGGGGCCTGCATCATAGCTTCTGCACTGGTAGATCATTCCTGAACAGTGGACAGCTTCAGTAGGGCAGTCCTCACTGCCATACACCAGTCTGCCCACTCCCCCTTCCCACTGCAGCTTCCCCAGGGTCCATGGCCACCCCCATATTGCTTTGTCACCATGTGTGGTGGGGGGACACTTTGCCTTCCCTGCCCTACCAGGGCACATGGATGTGTGGACCCTGCCAGCAGGAGTGCACTCTGCCTTCCCTCACCCACCATACTGCCATTGAAGTTGGAGCCTTGGCAAGCACAGAGCCCACTAGCCCCACCCCTGCACCAACACTGGGAGTGAAACTAGGCACACAGAACAATAGACCCTCCCCTGCCCTGAGCGGCCACAGAGGGTACACAAAGACCTGTGCCCGCCAGTGCCCCTCCTCTGTGCTAACACCACCAACAATGCAACCATGCATACAGTCACCAACAGGATGCCCCCTGCCCACACCAATCATACCACCTTTGCCACTGCTGTGAACACCTGCATGAAGGCAGGCACCCCAACATCCACTAGCATCCTGCGACAGCCGACGGGTGTGCACCCCACCACACTGCCACTGCTGCTGGCACATATGAATGAGAATGGATCGCACTGCCATCACCCTATGAAATGCTTTGTCTGGCAGCATGTATCAGAATGCAATCAACAGTGGCCAACAAGCACTTAGGCACCCCTGCCCCATGCAGTGGATTCCTAACCTCAAGGAACCAGAGAACAAAGTTAGGGCCTGTTATAAATCCTCCAGAGGTAGAGCACACAGTCTAGGAGTTGGGAGATGACTGTTGGTCCCCTAAAATCTTCCAAAAATGAATCCAGTAGACTGGACCCACCTTATACCACAAGCAAACCCTCAATGCCATCAAATAGGATAAAAGAAAAAAATCTAAAGGACAGCAACTTCAAAGATTGAAGGAACACCAGTCCAGAAACATGAGAAAGAACCCGCACAAGAAGCCTAATAACAAAGAGCCAGAGTGCCTTCTTTCCTCCAAACAACCACACTACCTCTCCAGCAAGGGTTCTGAACTGTGCTGAGATGGCCAAGATGACAGAAATAGAATTAAGAATATGGATAGGAACAAAGATCATTAAGATGCAGGAGTACATTGAAACCAAATCCAAGGAAGCTAAAATCACAATGAAACAATACAGAAGCTGACAAACAAAATAGCCAATATTAAAAAGAACTTAAACAACCTGATAGAGTGGAAAAATGCACTGCAAGAATTTCATAATGCAATCACAAGTATTAATAGCAGAATAGACCAAGCTGACGAAGAATCTCAGAGCTTGAAGACTGGCTTTCTAAAAATAAGACAATCAGGCAAGAATACAGAAAAAAGAATAAAGACACATAAACAAAACCTCCAAGAAATATGGCATTATGTAGAGGCCAAATCTATGACTCACTGGTGTCCCTGAAAGAGATGGGGAGAAGAGAATCAAATTGGAAAACACATTTCAAGATTTCAGTCATGAGAACTTCCCCAATCTAGCTAAAGAGGCCAACATTCAAATTCAGGAAATGCGGAGAACCCCAGTAAGTTACTTCACAAGAAAATCTTCATAATTATCAGATTCTCCAAGGTCAAAATGAAAGAAAAAATGTTAAAGGCAGGGTGAGAGAAAGGTCAGGTCAGGTCACCTACAAAGGGAAGTCCATCAGACCAATAGTGGATTTTTTAGCAGAGACCCAACAAGACAGAAGAGATTGGAGGCCAATATTCAACATTAAAAAAAAAAAAGAAATTCCAACCAAGAATTTCCTATCCAGCCAAACTAAGCTTCATAAGCAAAGGAGAAATAAGATCCCTTTTCAGACAAGCAAATACTGAGGGAATTCGTTAATACCAGACTTGCCTTACAAGAGCTTCCAAAGGAAGCATTAAATTTGAAAGACTAATCAGCCACTACAAAAACACACTTAAGTACACAGACCAATGACACTGTAAAGCAACCATACAAACAAGTCTGCATAATAACCAGCAAATATCACGATGACAGGATCAAATCCACACATATCCATACCAACTGTGAATGTAAATAGGCTAAATGCCCCAATTAAAAGGCACAGAGTGGCAAGCTGGATAAAAACGCAAGACTCAATGGTATGCTGTCTTTAAGAGACCCATCTCACATGCAGTGACACCCATAGACTCAAAATAAAGGGATGGAAAAAGTCTACCAAGTAAATGATAAACAGTAAAAAGCAGAGGTTGGAATTCTAATTTCGGACAAAACAGACTTTAAACAAAGATTAAAAAAAAGACAAAGACATTACATAATGGTAAAGGGTTCAATTAAACAAGAAGACCTAACTATCCTAAATATATATTCCCCTAACCGAGGAGCACCCAGATTCATAAAGCAAGTTCTTAGATACCTACAAAGAGACTTAGATAACCACACAATATTAGTGGAAGGCATCAACACCACATTGACAGTATTCAACAGATACATCGAGACAGAAAATTAACAACTCAGCACTGGATCAAATGGGCCTGAGAGACATCCACAAAACTCTCCACTCAAAAACAAAAGAATATGCATTCTTCTTATCACCACATGGCACATACTCCAAAATTAACCACATAATGAGACATAAATCACTCCTCAGCAAATGCAAAAGAACTGAAATCATAACAACTACTCTCTTGGACCACAGTGCAATCAAATTAGAAATCATGACTAAGAAATTTACTCAAAAGCATATAATTACATTGAAATTGAATAACCTGCTCCTGAATGACTTCTGGGTAAATAATTCAATTAAGGCAGAAATCAAAAAGTTCCTTGGAACTAATGAGAACAAATATACAACACATCAAAATCTCTGGACACAGTTAAGGAAGTGTTAAGAGGGAAATTTATAGCACTAAAAGCTTACATCAAAAAGTTAGAAAGATCTCAACTTAACAACCTAATATCACAATGAAAAAAACTAGAAAACCAAGAGCAAGCCAATCCCAAATATAGCAGAAGACAAGAAATAACCAAAATCAGAGATGGAGACATGAAAAACCATTCAAAAGATCAACAAATCCAGTAGGTGGTTTTTAAAAAATATTAATAAAATAGATCACTAGCTAGACTAATAAAAAAGAAACAAGAGAAGATCCAAACAAATACAATCAGAAACAACAAAGGGAATATTACCACTGACCCGACAGAAATACAAATAACCATCAGAGAATATTATGAACACCTCTATGCACACAAACTAGAAAATCCAGAAGAAATTAATAAATTCCTGGATATATATACCCTTCCAAGTGTGAACCAAGAAGAAACTGAATCCCTGAACAGACAAATAATGAGCTTTGAAATTTAATCAGTAGTAAGTAGCATATCAATCCAAAAATCTCAGGACCAGACAGATTCACAGCTGAATTCTAGCAGATGTACAAAGAAAAGCTGGCACCATTCCTGCTGAAACTATTCCAAAAATTGAGGAGGGGGGACTCCTCCGTAACTCATTCTATGAGGCTACGATCATCCTGATACCAAAACCTTGCAGAGACACAACAAAAAGAGAAAACTTCAGGCCAATATCCCTGATGAATATTAATGCAAAAATCTTCAAGAAAATACTTACAAACTAAATCTGGCTGCGCATCAAAAACAATATCAACTAAAATCAAGTAGGCTTTATCTCTGGGATAAGGTTTAGTCAACTTATGTGAATCAATAAGTGTGATTCATCACATAAACAGAACTAAAGACAAAAACCATGTGATCATCTCAATAGATGCAGAAAAGGCTTTTGATAAAATTCAACACTCCTTCATGTTTAAAGCTCTTAATAATAAGAGCCATCTATGACAAACCCACAGCCAACATCATACTGAATGGCCAATAGCTGGGAGCATTCCCCTTGAAAACCAGCACTAGAGAAGGATGCTTTCTGTCACTATTCCTATTCAACATAGTATTGGAAGTCCTGGCCAGAGCAATCAGGCAAGAGAAAGAAACAAAGGGCATCCAAATAGGAAGACAAGAAGTCAAAATATTCCTGTTCACAGATGACATAATTCTATATCTAGAAAACCCCATAGCCTTGGCCCAAAAGCTCCTTAAGATCATAAACAATTTCAGCGAAGTCTCACGATACAAAATTAACATGTAAAAATCACTAGTATGCCTATACACCAACCACCATTATGCAGAGGGCCAAATCTGGAATGCAATCCCATTCACAGTTGCCATGAAAATAAAAAAATACCTATGACTACAGCTAACCAGGGAGGTGAAAGAGCTCTACAATGAGAACTAGAAAACACTGCTCAAAGAAATCAGAGATGACACAAACAAATGGAAAAACATTCCATGCTTATGTATAGAAAGAATCAATATCATTAAAATGGTCATGCTACCCAAAGCAATTTATAGATTCAATGCTATTCCCATCAAACTACCAAGGACATTCTTCACAGAACTAATGAAAACTATTTTAAAAGTCATATGGAACTGAAAAAAAGCCCAAATAGCTAAGGCAATAAAAAAAAAAAAAAGCTGGGGGCTTCACGTTACCAGACTTCAAACTATGCTACAGGGCTACAGTAACCAAAACAGCATAGTACTGGTACAAAAACAGGTAAAGCAATGGAACTGAATAGAGGGCCCAGAAATAATGCCATATGCCTAAAACCATCTGACCTTTGACAAAGCTGACAAAAACAAACAATGGGGAAAGGACTCTCTATTACAATAGCAAATCCTGTTTAAATGCCCATTAATGGTAGATTGGATAGAGAAAATATGGTACATATATACCATAGAATACTATGTGGCCATAAAAAAGAATGAGATCATGTCCTTTGCAGAAACATGGAGAAAGCTGGAGGCCACTATCCATAGCAAGCTAACTCAGGAGTAGAAAACCAACAATGCATATTCTCACTTACAAGTAGGAGCTGAATAATGAAAACAGATGGACACATAGTGGGGAACAACAAACACGGGGCCTACAGGAGGGTAGAGGGTAGAAGGAAGGAGACGATAAGGAAAAATAACTAATAAGTACTAGGCTTAATACCTGGATTACTAAATAATCTGTATGACAAACCCCCATGACACAAGTTTACCTTTATAACAAATCTACACATGTACTCCTGAACTTAAAATAATTTAAGTAAAAAAAAATAAAAAATTTGAACTGAAAAATTCTCTGGATGTAATACATCAGGGAATATTTTAATATTTTTTTTGAAAACTAATAATATAAGATATCTTAATAACATAAAGAGAAAAAAGACATTATAGACAGGGGAGCTAAAATAAGAATGATTACTGAACTGAATACAAGCTAGAAGGCTATAAAACGACTTATTTCATGTAACAGAAGAAAAATGGGCCAGGTGCAGTGGCTCATGCCTGTAATCTCAGCACTTTGGAAGGGAGGCTGAGGTGGGTGGATCACTTGAGGTCAGGATTTCAAGACCAGCCTGGCCAATATGGTGAAACCCTGTCTCTACTAAAAATACAAAAATTAGCCAGGCTTGATGGTGCATGCCTGTAGTCCTAGTTACTTGAGAGACTGAGGCACAAGAATCACCTGAACTTGGGAGGTGGAAGTTGCAACGAGCCAAGATTAAGCCACTGCACTCCAGCCTGGGAGACAAAGTGAGACTCCGTCTTAAAAAAAAAAGAAAAGAAAAAAAATTGGAAAACTCACAACTGTCAAACAATAATCAATAAGAAGCGATTAGATCTGGGACCGAAGATCTTATTAGAATTGTGATCAAAGAGTAAAACTCAATCATTAGAATTTTATTTGGTTCCCCTTCACAGGTACCATGTAGGAGGTACCAAAGAACCAGACATCTGTAAACTAAAATTTTATTTTTCTGTTCTCAACTAATTGTGCAACTGTCTTACTGTCAAATCTCTAAAATAGGTGGTCAAACTAAATCTTAGACTCTTCTAAGATTCTTTGAAATTGTGATGTGGAGTAGAAGCAAAAAATATCAAAATTAATGCCTCCTTATAGAGCATCCAAAAATGTTTTCTAACTGCATATTTGATGCAAATGTACCCAAAGAATTTATCGTATTATCCAGACAAATTATATTCAGGCATATATATGTATGTGTGTATATATGTGTGTGTATATATACATATAGATATATATGTTTTAACATTTGAAATGTAATTCATGACATTGGAACCATTTTTGTATTGAATTAGATGTAAAATAAATTGATACTGATTCCATTTTACAAAAAAGTTACCATATAGTTAAACTATAATAATTTCCATTGATGGAAATTAATGCCACTGAATTATGTAAAACTGTAAAAAATATAGGCATGTTCCTTTTGTTTTATTTCAGAACATATTTCTATACCAATGAGTAAATAATAATTTTATGTTTCTTTGTGGTAATCAGAAAAAAATACACACTACTCTTTTATTTATGCGGATTTAATTACCATATTTACATATTTTCTGCCTTTTGATTGGTTCATACATCTGTTCTTAATGGTTCTATGAAAATTATATTAAAACCACAACGTCAAGGTTTTGATGAGTAGCTCAGAAGCAACCCAAGTACAAGACAAACATTAGAATATAATGCTTTTCATGGCTAGTGATGGAGTGGGGCCATTTATCATAGAGCCAAAAAAGCAAAAAATTAGAGATACATCAGCTTCCATGTTTGAGATTTTTAAAAATAGCTAAATGCTTCCAAATGTGCAAGTTTACCCAAAGCTACTTTAATTTTACTCTGTTTCTATACTAGGAATAAAAGTTTCCAAGGATAGAGTAATACTTTCTTATGAAAATTCCAACTGATCATACTAAATATCAGGTCAAAAATCCTGTTTAAAAGATATGAGATGGTAGTGATTTTCTTGCATGTGAGCAACATGAAAATATAAAGACAGATCTTAAGAACTATTCAATCAACACGTCATAAACAGTGTGTTCAAAATTTAGAAAATATATTTGACTATCTTTTGAATTTAGGCTGGTTCAGATAGTAACCTATCAAGAAAGAATGAACCAGTTTAAGGACCATGGAATAAGGGAATTAGGTAAGATGTAAATTGGAAATTATAGATAGCACTGATTGCTTAATGCTGAAATAATCAGGAATACAAATTTATCCTGTGTCTTCTTGAGTGGTTCAAGTGCTTCTCCCAGATGGAACACTGAAGTGCCATCCTTCAGCTTCACATCGCTAATATGTGGAGATTCAAGTAGCCAGGTACAATAGACTCAAATACCATTATTCTGTTATTCTAAGATACATAATCTAAATACAGAATAATAAAGCAAATGAAATCTCATTATAACTTTCAATTATAAGATTCTTGGTCATTGTTTGATTTTGTTTTGTTTTATTTTGATACTGAGACAAAATTATAACTAATATAAGCACCAAGTCAACAGGAAACTGAGTATTCACTAAGAATGGCTACCATTCCCTAGTCACCTTTCTACCATCACCATTCCAAAATTAGTTAAATCAAGAAAGAAAAGATAAAAGGGAAAAAGGATTTATTGTTTATCAGTTCTTATTCCCTATCCTTTCCTGTTTAATACAAATGGTATTAGACACATGGAAATTTTTTTAAAAAATACGTAAAGAAGGATATGATTGTATGAATTGGTTCTACCACTTTGGAGAGCAATTTGGCTCAATGACAAATATCTCCAAAACATTATATTGAGAGAAAAAAATTGACAGCATATTAAATCTTATTATTGGGTACATACCAATATAAGAATAAAACATGCATGTAAACAATAAACATGAAATCAGAATGGTGTTTATGTTGGGGAGGAAAAGAGGAGTAGAATATCCAGAGAGAGAAAAACACAGAAATATTTTATTATGTTTATAATGATTAATATTTTTATACCAAGTGTTAGGGGTGTTTATTACAGTACTATTTTACATTTTGGCATTTCTAAAATATTCCATAATAAAGTTTGAAGAAAGCAAGACTATTTAGCTAGAAGCTAGAAGAGTGATTTAGTTTTTATGTGAAGCATGAGAACTAGCTGTTTTCTGCCTCCATAAATAGAATTGGAAATTTAGGCTAACTACAAAGTTTACTTTCCCACTTTAGTGAGTTCTTATAGGTTGCAAAGAAAATTTATGTGGCTTTCTGTGAACATCGTGATGATGAGGCTGGATTCTTATCTTTCTTAAGGAGCTTGGGTGGTCCTGGTTTAAAGTGGGCGACATCGCCCCTCTGCTCCTCTCTGACTTTTTAGTTCTTATTGAGAGATTACAATCGTTTAAGATGAGTAAGCAGAAAAGGGAGGAAAGAAGATGTATGAGTATAAATATCAGAGATTAAAGCCCCCAAATGAGGCCAGATAATAAACATCAGAGAAATGGTCTCTTTCATTTTTGTCCTTTATTGTAGCACATTTCTAAGCCGACTAGATTTATCTTCAATTTTCATTTCATTCAATGTTTTGAATCTTTTTTTTTATTGTAGAGGCAGTCTCCTGGAAAAAGACCTTAAAAATATCCCCAAATATTCAGCCAAATGACAGAGTCAGTTGGAAAGAGTGCAGTCATTCACTTTTCCATTTCTGTGTCCAGTTGAGATTGTTGCAGGCAATGCCCGTGTTCATTATCTCTTTTACTGAGACAAGATTTAACCTCACACAACATCTGGAAATATCAGACCTTTTACTTTCTGGTATTTCTGGATGAGGGACCACATGCACAGACTCTATTTTGTAAGTACTGTATAGGAAGAGCAAGCATTTTTTCAATACCATTTATCAATTGTTAATGCTTAAATTTCTGTTTTGGTGTGACATTTCTGAAATTCAGCCTCTTCTGTTACATGTTTAGAAATCAATGTGCATGTTTATATGGACAGGATGGAGTTTGTTTTATTTCTTACCCCCTGAATATTTGCTCACTAGGTCTGCTAGGGGACCTGCCAGTTAGAGAAAATGACCATTATGAAACTAAGGTTTTTTGCATTAATTCGTTATGCAGTATAGACATATTTCCCAGAAAATCAATTTTGCCAACCCGGAAATAATGCAAGCACCATGACTGCCAGGATTTTTGTCTGTTGTGTGTGTGGCTTTTTTATTCCCACTAGAAATAAACAAAAATCGTTTTGACTTCTCAGTAATGAATGTTTAACCTAAATGGTAAGGGATGAAGTCATTTTTTTAATGTTAGTGGAAGTTGGAAAATCCAGAAGTGCCTATCATATAATCTCAGTTATTTCTACAATAGTACGAAGTTTGCCGTTTTCTTGCATCTTGTACACACACACACCCCCACACACATATCTGCTAAGGAGGAAAATAACATATAGCATGAACCAGGTTATTCAATAACAATCTGGAAAATTTCTAACTTCTTTATGCTAGGTCTTCCAAAATATTAGCTATGTATTTATTCCTGATACTATTCTGTTTCAATATGCTTCTCCATGGGTTTGGCTTAATCCACGTGTATATGCAGTGCAGTTAAATGGTAGAGATATTTTAAGGCTTTTTCTAAATTTCTTTCCCAAACAATAAGACTTCGGGTTCATAAGTGAGCTTCATTCCTCTCTGTCTCCAGCATGATAACAGTAGGATGATACTCAAGACCACACAAAGAAGAATCCAAGAGAAGAACTAGAGAGAAACAACACAAGCATGAGATCCCAGTTGACTGGGGAGGTGACAGTAATGTGGATTGGACTCTGGAAGGTCTGAGTCTTAATTCTGCATTTGTCAGAAGTCAGTTGATGAACTGGGAAGTTACTTAGCTCAAGGAGTTTACTCTTCATCTGTATAAAGTTTGGGAATAAATAGTCTGAGGTTCTTATAAGTTCTCAAATTCTGTGAGCCTATTTCTACTCCACTTTTATAAAAAAAATAGAAATTATCCAAAGCAAAATGTTGCCCTTTTTTAAGACACTTTTTCTTACTTTTTTTTTTAAATCAGCTGTCCTTCAGGTTTTTAAAAAATCTGTCAAAATTATTTTTAGTTTTAGTAAAAAATAAAACTTTAACTTCTAAATTTTAAGAAATTCTTATTTGTAGAATCACAAATCAAAATTTCCTGAGATTCTTTAGTTTATTTCTTTTCTTATTTATTATTAAATCATTTTTTACAAGATGCAAATATTCTACAGCCTGTTCTTTTAAATTGGTATGTGTAATTGTTCAGCATGTTCAGCTTATTAACTGCTAGGAATAAGGCTGTCATTCATTTTGATCAATAAAACAAGTATCTTTACTTTGGAGGAATAATGTATCCAAAACAATCAACAAAGGGGCACTTGTCAACCTTTTAGCTTTGGTTAAAAGAAAAAAAGTAGACTCATAACACACCACTCTCGACCACAGTGATCTTTCCCCTGAGCTGCAACGATTGTGAGGCATATTTTGTGAAAGCAACTCGTATGCTCTCCTCCAGTGGTTGCCATCTACACTTCAATGTCCTAGTCCTCCAGCACACTGAGATGCACCCCTACTCTCGTGTTCCTCTAGAAAAATTATTATTATAAAAACAAAATGGACTATGAAAAATAGCCTCTTTGAACACAAATTAATTTGGAGTAGACTTTATATAGTTATGAGTCAATTTTTCTTCCACAGCAAAACACAATTCCCTTTAAAATATAAACAATTGGTGGATTTTATAATAATTTTAAATCCAAAACCAAGTAATACCTTTGTACATGTATATGTGTTATTTACACATGTATATAGTATGTATATGTTATTTACATGCTATTTACACAGAAACAGAGAGAGAGATTTTAAGAAATGAAGGAATGGTTCATAAAATTGCCGGGGCTGGCGAGACCAAAATCTGCAGGACAGGCTGCAGGCTGGCAAGACCTAGGGAAGTGTTAATGCTGCAGCTCCATTCTGAATGCAGTCTGAAGGCAGAATCCCCATTTCATTAGGGGACTCCAGTATTTTTCTTTTTCTTTTTTTTCTTTATACGTTAAGTTTTAGGGTACATGTGCACAATGTGCAGGTTTGTTACGTATGTATACATGTGCCATGTTGGTGTGCTGCACCCATTAACTCGTCGTTTACATTAGGTATATCTCCTAATGCTATCCCTCCCCGCTCCCCCTACCCCACAACAGACCCCAGTGTGTGATGTTCCCCTTCCTGTATCCATGTGTTCTCATTGTTCAATTCCCACCTATGAGTGAGAACATGCGGTGTTTGGTTTTTTGTCCTTGCAATAGTTTGCTGAGAATGATGGTAGCCATAAAAAATGATGAGTTCATGTCCTTTGTAGGGACATGGATGAAGCTGGAAACCATCATTCTCAGCAAACCATCATTCTCAGTATTTTTCTTTTAAGGCCTTCAAGTGATTAGATGAGGCCCACGTACATTAGGGGGGGTAATCTGCTTTACTGTGCTCTATTGATGTAAATGGTAACTTGAGCTAAGAAATACCTTCACAGAAACATTTAAACTCTGTTTGACCAAATATCTGAGGACTGTGAGTTGACACATAAAATTAACCATCACAGTGCTCAAGCTAAATAACATTATTCTTTGCTAATTTAAGAAATAAACTGGCCAGTCACAGTGGCTCATGCCTGTAATCCCAGCACTTTGGGAGGCTGAGGTGGGTGGATCACAAGGTCAGGAGTTCAAGACCAGCCTGGCCAACGTGGTGAAACTTCATCTCTACTAAAAATACAAAAATTAGCCGGGCATGGTGGTGCCTGTAATCCCAGGTACTTGGGAGGCTGAGGCAGGACTCCAGCCTAGTCAACAGATTGAGACTCTGTCTCAAATTAAAAAAAAAAAAAAGAAAGAAAAGAAAGAAACTAACACATCCAGCAAATGTCAGTGTGGTACAGAATCTATGGGTGGTTTAGGAAATAGTTACCAGAATGAAACTTTTCTCCTCCACACATTAAGCTTTTTGCTCTAGCACACTCTATAAATATTTGTAATTCTGAAATGTTTTTCATGAATTCTGAAACAAGAATTTTGAAGGAGCATATGTCTTCTGGAATAATTTTTCAACACTGGAAATACTGATTTACTTATGCTGTACATGAGGAAGTTCCTAGAAATGCACTTTTAACTGAAAGTGTTCAAGGGCTGAGGGAGAGATGGGCTTTTTACATTGTATATTCCTTGATTCTAACTCAATTAATTTAAAATGCAGGGAGTTTAGTGTGTTAATAAAAGGGATTTCAGGTGTTATGGGAATAGAGTAAAATGATAGCCAGCCTGTGAGGGAGGGAACAGGGGAAGGAGGCTGTCCAGGGACCTGCACATCTGAGCTGAGAAACTGTAAATAACATGGTGGTTATTAAAGTGGCTCACGAGTTAGGTCAGCTAGGCTCAGATCCATGCTCTGGTACTAAATAATTGTGTCTTCAGAAATTTATTTAATTTTTCTAGTACTCTGTCTTCTCACCTATAAACATACAGTTTCCAAAGTGTAGAAGGATTAAATATGAAAAGTACACCTAACGTACCTCACGCCTTGTAGTCAGTGGCACATAGTGATTAATATTATTAATTATTATTATTATTGTCACTAGGTAGAAGATGAGGGACTAAAATGAGCATGTGCTAGTTACATTGATTTGTTTTCAGTGTCTACATGGGATTGGATATAGGTGTCAGAAGACACAATCGAATCGTAAAAGAAGAAGAAAAAAAGGAAATGATTTTCTGAAATCATTGTACATTTTAATGTGTTTAAAATGTTAAGTAGGAAGGATGTTTTTGTAAGAGACTATTCTGTAAGATGTAACTTTAGGCAAAGTACAATTGCTTTTAATAATTTATGATAGGAGATTTAAATGTTCCAGTTAATATATCTCTTTTAGATAGTCACCTGGAAAGTAGCATTTTTATTCTAGAGATGCCTCCATTGACCACAATGTTTTTATGTCATCAATTTTTCTGTTTGTATTGTTTCGTTAGATTATGTCTTTTATGTTTCTTCGGTGTCAGGAAATTGTTTACTTTTAAATGCAATTCTGAATTTTGCGAGCTAAAAAACCAGCTGGAAACAAATAGAGTGAACAATATGGATTATGTATTTTTTTAGTTTTTAGTTTTTGGTCATGTGGCTTGGTTCTGATTTCAAGGAGTGGCTGAAAAATTAAGCAGGAAAGCAATTTTCAAGGAAGTTTAAAAAAACATTTTGTGGTAGAATAGTTGGAATATGTCTTTAATATCAAAATGTAACAAACTGGAAGATACATAATAAATACCCCTTGTTTTGTTTTTAAAATAATAATTTCATTAATTTATATAGAAACAAACATCCTTTTATTCCTTTTTATTGAATATATACAATTTAAGTAACATTACTCATGGCAAAACGCTAATGGCCAAACCAGAACCCTAAATCCAGCAGCAAAAAAAATTCCACCTATGCACGTGCTTTTTCCTTTCTCACACAAACTTATACTTTATTGACATCGAAAAGATATAATCTTAAATTAGGATGGACTTATTATTTTTATATGCACAAAGTGTGGCAGCCTTTGCCTATGTCTAACATATTGGAAACATAGTTAATAGGAGAATGAGCCCTGGACCAGAAGCCAGAACACCCAATTCCGGCCCTTGCTCTACACGTCTCAGAGTTATCAGGAGCAAGATGCTTAACCTCTTGATGCCTCAGTTTACTCATCTATAAAACCTGGCTAACAATATATATCATCATTCCCTCCAAAAGTTGTCATAAAAATTAAATGTAGTTGTACATTTTGAAAGTCTGAAAAATGTAAAATACCAACCAAATGCTAGGTACTGCAATATATGTTCTTCATACCTGGGAAAAAAGAGTCCCAACTAACAAATGCATTTTATAAGCCCCTTTATTTCTAAAATTAAGTAGATGAATTATATCCCAGTTATTTTAGTTTGTTTTCTCTTTGTCATCACATGTGTAAAAAGTTGACCTGTTTTAACTGTAGTTAAAGATACAAAAAGCTCAGGTTTTTTGACACAGCCTTTTTGAATGTAGTAAAATGCAGAGGCCACTCACACTATCAAACCAATTCTGTAGGTTGAAATAGTGGTCTACACTAATTAGGTGTGTCAATGTAGAGAGAAAGTCTGTATGCTCTGAAGCCTATCTATTCATGGAGTATTATCTATTTTACCCACAAACAGGAATTTCCCCACAATGTACTGTCATCACAGAGCAATTAAATATATGGTTTGCATACTTCTCAATGGTAAATATTTTGCCTGGTTCATAAGGTCGTATATCATGCATTTGTTTCTATTTCTGGCTAGAAGAGATGGATATAATAATTATATTCAATAAAACTGGAATGTAATCCCACCTATGGTAATTTTTTTTCAAAACACATACATATATATATATTTTCAGGAGAGTTATTTTATTAAAATAACAAAATTTAGAAATCAGTAATTTTTTTTTTTTTTTTTTTGAGACAGAGTCTCGCTCTGTCGCCCAGGCTGGAGTGCAGTGGCGTAATCTCAGCTCACTGCAACCTTCACCTCCCGGTTCAAGCAATTCTCCTGCCTCAGCCTCCTGAGTAGCTGGGATTACAGGTGCACACCACCAAGCCCAGCTAATTTTTTTGTATTTTTGGTAGAGATGGGGTTTCACCATGCTGGTCAGGCTGGTCTCGAATTCCTGACCTCGTGATCCGCCCACCTTGACTTCCCAAAGTGCTGGGATTACAAGCATGAGCCAGATAATTTATTTTTAAATATCAAATTTATAGCCAGAAATTTGGGTTTTGGTTTGCTGTGCTTACCTGTCCTGAATTATAGTAGAAGCAAAATAAAATATTAGCATGTTTTAACCTATTTATTTGTTCTCTCAAAATAACATATTTTGAAGAACATCTATCACCCTGCTAACTAATGCTTAATTATTCATTAATAAAAATTCTTTATAACTTGAACTTTGTTGACTAATTATTCGGACTACGAAACTCCACCAAATATTCTCATTAATGTAACTCATGTTTTGGATGTAATAAAAATAGTGAATTCTGTAATTATCCCAGGTGCTATTAACATTTGTTGAACATGCAGAGCAAGGGGACTACAGACTTCTGCCAACACAAAGACAAGAGAAATTTGCTTTAGCAAATTTGCCTTCTATTTCTTTATTCAATCTGATTGAGTATGGTAGCAAGACAAAGACTTTTTTTCTGTTTCTGGTGAATTAATTGCATTGTTAGTGTTTCAGAACCATATGAAACAATTTCCCTTTAAATTAATATAAACGAGAAAATGTACCACAGTCTCTTTGTATCTTTTGTTGTTTCTCCTTTAGAGCCCAATGTTTCATGGCAGTCGAGTTTCTGGAATTATAAAAAGTATAAAATTATTTTAAAAACAGTAAAAAAGATTGTGTATACAAAAATAATTCTTCTAAACCCATTAAAAATAGAATTACCTTTCTCTCAGAACTAATAAGCAAATAAAACTAGCTGAGATTACAATCACTCGATGTAAAAATTCTAATCTTACATGATTCGAAGACAAATATTTTTCCCAAAGGCATAACAATAAGCATATCCAAATGTTCTTTCCAGCAGAGAAGAATGAAATAAAGCTACACTCTATAAACTTCAGTGCACGATGTGTCAACTCAAGGATTAGTGTGTATTTCAGAAAATAATATTGAAATTCGTGTTTTTATTACTTAGAAAAATTCACTTCTGTAAGTCAAATTTATTCATATCTTTTTATTTGTTTACTAAACGCTAAAAGACTTCACATTAACATCATCACAAATATTTAGCCAAGAATGCCAGCTGTTGATTATGGGCCTATGACAGAGGACTTGGCATATTTCCAATCAGATGCTTCTACTGTATCCCAAACAGAGCATTTTAAAATACAGTGCTTCTCTGCTAACGGATGTTAAATTTTCAAATGAGCATATTTGGGAGAATGCATCTACGTATTGACACAAAACCACCAGACATGGGCATTGACATACAGCTGAGAGGCAAGGACATCTCCTAATGATATGGCACTGCCAAAAGCCAGAGAAGATGGGAGTCTCACACATACAAACTCTCATATATTCATGTCCAGAACAGTGATAGCTCGTATTTCTCAGTATTTGCCCTGTCTAGCTAAGTGATTTATATTGACTAGCTCATTTAATCCTTTGAGGCAGGAACTATTCTTCTCACCATTTTAGAGATGAAAAAACTGATGGCACAGAGATGTCACATTATTTGTCCAAGTTCCCAAAGCCATTTTAACTTCTAAGCCCACACTTTAAATCACTATGCTATGAAGTGCTATCTCACACACACTGGAATTCAGACACAGGGAAAAAAGATCCCAGTGAGACAATTGCAGCATCAGATTAGGCATATGGTACTTCGAGAGTGCCTTGTCTAGCATGAAGTCAGAAAACAAGTTGAGTGGCCTTTATCGCTCTGAGTCTTCCGTCTTTTGTTTAAGCATCACTGTGCCCAGAGTTGGCATTTATCATATGGCTACATTTAACTAAATAAAAATATCATCCTTTTTCAACATATGAAAATCCCCAAACTTCAAAGTTGACTCCAAAATGTGCTTGTTTTTAAAAATTGGCACTCAAGTATTTAGGGATAAAGGCTCTTTATGTCGGCAACTTATTCTCAAACAAGTCAGAAAAATCACTCATACACACACACACACACACACACACACACACACACACACAAAGAAAATCTGATAAAATATTAATTTGGGAATCTAAATGAAAGTATAGGATAATTCTTTGTGCTGTATTTGTACTTTTTCTGTAAAGTCTAAAATTAAAAAGCTGCCTGGAGATTCGAATAGTCAAAAAAAATTTATTGAGAAACAGCAATAGGAAAATTAAGGATACAAATATATCCAGATTGGCATGTCCAAAATAAAACATTACTCATTTTTTTCCGGCACATGTAGAAGACTGCTTAACACCCCCTATCTTTTTTGCAATATAGACTAGAAGAGAAATTAAGACCTAGATTATGTTTTCCTTTCTACCTAAGGCCTCTATTTCGGTTCTAGCTTTCTATTTGTGGGGTTTTTTCCCCTTCTAGGTCACACAATCTCCTTTCTACAAGACTGAGTTGCATTTGAAAGTTTTAACAGATAAACAAATTAGAATGCAATAAAATAGCCCTAATATCCACAAAAGAAATATAATAGATTCACCTTTCTACATTGAGGCTAAAATTGAATTTCAAGGCATTAGGTGAATTAGTGTATAGCCAAAACTATCCTAGAATAACCTTTACATAGCCCATCAAGTAGGGGATCATTGTTTTGTATAGTAATGATTATGCACAGTAAATTTTGACAACCGCTAACCTGAACAAAAGGAACAAAATAAAAACTTACATGCAAATGTCTAAGCATTCAAATGATTTTGCTTTTAAGATAATTATCAAATCCTCAGCAGTATAAGGTGAGGAATAGGGGGGCAGTGAGAAGAAAATTTTAAGTGATTTTGCTTGATGTAAACTTTATTCCATTTGGTTTCATGTTAACATAATATATGTAAGTAGATTTGTTTGTCAGGGTTAAATAAGAGTACAGAGATAAATTTTGCTTCCAGCCATGAGGAAGGAACTCACATCATGGTAGGCCTTCTGTCACAAGCCATTGTAAAAGAGGACAAAATGTGTGAAATCACTGCTTTTAGACATTCAGCAAAAGACACCACGTGACTATGATCCCTGAAAGAAGGGCAAAAACATGAGATGAGTCCTGTAATTGTACCAGCTTTCTGCCTGGTGTCACTTCCTAGGCTGTGGTTCAGAGATGGTGCCCAAACCAACACAGCGGTGCCACATAGCAGAGGAGACAGAGATTAGAATTCAGGGCCAGTGAGGTGACTGGAATTTGTATTGCAGGATCAAGAGAGAAGCGAGCTGAGCAGAGGAGGAGTTCCAAAAATCTGCATAGAGGTCCCTTTGAGTCTTTGAATAGCAAGCTGTTTATATTCAGATTGAAACTCTCTGAGGCAGGACAAAGTATAACTATTAGGAAGAGAACAAACACAGGAGAACTGTGAGTTGAGCTCTCAGAGCTAGACAGAGTGTGGAGATATTTGCATTCTGACTTGCCAAAGTGAAAGCACCTTACTAAACACTGTAGGTACAATATTGCTATAGTTTGGAGCTTTGTCCCCTCCAAACCTCATGTTAAAATTTGATCCTCAATGTTGGAGGTGGGGCCTAATGGGAAGTGTTTGGATCGTGGGGGCTGATCTCCACTAAATAGATTAATGCCTTCCCTGGGGGCAAGGTGAGTGAGTTCTAATTCTATTAGTTCCCTGTGAGAGCTGCTTATTAAAAAGAGCCTGGCACCTCCCTCCTCTCTCTCTCTCTCTTGCTTCCTCTCTCACCGTGTGATATCTGCACATGCCAGCTCCCCTTCACCTTCTGCCATTAATGGAAGCAGCCTGAGACTTTCATCAGATACTAAATCTTCCAGCCAGCAGAATTATGATCCAAATAAACCTTTTTTCTTTACAAATACCTAGTTCCTAGTATTCATTTATAACAACACAAATGAACTAAGACAAGCGACACAAATGGACTAAGACAAGTAGAAACTCCACACAGGCCATACCTTAGAAGTAGGGCTAATCTAGTCCTACAAGAAAGGTTATTCTTGACCTACCTTAACAACAAGACTTGAAAGTATCAAGCTCATCTACAGGTAAGTTAACTGCCTATGGGAAAAAAACTTAACACTCTTATTAAGGAAGATGATAGAAATCCAGTCAACAATGAAGTATCCATAATGTTTAATGTATAATTTTAAAATGACCAGTCATGCAAAGAAGCAGGAAAACATGATCCATTGCCAGAATAATAGTCAGTCACTCAACAAGAACAGACCCAGAAATGACACAGATAATGAAATTAATAGACTTGTCTTTAAAATAACTACTATAAAAATATTCAGGAATTTAAAGAGAGAAGACAACGAAAAATAGAAAATCTCAACTGGGAAACAAACTATAATAAGAAATACTAGAGATAACCAGAAATTTAAAATTCACCAAATAAGCTTATCAGCAGATTAAATACTGCAGAAAAAACTATCAGTAAACTTGAAAATAGAGCAATTTGGAAATTACCCAAACTGAAGCACAGAAAGAAAAAACAGCTGAAAAATAGTAATGGATTATCAGTAACTTATGGTAGAATTGCAAGCAGATTTAAGAAGTTAAACAATGCCTAAGCAGGAATAACACAAAGAAGACCATACCAGGGCCTATTAATTAGGGTTCCATCAGGTAAGTGGAACGACTATAAGTGATGTACAGTCAGGGATTTATTTTGAGGATTAGACCTTAGGCAATTGTAGAAGCTTCTTAAGTGGTCTATATAAGGCTATCAACTCTGTGCTAACATTAGGCCTGAAGTCAGCAAGGAAATATAGACATTAATTAAGGGGGATCCAAGAGTGAACCCTGAGGGAACTTGTGGGGGAAAAGTGAAATCTATAAGGCAAAACTAGAACCCACGAGAACAAATAGGAACATGTATTTGTCCCACTCCCTCCAATCTTGATAATGTAAGTGAACTGAAAACAAAGCTGGCACTCTTCCCTGTGAAACTATACATGACTTGGCCTGGGATTCAAAGATCTAACAAAGTATTTCTGGTTAGAAAAACTAAGCCCAGGTTTTGCTCCCCATTACCAGTGAGGTAAACCAGTAGATCAGTAACAGTATGCATGAGCTACAATAGTACCTCACCCCGTGCCAACCTTCACAGTGTTAAAGACCAGCTGTTACTTCACTTCTACCTTCCCAATCTCACACAAGTTTCTGTTGTGACCCATCATAAACTGGAATGATACAGTGAAAGGATTCCTGAGAAACATTCCAGTTTAGCTATACTGAACTGTTGCCACAGTCCACCCCCTTACAACTTGGCACTCCCATATACACCTTTCAACAATACTTAACTTCTAAATGAAGACAATAGTAAAATTATCTTTTTACATAGCACAATACTGATATATACTAAAATACTGATATATAACTAAAAACATGCTAAAACTCTCTGAAAAGATGATACAAAATCCCTTTATTCAATTTTGGTTAATGTTTATTTTTCTTCTAATCGAATCACACTCCCCCTAAGATATATTATAACTTAAATACTGAAATATAAGCTCAGTTACTATTAATACTTCCTATGTTATATGTTAGGGAGATGGAGGGAGGGAAAAGATAGTTGGATGGAGAAAAAAATGTATAAATATCTTCATATAAAAATAAGAAAGAAATTCTCAAATATTATGGTGTTCATTTCTGCAGCTGGTGACATGATTTCAGTTAATATTTGTTACTTCAGTCTTCTACTACCCACTCCTATTCCCTTTGTCTTCAGTAAGCACTTTGCCTGGTCATAATTCTTTGCCTAATGGGGTAAAACAAGCCTTCATCCCTGAAGTGAGATAAACTGCTAATGGCCCAGCCATTTGCAGTTTTGCTGTAGTTTTTCTTTGACTCTTATCACAGAGCATGGAAGTATTAAGATGTGTCCCAAGATATTTTGTGAATTACAAACACATTCCTCCTTACCACCATAGTGCAGTCAAAACTTAATTTCCTCTTGATGGTCAAAATCAGTCATTGCAGTCAGTATAACCTCCCCTTCTCTGCCCATTGATTTACCACCATGAGAATCCCTAAGTGGTCATATGACAGCGTCAAATTTTCATGTAATAGAACCATTGCTATGTCCCCTGGTGGAAGCATTCCTCTCTTGAGAACTAAGACCTCTAGACAAGATGAGCCAAGGTTGCATAGATAAGAAGCAATAATTTTGTTAGTAATGGATTAGGGGTAAGCAAGGAGATAAGCCATTCACTTTCATTTCCACTTCTTGATTCCCAGATCTGTGTAATGAGAGAAAAACACTACAAATTGGACACAGATTCAGAGCATATGCTCTATTTTGGATGACATTACTCAAGCCCTACAAAGTGTTGCCATGCATCTGGCACCATAATTTAGTCTTCAAAAGGCCATTCTATCAGGCCAGCTGCTTCAGAGTGATGGAGAACATAATAATACAAGTGACGTCCATGTTCACAAGGCCATTGCTGCATTTTGTTAGCTGTAGAATGAGTTTCCTGGTTAGAAGCAATGCTGTGTGGAATATCATGTTGGTGAATAGGGCATTTTATAAATCCACAGAGGGTGATTTTGGCAGAAGCATTGTAGGCAGAAAAGGCAAATGTATATCTAGAATGAGTTTCCATTGCAATGAGAACAAAGCATTCCCCCTTTTATGTTAGAAATAATTAACCTACTTGCTACCAAGTCACAAGCTGGTCCTCCTGGGGGCTCAGTATCCATCTCAGGTAGCAGGTTGGGCACTCAGCAGTGGCAGTTGTCAGATCAGCTTTGATGAGTGGAAGTGAACATTGCTTAGCCCATGCATAGCTTCCTTCGCTGCTGCCCATGACCACTTTGTTTATGAGCCAATCGGACAAAGATAGATGTAGCTGCAGAAACAAGTTCATTTATATCCATAGAATGGACCACTATGCCCACTTATTCATCTGAAGTGGCTCTTTGGTGAGCCTTGATATCGGACACAAATATCTTCATGATCTATGCCTGATGTGATCTATGCCAAGATTCACATACATCTTTCCAGACCTCATTATCACCAAGTCACCAGTCATGTTCCTTTTAATTGAGAATCATTCAGCCAAACTCTTAGCCACACCGTTTAAACTAGTGGATATCTGACCATATCTCTTCCTCCAGATAAAACTTTACCCAAGGATTACAACAGGCAAAAATATATTTTTTTGTGTTTTAATCAGTGCTATAAAACCAGGAAATAAAATAAATTAAAAACATAAATGTTGGAAAGAAAAAAAGTATACTGTCTTTATTCAAACATAACATGGTTGTGTATGGTAAAAACTATAATTATCTAAAAAATATACTACTAGAGCTCATACATGATTTTAACAATGCCACAGACATAGGTTAACATTAAAATAACCATTGAATTTCTATACACTAGCAAAGAATGGGAAAACTAAATAAAAAATCCAATACAATTTAAAATAGTATCAATGGACACAAAATACTTGGAAAACTTAAATAAAATATGTCTAAGATCTGTATGCTGAGAATAAAAAACATTGCTGGAAGAAATTAAAGAATATTTAAATAAATAGAAATATATACCATTTTCATGGATTTGAAGACTCAATATTTTTAAGATGCATTTTTTTTTTCTAAATTGATCTGTAGAGTCAAAGTATTCCCAAACAAAATCTTAGGTGTATTTTTATTTTGGTAGAAATTGACAAGATGTTTTTAACATGTATATGAAAAGACCAAGGCTGGGCACAGTGGCTCATGCCAGTATTCCCAGCACTTTGGGAGGCTGAGGCAGGTGGATCACCTGAGGTCAGGAGTTCAAGACAAGCCTGGCCAACATGGCAAAACCCCAACTCTACTAAAAGTACAAAAAAATATTAGCCGGGCATGGTAGCCCGTGCCTGTAATCCCAGCTACTTGGGAGGCTGAGGCAAGAGAATCGCTTGAACCTGGGAGGTGGAGATTGCAGTGAGCCAAGATCATGCCACTGCGCTCCAGCCTGGGTAACAGAGTGAGACTCTATCTCAAAAAAAGAAAGAAAAGAAAAGACCGACTACTCAGAATAGCCAAAATTATCTTGAAATAGAAAAATACTTTGTAGTACTTATATCACTTGATTTCAAAACTTATTAAAATCAAGATGGCATGATATGATGTAAAGATAGATTAATAGTTTAACAAAAACGTTAGTGAGTCCAGAAACTGAACCACATTTACCCAGTCACTTGATCATTTTTTAAATGAGTCATCAACATAAGTTAATAGGGGGAAGAAAAGTCTTTTTGACAAAAGGTTCTGTAAAAAATGACTACTTATAAGAAAAAAGTTGCGCCTCAAACTCTGCACCATTCATAAAAATTAATTCAAGAAAGATCATAGTCCTGAATGTAAAAGATAAAATTCTAAAACCTCTTGAAGAAAACATAGCAGATTATTTTTGCAACCCTGTGAGAGACAATCCGAGGCCCTGAACTGTGGGTTTCCATGTCTGTTTTTGCATTGCCCAATTTTAGCAAAAATTCTGTCAAATTTGTTTAACCAGAATCTCTCACCCTTCATATCTGATCATTGTCAATATTTGACCAAATTCCTTATCTCCCACCACCTCCCAGATGATATCTGATTACTCTGCCCTGACTTCAGCAAGAATCCTGTTAAGCTGATTTAACCAGAATCCCTTCTTACTCCTCATGTTTCCTCTTAGTAATTTTCCATCCACTGCCCCAACTTGCTTCTTGTCTATAAATGCTCACTTGTCTTTGCTGGACTTTCAGAGTCTGGAAGTCCAAGATCAAGTTGTGAGCAGGATTGGTTTAGGGGCTGGACATGGAGAATGTGCCAGTACAGTGGTCTCTGATGTCCCTTTTTATAAGGACACTAATCCTGTTTGATGAGAGCCTGTCACCATTATGACCTCGCTTAACCTTAATTTCTTCCTTAGAGGTCTCATCTCCAAACAACCACACAGGGGATTAGGGCTTCAACATATGAATTTTGGGGAGATACAAACATTTTGTCCATAGCAGTCATAAAAATGTCAGTTTGGATTAACTCTAAAATAAATAATGCATTGTTTTACTTAGTAAGAAAGAACCAATCTCTGATTCTCAAAGCTTGGGTTCTCATCAGCAACCGAGGCCATTGAGTCAAATAGAAATAATTACACATTCAAGATGTTATCTAAATATGATACAAATTGAATATTAGCGTAACCTACTGACAGAAGCTTGCCTTGTTAACAGTACTTACTTACAAAAAAAAAATTTGAGTGTCTTCTATGCAATACCCAATATATTAGGAACTGTTATTAAATGAGGTATAATGATATGATAACAACAAGCCATATGGTTACAGACATACTTCACTAGCTGTTCTGCAGGATGAGCATGAACAGTAGCGTTGTATAAACAATTTAGCATTGCCAAAATGAAGTAGTGATTTGAAGTGATTGTATGGATATATCAAAATAAAACTTGCTAAATGGAGTAAGACAGGTTTTAGCATGAATTAACGACATAATTATTTCAGCTTATACTTTAGCTACCAAGTCCTGGCATAGGTGTAATAGGATAGAGTGCTAGGAAGCACAAGCCTCTAAAAGTGAGAACTCAGATGTTCAAACACAGAAACCCAACAAGCCTGAAAAATATTGCCCTACGAGAAATTAGAACTCCAAAGAGTTGCTTTCCAAAGTTAAAATTTCTGTGGTACAACATTTTCATTCTCATGAAAATGATAACTTCTTAGAATGGATACCAAAAAATAGCAACTGGGCACAGCTGGATGGCTGCCTGGTCTTTAGTGCAAGAGTCCTGATGTTTTTCAGACAAGAGGCCAGTTGTTATTGAGTTTCAGAGAGAAAGAATTATTTAGTGCAGGTATACTCCTTACCCATTTGTGTATATGCACGTTTTATGTATAGCTCTGTTCTATAACTGAGAGCTTATGACAGAGAGTCATAAGTCTCTTGAAGAAGCAGGAAGAAGAAATGATAAAAGGGAAGCCAAGGAAAGCCCTGCCTGACAAATAGAACACCTGTCAGGTCAACGTTCCATGGGATCTAACAGTACACACTGGTGCAGGCCCAATTAGCTAGGCAAATGATTTAGGTATTAAAGGGACATAAGTCATGAGAACAGAGTGTTGGTCAAAGTCAAGTTTAAAAAGTGAGACTTTCCTTCACTAATGAAATATTTCCTAATAAATTTCCTAATAAAATATTTCCTAATGAAAAAGGTAAAGGGTATTAAGAATCTTTGTTTTTATTTATTTATGTATTAGAGACAGGGTCTCACTCTGTCACCTAGGCTGCAGTGTAGTGGTGCAATCACAGCTCACTGCAGCCTCAAACTCCTGGGCTCAAGCAATCTTCCTGCCTCAGTCTCCCAAGTAGCTAGGATTACAGGCACACATTAGCACTCCTGGTTAATTTATTTATTAATTTTTTTTTTTTTTTTGCAAGTACAGGGTCTACTTATGTTGCCCAGGCTGGTCTTAAACTCCTGGCCTCAAGCAAGCCTCCTGCCTTGGCCTTCAAAAGCACTGGAATTACAGCCATAAGTCACTACACCCAGTCAAGAATCTTTTCAAACTGATACCCGTTACAAGGAATTTTAACCACTTGGACTGCCAGTCTGATAAAACTTCTGTAACAGCACTAGCATGTGAATTTTTGTTTGTTTTTTAAACAGAGCTTTAGTTACGTAGATCTGAAGGAACGAGATCTGTAGAAAAGCCATTTGATCCAGCACTCAAATAACAGTTCTTGACGGAAAGAATGAAGTTCTAAACTATAATTATTAGCCAAAATGTCATTATACATTTTAAAAATCCCATCTTTCCAGACAAAATAGTTGGAAAAAAAGAAATGAATCCAATAAAGCATTGTCTCTAAAAAATTCATTGGTACTGCTAGCATGATTTTTAACATAATTCATTTAAGATTTTATAATAGGTAAACTGGACATAGGAATGCTGCCATGTTTATAGGCCGCTCAATAGGAAAGATGAAACTCATCAACAAAGGCAGACATATTGCAGCCACCTAACCTTGTCTGCCACATAATAGTTTCCCTATAAAGATTTGTTGATGCATTGACTGCTTGGTTTAAAGGCCCTAATAGTACAGCATTAATTTCTTATGAAGTACTTTCTAATATCTTGCATTTAAGTTTTAAGTGTAACCTTTGCTATATTATGGGACTGACTCTTTTATTGCATTAAAACTAACGGATGCATATTGAGTAATTAGCTTTGCCTTTCTTTCTATACTTTCTCTTAAATCTTTATAAGGGATAGCACGGGAACTATATTTTTATCTCCAAGTTTGCCTCCAAGTCCAGCTGTGTAGTGAAAGGGCAGCAGGAAACTTCATGAAGTATGCCTTCAGCTCAGAGTCAGAACCCGCATTCAGAACTTTGCTGGGGATGAGAGAAAGGTCAAACCTGTGGGTTAAAAGAGAAAGAGAGAGAGATGAGAAATTTACAGATTTTTATGAAGAAAGCTACAATAATTTGTGCTCTGGACACAGACGGACTTGGGTTAGGGTCCTGGCTGTACCACTTAACCTACATAGGCTTAGTTTCTATATTAATAAAGCAGGGCTGATGGTGAATATAAAGATTTTAAAGGCTCTAGAATATAGCAGGCACTCAAAAAATGTTACAGTTATTATTCCAAAGAACATTTGGTGACATAAAAACATGAGGATAAATATCATCCAGGAAAAATGGAAGATTCTGCGTAGGTGATAGTCCAAACACCATTCAGAAAGCCAGTGCATGGGCAAATTGCTTTGGAGCCACAAAAAGCTAGGAATTAATGACGTCTTGGGCTTCAAGGAAATAGTGGGGAGCTGATCTCCCACAGGTGTGGGAGCCTATCCAAACTCTCTGTTTTCCTCCGTGTCCTCTGACTGATGCCCAAATCCAACCTGGATGACTTGTCACACCTGTGACACTAGCACCCACCCAACTCTGATACTCACCAGTTTAGCAAGGCCCTCTTCCATGTTCAGGTACCTAAACTCCAGACCCCTTGGGACACACTGACTTATACTTTGGGGCACTTTGTCCCACTGGAAGAATATGGGAGTAGGGAGAATAGAGAACAATGGTAAGAGAAGCTTACTCTCCCAGCCTCATCATCTCCGGCTTTCTCTATCACTGAACCCTTTCCTCATAGACTCTCCAGGTCTCATGAGCTTGATTAGGCGACTCATGAAAAATTCTCATTACTGAAGCCTGAGATTTCTCCTTTGCCTGCCAGTCACCCTCTGTCTCTCCAGAGTCAGAACGTTTGCAATTTCCATCTCAATGATTATTTTAACAAGTGAATTAGGTTTGTTGCCCACTCTGTAGATTTAGGAAGGACCCTTATCTATGAGTGATTTCGGTCTCACATCCCAAAAGTCCACATTTCTACTTCAGCAGGCCACATCATGTTTGTTCCATGGTTCAGAATATCTGAACTTTTAGTTTAGAACTGGCTGGTGGGGACCTGGAGTTCATGCAGGCAGTCTGCTCTGGAGTCTGCGTCCTTATTCCCATTCTAGTCCACATCCCTCTAACTAGAGTGGATGGGGAGGGGAGAGGAATGGAACAAAAAAGGTAGGTTAAAGTTGGATTGAATAGAATCTTGAAAGCTAAACCAAAGAATTAGAATCTTACTATGTAGGCAGTCGGAATTCAGAGAGATTAAACAAAGTGGTTTTTGAGGAATAGTAATTGGTTGGCAGAACACAGGATTGAATAGAATAAGGAAGATATTAAAAGATTAAGAGACTGTTTAGAAGGTATTACATTAATCTAGGTTTAACAAGATGAAAACTCAGCCTAGGAGGTAACATTGGGAACTAAAAAGAAGTGATGGGCATGAGCCAGTTAACATCAGCATGACCTGGTGGGTGATTGGAGTGGAGAGTAAAAGCGATAAGTCTGGTTTTAAGAGTAGATGATGAGGAGATCTAATTACATACACACACCCATAACTAAGGAGTTGTATCTGATAAATTATTTAATCTGAACCTAAATATTTTTATTCCTTAATTTAAACCTCCTCCCTTTTTTATCTTCAGCTTAAACATTGCTGTTTAAATCCTCCTTAACACTTTACGCTTAAGACTAAATGATCCTGATATTGTTTTTTCTCATTCCTCCACTTCTTAAATACATATATATATATATGCTAATTAATGGGCAGAGTTGGTATGCATGTACTGTCTATATCTCTATAGGTGAAAGCAAAAAACGGATTCTGGAGATAAAAATAAGAATGATAGCTCTCCTTTATTGAACACTTATTATGTACCTACTTCTGTGCTGAGCTGCTCATATGTATTATCTATTGAATGCCCATAACAACCCTAAGAAATAGATACCATTATTGTCTTCATTTGCCCAGGAGGAGGCTGAGGCTTGGAGGAGTATAAGAACTTGCTGACAGTCATAACATCTGAAGGGGATTAGAATATGTCACGCCAAAATATGCCACTTTGGCATAATAATTATTTTAAGTTGAAGGCAATTGAGAAAAAGCAGACACAAGAAGAGCTCTTTTCCCTCCCCTATCTGCCTAAACATAGGGCATAAAGCTTTCTTGTGAAAGTATTTCCCCACCTTCCATATCAGGAAAGGGATAACAAACTGTACCACTGGAAATGGAGACAGCACCTAAATAAGTCTGTATAGACAAACCTTACTACATAACCTTTATCTAGCAGTTAATTTCCCCCATATATTTACCTTCCCACAATTTGCCACTCCTAGAAAGCCAAGCCCCTTTCTTTTGTGTAGTCACTTCTCCATAATTTATCACTCTTTGTTAAAATGGTGTATAAGGCCAAGTCTAGTCACTTCTTTGGGCTGTTTCCTTCTGTTTCTTCAAAGCCCATGTACATGTACAAAGATTAACATCCAGTAAATTTTGCATGCTTTTCTTCTGTTAATCTGTCTTCTATTAATTTAATTCACAGGCCCCAACTACAGAAGATAAGAGGGCATAGGAAAAGTTTTTCCTCTCTACAAGCCAAAAGTCGCAAGGCTAATATTTACTCCCCTGATTCTCTCCTCCAGAGCCCACACCCTTCATCACTACTGATAAAGGTATGATAATGAATTCTAAATTCCTTTCTTAAAATCTGCTAATTGGGTAAAGAAGTAAAGAAAAGTTTGATATTCTCCTCCATATAATGGCTTATTTATAGCTATAACTTACTTGTCAAATACAAATGCTACCGTGGTACTATTTATGTGACACGTGATCCAAAGACTGTTACCACACACTACACTAAAACATGGATATGACATATTTCCTGTGAAGAAGAATTTGGTATGATTTAGAAAATCTTGAATCATATTCAATAACTTAATTTTTTATCCAGGATATAAACATATAATTGTTTCAAGGTATAAACTCCTGTACAGAATGTCAGTGTATTATGGCACACCCCATAAAGAGACTGTAAAAAACAATTATAGTTTTATGCTCAATTAAAGAGACGGAAATTTTTAAAAGGGGCTATGTCAATCAGAAAGAAAAGTACCTAGGGCTCATTAATTTAAAGACAGTAATTGATACGCTGGCTTCAGGAGTGTTTTTCATATTATCATTAATCAACTCTTCATTTGAAAAACACACACGAGGGAATTACTGAAAGAGTAGGTATCACATTTAATTTTTTCCACTATGTTTTTCCTAGTTTCAAATATGTTTTTCAAATCTGGCATTCATGGTTGCTACTGCACTGGAATAATGGTAACAACAGGCTGATGAGAATCTTAAGTGGCACTTACTCAGTGGAGTAATTGGAAGCGGCAATGGTTATACAAATGAATGCCCCTCAGAGGGAAGAAGGAGAGATTTGCCTTGAAACTGCGGCTGTAAAAAGTTAGTGCTGGTAAGTGAAGAAACAGAAACTAAGTGATAGAGAATGGGAACTAAGGTAGAAATAACTAACAAAGATCACTGTGCAGAACCGTAGTGGTGTTCAGAGTAGATGCGCAAGTCCATATGCATGTAGCAAATACAAGTCTCAACCCACAAAATAAAGTGAAGATGAATATATTTTAATTTTGTTAATAAAGTTATTTTAATTTCTGTTATAAGCTCTCTTCCACCAAGACAGAAGCACGGTCACATGCCTGGGTAAAAAGAATATCCCAGATACCCAAGACTAGACAGCATGCAGGGGTGACAGGCTTATTAACTTCACACTCACTGGGCCATCAGTACTTTACTTATAACCTCATTCATGGTTTTGAAGTTTTAAAAAAATGTTGCCACCTTGTTATTTTGTTACTCCTCTCTTATAAGTGATTTTCAGATAAGCAGAAACACATTAAAGGGAAAGTTTATTTGGTTCATTTGCAAGGCAGAGTCCATGGATTTCTTTTGGCTATCCCTTTTTGCACTTTCAATGGAACAAACAGTGCAATTTTTATCCCTTCTGTTTTTAGAGCAGCAGCTGTAAAAGTAATTAATGGCTAAAGAGACTCTAGCACATCCTACTGAAAGGCCATTCTGGGTTCAGCAGGAGCTCTGGACCCCAGGCTCCTGCCTCTGCACGTTCACAGACTTGCAGAGAGCACTCTGATGAATGCTGAAGGACCCCCCTCCCAAACTTGGGATCTCCGCAGCACCCTGATCCATTTTGACCACTGCCACTTATAAAGAAAACTGGTGTCAACAGGTGTTTTCATACTATTTCCAGTGATGACTTTGGTGCATATCCAGTATTCTTTTTTTTAATCTCTGGGAGTTGACAATGTTCTCATGAATTCTATTAAAAAATGAGCATTTCCCCTAATATGTTTTCTCTTCCTTTCAGCCTTCACTTTCTTCTTTTTGTCTCTACCTTCCTTAAAATAGCATTGTGCAAAAACATCCCTGAGGTTAAATAATAATCATGTATAATGAGGAAGCGTTCTGTGTGTGCCCTCTGCAGAGTCAGAGGCCTGATGTGGGACTGAAAACACAAGCTGGCCTCCAGGCCTGGTGAGGGTCATGCTCCCTGTGACCTCGAGTCAATTGCTCGACACTTTGGATTCTCAGTTTTCTGATCTTTAAAATAAGGATGACAGTACCTACCTGGGCTACTTCACAGTGTCCTTGAGGGATCATGAAAGTGAGTGTATTTTGTAAACTGCAGTGTTCCATAGGGACATAAGGAATGTTGGTCTTATTGATTTTGTTAGAACAAGACTCTTCAGAAACAGTGGTGAGAGAGAGGAATCAGTCCGGGATTCCTCTTTTCCATCTCATTGACTCATCTGATAACACTGAGATAGTGGCTTGCTGCTGCATATTCCCTAGCGGACTGAGAGAACACACATTTGCCAAATATGGAGGGGAAGATGAGCTTTCTGAACACCCTCCTATTGTCTGCACTGGAGCTAAGCCAGGCCACATCTTCAGGATAATGATCTGAGGACGGTCAGGCTCAATTCATTCTGCCTGAGCTTTGCTGCTGCCCCTTCAAACTACTTACGAAAGTGGTATTAGGTTGTGATGGCTGCTGCCCCACCCTTGGGAGAATGCCCAGGGGATGTGGACTGCCCTAGGCAGCCACAGGAAACTGGACCAGAAAGTGCAGAGTCACTGTGTGCCCAGGCGCCTGCAGGCAGATCTTTCTCCACCACATACATTTTTAGTGGGCCCTCTCACAAATGCCTGATATTTAACATTTGAGAAAGTCAGCAAAATGTTTTGTTAGTCTTTTATTCACCATTTTAAGAATATAACGTTTATCCAGTTGGTGTCGGATAAAATCGGGAAAGAAAAATATGACTGCACTATAGACTCAGGGCCCAAAATTATTCTGATGATGGCCAAGTAAAAACATTAAAAGCTGAAAAATATAATAGCATCCAGGATATTACTGAAGATTAGTTTTAAGCTTAAGTTTTTTTCCCTCACTTATCCAGATTTGAGTATGAGAAGATTTAAAGAATTCTATAAAAACTGTGAAAATGCATCTGCTAAATTAATAACAGTATTTATTTCACAAAAATGTCCTAAGTTTTGTAATGCCTCTAAAACAATTCTCAAACTTCTTGGTCTCAGTATCCCTTTAAAATTCATACATTACTTAGGACCCCAAAGGGCTTTTGTTCATGTAAATAATATCAATATGTATTTATTGTATTAAAAGTTAAACCTGAGAGTTTTTAAAAATTTATTTACTAATTCATTTAAAATTAACAAAAACAAACATACTACCTGTTAACATCAGTGCAATGATGTCGTCATATTGATGCCGGATTTCTTGCTCCTTAGCTCAGCTAGGTCTGGGTTCTTGTCTCATGACCAGGAAGAAGTAGGCACCTGGGCACTCTTAGAGTGAGCAAGGCAGGAAATTTTATTGAGTGATGAAACAGCTTTTTCAGGAAGGGGACGGGGATGGTCCCCCTATCCAAAGGCAGGAGAGTTCTCAATATAACCGAGCCCAGGGCTTTTTAAGGGCTCAGAATAGGGAGTGTGTGCTGACTGGTTTGTGAGTATGCAAAAAAGGTCAAAGCAAAGATGCCACTCAAAGGTGGGCACGACATTGTAGAAAATCAATTAGGAAAGGGTAGGTATGTGTAAAATGGGTGAAGGGTGGAGATCAATCAGAGGAAAGCACACCAAACAGGAAAGCGGGTTCTCAATCTGGTTCGAGGAGTTAACTTGTAGCTTGGCTTTCAGGCTTTAAACTGTCTTTGGCTTGGACGTGGGATTTCGCTGGGGACCCGCCCCTACATGCTTAGGCATTTGGCTGCCTCCTGCTGCTCTCAATATTTCATATAGCTATGGAAAAACTCTACTCATAAGGAAATGAGAGTGAGAAGGGCAAATGACTTCTTAGTGCTTGCTTGTCAAGGGCTTGTTTGACAATGTTTGCTCTAAAATATTTTGATCTCCATGAAAAAAGTGTTAAAGAAAATGAGGAATTACAATTTTATTATCCTAGGATTTTTAAAAGTCTGTTTCATTGATCTTAAAAAGTATATTTGTATTGTTCAAATTGTGGGCTATGAGTTTGAATCCTCATCCTGTCATGTACTGGTTGAATGACCTTGGACAAGCTATTTAAGTTTTCTGGACTTCAGTGTCCTCACCTGTAAAATAAAAATGATAATTGTATACCTTCCCCTTGGGGATGTTGTGATGAGCAAATTACTTAACCTTATGTATGTCATGGTTGTCTAGAGGGAAAAAAACATATATATAAAATATTGGATATGTTCTATATATGTGTGTGTGTGACAGAGATACACACACACAAACACACACACACACACACAGAGATTTATGTTAAGGAATTGGCACACGTTACGGAGGCTGGCCAGTCCAAAATCTGCAGGGCGGACTGGCGCCTGGAGACCCAGGGAAAAGCCAGTGTTGCAGCTCAAGTCCAAAGGTCATTTGCTGGCAGAATTATCTCTTGCTCCAGGGAAGGTTAATCTTTTGTTCTGTTAAGGCCTTCAACTGATTGAATAATTATGGAGGGCAATTTATTTTGCTCACAGTCCACCAATTTAAATGTTAATCTCAAAAACACCCTCAAAGTAACAACCAGAATAATGTGATTACATATATGGGCACCATGATCCAGCCAAGTTGATATAAGACATTTTCGTTGACCAAAAAAGCCAAACTCTATAAAATATTTGAAGATATTTATTCTGAGCCAAATGTGAGGACCATGATCTGTGACACAGCCTCAGGAATTCCTGAGAATATGTGCCCAAGGTGGTTGGGTTACAGCTTGATTGTATACACTTTAGGGAGACAGAAATTACAGGCAAAAACATAATACATATAAGATTCACATTGGTTCGGCCTGGAAAGGCAGGACATCGAGGGGGGCCGGGGAGTGTGACTTCCAGGTCATAGGTAAATTCAAAGATTTCCTGATTGGCAATTTGTTGAAAGAGTTAGGTTATCTAAAGCAAGCTTGTCCAACCTGCAGCCTGCAGGCCACATGCAGCCCAGGACAGCTTTTAATGCGGCCCAATACAAATTTATACACTTAAAACATTATGAAATTTTTTTGTAATTTTTTTTTTTTAAGCTCATCAGCTATGGTTGGTGTTAGTGTATTTTATGTGTGGCCCAAGACAATTCTTCCAGTGTGGCCCAGGGAAGCCAAATGATTGGACACTCCTAATCTAAAGAGTTAAAGTCAGCAGAAAGAAATGCTTGGGGTTAAGACAAGGGGGGCTATGGAAGTCAAGGTTCTTGTTATATAGATGAAGCCTCCAGGTAGCAAGCTTCAAAGACAGTGATCATGGTAAATGTATCTTATCAGATCTTAAAATGTGCCAAACTCTTAATTAAATCACTCAAGGATCAGGAAAAGACCTGGAAAGGGAAGGGGATTCTCTACAAAGTGTAAATTCTTCCCACAAGAGATAGCTTTGCAGGGCCGTTTCAAAATATGTCAAAGAAATATATTTTGGGGTAAAATACTTTGATTTCTTTCAGGGACTGCCATCTGTCACGTGATGCTATACTAGAGTCAGGTTGGAAATTGGTATCTTATTGCTACAAAGAGTCTGTTTCCTCAGTCTTAAGATCTCTGTTTTAATGTTAATGTGAGTCGATGGTGCCTGAATTCCAAAGGAAGGAGAGTATAACAAGGCACATTCAAACCTCCTTCCCATCATGGTCAGAACTAGTTTTTTAGATTTCTCCGAAATCCCTTTGACTGAGAGGATGGGGTCCATTCAGTTAGTAGGTTGGGGGGCTCAGAATTTTATTTTTGGTTTACACTTTGAATGGTGCCCGGCATATACAAACTCTAAACAAATGTTATATATTCTTAATATTGTATTGAATATATATTGTTTTTAGGTGTTGCATGAAAAAATCAAGTAATACGCAAAGCAAATTTTTATTTTTATGGAGAAAAAAACCATAAAACCCAGGAAACAAGTAATAAAGGTTAACATGGCTTTTTATACTTAATAATACTTCATATTTTGAATTAATATATAAGAAGATTCAGAAAAACCAGTGGGAAAAATATGTAACTGTTGATGAAAAGAGTTAAACTCCGTACAATATTTGAAGAGATTTATTCTGAGCCAAATATGAGTGACGATGGCCCATGACACAGCCCTCAGGAGGTCCTGAGAACATGCATCCAAGGTGGCTGGGGTACAGCTTGGTTTTATATATTTTAGGAAGGCATGTGACACCAATCAAATACATTTAAGAAATACATTGGTTTGGTCCAGAAAGGTGGGACAACTCAAAGTGGGAGGCTTTCAGGCTACAGGTAAATTTAAACATTTTCTGGTTGACAATTGGTTGAGCTTGTCTAAGACTTGGGATGGATAGAAATGAATGTTCACGTTAAAAATAAAGGATTGCAGAGACCAAGTTTTATTGTGCAGAGGAAGCTCTCAGATAGCAGACTTCAGAAAGAACAGGTTGTAAATTGTTTCTTACCAGACTTAAAAGGATGCCTGGCTCTTAGCTGATTGTCTTCTGGATCTGGAAAGAAAGGAAGGAAAACAAAGGGGAAAAGGGATTCTCTACAGAATGTGGTTTTTTCCCACAAGGGACTTTGCAGGGCAATTTCAAGATATGGCAAGGAAATATATTTTGTGGTTAAATATTTTTTCCTCATCTTATAATGTTATGCCAGAATCAGATTGAAAAGTCACAAAATATAGGGTCAAATGAAATCCATCTGATGAGAACTTATGGTTTGTAGGGCATGACTCCCTAGACCCCTTAGGTAGGAATTTGGGTAACATAAAAAAATCAGAGCTTAGTCCTCATAACCCAGAAACAAATCTTATCATATACAGTGATATGATAAAAATTGGCATCACAATGTGAAAGGTGAGTTAATCATTCAGTAAACAGTGTTTAAACAATTGTTAATTATTTGTTTAAAAAAATTACTTTATATCATCACTTTAACCAAAAAATAAATTCCAATTCTATTTAAGAGTGAAATGCTAAACATACACATACACACACACACACACACACACACACATTACAGAAAATAATTTATAAATTTATCTATATCTATATATAGATAAATATTTAGCTTATCTTTGGGTAGGATTTTAACTCAGAAATCATTGGAAATATTACTAAAACATTAAAACATTGATTACATTAAAATTACCAGTGTTAAAGGTAACAAATTGTGAAAGAACATCTACGCAAATGTAACACAGAATCGTTAGTATATGTAAAATATTGCAGGCTTACATAAATTGATAGGAGCAATATAAGATCCCACTGGGGAAAAAAATGGCAATGGTATCATCCTGGTCTGTCAGTTTCCTTTGAGTCACAAGGATAATAGAAGTACAGATTCTTTAAAGTAATGGAAATTTATGTAGAATTCCTCAGAATGCAGAGTTAGAGAGAAAATCATCCCTTAAGTAACAGTCATCTGGGACCCCAATGTCATCTTAACTGGGATAAAGTGTTGGCTTCAAAGACAATTATGAGAACTGTCTTGTTTAGGACAATCTCTTGTTTGCCTTTCATTTGTACTTCATAAAAACTGAACATGATTAAATTGTTTGGTAATAATAGATGGATTGAAGAAATTGATTCATGGGAATACATTTTGGACTAGATTTGTCACACCCACAAATGAAAAATGGATATTTTCTAGACTTTCACTTATTTTAATTGATGCACAATGGCTTATTTAAAATGTTTCAGCCTTAATCCTCCCTCTCCCTGCTTTTTGTGAGATTTTCTGGTCTCACCAACTACAGTTCTTTCCAGGTTTGGGGATGGAAAAAGCGTGGTACCTTTTCATCCCATCATAAGGGTCACAGCCAACACTCCTATAACAAAAAACAGGTTAACATGAGAAAAGCATAACACATTTCTTTAATCAAAGTTTTATATGACATGGGAGGCTTCAGAAATGAAGACCTAAAGACCCAGGGAAAACTGTCTATTTTTTTGCTTAGGATCAATGAAGAATGGACAGCCATGTAGAAATGTGATTGGACCAAAGGTTGTGATCTAATGGTGATAGGTTGCAGGGGAAACCCAGCAAGGCCTGACTGTTCAGATTCTTCTTGGCCTCTTTGTGTGGTATTTCTTTCTCCTGGGTATGCAGCAGGACCCCTCTGGAATGAGGGTCTTATGACCTGCTTTCAAGCAAGGTAGGTCAGATGGCTTCCTTGTGGCCAGCTCCTACACAGAAAGTTTAGAGCAATATTTCTAGTTTCTATGACCCACCTTGGGAAAGAGGAATTCTAGTTTCTATGGCCTGCCTTGGGGAACAGGAAAAAGAAAGGCAGGAGAAAGTCAGAGACAGACTTTGATTCTGAGACCCTTCCAATGTCCTTCGGTTTAAAGCACTCAGCATGCCAAAGTGCCATGCTGAGGTGGTTCAGAAAACCCCCAACACAGGACTGTGAGCTCATGGCTGGTGGGGACTTACTGTCTATGTGAGTCTGTGCCTCACACAAGTGCATCACACCCCCATGCCTCAACACCACATGTAAAGACAACTCCCTTGAAGGATTAATTGGCACTTTAAAAAGGATGTTGGAACAGAGAACCAAATTCCGGATACTTTCTTTCCCCTACTATTTCCACAAGAGGCACCATGCAGGTTGACTCTTAGCCCTGGTTGTCCCAAACCAGAATGAAAGGTCTGGCTTGACTCATGGAGATTAGCTTAGGCTGCTGGGCAAAAGAACCAAACCCTGGTCCTGACTGTTGCATTGGAGCCTTCTGTGTGGTCTAGTGGAGAAAATACTTGCTGGGAGCCAGAAATTGAGATCTGCTCCTTGTCCAGTCTTCAGAGCAGGTGGCGGGGCCAGCTTTGCCAGAGTCCAAGTGGGGCACTTATGTTTGCAGCCTTCAGATTTCCCTAAAAATAGCAAGACCTCTGCATCCATGTATCTTTTGGTTGAGTCTCAGTCACTTGTAAGCTTCAACAATTAAATTTACCTCCCTGAACCTCAATGTTCTCATTTATAAAATGGAAGAACTGCTTACATCATGCCCCTTAAGAAGATTAAATAACATTGCACTGCGCACATAGAGCATGTGTTTGGTGTATAATAATCTCAAGAAATGAACTTCTCTCCCCCTTAAGCTTATGTCACCATCTTGTTTCCTAACAGATCCATTTTTGATTAATTTTCAGACAGGAAAGGATCATATATATTCAAATGGTGTTTTATTAGCTAATAAGGCAAACTAAATGTTCTCTCCCAAGCATATTGGTATTTTAATATGGAAAAATGGGAAATTATGCTGTCATGGTGATACCTGAGGCAGCGAGGAGAAGCCAACAAGGACTGTATCCAGAGATTCAGGAGAAATTATCCAAGAATTCTTTGCTTCATAGCATTTTTGAATCAATCTTTTGATTTAAGCCTTCTGAAACTTAACTTGCCAATATTTTGAAAAGTGAACTATCAAGATTGTTGTCAATCACACCCTAGTGTGGTTTAACTTTCAGATCCCTTTTTGGAAGGGAAGTTTTATTTAATCCATGTGTTGAGAAGAGGAGGATGCAGTTCATATAACCTGGATATTTAGAGTGAAGGGAGAAAGAAGATACAGTGAATATGAAATGAAACTTTCACATAATTCACACATGTACCCAGAGTTGCAAGGAGAAAACAAAAGTATTGGTACATAAGTACTTTTACGTGAAATGATTTAAAATGTTTGTATATGGTATTTTTTGTTGTAGTTTCTGAGATGGAGTCTTGCTCTGTCCCTCAGGCTAGAGTGCCGTGCCACGGTATTTTAATTTATTTTTCTTTATTTTGAATTTCTCTACTCAAAGGTACATTTTAAATACCCTTAATCATCATGATGATCCCACACTTCCTGCAGATTCCCATAGAAAGTCACACATCTTCCTCCTGTTGAACTATTGCTCCACAAATCATAGTATTTGCCTAGGATTTTGCTTTTTAAAGTTCCATTGCCACATTTGTGGTAAATTCTATTGTGTATGGTAACACATGATAACAACAATGCGTAGCGCCTAAAAGCTCTAATGACCAGCAATTCTGTGGTCAGTAAAAGGAAATTACATAACATTAGTAGCCAATATGCTGTTGAGGGAAAAGTCCTCACATTTCTCCTGACCATCCCTGCCCCTGTCACTTGCCACTAATAGTAGGTTTTGCAACTAGGTTTGGGGGTGAGTGGACCCTGGAGTACTATTCTCTGTACCCCCAAACCATGCCCAACCCTTCTACTTGGTTATTTCAACTCAGTGGTGGTCAAGTTTTGTTGTATTTAACTCCTACACAACTTCACTCTGTCTGTTCTATCATAAACCATGTGTGTCTAGTACTATCAAGCTAAGCATTTTCATTATTACTTTATTTACATAAAACCCTTTTAAAAGAATAATTTGACCTAAGATACAGGTCATCCTGGACTTTCCACCATGTATGTCTGTTAGTGGTGGTTTGTCTTTTTTGGGGGGGATATTTTGTTTTTTGTTTGTTTTGTTTTCAATTTTTTGAGTATTTACTATTTAAATAAAAAGCAATGGCAGCAAAGGTTTCTATTTCCATGTCCCTTTGAGCTTTTTCCTTGACATCCACTTCTCTCACAAGGATCTGGCCTTCATGCCAAGTCTCTGCTGATCTTCACTGCGGAGGGCAGCTCCTCCCAGGAGAGGGTCCAGCCCCTCCATTGGCTGGTGCCGGCCTCACATTTGTCCTGACCCTGTGTCTGGCTTGTGCTGCCCGTGATTATGGCTCCTGCCGGCCGCTCAGTGGCCCATGGGATTGTGGAGCAGAAAGCAGAAAAGGAATTTTGGATTACGGGGGGGAAATGATGCTTTAAAAAGGCAACAGTTTTCTGATGTCTATTTTTTTTTCATTCTAAGATAGTTTCATAAATTTCCTCTTCATTTCAACCAAGTACGCTTGGTTACACTTCCTAAGGAATTTTGTTCAACTAGATGGTATGTTTTGGTGAATTAATCCAAGAGGACGCTACTGAAAAAATATTATATATATGCAGCTTTCTTCACAGAACATATAACAGGATATATATTTGGGATGTTAATTTAAAAAACAATTTTAAGGTTAAGGAATGATATAGTGTGCTAGATTAAGATGTATTGAGCAAGTCATGCTTTACTTTTTGTTCATTTTACTAGGTCATTTAAATTCCTTTTATGTGCTCCTCAGGGCAGTTAACTCTTTACATGTTTGATTCAGTGCTGGAAAGGCTATAGGTATTGAAAGGCTCTAAAAAGTTAAGTGATTAAATAATTATGCTCATTATCTTTATCATATTTGATGTTTTAAATACTGCTAATAATTCATCTTACTTTATTTGCACTAAAAAGCTATTCTTGGATTTAATATTTCTAGTAATAAAAAAAGCAAAACAGATATTCTCTCATTTGTGTTCCTCAAAGTTAATTCTTTATTATCTTCCTTCTCCTCAAACATGAAGTTTTATCAACGGTGATGCATTTTCTTGTGTGTTTCTTACTCTATCAGACTTGATCCAGTCAGACTCACACACCTGAGATGAAACCCAGGCTCCTGGAAGCTATGAAATTGTTCAGTAATGTAGCCTTATAAGTAAGCAATTAAAGCAGGCCTGGAGTCCAGTAAGGCCTATGCCATTCATACTGGCAACAGGCGATGTATTTTCCATCACTCTTTCCCCTTGCCCAGATAGCTTCTCTCAAAATAGATGGTATGTTTTATTCTATCAAGCATTTATATTACCTTTTCCTTCCTAGCCATTTTAATGGAAATGGGTGGAGAATAAACAGTAACTCAATAAGAAGTCATAATTGCTCATTGTAGTACATCATTGATTGTGTGATTTTGTAATATAATTGTTATTGGGCTCTTATTGACTGGATTCTGGGTTTCTCCTGTCCTTGTTAGGTTTTGTGTTGACTATTTTCTCTTTCTATTTTTTTCCTAAGACTTTTAAAGTGTTTCTCAAATTATGGTCTTTGTTAAACTTTCTGCATCCCGTAATGTGGATGTTCAAAAGATTCCTGGTCCCCACTCCCTACCCACTGCCAACAGAATCAGATTCTCTGGAAGTGCGAGCTAGAAAAATACATTTTGAATAAGTACTCCTCCCCTCCTTAGGTGCTTCTTATGCATGCTGAAGTTATAAAACCATTGAGGAAAATAGACCCACCAGCATCATCTGAAACACAATTATCCTTCCAATTGTGTTTTTTTCCCCCTACACTTTCTCCTTTTTTTTAATCTATCATCTCTTCCATTTTCAAGACGATTTGTGAGTCAATGTAAATCTGTATTGCTGGGCCCTATCCACCAAATCTACATCCAGCCTTAGACATTACCAATATCAGGAATCATCTATGGAAAGATTCAGGCTTATTCCATAGCCATAAATCCTGGAAACTGTCCTTAGTCATTTAGCACAGTCTTAGAGGAGGCCTCGGCATTCTGTGGCTAGTATTACACCATCCTTTAGCATCATGAATGTCAAAGTTGTGCTGAGATGAAGTGAAATGTACCTGAAATAACAAAAATAAACAAACCAAAACTACTTCCTACTTGTTGAGTTTCTCCTACTTCCAAAATTACTCTGTTTCCAAAAGTTCCAGGTCCTACAAGTGCTCTAGATTCTATCCTATGCCTCTTTCCCATGAGGCTTTTGGACATCTTCAGGCTGTAGTTCTTTTTCCTACTCCCCTACCCTTAGAACATAGTAAGTAGTTAAATATGTTCTTGTTATTATGCTCATTCTCATTGTGTTATTTATACATGGCAAACACAACGGTGTCTTGCACATGTGGTCTATAATCTATAAATTTTATTTATCATTATAAATAATCTTCAAAACTATATTCAAGTAACATCTTGGGTAACAGAGCATATCACAGATAAACTGTGAAAGCCCAACACCTATTTAACTGATTTATCAACATGCTGGTGGATACTTAAAGGATTTGGAGTTTACTACATATTAAAGTGTATGTTATGTTATTATCAACTCAAACTAATTAATAAAATTAGCCAGGTGTGGTGGCTCATACCTGCAATCCTAGCAACTTGGGAAGCTGAGGCAGGAGGATCACTTGAGGCCAGGAGTTCAAGACCAGCCTGGGCAACATAGCAAGACCGTGCCTGTTAAAAAGTAAAAAATAAAATAATTAGCCAGATGCGGTGGCATGCTTCTGTAATCTCAGATATTCAAGAGGCTGAGATATGAGGATTGCTTGAGCCCAGAAGTCCGAGGCAGCAATAAGCCAGGATCGTGCCACTGCACTCCAGCCTGGGCAGCAGAGTTAGACCCAGATCCTTAAAATAAACTAATAGAATTTTCATCAACCTAGTTCTTCCTATTCTGGCATGACCAGTTCAGAAGTTTCTGTCCTACTTTAGTGTGTAATCATATTATTTAAAAATACCATAATTTTTAAAGGTGGGTGTTTGGTAACTCTGACATTTAGTGGAAAAAGATCAAAACAAATCCTTCCTTCGATTCTGGGCAACTAATGTCCACCCATCCTATGACTTTTATCCAGTCTGGCCCATCTGCATACTTGGCTAGCTTTTCTGGTCTCAGCACGGGTAACTTCTCTGTTGAGAAACTTTCCTCATCCAGCAAAATCTAGGTTTGGGGAAGCTCCCACAGGCTCTCACAGCATTCTGCCTCCTCACAACACCAATGACATTTGTCACTGCCTCCTGGGCAGTCTCTGAATCTAAAGTGTTTCATATTATAACTTCAGTACCAAGACAAGAGCCTGGAACACAGGTGGATGCCTTGATCAGTAAATTAATGCAACCTGTACATGTGAAACCAAACCCTGTATACTTTAGCATCATTTATGGCACAGAGAGCCCTCTTCGCTTTACTCTGATTAAGTGGCCATTCATTCTCCTTTTGTTTGGCTCCTGCTCTTTTGTTATGGCCCCCAGTTTCTGCATCCATTCTGCACCATGAATGTATCAGTTAATTTCAGTAATCCTGGTCCCATCTTCTGGAGCTCTCAGGGGACTCTGGTTCAGGCTCAACACTCTAGAGATTCCCAGTTTTCACAGCTTTAGAACAATCCCCTGCTCCAGCCTCTTAAGCCAAACCCTGAGGGCCCCTTAAGAGAGAGGACCAAACACTCTATGTCCTTATGGGTGTTTTCAATCTAGCATTCTAACCTCCTTGAAATCATAAAAACACATTTTTTTTCTTTGATTCATTTTATCTAAGTGTCTTGGACATTTCCATAAATGGATCTGTTGACAATAACTATGAACATGTTTTCACTGAAACTATCTCACTGATGAGTATTTGGTGGCTTTAGAAAGAGAAATGGTTGAATATTAGCATGGGGTATTAAAACCTGAAGGTTAAATGGATGAAGAGGACTTGAATGACCTTACTGAGGCAACACCGTGTGAAAAAAAACTCTTAACATTTTTTAAAGTCTTCTATTTGGTAGGTCCACAGAAAGGCATTCATCACCCAGAACTGGCCTTTGGAAGGACACAGACTTATATTTCCATATTTTCAATCACAGGTCAACAAAGTTTCCAGACTTTCCAAAGGTGAAAAACTGTACCTTAGGCTTGTTGAGTAGTTAGAGCAGAAGGAACAAGTTTGTCATTTGACTGGTCAGTAAACCTGTTTGGTGTCTGGCCAGACCAAAAATATTTTTTGAAGGGGAGTTCTCTTTGCCATGTTATTCTTAGTTTTGGCCCAAATTGTCTTTTATATTTTGTTGGCATCAAGGTGGGCTGCCAAGGAGAAGACCCCAGACTCTGAGCAGACCGCTAGGCAGAAGCAATTGGAAGAACACAATGAGCCCTTGATCTGAAAGAACTGACAGAAGAATTCAGGGAGTGACAAGAGCTGCTTCTATCCAGGAGGGCTAGTCTGAATGCAACGATTAAGCCATCCTGGGGCACAGTGCAGGGCGCTTGGTATTGATTCAATACATTTTTAAAAAAATAAGTGAATGGGGCCAGGTGTGGTGGCTCACACCTGTAATCCCAGCACTTTGGGAGGCCGAGGCAGGTGGATCACAAGGTCAGGAAATCGAGATCATCCTGGCCAATATGGGGAAACCCCGTTTCTATTAAAATACAAAAATTAGCCGACATGGTGGTGGGCGCCTGTAGTCCCAGCTACTCCAGAGCCTGATGCAGGGGAATCACTTGAACCTGGGAGGCGGAGTTTGCAGTGAGCCGAGATCGTGCCACTGCACTGCAGCCTGGTGACAGAGCAAGACTCCATCTAAAAGTAAATAAATAAATAAATAAATAAATAAATAAATAAATAAATATGTGAATGAATGAGAAATTTTATTTATGTTAAATTTTTGACCAGAGCATATGGCTCTATTACTGAGCCAGTCGGAAATGGCTCAGAATCCAGCAGTCAGCAACATCATACTATTCAGGGTCTTCAAATACACCCTCCAGTTTGACCAACAATTCCAGGAAGTGACCAGCAAAGTCTGCCTTTATCCCCTTCCATTAAGCACGTCAAGGCCAGTTTTGTGAAGCAGTTGATTACAATCCCCAACCTCAAGCAACCAGTGGAGAAACCTGCAGCTGAATCCCTTGACACCACTGAATATGAACTAAGGTGTTGGGCCTGGCCTTGTCTGTCTTACCCTTGAAAATGTACCCAAGAGACAATTTGGTTGGGACTGCTGCTATTTGGGAGACCTGATTCCACCCTGGGTAGATTTTTTTTTTAGACGGAGTCTCCCTCTGTCGCCCAGGCTGGAGTGCAGTGGCACGATCTTGGCTCACTGTAAGCTCCGCCTCCCAGGTTCACGCCATTCTCCTGCCTCAGCCTCCCAAGTAGCTTGGACTACAGGTGCCCGCCACCACGCCTGGCTAATTTTTTGTATTTTTAGTAGAGACGGGGTTTTGCCGTGTTAGCCAGGATGGTCTGGATCTCCTGACCTCGTGATCTGCCCGCCTCGGCCTCCCAAAGTGCTGGGATTGCAGGTGTGAGCCACCGCGCCTGGCCAATTTTTTTTAAGTGAAATTAAAGGCCCCTGACTTCAGGATGGGAGTCTTCTCTTCTTACTGATGGGCCAGCGTTCTCAGTGCACTGTCTTTGTGGCACCATGGCTACAGATTTGCTCTGGGCTCTTTGTGCTAATAAAGGCGAAGGGCTAGAAAAGATGGACCTTGTAACATCTTAAAGGCTCTAAGAGACAATTCTGCATAGGGTAAGAAAAAGGAAATTGGACAGCTAGACCTATGGTTCTTACTCCATTCTTAAAGTGGACTTGTTCCTTGGATACCAGGGAATACAACATTGACATAGTATAGTCCAATGGCTAAAAGTGACCTTTCTGAGGAGCATGATGCATTCAGGATACTTCTGCTTTGTGTTAATGTTTCTTCCCTTCTAATCTATTATTTCCAAGCTCGCAGATCAATGAATAGCTTTACTATTTAAGATTCCAGTTGAAGGGGGGGAAGGCAGGAATGTAAATTTGTAGGGAGGAGGGAAGAGCAATCAGCCACTCTAAGGTCCCATGGGAGCTGGCAAGCACTGGACCACAGAATGGAATGGGATGTGCTGAATGAAGCTCTGTCTGTCTTGTACACACCAGTCACTCCAAGGAGGGAGCCAGGAAGCAGGCGGCAGGGTATGTGGGCTGTCAGAGTAGATTCTGCTGAGAAGACATGTGTAAGGGAGAACTATTGCTTTACCAGAAGCGTTGACAAGAAATAGAAGCTGAGATGTCATTGCAAAATAGAATGCACCCAGAGTAGCATTTGAATGTGAATGCAATCATTGGAGAACCTACGGAGAGGCCAGGACAAAGGAGGGAATGTGTGAAGCTTGTTTGAGAGTTGCGAGTGAGAAAAAGTTGTTTGCTGCGATGAGTTGACAAAAGGAGGATTTTTAAAAAACAACTACTACTCTTTCCAAGGGTGACCAGTAACTATCTTAGAGAGGCAAATTTTATGAACCAGGCCATGACGGGAACTGAAGAAAATGCCTGCCAAAGTCAAATGTCTAAAGTAAATATACTTTTCATAAAGAAAGTACATAGTATTTGTGCATTTTATAAAATATATTTTATAAAGAAAATGTAAAGTACATAATATGTGCATGTGTGTATTTCTTTAAAGACTTATTTATAGAACTAGCAATCTTAGACTTTTTTGGTCAAACTCTTTGGTCATATTAGACTATTTAAAATACAAAAAGAAATAGGCATATTGGTGTATATACAATTTTCTAGCATTGCTTCTCTAAGTATTCTGTTTCTCTGTCAGTCTCTCTCTCTCTCTCACACACACATACACAAACACACACACACACACACCATGCACAACTATTAGCAGAACTGTTGTTTTGCAAAAGTTTGATGGTTTTTACTTCTTGGAATTGGGTCCTACCAGTTTGTCTATTGCCCTTCTGGGAAATGTGTCCACCTGTCATGGATGAAAATATTGCAAATGTGTCTTCTGTGTTACCGAAAGACCTAAGGGGGTGAATTCTATTTTGTAACCAAGAAAAGACTAGAGCCAGTTCTTAAATGCTTCTTCTAGAATTCAAATAAAAACTTAGAACATATCTACTGGCCATGTTGTTCTAATTAAAATATGTCAATATTAATGCCAACTATTACCGTGGGTACCCACACAGAAGAAAGTCACCAAAAAATGTGTGCAGTTTCCATATAAAGGCTGTTTTTATCACTATTTTAATTTAAAATGGAATATGGAGAAATGCATGAAAATAAAATGCTGTTTCTACCTTCAGTATTTATACTTATCACTCTTGGTACTTTTTCTAGAAACCCTTTATAGGACTCTTGTGTTTTCCTTTCCATCACTCTCCTCACTCCTCCAGGGCACCCTTTTCTTCTGAAGGCCAACTTGTGGAAACCCCAGGAGCTAGCTACCATGTTACAGGAGGCTGACCATCATCTGGACTCTCTCTTATGTCAGACTGTGGAATGTAAATTTTGGAAGTGCCAGGAGCTATAGTTTCTATCATGTATACAAAACTTCTCTGAAGTGAGAAAGACTGCAATTGACATACCAAGAAGAGCACAGACAGGACACAAAGGTATAGTCTTGTCAGTGTTCAAGCTCCTGGTCCCACTTATTTCTCTGAATTACTACCCATCCTGGGATTTAATTGTCCTAGAGTTCTTTGGGTTGCATGAGCCAACAAATGCCCACTTGTCCTAAGCAAGTATTGCTTGGGTTTTCCATCATTTCATCTTCTATTCTATTCAGAAGATTCAGAAGATTTAACAAAGTCCTAGGTATGAATAAGGAAATAAATCTTAGGACAGATTATTTCCAGGAGCAGTAATTAGAAATATTAAGCTGTAGCCAGACATGTCCATGGCATGATGTATAGTTAGGATATGTACCATTGACCACAACACAGGTATGGTGGTTTTAAAAAATATGTTGCAAATTCTTTGACACTGATTCTCTTTTCATTAGGTCAGATCTAATTCCTTCTCCTTTTGACTATGGACTTGACTTAGTGACTTGTTTCTAACAAATAAAATATGAGAGAAGTGATGTTATATAACTTTTGAGACTAGGTCTTAGATAGTTTCAACTGGCTTTCTTTCTCATGGATCACTTGTTCTTGGAGAAGTTAACCTCCAGGTCATGCAGACAGGCAAAGAACCTGGAGAGAGGCCTATGTGGAGAGAAACCGAGGTCACCTTCAACAGCCAACACCAACTTGCCAGCTATGTAAGTGAGCCATCTTGAAATGGATCCCCCAGTCCCAGTTAAACCTTGAGATGATTGGTCAACATCTTGAATGCAATCTTATGAGAGACCATGAGCCAGAGCTACCCAGCCAAGCCACTCTTGAATTCCTAACCCACAGAGATAATAAAATGTTTACATTTTTAAGCTACTAAATGTACGGGAAATTTGTTGTATAATAAGATAACTAATACTATGTCCAAGATTAAGGGAAATTACTTTGAAGAGGTTCGTCAATTAGCATCAGTCATAAGTGACGGCAGGAGATCCCAAATAGGCAACTCAGTCATAAAAATAATTGGAGTTCATGATTACAGGTTTGGTCCCCAGGAAATAGAGCTCCAGGTAGAAAACATTGTTAATGAAGAACACATGGGAATAGAATCACTTAATCATATAAAAAGAGTGATAGAATAATATAATGGCTAAGATAAAGAGTTTGAGAGTTAAACAGATTTAGATTCGGATCTTGGCTCCACTAGTTTCTGTTTGAACTTATTACTTGTCTGTATTTTTTAGTTTTATTTTGGGATAGTTTTAGGCTTACTAAAATGTTACAAAAATTATCAAAAGAGTACCTATGTACTCGTCACCCAGCTTCCCCAAATGCATAAGAATTTCGCATAAGAAAAAACAAAACAAAACAAACAATAACAAAAACATAAGAGGCCTGGTACCAAGTCCCACGAGTGACTGAAATCTCAATTTGTATTCATAGAAAGTCTATTCATACCACCTTATCCTGTTCCCTTTTTCTTGGTCCTACTTTTTCCAGGACACCTGGGTTGTCCTCTTCTCCCTTCTGTGCCAAACTGTCCTTTCCCATTGAAAATTAATGTATTCAGGCTCACTTCTCTCTTTAAAAGATGCAGTCAGGAGCTAAGAAGCCAGCCTGAAGTTTCTCAACCTCCGTTTCTTAACACTTTAGCAAAAACATTTCCAAAATGAATGACCCTCCTCCATCATGCCCCACACCAAGAAAATGTGAGAAATGGATCATAAATTTCTCAGAAAAATGATAATTCAAGAAATTTCAAAATATAACAAACTACCAATATATGTATCATTTAAAGAAAACATTCTTTTTGCTCTCACATCATAAAGTAATTTGTCTTCAAAACTTGAATTTGAGAACTATTCAGGGCATAAAAATGAAGACATCAGAGTCACATCATATGTATGTGCTGGTTGCCTACCCGCCTTCCCATCTTGAAGGTAAGCTTCTTGCAGGCAGAGCCAGCATCCTGAGTTCTCTGTCCTGTCTCTAACACAGTGCCTGTCACACAGAAGGCATGTTGATTGACTTTGATATGATAGAGAAATTTCCTCTTAAGTATTCCATTTTTCAGAATTCATTCAAAAGTCAAATACCCATTCTTTAAGACATCTTGCTAAGAAAGGAAAAATTCATTATAAAGGGTCATTTTGAACATTCAGAAGGAAGACCTAAGTGTTGAGTAAGTGAACAGACCTTTCTGCTGATGTACTTACAGAGACAGAGGTCCGGGCCAGTTCCCCATCACCCCTTACCCGCAATGTTACAGGCTCTTCTCAGAGCTTTCTCCATCTGGGCTCTTTCTCGGTAGCTTGTTTTCACATGTGGCTGCAAGACTGAACACAGTTAATCTGGTTTCCCTGCCTTGCTGCACAGAAGGCCAGTCAACAGCTCTCTTTTGACTTATCTTTAAACATTTTTTTAAATGTTCATTATTGAGGAGAAATAAAAAGGAAGCAACAGAGGCACAAACAGAGTGAAACGATAAGGCCTAGGAAATCTTACATTGTACTTTTAATCATGGACCACATTCTTTGTTTACCCAACTTGCCTTTGAGAAGGAGTGTCGCACCCTGTGCTGGGCATCTGATCCTGCACTGCTCTGTGCTCTACTGGGTTTATTTCCACATAGGTTCACATGGCCTTGGGGCGCCATCATGGAGGGTCTTGTTCTCAGTGGACATGGCACAAGGCAGTATCCTCACATAGTAAAGGTTCAATCAATAGTTGTTGAGTTAGTAAATGAATGACTCATATGGCTAATTTTTTACCGATCTGATGGGTGGATGCAATCCAACATTGCCAAAGTGAAGGGTTACACAGTGGGAAGGCCGTGGGGGTGGATGTATTTGGCAGGCGGCAGAGAGAGGTACAGGACGATCCCTTACATTGTAAATGCAAAACATTCTCAGTGGAATTTGGCTTTCCCACATAGTAATTATGTGTCATAGTGTATACATGCTCTATAGCTTATTTCTCAAAACATATTTGTGGGTATGTTTTTGCCAATGCTATTTTCATAAGACATGTCTCACAGAAATGGCCAGGAGCAGCCAGAAGCAAAACCCACCAAGTCCTGTTTCGTTCTTGTTCTTTCTTTGCTAATATGTGCAAGACTTAAGATAACTGAACTCATACTTTTCCTACCTAGAATAGAATTATCTTATAAATTCTTCTGTTAGTCTACAAGTAATCTGCCTTGATCCTATGGAATTACAAGCCAGTAGAGCTGCTGTATTTTGCTTGAGTGTGGTTACCACTTGGTTGGCACACACTAAGGATATTTTTGACTCTCTCTTTGCTGACATGAGCTACAGAGCCTGGTTGAGAAAACCCTCTGAATGAAAACAAACAAAAACCTACCAGAACAAATTAGGGACAGGGGAACTTGGAAGCCGTGTAAGAGTTGTGAAACCATCAGAACATTAGGATTTAGGGTGTCCCTTTAAAGTGTTTTAGACTTTCTGGGAATACTCCCTGGGAAATGTTGTGTTTTCACAAAAAAGTTGTTCTGTGCCTGACAGCACGAAGAAGCACGTGAAGACTGGAGACTGTGAGAATGTTTTCAGCAAGAGCCAATCTGGTAGCAAAAGGCTAAAAATTGCATTTTCACAGCTCCGCCAGAATATGCAAAAATTTCTTGTCCCTATCTATTTTATGACATTAAAAATGATTTAAGGCAATTGACACTTCTATTTCTTCCAAGGGGAAAAAATAGATTTTGTAGAGTTCTGGCATATATCAGTGCATGATTGTTTCAGATCATTGTAGCTGGAATGGGCTGTTGTACCAAAGCTTATCTAATATACTTTGTTCATTCATTCAAAAAATCTTTACTGAATGCCTGTTAAGTGGCAGACACTGATCTCTTACTGGGTATATAGAATTCAAGAGGAGAGCCATGGTCAACTTAATCAAGAAGCAGTTCTAAATTTTTATCAAGCAACCATAGTGAAGAGACATGATAAAGTCAACCCAGTTCTAACCCCACCACTAAAGATTAAGAAGGAAATATTTTAGTATATGAGTTAGGTAACCTGGTTATTAGTCATTTAGGGTATGAAATAGGACTTGGAAAAGGTTATTAAGATTTTGAAGTAATAGACTGAAACAATCAGACTTGGGAAAGAACACAGATCTCATTTTTCTGGATTAGCTGCATTTGGTTGCTTGCGAGGTGAAGCTTTAGAGGAAAAGGAAAAAGGAAAAGCATTTTGGCAATCAGGTTACATGAATAGCAGGTTTCAGCAGATCTAAGTAGTCCCAGGCAGGCTGGGCCAGAATGTCCTTAGATAATCAAGTGCGGCTTTACTGGTATGGTTATTATCCCAAAGGAGACCTACTAGAACAGGCTCAACTCTGCTGCTGTACAGCATGACCTTTGGTGCTTTCTCTTTTTTATTTCTCCTGTAGGAGGCAAGAGCTACAGCTTAATGGATAAGAGCCCATGCTTTGTGGCCAGCCATGCCTGGGTTTGGGTCCTGCTCTGCTACTTACCAGACAGCCCTGTGATTTGAGTTTCACAGCCTCTCTAAGCCTCTGATTCCTGCCTCATAAAAAGGGCATGGTGATCGTGTGATACTTCATAGAGCGAAATGAGCTTAGACTAAGCACTTAGCCCAGAGCCTGACACAAGGCAAGGATCTAATTCTTTCTAGCTAGTATCTCTTGCAAGGACATCAAGGCCATTTCTTGTTAATCAAAGTGAGCCAGCTGGCATCACGGGTTGGAAATCCCTTAGCAACTGGTTAGCACTCAGTACAAACTCGCTTAAAATTGGTATATTGGCAGTTAGGAAGTTACCACTAATTCTGTCACACTTAACCATTTCATAATGGTGATCTATTTAGAGCAGTGATTGGAAAACAAGAACTTTAAATTTGGTAAAGAAGCTTTATGTTGCTTTATTTGTTTCAGAAAAGGACAATACCTGAGTCATGTTCTAAGAAAAACATGAGCATTTTTGAAAGTACCCTATGTGGACTGAATAGTGAAAAAGGAAAGGCACGTGGAAAAGGACATTATTATTTTAAAATGCTTTGAAATCACATTCAAAGTCGTCAGCTAAGTTTCGTGGTGTTCTGGCCACTGAGGGACTGCCAGGCTCTGTCTTCCTTTTTTGCCCATAGAGACCCCAGCCCTGCAGTACTGGTAGTGAGGCTCATGGTAGCTCCCACTCACTGGACTCATTCTGTCATTTTCAAAAGATGTTCAGTTCTTAAAATAAACTGACAATAAATAACAGATCAAGTATCTTATGATCTAAAATAATTCAATGGAAATTTGGAATGAACATAAAACTATATAGATCCCCATCTTCCCTGGCTGATTCTCTCAGATTATAAACATATTAAACTTATCCCCAGCCTAAAGTAGCCTGCTTGGGAGTTGGCAGTCTCTCAAGCTGCCCTTGCCCCCTCTGCTCTCCTCCACAGCCAAGAGTACATAAGAAGTAGTCCTCCCTGACTCTATCCATTTCCTCCACTCCCATTCACTGCTCAACCTCCTGCAGTTCCCGCTACTCCCTTAAAATTGCTCTCTACCCAGCTAGAGGAGAGCTGGCAGCTCAGAACTTACCATAGGCTTAAAGGAGAAAAACTTGATCCAGCCCCAGGAGAGCTCTACACTATCCTGGGCTGATATCAAAGGAACGCAACTTTCCAACCCCATCAGTGTTCACCCACTACCAACCCCTGCTCTCCAAGGCAGGAAGCAGGTGAGCTGAGACAAGGGATGAGATGGAAGCAGTCATCATAAAGGAAAAAAAAAAAAAGTGACAACTCTGGAAGTCACAAAGTTACCAGTCTCAAGAGGAAATATTGATTATCTTTTATAAAAATTAGCGTTCATTCTCCAAGAACCCATTTGTATTTGGAACAATCTGAATCTCAATTATCTGAGTTCCTTAAAGCTACAATGATCATATTCACTTAATTTCCATAAATAGATACACTTGTTTGCTTTACAATAGCACCTAGGTTTTCATTAGAGAAATTTCGAGGAAGCACCCCTCTGTCTTTAATTGGCTTCCTAATTACACTAATTTTATTTGATTGATATATTAGGCTCTGGAGGAAAGGGAAAAGAGGGGAAGAGAGGTCACAATACAGTCCTTTATTCTCAGCTCCAGACAGCACAGGAAATCCTCAATTAAACTATACCACTTCCCTCAGCATGCCATAAAACCCATGCATTATATTTAATATCTTTAAGCTCATTTATAATAATGGTTTTATGTGATGTGGTGAAGTTAACTCATTCCTTCTAGACTTTCTTTTCATTATTATTGCAGAACAAGGCATGCTTCTTGTGAAAAAAAAATCAGAAGTTCAGAAGAATAAGTCCTGAAAAATTAAAGTCCCCCGTCCCCCCGCCCCGTCCTCCTTAGGTTTTCTTTAGAAAACTTCCCTGTGACAATTTCCCTCCATTTGGAGAGGCAGACAAGAGGACATCTCCTCACTCACAGCCAGGACACTGTGCATCTCATATCGTGCTGGGACTTTTTCTTGACAGGATTGAGGGAGATTCAAAGTTCCCCAAAACCAGAGAGGAACAAATGCATCAACACAGCATCTCAGACCCTGGAGAAAGTCCAGCCGTGGCCATGGTTTTGCTGTAGAATGTTTTCTTCTAATGCAAAGTCTGACTTAGAACAATGTCTTCCTTGTGCCTTCCCTTTAAGGAAGGGTTGGCTGGACCCCGACAATTAGTAACTTAGGACAAAGCCTTCTGAGTTGGTGGCCCCATAAGGGCCAGAAGGAAGTGGTTTTCCTACAACCTCTGTTCCTCAGCCCGGCCTGGGCCACAGCACAGGTGAAGGTTATTGGAGGAAGAGTTGTTTCATCTGGGAGGCTTTTCCTTCCCTTATTATCCACACCTGAGCAGCACACAACCTAGAGGCTCAGGTGGATCATAGTTGTGGGATGCCTGTTTATTTTGTGGTGAGCATCTGAGAAGCGTCATCCCCACCTCCAGAGACTGCTCAGCTCCCCATGAAGGGGTGGGCCAGTTCTGTCTAGTTCCTCCACTCTCTTCCCTGCATGGTATCTAGGAGTGGCACTTCCCCCTGAACTAGGAATATCTGACCCTCTGTGTCTCCCTGTGAAGCCCGTTGAGGTGAGTATTAATGTCTCTGATCTGACCGAGCAGCGCCGGGTTTGCAAGCTCAGCTCCCAAACAGCTTTAAGCTTGTTCCCATCCAGGCAGAGAAAGGGAGATGTTAGAGAGGCTTGGGACCAAAAATGGAGAAAGAAGGCAGAGGTTCAGGGCAAAACTCTATCCAGAAGTGCTGTTTATTTAGCTGAGTATTTTCTCTCTCAGAATGATAGATGACTATTGGCGGGGGGCGGGGGAGTGGTGGGCAGGATCCCTGACAAATATACCCTCTTCATATGCCGCCGAAACATTCTTGGAGATTGTGCTCTAGGAATCCCCCTGATTCTGTGATTTTCCACGTTTCCGTGACTGCTTGAGGGTAGAATTAGAACAAATGGCTAACAGGATACCATTCCTTACAGCTCAATAATGCTGATTGTCTCTGGATTCTGAGTAAGAAGGAAACTGGGAAACATCAGTATCTAAGTACCTCTAGTGATTGGGACAGAAATTTAGACGTCTGGCAAACTTTCTTTTTCTATTTCTTTTTTTTTTTTTTTTTTTTTTGAGACGGAGTCTCGATCTGTCGCGCAGGCTGGAGTGCAGTGGCGCGATCTCGGCTCACTGCAAGCTCCGCCTCCCGGGTTCACGCCATTCTCCTGCCTCAGCCTCCTGAGGCAAACTTTTTATTTAACCTTCTCAAAGAAAATTTAATTAATTTTAATGACTTTTTAGCCTCTGAAAATTATTTGCTTACAAAATTAGCTTAATAATAATGATTACATTGATAAAGATATTATTTTAGCACTAAATCTGAGGGGAGAAAATTACCGTGAGTTTCAAAATATATTATTTTTGACTACTTCAAAAGATGTTTGAAGTGTTAAAATTATTTTTACAGTTTCTCTTACACCCAGAATATTGTATTGTCTTAGTCCATTTGTACTGGGACAAAATATATAGCAAAATACCTGAGACTGGGTAATTTGTAAAGAACAGAAATAAATTTTCTCATGGTTCTGGAGTCTGGGAAGTCCAAGGTTAAGGCACCAGCAGGTTTGGGTGCCTTGTGAGGGCTGTTCTCTGCTTCCAAGATGACACCTTGTGGCTGCCTCCTCCAGAGGGAAGTGACACTAAGGTAGAAGAGCAAGCTCCTCAAATGCTGTGTGAAGCCTTTTTTATGAAGGCACCTGATCCCGTTTAGGCAGAAAAAGTACCCCTGGTCTAACCACCACTTAAAGGTCTCACCTCTTAAACCATCACATTGGCTACACCTGAATTTTGGAGAGGATGCATTCAAATTGTAGCCCTGATCTGTAGGAATCAGATTATTGATATCATGTCTAAGCGGCCCATTGAAAAAGTGGTAGACATTTATCTTTCTTGTGCTCTTTCGTAGTCTAAGTGCACGTTGTACATAATGAATACTCAATAAATAATGACCAGACCTCTTAGACCTGATTTATTAGTGATTTAAACTTCATAATTTGCTTTTGTGTTTAGAGAAGAAAGAGAGGAAAAGTTATGCTGTTTGGAGAAAGCAGCACTTGAGCTTAAATTCTAGCTCTAACTCAAGTGATTTTGGACAGGTTAGTAAACTCTCTGGGACTGTATCTGCTTATCAATAAAAGGCAGATAATGATCCTACTATCTCATAGAGTTATTATGAGGACTATGATCACACATGAAAACACCAGCACAGGACATGTTCTTAGTGTGTACAAAATGCCATTCCCTTCCTTGCCCCTTTACATGGTACAATTGACCTGACATCTACAGGTATTAACAAGAGTTCTAATAAACATTGAGGCAATATGTTCTTTCCCTGTAAGTGACACTAGAAGGATTATATATGTAAGTATATATTCATTCATATGAATATGAATGAATTATATATAAATATATATTATGTAAATATATGAATTATATAAAAATATATATTATGTAAATACTATATGAATTATATATATTATATAAATAATATATGAATTATATACTTATTCATATGTATTGCATATGAATAAATAGAAACATTTCATTCATGAGTATGAATGATTTATATGAATAAATATATATTCATTCATGCATCCCTCAGCTCATCCACTGAGCTTTTTACAAACATTTTCCAAGTACCTATACCTGCCAAACAATAAAGTGAAGCAATGGGGCTTACAAAGAAATATAAAACATGATCCTTCCTTGGAGGAGCATCTTATGAATCCTCCTCACTGTCAGCCATCTGATTTTCTACTGTGGAGACAATGGAGAAGTAGACCAAAGATTTGGGGGTAGGGACTGGTAAAGGTAAAAACAGAAGAAGTCCACCTTTGTTATATTCTTGAAAGCTGATTGGTATGAAAATGAAGATTTTTGTTAAAAAGTAATAGAACAAAATTATCTTGTTTATAATGGAACAGAAAACTGTGGCATCACCTTCTGTCTGCAGGAGTTAAGCAAAGTTGTTATCCTTCAGTTTGAGGAATATACACTGACATTTTCACTGAAGTGAATAATGTTTTGCTGTTTGTCCTAGTATAATTTTTTGAGTGTTTCTTTAAATTGTTCTTGTGTGAGTTGACAGATATTTTCCAGGATATAATTACTCGATATCATCCAATTCATAAACTCTTCCTTCTCAACAAATGTTCTCATCATTGTGGTGAGTAGCATCACGTCCTTGTACATTTCCTGGGTGTGTTAATATTGAAGGCAGGATATGCCCAGGCTGGTGGCTTCTTCAGTTTTCTTTATACATTTTTGCTATCTTTTGAGAAAGTCTTTTTGCAGCTTTAAATTTTGGATCAGGAACACAGTCTGTACCTTGCTCAGACATACCTGGTGCTGACCTACTACTGAATAAAAAACATTTGGACTTCTGTTTTTGCCTAACTTGGAAAGGGAAAGAGGTATTTGTTAGAGTTGTTTCAGAATGCCAAAGGGGATAGCATAAACAAGAATATTCCCCCAAATTCCTTTCTGCTCCCTCTACCACCCCCGCAATGTGGGAGGGAGCTTGATTCTGACAGCCGTCTGCAGGGAGGAATTTTTAGCCAATCTCACCTGCAGTTATCTGTCACTGTTGGTAGCATGATTTCTGAATAAGGAGATGGTTCCTTTTTAATGGAAAAAAATTCTTTATATCCCAAACTTGGCATGTATTTTAGTGAGAAAAAGGAAAAAAAAAGTCTGATAATGAAGGCTATAGTTGGTCTTAAACCCTATTTTTGGCCATAGCACAATCCTAACTGATCCCTAAAGACTGCAGTCCCCAGTAGGCTGCCTTTCCTTTCTGAGAGCCAGTACAGCCCTTCCAGAAGGTCTCCACTGACTTCGTGCTGGGTGCTAGTGGGGCTAAGGAGTAGCCTTTATGCCACGCTCAGGCTACGGCTGCAGCAGTCCCATGGCCTCTGGGAAGTACTTGCCTCCTTGCCATTTTTAGTTTTAGTCTCTTGGGTAACCATGCTCCTGCCCCTCAATTTCTTGGTATGGGGGTCTTTGAACAAGGCAGTCCTATCTGATTTCTCACCCAGTGGTCTGAGATCTCCTTTCCCTTCTTAGGTTCAGAACAAGCGAATAGCCACAATGAAAACATATCAGAAATTAACTTCAGTTTGTCTCTTGCTCTTGGAGCAAGTGTAGGTGTTAAAATAAAACATGCAAACCAACAAACAGATAAATAATGCATTAAGTTTATTTTCAGTTTTTAAAAATCATCAATGATTCTGTATTTTTTTTGTCAATGAAGACAATTTTGAGAGATTTCATCTGCAAAGCAGACTGCATCCTGCATTAATTTTTACCCCCTACTCAGGTTTCTCTTCCTATCACACAAATATATCCCCTTTTACTATAGTAATGAGTGTTTTCTGTTCTTCTTACTTAACAATAAAAGTAACAAGCCACTAGAGCATTCAACAGCACAATGTAGTAAACAGTAACTTGCTAAGTTAATAAAGTTCCAACCAAAAATAAAGAACTTGACAATTTTATTGCTCTGTGAAGTCTTATGGTTTCAATTTAGCTTTTGAGAATTGTAAAATTGCTCTAGAAACTGCTCCCCCACCCCCCCGCCGCATTACTGTGGGATCCCTAGTTAGAATTTGTCAAAATGGATTTAGGCTTTTACCTTCCCATTTCCTGTAGCAGCTTCAGTTTTCATGGTTTGATGTTCACCGAGTAGTCAGAAAGATACAAACACAATGTCCTGTGATCTTAACGCAAGGGTGTTCTATTGCCATCATGTGTATCAGGATTTTTGTACTACATGGCCTGGGACGGAAAGTACAAGAGAAAAGAGGGTCAGGAAGAGAAGGACCTGAACCAAAAGAATGAGCAAAATTTGACTTCCCCCTATAGATTTTTTCACTCTAAGTGCCATTCACAGAAATTTGGTATCCGTGGAAACCAATGCGGTACATGCTGAAGTTACATTTTCTCTGCAGATACAAAAGGCTAGCTATCTAAGCTGATGTTATGCTTAGAATTAGCAGAGAGAAAGTGTTTGAGAAAAGTATAGAATAATTAACTGGATACCTATCATGTGCAGGGAACCATGATTTGTACAATGAAGGATACAAAATATACAAGAAAGGATGATAGATATGGGACAATTTATTTCCATGTAGGAATGTTGACAACCTTTAGCATTCTGGCTTTCCTTAAATTTATAATGTTACCTATGAAAATACGAGAAAATGTTCCTGTCACAGATTTAGATTATATCCTCTGCTTTGGTAAAAAACAAAATGTTGTCAAACAGAAGATGGAATTTTCCTGAGACTTATTTTATAGTTGAATGATAAACAAGAAAGATTCCCAGAAATTGAATAAGATCATAACAACCTTGCAGGCTGTTGACCAGAAATGAGGCAAAGCTGGGGACAGAGGGAAACAACTAAGAGAAGCGAGTGTTTGACAGCATGTTGATTTAATCAGGGGTAAAAGAGCTGCCACCGCAATAAGAAAAGAGTGTGTTCAGAGGAAGAAAGTGTGAGGAACGATTTGGAAACAAGAACCCATTCAACGAAGTTGACGTAGGTTATGACCAGGAACGGGAAGTTCATGGCGACTTCTGTGAGTCAGGGGAGGTGCACCCCTGGGCAGGGTAGATATTCACTGTGCTGCAATTCTGCCTTAATTCAAGGGTAAACCATAGAGAAGCCAACTAAAAGTAACTTTGCTTTCTTTACTATCAGTAGAATTGGGTGAGAGAGTGCTGGCATAGCCTTGGGGAGTGAGCCTGGGTGTCTAGAAAATGGTGAAAAATGAAAGAATTAAAAGCTTAACACTGTTCTAATTGGACTCAGGGAATGATATGTTTGGATCAGTTTTACGAGTTAAGAAACTAGATAGTTTCTTACCCCTGCTACATATTCACTGGTCAGCACAAGTGCAATGTGAGTGCTCCTTTACTCCCTAGCAAACCCGGAGAAGGTGGTAAAGTCAGGATTGATTGGAAATCCTGCAGCATGGGAAATGTGGGGTTGGTTTGTGGCATGACAACAAGCAGGCATGGGAGACACTGGGGGAAAAAATAGGCAACGCTAGAGAAAAATGCATCCACGCTTCCAACCTCTTGCTGAAACGTATTCCTAGTTATTCTTTAGTTCTGAGAATCAAGAACATTTTCTTGTTGACGATGTCTACCTCAATAAATAAGGTGAAAGTACCATCTGAGGCACTTTAAATGCTGCACATGTATGTACGCTAAACATTAGAAATAGTTTTCAAGTTACAAAATTAACTTTACATGTGATTCGTTTAACATAATTTAACTCAAACATTTCATTTTAAGTGTTACAAAACACGTCAGTTTTAGCCAACATGGCAGATCCGCACTATACCCAGGCATGGCCCCTTGCTTCTCTCTTTAAGCATGTGTTCCAGGTTGCCACAATGTGATTGTGAGTCCGAAGAGAAAAGTCACCCCACAGCTCTGTGGTCTTTGCCAGAAGGATTGTGTAGTGTAAGCGGTAAAATCTCAATCGTTTCTAGGTGGACCGGATAATATTTAAAGCTGGTCATCACCCTAGACATGAAGCACAAGATGCAGACATTTGTTCTATTTCTTAAATGATTGGTTAAAGCCATTTCAGAATGTTAAGATGAGAGATCTGAGGTAAATAAACTGTCTCTGCTAAGTATCTGTTTCTCAGGGAGTGTTGGTAAATAAGTATTTGGTTTGCTATCACTAGAAGCTCCTATTTTTCATTTTACTGTCTACACCCAACTACACCAACTCTGCGTATATTTTAATTGTTCTTCCAAGGTCCCCAAAAGAAATATAATGAGGGAAGTTCCTGCTGCTAGCAACCCTCTCTGAGACATAATGTCTTCTAGCTCTTCTTTAATGCTAGGTGCAGCATCTGTTTTACTGCCCTGCCCATCAAAATCTTTTTCCTTTTGCAAAAGAAAAGCCTCATGTCTTGATCATTCAATAAAGTGTCCATTTTCTTTCCCTTGAGTTCACATAATCTGCCCGGTTTAACTGCTGGGTTATTGGGTATGTTGTTGTAAGGACCCCCTTTTAGTCTCTTTGAATTACATGTTTGACTTATACATAACTTCTCCAGCAATCTCTTTTCCTCATCAATTCAGTCATTAGACAACTATATATTGATGGTCTATTACATGCCAGGTACTGTGCTAGGTGTTGGGAACACACTGCACAGCTTTTTAAGTTTGGTCCAGTGGCCTCAAAAAGCTTACTACCTAATAGTGGCCTGTTACTGAATTCTTGAGAAGTATTTGGATGGCTATGTATGTGCTTTCTGAAAATACAGGTAAAGTATTTCCCTACTCACTAGAAGACTCCTAAAAAACAATGTGTGAGTTAAACTTCTGTTAAGTGGAATTCAGGTTTTTTTTTTTTGTTTTTTGAGACGGAGTCTTGCTGTCGCCCAGGTTGGAGTACAGTGGTGCGATCTTGGCTCACTGCGGGCTTTGCCCACCGGGGTTCTCGCCATTCTCCTGCCTCAGCCTCCCAAGTAGCTGGGACTACAGGCACCCGCCACCTCGCCCGGCTAATTTTTTGTGTTTTTAGTAGAGACAGGGTTTCACCGTGTTAGCCAGGATGGTCTCGATCTCCTGACCTCGTGATCTGCCTGCCTCGGCCTGGAATTCAGGTTTTAAATGCTGTATACAGCTTGCTATTTTAGAGCCTCCTGCAAAGTTAATAAGCAAACTCTGATTTTTAATATGAATTTTAACTTTAGCACTGATACATTTTCTTAATGTTGATCAATATTATAAGCACTCAAAACTCTCAAACATTTTAAAATGCATAAAACGAAAACCTTTGTAAATGGAATCTCTATTTAAATGCACTAAGAGTAAATGCTATTTAAAGGAATCCTGATATAATATTGTAAGGAAAGTGGTTAATCATTAACTTATTTTTTAAATGTGGACTTTTATTGTAATTTCTATACTGTAGAAAGCAAAACTTCTAGCAATACAAAAAATGTAACCAATAAGAAAATACAAAATATACTTCGTTATAATAAAAAGAACACACGAGTAGTAGGCTACATGAGACCCTTTACCTGTTGTGTTCTGAAGAAGAAACCTTTCCCCAGAGCGTCTGCCTCAGAGTCTATGTTGTGGCATGTATTAGTTTGTTGGTGCAGCCATAACAAAATACCCCAGATGAGTGGCTTAAATAACAGAAATTTATTTCCTCACAGTTCTGGAGGCTAGGAATCCAAGATTAAGATGTCAACAGGATTGATTTCTTCTGAGGCCTCTCTCCTGGGCTTATAGACGGCTGTCTTTTTTTTCTGTCTTCACGTGGCCTTTCTTCTGTGACTGACTGTGTCCTAATCTCTTATAAGTGCACCAGTCATATCGGGTTACAGCCCACCTGCATAACCTCATTTTACCTTATTTAATTACATCTTTAAAGACCCTATCTCCAAATAAAGTAAGATTCTGAGACACTGGGGGTTAAGACTTCAACATATGCATTTTTTGGTTGAGGGAGGGACATGATACAGCCTATAACATGGCACATCTCTAGATTAGAAAATTCCAGTTTGCGAGTAAATAGCCAGAGGAGTCACAATGCAAACTTTTTTTCTCCTATAAAAACTTCAGCATGGATTAGGTTATCAGATAACTGCTATGTTCAGAATAGGCATTTCTAAAGATTTGTTGATGATATGATGACAGCTCTCACCTTGAAGAGCAGAGGGTAAAGGAATAGAAAATGAACCCAGAAAATGGGTGGAAGATGGGGTTGGAAAAATGCCAGAAGGCACTGCTTCAAGAAGGCATGCTCACAGTGGCTGAGTGGAGGGCAGGGGAGGGCTGCAGATAGCTCCTGAAGCCTGCAGGCTAGCGGGGAGCTCAGTTACACAAGATGAAGGGGGTAACCAAAGCCAGGTTGTGATTTACGAATTTGCCCTGATGGAGAATATTTGATGATAAGCATTAAATAGCAAAGTTTAGAAGAAGTTTTTTTCTTCTTGTTTTCCAATTGTTCTTTCTATTGGACAGTTTGCCATGATTCTGAGCTAAATTAGCCCTTTGGAGACATGGTCGTAAGATAGTCTGTTGATCTGGAAAACAGTTTTCATGAAAAATGAGTAGGTGGTAGAAGGAAAAGAGAAATAATTTGAAATGCAAAGCACTGTAAATGCATACGAGAAAAATGCAGTAGTAGGGCTGAATAGCTTTTGCTCATCAAATTTTAAGCCATTCATTCTTAATGTATTTGGTTGTTAATGACATAAGTTACGAATCACAGTAGCCAATAAATATTTGTGAACATTATTTACATTATCATTATGGAATGACTTTTTGGTATGGTAAATGAGTAACAATTCTTTTTTTTTTTTTTTTTTTGAGACAGGGTCTTACTCTGTCACTCAGGCTGAAGTGCAGTGGTTCAATCACAGTTCACTGCAGCCTCAACTTTCCTGACTCAGCTTCACAAGTACCTGGGACCACAGGCACATGCCACCATGCTCAGCTAATTTATTTTTATTTTTTGTGGAGACAGATTCTTGCTATGTCACCCAGACTGGTCCCAAACTCCTGGGCTCAAGTGATCCTCCCGCCTCAGCAATCCCAGAGTGCTGAGATTACAGGTGTGAGCCACCATACCTAGCCCAGTTCTGTTTTCAAAGGGATTAAAATGTGCTCTGACTGTATCACTATCTTATTGCCAACAGGGAGGAGAATTCAGATGGACAATAGGGTTATAATGAAGTGGAAAGAAGTTGGTATAAGATACAGCATCAGTTGGCAGAAATGACAAGTTGCTAGATAGACTTGGATGGGTGGCACATGCCAGAGGGTCAGGTCTAGGACTAGGTTTGAGAAGAGCATTGTACTGGGAGGAGGGGCTGAGAGCATGAATGATGAACTGCCCCAGCCCCCACTGAGGATGTTAGAGATTAAGTCTGTATAATCTTTTGAAAGCCTTAAAAATCCTGAATTTTGAAACTCTGTACTACCCTTCAGAAATCTCACAAAGTCTGAACTCTAAAACCCTGGTCCCAAAGGTTTTAGATAAGAGGTTATAGACTTGGACCAGTTTCCATTCCCACCTGCAGTGTACAGTAGTTCCCTTGGCCCCATATTCTCATCCACATTTTTTATAGCCAGACTCTCTAAGTTTTATAAAGCTAATGGAGATACATTAATGTACAATTGTGTATCTCATTATTTTTATACAGGTTCAGATTTCTTTCCATTGATCCTTTGTCTTTTTACTCTATAATATATTTGATCTTACAGGAGACTATGATTTTGATGTTAGCTACTTTGCACATTTTCTTTGTGGCCTTTGCTTTTGTGTCTTTTATAGGAAGGTCTTTTGCTTTTGATCATTGGTATATCCAATCAAATATTTTCTGACAATTTGACAGTTTTGGTTTTTCATGTTTAAGTCTTTAATTGCAATTTATATTTGTATAATGGATTTTGGAATGAATCTAAGTTTAACTTGGTTGGATGTTATATTTTGCAGATGGCTAGCCTTGTTCTAACATCATTTACTAACTAGTCCATTTCTTCTCCACTCATTAAAATATCAACTTTATCTTTTAAAGTTTTATATACATGATGATTCACTTTTAGACTTTTTTCTGTTCCATTTTTTACAATTTATAGATGCCTACACCAATATTGCAATACTTTACAATGTACAGCTATTTAATTGCTGTAAAAGACGTCTTCTTCTATTTTTCTCTAAGCAGATTTAAGATTGCTGACTATATTTTACATCGTTTTCCTTGTATACTGTGATACCACATCCTTCTTTTTATCCTCATATGTTGCCACTTCTCGATTTTTTAATAGGCTTCTCCTCCTTTCAATACTGGTATTCCCTTCAATTTTCCCCCAGACCCTCTTCTCTCCTCACTCTAAGCACACTTCATGAGCTAATGTAGCTTAATTTCACCAATATGATGCTACTCAAAACTGTTCTTCTAGCCCAAGTTTCTTTTGTTTTGTTTTGCTAAGTTTCATAGCCACATATCCATCTTCACTTTGATGTTAGGTTCAAAAGTGAACTTATCATCTGCCATGCCTGATATAGTTTAGATATTTGTTCCCTCCACATCGCATGTTGAAATTTAATCCCCAATGTTAGAGGTGGGGCCTAGTGGGAGGTGTTTGGATCATGGCAGCAGATCTCATGAATAGTTTTGTGACGTCTTTGCAGTAATAAGTTCTTACACTACTCGTTCTTGCAAGAACTGATTGTTAAAAAGAGACTGTCAGCCATGATGGCGGCACATGCCTGCAGTCTCATCTACTTGGAAAGCCAAGGCAAAAGGATTGTTTGAGCCCAGGATGCAATGAGCTATGATCACACCACTGCACTCCAGCCTGGGCAGCAGAGTGAGGCCCTGTCTAAAAAAAAGGAAATAAAAGAAAATGGTTTTGGCCAGGAACAGTGGCTCACACCTGTAATTCCAGCACTTCAGGAGACCAAGGCAGCAGGATTGCTTGAGGCCAGGAGTTCAAGACCAGCCTGGGCAACATAGCAAGACCCTCTCTCTCTAAAAAAAAATATTTTTTTAATAAGAGAATATAGACAGTTGAATTGCAAAGGAAAGAAAATGACTAAAAATGGTCATTTCTATGAGTGACAGATCATGGGCTATTTAAGAAGAAGATTTAGGATGAAAGTGAAAATAAAAAAGTTACTCCTTTTAGATTATAACTAATAAATTACAGAAAGTGGGGTCATTTCAAATGCTGTGCTTCAAAGAATACTTTGAAGTATTTATTAAATAATAGTACCTCTGCAGATGAGTGAGTGTTTTAAACCTAGTAGTCTTAGATTAATATTACTGTGTTTGGTGGAGATAATTAGATAGATACTGGGAAAGACATAGACATAGACATGGACATGGACATGCATATCGATACAGGTGTAGGTATATCCTTAAAGTTTTCTCAAGCTGCAAATGGTGAAGTATTTGTATCATGGGAGAACACAGTCAGCAGTTGCCTCTAGGAAACAGGGACACTGGACACTGAATTTGTTAAGACACTTCCTATGATGAGCAACAGAAAGCCAACTTAACCTCAGACAAAAAAGAAAATCCATTGACTATCATAACTGACTGTCTTAGTCTGCTTGGGCTGTCATAACAAAATACCACAGACTGAGTGTCTTAAACAACAGAGATTTATTTTCTCACAGTTCTGGAGAATGGAAGTCCAAGAATAAGATGGCAGCAGGGAGGTATCTGGTGAGGGCTCTTCTCCTGGTTTGCAGACAGCCACCTTCTGTCTGTGTCCTCACATGGTGGAAGGAGAGAGACCTCTTGTGTCTCTTCCTCCTCTTATGAGGGCATCAGCCCCATCAGATTAGGAACTCACCCTTTTGACCTCGTTTAAGTCAGTTGTCTCCTTATAAACCTATCTCCAAATACATTGGAGGTAAGGACTTCAACATATGACTTAGGGAGGAGGCATAATTTAATCCATAGCACCAACTGTTTGAACTTGATTTCTGAGAGACCATTATCTTGGCTGTGCATCTGCCTTCAGGGCACTCCTTCTTGATCTTCTTTGCTGGATCCTTCTCAATTTCCCATTACCTAAACAGAGTTTAGCCTTGGGTCTATTCTCATTTCCTAAGTGATCTCATGCCCTCCCACAGCTTTCAATACTATTTCATCGTCCTTGGTGCTCCAGAATGCTATATAAGCTGCCTACATAAGATTCATATTTGGATGTATCATAAATATTGCAAAGGTAACATGCTATCTAGCATCACGTTAGTTAATGACAACCAAACTCAAATAGGCCCTAGTACTCTTGGCCATCATATTATATTTCTCTGGTAATTTAGGCTCTTTACTCTGGTGGATGACATTTTATACCTCCTTTCCTCAAACCTCCATCACCTCCCCGTCCCCTCTCTTAGACAATTGTCATTTCACTGAGAAATTAGAAGTCACAGAGAATGTTCACATACAGTGACGGTTGCACTGCCATTGCAACCTGCCTACCAACACCTGTACCATTTACTCTGTTTTGCCTTCTATGTCTATGGATGAAACATCCACACTCTTTTCCAAAGCCAATAACTCTGCTAGTTATATATCACTGCTGAAACAAACTAACACAAAATATATTAGTCCCTGTTTCTCTAGGTGGGTTTGGCTAGGTACTTTGCTTAAAATCTCACAAGGCAAGAAAACAAGGTGTCAGCAGGGCTGTATTATTTTCTGGAGGTTCCAGGGAAGACTCTGTTTCCAAGTTCATTCAAGTTGTTGGCAAATCCAGTTCCTTGCAGTTGTAGGACTTAGGTGGCTATTTTCTTGCTAGCTGTTAGTTGGGGGTTCACTCTTTGCTAGTAGAGATCTCTTTTGCATCCTTGCACACGGGCTCACAACTCAGAGACAGCAGCATCGTGTGAATTCTTCTCAAACTTGGAACTTCTATGATGTCTGCTGCATCTCTCTTCTGCTTCCAGCCAGAAAAATCTCTCTGCTTTTAAGGGTTCATGTGATTAGATTGGGCACACTCAGAAAACCCAGGATAAAATCTCCCTACTTTAAGATTCATAACCTCAATTAAATCTGCAAAGTCCCTTTTGCCATGCAATTAACATGTCCCCACGTTCCAGGAATTAGAGTGTGGACTTACCTGGAGGGCATGTAGCCTACCACAAATTTGATTTGTGCCCCAGAAATTTGCTCCCTCTCTTCCGCATCACCAATTATTCCCCTTAACTGCATTTTTTCCATCAGTGTACAACATGCTGATATTCCTTTTCAATGACTGCTCCATTTCTCTGCTCTCTTTGGGGCAAAACACCTTGAAATAATTGCCTATACTCTTTGTTCCCAATTCTTCTTTCGTTTTTCTTAACCTTTCAACTTTCTACTACACTCAACCTTCTTTTGTTAAAGACACAAATGATTACACATTCTAAGTTTAAGGGTCAATTTTCAATCTTCATTTAAGTGTCATTTTACACAGCTGATCATTGAAATAGTTAATTTACCTTCTAAGGCACCATTCTCTCTTGGTTTTTCTTATACTTTCTGGAGGCTCCTTGTCAGCCTTCCTTGCTAGTCCTTCTTTATATTCTTGACAGCATAATCGTGGACTGCCTGCAGCTCTTCCATCTGCATTCATTCCCTTGGTAATTGTATCTAGTTTCATGGCTTTAAGTTCTACAGGTATACAATGACTTCCAAATTTATATCTACAGCCCAGAACTGTACCCTAAACTGCATGCTTATATATTCCACTGCCTAGTCAACATCTCCATGTAGATATCTTACAGGCAAGGTTAACAAATTCAATATCAAACTTCATCTTCCCCACAAAACCTGCTTCTCCCGCCATCCCTTGGTCAGTGCTAGCTCTGTTCTTCTACTTGATGGAACCCCAAATTTTGGAGATGTCATTGGCTCCTCTCACTAATCTCCCTCCTTTGTACTTAGCACCCAATCCATTTAACAAGTCTTATTGTCCTTAACACCAACATATAATTGGAAGTAAACCACTTCTAGCCACCTCCACCAAAGCATCGTGGTAGACACCACTAGGATGTCTGGCTTGTTTATTGCAATATATCGTTTATTAGACTCTCTTCTACCTTGACCTCCACATGGTAGCCAGAGCGATCCTGTCAAAAAGTAAGTCAGATTGCCTCATTCCTCTCCTTAAAGCCCTGTTTCATGCAGACAGGAAGCCAAAGTCCTTACAATGACCTAGAAAACTCTCCTTGATCTGTCACCTCTGCACCCATTGCCATATCCTACTACTTACCAGCCAAATACTCCAGTCCCCAGAGCCTTGCACTTAATGTCCTCTTGTTTAAAATGCTCTCCCTATGCCTCCCTCATCAACTTCCCCTTTGTGTCCAACATCATCTTTGCAGTGGCACCTTCTCTGCATACTCACTTTAAAATTGCAAGCCTCTATCTGACTAGTGACCCTTCCCTCTCCTGTTTCTTCTTCACAACAGTATTACCACCCGATATCCTATATAAATTTTTTATTTGTTGTTATGGCCATTCTCCTTTCAGAAGAATCTAAGTTTCGTGGGGTCAAAGAATTACGTGTTGGAGGGTGTGTATGTGTGTTATATGTTTTCACTGCATTCTCCCCAGCACCTAGAACAGTGCCTGGTACAGAGTACACAATCAAATATCTGTTGCTGTTCAGTGAAGGTCCAGAACTGTTATTTATTTCACCTCAAAACCAGGCTCTTCTCCCAGTCTTCCCCATGTCAGTAAATGGCAACTCTAGTCCAGTTTGCCCAAGCCAGGAACCTGGAAATTACTCTTGATTCCTCTCTTTTTCTCACACCTCTCATCTTCAAATACTGCCAACGCTCTCTGCAAATACACAGGCCCCCTTCCAAAATCTGGCCCTCCCACCTTCTCCACTGCTCTCACCCAAGTCCGAGCCATGATGTGCTCTCACTTAGGTTAGCACAGTGGCCTCATTTATTGGTCTCTCTGCTTCTACTCTTGCTCCCTAGGAGTCTATCTTCCACAGAGAAAAGAGAGAAATCTCTTCAGAATTCGTGTCGAATCATAGACATTCCTCAGTTCAAAACACTCTGATAGGTAGGTTTTCACCTTGGAATAAAATCTAAGTCGTGTGCATGGCCTGTAAGACATGTCCTGATCTTGTCCCAGACATACCTTCTGAAACTTATTTCTTCCCTTTGCTCATTCTCTTCCAGCCACTCTATTTCCCTTCCTGTTCCTTGGCTCTGCCAAGCACTCATGTGTTGTGGGACCTTTCCATGGCTTCATCTGCATGGAAGGTAGAGGCACACAGTACCTGCTATGTCCCATCATTCGGGCCTCCGCTCCAAGTTGCTTTATCAGAGGGCTGCCCTGATCATCTTTCCTAAAATAGCACACACACCACACACACACACATGCACGTGTACACACACACCTCATTCTCCTTACCTTATTTTGAAGCCCTCATTGCCAACTGACATTATACGTTTACTTATTTTTCTTTGACAATTTCCCTGCTTCTCCAAAATGTAGACTCCATGGGGGCAAAGAACCATCTGTTTTGTTCACTATTGTAGCTTCAACACCAAAGATAAACCCCAACAACTACAGGGATGCTTAATCCTAGCGCCTAGGCTCTTAGGGATACATAAATACTTTCTTTCTCAAAGAAACAATATTAGTATTTGAAAAAGGAATGTGGACATTCTTTAGTGTTGCGCCCACCCCTAAAACATAGTCTGCCTCGGAGCAATGGAGAAATCTGATTGGCCCCTGTGGGTCCCATGCCCCCTTGTGGCTCTGTCGTGGGAATGGGGCTGGGGGCAAAGTCCATGCAATCCATAGAAGATAGAGGAAGGAAAGTTCCGCCCACCGCCCACCCAAAAAAGGTCTGTTAGCAGAATTTAGGATGGGGATGGGGAAAAGGAGGAGGATGTGGGGGAGGCAGAAACAACAGATGGCAACTATGGGGATTTTTCCAGAGTGGGAAGTGTAACCCAGGGATAAGCTGGGGTCCCTGGTAAAGGAAGTATCCCTAAATAACTGGACCTTCATACTCTTTGGGAAAGAACAAGCTGAGGCCCCAGGCACACCTGCATGGCATCACCATAGCCTTGCTTCTTGAATGACTCCTGCTGGCATCAGGAGGCATCTCCCTGGCAGGAACAAGCCTGAGGCTTCACCACGGAAGCTGGAGGAAACGCAGGGACCCATGGCACAAACTGACACAGGAGTTCTATGTTTCATTGCACATCATTTTGTTCACCAGTGCATTTGTACGATTCTGCCTCTATGGCTATCAAGTTTAATTAACAACTCATTTTTAGGTAAGAGTAAAAATGAATTAGGTAAAAAAAAATAAGCAACAGCTGCCAAGTGAGCATGGAGCACATACACTCACAGATGGAAAAAATCTACATCTTGCTGCTATGATTTAGCTCAGGGTTTTATATTTAATTTTTGTTTTGTTTTGCTTTTGTTTTTATACACCTCACCACAAGGTATTTTAAATTCTTTAAATGTATTCCCGAATATAGAAAATGTTTCTTGGGCTCTCCTGAGAGTGGGGTGCCCAGGCTGACCACAGGCACACACACATTCTTCCCATAGTACAGTACTTTAAAATTAATAGCACATGCAGAGGAAAAACTAAACCCTTTGACGTCACTCTTGAAATGAGGAAACATAAACAGAAAAGGCTCCACTCCAGTAAGCTGCCAGAGTTGAAGCCGATTGGTCTCTGCTTTTCCTTGCCTGTGGCAACTGACAGCACCTCCCAGCCTAGCAGGCCGGCGGCTGCTCACCCAGCCAGTCAGTTGGTCTGGGCACTGCAGCAGGCTCGGCTCTGTCCCAGCACTTGTCTGGGAGAAAAGTGGTGTTACTCACCCAGGGAGAGTCTCTCTTTCTACCTTCCTTCTTTCTCGATCTCCTTGTGTGCTTTTGTGTTTCTTTATTTCTTTTCCTTTTTTTTCTTTTTTTTTTTTTGTTACTTAATTATATTCCTAATCCTGGATGAAGTTGCTGGATTCTGCAGCACAAGTCTTCATGAACAAGCAGCACCGCTCAGAGATTTCACGGCATTCAAAGGTCACAGAACTGCCACTATGGTTAAATGTCTTGTTTAATGGTTGAGGTATGTACAACAAATTTAAGCGGCAAGCTCAGTTTTCTTGAGAGAATAGAGTCACAGAGAGATGGCAGGATTTTTATTTAAAATGAACCTGTACATATATATGTTTTTTGTCTGTGATTGTTACTACAGCAACCAGCTTTTGAATTTCCTTCCTTTTTCTAGGCGAACTGACTAAACATTATCACTTACCCTGAATTAACCGTTTAAGGGCAGCAGGGTTTCATTCCAACCAGTGTAATGAGACTCCGGCATTTTCACTGCACTTTGAGCCCACACTGAGGTGGTCTTTAAAAAAAAAAATAAAGAATGCAATATTTTTTTTCTCCAACATAAATCTTGGAGTTGGGTAATTTTCATTTTTGGTGGGACAGGATAGGAAAATGCTGGTAAAGGGATTGGTAAGGTTTGTGGAACAGGGAAGAAGGAAATTAGTTTTTTTCTTGAGTTTTTCATGTTGGTTGATAGCAGACTTCAAGATGAAGAAATTAGTGGCAAGAAGGGAAGAAGCTGATAGTGAGACTGAAGGTAGAAAAAAATCAATAGAAGATGTCCAAAAAATGAGCTCTGAAGAAAAATCCTTCATCACCTTGTTGCATTTTTCAAAAAATGTTTTGGATTCAGAAGTCCAGGAGAGATGCAAGTACTAAGTTACATGACCAGAAATTTAGATATTATTATTTATAAAGGAAAGTAAAACTTCTTTATTACCACTGCAAATTTGCTAATTATCTTTTCCTACAATAGTTGAAAATGGAGTCAGATATTCAATTAGGGGCTTAAGTGATTGAGCCTGGGGACTAATTAATCATTTAAAAATTCTGTTCTTCATGTGCTCTAGCCAGAGTGACTATTGCAATAAGAGTAAACCTCTTTGCACCAGAGACAGGCATAGGCATTCATATACAGTAAACACACTAAATGCTGCAGGAAGATTGGCAATTCAATACAGGGCTAATGTTGTTTTCAGTGGCACATTATTATGTCTTAAGGAGGATCCCTGCTAAAAATCATTCCTATCCAAAGAGTCGGTTTTTGTAACAGCAATTTAAGTAATATATGGTTACCATGGATTTCCCTATTACCCTTCTCAAAGTTATGCAATAGCAAATAAGACAGGATTATTTGAAATCCTTACCCTGTTCCAAAATTTCTAACCGATTTTCTTAAAGTTTCTATTCTCAACATTGAGAACCTGAAAGCTTTAAAACTGGGTCATGTTAGCAGTAATATTAAGCACGATTTCAAACATGAGGTGTATTTCAAAGGGTTAAAAAAATTAACTGCATAAGACTGGAATGTACTAAGTTAAGAACTGCAAAAATATTAGCTCTGAAATGCAGAGGATGTGCCGTGAATGGACAATTGCTTTTCTGCAGCGCCTAGTGGGAAAACAAGGACTTTGTGTGTTGCAAACGCATAACTGCAGCTCCTCCATTTCCTCTGCTTTATCTTTTATTACTGGCTGGTGAAACAAAGACAGGTGTCAGTAGTTACGTCTTGATTGACATTTTCTCCAATAAAATGAAGTCACTTTTGTCTCAAGTAGAAGCCCACAGTTAACTAGTTGCAACTCCAAAAACTGTCTCTGCCTTGTAAGAATTTTTACCTGACACTGTAAGCTGTCTAATTTCAGAATGTACTCACTCTCTTGAACAACATGTGACAAAATCAGTGGTGACTATATGTCAGCAAATTAGCTGGGAGAATTTTTTTTTTTAATTAAGTTATTTAGGGCAAGGGTGGAAAAGTCTAAGATGTGTCAGGGACAGGCATTAATTTAGGGAAAATAATTACACGAGTGCATCATTTAATGCCTTACACAGGGTTCAGCACAAAGCTACTCACTGTCAGTTCTCCATAAAAACCTAGTTAAAATGTTTGCCTAGAATTTACTACCTTTCATATATTGTAAATTATTTAAATAATTTTGGTCTTTTCATGTGTTTTTGAAAAGCACTTTTGGTGTCAGTCCAGCCTGAAATATTATCTAAAAATCAAGTCAATGATACAGAGAAGGACATTTCAAACACTGACACTTTATTTTCAGCCTAAGGACATCTTAAATGCAAAAGTAAAATGACCAAGTTTCCTCAAAGTGGGAATGTACCACCTGGAAAATGCCTCAGCCTAGTAATTATTCGTCTGAAGTCTAACTTGTTGTTAGCCAGGCCCAAATCACAGGAGGAAGCTGTTTGTTGACTCACAGAAGATAGTGTTGGAAGGAATTTATTAAGTGGTAAGCTAATCCCAAAGAATACTAAAAGGGCTTTGTTTATATTAAAGAGAAGTGTCAAATTTAAGGATCAGAACAGACTTTGAAACATCTAAATGTAGAAGCTAAGAGGTAGTCTAAGTAGTTGACCTCACATTGTTGGGGTACATAATTGATTGGAAACTCTCTATCTACAGAAATTCTTATCTGAATAATCCACTATCTTATGGATTCAGCTCTGTATCCCCTCAAAAATCTACAGCTTAGTAGGTATCTATGTTCTAGGGGGTACATTTGACTGAGGAAGAAAGGACTTGGCATTTGGAAATGTGAGGTCTCTCTCACAGCACAAAGACCATCTCTAATCTCTATTGACACCTCCTCATGGCGGCAGCCCCATTTCCCCTAAGAATGTACTTTGGGGAGCACTTCCACTGTCCACAGGAGAGTAGCTGTGGGATCAGCACCACTGGCTTCTAAAGACATCCTCAGTGGCTCTAGGAATCCCCTCTTTGATTCATGAGATGGTGCCTACTTTATATATTAGCAGTCTTTAATGTGGTTTACATGCAAACTTGAAGAAGAGAAGGAGAAAAGGGATGTAGAAACCCAAATCAACTGAATACCTATTATGTACCAGGCATTGTTAGAAATTTCAGTACAGAGAGTGAAATATGTCAAAGTTCTTATGTGTGGTCAAGGCATTTATACTTTCTACTTTCTCAAGAATCATTTAAGTATCTAAATGAGTTGATGTGTACTTAGAGAGTGATTTCATGAAGTGCACTAGAAAGGGCGGTGAACAGAGGTAGTGAACCAAGGTGGTTCATTCAGGCTCTAATGAGCTGGGTGACTCTGAGCCACTCACTCATTCTTGACCTCAGTTTCCTCAATTGTAAGAGCAACTGGTTGCGCTGGGTTATCTCTAACATCCATTTTAGATCAAAATTTTTATAGTATTCTTATTCTCAACCTAGAATTTTTTAACTCCATTTACATGTAAATGTAGAAGTGTCAAACCTTTATTCCAAAAATCATTACTACATGTTTTCAGGATGTCAAGGGCTGTGCCTGTGAATAAGCAATGATTCCCACATTAGGAAACGTATTCTGGTTGAGTATGAATATTTAAACAAATGACTGGAGTCTGTACAAAGAAATGAAAAAACAAAAGGAGAAGTCTGAGAAGGAGGCAGTGATGGAAAACTGCAGAGGAGGCAGCTCTATGCAATTTGGAATTTAAGAAAAAAATAAATTGTATTTCTATTTAGGTATTTATTTTTATATGATGATCTATAATGTGATTAATTAAGTGCATTGTTATTATTTTGGAAATCATGTATTTGCAATGGTGTTCTCAAAAATTAGAATGTTAAAGAGAGCCAAAATTTTCCCATAGGTTGATTCAGCTGCTGTACAGGCCTGATTTGGTAAATCAAATCCGTACATTGGCGTCCTCTTCATCATTCCTTGAACTTAAAACTGTAGGAGTTATGGAAAGCTGGAGTCTTTAGAGAGCACTATGGGCAGCCAAGGTCCCAGCAGGCATCTGATACAAGCCAACAAGGTTCATAGCTGTGATGGTCTTGAACACTGGCGCAAGGTGGTGTCAACATGGTAGGAAATTACCTCAGTGTCAGGAAAACTCTCATGGTGGCTCGGAACTTCAAGATTACTTGTGGGAGTGAAGACACATTTCTTCAACTCTGGAGCTTCCATTTCTTCATCTTTAAGGCTGTTGGATGCCCTTTTTCTTTCCAAATTCTGTGATTTAACCTGACAAAATTAACACTGAATCATTAGCATGTGTTTACTTTTACTTTTCCACCTCTCCCATTCCTTATTTCCACTACTCTCTGTGTAGTTTGCCTTTACTCAGTTGTCCACATTTACACAATTTTACCTCCAAGATAATCTCATTGCCAAGGAAAAGCAAAACAAAACAAGGACTTGGGTTTGAGAATTCCTCCCCAGAAAGACTATCACTCCCCTGAGACAGTCACCTCTCCTCGCTCCATTTCTCTTGTATCAGGTTGATGTGCCCCTCTGTGGCTGTGACACTCCTAGAGAAAGCAAAGAGGCATGCTTTGTGAAAATTGTAGCTAGAAACTTTAATATTACAAGACAAACGTCTTTTTCCTAAATGCCAATCACTGTCCTGGATTTTCTATATTACTTCACTTAATATCTTCTCAATATTAATTCTGATTTCTTTAGAGAATAAATGAAAACCTGTTGATAACTAAGTTGAGGGAACCTTCAGAAGAAAGTTTTGGTGAATTGATTGTCCATTGAGTATCTGCTCTGAGACCTTGCCCTGCTGGTACAGGGTTGCTGCCCCTTACTAGTGATGGGATTTGATGCAGTTCAATCACCTTAATCGAGACATTTCTGGGATTCTGCGTGGCTCAGAGCATTCCAGCTGGTGTCTGCTCTGAGTGAGAGTTTACATTTAACACCTCAAGCATGGAAAATAGGGAGCTGGTTTTGTAGTTTTGGATAAACCTAAAAACAACGTAACAGAAAACACACAGACATCTATTAAGCAATATATAATTCTTGATACTACTGTATAAATATCCCAACATTTTAAAAGCTTAAATCCTTTCATGAATGGTTTACATATTTATGTGTATACAGTATAGAAGTATGAAAATAATAGCCACAGTCAATATACCAGTAAAGAAACTTTGTCATGCATTTGAAGTTCCTTCCTTTCTGCCCTTCCTCCCTCCTCTCTTCCTTTCTTCCCTCCTTCCCTTCCTTCTTTCCTTCTGCCCTCTTACTCCTTTTCCTCCCTCCCTCCCTCCCTCCCTCCCTCCCTTCCTTCCTCCCTTCCTTCCTTCCTTTTCATTCTCCCTCCTTTCCTCTCTCTCTTTCTCTTTCTTTCTTGAATCTGTTAAGGAAAGAAGGGAAAAATAGATTGGTAATGAGGTTTTGAGGAGTTTTCCTTGTGTAAAGTTTGGAGTAATACTTACTTTTTTTTCCTAGTGGTTGGTGAATTCATATAGTTTTTCATTAAATTTCCTGCTGATATTTTTTTCTTATTAATACCTTCTGTGTTCTACATAGTCATAATTCACATATAAATAGGAAGTATATAAAATATTCTTTCTACAAGATGAAAATTATTCCCATTGCTTTAGAAGTGCTCAAAAAAGGATTCTGTTCAAAAATGAAGTTTATACATGACTTAAATATACTTAATCTCTAAGAATCTTCTTTTGTTCTGGCGTGGGGGTGGGGTCCAGGACTAGTATGGTGTGAGGAGTATGTTTCCATAGGTCCAGGCATAGACATGGAGAGGCTACCATATGCCTGGATTGGTCAAAATTTGATACCTGAAGGTACCAAACGGTCAGTGTTTTACATTCTCTTTGACTCTAGCAAATCTTTGTCTAAGAACATATAGAATTGTTTATTTTTGCATTGTTTGTAACCTAAACAATATCAGAAACAACTTGAGCCCAATAATAGGTGAATTATTGAAAAATTATTGCAAAATCATACAATAGAACACCATACAGTCATGTAAAAGAATGAAGTACCTCTACATGCAAAAATCTGGAATAATTTTTCAGATGTATTAAGTGGAGGGGGGAAGCTACATTAACAGTGGTATAAATACATAGACACATTCATATATACTTTTTAAAAATTTCTGGAAATTTGAATTAAAAACTTAACAAACAATGCCTTGGAGAACTTGGAGTATGGGATAGGAACAAGGCTTACTTTTCTTGTATATACTTTAGAATTGTTCAACTTTCCCCTCCATAAATGCATTATATTTATAAAGGGAAAAAGTTACTGACATTTATTTATTGTGTGATATTTTAAAGTGACCAGAAAAATTTGAAGGTAAAAGAAGAAAGAGTTCTATTTTATTTTATGTTTTTCATTTTATTTAATTTAATTACTATTTTTTTGTTTGTTTTTGAGACAGAGTCCTGCTCTGTTGCCCAGGGTGGAGTGAAGTGGCACGATCTTGTCTCACTGCAACCTCCACCTCCCAGAGTCAAGCGATTCTCCTGCCTCACCCTCCCAAGTAGCTGAGATTACAGGCATGCACCACCACACCTGGCTAATTTTTGTATTTTTAGTAGAGATGGGATTTCACCATGTTGGCCAGGCTCGTCTCAAACTCCTGACCTCAAGTGATCCACCCGCCTTGGCCTCCCAAAGTGCTGGTATTGCAGGTGTAAGCCACCACGTCCAGCCTGAGTTCTGTTTTGCTTTAAAATTTCTTCATTAATTTCTTTCTTTGACCCTTACTAAATTTCTCCCATGTACCTTTGACATGGCTAGGGAGCAGAGAATTCCCTGGAAGTAAGAATCCTGGAAGCCAGGAGATAGGGAGCCCATCATTCTTATTTGAGTAACTTTGGGCCAATCAGCCCTCTGGGCACCAGCTTTCTCATGTATAAAATGAGGGGCTTGGTCAAGCTCAAAGTTCCTTTGATCTGGGTCTAAGAAACTTTGGCCTGTTACACGCCCAATTATTTGAGATCTTTCTCCATAAACAATAAACATATTTTACCATACATATTTTACTGGTTTGAACATCTTGACTAAATTTTGTTTTAGAATTGATCAGTTCAGTTTAATTTTTCACATTAACTATACATGCAAAATTAGTATTTATTCAAACCGTGTTTAAGGAAATCACATATCATAGACTTTTAAAGGAAAATTATACTATAATATCAGTTATTCATAAAACAGTAGAAAACATTATATTAAGATGTACAGCTTGTGCAGTTATGCAAGCAAGTAATGCTTCTTCTGTTTGGATATGATTTATACATTTCTTGGTTTTCCAGGAGAGAAAAAAAAAAAAAAGACCTTCATTTCCCTTTCTCATTATGCCACTTGCCAGCTGGGTCCAGTTAGATGAAAGAACTCAGTCATTCACAAAAGTGTAGAAAGCATTCTTGTAAAAGGAGATGCTGCAGTAATACAGAGGTCTAAAGAATGCCTTGATTTAGAAAAGGTCATTAAATCTAAGAAAAAAGTTATTTTCTATGTGACAGAAATATAGTGTGTTTCCATGTTCTTAAGATGAGTGTTCATGCTTTTCCAATTAAATAAAAACCTAATTTCAATTGGGTTTTTAGCTTCATTCGGAAAAGTGTAGGTATTGCTCATTTTCCATATTTAGTAGTTTTTATTTTCTGTTTTTCTAGATCTTCATTATTGTGTTTGGAGTAAAAAATAATCTTTAAGTTAAAATAATACAAAAGGAATAAACATAAAACAGGAATTTGTGTGATAGCAGTTTGGAATGACAAAGACTAACATTCTAAACTTTTCCCTATAAATCTCTTTTAATTATTAAAAATCACTAAGTATTAGAAATATAGTTCAATGGCTTATAAATAAAATAATTGAGAAATATTGTTCTCTTTTTCATTGAATATGTTGCCCCAAGTGCCCATGTGTGGGTGCATGAGAGAGGCCCTTCTTAAACTTGACAAAATGCATGTAAGAGCTTTGTATGTAGTAGTAATACAAAAAAAAAATCAAAACATTGAGTTGGAGAATACAGCCTATTTAAAATATATTGTCTCCTTTAATGTAAGTCTTTAGAAACCAAATAATCAAATACATCTATTGGATTAAATGGCAATAATGAGTAATAATTTAAAATTCAATTTGCTTATTTTGTGTGAAAGGAGAAAAGGAAAAGCAGGAAAAAAAAATGAGGATTCCATTTTTTTTCCAGGAGCATTGAACTTGTAACCTAAAGCCCCGAGTTCAAGTTCCAGATGCTAAGAATGATACTGTTGGCAAGTTATTTAACATTTTTAGATTTCAGGTGTCTAAAATGTAAATGTAAACCTTTAGGTTCCAAAATTTCTGGCTTTCCTATGTAAGTAGTTACTCAGTTCATAATACAAATGTCCTGTAACTTTCTAGAACATTCCTGTTAGATCGGGATTTGTTATGCCCACTTTAAAGGCAAGGAAATTGAGACTCAGATAAATTGCGGCTAATAGTTGAAATGCAACTTCAGCTTTTTGCTGACAGTTTTTAATTGTTTTTATATGCTTAAAATCCATCCTTAATCATTCTAAGAATGAGTTAGGAAACATTTTTAAAATACACAAAATATAAAAATGTCTGTTTTGAAAATGTTAATCTACCCACTATATTTTTATACAAAAGTTCAAATATACAGAAAAACAGTATTATTTCATTTTAAATGGATTTAAATTGATTAAATGGATTAATCTGATACTTTAAACTTCAGAAATTTTGCTCTGAGAGGCAGTAGAGTGCATTGATCAACAGTGCATAATTTGGCGACATTCAGTATGGTTCATTTATTAGCTCTGTGACCATGAAGAAGTTACTTAATCTCTCTAGGCCTCGCTCTGCTTATTTGTTAGATTAAGGTGTTTCTAATATCTGCTTCTTGAGAGAATTCTTGAGAGAATGGAATGACTTTTTATTTGTAAAATGCTTAGAACAGAGTATGAAAGAGTAAAACTTAATGTTAGTGTATCAACTGGTATTATTTGCTTTCAAGTTTTAGAAATTATTTCATGGAATTATTTTGTTTACAATGTTGTTGGTGCTTTAAACATTTAAGATAAATCTTGTTTTAAATTTTTTTTTTTACTTTCTGAATTAAACTATAGCACACATAACAGAAAATTATCTAACATATAATTATGCACCATTGAACCCCTACATAGAAGTCAAGAGAGTCAAGAAATAGAACATTATTACATGTTTGGCACCTGAGGAAACCCATCATGCCTCTTCCATTCTTTCATGCAGTGTTATATCTGAAGACTAGATAGGTTGTTGCCTATCATTGTATTTTGTTCATTTTCATTGTTGCATGATGTTTAATTATCTGAATACACGGTATTTACCATTCTACTGTAGAAAGCATTTTAATTGTATCCAGTTTTTAACATTATGAATAATGCTGGCCTGAGTATTCACAGGCCTGTCTTTTGGTGCACATGTACAGGTATATCTGTTGAGGTTATACCTAGGAATAAAGTTGCTGGGCCACAGGGAATGTTTATATCCAAATTTAGTAAAAAATTCAAAATTGCTCAAAGTGGTTAAAATAATTTACGCCCCCACCAACAATACATGTTCAGTTACTCTACTTCCTCACTGGTAACTTATCTTGGTTTTAATTTTCACTTCCCTGTTTACTAATGGTCTGAGCACCTTTTCACATGTATATTGGCCATGTAAATATCTTTTTTGTCAAGTCTCTGATCAAGTTATTTTGTATATTTATAGGATATTATATATACTTATATATATATAATAAACATATTTGATACCTTTGATTGTTATATATATTACAAACATTTTTTCCATTGGTAAAATCTCATGTTTTATTCTTCTCAAGATTGTTTTTATCATTTTTGATTCTTTACATTTTCATAATAATTTTAGAATTAACTTAAGATTCTTCCCTAAAACAAAATACTGTTGGGATATAGATCAATTTGGGAAGACTGGCATCTTTTCTGAGTCTTCCAATTCATAAACATAATGTATCCTTCTATTTATTTAGGTGTTTGTTAATTTCTGTCAGTAATATCTTCTGGCTAGCTTTTGGTCATTTTACATATTCCTTGCTAGACATATTACTGGGCACTTAGTATTTTGATGGTATTCCAACTGGCATCTCTTCAATTTCTATTTTTAACTTTTTGTTACTGATACATAGAAAAACAATCAACTTCTGTATATCAATTAATTATCAGCAACCTTGCAAAACTCACAAATTCCAATACATTATCTATGGATTATTTTGCTTTTCCATAGAGGTAATCAGAGCATCCAGAATACTGGTGGTCACCGATTTTCCTTTTTAATGCTGATAACTTTGTTTTATTGTACTGGATAGGATTTTCAGTATATTGTTGAAGGGGTAATCGTGGCAATATTATCTTGTTTCCAGTCTCAGAAAGAAAGCTTTCAACATTCTACCACTAAGTTTGATATTTTCTATAACATTTGAAAGTTTCCTTTTATTCCTAGTTTGCTAAGCATTTCTTATTAAATGTTCTTTAAAATACTTTTCGTATGACTTTTCCCTTTTATTCTGTTTATAGGTGATTGATTTTATAATTTCAAAACTGAAATCCTAGGATAAATGTAACTTGGTCATGTTATGTTATGCTCATTTTCAATATCACTCATTACTCTGTTTCTGAATTGCTAATAATTTTTAGGATTTTGAAACTATGTTGATGAAAACCATTAACCTAAAATTATCCTTTTTTGTTATGGCCTTATCAAGGTTCCATTGACTTTATTAAATTAGTTAGGAAATATTACCCTAGTAAAAATGTTCTGGGACAGTTTTGTAAGTTTATATTATTTTTTTTCCTCAAATATTTGATAGAAATTGCACATAAGTCCATCTGGGTCTGAAATATTTTGTGGACAAGTTTTTAGTTACAGTTTTAATTCCATTTATTTTTATGGGCTATTCAGATTTTCTATTTTCATTGTCAGTTTTAGTAATTTCTCATGGATTTGTTGTTGTTGTTGATTATTTTTCAGTGTTTCTTCTTTTTGAATATATACATTTAAAGAAGCAAATTTATTTTTCACAGTTTCAGCTGTCTCCCCTAGGTTTTAAAATTTACTGTTTCTATTAGCAGTTAATTCAAGACAATTTCAATTATAATTTGTTTTTCACCTGTGAATTATTTAGAAGTATATTTATTAATTTGCAAACAAATTGGGATGTCCTAGTTCTCTTTTTGTCTTTGTTTCCTAGTATAATTCTACTGTGCTTACAAGTCATACCATTAAGATCTTTGAATTTTTTGAAACTTGAATGTATAACCGAATATATAGTCAGCTTTTCTAAACGTATTACATGTGCTTGAAGTAAATGTATTCTGCAATTGTTAGGTATAGTGCTCTATAGATGTCAATTAGAAGATTTATTCATCATATCATTGAAATCTTTTGTATCTTTATTGATTTTCTTTGCTTCTATTACTGAAAGAGGTATATTTAAAAACTTCCTCATGATTGAGAATTATTTTCCTTTATTTTGCCATCATTTGCTTATATATTATATTGAACAATGTAAAATTGCCATTTTTTTAGATCAAGGTTGAATATCAGCAATTTTATAAAATTTAAACTAGTATTTTGATACTGTGCTGTTATATGCTGCCTTCACAGTAGGGGCAATACTTAGTTCTTGGGGAGCCAAAACCCTTAGACATCATAATGGTTTGTGACCTAAAAAGGTTCAGCACATAAACAGATATTCAGTCAAGTTGGCATTAAAATTTCCTTGACTGGGGGGAGTGTGATTAGGGAAAGAAATATCTATAATGGCTCCATAAGGGAGGAGGATGATAATGGAAAAAAGGTTGAGAATTCCTTATAAACAATTTTAGAACTGTTGTAACTTCCTGGCGAATTGAAATTTTACCATAGTAAAACATCCCTTCCAATTTTTTTTTTTTTTTTTGCCTTCAATTCTCCTTGGGCTGATACTAAAATCTATAAAGCTAGCTTTCCATTGCTTAGTGGTTGCATGCCTTATCATTTTTTATTCTTTTAGTTTTAAATTGTCTATATGTTTATGTTTTAGGTGTGTCTGTTTACAAGCAGCAAATAAGTAAATTTTCTTTTATCATTCAGTCTGACTATATTTGCCTTTTCAGTGAATATTTAATCCTTTTATAATTAATGGAAGCAGTGATATATTTGGGTTCAAACATGCTGACTTACTATGTACAATTTATTTATTCTTCTTGTTCTATATTTCTTTTTCTCTCCTCACTTTCCTAATTATGAATTAAGTATCTTTGTAATTGCACTGCCCCCTTTCCGTTAGCTTTAGCTTGTTACTTTTACATTATTTTACATTGTTTTACTGGTGACTATTGCGGTTACAGGATGCATCTATGACCTAATACAAGCATAATGCATATTAGTACTTTTATTCCTTTGTGGCAAATTTGAGAACTTCGGAATGCCTTAACTACTTTTGTATCCCTCCTAAATTATATGCTATTGTTAGGTATTTAACTTTATATAATGTAAATCTTTGAATAATTATATATTATTATGGTTTCTTACAATTACACATCTTCTTCATTCTTTCCTGCATCTCTAAGGTCACATATAGGATTTCCTTTAGTGCAGTGATGATTTTGTTTAGATTTTGGTTTTGTATGAAATGGCTTTATTTTACCTTTATTTCTGATGTGTACTTTTGCTGGTAATAAAATTATAGATTGTAATCCCCCTCCTCCTTACTTTAAAATATTATTGTATTGTCTTATCACTTTTATTGTTTCTGTTGATAAGTCAGAAAATAGTCTTTTAAAAGCAATCTGTCCATTTCCTCTGTTTGTAGCCCTATTTTCATGTTTGATTGCTTGTTTTGCCATGATTACTTAGGTATGGTTTTCTCTGCATTTATCCCAATTAGGGCTTGTATGGTTTCTTAAATGTGTGTCGTGATATTGTTTAACAATTTTGGAAAATTTTCATTAATTATCTCTTTCAATATTGCTTCTGCCCCATTATCTCTAGCCTTTCTTTTTTTATTATTATTATTATACTTTAAGTTCTAGGGTACATGTGCACAATGTGCAGGTTTGTTACGTATGTATACATGTGCCATGTTGGTGTGCCGCACCCATTAACTCGTCATTTACATTAGGTATATCTCCCAATGCTATCCCTCCCCCCTCCCCCCACCCCACAACAGGCCCTGGTGTGTGATGTCCCCCTCCTGCATCCAAGTGTTCTCATTGTTCAATTCCCACCTGTGAGTGAGAACATGCAATGTTTGTTTTTTTGTCCTTGCAGTAGACGAACAATGATAGACTGGATTAAGAAAATGTGGCACATATACACCATGGAATACTATGCAGCCATAAAAAATGATGAGTTCATGTCCTTTGTAGGGACATAGATGAAGCTGGAAACCATCATTCTCTAGCTCTTCTTAATGGGACTCCAGTTACATGTATGTTCGAGTTTTGAATGTTCCTACTCCCATTACTTACCTTCAATCTCTTTGTTCTTCATTTTGAAGATTTTCTTTAGACCAATATTTTTATTTCCCTAAGTCTTTCTTCATCTGTATCTAATCTGTCATTTATCCCATAAAACAATTTGTTAAGTTATGATATTCTTCGGTCTTAAAATTTTTAGGGATTTTTGGTCATTTCTAGCTTTCTGTCAAAATTCTCAATCTTGCCTCTCATATCCTTAAACATATTCTGCAAATCATTATAAAACTTTTGTTGCTTTTATTTTGATCTCTTGAGTGTTTATAGCTGTTGTCTGCTGCTGCTGCTGGTTGAATCAAAGTGGCTGGTTTTCATATACCTGGTTATTTTTGATGAAGCACTAGGCATTGTGTGTGTGTGTGTGTGTGTGTGTGTGTGTGTGTATGTGTGGAGAGAGAGAGAGAGAGACAGAGACAGAGAAATTACTTGAGGCCTAGTGTGATGTTATCTGTCTCTAGATAGGATCTACATTTGCTTCAGCAGTTATCAGTGGTAATAACAATCTTGTCTTAATCTGATTTCACATTGAATTAATATATATGAGGTGATTGAAAGTGGTTGGCACTTAATAAGAAGTCTGCAGCTATTCATTTTTATCTATTATTGTTTTCTTCAAAAGATAGGGAAAGAGAGTAAGGGTAGTGAGGAGTAGTGAATAGTGCATAGTGAGGAAAACACATATAGTATTAAAAGACTCCAATATGGACTAGAAGTAAATATTCAAAAATTTTTATTACTTTGCTGTATTTTATCTTGTATTTGAAACAAATTGTATCTTATTTTGTTTTCAATTTAGCAGATTTATTTTAATCATTAACTTTAAAAAACAAAAGTAGAACACACATTAGAAAATTCCAACTGTTCAGAAGGGCATAAAATGAAAAGTAAAAATCTTCCTCTTCCTCTCACCACCACCATTCACCTCAATCTCTATCTAAAATTGTTTAGAATTTTTTAATATATTCATAAAAATGCATGTTTTATTTGTACCCACATCTACATGTACTCACCTACCCTTTTGTACAATTAAGAAATAAATTTTAAAATGAGAAGTATTTATCAAAATCATAAACTAAGTAAATAATAATATGTTCACCTTCCATATTTCATTGTGGCCATTATAATATTATGCGAACATTTCTTTACAAAAGCATTACAATCTCATCAGAGTAATAACGTTAGTTTGTAATTGTTACTTGCCAGTAGTACTTTAACAAAGTATCATTCTGAGGTTGCTAATAGGCTAGGGAGATCTTAGGTCAAAGAACTACTTGTTACAGATTCTGCCTTTCATCAGTAGCTCACATTTTCCATCAAATATATTTGGCATACTACACTATTGAGCTCCTGATTTATGGCTTTCGTGCATAGAAGTTAGTGTTTTCTTGTATAGTCGCTGATATAAATTAGCTAAAATTAGCTCATAGCAACTTTCTTCATTATCTAAATTGTTTCACAGTTTACAGTTCTGTACAAGCTAATGTCTCAGAATGAAAATGATAGTGCATACGTGTCGTAAACACATAAAAGATTATTTCCAGGACACTAGCCATGTCCTGTGGAAATAGCAAATAAATTATTTAGATGATTGCAAATAATATAAACCCTAGAGTAAGCTTAGCTATGCTACGGTAAAATTCTGGTCTAGTTATGTAAAACTAGGTCTTTGGTGTTCTGTATTTATCTGTTGCCTCTGGCGGTTTGTCAGCTTTTCTTGGGTGCTTGTGTTTTCCTAATACTTTATGCAGGTTTTTCCTGTGTGGGGGATCTTTCGAGCACAGGTGAACTTGAAGTTACAGCTAATAAATGTAAAATATGCTAAGTCCTTAGCCTAGAGTCCAATCATTAATAATTTATGAGCAATTTGAGCAATTTACAAGTAACTTGAAAGTATATGTGTGTAGAAGAGAAATAGTAAACAGTTTTAAAACTGTGTTTGCTATAACTTTTTCAATAGGACAGATTTTCTTTATAAAAAGATACATATTTCTAGTTTTTGTAATATTATGCAGTATTTTTGTTCCTTTTCAAAACAGAAATTAGAAAATTAAAATTTTTGAGAGAGTCAATGTTCAACAATTTTAATAATATATGTTACTAAATGTATGCTAAAACATTAAATTGAAAACATGTTAATACATCGTAAGGTTTAAAAATTTTTTTTAACTTTTAAGGTCAGGGGTACATGTGCAGGATGTGCAGGTTTGTTATGTAGGGAAACGTGTGTCATGGGGATTTGCTGTACAGATTATTTCATCACCCAAGTATTAAGCCTACTACCCATTAGTTATTTTCCTGATCCCTCTCCTTCCTCCCACCCTCTACCGTCCAGTAGGCCCCAGTGTGCACTGTTCCCCTCTTAAATGGTAAGTTTTATGAAACGTTACTCTTCTCCGTTGATAATATTATACCTTACAGGTAACAGTAGAAGCTAAGGAAAAGTGACTTAATATTTAAGCCGAAGGACTAAGTACATTTTAATGTGTTACTCCATGAATTTTCTTAACTGAGAAAATATTTTTAACTTTGGCATATTTTTAAGTAATAACAAAGAGTTATCACAAACTGGAGCTGCAGAAGTAGATAATAGCACTAAGATACAGTTTTTAATTGCTACTTTCTGTGAAAAGGTGTATGAGTTGTTCTCTTTAATACAGCAAACATTTACAGTGTTTCTTCTTTAAAGTAATGCAAAAAGGTAATCTAAGGAATCCACAAATAAATTTTTCAAAGCTCATTTTATGTGTTGAATTAAAAAAAATTTATAAGTCTGATAAATTTGACATGCATTTAGGTTATTCATACAATCTTGAGTAAGCAAGATGACATTTATTTTCTAACTATGAAGTGAATCCCAAATTATGTCATTTATCTCCAAAGAGGTCTCACAACATAGCTTTTTTTTTTTTCTAATTAAATTTTCAGGCTAGGATAAGTTCTTTGGCACTACCAAGATGAGTTTCAAATTCTACATGGCAGAGGGTTCTCTGAGTTTTTGTCCTTGTCTTGGGCCATTGTTCCACAGGTAGATGCCAGCATGGCCATATCAATCATTCACCTCTGGTCGAGCTAATGGTTAAATATTTTTACTATCACCATCACCCCCACTCCAGTGCCTGTGTTTTATCAGGATGATGGTGGAAACATCAATTGGGGAGATAAACTTTTTTTTTTTTTTGAGACGGAGTCTCGCTCTGTCACCCAGTCTGGCTGGGGTGCAGTGGCACTATCTTGGCTCACTGCAACCTCCGCCTCCTGAGTTCAAGTGATTCTCCTGCCTCAGCCTCCTAAGTAGCTGAGACTACAGGCAGGTGTCACCATGCACAGGTAATTTTTGTATTTTTAGTAGAGACAGGATTTTGCCCTGTTGGCCAGGCTGGTCTTGAACTTCTGATCTCAGGTGATCTGCCTGCCTGGGCCTCCCAAAAGTACTGAGATTACAGGTGTGAGCCACCGCGCCCAGCCTTGGGGAGTACTTGTGTAATGAACACAGTTCTGATGGTGCCTGTGCACTATTCATTAAAAATGATTCTTACTCCTGCTTAACTGAAATTGAATTTTAGGCACAATATTTTACATTGTCTTGTTTAGTATGTCCGAACCTTAAGTACACTGGCTCAATTGTTTTTTGACTATGACAGTCTCAGATAAATCATCACATGATTCTGTGTTTCCTACTGCTGAAGGCTGTGTACATATGTGTGTGTATAAATATACATATATTATATCAAGCCATTGAAATGATCATCTTTTGGCCAAAAAAGTAAATATCAGCAATTTCATATGGCCCAATCGTGTGTGTGTATGTATACTTGTACACATATGAGGGCATAAAACCAGATGACTGGTATATGATGTTAGTCTTTTAATTAATAGAATCTAAAATTATAAGTAGTTTCCTTAGATTTTAGGATTGGGGTGGATAGAGACTGCTTTCGATGGTGTGAAAGTATCTGTAATTTGCACATGTGACAAACTATTAATCAGCCCCAAATTTTAGTATAAATATATACATATATTTAGTACATATACTATTACTGCATAGTATATTTATGAAGTCTTGAGAAAAATTCTGATTCCTGCTTAAATCTCTCAAATAATCTCAGAAAATCTCTAATATATGGATAAAATTGTCCCCATCTTGAAGAACAAACTCAGACTCTCATTACTTAATTAGCATAAAGTCAGTACTTTTAGGTGAGAGAGCCTAGATTTATTCATTCAACCATCAGGTATTTGGGGCCCTAGTATGGTCTAGGGACTGGAAATAAGTAGAAAAAACAAAGTTCCCATCCCCATGAAGCTTGCATTCCAGTCAGAGATGACTGACAGTTACTACATAGACTAGTAGTTGTGACAGTTAATTTCAGAGATTGCTAAATCTACGAAGAAAGTAAGACAAAGTAATGAGACAACAGGTTGCTGGCTGTGGAGACTTGGCTCCATAGCCAGAAGAGAGCCCAATGGAGTCTTTTCTCTACTGAAATGATTGAGAAAGAGACAGCCAAACCTGGAAAAAGAGTGATCCCGGCAGAGGAGAGAGCAAGAGCGAAGTCCTGAGAAGAAAACATGTTTTGATGTCTGAAAGACAGAAAGGGCAGTGCTTTTGGAGCAAAATGAGGTGATGGGATGGAAGGAGATGAGCAGGCATGGGAAGGTGAGGCACAGGGCATGCAGATATTCACAGGGCGTGGTGGAAATTGTACTCTTCTCACAGTAAATGAGAAGCCACTGAAACCATGTAGACAGGGAGGAGAGACCAAGTGATTCATGCTTTAAAAGGAGCACTCTGACTCCAGTGTGGAGAATGGGTTGTCAGCCTAGGCTAGGGACGACATCATAAGCAGCTGGTGGGTGTTGTAGGCAAGATGGGAGATGACGATGGCCCGGAGTAAGCTGAAACACTAGAGTGGTGGACAGTGTTCAGATTTGGGTATTTACTATAGGAATATAGGACCAAATGGTGGATTGGATGAAAAGAAGAGGCAGCAATACACAATGCTGTGATTCCAGATTCTGGAGCTGGGCTCCTTGGTGGCATGTTCTGGCTCTGCCCCCTATCAGCTTTGTAACCTTGGTCAAATAGCCTCTTCTCAGTTTCTGCATTGGTAAAACTGGTGGAGGGTGCTAATAGTGCCTACCTTAGAGGATTGCCATAAGGATTAAATGTGTGTGTGTGTGTGTGCACACAGGCTTAGAACTGAGTTCAGTAGTAAGTACTACCCCTATTTATTTAGGTGATATGTACTTGTGAAATGTACATTTCACAAGTACATATCACCTAAATAAACTAAATTTGAGAACAATTGATTATAGATTTTTGGCCTACATCACTAGGTGGTACCATTCACTGAATTAGGGAAGATCGAGGGAGGATCAGTTTGGAGGAGGGGAGATGCAGGAAATAAGAGTTGTGTTTAGGACACATTCAGCTTGAGAGGCCTATCAGTGAAACAGAGATGAAAAGTCTGGAATTCAGAAGAGAGATGAAAACTGAATTTAAATTTATCAATATATATGCTATTTAAAGCCTTGGAACTGGATGAGCTCACCTAGGAAGACAATGTAAAGAGGAAGAGGGTGGAGAATGAAGACTCCCAGAAGCGTGGGGAGGTTGGGAAAGGAGGAGGAGCAGGAAATGATTCAAATGCATCCACATCTGGTTTTCCCATAGTGCTGCCTATATTATTGGAGCCCTGCCCGAAGAGCTCATGCTACAGAAGCTTCTGTAGACATGAAAGCCTCTTTAGACATTCTTACTGGTAAGGGGCTGAGGCTTCCAGTTTGGACCCTGATGACAGGAATTTTCCATTTATACTTGAGAGTAGCACAAAGAAGCTGTGGTAGGAATCTGCTGCTCTCTATTTACTCTGAGATGTTTTTAGTGCAATCACAGTTATATGTGGCCCCTAATGATAGATCAATTGTTTTAAATTGTGTCATTATTATATATTTTACTTTACATGAAGAGATGGGCATCTTCAATTTACAAAGTTGATTAGAACTGAAAAAGAATGTTTCCATGGACACTGTACTATTCATTATCATTTGATTCCCAGTCAGCCCACAAAAGCCTGTGTAACCCACAAGGACGTGAAATCAAAGTACAAAGACCACATAGATCCCAAACAGCAGAAGCAACAGGGCTTACAGAAATATTTGCTTAGATTCCTTAAGATACCAGAAAGACATTTTCTTCTCCTCTTATTTGGGCTCAGCAAAGCAAGGACAGAGAGTTGCCTATTGGGTGGGGTGGGAGGAGCTAGGGAAGGCACTTCTGTGGCCAGTTACTCACATGGGTAGTCAATGACTGTAGAAAACATAAATGTTGAATTGAGAAAAAGAATTCTGGGGAAAGACAGGAAACTGGAAATCTACTCTTAGCTTTGACAGCTACCTGTGCTATGGCCTGAAGGAAGTCACTAACTGTTCCGTGCCTCAGTTTTCTTTCATTTTATATTGGCTACAATAATCACTTTCAATGTTGTCGTAAGGATAGGTGTATACACACACACACACACACACACACATATAATATACACATTCATGTGTGACCATGTGGATGGTGGAAAGATCTAAGTAACTATTAACTATTGTTTATTATTATTGTCTTGTAGCCTCATATCATCTCTTGGTTTTTAATTTTAATTAATGATTCTTAGGAAACTATGAATGGCAGGACTTTAATAATGTGGAGCAATAATAACAGAAATGAGATTTAAAAGAAAACAACAAATTCAAGCAATGCGGGAGAAATTTTATTCATAACATTGTGATTAGGTCACCTAGTTTCTCATTAGCTCTTCCAATTTTTCCTAACAGATGCCTCAGTGAGTTGTCAAAAATGATCTAATTCCAGCCTTTTTAAAGGCTTGGTGCTTGCAGCAAAGAGTTCAGTTGCTTTAGCAAGTTATCTTATGTAAATATGGCCAGTAGCATCCTGGTAATTTGCCTCCAGAAAGTAATCTAGAATTTCATTATAAACTCTTATTTATTCTCACAGCATCATTCAGTGTACTAAGCAGGGAGAATTCCTGTTTAAGATTTTCATAATTTTATCAATGACTTACCAACATTGCTCAGGCTTTTCTTGTAGAGTATCATCCACAATACACTAACATTGCAATTGTCTTTTTAAAAATATTTTCAATTTCACATAAGACACTGCAAAAAAAATCATACAGAAAAGATATATTTGAGCTTTGCAGTTTGTATAGCTTCTCCAAAGAATGCAGTATGTCAAATGCAAGTGTTCACAGTATATTAAAAATTGGTTAGGAATCAGTGTTTCCTTTCTATACTGTCAGATTAATGCTCTTTGCTTCAAGACCACACAGAAGAAAACCCAACATTGTGGACCCTCCCTACCTAACAAAGTCTCACAAGGTGAACTCATTCTATGTTTGAAGTGAGTCTGTTGGATAAAGACTATCAAGGACTATGTAGACACATTAACTGAAGTCTATTATGGAAATTTTGTCTGAAAATTTACTTTTCTGCCCACTTAATCAACTTTTTGATAAGTTAATATATAATAAAATGCATTCAGTATACATGTGAACCTTGGAAAACATAACCTTATTTAATACTACTCATTTATATAGTAGTGAGTGTGTGTGAATGAGTGAATGTGCTTTATTTCTCATTTCTCCACATCCAAATCTTTCTCTTATGTTCTGTTTTTGAAAACTTCATAATCAGCAGATTAAAACTATCTTGAACTTAGGGATGATTTTTCTCAGTTTATACTTCATTCTGTAAATAGAAACGTTCTATGTAACGAATAATTTTTGTATACATGGACGGTCCATGTATACGATTGCTCCATACTATGAAGGTTCCTGATTTTGAAGCTGGGTGAGTGAGCTGAGAGCGAAACAAATCTAGTGATCTGTCATTAAGTGGCAATTGTTGTTTAACTCCCTTCACTTTTCTCTACCACAAGTTTCTAAATTTCTGCTGTCAAGAACACACCTGAATTTCTAAACCATTCACAAACACAAAATGACATGACAGACACAAATATCTATGAATGGGGGTAAAGATGCCTTCCCAATATCTTCAAGTGTCTGCTTTGTCTCCAGGTTTTGCAAACTCAATATTTGAGTCCACAAATATGCACAAAATTTTTTTCACTGAAATAATACGGTGTCTTGTGAGTAGTTTTATTTTGGAGTTTTTGGCTAAATTGTTTTTGAAGGATTATTGAATTATCTTTTATATAGATCTTTAATATAGTATGATGTAGTTCTGGTAGTTTTATGAATTCTGGAAAATAATGGGTGCTTGGAGACAATAGTAGAATTTACTGAATATATGAGGTAGGCATATATGATTGATTTTGGAGGGCATTGTTTTTATCTTCATTGTGATTGCAATAGCAACATAAACATGTTGTAAGTAGATAGGCAAATAAGAAAATGTAAATATTGATAATTTTTAACTTATAATCAATATAAACTTTGGTTTATATTCACAGACATAGACAATGTTTTTATATTAAAAAGTTTAAAATTTTAATTGCAAATATTTCAAATATAAGAAAACTATCAGAAATAATATGACAGACATCCATGTATCCACCACACAGATGGCCATCTATTCATTAATTCATTTATTCATTCAACAAATATTTATTGGGAACTACTAAGCTAGATGTTGTTCTAGGCACCTGCAGATTCAGCAGTAAGCAAAATAGATCATAATAAATTCAATCCATATGTAAAAGATGGTGGTTGCTGATGATTGCTATAGAAAAAAGAAGAGCAGAGAAAATGCTAGGGAATGTGGGAGGATGGGCATGAAATTTTTAAGAAGGTGCTTGGGAGGTCTCACTAAGCAGATAACTTCTGAGACTTGAAGGAATTGAGGGAGTAAACCATGCAGATACCTGGGGAAAGAATGTTCACAGCAGAGGACACAGCAAGTGCAAATGCCTGGAGGTGGGAATGCATCTGATGTCGTGAGTCTCTCTGTTATCTCTCTGTCTGCTTCATTAATTTCTATCCTTGGTCTAATGGTTTTCTTTCTTCTACTGATTTGTGGCTTACTCTGTTGCTGAGTTTTCTTCTTACTTTCTTTCTAATTTATGCCTTGCAAACTATAAATTTCCCTCCAAATGCCTTTTTAGCTGAACATCACAACCTTTGAAAGAGGGTATATTCACTGTGGTCCATTTCTAAATATTTTATAATGTCTACAATTTTATTTCTACTCAGTAATTATTTGAAGTGGTTACTTTAGATTTCTTAAGTGTGACAAGTGGAAAGGAGATTGCGGTCTTTTATTATTGATTTCCAAATTTAATGCATTGTATTAAGGGAATGCTGCTTATGTAAAATGATTCCTAGATATCTTTGAGGTTTGCTTTGTAGCTTGTCACTAATTTTTATTTTAAAAAATCCATGTAGAAATGAACATATTTTCTGTAATTGTTGGAAACAGTGATTATATGTAGTCATCAGAGCAAACTTGTTAACTGTGTTGTCAAAATTGTCCATTTGCTTACACTGGGAATAGTCTATTCCCTTACTTATTTGCCTTCTGGGTCAATGACTGTAATAGGTAAATTAAAATTTCCTGCTATGTTTATAGATTTGTAAATTTCTCCTTGTAATTCTGTCAATTTTTGCTTTGTATACTTTGAAGTTTGCCTGGTAGATAAATGTAAATTCAGAGGGATAATCTTCCTGGTAATTGTTACTTTTATTTCTGCTAAGAAGTCTATTCCATTTATTAAAATATTAATAATATTCTAATATTAAAAGCTTCTATTCCAGTTCTCTTTTGGTTACAGTTTTCCTGATAGATCTTTTTTATCCTCTTACTTTCAACATTTCTGTGAGTGCATATTCTTGGTGTGTCTTTTTAAAACAATATATAACTGAATTTAGTTTTTAATGCAATCACTTTCTTTTAACTGTCAAGCTAAATCCATATATGTATTAAGAATTATTTATTTATTCACATCTAACTTTGTTTTGCTATTCATCCTTTTTTTGTTACTTCTTTGCTTTTTTCTGCTTTCAACTAGATGGATTGAGGTTTTAAATATATTTTCTCTTATTGGTTTAGAGATTAGACATTTCATTTTTTGTGGTTTCAGCAGATACACTCACATTTTTAGCATTTTATACTAGAATAAAAATATAAATAAATTTATGTGTATTTAATATCCCTATCATACCCTAGAAAAATATAAGAAACTTACTGAAATCATCTTAAATGAGATCATGTCCATCCCTAGAACTGTTATTGTTATATATATCTGAGCTCTACTTTGTTTTGAAACCCTGAACTATTATCTTTTTAAATTTTTATAGCAAATGCTTATCTAAATTTCCTCATGTGTTTCCCAATATTGCTCAACATTCCTTCATGAATTCATTTTTACTTTTCAGGTTCACATTCAATCTTGAAGGGTATGTAAGTGGTAAATATTTTCAGTGTTTAGACTAAAACGTATCCTTATTTAACCTTTGTTCTTGAATGATAATTTAACAGGATCTAGAATTCTCTAGGTTTTCGTTATTTTTTCTGAGCACTTTGAGGACAATATTCACTTGCCATTTGGTCTCTATTGTTGCCAACAAAAATTCTTTTGTGAGGCTAATTGGTGTGACTTTGTGGTCATCTGTTATTTCTGGTTGCTTTTAAGGTTTTCTCTCTGTGGTGGTTCAGGTCTTCTGCAAAGGACACACCAAGACAAAATTAGAAACAAGAGATTTGGGGAGGAAAGTGGCTGTGAAGGACAGAGCAGAACGGGAAAGGAATAGATAGAGACAGCCTTCAGACCTCAGGGCAGGTGTGACCCGATAAAAGGGGAGGGAGAAGAAAGGAATATGGGGTAGGAAAAGGCTCAAGTAGCAGTGCAGCCAGGCTCCTGGGGACCTGCTAAGTAGAAATGGCTGTGAGAAGAGTTTGGCATTAGCAGGAAGGCCTCAGCTGTAGTACCCCACCATGCCTAGCACAGAAGTGGAGCAGTCTGGGGAGAGAGTGGCCTCCGCACACACCTGTGGATCTGAGGCTGTCGGCTGTCAGCTAACTGCACGCCTGGTAGCAGCTCCCCTTTAAGAGGAGAGCTGAGGGCCACCACACTTGTCTTTCATGTTCTACAGCTTCACTAAAGTGTCTAGATTTACTTTTATTTTTCCTACCTTATAATCTTGCATTTCTTCTCCTACATTTCATATATTTCATCATAAGCTGGTGAAATTTCAGCCATGCTTTCTTGGAAAATGGCATCTCCTACCTTTTCTCACTTTCTTGAACTTATATAGTCGATAGATATGTTCAATATCCTCATTCCAGGCTGGGCGTGGTGGCTGAAGCCTGTAATCCCAGCACTTTGGGAGGCTGAGGCAGGTGAATCACGAGGTCAGGAGTTCAAGACCAGCCTGGCCAACATGGTGAGACCCCCGTCTCTACTAAAAATACAAAAAATTAGCTGGTCATGGTGGTGGGCACCTGTAATCCCACCTACTCAGGAGGCTGAGGCAGGAGAATTGCTTGAACCTGGGAGGCGGAGGTTGCAGTGAGCTGAGATTGCGCCACTGCGCTCCAGCCTGGGTGACAGTGAGAGACTCTGTGTCAAAAAAAAAAAAAATTCCCATCCATCATTATTTCTAAACCACCCTTTCATATTTGCCATATATTTATTTCACTATACTTCATTGTGAAAATGTCCTTAGATTTCTCTTCCAGTTCAGTATTTTATTGAACTGGGTCTAAAATACTTTTGCTTCATATTTGCGTTTTCATCTTTAATTACCATATATCTCATTTCTAGAAGATACATTTGTTCTTTAAAAAAAAATCTACCGAATTCTATTTCAGTGTCCATTCTTTCTCTATAATTTTGATCTTTTCCTTTATCTCCAGTAATCTGCAACCTGCTTGTTTTGTGGATTCCTTGACATTGTTCCATTAACTTGTGTTCTGAAACTTCTGTCTGCTGACTCCTTCTTGATGGATTTCCTTTCTTTTTTATTTTTTATTTTTATTATTTACTTCTTTTTCATGTCATGTTTTGGGATTGCTTCCAAATAGTTTCCCAGAAATTTTGCCATTCTAGAACCAGTTTACACATTCCTTTTTTTTTTTTTTTTTCACCTTAGATATCCTGTACCATTCAGATGTCAGTTTCAGATTTGGGCTTTCAATTTTTTATGTGGGTTGCTATTTGTTTCCTTTTTCCCATCCTGGGATGACAGAAAGAAATTGGCTTGTCACTTCCCTGGAATGATGACCTTTTATTTCTCCTTTCCCTGAGGGGCAGCCCAGGGTCATGCTAATGCAAAGCTCTAGGTTCCAGTTCCTTCACTTTGGCTTCTAATTGGACAATAAAACCCTAACCCTATACCAGAGGTCTCAGAAGTCATTAATATCTTTCTTAGATTTGGTTCGCTCAGAAGCAGATCCTGAGACTCAAGGGCATTCCATATTCTTTGGGAAGTACACAGACCTCCAGGAAAACAAAACAAAACAAAAAAAAAAAAAAAGGGAGGGGCAGGGAGACAAAGGAAATCAATAGACTGTTTTTAAGCCAGCAACGTCAGTGGATGATTAAAGTGGGAAACGGGAAAGAGTGTAAAACACGTGCTTCAGAATTAAGCCACCCAGAGGGCTGAAGGAGCTCGTATATTTATACACCCTATCTGGGGAGTCATTGGTTGAGGGTTACTAGAGCAGAAGCAGGAGATAGTCTTTGACATCTCCAACGTGCCACATGCAATTAGAGCAGGTTTCCAGAGTTCTGGGGAAAGGAAGCCCTAATTTATAGAGAAGGAAATCCTGGCAGTTCCAAGTCAAAGGGAATACCCTAAAAGGCCCAAGGGGTATGGACAGAGAACTTTCATCATCTGCCGCAATATCCTGTTAGTTGCCACGTTTCTCTCATGACCATAACACTGAATTTAAGTTACTTCTTTGCTATGGTTCTTAGAAATTTTATTTTCTTTGATATTTGTTTAATAAATCATTTACATTTTTATTACATATTTTATCAGTCTTTTTTTTTAAAATAGTGTGTTTATAGTGGGAAAGAGGTCTGCTTACGTCAGTGCTCATGTTGTTAGAACCAAACTTTCAAAATATTTTAATGTACACTTTAACTTTATAAAATAATACTAAATATGCCATCACAACTTGCCTTAATATTCAAAATAACTTTGACAACTTTTCCATAACCATAAATGTAGGTCCACTTTACTTTGTAAAATGTATTTCTCCAAATTAATATAGATATTTGTCTACAGATGTCGCTATTACAAAGAATGCAATAAACATTATTTTACCTATTCTTTCATACGTATGCTTGTATATCTTTGGTATAAATTCCTAGTACTAGATGGCAGGGATCAAAACTTTTAGCACATTTAAACTTTAACTGATATTTGTGAAATCTGCCTAAATTGCTTTTAGCATTCTTTATTCTCACCCACAGCTTGGGAGGGTATCTTCTTTTCTATCCTTACCAAAAATCTATAAACATCAGTCATTTGATTCTTTGATGATGTGATGAGTCAATAGTGATAGATCACTTAATTTGTTTTATCTTAATTATTAGAGAAGGCAAAACATTTTATATATTCCTGACAATTGATATTCACATGTACGTATTTTTATGGGCCTGCCCCCTTTTTTTATTTGATTTGTAACAGCTTTATATTATGAACACTAGCCCTTTGTCATATATCTTGAGTATATTTTTTGAAGTTTATATTTCATTTTTTGAATTTGTTTATTGTGACTTTTTACCCATGTAAAATTTTATGAAACCAATTTCATCCATTTTTGACTTCATGGTTTCTCATTTTTCAAATCACACATTTAAAAAGCCTTCTATAATTATTAATTATAAAAAGATTTTATGCAGTTATTGGACGCCTCCCATGAATTGGATATACCATGGCATGAGGGGAAAGGGACAGAGATGAATAAGAAGCCTTTTATTGCTTCAAAGAGTATCATATTAAATATAAAATATTTTTTTCTCTAGAAGGAATGAAGTAAATAGACCTTTTCCCCTCTACAAACAAACAAGGGAACAGATAACAAGTCTCTAAACTTGTGTATCTTTTTTAAAAGAAAAACTCCAACCAGTCAAAACATCAACAAATATAGTAAATAATAATATTCAGAACTGATCAGCGAGAAAGCCAGGCCTAGAACTCAAGGTCTGTTTATATACTGATACTGTAAGACTGGCAAAAACAGTGCCACTTCATTAGCCAAGGCATACTCTGCAGGACCTACAAAAAGTGGTTTTTTTTTTCTTAAGAGTACTTTTAAAAATATTTAACCAATACTCGTCTCAGTAGCATTTGTAGACAACTGTAATGACCATAATTTGCTAAATGTTGATGCAAGAAAAATACTTTTTAAAGACATAATCCCTGTCCTTAAGGAAATACAGTTGGAGAGGCAAACTATATATGAATGAAACAGCCTAAGAATGATATGAAGACCAGACAAAACAATGTGGGATAGATCTTGTGCTTATGGTCAGAGCTTAGGAAAAGGGTCCTCAGTGCCCCTGTGGCAATCAACAAGTATTCATACTAACTCCATGTAGAACTTCCTCAAGTTGTAATCTTATAGATTGTATTGATGCTTGCTGATACAAAGAACTCTTAGACATTGGGAATGATATAAATCTAAATAAAATTATGTATGTACATAATTATGCAAAACTATAAATATCTACCCCCAAATTAAATAAGGACAACCCCCAAGTCTTGATGTTTTAAATGTTAATGTAGTAGAGCAGAAAAGTGAGCAAGCCATGAAGGCAGATGCTCTGGAAAAATCACTCTTGTTTTCATACGCATCGTAAAACATCACCCCACAAACCACATCCTGACATTGCTGACATTCACCCCTCCTATACATGCTCAGCCTGAGCCTGTTTGGCTTGAGTTGCCTGACAGTAAAACAGGATTCAGAGGGAAGATGAAAGGGAGAAAGCAGTGGACTACAGATAATCCACTAAACAGAAAATCAACTCAGGGAAGTCTCCGCTTGGGGCCATGTACTTTGGGAACAGGAATGTTGGTGTATAACTTGAGGTCTCATGAGTTTATTCATCCAACAAACACTTATGAAATACCGACTACAAGCCAAACATCATATGTTTAGATGGGTGGAGTCAAGAGGCACTTTTTAAGCAGTTAGGGAAGGAAAATCTCAGGCAAGGGTACGGTAAGTTGTATGTGTAGAACTAAGGAAAACATCACAGACATAGTCTGATGGCTGGGAGGAGGCCTCAGATTGGCAGTAGAAAAACTGAAAGTAAAACAGGATTGAAAGCAACGCTTGAAAGCAACACCATGAATATAAAGAAGTAAATTTGTCTTCATTCCCCTGTCCTGGGACTTAAGAAAAAGAGAATTTGGAGCTGATCTTCCACTGGGCCCTGAAGTTGAGAGAGGCAGAGGAAGTTAAAGCCAAGATTGCTATGCAAAAGAAATCTTTCAGCAAAGGGGATTTCAAAGTACTGACCTGAATAATTTCCATTTGGGGCTGCTGAAGAGAAGCAGTTGTGTTCACGGGGTGAAGCAAGGAGGAAATGGGAAGTTGTCTGGATGCTTTCTTTGCAATCAAGATAATACTAGAGCTCAGTAAGTGAGGAAAGAAAATTATAAGTTTGCTAATAGTTCTAATCCCAGAGATGCTGAAGAGAAAACTCTTTTTCTTTTCTAGGCAAGAGTCATCTCAGGGTAAATCTCAGACCAGGTATGAAGTTCGCACATTTCTCTCAGTCAGTGTATTTCAGAGCCTGGGAAATACAGAGACCCCATGGGGAGGGTAGGCACCATTTGCTTTTATTGCATTTAAGTTTTTTGGAACATGCAAGTGCCCTATGCTGTTGTATGAGGCTACATGGGAGCATATCTTTGAGACTCAGAAACTGTTGGAATCACAATGATGTATAAAGAAACAGTAAGGGGCCAGGCACGGTGGCTCACAGCTGTAATCCCATCACTTTGGGAGGCTGAAGTGGGCGGATCACAAGGTCAAGAGATCGAGACCATCCTGGCCAACATGGCAAAATCCCGTCTCTACTAAAAATACAAAAAAAAAAAAAAAAAATAGCTGGGTGTGGTGGTGCATGCCTGTAGTCCCAGCTACTCAGGAGGCTGAGGCAGGAGAATCACTTGAACCTGGGAGGCAGACGTTGCAATGAGCTGAGATCGTGCCACTGCACTCCAGCCTGGTGACAGAGCAAGACTCTGTCTCAAAAAAAAAGAAATAGTAAGGTCAGTGTTGGAGTCTGCATGCTAATAGGCAGGTCCCGCAATATATTTTTTAATAACAAACACCTACTGCAATGACCTGTTAATGTAGAGCAGCTGTAAGCCTGAAGACTTAAGGGAATAGAAGCTAATAAACCCAGGCCAAAGTGTACTGTAGATAAGGCAACTTGTACAGACATCAGAATTGAATCCATTTGAAGTCACTAACATCTCTCTAGATTATTTCCTCTCTTTCTCTACATTACATGGGATTTTATTTTAGAAGAACTCAAAATACTCTAGAAGAAGGCAGTTGAGGTTACTGCATTGTATAACTGAAATAACTGTACAATTATATTTGTTACACATTATTTAAAAAAAAACAGACTTGAAAATGTGTTGGAAACAAACTTGAGAAATACCTGTCTACCTCAACCTCTTCCATCTTCCCACATGCGTGTTTAATTTGTAGACTGGGTTGAGGTGTAGTCTTTATTTAGTAGAGGTGAAATTCTTTTGCCATATTTTTCATAATATGTTTTGGCACCATTCTTCAATTTAGATTTAAATTTGCAAGAAGTTATTAGGCTTGGGATGAGAAGGAAGGCTGGCAGGAGCAGCTGGCCTGATTTATCTAAGGGAATTACTCAAAGCCTGTTAGGTATAAAATTTGTGGTGAATTTTCCTATTGGATATCCACAGCCCACCAAATTCTCATTTATTACCATGTGGTGTGACCCCCGCTGAGAACAAAGACTTCGATTAAATTATTTTCTGTTTCCCTGAGTTACTGACAGCGCTAAAATATACTATGAACCTCATGTAAAAAAATAAAAAAGTCTTCAACTAAGTAAAAATTATTTCCAACTTTCTCTCCCTCTGTGTTTTTCCTGCTTCCTGGCTCTCCCCTTTGTTGTTTCCCTTCAATATCAAATCATATTCCACACTGTTTTTCTCAGTTTGAACATTCTCACTTTCTCCCTTTCCATTCATCAATCTTTCTGCCACCTTCCCCTTAAGTATTTCCTCAATTTAAACCTTATTCAATAAATACATACACTTCACAGACTGAACAGATGGATTACAGGACTTTTTCCCTTGAGATTTCCATGTATAGCAATTTTCACTTCTCAAAGAAAATAAAGGTGATGATGATAGTGTCTATGCAGTTTTTTAAAGTAATTTTTGTGCTGTGTGAGCTCTGCAACTTCAGAAGGCAGGCTCCTTACCACACTTGACTTGTAATTTCTATTTTGTTAACTATATCTGTTATGCTGAGAATAACAGATTGTCTTCCCCTATTTGAACACTTTCAATGACCAGTGGAGACCTGAATATTTCACTAGATGGCCGGTAGTTTTATGGTTCCCATTATTATAAAGTTTTCTATTACAAAGAGCTGAAATCCATTTCTGTTTTTCACCATTGGTACAAAAGAGAACAAATATAATCTCTTTTTTCATAAGGTAGACATTGAAACATCAAAACACAAATCTCCTCTTTTTCAGACTACATATCCTCAATTACTCCAGGCATTCTTCAGGTATCAGGGTGTCCAGGTGCCTTGAGTTCATGGTTTCTTTTTACTAATACACTCCATTTGGTCAAGTTTTCTCTTTAAATCTTGTCACTGATCTTGAGGAATGGCTTAGTCATACACAATTTATGTCCACCACTAAAGTACTAATGTGTATTCTATATATGGAAAATCCCCCTAAAGCCTGTTAAACATGCGGCTCAATTGGACATACACTAGGTGTCCTAACAGCTCTGTTTAACAAGGTGACACTGAGCCCTCATGAGAAGGCCTTCAAGCCTGCCCAGCTCACATTTGCTTATGTTTTCTGCTGCTTAAATAATAACAATTCAGCAAAGTTAAGTGAGGACTGTCTCTCAATGTCTAATATTTATTAACGAGCTATGTTAATTCTCCTAGGCCATCAAGTCCTAGGAAAAGAAAGTAAATTTCTATGAAAAGTAATTTCTAAGTGTGTCTGCAAAATCCGATGATGTTTATTGCTTAAAATATGAGTCTGCAATAGACGGTGCTTTAGTCAACAAGACAATTACAGTAAATAAATGTTGTCAATGAGATCAACAAGAAACCTGCTTTATTCAAAGAACTTTCATCAAGTGCTCACATGTGGCTGGCACTGAACTAGGCTGTGTCCTCTGTCTTTGGTCTACACTCTTTGGGCTTTCAATTTGGGTCAAAATAAAGAGAGACCTCATATTTCCAGGTCACTGAATGTCCTGCACTGACATCTAAAGCATTTGTTTCAGGGCCTCCCTTACCATGCCGAAGCTCTTTCCTGCTGGGGTGCCTCACTCTGATGTACTCAGATCACCAGTGAAAGGAGCTGGCTTCTATTAATTATCAGGTTCTGCCCAGCCTTGCTGGGTTAAATGGACATGACTAAATTTGCATGGTTGATTTCCCCATCGGCAAAGTCATCTGGGTTTCAGCTTTGTTTTGCGTTTGGTAGGAAGGACTCATTTAATACACTGAATATGACTATATTTTATAAATGTTTCATGTAAAATAATCTCTGAAGCTTAGTATGTATAAATAAATTCCTGCCATTTGAATTATAGCAGCTCATATCCCACACATCTGCAGAGTTTGCTTGCCAGTACTGTCCATGTGGGATAAATAAATATCGCTATATATTTAATGGGTCTATGTTAGCTTCATATTTTGCTTAAATAATGGGTGAAATTAAATATTCCAAATTCATTTTTTTAAAAGTAGATTCTACTAGTAACCACTTAGTGTGTATTGACTTGTCAGAATTTTCAGAATTTAAAGCATGCTCCAGTGGCGCAATCAGCTAGTGTGCAGTACTTGGTATCACAATGTGCAAGGTATGTAGGTTCTTTCTTCTAGTCATCACATATGATCATTACAATTCTATTTTGTGCTCTTTTCAACCAGTCTTTCCGGCAGAATTTTCAGAATTTTCCTGATTCGATATCACAGAAGTCCTTTCTATGGCTTTTTGACTTCATGTCCTTGAAATCTCTATCCTGGTCCCAGTACTTTCTTAAGGTCACTAGCATCCTGTACACCAAATCCCATAACACTTGCTGGTCTTATTCTCTATTGACTATGGCATTTAATAGCATTGACAGTCAGTAGTATTTATAGAACTCTCTTCTCTTGTTCTTGGGGACACCTATATTTCTAATTTTATTGATTAGTCAATAGATATTTATTGAACACTGGGATTGTATCATGTGTATCTTTCTTCTTGTCTCCTTCCACTGCTCTTTTCGTGATCCCTGAACTCAAATCCAGTCTTTGTCTTTCACTGTTTTTCTCGAAGCTGTCTGCCTATGAGTCAAATTAGTAAAATTACAGGAATTTTGAGTTAGAAGGGACTATAGTGACCAGTTAACTTAGTTAGCATTCTACAGATGAGGATATTACACCCATTAAATTAAACGTCTGCTCTAAGATCTCACAGCATGTCAGCGGCAGAGCCCACATCAACTCATGGAAAAGCCAGGGGGATTTCCATGCCGTCACTTAACTTGTGTAGAACCTGATTCAGGGTCTTCTGAAGCCCTGATCCAACCCTCCACTCTCCTGGTTTTCTAGTTCTGCCATCATATTTCTATTCTTCTCTATTTCAGAGTCTAGATTTTAGTAATATTTGATATCTCTCAATTTCTCACTTCCCCCTACTCTTAGAGCCAAATATTCATGATGTTTCATAAAGCCTGTTATCATGATGCCTCATAAAGCCTGTCATCATGATGCCTTGAAAATGTGGGGAGGGTTTTGTTGTTTGTTTGTTTGTTTTTTGTTGTTGCTTGTTTGTTGTTTTTTTTTTTTTTTATCTCACTGCCACTACCGTGGCCCAGGGCTGCATCTGCATAATGGTGTGCACCTTTCCAGTGATCTCTCGGGCATCATCAGTCCATTCTACACTCAAATGTTTGAAATACCACTCTTCCCACATCAACATGTCAGAAAACCAGTGCTGATCTCCATTTATAAACAGTTCTCTTTAAATCTTTGTAAATGTTCAGAAAAATAAGAGAGTCCTTTGGAGAAGCAATGTCTATTGCAAATGAAAAATACACACATTCTGCTATTAAGTGTAACCCCATTCCAAGAAATTAAGCTTTGAAGAAGAGGAAAACAAACAAACAAGCAAAAGTAAAGAGGTTACTGAAAGAAAAGAACTAGCTAGCTGCTGGAAAGACTGGTTGAAAAGAGCACAAAATAGAATTGTAATGATCATATGTGATGACTAGAAGAAAGAACCTACATACCTTGCACATTGTGATAGCAAGCAATGCTGAGAAAACATGTGAGATGGAAAAGCAAAGCTGAGTCCAATCAGTTGTTTCTCATAACTGTTAAGACAAGATGCTCTGGCGGACTCCTGTTAATTCACAGGCATGCAGGCACATTTTGATCATGTGTAAAAACTTAGTCTATAATAGAGGATCCTTACTGCTGTGGAGATTTCTGTCAGCTTTGAGCAAAACGTACAACTTGACTCAATTTAGTTTGCTGCTAGTTTCTTGCCTAACCTAATATCAACCCCCGTCACATTTTCTGAAACATACAATGGCCTTGCTTCAATCAGGACAGTAAACAGCAGTAGTCAAATGGCAGCTGACTGAAGAGTGAAAAATACTAAGATACCGTTGAGTGCTTTTAAGGACACCATAAGGTGTCCTTATATTGTAGTTGTAATGAAACTTTTCCTGAGTGTAGGGTTGTGAATCAATAGCACCTTTATCATGCAGGTGTGCAAGAAGCCAAGGACCTCTGCAGGATGATAACAACATGTTACAGCAATATTTCCTTCCCTTTATCATCTTTTTCCTACCTTTTTTCCCTTAAGGAATATTTGCAAATTTTTTTATTTCAGTAGTTTTTTGGGTATAAGTGGTTTTTGGTTACATGGATAAGTTCTTTAGTAGTGATTTCTAAGATTTTAGTGCACCTGTCACCTGAGCAGCATACACTGTACTCAATATATAGTCTTTTATCCCTCACTCCCCTCTCAACCTACCCTGAGTCCCCAAAGTTCAAACATCACACTTATGTCTTTGTGTCCTCATAGCTTAGCTCGCACTTATAAGTGAGATTATATGATATTTGCTTTTCCATTCCTGAGCTACTTCACTTAGAATAGTGGCCTCCAGTTCCATCCAAGTTGCTGCAGAAGACATTATTTCATCCTTTATGGCCTAGTAGTATTCCATAGTGTATATATACTACATTTTCTTTATCCACTCATTGGTTGATGGGTACTTAGGTTGGTTCCATATGTTTGCAATTGCAAATTGTGCTGCTGTAAACATGCTCGTGCATGTGTCTTTTTTGTATAATGACTTCTTTTCCTTTGGGTAGATACCCAGTAGTGGGATCGTTGGATTGAATGGTAGTTCTACTTTGAGTTCTTTAAGGATCCTCCCTATTGTTTTCCATAGTGGTTGTACTAATTTACATTCCCACCAGCAGTATAAAAGTGTTCCCTTTTCACCACATCACACCAACATCTGTTGTTTTTTGTCTTTTTAATAATAGTCTTCTTGCAGGAGTAAGGTGGTATCTCATTGTGGTTTTCATTTGCATTTCCCTGATGATCAGTGATGATGAGCATTTTTTCATATGTTTGTTGGCTGTTCGTAAATCTGTTGAGAAATGCCTATTCATGTCCTTTGCCCACTTTTTGATGGGATTATTTGTTTTTCTTCTTGCTGATTTGTTTGAGTTCCTGTGGCTTCTGGATACTAGTCCTTTGTTGAATCCATAGTTAATATTTGCAAAGATTTGCTGAGCATTTATACTGTGCAAGACCTTTTGTTAGAGGCTGGAGATATAACAATGAGTCTTGCTTTCAGTACTTTATAATTGCTCTGCAGATTAACTGTACAGACTTAAAATAATTTTCCCTAACCTGTAACCCTACCAGAAAAATAATTAAGAGAATATGAAAGGATCTGCTTAAATCAGAAAAGTGAACGTATCAGTTAGACTAAGTAATGATGGTGAACCCAATATTGACAAAGATACTAAATATACACTTAAGTTTGATATTTATTTAAATGTTGTGTACTGTATTCTGCTTTCAAAATTATTAAGCAAAGATTTGTCCTTAGTAGTTACCCAGTATTTACAGAGAATATATTAATTAGGGGCTTTATTTTATTGAAAAGGCTTAATTGGCTATGCAAATCTACACCCTCTCAATTATCTACATTTGGAGCAAGTTTACTTAGTTGGTCTAAATAAGCATAATTTGTGGCAGTTACCTTGGTGTTGTCAAATCTAAACCTTTAAACAAAAAATAAATCTCATGTGACCTTTTCTGAATGAATTCTCATTGTTTCTAGCAGCCACCTCAATCTTTCAGCCCAATGTTTAGATTCCCCTGTAATCCAATCATGATTTACCTTTTGACAGTTTACTCCCTACTACTCCCCAATTCTTTGTTCTACTGCGCTTACTATTTCCCTGGACATATATTTGTGATTATTTACATCATCTTTCATCTTGCTATGTCATCTCTTAATTCTCTCCAACTATAGTACTATTGGCATTTAACAAATTCTTACTACCTGTGAACTACTGCATTGAGTGCTTTTGCCTATATTATCCCACGTAATTGCTATGATACCTCTATGACCTCAGTGAGTTTCGTTTTAAAGACTTTTATAAACTGAGGCTTACAGACACTGAGTAACCTCTTTACAAGAAGAGGACTACTTAGTAAAAAAGAGGACTAAGTAACCTGCTCAAGGTCACACAATTAGTGTGACCTTCAGTTAGTTATTGAACCCAGATCTAACGGCAAATCTAGGTACCTAACCATTATGTTCTGCTGCTTCCAAGGACTTAGAGCTATGCTACTGGATAATTATCTTTGGGACCTCAGATAAAGTAACTGACATTTCTGAGCTCCAATAAAGCTGAAATACACACGTGTGTGTGTGTGTGCATGTATAACACCTTAAATAGGTGTGCATGTATAACACCTTAGAATAGGTTCTTGTTATTTTATTTATACTTATTATAGGTATAAAATATAGGTATAAAATAAACATCACTGTTCTGGACTATTTAGAAATATAGATCCAAGAAGAACAACTAATGTCGACAGTAGGTGTACTAGTTTAAAAAATAAATATTATAAAAAATAAGTAGTATAAAAAATAAATATTATAGGTATAAAATAAACATCACTGTTCTGGACTATTTAGAAATATAGATCCAAGAAGAACAACTAATGTCAACAGTAGGTGTAGTAGTTTTGGTTTTCTGTGTTTATAAATATTTTTTCTAATTATATAATTCTGGTGTCCAGAAGATAAATGTGATTAATATAATCTACCACAAGCACATGCCCTTAAGGAAAACAAGCAGAAATAAAACAATAAGAAATACTATAAATACATCTAAAGTTGTGTGATTTCTATAAGTTACAAGTGAATTTTACTAAATATCTAGTCTAGATGATTTTCCCAGTGATTCATCCCTAACTTCAGTTTTGAGCAGAAATTCAGTTCTAAAGTTTGCCTAATAATATAAATGGAATCTTTTACTCAGCAGGTTGATCTTCCAGGGGTCATGCCCAGTTAATAGATTCTTGAGGACATCTTTAAATTCTCTTAAATTCTAAAGGAATCCTGAGGTTTGAATACAATGACCCACCAACAGATACCCCAGGCCTATGTTAGAGTATAGGTCTAATGTGACTCAGGCTCTCACTGAACCACCTTCAACCTGACCTGGGAAGACCCTGGCTCTCTAGATCCACCATGTCCAGCTGTCTCCAGCTGAACAATTTTTTTTTTTTTGACAGAGTCTTACTCCGTCACCCAGGCTTCTGACCTCAAGTGATCCGCCTGCCTTGGCCTCCCAAAGTGCTGGGATTACAGGTGTGAGCCACCGCACCCGAATGGTGCTACCAATTTTTTTTTTTTTTTTTTTTTTGAGATGGAGTCTCACTCTGTCATCCAGGAGTGCAATGACGCAATCTCGGCTCACTGTAACCTCCACCTCCTGGGTTCAAGTGATTCTCCTGCCTCAGCCTCCTGAGTAGTTGGGATTACAGGCGCCCACCACCAGGCCCAGCTAATTTTTGTATTTTTAGTAGAGACGGGGTTTTGCCTTGTTGGTCAGGCTGGTCTCGAACTCCTGACCTCAGGTTATCCGCCCACCTCAGCCTCCCAAAGTGCTGGGATTACAAACGTGAGCCACCGCACCCAGACGGTGCTACCATTTTTTTTTTTTTTTTTTTTTTTGAGATGGAGTCTCACTCTGTCACCCGGGAGTGCAAATGACGCGATCTCAGCTCACTGCAACCTCTGCCTCCTGGGTTCAAGCGATTCTCCTGCCTCAGACTCCTGAGTAGTTGGGATTACAGGCACCCACCACCACGCCCAGCTAATTTTTGTATTTTTAGTAGAGACGGGGTTTCACCATGTTGATCAGGCTGGTCTCGAACTCCTGACCTCAGGTTATCCGCCCACCTCAGCCTCCCAAAGTACTGGGATTACAGGCATGAGCCACCACACCCAGATGGTGCTACTTTTTATATCAGTCTCAGTGTGTGAATTGGGCAGGGACATGAGTGTACCAATTGTTTGATGTATATAATTATTTTCTACTTCGTATGATACATGATTCACAATAATTTACAAACTGATAAAACAATAACATTTTAAAAAATGAATTTCCATTATTAGAGATTTCTGAAGAAACATAATGTTGGGATATGGTGGACAAGCGAAGAATTTCCTTACAAAATTATTCTTTACTCTCTGATTGTTTTAACACCGTAAGTTTATCAGACAGGTTCTAGATATTTCCTATGGTACTTAGAGCCACATGCAGATTGTTTGTGCGTTCAAACTGGTCAAAGTTGCGGACCAGAGTGCTGCTATTGATTTGTTTCACTCCGGTGAATGTAAATCATTCATGTTTGGCAGCATTTGTCCTACTGGAGATAAAACATAAGGAATATGTGCACAGCTTCAAAGGTGCAGCTTGACTGTGATGGTAACCCAGCACGCAGTGGGTATGACTGGCATTTTTGAGAATACATCATAAACTCTCCAAGGAGTCTGCACCATCTTCCCTGAGATCATTATATATCCACCAAAATGAGGAGAAGGAGAAGAATGTGGCAAGAGATCAAAAGAGGCAGTCACTATAAACTCACCTATTTTGTTGATGCAAGGCAAGTTGCACTAAGTTTAGGAAAGCAAAAAGATACTCTTCGAGGTCCGGGGAGGAAATGCAGAAACTGCTAATGGGAAAACGAGCATGGTCCATATAGGACTCTGATATTAGAGTTGTTTTTTTTCTACCGAGGCTGCTCTACCCATGAGTATCCCCATCTTCAAGAAACTACTAAAAGTTGAAGTGTTTATTCACGTGTTATTTTCGAACAGTTAACTGTATAAAAGAAAGGCATATTTTCTTTTCCTGCATCCATAAGCCATGTGCCAAAAAAGCTCTTGTTTAACATGCTTCTTAGGATTAAAAGGGTTTCTGCTGCAAACAGGTCTGAATTACATACGCATCTTAAACATGCCTCAGCTTTAAAGGGACACATTCTTCAAGTGAGGCTGCATTTACAGGCGCAATAGATTTTTCCCTCGGCATAAGCCAAAGAGCAGAGACATACTTTAATATTTCTGACAAGATCTGAACTATAATATTGTTCTGTTTGGAAAATTAGGCTTCAAAGCAGAAGCCATACATTTATTTTCAAGATGAGAACCCAAAGAGTAACAAAAATGATTAGAAAAAGAATCTGAAAGAGTGAGACTCATTAAAATGAAAATCTTTGTGTTGATGACTGCATATAAAATCATAGATCATTAGGGCTAAAGGAAGAATGTATTTGCCAGATGTTGAAATGGCAAGATAGTTTCATCTCTCCCTACCATCTGTTAAGAATTCCATCCACAGGTCTCATTAATAATCCTTGGGAAAACAAGGCAACCTTCAGGAGCATTGGGAAAATTATGGATGCATTATAATGAAGTCAGAGCAAAACTGAGGTGAGAAATTCAAACACCTTCTAAACGCGGAGCTCCTAACCAGTGGTCCACGCCAGAATCATCTGAACACAGTGTTTCAAAATGTGCATTCTCAGGCTCCACTGCCAGCCATTTTCATTCATTTGGGTGTGGAATGAAACCTAGGCATATGAATTTTGAAAAAGCCTTCCAAGTGATTTTGATGATAATTCTGGTTAAGAAGAGAAAGCATGTTCTACCTTGTCATTATGTATCTACTACCTTTCCAGTAGATTGCAAACTCTTTTGAAAGGATTCTGTCATATTTACCTTGTGTCCTCTGCTGTCTGTAGCATAGCTGGACTGTAAGCTTGAGGAAGGAAGAGAGCATGCTAGTTTTGTTTATTATCATAATTACTCCTGCCCACCCCTCCCACTCCAGTCCACAGCTAGAAGAGCACATGGTCTATAGTTGGTACCCAAGAAATTGAATTAAAAAAATGAATACTAGGAATTTAATTATATCCATATGGATTTGAATTGATTTTCCTCTTTTCTGATATTATTGTTTACTATGTACCCAGTGAGTTCTCAAATGCTTATTGAGTGAACACACTGAATTTTGGAAGTTAAATATGAGTCACTTTCAGGGGCTTTTGAGTGGTATTTGTAGAAATAAGTCTCATGACTTTATATTCCTGCCCTCTTTCTTTGGGCTTCTATGAAATATATCTTTGGCTTATCCTAGACTTGCTGAGAGCAGCTTAATTATATCGGCTTTCAGAAACGTGAGAATCAACTAATCCAGACTAACAAAACAAGCAGATACAGTTGATCCTGTGACTTCAAGTACCTTCCCAAGTGGCATTATTAATAAATCTTGACTCACAGTACTAGCATAATGCATTATTTTTATAGCTAATGCATCAAAAAGTTATTTGATCCATATGACCATATGATTTCTAAGGTCCTATAATCTGAGTTCTATTCTGAGGAGATATTTCCTATACTTTCTAGTGAAGCATATGAAAGGAAATGAAGCAGTTCTAGTCATTAAATAATTACTTCCATCAGTACATACATAGTATCGGGTAATAGGAATATATTATAATAGCTCACCTCTTCTATATTATTCAAATACCATTTGCTGATAACTGGAAATAAGAAAGAATGCTAAAATTGATTGACATCTAACATGAGTTGTTACTTATTATGGGTCAGCATCGAAGCTCATATATAGAAGAGACGATTTGAAATGTTCAGCTAGCCATCTTCATAGGAATTACAATAAGTTGAATATTTCTCAGTATCTTTAGTAAAGATGCCTATGCCTTATTTACAGTGTATTTGCAATGGACCAAGCTGAAGCTGTATAAATGAGACATATGCTTTGTTTCCATGTTCACTGTTGAACTTATGCTCCAGAAAGTCTTCCTTATTCTCTTCTACCCATAATCTTGCCTCTTTTTGAATCCACATGGCATTGATTTTAGAGCTCATTTGTGCACTTTTCTTGTTCTGTCTTCTTTTAGATTTCTACCAAATTGTAAATACCTATAGGGATAGGAGCCTCTTTTTTTTAATTATACTTTAAGTTCTAGGGTACATGTGCACAACGTGCAGGTTTGTTACATATGTATACATGTGCCATGTTGGTGTGCTGCACCCATTAACTCGTCATTTAACATTAGGTATATTTCCTAATGCTGTCCCTCCCCCCTCCCCCCACCCCACAACAGGCCCCAGTGTGTGATGTTCCCCTTCCTGTGTCCATGTGTTCTCATTGTTCGATTCCCACCTATGAATGAGAACATGCGGTGTTTGTTTTTTGTTCCTTGAGATAGTTTGCTGAGAATGATGGTTTCCAGCTTCATCCATGTCCCTACAAAGGACATGAACTCATCATTTTTTATGGCTGCATAGTATTCCATGGTGTATATGTGCCACATTTTCTTAATCCAGTCTATCATTGTTGGACACTTGGGTTGGTTCCAAGTCTTTGCTATTGTGAATAGCAGGTGCTGGAGAGGATGTGGAGAAATAGGAACACTTTTACACTGTTGGTGGGACTGTAAACTAGTTCAACCATTGTGGAAGTCAGTGTGGTGATTCCTCAGGGATCTAGAACTAGAAATACCATTTGACCCAGCCATCCCATTACTGGGTATATACCCAAAGGACTATAAATCATGCTGCTATAAAGGAGCCTTTCTTAATCATCCTGTGTCTCCTGCTATGATAAGCACATAGCAGGTATCTAATTGTAGACTCTCTGAATTGATAATCACTTATATAGAAATTAATAATGACAATATCTTCTTAATCCCAAGAATAATTACACCATCGTCATTGAAGTGAAAAGAGAACATTTAATTTCAAGTTTTGAAGTCTTTTAAAAATAGATATTATAAGCTGATTTAAAGTAGATCTTTTAACCTGTCACCAAAAGCATTTATTCCAGTTAAAAACTTGATCCGTTTATATATTCATGCATAATTTATATTCCACCCACTTCCAAAAATTAATTGAATAGGCCACTAAGGTGATAGGTGATGCCAGTTAAGGAAATTACTAAAATATCAGTAACAAAACCTACCATAAAAGTTTTATTCCCAAAATCATCTTGGTATTTTTAAATGTTTCTAGGTTAAAATGTTAACCACATCTATATGCTTTATTTCTGTACCAAATAGAGTTTGGGAAGGCTTATTTATTAGACGTTTTAAACTAGTTCCTAGTTTATTATGTGATTCTATCTCAAACATAGCATTTTATATTATTTTTCTTTTAATTGACACTGTTTTGTAAATGTTAAGAACTATAGAGTGAATTTAAATGTATATTTAAAAACCTACGTGAAAGATACTTTAACTCCCGCCTTCAAGTGAATTCAAATAAGGAGAATTCCAAGGAGTGGGGAAATTAGCCAAACACTTTTCCGTCTCAGGAAAGCCATAATAACAAGAATTATAACCTGTTCCTATTTTTCTTAATAGGTGATTTGGGGTAAGGACTCCAAGGAAACAAGAGCGTTCTGTTCTAAGACAGAAACATGAGGCAAATGGAGACAAAAGGAGAGAGGAGACCCCAAGGACAATAGCCTCCCACATTCTCTCCATCCAAGGCACACATGCCAAATTGCATTATTCCAATGAGCTCTGCACAATTAACCTGTCCAAAGGGGTTGCGTGGCTGATGTTTAACTTTCCACCCAGCTACGTTGAAATGTACAGTACATCTTGAACATGTTATTTAAATTGAAAATGAAACATCTGGACACATCAGTACGAGACGGGTCCCACTAAATATGGGAACATGTTTACCCAGGTGGGTTCAATCATAATTTCTACTCCGTGAAATAAAATTTCAATCTCGCCTGCAAAAACTAAAAATTAATTTTAGAGTTTTCTTTAAGGAAATTTTTCTCACAGAAAGAATCATATTTCAATTTTAAATATTGGATAATTTGATCAAATGCCTTTATATTAAATGTGCTAAAAAGGGTTTAAGATAGGATTACAATTAGAATTTATTAATAATAAATTTCTATAAATAGAGTTATATATAAGCAGTCAAATCAGAGAAGGCAGGCAAATCCTGTTTGTCCAATAAAGATAATCATGTGATGAAATAAAAAAAAAAGGAGTTAGATACAACTTTTTTGAGATGTACATTGCCCATTGGCTTTTAGAAGGCACATGTAACAAAAGAACTTTGTCATTCATAAAGAAATCCATAAGTAATTGGGCATCCACGAATAATGATAGTGAGCGGCAAAAGTTAAGGACTTCATTTTCAAAGTCAATGTTGTTTATCAAGGCCTGGAAAATAAACCCCTGTTTATTTCTAACACGCCAAATGAAATCACTGCCAAGTGTGAGATACTGTGATAACCTGGAACGGGGAGAGAAAGATCTGCTTGTAGACTGGAAAGAGACCTGGTGCCCTGACCTCTCTCTGATAGCTGCCAACATTGCCGGGTCTACGAGTAATTCAGTAAACTAGTACGCTCCTTCTCAACATCCCCACCAAAAAAGTCCTTTTTCCAATGTAAGTTCAGTGCTGGTCGGCCTGTAGGAGTTTCAGCAAAGATGAGAATTAAATGTGCTTGCAGGCAAAAACATTTCAGAAATATTGGCTAAAAAGTAGACTCATTGCAACCTGGGAATAGAAATAAGGTCTCATGAAAACACTTAAAAGGACCAAGCAGAGCTTTCTACTTGTAAATAAAGGCTTCTGTTGTGTAGTACAGACAGGGCTTGCCAAGCCTTTAGCTTGAGTGTTCTTGGAGGGGCAAAGGGAAAAAAGGCAGAAAGGGAAAAGAATACAAGGAGGATTTGGGCAATAAAAGAGACAGCCTTGTATTTGTACTTCCTCCTCCACCACCACTGATTCCATCACACTCCCTAGCTCACCCTAGGCTCTCCTGAAATCTGCCCCAAGGGTTCCTTCTTCTTTAGTTGTACCAATCTTCGTATTTTCTGTGAATGGTGTCTTGAGAATGCCTCACAATTTTCTATACATCCTTCTCTGCATTTGGTATATTTTGTGTGACTAGCTGCAAACTCAATGCTATTTACAAGAAGTTTAACTGTCAAACACATAGAGGACAATTCTGGAGAGGTTGAGCCTAGAACATGCCAAACAACAGGTATATGAAAACGCGGGGAGAGAACAGCCTATTCTCCTTGTGCTGATGAACTCAATCTAGTGAAAAGCACAAGTAGCAAGGTGGATTAGGGCTGGAGGTAGAGCTAACATGTATGAGCCTTGGTTCCTATGAACTTGTTCATACACGAACAGGTTGAGGACTGGGTCTCTGCCAGAAAAGAAAAGAACCTCCCTTGGTTCCTAAGATAACTACTCCAACCCATAGTTGCCTAGGATTGGCCTGATCAATGCCTTCCTAAGCACTCTGTAACACCTCATAACTTTAGCACTAACACCCACGGCCTTGATCTATTTTTCTGCACCCGTTCCTATCTGACCAGGCTAATCTGCTTCAAAACTTTGCTACCATTTATTGGGTAGCCACTGTATGCCTGCTCATGTGTTAGGTGTTTTACATATATTTGCTGTGATCCTTGCAACTTATATTGTTGCAACTGTAAAGTGTATGTTACTGTCCCCATTTTACAGATGAAAAAAAGGAGACGCAGAGAGGTTAAAAAAATTAGCCTAAGCATGCAAAAAATGATGGTATAGCTGAGAATCAAACCAAATCAGTCTGGCTCCCAAGTCAATGTTCAACGCACCAAACCTTAGACTACCCAACAGATCTTCAGTATGCTTTCCAAAGCCTTCCACGATTCCACTGCTCCTTCCTTCCAGCTCCTTCCTTCCAGCTCCATCTCTGACCCTCCTTGTGGAGGCAATAGTTAAATACTTGTTGTCCACCATCCCCCATCTCTTCAGTGTGTTTATTTATGCTCTTTCCTCTGCCTGAAATACCACTCTCCAATCAAGCTTAGCACCTCCTCCTCTTTCCAGATGTGGTTTCCTCAAGAAAGACTCTCTGATACCTCTCTCATACACAAGCACCCTAAGCCATCTTCATCAGATCACTTTCAGTAGTCCACTGCCACAATGATCAACTTTAGGTGTGTTCCCACCTACACAGTAGCCTTCCAAGGTAAGAAACCTGTCTTTGTTAACTTTCACATCTCCAAAACCAGGCACAATGCTTGGCATAAGCACAAACTCTGAGGGTGCTTGTTGAATGGAATTCATCTGAAACTTCAGAAGTGCCTTCCCATTGTGTCAGGGTGTGTGTGTGTGTGTGTGTGTGTGGGTATGTGTGTAGGCGGAGGAAGGAGGGACAGTGTGTGTTTAATCTTCTCAACTAACTTTCACATTTTTTTGAGAGTAGGGTCAATGTCTTCTACTTTCATTAGTGTGCTTGTCTTTCAAAGCTCCTTGCCTACTGCAGACAGCAGAGTGAATGGCCCTATTTTCATGTCATGTTAAAGACACCCATGAAGGTGAACTGAACTATACAGAAGAGAAAGGTAGCCAGGGAGCTGATAACAACAGAGAAAAATGAGAATTTACTCAGCAGGTGGATCTCACCAACTTGCAGAAGGCTTTAAGATTCTAACAAAATTAAACAATATAAGGCTAGACAATTAAGAATAAATATTGAATGGAGACAGCCTAAAAAGAAAAGTAGGTATTAATAGGCATTTGAAATGAACCACTTACTTCAATTTAGGCACTAAATTTAGTAATGCTTCCTGACAAATAAAACAAAGTCAGAAGCCATTCAGTACCATGACTTACCAGTATTCGTTCACAGTGGTTTAAACATGTAAGGGCTCATTCCTCTCATGGGGATCTAAAGCCAGTGGCCACCAGCCCTGATTCGGTAGCTGGATCATGTCAGGGCCAGCATCTCTGCAAGTCTGTTGGTCTTTTCCTTGAGCTTCTTGCGCTGCAAGACAGCTGCTGCTGTTCCAGACATCACATCCAGGTTTAAGGCATGAAGAAGGGAAGGAGGCTTAATAAACCATGTCTGATCCTTATATTAGGAAAAGCAAAAGCCTTTATAGACCACTTCTGATGTTTTACTGATTCGAACTATGTCACATGGTCACTCATAGCTGGAAGAGGGTTTTAAAAACATGGCTTACTTGCAGCTAGGCACATTGCTGCCCAGATCAAAACTGGCATTTTGTTCGCAAGGAGGAAGAAAGTAATATGTACTAGATTAAAAACTACACTAATTGCAGATTGTAGTTTTCATTGTCTGCTAAAAGACTTCATGTAAACCCCAGAAGAAATTTATTACACACTTTAATAACTAGTTGATGAAGTAATAAATACATGTTTGGTCACCTAACTGAATTCTTTGGAAAAAACACAAACTTTTTCTTTATTTTTTATAAAAGTACCTGTGAAAATTTTGGAAAATAAATTATAAAATATAAGAAAATAGTGACCTGTAATCATGTCCCCCAGAGACAGAATATTTTGTTTGAATGAAGAATGCAGTTATATATGTCATTATAGAATATTTAGAAATTACTCAGCACATATAATTAATATCTCATAATTCTACCACCCATAGAACATAGAGCAATTTTGGTCATTTTGAAAAGAGAAAATAACTTTTCACAAAATTTTAAATTATATACTTTCTTTAAAAAATACAGACATTGAACCAAAATTTTCTATAAAGCGTAAATAGCATGGCCATAAATTTGTGTACAAAATTTAATCTGTCTCCTATCATTGGACATCTAAGTTGCATGCATTATGAAGAACCCTAGCATTAACATTATTATAGATAAATTTAGGGACAAATTATTATTCTTTCCTAGGGAATAAATGCTAGAAGTAAAACTCTAGTGGCAAATGTATTAAACCTTTTCAAGATTTTTGATACATGTTACCAAATTACATATGATATGGTTTGGCTGTGTCCCCACCCAAATCTCACCTTGAATTGTAATAATCCCCATGTGTTGAGGGGGGCGCCAGGTGGAGATAATTGAATCATGGGGGTGGATTCCCCCATGCTGTTCTCATGGTAGTGAATAAGTCTCCTGAGATCTGGTGGTTTTATAAATGGGAGTTCCCCTGCACAGTTCTCTCTCCTGCCATCATGTAAGATGTGACTTTGCTCCTCATTCACCTTCTGCCATGATTGTGAGGCCTCCCCAGCTATGTGGAACTGTGAGTCAATTAAACCTCTTTCCTTTATAAATTACCCAGTCTCAGGTAAGTCTTTATTAGCAGCATGAGAACAGACTAATACATCATGTCAGAAGAGTTCTACAACGTTCATCTTAATAATAATAAGACGGCCATTTTTCCTGAAACCTGGGTAATGTCTATACATATGTATCTGTGTGTATTTATGTATACTTACATGTATCTTATCCAATGGCAAGGTTATATATGTCTATATATAGATTATTATGTATATATAATATAGATATAGATATATATGAGATCTATATGTAAACTTGCAGTTAGATAAGTTAAAAACTGGCATTAAATAATTTTGCTTAAATTAGTTTTTCTGTGATTACTTGTATGAGTAAACATGTTCTAAAGTGGCTTATTAAAAATGTGTGTCTTTTTCCATATTGCCTGTTTATATACTCGTCTGTTTTCCATTGAGATAGTTATATTTATTTGTATGTGTAGCTTCCTATATAAATAGTAATTCTTATTTATGAAAGAAGTATACAAATATAATAATTTATTTTTGGATTTCTAATTTTGTTTATGGTAGTCTTGGATTTCTCTAATTTTAAATATAGATCTTTTTGGAAGCTTTTAAAGAAACACCCATGGGTAGTATATTTTCAAAGTCATTGCACATATGATAAAATCTTTCTATTGTCTTCACATATGCCATGGACGGCAACTGTCTGGATATATGATTTTTTGTTAACATCCTTTAATGTCAAAATTCTAGTTACTTCCTTATATAACTTCTGGAATTCTGTGTTGTATACAATTCTTTGTTAACACCCTTTTAAACTTCAAATTCTAGTTATTTCTCTATCTGACCTCAAGAAATTAATGTTGTAAACAAACTGTCTAAAGTTAGTCTGACATGGTTCCTTTGTAGCTAACTTTTCCCCCGTGTGTTCTGGTTTTTTTAAAAAAACATTATCTTTTAAAAAGGGAAAACCCCTGAGAGGTAGTTTGTTAGCATGAAGTCTTCTCTTTTTTATTAAAATTTAATATCTCGGGGGCACAGTGAGCATGTTTAACCTTAGCATGTGAATCTTTTTAGTGCAAAAAATATTTCTTTAGCTATGTCTTGGTCATTGCTCCTTAAATAGGTGTACTTCTTTAGGAATACTGGTAAACTTTAAGTGGGTTTTTTATATGTTCTTTTATATCTGCTATATTTTACATCCTTGTCCTCAACTCTTTGTCCTTTTTAGCTACATTCCTAAAGATTTCCCAGTGTTTTCTCTAGGTCTTTGATCCAGTTTTCTATAGTATTAATTCTGACCTTCATTATTTCCAATGATAATTCAGATAAGTCTATTGCACTTACAGTTTTCTTTCAATTCTACCCTATTTTACCCAATTCTTGCTTGGTTTTCATCCTGATTTTTTTTTTCCATTTCTTTCACGTCTTTCTGCTCCTGTGTCATGAAAGGCATGTCTACTTGCTGCCTATTTCAGGAGCCAAATATTAAATATCTTCTTTTAGCCATGACAGTAATTTATTTTCCTATGTGTCCTTAGGATAATTTCCTTATTCTGTATTTTTTTTTCAAAATTCTCACATATAGGATAGACTGACATACTCAGTATTTCCAATTAACAGGATATGTGATTGGCCTCAGAGCTCTCACTTATTTCAGTGTTGATCGTGGCAGATTCTCCTAGCCCCCTGTCCAGTGTCTAGGTAGCATTCAACTGGAGTAGTTATGCTAGATTGGTGTGATATCTTTTATTCTCAATATCTGGTTCTTTGATCCATAAATTTGAATGCTGTTGGCCCTTCTAAAAATTTTACCAAGTGTTTTCCCCAAAGAGTTTTGAATGCCACCTTGGACTTCCACTTATAGAACTGCTAGAAATGTGACCATCACAGACGTTTAACGAAGAAATTAAAGTAGCAACCGCTGCTAAGGTTTTTGAGCTGGCTGGCCACAGAGGGGATGACCTTCTACCTATAAAGAATTCTTCTCTTTAGGAAGAAGCAGAATGAAGCAAAGCAGAAATAGAAAAACTCTACATTCATACTTGGGCTTCTCCTATGGATTTAAATTTACAAACTAGCTAAATAATAAGTAACAATGTATACTCAGGAGCATAATAAATCTAGGCATTCTCCTATATGATTCATCTATTCACTATTGACTATAGTGTATATGGGATCTTGGTGGGGGAAATTGTAATTACTCATATTTTAATAAAGACAGTGGTACTTTATTAAAATATTTGAATTTGAAAATGTTTTCAATAGGCGGAAAGCCACAGCCCAGCTCATAGCAGATGACTGAATGAGTACAGACCTTTTTTTGCAAGAATAAACCTGAAAGGGGTGGGAGCTGAGATGGAATTGGGGTACTCTCTTCTTCCTGTCTCCAAGAGGTAGCCTCTCAGCGATTGGAAGAGCACATTGAGCTGAGAAAGCTCTAGGTGGACAAGTCAAGCTCCAAATTGACCCGGCAGCACACCCCAGGGAGCAGCTGTATGCAGAAGCACTTTATGAGTTTCCAATTGTGTCCACAATCTATTCAATTCCAGCGCACTATGCTTATTTACTGTACTTACAGCAATTGGTAGTTTTACTGTACACAAAATTCCTAGTTTTCATGGACAGTTGCCTCAGTGCTTGAGATTTATATAATGAGAGAGAAGTGTGCAGACACAATGATTATTACACATCCCGTTGTCCTGAGCTGAGCAATGAAATAGAAAGCAGAATGCCTACATTCTAATCCAGCCTTGGGCCCTGTCTGACCTTGGGAGTGTTCCTGAATCTCTAAGTTTCAGCTTCCATATCTGGTTGAACGATATCATCTCTAAAGTCCTTTCAGCTGTAACACCCTACGATTCTCTTTTCAAATAGAGAGGACATCCTTCCTCTTACCGGACACTAAGAGGGTTTACTTTGCAAATGTGGCTCTCAGAATTTTATAGTTGTTCATTTGAACGTAAACAGAAAATTTGTTTATGATGTTCTTCTCCATACTGTAGTTTGGGATAAGAAGGGTGCATTTTTTCAATATGTTCAACTTTCAAAAAGACATGCTGGAGGAAGTCAGCCAATTTCTGCCCACACAACTTCCAAGTGACGTCAATGGAAGCAGAGCACACAGATCTCTAGGCAAGTTTTGGCTCATTATGTGAAGGTTTTTTTTTTTTTCTTTTTTTAAAGAACAACTGCAAAAATGATTGCTCTCAACTCAAATTACACAATTTGTTCTTCTTTGTGCCCTGAGTCAGCAATAGACATAATGTGGAAAATAAAGCAAAATCTCCTTTTTACACATCAAATAAAAGAGTCCATAGTTATCTGAAACACAGAATATTTGAGATTTTGAGCACTCTCTAAGCAATATTTCCTCTTGCTGTGGCCTCTGCTTAATTTCAATATAGAAGGTTGATCAATGATCATCAGATGGACAACTGGAAAAATATATCTACTTTTTCTTATTTTGATCCTAGATTTGTTCTTCAGTCCTGCAATTGATCTTGTATATCATTGGCTTATTGCTTAACCCTTGGAAGTATTTTAAAGGACTTACCTGACAAGCAGATATAACTGGTGTTTTGTTAGCTCAGCTTTTCACAAATAAGTCAAATAGTTCTGTTACTATGACTAGAAGAAGAAAAATAGCTAATAGAAATGTAGCTGTTAGTATATAATCGGCACATCCTGGCTCAATTATCACAGCAACCCTGGAAAGTTGATGTTGTTATTCTCCTCATTCTACTGATTAGGAAACAGGATGAGAGAGGTTAAATAATTTTCACAAAGTCACAGCACTGAGTAAGTGGTATTTAGATTCCAAACCAGGCAGTCTGGTTTCAGTATCTGTATTCCTAACCACAATGCTATCTAGATAATAATTTATTCTTCTAATCAAAAAGCATTTAATGATGCCTAATTATTCTAGGCTCTGAGTAGAGTCAGTTACTAGGTAATGTGGAATAATGACATGGGAACAAAGGGCAAAGATAAGGGAGGGAATTCAGATTTTCTTTGCACCTAAACTGGCCCAAACACTGTACTCAACACCTCACATCTATTTCGTCTTTGCAAAAACTGTATAAGCAAAGGTTGTATCAGTGGCATTTTATGGATGAAGAAACTGAATTGTAAGGAGGTTATCACTTGCTAAAGATTGCACAGCTGGTAAGGCTTGGTAAAGGCTTGAGTTCTAACCCATCTGTGTGTTTCTACCACCTACACTTCCTGTACTCCAATATGCTGCTTCCAGGAGTATGTGCAAGTGAAATACTCAGTTTAGTGTCTGAGCTAGAATGAGGGGCACACAAAGTTTCTCCTAATATTGGGGAAGCTCTAAAAGTTGTTTAGGGGTAATGTCAACCAAACCAAATTTCTACATTTCAGAGCTTCTCCTATAGTATTCTACTTTAGTCTGCATTGCCCAAACTGTGCTGGAAGGACTGCCTTCAAGTTCAGGGCCAAAGAGGTCCATGAACAAATTGGGACATAATTCCAATGAATAGCACACACATTAGAATTAAAATAGCATCAAAACATTAAATTCCTTTTTAAAGTGGTAATAAATGAGTTCAGTATTTTATGTACAAAATCTTGTATTTTTAGAGAAATTAATAGAAAACTTTTGCATGAACTTGCATAGCTTTTCATGAGCATGTACAGAAATGAAAACTGGCATCCTCTATAGGGTGCCCTAGAAGGACCATTCTGTAAACATTAGAAGGTGAAATATATGAGAAATCTGTAAGAAAGTACTTTTCATTTTTCCAAAGCAAAATGCAATATAGATTTAGAGTTGCTTTATTTTTCCCTTTTTTATTTGAATAGAATGCTTTTCCTAAAAAATATTACCAACTAAGTAAGAGGCAGTTTGGATTTAAATTGTTCTCCTTTCAGAGTTTGTTCCCATCACATCAAATGTCTTATTTATATTCAAATACCACAGGGAATGGGCAAGAAATTGTATGTTTAAACTGGACTTTTTCAAGGCTTTTAAGGCCAGAATATTTTCTTTGCCAAAGACTAAATTATTGCAAAGTGGGGCAAGCACCTGACCTTGTGGCAAGTCAGAATAAGTAAATATCTCCACCTGGAATTGGAAACCAATGCTCCCAAGACCCCAGAGCATCATTTATTAGCCTGATGGCAGCTTTCTGCTTGTTGCTGGCTGAGCCTGATTATACATATGAAAAATGGGAATCACCCAGAGATTCTCTCACCCTAACACAGAGCCCACTTTGCTTATGTACTTGCTCTTGCAAATTCCATTACCTTCCACGCCACCACAACCCCTTGAAAACCCAGAAATACTTATAGACAACAGATTACCCCAGTCCATCCTTTCTCCATTTCCAAATGGGCATTCTGATTACATTTCTAACCAACTGTCAATCAAGGGGGTCTCAATAAATTCTCTTTCCAACCATCTCATGGTAATAGTATGATATTAACTATATTATATCAAACACTGTGATGTAAAATAACTTTGACATGTGTAGGGACATAGTCTTACTTTTAGTCATAGCATCGACAAAATTTTAATGCATTTCTTAACTTGACTCTCCTTCATGGGGATATACAGGGTCTCTGAAGAGATCTGTGTATACCTGATCAGAGACTGGCCATTCCTATCCATCCTGCATGAGTAACACAAGATATGACTCACTGCTGTTCATTAACCTCATAGAGTTCATTTACCTTCTGCAGAAGTAAAATTGATTTGCTCTTTGTAAAGCTGGGTGACAGAACTTTTAGGATTCCTGGAAGTCACATTCAGGGGTGGTTCATGGGCATGGAATCTGTGCAGTTGCACAGGGTCCCATACTCAGAAAGGCTCATGTTTGGTTGGTTTAACGTTTTGCTGTCACCATCTTGAAATCATTAATAACTTCTGAACAAGGGGCCTTGCATTTTTATTTTGCAGTAGAATCTGCAAATTATGTGGCCACTACTGACCACATTATAGTATCAGTGTAGCAAATACAGTTGATTGAAAATAAAAGAACTAAAAAATCAACCAAGTGCCACTAACATATTTGAGAGTTTTTTCCAAGTAAGATGTTGCATTTAGTAAATTGACCTGAGTTTTATTTTATTTTTTGGTAAAATAGTCCCGTTTTTTAGACTGATGTAATTCTCAATGTGTTATGATGCATACATACATGCGTGTGTGTGTGTATGTGTGTGTGTGTGTGTGTGTGTGTGTGTGTGAATACATTTTTAATGGTTGATAAGAAAATTGAGCAGGAGGGAAGTGACAAAAGAGAAACACTAACCAGATTCCAAAGTCTTTTTACTTAGTTGTGGCTAAATGCTTAAAACATCCAATACGGTCTCCTTTCACTATAATCATCACGTTGCCTCTTTCAGAGAATTCACATTCCTGTCTTATTTTTGGATTATTGTAATTTATAAAAATATTGCAGATGTGCAATATGTCACTAAAGCTGAGCTTGAACATGGCCGAACATCGTGGAAGCCTAGTACCTGAATGCCTTCCTAACAGTCAGCCGAGCACAGCCCGTCTTGCCATGTTTCTCTTTCTTTCTCTGTGTGGGTGCGAGGGTGTGGGGAGTGGGCCAGCATGACGCTAAACGCACTACGCAAAAGCCAGCATGAATCCCAGGCCTTTTTCTGGACAGAAAGGACTGATTGTGTGGCGAGCAGCTGGAATGCGTGCCAGTCACTTTTGGAGTGGTGGTCACAGGCATCGTTTTGCTGGATTGTTTGAGGAGAAGCAGGACAGAAGGGAGCTCTCCTGCCCTGTGCTGCGGTGACCCTGTAATTTTCCTCCTCTTCTTTGTTCAAATTATAAAGAAGAGTCCCACATGTTCGGAAAACTTCAGCCCGGTTTTTTCAATTGGACGCTGCTGTTTCAAAAGTACAACCTTCTCTTTCTGGTTGCTTGGAAGTGACGGTTCAGGAAGTGTGCCCACAATGACATGAGTTAGGGAACTCCGCAGAGCAGGCCTATGGTGGAGACTCAGGATATTTTAGTCAGGGTCTGTGGATAAGGCCCATGTTAGGACAGTAAAAAGCTTGAAAAAGAAGCATTTTAGAGAACTTATTGTATAAATGGTTAACGAGAAAGCCAGAATGATTTGTGATATCTTAAAGTTTATTTTAAAAGTTTCAGATTCTTTACAAAACAAGCAAAATCTTTACCCGTTGAACTACTTATAGATCTACTGGCTATGATTTTACAAAGTTAGGGAAACTGCAAGCTCTCCCTTTGTCCTACTGTTTGATATTTAGCTATTATCCCATCAGTCGAGGTCTCAGTCTTCTGAACAGTCATCATTTTACACCATTCCCAAATGGATATTCTGATAACAGAACTTACAGCTCTTGCCCACCCAATCTCACCTACCAAGAATAGAGATTATAGATGATTATACCATATAAGAGGAAGACGCTAGAAATGTCTTCCCTATTTTGTTATTTTTGTTGGATTTTATTCTTCAAATTAAAGTAAGAGAGACTTGAAGTTCTGGATTATATATAAATTCTCTGCAAGCACTTGCTTGACTAAATGGTATGAACGTACTTATATAGTGTCCTGATGTAATGACTCATACAAATACTTTTCATAGCAGAAACATTTACATGTCTTCTTTTGACTCAAATGTTAATGAGGTTTGTTTTTTTTTTTTTTTTTTTTTTTTTTAATCCTCTAGGCTTTTCCCAGGATGTCATTGTGGAAAGGTGGTTAATGAGAAATCGTTTGAGTCTAAATGCATTTTTACCTTTCATATTATATAGTTGGTAGGGTAACCAAACTTAACCAGCTAAATTGACCCCTAATTGCCCACCTACCTATTCTTCCCAGCTCATGAAAATCTCTGAAATGACATGGCAAGGTCAGAGGAAAGCAACTGATGAATGCTGGTCCTTGGTGAACTGCAAACTCTGTTCCTACATCCAGGAAATCTCTGCTGAAATCTCTGCTCAGCTCTCATTTGGCCTCCTAGCTACAGCTTTCTGCTGCTGCTTTTTATAAAATTCCTGGAGACCCTCCCTGCACATGCAGGATTTAGGAGTCAGCCAACAATTTAAGAAGACTTGGTAGAGAGATTTTGACATTCCTTCCACCTGGCTCTTCTTTGAGACTACCTTCCATTTCCAACTCTTCTAGCAGCCCTAAACTCTGACCTCTGTTTCCTTAAACCAGTAAAATTGTGCCTTTCTACTTGGATTCTCTCCCCTGGCACCCCAAAGAATTACAGAGCTTAGTTTTCACGGATCAGGCCTCTTCCAGTTTCTGCTTGCTTTGGTTGCTCAGCGGTGCTTTTAGTCAATTATTTGTTTATATTTTGTCTAGTTTCTATAGTTGTTATCAGAGGAGAATTAGTCCAATACAAGCTACTCTGCTATGCTCAGGCCTGCAAATCTCAAATTACTATAATTAATAAGAGAATATTAGAAATGTGCTGGTTAAAAATTGAATGTACAACATTAACTGTTTCTATATGCCTAGAAAAAGTAGTTAGACAATGTAATTTTAATTTACATTTACAGCTTAGTACAAGGATATAAAGTACAGAATAATATTCCTAAAAATACATGTAATACTCTTATAGATAAAATTATAAAACTTATTGAATAAACAGTTTTGAAAAACTTTGAAGAAAACCTTAATAAAGACAGATATATCCTGCTCTTGGATAGACTTGTTATAAAGAAGATATTCATTCCTCCTATAGGGAGGAAATGGGCAAAAGATTGAAAAGACATGTCATATCAAAGGAAATAGAAGATGGCCCCTAAACATTTGGGAAGATGCTGTAACTGAAAATCTCAGGAATGCAAAATTAAGTTCTTAGGAGATATTATTTCATATTTACCAAATTGGCAGAAATTTGAAAGTTAGATAATATTTTGTGGAGTATTATGAAGAAACAAGAAGGTTTGTCAACTGCTTTTTTTTTTTTTTCTTGAGACGGAGTTTTGCTCTTGTCGCCCAGGCTGAACTGCAGTGGTGTGATCTTGGCTCACTGCAACCTACACCTCCTGGGTTCAAGCAATTCTCCTGCCTCAACCTCCTGAGCTGCTGGGATTACAGGCATGTGCCACCACGCCCGACTAATTTTGTATTTTTTTTTTAGGAGAGACCGGGGTTTCTCCATATCGGTCAGGCTGGTCTCGTATCCCAACCTCAGGTGATCCTCCCACTTTGGCCTCCTAAAGAGCTGGGATTACAGGCGTGAGACACCGCACCCGGCCTATCATCTGCTTTTAGGAGTGTAAATTGGTCCAATTTCCTTAGAAACTATTGTCATCACCTATTTTACAATTCAGTAAGTTTACTCCTAGATATTTACCTAAAGAAACATTTACATGTATCTGTATAAAAATATTTATAAGAATATGTTAAAAAAAACAAAAATGAAACACTGGAAGCAACTGAAATGTCTACCAAGAGGGGAAAGGATAAGTACATTGTATTATATTCACACATTAGAGTACAATACCACAGGCAAAATGAATAAAATAGAGCTATATCTCAAAATGGAGGAAACTTGAAAATCTAAGTTTGAAAGAAGGAAGCACAAGTATCCAATTTGTTCCCATTTGCAAAAAGTTCAGGCAACATACAATAATATGCTGCTTGGGGAATACCTATGTAGGTGGGTCTAGTGAGAAAGAAAAGAAAGAGAATAAGATAAATTTCTGAATGGTCAAAAAAACACCAGCATCAAGTAGAAAAGTCTGTTATAGTATGAACGAAATCACAGAGAATTTACCACAAGTTTACCTGGTATCTCCAGTACCTAGAAATATTTGCCTTTTTCAATTATTATAAACTAATCTATGCATGATCAAGATAAGTGGATTTTGTTAGTTAAAGCATTAAGTTATCAAAGTGAACTTTGGATCTTATGTTAGTTATGACAATATTTGAGAATTCAGTTATGTTCCTTAACTTTTAATATAAATGACTTTGTGTTTTGAATTGTTGTGGGGCATGTAAAATTGTTGTTAAATTACTGTGAAATTTTAAAAAGAAAAAAAAATTCGGAGTGGTCATTTCCTCTGGATAGATGAAGAGGAATGCGAGTGTGTAGAGAAACAGAAGGGATCTCAGAGGTGTGGTGCTGTCATATCTTCTTTCGTGCCCTGAAGATGGGAACATGGGTACTCTCTGATCATTCTTTAAATTGTGCATTAATAGTTATATATTCTTCCTATAATCCCAGCACTATGGGAGGCCGAGGTGGACGTATCACTTGAGGCCAAGAGTTTGAGACCAGCCTGGCCAATGTGGCGAAACTCCAAAACTACAAAAATTAGCTGGGAGTGGTGGTGTGCGCCTATAATCCCAGCTTCTCCAGAGGCTGAGGCACGAGAATTGCTTGAACTGGGAATGTGGAGGTTGCAGTGAGCCGAGATCATGCCACTGCACTCCAGCCTGGGCCACAGAATGAGACCCTGTCTCCACAAATAAATAAATAATAAATAAATAAATAAATATTCTCTTTGTATGATAGTTCATAATAATCATATATGTTATTTTTATATTTTTAATTTTATTTTATATTTCACCAAGTAGAATTTTTAACTGCTTTCTGGAGTTGCTGCGGGAAGATCAAAGTGTCTACGCAAAAGTGGCCTGGTGATAGGGTGGGGCCCAGAGCCCAGTGCTGGTGGAGACAAAAGTGCAAGGTACAGCATTGCAAGGTCAGCAGCCGTAGACTCGGATCCTCGGCAAACGCAGGTGTGATCTTGGGACTAGCTCTAGGCTGAAGAGCTCACATCTAATTCTCCAGCACTATGAGCCAGCTAGTCTTGTAATGGCGCCCTCTACTGCTTACATTTGCAAGAGACTGTTCCTGTTGCTTGCTACCTAAAATCCTGACAGGTGTATTGCTTTTGTAGTGTCTGTGGGAATAGGTGAGGATATCCAATAAGGACACTTGAAATATGAGTTTGAAATTTAGGAATGATGTCTGACATGCGATATAGCTGTTACCAATATACAGTCATTTGTGAACACAGCTAAGTTCACCAGGGAGGGTGTGAAACTCAAAGAGTATGAACCTCAAAGCTTACCCACTACAACATCCAAGGGGGATCCAACTCCTCACTTACCAATATCTGTGCTTAGATGGTGTTGGGACAATCTTGGTATCCACAGGTCCCACTCCTCTAGAAGCCAGTATCACAGTCAGCACTTTAGAACTGTCAGTAACACCGAGGTTATACAAGTAACTACTCACTAATTGTTTGTTTTTTGTTTTGTTTTGTTTTTCACTTTTAAAGACTTTCTTTTTTACAGAAGTTTTAGGTTCACAGCAAAATTTGGAGGAAGATATATTCCCCATAAGCCACTTGCCCCCACACAGGCATAGCCTCCTCCATTATCCACATCCCCCACCAAAGTTTGCTACAGTTGATGCATCTACAATGACACATCATTATCATCCTAAGTCCATAGAGTCCCTTAGGGTTCACTTTTGGTGTTGTACATTCTATGAGTTTGGAAAAATGTATAATGATATCAATCCTTCTTTATAGTGCCATATGGAGTATTTTCACTGCCCTAAAAATCTTCTGTGTTCCAGCCACTCATCCCTCCCACAACCCCGGCTCCACCCACTACCTTCACCACCCCCTGCCCCCGCATCTAACCCCTGGCAATTTTTAAACTTTTTTTATTGCATTATCTCGACACAGCCAAGGAGATTATTTTATGAGAATATTAATGAAAATTTCCCCAAGAGTAACCCCATATTCTTAGAAAATATCTGACCATCATTCTGCATGATTAACCTACATTCTGGTCTCAGAAGCATGACTAAGAAGGAGTTTAAAAAACAGATTGGTGGGGCAGTAATTATGCAGTTGATAACACAAGGCTCTACCCTGTGTACATAAATCTTTCACAGGAGGAAAAATATTTAAAATGTAAGAATTAAAAAGCAAAAACATTTGGCTATAAAAAGGGATTCAGTAATTACAATGAACATCTCATTAAACATAGTCTTTATTTACAAGAAGGCTGGGAGAGCTCTAATTAACTCATAAGCTGTCCCTATGAATCATTAGCTGTGGCAGGAAAATTCTAGGTGATCCATTAAATCTCCACACCCACAGCTGTTCAGGGAAAAATATAAGCAAACCCTAACTGCCCTTATTTTGGATGGTTGGTGAATTTTCTTCAGTGACCAACTGGATGACCTTGGCCACCACACATCATATATTTCTTCTCCCCAGGGGAAACTGAAGTCCTCTTTTTCTATAACCAAGGATAGGATTTTCTCAACACTCAACAAATAGTTTGTCCATCTTTGAACAAACTTTTAAACCAACGTGATATAAACAATTTACAAAAGTTTATGGTAGACTTTAGATGCAAATCCTTGAGTTGACCCAGAAACATTCTGCTGTTTTATTATGTCAGTTTCCTAAGTCTGTGTTTGAATATGATTTTTCACCATGCTATCTATGTGTTTTTGTGTTTGCTGTGTATGAGAAGACATGGTCTAATTATTAGGGGCCAGGCACTGTGAACCTATGCAGAAAACCACAAAAGTCCAAATCTGCACTATCCAATATGGTAACTACAAGTCTCTTGTAGATTTTGAGCTCTTGCTGTGAAGCTCTGAATTGAGATGTACTACAAGACTTCAAAGAGCTAGTACAAAAAAAGTAAAATATCTCATGAAAAATTGTATAATATTTTTGACTACTAGAAATATTTAGCTGCTAGAAATTTTTAAATTTCATATATGTGCCTTGCATTTGTAGTATACATAATATTTATATTGAATGGCAGGACAAGTGGCCACTGTGAGCCCAAAGTACACATGGAATATTTTTGAAAAGAAGCCAGGAGTTCTAGAGCTATAGAATTTCCTATCTGGAAGAGATTTCCAAAAGTAAATAGTGTAAAAGTGCTTATATTTGTCCAACATAGCCCTCACTTTCCACCACACACACGTTAACACATGTAAATGTCCATGCATGCAACACTGTGACCAGCATAAGCGAAGAGTTGCTATACATTAAGAGTTTGGCATCACTGGAAGAATCTCCTACCTAGTACAGTTCTCTCTCTGTATCCCTGGGTTCCACATCAGCAGATTCAACCATGGCAAAATGAAAATATTAGAAAAAAATGAAAAATACAACAATAAAAAAATACAAATTTAAAACTCAATAGAGTATAACAACTATTTACATACATAGCGTAGCATTTACTTTTTATTAGGTATTATAAGTAATCTAAAGATGATTTAAAGTATCCAGGAGGATGTGCATAGATTATATGCAAATACTATGCCATTTTATATTAGGGACTTGAGCATCTGCAGATTATGGTATCTGCAGGGGTTCTGGAACAAATCCTCCATGGATACCAAGGGACTATATTTCTAAATGTTGGGGATTTAAAGGAAGAATATACCTGAAAGAAGAAACTGAGAGAACAAGCAGGAGAGATCACTGGCTGAATGAATGGAAAAGTGAAGGACATTCCAGAAAAGGAAAATAAAATGAGCAACAGCTGAGAGGAAAAAATAAACATGGGTCTTTAGGAGAATAGTGACAGTTGGGCTATTAGTAACAATAATTAATATCTGAAAATAGCTTTTAATTTACATAGATTTCATCACAGGCATTATTTCATTTCATCATGATAGATATCTATTTTTATCATTCCCATTTTACAGATAAAGAATGAGGCCCAAATTTAAGGAGCTTGCCCAAGATCACACAGTCGGTAGTGCCAGAATTTAGGGGATCAACCATCCTGTCTGCCCTGGGCTGGGGTTTCCAGCACTCAGGACTTTCAGTGCTAGAAATGAGAACATCCTGGGCAAAGCAGGGAACTTGCTCACTCTACCCTTGAACCCATGTCTTCTGACTCTAAATCCCATTCTCTTTGCATTGATAATAATGACAAACATCTATTGAATACTTTAGGTGTACCACGAACTTTGTAATAAGAACTTCACATAATTATCTTTTTAATCTACAAAACAACTTTATAAATTGAGTATTGATTTTGCACTTCCTCCTCCTACCACCCCACATAGTCCAGATATAAAAAAATTAAGTCTCCCAGATCATTGATAACTTACCCAATGTCACACAGCTGGTAATGTCTGGATTTTAACTCAGGCCATTCCAGTCCAGGGCCTGTGCTGCTAACCACCATGAAAGATGCCCAGCCTGGTGCTGCCACCTCACCTGCTTGCTAAGGCCCAGGGTTCCTGCTGGACCTTTTGACCCACTCCTTTATTTTTTCATCATGTTAGTATGAAAACATAGCTTGACTGGAATCCAGCGTCCACTACTGCGGTCACTCTTTAGTGCATAACACCTATGCCTCCTGGCTTTGATCTTGCCAGTCTTCCATTTGAAATGACCTCTCATATTAACATCCTACCAATGCCTGTCCCACCTTTTAGTAGGTACCTTGATTCAAAAAGAGTTCTTAAAAAGTAAAAGAAAAAAAGTTTCCTTTTCATTTAACATGTACTGGCAAGAGTTGCCAGATAATTTGTCTTTAAAATTAAAACAATTATGCTTTCTTTAATAAAACCCTAGTTTTTTGTTATCACCTTTGATGTAATTTTTAAAAAGCTGTTCTTTGAAAGAATATGCATTATTTTTATATGGCAGAACTTTACACCATTTGAAGCACCAGAACAGATATAAAATGTTACTTCATGTTATCATTCCCAGTATGAGAATGATGAGCTTGTCATTTTCCTAAGACCGTAAATTCCTGAGTAAAAACAACTATGCCACTTTTTTTCTGTAACCCACACATCACTGACATAGTGATTGACATATGTTTTCCAGAAATGAATTGAGTGGAGTATAGCGTTGAGTGAGTGTGAGATCTCACTGGCCTCACTGGCACAGGGTTGAAGCCAGAGGATTTTGAGTTTCTTATTGTCTGTGGCTTTAAGCCTTGTCACTTCTTCCTCCTCATGCCTCAACCTTCCACAGGCATGTATTCTAAACAGTGTTGATATGTAGTTGCCACTTCAGAAAGAGAAACTGATGTTGGATATTTAAATTATTTACCTTTTCATTGACATATAATTTATATACATTAACATTTGTCCTTTTAAATTCCTTGAGTTTTGACAAGCATATACAACTGCATATAGAACACAAGCAGAATCTAGAACATTTCTATCACTTTAGAAAGTTCCCTGTGCTCATTTTTTGTCGACCCCTGCCCCACCCCACTTCCCAGCACTGACGTGAACTGCTTTCTGTCCCTATAGATCTGCCTTCCCAAGTCATGGAATCATACAGCAGATAGCTTTTTGGACTGGCTTATTTCCCTTTTTATAATGCTTTTTTTTTTTTTTTTTTTTTTTTTTGAGACGGAGTCTCGCTCTGTCGCCCAGGCTGGAGTGCAGTGGCGCGATCTCGGCTCACTGCAAGCTCCGCCTCCCGGGTTCACGCCATTCTCCGCCTCAGCCTCCCGAGAGCTGGGACTACAGGCGCCCCTACCACGCCCGCTAATTTTTTGTATTTTTAGTAGAGACGGGGTTTCACCGTGTTAGCCAGGATGGTCTCGATCTCCTGACCTCGTGATCCGCCCGCCTCGGCCTCCCAAAGTGCTGGGATTACAGGCGTGAGCCACCGCGCCCGGCTATAATGCTTTTAAGACTCATTCCTGGCCTGGCGTGGTGGCTCACGCCTGTAATCCCAGCACTTTGGGAGGCCGAGGTGGGCAGATCACGAGGTCAGGAGTTCGAGACCAGCCTGACCAACATGGTGAAAGCTCATCTCTACTAAAAGTACAACAATTAGCCAGGTGTGGTGGCAGGTGCCTTTAATCCCAGCTACTTGGGAGGCTAAAGCAGGAGAATCACTTGAACGCAGGAGGTGGAGGTTGCAGTGAGCCAATATTGTACTACTGCACTCCAGCCTGGGCTACAGAGCGAGACTCCATTAAAAAAAAAAAAAGGATTTATTCCTATTGTTGCATTCATCAGTATTCTTTTTCATTGCTGATTATTATTCTAATGTGTGTATACCAAAATTTAACTGCCTATTCCCCAGTTGACGGACATTTGGAGTTTTGTCTGTCACATATAAAGTGGCCAAAACAGCACGTAGGTCTTCGTGTGGATGTATGTTTTCACTTCTCTTGAATAAATTCTTCGGAGTGGAATTGCTGGGTCAGAGGGTGGGTGTATGTTTACCTTTATATAAAACTGCCAAATTGTTTTTCAAACTCCTTGTAAGACTTTGCATTCTTGCCAGCAACATATGACACTTCCAGATAATCCACATCTTTGCCAGTATTTGATGTTGTCAATCTTTTTAATTTTAGCTATTCCTGTAGGCAAGTCTAATAGGTGTATCTCATTGTGGGTTTAATTTGCATTTTCTTGCAAATACCTTTAATAGACCTTTTGGGGGGTATAATTCGTATACTGTACAATGTTCTCATGTGTCAAAGTTGGTTTAGTTTTGGCAAGTGCGCACCCCTTATGTAACACACACCACGTCCAGGTATAGACCCATGCCAGGCCCCCGGAAATCGCTCTATGCTCTGTCCAGTCAATTTCCTCCATCACAACCAACCACTGTCAACGATTTTTTCCACCATAGATTAGTTTCACCTGTTGAAGAACTTCATCCATGTAGAATTATACGGAATGTGCGTCTGTCTGTGGGCTGGCTCCTTTTCTCAGCCTGATATAGTCTGATGGTCATCTGAGCTGCAGTCTGGTACTGCTGTGCATTACCTTTCTTTGCTAAGGAGCTTCCCTTTGGATGGATGAACCACAATTTGTTTAGCCATTCTCCTGTTGATAGGCACTTAGTTGTTCTCAGTTTTTGTCTACTATGAATAAAGCTACTATAAACATTTTTGTGCAAGGATTTTTGTGAAGGCATGTTTTATTTCTCTTGAATAAGTAGCTGGGGCAGAACTACACAGTCATAAAGTAGGTAAATTTTATCTTTATAAAAGGTCACCAAGCTGTTTTTCCCAGTGACTTTCCCATTTTGCATTTCCACCCACAATGCATAAGAGTTTCAGTTGCTCCACGTGCTGCCACAGTTTCTTCTGTTTTGTTGTTGTTGTTGTTGTGTTAAGTTTAGCCATTCTAATGGGTGTGTGGTGGTTTTAATTTATATTTTTCTGATGAGTAATCATGTGCTTATTGCCCATTTGTATTTATTCCTTTGTGAAGTGTATCTACTCAAGTCTTTTGCCCTTTTTTTCTTTTCTTTTCTTTTCTTTCTTTTTTTTTTTTTTTTTTGAGATGGAGTTTTGCTCTGTTGCCCAGGTCGCAGTGCAATGGTGCAATCTCGGCTCACTGCACCCTCCGCCTCCTGGGTTCAAGTGATTCTCCTGCCTCAGCCTCCCGAGTAGCTGGGAATACAGGTGACCGCCACCATGCCTGGCTAATTTTTGTATTTTTAGTAGAGATGGGGTTTCACCATGTTGGCCAGGATGGTCTCGATCTCTTGATCCCATGATCCACCTGCCTCAGCCTCCCAAAGTGCTGGGATTACAGGCGTTAGCCACCGCACCCAGCCTGTTTTGCCCTTTTTTATTGGGTTATCTGTTTATTACTAACTGTAGTTAATTGACTGGCTTGTAGTTTTAAAAAATATATTCTACATACAATTTCATTGTCAGATATATATTCAGAATGTTTTCTTCCTATCCATGGCTTGAGAGAAGTATAATATATCTTCATGGTTTATAATATATTTTTAATATAATTTATAATACATATTTAATGTAATTCATATCTTATAAAGTATCTGATGAACGGATGTTTTAATTTGGCAGTTGAATTTATCAAAAAATACTTATAGTTCATCCTTTCTGTGTTCTATGTAAGAAATCTTTGCTTAACCCAAGGTTGCAAAGATAATCTATGTTTCCTTCTTTGTAGTTTTCACTTAATTTAGGTCTACAATACATAAAATTTTGTGTGTGTGCATGGTAAAGTAATACTACATTATTACGATGATTGCAGCTTTATAGCAGGTTGTAAAATCAAACAGTTTCCAACATTAGGTTTCCTTTCAAGATGGTTTTGGCTATTGTAAGTCCTTTGCATTTCCATGTGCATCTTAAAATTAATTTGTAGATTTTTACAAAAAGTCTGCAGGGATTTTTTTCAACCTTTTCTTATTCTTTGTTTGCATAGGTTATTTTTTTTTCCAAATTTTCCACGTCACTTATTTTTTTCTTCTGCAGCGTCACGTCTGCTGTTAAGCCCTACCCAATGAATTTTTAACGTAGGATATTATATTTTTTAATTCTAAAAGTTTCATGTGGTTGTGTTTTACAGTTTCCAGTTTTCTACTAAGATTTGTTATCTGTTTACCCATTATATTTCTTTGGAATCCTTAAATGTGCTGTTAATAGCTATTTTAAAGGCTTCATCTGCTAATTTCAACATTGTCATTTCAAGTCTGCCTCTATTGATTTGTTGTTGTTTTTTTTTTATTGTTGTTGTTGTTAGTTAAATTTTTCATTTCCTTTGCACATCCAGTAAAATTTTTTGATATGCTGGATACCGTGAATCCTAACTGGAGAATCTGGATTTTGTTGTCTTCCTTTAATAATTGTTGGATTTTGCCCTGGTAGGAAGTTAATTTACTTATGAATCAGTTGCTTCCTTTAAGGCCTGTGAATAAGCTTTGCCAGGACATAGTCTGCAGGGCTAAAGTGGCCTCCCTCTTAAAGTATGGTGATTGGAGATCTCAGCTGCATGCCCAAGGTGTCGGTGAGCCCGCTCTCCTTTGGTTGGCCAGAACTCTTGTGACTCCCAGCTCTTTGTGGCCCTGGCATCTTCATTTCACTCACAGCTCCCCAATAGAGCTACATTGTTGTACCTTGTAGTTTTTCCCTGGACATGAACGAGGAGGTTAATATTTGTCCAAGTCTTAAAAGAACCTTTATGCAGATTTCTGGTCTTTCTTCTCTATGCAGTTTCTAGTTCTCTTCTCTCTGGGTGGCTGGTTCAAAATTCTAGCCTCAAACTCAAAGTGTGTTCCTCCTCAGGTCAGCAAGATCCCTGGGTTCTGCTTTGGCTCCTCCTCCCTGTGCCTAGACAGAGAGCTGGGGCAACTGGAGGGCTCTTATCATGGTATTCCTTTCTCCTAGGAACCATAATTCTGCTCTGAATGTTTTCCAACATCTGAAACAGTTGCTTCAAACATTTTGTTCAGTTTTGTAATAGTTTATGGCTGGATGAATTCATCATTACTGATTATTTTGTCATGGCTGGGAATGGCAGCTACCCATATCATTATTTATGAATCTAAAAAAAATAAGTATACTAGGCCTAAGACATTTTCTTTATCTTTCACATCTGGTGTCATCTCTGAAACCAGAATTCCAGTTTTGTTTCTGTACCACTACTAGAATATGTGCAGCTATGAAGCAGAGTGAAAGTATTTGCAAAAGACAGCGTATCCCCTCCTGTAAGATGAAAGTCCATTAAATAAATTAAATAAATAAATTTTAAATAAATTAAAAAATATTTGGAATTTCAATTTTATTTAAAGCAAGTTTACTTTTTTATTATAAAAGATAGCTCCTGTGGGTGACTTATGCCACACAGGTGTTTAAGGTGGAAATACAATATCTTATGGCATTTTAAGGCATTCCATTTATGCGTGGACAGGGATTACTATCAGATTTCTCTCATGTTTGAAATATAGTATCTAACATTTTATAATGAACAAAGTGTTTCCGATCAGATTATCACTATAAGTTGGCTAGTATGTTTTCACATGGGAATTGTTTTGTGTTGTGTTTATTTCCTCTGCGGTATTATGGGAAATTTTTAAAGCTAACTGCCTTATGTATTCATTTTAAAAACTCCCCAAATTATTATTCCTAATAAAGGGAAATATGAAAGTATCAAAATATTATTATATCACTTTTTCAGTTCAACTGAGTATGGGAGTTACTCTCCCGGGTAAATGTGTGTTCAGCTTGTGGAAAGAATCATAAATGTCTTCTCAAAACAAAAGAACTCCTCTGGCTATAATAGGCAGAGAGAACAAGCCAAGCCAATCTTTCCACTTGTGCTACCGAACGCCTCCTTTTTTGAAAGTTTTCAGTTTCAATGGAAAAATAAGGGCAGCAGATAATGAACCCTTTATTCATTTTGACCTAACAAGAGGCCTTTTAGGAGGCTTACCTAGGGAACCAGTCTTCCAGATGTTACCAACGTGACTCTGTGGCTTATTATGACTTCTTGAAGAACTTTGCTAAGAAAAAAGAAATATCTAAGATACTGCCACCCAATAAAATGTTATGAAAAATTTCTACACTTAATCATGTCCTCACTGTGAATCGCTCTATTAGTCCCTACAACCACATATAGATTTTCTCTCAACATGACAGTAGTACATCCCTACTGTGACTACATAATCCTCATTAGATTACTTGTGTCATATTTATTACATAGGTGGTCTTTAGGCAAAGCATACTATATTTTCTTTTTCCTAGTGTTTCAATATGAACTGCATGGGCAGAAGCAGCACAAAATAGAAGAGAGTTTAAATTCTGATCCTGCCATTTACTAACCAAATGACTTTGAGCAAATTATTTAACCTTTCTATGATTGACTTTATATGTTAAAGGGTTGTTAGGATAGTATCTGATCCACGAAGGAGTTGCGAAAATTAAAGGAGTTAATACAGGACAGAACAGTGCCCCTCACATTGTAAGCACTGAAGAAACTCTGCCTCATCTGTTGTTTTTATTATTATTATCATTACTACCACTACTGTTTAGAGAACTCTTTAAAATTAGCTCATTTAGCCTTCACAAGAAATCTTTAAAGTAAATATTGCTATCCTTATTTTATAAATAAGAAAACCAAACTTAAACCTAGGTCTCCTGACCCTAAAAGGTTATATTCTTGTCTTAAGTATCCTAGATAATGTTGAAACATTCAGATTTTTTAAAAAGTGATCATGAGCCTTCACTAATTTTAGCTTAGTCATTTTCTTTAATAATTTTATAAGAATATTTGTCGTGTCATCCAAAAATTTCATTGGCAAAAGAGAATTCAAGATCATAATGCATTTCTATAAATAGAAAATGTGCCTATATCTGCTTCATATCATTTCCAATTAGAATAGAGAACACATAGATTATAGAATGAGAAAAAGTTTAAATATTTAACACCTAGGTTGGCATATAGCATGTCAAGTCCTCCCCATGCTTCTTTTTCCATCTAAATACATGTATCCTAAATTTCTGATCTCTTAGTCTTTTGAGAAGTTATTTCTTTGATCCTAGTTTTCAACATCTAGGTATACATGACCCTCCCCATCAATGTGGGCAGTTTGCTTTTCAAACCATTTGCAGCTCCACCTCCTAAAAGACCAGTCTCTCTGGACTATTTTTGTGTCACCCATATGATAGTGAATGTTTTTCCATTCCTAGAGCAAAGTCTCCATGAGTCTAACGATGTTTCAGAAAAAGAGTCACCTAAATGCCAGTAATTACATCAAGTTATCAACCCACAGAAAAATAACCACAGCATATGAAGTTCTCTTGGAATCTTTTTAAGAATCAACTTAGCCTGAGTCTGTGATTTAGGTTCCTTTCCACGTCTTTTAAGAGCTAAGCACAACCTAAGTAGAGGAAAAGTCTTTGAAGTACAAGCTGGTTGACCATTTCCTGCGCAGAGTATCCAATCCCATTGAAAATGTCTTGGAATTGTCCCTAGCTTCATCAGTAAGTGCTGGGGGATGACGTCACTGCGGGATTTCAACCGAACTTTATGTTCTGATAAACAATGTGGTGCTGGTAGTGGCCACTGGTGAATTCTTTTTCTCTTGGGAGGTGCCAGCAAAGTTCCTTATAAATTTTCAAGCTTTGTTAAAAGAATAATAGAGGGTAAGACAGAAAGAGCTTGGGGGTGGTCAGGCCCCGAGGAGGATCGCCTATTAAAGTCAGTGAGTGTAGACGACAATATTTTGGTTTAGTGCCACACTTCTTTGAGTATAAAATAAGAAAATAACTGTCGTTTCTTGGATAACAGGCTATTTCCAACTTACCATCACTTGTCTCGTGTGTCAGTCTTCATCCTAACCATGTGGCAGCATGCAGATGACAAGGGTTATCTTGAATTTAATCCTTTTCTTAGATGGACAGATATATTCAGGAGGCTGTAGAGTTCAAAAGTGGTGGTAAAAGCCCTTCCAGTGGCAACAATAACGATGAAAGAACCCAACAGGCAGTTTTGTAAGCTTTACCCTGAACAAAAGCCAAGAGAACATTGCTTGTAACCAAACAAGGAATAAAAATAATACTAGAGTTTCTACAGAAATCAGTGCATGGAAATTCCCTGCTTATTAAGCTGTTTCCATTATGAGATGTTCCCCTATATTAAAATTTTCATAGCATAATATATCCATCATCTGGACATTCTGAAGATTTTTTTTTCAAGGAAAACTACTTCAGTAATTCTTTATAAAAACAGGTTTCCATTTTCTTTAAGAAACAAGGCTGATTTGCCAATGAAAATAAATAAATAGAATATATCTCCTAATTTTTATTCTAATACCTTCACAGAAAATTAAACCAGGTACCAAAAAGTCATAGCTATTGGGTAGGTTGTGAGTGTATCAAATTTGGACGAATATTATCAGATCCTAAATTAATACAATCAGAGTCTCTTTCTACCCTGTTCTCCACATCCCTTTCTACTATAAAAAAATACCCCTTATACTTTCATCCCAACCTCCTATCCTTCCCAAAAGCATCCCCAAAACAATGAAAAATAAAACTTACTGGAGTAGACTGAGAACAAGCAGTTTAGAACTCTCTCCCTCATTCAATTCAATGTACCTGAAATGAGCATTAGTATTAGAACTCAATTCATGAGGGTTATTTTTACTGTAGTTATATGAAATAAATCTTGGGGATTTACCTTAGAGATTGCATAAGGTCAATCTTGCATCCAAGTTTTTACTAACATTGTTTATTCTAACTCCTGTTTCCTTTTACCCTCCTGTAAACTGCCACCTCAAGATCTCTCAAGCCTTTATTTCCTCACATACAACTCTGGGTAAGGTAAGAGAAAACACAAGCCCAGAGTGGCATTTTATATGAGTCAGTAAGGTACACCCATGTATCAAATGGCATGGGAACCAGGGAATCATTTTGAGTTACTAGGTTCAGTAGTGAAACTCTGTAGTTTTCTTGGCCCTTACAAAACCAGGTCACAGCTGCCTGGCTTCCTAATTTGGTTTGATGTACTGTGAATTCCCAAGGGGGTGAGTCACTCTCTTATTCATATGGAAGTACAGGAGCCATTCCAAAACAAAAACCAGTCTGGGTTTATTTATGATTTTATATGCCCTTTACTGCCCCACTATACAGATGATCCAGAGTTGACTTTCAGCTGTTAATTACCATATTGGAGAGGAGATACATGGCATTTTTCATCTTTTGAGTTACAAGACTTCTTTAATGTGAATATTCCCTAAGTGCTTGCTTGCTTCTGCTTTTGGAATGCTTTACTGAGGCTGGATATATATTATGAAACAATGAATGCAAAATCAATCACACATGGAGAAAATCAAAGTAGTAAAATTAACAACATACCTTAAGAAACAGTCTATGTTAAGTCAGTGTAATAGCATCATTATACATTACTCTTGTTACCTATTAAGTGCTCAAGAAAACCATAAATACCTTGCTTTATAGACTTGATGAGGCAGAAAAACCTTTCCTGTGGGTCATCAAATTAAGATGCAGTATGACTTTACGATTTGTTCCATCTTAGAATTTGGCTGTGTTCTATCTTTCTGATTTCCCAGAGCCGTCCACTTCAGGATGTTTGGGCTTCTGCCAGTGGCCGTGGCACAGATGCTTTTAATAAAGGGATCCAACCACCTTCTGGAAAACCTCCCTGCTTCACTAGAACTTTCAAGAGATATCAATCCTGTTTTATTAGTGTTTATTTAAAAAGAAGAAGAAGAGAAAGAAGCTGAAGTAGCCAACACGATCTATGTAGTCTACTTTATGTCCCTTCTTTTGTCACACAAAATAGAATATTTCTCTTGAAAAAGGCTCATACAATTCCGTAGCTATATACTGAGTGCCTACTGTGTGGCAAACTCTGCACTAGGCATGGAGACACCAAGAAGATGCATGACTTGCCTTAGAGCTATTACACAGACGCAGTATTACTTTGTAAAAATATCTGATAACTAAAATTAATCTGTAAGGTATATAGAGATCTTTGTATAAATATCACATTTCATAGAATATTAAAAATATGTAAAATTGACACTAAGTGATTTGTATTATATATGAAATGTTTAGTATATGATTAGTAAAGCTTCATAAACAATGGGAAACTGATGGGTCATTCAAAAAATGGTATAGGCAGAACTGACTTTTTAGAAAAAAGTAGGTTATACCAATCTCAGATAAAACATAAAAAAGTAGATGAATAGCTGTTTGTATTAAGAACAATATAAAATAGAAAGAAATGAACACATATAGTGGTCTTACCACACAGAAGGAGTTTCAAGGTATAAAAGTCATGAATGAGAGAGCAAATGTCAAACTTGACAACATAAAAATGTAGAAATTATACATGGAAATTTTATAAAATTAAAACACAAGTGACAAACTTGATAATATACTTGTAAAATATGACAATGAATTAATATCCTTTATAATCAAAGAAACTGTATGAAACAATTACTATTACCAACCAGTTGTTACCAAGAGTAGAAAAATAACAACTGAGATGGTTAGCAGTACACAGTAAAAGAAATTCAGAGAAATGATGGACACAAACATATATTAAACTTCACTAGTAATCTAAGAAATCTAATGAAAGCAATAATAAATACATTCTTGCTTATCAAGTTGACAAATTTTTTTAAATGTAAAAACAATTAGTGATAGGAAGGTGCACAGGCAATCTCATTCAATTCCGGCCAAAATTTGAATAAATTTTCTAGACCTGTGTTTTACAGAAAGTATTTAGAAAAAAACTAAAGTTATTATTCTTTCATTCAATAATTCTTATTCCAGAAAAATTTCCTAACCTAAAAAACATGTAAAAATACATTCATCACAATGCTCCTTATGACCTAAAAAATTGGAAACAATTTAATTGTTCTGATGTAGAGAAATAGATATAGTCTATCCAAAGGATATTGTACCATATGGTAGAGCTTTGAGGGTGGCCCCACATTCTGCTCCCTCTAGATTCTCTCTGTTCCAGCTCCATCCTAGCTTCCTCAATTTCCCCAGAATGCCATAACCTGCCCTGTGTATAGGTGAGCAGTCTGAGAGCCTGAAAAGCAAGGTGACGTGTCCGAAGTCATACCATCTACTTGGTGTATCTGAAACCAAACTCAGGTCTTCTGGTAGCAGGACCAGAAATTGTTCTACCACATAATGCTTGCTTAGAACAGTGAATTTCAAACTCTGAGTAGTGGAATCTCTCTCTCTCTCTTTTTTTTTTTTTTTTTTTTTTTTTGTGGGATGTCACCTCTAAGTATTTTTGTTTTTCTTTTTTTTTTTTTGAGTGGCAGAATCTTATGCACAATTTCCAATAAATGAAAGAGATCAAAGTATTATAGTACTATATAGTTTTTAATGTAAAAGTATATTTACTTACAAAGTCAATCAGTGAGTAACATAGGAAAATACAAGGAAAATTTATTAAGTGTTTGTCATATAGTAGAAGTGGTTAGGTTGAGTGGGTAGGTTGGTTTTTAAAATACCAACAACAAAAAAAGATGCTGTTCTAAAAACACAAACATTTGAAGGCTGGGTGATGGATATAGTTTTATATCAACGTCAGCACACACTGTATTTCTATATTTGGGTGTTTTTTTTTTTTTTTGTAAAATGGGGAAAATCTTGTTTCATATGAATAAGTAGCTGAAAATGATGAACATTTTTAATAGTTTATATGCCAACCTGTCTCAAGATATTATTCAATTAAACTGAAACAGAAGCTGAAAGAAAAGAAGTAGAAAATTTAATATTTAAAAAATAAATCATTAAAAATACCCAACAAACATTATGTTCCCTAACTGCCAAGGGTTCAACTTGGAAAGAGTCAGTAACAGGGTCCTCAGGCAGTTTAGATCTTGAGTGAACACTGGGGAATGTTATAACATTATAAGATGTTCAACTTGTCAGTTGAAATCCCTCACATTATCCAAAAAGGGCATACCTCACTCTCTATCTCAGCTAGATAGTCACTTTAGCTTTCAGTCAAATTTATTTCATTGCTGACACATTATTTAAAATTTTAAGTTTGACTACAATGTGATCTTACATTGCAAAACTGAGCTTCTTCTGTTTACTACAAAAAATCAGCAAGACATGCAAACTAGTGAAATCAGTTTTTTGAGAACTATTTCACTAGATGAAATTCAGTGAAAACGAATTTTTGCCAGTACCTTGCCACAAAACACCCAAGGGACTTCAGCATGAAAAAAAAATTCTGAAATGAATACTGCGCATATTGTTTAAATAATTCTTAAAAGACAACAAAAAAGCAAAAGCCCTGGTTGAATAACATTTACAATTAGAATGATCTTAACGCCTTGCTTGAAAGATCTTAACAGCTTATGCTCTCCTATGCCACCCAAATAGCTTTTCAAAAATAGTGTTTCTGAAAGGCACTAGCCTGACTATTTTTTCCCTGATATTCATTTTACACAAACTACATAATTTTTTTTAAAAAATGTTTTGCCCTTTTGTTCGTTTGTGTGTTGAAAATTGTAGGTGAGAAGCAGTGGATTTCCCTCACCCATCGCTAGGTTCATGGCTGAGGCCACTATAATAGAAGACAGATTAACAAAAGAAAAGAATATAAATTGGTTATATAAGTTTTACATGACACTGTAGACTTCTTTAGGAAATGAAGCCTGAATAATGAGGCATGCTTCTGTTTTTTCTTTTTTTTGGGGGGGGGGGGGGGAGGGGGGATGGAGTTTCACTCTGTCGCCCAGGCTGCAGTGCAGTGGCGCAATCTCGGCTCACTGCAAGCTCCGCCTCCTGGGTTCACGCCATTCTCCTGCCTCAGCCTCCCGAGCAGCTGGGACTACAGGCACCCGCCACCACGCCCAGCTAATTTTTTTGTATTTTTGGTAGAGACAGGGTTTCACCGTGTTAGCCAGGATGGTCTCAATCTCCTGACCTCGTGATCTGCCCACCTTGGCCTCCCAAAGTGCTGGGATTACAGGCGTGAGCCACCATGCCCGGCAAACCTCTGTATTTTTTATGAAAGGCTTGAGGAAGAGTGGGCGGTCACAAGGAAATATGATTAGAGGACAAAGGGTGTGGTCTAATGGTACTGAACTGCGGGTGGGGGGGGCTTAGCAAAACCTGTGTGTTCACATTCTTCTTGGTATCTCTGTGTCTTTGGCTCCTATACCCCGGGTATAGGGAGAGCACTTTTCAAAGAGGGTCATATGACCTGCTTCCGGTGAAGATCAGAAAATCCCTCCTAGGTTTTATGACCTCCTTCAGGAGAGAAGAGCAGGGGTAGAGGGTGGTGGTCAGAAAGGCCTTCCTGTTTCTACTGCTTTCTCAAATGTCACGATGTACCACATTTTGGGGTGGCATGTCCTGAACCCCATCCAAACCAATCTAACGACTTCTACTGTGCGGCAAGTGCTTAATAAATTTTCCTTATCTTTTCCTGCATAAACCTACTGAACAAAGAAGAAAAATCAGCAGTAGTGATACTCTCAAAATGTTGACTCATAAAGATTCCGCATAATCTTTATGAATTCTTTGAATTAATGTAGCTGCTTGAATTAATGAAGTATGTTGAATTCATGTTCTTATTAAATATTCTTAGGTTATAGCACCATAATTCTAATTGTTTCTTCAATAGCAGCCTATTCATCTAACATACTTGTTAGCATATAGTTTAATGAGCTTTTTCTGGAGAAAATGCGTTTCTTCTTCACAAACAATACATTTTGTCATTGCTTCCATTTTTTTCTGTAACATGTATGCTAAATTAATCTGATAACCTTATTTTTATGCTCCCTATGCTTTGTTTTAAAATCATTTAACTTTATGTCTGGGTTCTCTATTCTGTCCCATTGGTCTATGTGTCTGTTTTTGTACCAGTACCATGTTGATTGGTTACTGTAGCCTTGTAGTATAGTTTGAAGTTCAGGTAGTGTGAGGCCTCCAGCTTTGTTCTTTTTTTCTTAGGATTACTTGGGTGACTCAGGCTCTTTTTTGCTTCTCTATGACTTTTAGAATAGTTTCTTTTAATTCTATGAAAAATGATGTTGGTAGTTTGATAGGAATAGCATTGAATCTATAAACTCTTTGGGCAGTATGGCCATTTTAATGATATTGATTCTTCCTGTCCGTGGGTATGGAATGTTTTTCCATTTGTTTGTCTCTTCTCTGATTTCTTTCGGAAGCATTTTATAATTCTCATTGAAGAGATTTTTCACCTTCTTAGTTAGCTATATTCCTAGGAATTTTATTCTTTTTGTGGCTATTGTAAATGATAATACCTGAAACTATAAAAACTGTAGAAGAACACCTAGAAAATACCATTCTGGCATTACATTGGCCTCAGCAAAGAATTTATGACTAAGTCCCCAAAAGCAATGACAACAAAAGCAAAAATTGACAGGTGGGACCTAATTAAACTAAAGAGTTTTTGCACAGCAAAATAAACTATGAACAGAGTAAACTAACAACCTACAAAATGGGAGAATATATTCCCAAATTATGCACCCAACAAAGGTCTAGTACCCAGAATCTGTAAGGAACTTAAACAACAAACAAGAAACCAATAATCCCATTAAAAATTGGGCATCAGTCATGAGCAGACACTTCTCAAAAGAAGACATACATGCAGCCAGCAAATATATGAAAAAATGCTCATCATCAGTAATCATTAGAGAAATGCAAATCAAAATCACCATGAGATACCATCTCACACCAGTCAGAATGCCCATTGTTATTAAAAAGTTAAAAAAACAACAGATGTTGGCAAGGTTGCAGAGAAAAGAGAGCACTTACACACTGCTGGTGGGAATGTAAATTAGTTTAGCTACTGTGGAAAGCAATGTGACAGTTCTTCAAAGAGCTAAAAGCAGAACTACCATTTGACCCAGCAATCTCACTACTGGGTATCTACACAAAGGAAAATAAATCTTTCTACCAAAAAGGCACATACACTCATATGTTCATTGCAACACTATTCACAATAGCAAAGATACAGAATCAACCTAGATGTCCATCAATGGCAGACTGAATAAAGAAAATGTGATTATATATATATATATATATTTATTTATATATATATTTATTTATATATATATATTTATTTATATATATATATTTATATATATATATTTATTTATATATATACACACACACACACATACACACACACACCCCTATATATACATATATACACACACATACACATACATACATATACACCATGGAATACTACTTAGCCATAAAAAGGGGCAAAATCATGTCCTTTACAGTAACATGAACAAAGCTAAAGGCCATTATCCTAAGTGAACTAACACAGAAACAGAAAACCAAATACCACATGTTCTCAATTATAAGTGGGAGCTAAACATTTAATATGCATGGACACAAAGATGGGAACAATAATAAACAGTGGGGACTGCTTGAAGTGGGAGGGTGGGAGAGGCAGTGTGGGTTGAAAAACAACCTATCAGGTACTATGCTCACTACCTGGGTAACAGGATCATTAGTACACCAAACCTCAGCATCATGCAAATTACCCATGTAACAAACCTGCACGTGTACCCTCTGAACCTAAAATAAATAACAGAAAGTATAGACCTACTATGCAAAATTTTCACAGCCTAAAATACAGTAAGAACTGGGTTATTTTTATACCTAATAACACTCAATGCAATTACCAAGTGCTATGTGGAAGGCCCTTCTGCATGCTACTTTTGTTTTGCACAGTGTTGGTGTGGTAAATAACGGTGAAAGAATCCAGTATATCAAGTCATTGTTTTTGTTCAATACATGGTAAAATTTTCTTTCCAAGTTTTCAGTTTTAAAAGTGACTTGTTTCTAATTTCAGAGTCTTGTTACATCATATTTTTTTTTTACAAAAATGATTCAAGAATACTTAAAACTTACAATGAGCGTACGGGACATGCAAAATAAAACAAACAAGCGCTTATTATTTCCTGTAAGAGTTTTATCTATAACTATGCTGTCTAAACATGGTATGGAGCACTTGAAATGTAGCTTGTTAGAATTGAGTTTTGCTATAAGTATAAAATATACTGCAGATTTCAAAGACTTAGTCCAAAAAAGTAAAATACTTCATTTTTAAATTAATGCTAAAATGATAATATCTTAGATATCTTAGGTTACATGAAATATGTTACTAAATTAACTTCACTGGGGTTGTTTGTTTTAGTTTTTTCCTGTTTTCTTTTCCTTTTTATAATGCAGCTACTAGAAAACTTAAAAGTACATATGTGACTTGCTTTATATTTCTAATGGACAACACTGAAAAGAAGTTAGAGGCCTTCCCTGATTTGATACTAGGAAATTCCATCTGTGTGATTGATGCCTCAACAGATGGTGCTACGAGGGCGTTTAGAAGAGGCATTTGACAGAACAGTGGAGGTTCATGAAGGCCTCCAGGAGGACCAGGTGATACCAGAGCTGTAACCTGAAGGGCAGATAAGGGGAAGCTCCTAAGAGAAGTGCAGGGGCTCAGAGGTAAGGAGGAATAATGGGCACTAGAAAGTAGCTCGGTAAACCTAGAGCAGTGTGTGACTAGGGAGCAAGAGCCAGAGCTGAAGGCCTTGTGTGCCAGACTAGGAATTCTGGGTTATTTTGAGGGAAAAGAGTAGTCAGGTGTATTAGTCTGTTTTCACACTGCTGATAAAGACATACCCGAGACTGGGCAAATTACAAAAGAAAGAGGTTTAATGACTTACAATTCCATATGGCTGGGGAGGCCTCACAATCATGGTAGAAGGCAAGAAGGAGCAAGTCACCTCTTACATGGATGGCAGCAGGCAAAGAGAGAGCTTGTGTGGGGAAACTCTGCCTTATAAAGCCATCAGATCTCATGAGACTTACTATCATGAGAACAGCACAGGAAAGACCTGGCCCCATGATTCAGTTATCTCCCACTGGGTCCTTCCCACAACAGAAGGGAATTATGGGAGCTACAAAATGAGATTTGGGTGGGGACACAGAGCCAAACTATATCACCATGGAAGGTTGTGGAGCAGGGATGTGACTGACTCAGGCAGTAGTAGATCACTCTGGCTGCTATGTGACAATTAGAATGGAGTGAGGCAATACTAGGAAAAGAGGGTCCCTGGGGCAGCTGTGCAGAAATCTAAGCATAGGATGAGAATGCAGTGAGGACTGAGGGCCCATGGTAGAATAAGGAAAGCCAAATGGATTTGAGAAGTAGAAGTAAAAGGACTCGGCAATGCATTCAGTTGTTTGGAGTTTGGAGGGAAGTGGAGGAGGCAGGCAATGAGAGAAAGGATTAAATCAAGTGAGACCCTAGGATGCTGGGTTGTGCAGCTGAGCTGGAAAATAAGAATAATCAACAATGCTATAAAAATTATTTTCGAGATATTCAGCTTCCGTATATCTTAATGGTACATGGGTGACCAAGACTACAATATACTTTCATGATTTGCCATAAGATTTCTGAGGCTACTTGGAGTTCTATGTGTCATTGAAAGTTTGCATAATAGTTCATTTTTCAAAAGTATCTTTTGCCAGAGCCCTTTGACTTTATTATTCTGATAATCAAAATAGTTTCCTTATGAAGAAGTATTCTTGCCAACTAACCTAACCACATATTTGAAACATCAGATGTTAATAGGTTGGCTGATATTTTATCTTTTGTGAAATTTGCCTTACCTTAAAGGTTTTCCACTTTAAAGGTCACAAAAGAGGTTTGCTTTCCTTTTTAGAAAGTAAAAACCACATACAGGTTCAAATTCGAAGATAAAGACTAGTAATGATTTCCTATAACTAACACATATGCCCAATGAGTAGTTAAAGATACTCAAGACCAGATCTTGATTTTAAACCTTTACATGAATCCATTCCATAATTTTACTCCTTTATTCCTCAATTTCACCTAAGTGATCTCTGTAAAATAATATTCTTTGATTATCCAATGCGAGTGATAGCACATGAATTATGTATGATCTGTTTGTATAGATGACATTGAGAATGTTATTTAATAACAAGATCATGTTTTTGAAAATAAAAATTACCCTTGGGATTTAGATGCAGAAATGTTTCACTAACAAAGGGCTCTGAAAGAATGTTGGCATCAGTTAAAGTGAAGGTATGAATGGTGGCAGGCCAAGAAAACAACTGAATATTAGTTTCTTGATTCCAAAGGTTTAATATTTTCATTTATAATAAATGAGTAACAATGATAAAAATTTTTTCCCAGAAATAAAAACAATGGAATATATTATGGGAAGTGTTACAAGGGAATGTCTCCTCTCTTAACAACTTGAAAATAAATGAGAGATTTTTCAACATGAAGAACATAATTCCACAATGATAGCACGGTGCACAATACATCATTTTTTGGAACATTTTGAGGCTTTAAGACTTTAGGTTTAATACCCTTGGCAATATACATGTGTGTACATGTGTATGGGGAATGGTAATCTGTGTACAAACATGCACACAAACAGAAATGTACATTGAACTAAAAATCTTTGTACAATGAGGTGGCGGGAGTGGGGAGCAAGATTTTTAAAACTTTTTTGTTACCGCGCACACACACACGCGCGCGCACACACACACACACACACACACACACACATAGGTATATACACTATTCCAAAAGCAGAGCCGAATATATTAATATAAATAAAGTAGACCTGGATTCAGGCCCTAAGGACCTCGTGGCTTAATAGACAAAGAAAAAAATGTAAAGTAGAAAGTGGCTTAAAAAATTTATAGGAAATTCAGGAAAGAAGAATGTTAACTTAGGCTCAAAAACAATCAGGAAAGTGTCATAAAAGATTGCCATTTCAGATATAAAAAAATAGAAAGAATGAATCAGCCCTACTATTTGATAGCACAACAGGGTGACTATAATCAATAATTACTCAACTATACATTTTTAAATAACTTAAAGAGTGTAATTGGATTGTTTGCAACTCAATAGATAAATGCTTGAGGGGATGAATACCCCTTTCTCATGATGTGCTTATTTCACATGGCATGCCGGTATCCAAACATTTCATACACCCCATAGATGTATACACCTACTATTTACCCACACAAATTAAAAATAAGTTTAAAAAAAAATCACCATTTCAGCTAGACCTTGAATAATAGGAATAATCTGAACATATGGAGAAGGGGAGGCAAACATTGAAGTTTTAAAAAATGGAGAAAGAGATAGATAAATATATAGATGCACACATTCATGAAATCGTACTATTGAGCCAGGAGCTTTCCTGATCATATCTAACCCCAGGACAACCTGTGAGGCAGAAAGTTTTCTTCACATTCCAGAAACAAGGAAGCAGGTTCAGAAAGTCTCCTATGGTCACCGGACTGGGAAGTGCCATGCAGGAGCTGTTGGATCCAAAGCCCACGTTCTCTGGCTCCACTTGTTTACACTTGCTTAATGATTTGGAGACATGAGCTTGTAGGACAAAGGGAAGAGCAAAGCTTCCCTTTGATTGGAGAGCAAGATAGCACAATATCCAAAGTGGAAAGTCAGGTTTTTCCTTCTTCATCTGTTTTACCTGACGAGGGCCAGAATTTAAGGGTCTATTAGTCATAGATGGCATGGAGTATGCACTCCCTGTGTTCTGGGCGCTGTGCTGAAAACCTTCTGTGTGTTATCTCATTTGATCTCTTAGGGGCTCTGTCTCCATGGTTTTTGGTGAAAGCACAGAGGGTTAGAATAAGGTCATTTCCAAGGTCAAAGAGCTAGGATACAGTGGAGTTGGGATTCAAACTCACTGTTACTAGACTCCACACAAGAACCTGGGGTCCTAATCACTAAACATAGTGCACTACAAAGCACAGTTATGTAACATATGTCATATGTATCTGTGTATAAATATGCATGTATACATATATATGTGTTTACTTTGTGTGTACACACACATACCTGCACAAGATACACCCCTTAAAAATTTCATACCTATCAGTGATCTCCAAGTATGCTTGTGTTGACATGTTTGAGTTTAATACAATTTGTTTAACTAGTGATCATGTTACTTGGTGATATTTTCTTCATTTGGCCATGAATTAAAGAGCATTTACTGGGCACCTGCTTTAAGCCAAACATTCTGTAGACAGCAGGATTCAAAGCTAAGATATAACTCTTGCCCTTAAATAAGCTGGTAGGTTTAATAAAATTGGTCTATATGTGTTGCATTATTTTGAAAGTTATTTGCTATTATTGTGTTCAATTTATTTTTTGGTTTGCTAAGAATACATAGAGATAACAGTTATAAATTACAAGGTTAAAAAATTCGAATAAGCAAAAATCTCCTAGTTTGCTAACTATCAGTTAAATGATAATCATTGTTAAATGATGAATATGTCATATTGCAATGTCAGTTTCACAGGCAGATTTACTAGGAAGCTAATGAAGTATGATCTTCAAGATTTCTCAATTTCATTGACACATTCTAAGACTCCATTCTTATTTTTGTGACCATTCATTTGTATTCCTTTTCTTAAGAGTCCTCCCTTTATATTTTATAAATTTTAGGATCTAAGAGGACCAAATATGCCCCTGGTCAGTCTTTAATAATTTAAAGGCAACCCAATGATTTGGGATTGATTTCACAGTCCACAAAAAATAAAGAACTATTTCTTTCCTATACCTCTGTTGGTACTCACCTCTATTTGGTATTTGCATTTTAGTTACTCCAATAGATACCCATACTAGAGCGTAAGTACTAATAAAAATTAAAACTCATGTCAATGATTATCTCTCCTTATAAAGAAGCCTACAGAGGGTCTTGAAGCAATAAAGTAATTTGAATGAAAACTACAAACCATGAATAACATGACACCTACTACTTCAAATAATCCCCAAGTGACCTTTATATAATTTTTCTTCTTGGACATTTGAAACACTTTGGTAGTTTAACTCCTTAACCCTGTACTAATGAGATAGAATATAGGTATTCCCTCCATTTACAGGATACGTACTCTGACCAAGGAGATTTAAAACAAATTTTATTTATTTATTTAATTTTGGTAATATTTGTCAGTGAAAAAAGCTGCTGTTTAAAATATATATATATTCGGGCCCAGTGCAGTGGCTCACGCCTGTAATCCCAGCACTTTGGGAGGCCAAGGCAGGCGGATCACCTGAGGTCAGGAGTTCGAGACCAGTCTGGCCAACGTGGTGAAACTCTGTCTCTACTAAAAAAAATACAAATATTAGCTGGGCATGGTGGTGGGTGCCTGTAATACCAGCTACTTGGGAGGCTGAGGCAGGAGAATTGCTTGAACCCAGGAGGTGGAGGTTGCAGTTAGCTGAGATTGCACCATTGCACTCCAGCCTGGAGACAAGAGTGAAACTCTGTCTCAAAAAAAAAAATATATATATATATATTTTTTAAATATATATATATATTTATTATATATATATTTTAAATATATATATTTATTATATATATATTTAATAAATAAATATATATATTTATTTAAATAAATATATATAAAAATATATATAAATATTTATTTAAATATATATTTAAATATATATAAATATTTATTTAAATATATATTTAAATATATAATATATATTTATATATAATATATATATTTCTCTATATATTTTATATAGAGATGAAGTATATATTTATATATAAATAAATATATAATATATATTTCTCTATATATTTTATATAGAGATGAAGTATATATTTATATATAAATAAATATATAATATATATTTCTCTATATATTTTATATAGAGAGAGATGAAGTATATATTTATATATAAATAAATATATGAGACAGAGAATTTTATATATATATATTTATTTATATATATATATATATATATATATATTTTCATGATTCTTGCTCTCCAGGAAAAACATCTTTCAAAAACATTGAAAGATATTTCAACACTGAAAGAATGGAGAAATCTTTGCCTTCAGGTTTGACTCCACCTAAAGCATCTGTAATAGATTCACTGCATGGCCTCAGATGCTAACTTCTTAGTGGAGTAATGGCATCAAAACTTGTAATCTGAACTAATTTAAGTATAACTTTATTCACATATTCTTCTCTTTAAGGATTTTCATCTCACGGATTTTAATTGCAGTAATAAATGGATTCAGTGTATTTTTGCCCCAGATTATGTACTCATTCTTTCAGCTAAGCAATATTTATTGAGAATCTATGATGTGATGGATATTGATCCTAGTGCTGGAAGCAGCAATGAATGAACTATACAGAAAGCCTCTACCTTCAGGAAGTGAGGGAGAACCTTGAAGAGGTGTCTTTCAAATATTGATCTTGCCAAAGTCTGTTGTGGAGTTTAGTAAACTGTACCAAAGCAGTGTATGACTGTTAGCAAAATACACATAATTTCATTTTCACTTGCAGCTTATAAAACCTGTCAGTCATTTCTCCAAAATATTGGATTTTCTAGCTCTAGCTTGGGATTTCCATTGATTGCCAGTAGAATTTAAGGAAATTTCCTTTCTGAGGCCAAATGCATGTCTCAGCGCTGTCCATGTGGAAATGGTCAATACAATTTGACCAGTAATAGTTTTTTGATTGTCTATGGGAACATCTGGATCTTTGACCTCACAAGTAGTTAAACAACATGCCCTTCTCCCTATGCAAAAGTGTTTGTTCGTTTGTGGCTCAGAGGCTCTGCGTTTGCATGTTGGGCTTCATGTTCTGGAAGTCATTTTCTCTAGCAGTGAGGTTATTTAATTCCAAGGACTGGTTTGAATTTCTTTTTAAACTACAAGTGTATAGGATTACATTTAATTGTTGGTTTATGTACAGGAGCATTGCTACACTGAGCTGCAAGGAGCACATTATAAAGTACTCGTTTGTCCTGAGTAAATATTCATTCAGTTACAGGCTGGATGAGAGCCCATGCATCTCTGAATCATGATGTCTGGAGATCTGGACATCAGATAGGCAAATATCTGGAGATATTGCTGATATTATCTATTAACCTTTTGCTATCTGTAGGGTCTTATAAAGTAGCTTGACAATTGCAGTGTAAATCAGGAAAACGAATGCCTAAAGCTTGGACACATCGACCAGATGGCTGGAGTTTAACAAGTGTGAGTACATATTTGTTGGCAACACACAGTCAGACAAAAAGGCGCTTGTCCTGGCAGCTCACAGTGTCGTCTGTCCAGGGGCGGCAGCAACACAGACTGAGGCCTTGCTGCACATTGTATCAGGCTCAGGGGCAGGAACATAGGGTCCTTTTCTGGGTCAAATCTCCCTCTGAAGGTGAGAGTCAAGTCAAGGAATGATTTTCTTGAAGTGCAGCATGCTCTTCCAGCAGTTTCTGAGAGGGAGATGTCCCTAAAAGGGTGAAGAGAGGGCATTTGTTCCAGGACCCTGGTTCCTCCACCTTCCAGGATCCAGAGGCCTGACTGTTCATCACCACTTTCAGTGCATTCTCAACGCTCACTCTCTGCATGATTCAGAAGGCCACATTCTTCATAATACAGTCATGCTAGACTTGGAATTTTGACAAGCCATGTTCTCATTTCTGTGATCTATGCTTCATAAAGACCATATGGAGTATACTAAATCTAAAGAAATCTATCTGATTGTGAACACACTGTGTGAGACACTACTAAGAAGGGAGTCAGAGTGAGGAGGGCCTCTGGTGGCATTTTCCAACTTGGCTGATTGACACAACTAAAAGTGTTAGACATAATTGGGAGTATGTCATTAGACACTCACTAACAAGGTGGTACCCCACTTAGCAGAACCCTTTTTCCACCTAAGGGTCCTGTTCAGTGTGGTGAGGAGCGACATTGGTCAGCAAACGTGGCTGCTGCGTGTGGTACTCATGTTACAGAAACTTCCTAAACCCTTTTGGGATCTCTCTATTGCCTTGAACAGATGGCCTGTGAGCTGCGGGGCCTTCTTCCAGATCCACGGCCTGCAGCATCTAGGCTTGTGCCCAATCACTAAATGGAGTCCTGCAGGGCCCTTCCTGATCTGGCCCCTGCCAACTTCCCCAGCCTTGCGTCTCTCCACTCTCCAGTTCTCCTGGTTATCTGAATCCCATTCCCTTCTAGCCATTCTTCATTTCCTTCATTTCCTCAATTGCCTTTAGAGTTTTGCATCAACAGTTTCTCATTCTTAGAGCAAACACCCTCCCAGCTTATCTTGCACCTCCAACCTTCACTGAAGACTTGTTTAATACTAGTTTCTCTCTCCCCTACTTAATCAGAATACATTATTCAGAAAGTTTTCCACAACCCATCAGGATGTAGCCAGTTTGGCTGATCACCTAGAAGGGACCCCTTTTTCCCAAATCTAGGTTGGTTCTTCCCGCTTCCTCAATGCCAAGGATAAGGGCACATCAGACAGAGTCACTGCCTCCATCCTGCCCCAATGACCTCTGCTCTGTAGACCTCTGGTCCTGCAGGCTAACCTCTGAAGGACCAGGGCTCTCCATCATGGGAGGAGCAAAATCTTCCCCTCATAAAACCCCATGATTTACATGGTAGAACTGTGCTTTGTATCTTGTACACACTACCACCAAATGACCCTATTCTGCTTCTACCTTCTTCCTTCCGCAAAACCAGATACACAGCAGGCCCCATTATGGTTTTAGGGTATATAAGATGGTTTCTCATATATTACATTTCTGTAGAGGAGTGAGCATTGTTACTCCCTGTACTCTACAATGAGTTTTGAAAGGAAAAGTCAACTCTGACTAAGATCACACAGCTGTTGAGGAATAGGTTTGGGATTTGAACCCCGATATACTCAGTTCTTTCCATTATGTCCACCAATCTGTTTTCTTTTCTTTTTTGTTCTATATTGCCTCCTGTTTTCTCCAACACAAAGTGTCTATGGACTTCACCTTTTAAAAATGACTGTATATAAGTGAAATGTGTTTGGCTTTAGTTGTTTGCCTTCACAGCTATCTTTTTGAAAACAAAGTGTGGCTAGGTGTAAACCCTTGGGATTCTGAGACAATAAGTAAAAGATGAAATAGCATTGCAAACTTCTGACATTTTTGAACTGTGTATCAAGATTTGTGGCATATGTATTTGAGTCTGCTACAGGAAAATTCCCAGAGCACATACCACAATTATTCCCAAAGTACCTTGAACTGAGATGCCTAGTCAGTTCCTATAACTGGGTGCACCAGAGATCGCACTGTACTCCATGCCATAAGCCTTCACAGGTACAGGTTTTTCTAAAATGGAGCTTGTGCAGAGGCTATAGTCGTTTTGCACAATGAAAGAGGCTGTCTTCAATGTGCATTTCGATGTGTGCTATGGGAATCAGGACTAACCACGACCCATGGAGACAATGCTGCATGACTTGGAGAGTGCAACGTAAGACGCAATGACTCTGAGCCTGCACCACGCCATCTGACCTCAGGATCTCCCTGCAGGGATACGAGGAGATCTTAGCCATATAGCCTTTCTATTGCCCTCTACTGTCTAGGGATAAAATGACAGAAAACACAGTTCTGCATTTTGGAAGTTTGCTTAATAACTAAAAAAATAAAAATAAAAATTACTCTTGGGCTGAAAGCAGGTTTTCCAAGTTTTGGTTCATAATAAGTAGTTTTTAAACATTTAAAAATAGGGGTATGTAATAAAATGCTGAGAGACTCTCTGGAGACCGCTGCTGCTGGCACTGCTCTAATAGAAAGCATACGCCATTGAGCTAACATTCTGTTCTTTGACTGAAGAAGAAAACAAAGCTGTTAAAAGCTGGTAAGCTCATTTTCCAATAGCAATAGCATTAATATCTTTCAAGTCACTCCTAACCATACCTAATTAGAGGTTTATAAGGGATGGCTCTTCTGGAAGGGTCACCTCAGGTTACGTAGCCCACAGATTTGCTGTTGATTGTTGGCAACAATGGATTTGTGTAGATTTTCTGCTCAGCTCGAGGTGATTATCTTTTTTCTTTTTTTTCTTTTGCTGGTGTGTCTCTTATTTTGACTGGCTGAGGTTGGGCTGGACGATGAGGCCCTGATTTGAAAGCAGTGCCAGGTTGTTGCTGGAGATCTGCACTGACAGATTGTTGAAAACTTATTAGTCTCTGACGTTTTAACAGCCTGCAATGGGATAGAAATCTGCTCTTTCACTGGAAAAGCTTAAAAAGGAAAACATGAGCTCGAGCTGAAATCAGCCCCAGTTCCAAATCTGCCGTCCTCTGGCACCGGAGTGCTGAGGGCTGCCACAGTGTGTAGAGATTGAGGCCTGACTATGCCACCCACATGGTAGACAGGACTCTGCATAAAATGATGTGGCCCTGGGCCACTGTCACGTAGGAGACCCTGAAAATGTATCTTCTGGGAGCTGGGGTGTTCTCAACACTGGGTGCTAATGGCTTCAGCAGTAGGAGAAATCAGCCTCACTGAGGTTTCAGCTGGGTGGCTGGGGGGATTCTTTTGGTCATAGCCATTCTATAAGATAATTCAAGAAAAAGGACTAAGAAACACTTCAGCTTGGTATCCTCTTTGGGGTAACTTCTACCTCAAATGGGCAAAATGATGGCAGCCGGTATCACTGGTGAGAGACATCTGGAGCCAATTAAGAGCTCTAATACAGAGATAGCTATATTGTAATTATTTGATACAATGCTAGAGTAATTCATTAAGCATCCTGGTTCTTCGAAAGCAAACCAAGCCTCTCCAGTCCAGTCCATAAAGATTTTTTTTTAAATCACTATTGACCCCAATTTTTCTCCAATCCCCTCTGTGACGACCACTTTGATTAAGCTCTCTGCTTTCACCCCCAGCAGTTTTGCTCCCATCCTTGGCAGCTGCTTTCAAGATCTTAACCAAGGTTCTGGACTTTGCCCAGACAGCTACCTATGCCTAGAGGAGTCCTCTCTTTTACCAGATAACTCTTTCCTATGCTCCAGACTCAGGCCTGCGGTCATGTCTTTCAAAGCCTTCTCCAGTAACCCCAGTCAGGGGTGGGTACCCAGCATTGAAAGTGCCCATAGCCTTCTATGTTCTGACTTCAGAGTAGGCTACAAACTTCTTAAGGAAAAGACCTGGCCTGAATCTCATTTCATTTTGTATCCACACTCATGATACACTGTTAGCACAGAGTAGGCACTCAGTAATGTCTTGCTGACTGTTCACTTATTCATTCACTCACTTGATAGACATTAATGGAGATCCAAACTTCCAGGCACTGTCAGGGAGTTCAGTTTCTTAACAGGAGATATCTTTTTATGCTCTACAGACCTAAACTACTTTCTCTCCAGGCCTATCTTCTAGGGATCTGTCTTTGATTAGTACCATTCAGTTCTTGGTTGGGGAAAAGTGTGAGATGAGAAGTGACCCAGATGTTTGGAAATGTCATCTCAATGTCAGGTTTCGCCCTTCATCAGCCCATTGCAGCTGCACATCATGCAGCTGCATCTATGGCAGTGCTTACTGGTGTATATGCAGAAATGTCCTGGAAAAATAATCTCTTCTCATGCTACCCCAGAAAACTTCAGAATAGCCCACAGAATTACGGTAAGGAATTATTCATTCATTCATTTAATTAACATTGGGAGCGCCCATTATGCATTAGTCATTGTCCTAGACATTTAGGGATTCAGTGGTAAGCAAATAAAATAGATGCAATCCCAATAGATATATCAGCATACAGGCATTTGCCTTGTTTACCTAAAACCTCATTTGGGAAATTCATGTATTATATGGCAAACTTGCAGATTCGAAGTAAATAGAAAGGAAGTGAGGGTGGGGGTGAAAGCAGCCTGTGCTTAAGCTATGCCTACTCCAGATTCCCTTTGCCACTCTTGGGACGGACAAGATGTACTTTACTTTCCACTAAACTTCAAAAACTTCCCCATAGACTGATCATGGTTAGCACTTTTTCAGCTCAAGAAACTTAGGTTTGATTTTTTTTTTCCCCAAAAAATGACTCTAGTCATATGTCAGGGGTTCTTTTTGTTCTGGTTGATTTTGTTTTAACATGCTATCTAGCACAGTCATGGAGTGGGTGAGTTTTTCTGCATTTCTGCAATAGCATTCAGTGTTTAGTTCCCAGCTTCATGGGTATCAAGAGGCAATTGCACCAATAAATTTCTAAACCCTGGATCACTGCCACAGTGCTGTGTTCTTGAAGTCAACAACTCAGTGATGCTTCCTAGTTTTCCACTTTCCCAATTGTGGCCCACTGGCCTAGTAAACTCCCAGCTTGGTGAGTCAATTTCACAGTGTGGTTTTGAGTGTCATTTCTGGAGGTCTAGCCTATAGCCTAATCCTCCAATAATTTCATAAACATCTAATTCCCTTTATTAAATTCCTTTCTGCTAAAAAACAATTATAAATGTGAGAAGAAAATAATAACCATAGCCTATTAATTTCTTTCTGATAACATTTAACATTACCTACTTGCAGAAAACTGTTATCTTCTCAGCTGACACTCAGGCAAACCTCCAAGCATCAAGGATTTCTGTCTTTGGTTTTATTTGTTTGCTAATGTTTCCACTGTTCTGAAGATATCAAGACACATTCTCTAAAAAGATTAGTTGCTGGAGGTCTGCTGAGAGAATAATAAATTCAAGTTATAGTAACTACTCAGGAAAATAAAAAGATATATGAAAGCTTATCTGAAGCAGAAAAAACATTAACTGGTTTAAGAAAGCTGGAAGTGCTGTCGATTGAACAATGAGAACAAAAACGTGAGCTTTTCACTGTTTTTAATAACTCCTATTGAATGTGATGTGGGACTATTATCAGTATTTTAATATTGTCAATTGGATATAATTTTTCTTTAAGGAAAAGAGGTTCATTTAATACTTAAGGGTGATTTTAAAAATGACTCCTAACATCAATTTTTTTATAACTAAACGTATGGTGAAAGTGATGATAAAATTCAGTTTACTTAAGAGAAATATATTTTGTGCACATTTTGCTAGAACATATTATTTAGTTCATGGAAATTATATTATTTTAATTTAAAAATTGTCTTAATGTAAGGATAGGTGCAGTAATTTTTATTATGTTTAAATGGCAAATTAAAATTATATATATCTATTGTGTACAGCATGATGCTTTGAGATATGTGTACATTGTGGAATGGCTAAATCAAGCTAATCAACATATGCCTTACCTCACATACTTAATGTTTTGTGGTGAGAATACCTAAAATCTACTCTCTTAGCAATTTGCAAATATACAATACATTGTCATTACTATAGTTGCCGTGTTGTACAATAGATTTCCTGAACTTATCCCTCCTGTGTAAAATTTTGTAATATTTTACCAATATTTCTTCAATTTCACCCTCTAACCTCACAACATCCCAAGCTCCTGGTAAATATTGTTCTACCCTCTGCTTCTACAAATTCAATTTTTTTGAATTCAACATAGAAGTGAGATCATACAGTATTTGTCTTTCTGTACCTGGCTTATTTCATTTAACATAATGTCCTCCAGATTCATCCATCTTATCACAAAAGACAGGATTTCCTTCTTTTTTCAAGAGTTAATAATATTCCATTGTGTGTGTGTGTGTATCTATATCACATTTTCTTTAGCCATTCAACTGTTGATGAACACTCAGTTGGCCCCACGCCTTGGCTATTGTGAATAATAGATGCAGTATTTTATAGCATTCATCTTTCCCTTCCTGAATAAAAGTCCAATTTTAGATTTAATGTGGAAAATTCTTAATAAATTAGCAACCAACTTGTGAAATGTTGTGACTTTTAAAATTAGAAGAATTTCTTCATTTTCAATCCTAAAAACTAATATGGGAATTAAAATAGAATTTTACTGGATCAGTTAAATTTGTTAATTTTTATTTTTGTTTTACAATCTTATCGACAATAATTTAAATCAGTACATTCTTGTGCATAATGAAGTAAAAACTAAGCTTCCAATGATACTGTGATGTAGATTATATTACCCTGTTTTACAGATAAGAAGGCAGATTTGCAAAACTAAATGCCCATGATAGTACAGTGATAAGAAGAGGCAGCGACAGGATTTGAATTTTGATCAGTCTGATCCAAAGCCCGTGCTCTACTAGATGGCAATTCTTGCAAACAGCCAGTGGTTAGTGGGTGAGAGAAGGGGATAAAAGTAAAGATAGTCTATTTGGCCAAGGCAATGAGCAGGTCAAAAGTAGCCAATATTCGAGAATCTATATATCTCAGTCAAACATCCAGTAAGCTGTCAACATTTATTCTATCCATCATTGGAGAAGAGTATTCCATAGTGAGTGGTACTGCCTGTGCCTCAATTTTCTACTCTGCTAAAAGAGTACAATGCGAGTGTGAAAAGTAGAGGCACAGCACTTAGTACAAGGCTTAGCCCATAATGTGGGCACAAATGTTAGCAAGTCCACAGATATTTAGTCTACCTAATCCACAAAGATTTATGAAGGCCCTGGTATGAACAAGGCAGCAGGATTACAATAATGAGGCATGTTAGGAACACTAACAATGGACATAGTTTGACTCTTTATGGTCTCTGAGGGCAACAATGGACATTACACACATGAATTCATATCCTCTGTGCTGTGGAAGGAGATCATGTGCCAGCAGGATCCCTCTGTTGCTAGCAGAGATCCAGCCCCTTGGATGAGTTCTTCAATAACTATGCCCTATTATCTGAAGGCAGTGTTGGCTGGGAGAGATGGGCACAAACAAGGCAAGTTGGTCTCGATATTTCAGGCACAGAAGACAAGACAAAGATAGAATCCCTAAGGAGAGATTGGATCCTGAGAATTAGGCAGAATCCTGGTGAGCAGCACCAGGTACAAAGTCAGGGTCACCTGGCAGCAGGGTGCTTGCATGGGGACTCCCAGCAAGCTTGACTAGAGCATAGAAGGAGGAGGGTTGCAGCACCCGATAATCCAGCAGGGCACAAGACGTTCCCCCAGGACAGATCCTGCAGTTTTCTGAAACGTAGACCCTGTGGCTTAGCCCAGTTAATCTCGTAAACTGGGTCATCACCCTGGGTTGCACAGCAAGCAGGAGCCTGGCAGCGAAGGCTGGATAAACACTGGCATCAACAGGAAAAAGCACTAGAAAGAAACTGGTTTTTTTCAAGCCCTGAGAACAATCAGATTCCCTCAGGTATTGCTTTCAAATCTGTTACCATCATCAGGTAACTTTACAAAACAGGGCAATTAAAGAGCTAGTTAAAGGCGCCTCAGCAATTTCCCAGACCTCCAGGGAGGTGAAGACAAGGAAGAGGACCACCTCATTGTCATTGGAAGGGCCACCACACCTGTTCTTGCTATTTGGTGATGAGCTTGTCTAGCCAGTGAACCCAGGCAGGCCATGACTGTTAAGGAATGCATGCTTCACAGGAGTTTCAAAAACTCCTCCTGAATTTGTTTATGGCCAAGAAAGAGAGCAAGACCCCAGCTCCTGTGCCCATATTCACACCAATGTGCCTGTTGAGTGGCACATATAAGGCTGCCCTTGGGCTATGATAGCAAAGAGAAGTTATGCAACCTCAACCCATCAACCCCTGCCCCTAGAGGCCCTGCAAGGAAAGTAGAAAAGCTCTTCCTTCACAACACATGTCTGGACTTTTTCCATAGCAAATGGCAGGGGAGCACCCTAGGGTCCTGGAGTTATTTCCTTGTAGGACTCAGAATGTGAATTGATAGAGCTTCCTAGCACTTTGTTTTGCCTAGAAGTTTAGAACATTTAGGAAACCTCTGATCCTTCATTTAAAAATATTAACACTTTCACTTTAATCACTTTAAACATAATCACTTTAAAATACAGGTAATGCAGAAAATGCATCCCAGTAATTTGAAAAGGTTTAATGTCTTCCAAAACAACGAAATAGGAACAAATACTATGATCAGACTCCATGGGTCGTTAATCCTCACATTTGCTTCTCTGACCTGACTTGGTGGCATACATTGGCATCCCCATGTTACTTATGAAGAAATGAAGCATGAAGAGATTAGGTGAAATGATAAATATGACACGAGGTGAGCAGAGTAGCTGGGAAGAAAGCTCAAGATCTAGGATCTCCATTGAGAACTCAATGCTCTTTTGCACCCTTAATCTGTATCCAACCTCCTTCCTCCATGGTCCAGCCTCTTGACTCACAAAAGCAGCTTTCTTTCTTTTCATATCACTGAACCAACTGTCCATCTCCACATAATGTAGGCCATCTTAAAAAAAAATGGATTGATTTGAATGTAACAGCATCATCCTTTCTCCTCTCAACTTGCCCCTCTTTGTACCAGAGGATGTCATAATCAGGTGTGAAGAACATGAATTCTCACATCCAGGAATTTTTTCCCCTTAAATTTCTTTGTCTTATATAATGTATAGTTACAACAAAGATTGATGGGAATGGAATTAACCAAGTTGTGAACTGTAAAAGAAAGAGGAAAATGAGTGAATGTAGCTCATCTTCGGTCTCCTTAAGGGCAAAGGAAATATGTAGTGAGAACAAGTTATTGATGAAGACAGTCCAGTCTGCTACCAAATGGCCTCTCAAGGAAGACAGGTGCAGAGATGTATTGTACAAAGGGCCATTTTTATATTCAGAGTTGTGAATATGAGGACAATTCTTATTTCAAAATATTTGAAATGAAGGAAAACATTCAGAGAATAATTTAAGGGACACACCATTATAGAAAAAATTGATAGCCCCAGTGTGCCCTCCAACATTTCATTTCTCAACATTTCTTCCCCCTACCCTAAATTTGATGCTTCATTATTCATTGCATGTTTTTTGCTTTTTCTATAAATTAATGTATCCATAAATAATATGTACTATTTTCAGATATTTTCAACTTCATAAAATATGGACAATTGTTTTTGGCTTAACATTATACTTTTATGTTTTAAACATTATATATGTCTTATATGATTGGCATATTATATATTTTATATTATTTGAATATTCCAGATTTTTAATATTATGTATTTCATATATACATATTATATATATATGTTTTACAGTATATGTAGCTCTAATTCATTTTAACTGTTGTGTAGTATTCCACTTATGAATAATACTTATTTGTCTGTTTTGTACCAAGACATTAAAGTTGTATATGAAATTTCTCTACTTATAAATCTAGAAGACAACTTGCTATGTCATAGGGTATGAACATTTCATCTTTGCTGGATTTTGCAAATAATTTTCTAAAGCAATTGTATCATTTTATATTCCATCCCGCAATGTGTGAGAGTATCCATTTCTCTACAGTCTTGAAAACACTTGTTATTGCCAGACTTCTAAATTTTGTGAAATTGATGAGTTGAAAATAAACCTCATTTTATCTTTAATTTGCTTGCTTCTGATCACAGCTACGGTTAAATATGTTTTCTATGTTTATTGACCATTCAGATTTTTCCTCGTCTATGAATTGCTTGCTCATGTACTTTATCCATTTTTCTATTAGATTTGTTATGTTCTCACTGATTTGAAAGATTTATGTATACATTCAAGTACTAACGCTTTGTCAATATACTCATCATACAACTGTGGCCTGTTCTTAAATAACTGATTGTATCTCTGCAGGAATTTGCCTTGCACAAAAGTTTTAACAAGCAAGTTAAAACTAAGATATAGATAAGAAAGTTGATATTTCCGTAAGTCTGTGAGTTCAGGAAAAGCATTAGGAATGCCAGTTTTTCATTATTTATCTACTTGTTTTTCCTTCCAAGTTCAGAGAGATAAAGTATAGGCCACCTAGCTTTATGTTTGATAGTATCTGTGCTTTGCAGAGTGGGTAGTGTAGAATAATATGGGAGATGAATAAGGACCAATTTTGAGAATAATTAGCCGCAGATTATTGGGCCTAATAGATTGCATATCTTCCACTGAAATAGAAACTGTTTCAAACCAAATGCATCTCTAGTCGTGACTTCACATGGGAGCACATAGAATCTGCTCTATGCAGGGGCATAAGGCATGCAGAAACAATCTATTCCAACTTATCCCTCAAATATTTTACTACCAGGCAAGTCTCTGCTCATGACATAAGTCCCTAGACTCAGGTAACCAATGAAAACAAAAGTAGAATAATGTTATGGTAATGTCAGGTCACATGGATATATTGTCTTGGGAATCTTGATATGAAATCTTAAAATAACCTTGGCTATCTTTCTATTTCAGAGGTGTGGCGAAATCTTGTTTGAGAACCCCGATCAGAATGCCAAATGTGTTTGCATGCTGGGTAAGAAGGCTTCTCATTTTAAATATATTAAGCATGTTGATGTCATGTGGAGTTATCATTCTGTTGCCTTTTTGGCTGTCTCTCATTCTGTTTTGAAGAGGCTGATAGGTTCTTTTGTGGTTATGCAGACAGCTATAACACATTTATATGTGTAACACTTGATGATGAGAAAAGGTTCTGATTTTCTTAATTGTCAGCCAGTCAAGGACCATGCTTCTGAGTCTTTCAAAAATTTTCTTGGATCATCAGCATAACATAGAATTAGGTGGTTTGTATTCAGGCAGCTATGATGAAAAGGTAAGAACCATGTTGTAATTCCTAAACCAAAGATGGATGATAAGATAGACAAGTAAATTATTAAGTCCTTACATCACAGTACAAAACCCTTACTTAGAATTTCTGGAAGAAATGTATATTTGAACTACTGTAATCTGAAGTCAGCACAACTATTATCGACACAGCATTTGTAACAAAATAACAACATTGTAATGAATAATCATTTGTTCTTGTAGGATGATATATCATCAATGCCTTTGACAAACTCTTTTAATATATACTGTTAGGTAATGAAGTTGGTATTATTTTCCTCATTTTATAGGTTAGAAACAATTATAGAGAATATAAGTGATGCACTTAACCTCAAAGTGAGAAATGGTCCAAATCATGATATGAAAGTTTCTAAACAGTAAAATTTTAGGTCTAGTGTTTAGATCTTATTTAAGCCACTAAACTATGTCCAATAAAGTTGCAATTCATTATAGTAATAGAAGTAAACAGTAGCATGGATAAATAAAAATAATTTCTAAATTTTATTTTCACCAAATTTTTACCTTTGTAGATTCTAACCTTGAACTATATTAATAAGCAAAGAAAAAAATTATTCATTTTAGCATTTTCTATTTACTCTGCCCACTTCATATATTGACAGTCTAGATTATTGGTGAAAAGCAGACAGCAAGTTAAATAGAGGCAGGCAAAGATCTTGGTAATTTATAATTCAAAATAATCATGTAACAAATAATCAAAGGTGGTACACGACTTAAGAAACAAACAAAAACCAGACATCATATTTTTCTAGCCTTCTAATCTTTCTTAAATTCTTTACTGATTTTTAAATCTCTCTTTGCAGTTCTATGTTTTTATTTTAATTAAGATGGTGGCTATATAGTAATACATTCATTGAAAAATGAACGTTTTACTAGAAGCACATGAACGAAGAATATAGCATTGCATCCATACACCCATTTCAAATATCCAATATTCCTTCCCCTTGAAAGTGTGAAATGAAAATGTCTCCAAAGTTCTAATATTTCAGGTACTAGATAGATAGATAGATAGATAGATAGATAGATAGATAGATAGATAGATAGATAGACAGACAGACAGACAGACAGACAGACAGACAAAACAGGTACAGATGGAAGCAGAAAAAAAATCCTTTGTTAAGCCATGTGTCCCAGTTTTGGATTTGGGAAACTGTTTTACCATCACATCAAATAATCTATTCAACAATTAACTCATTTAATTTTCCACAATAACAAGATGAGGTTGGTGCTATTGTTATCTTCATTTTATAAATAAGGAAATTGAGGGAAATGGTTGAATACTGCAGGTACCTTACTACCACTGAAATATTATTTGATTGTAGCTTTCACCTGGTCTAGTAACTTGAATCAATGTTTAACTCATGATAATTTTAAGCACATGAATGCATCATCTATTTTGACTGAATGTTTCTGTGTCCTGTCTTCCATGTAAGTTGATTGATTAGTTTATAGCTAGAACAGTAAGAGACTTTCTACTACTGCCTATAGATTTGAATTCACTTAAAGTAAGATCAATTATCTTTCCATCTCTTCTAGATTATGTGGTATGGTTTATATAGCTGCCAGAAAACAATCCTGACCGCCAAATATGTCTCTAATGAATCTGCCAGATTGCACAAAATTCTAAAATTAGAAATGCATTTATATAAATCAGTTTTATGTTGCTACCACTGTCATAATAATTACAGTTAATTGAGCACTTAATATGTGGCAGGTGAAATCCATCCCAAACACCTTACATAATTAGATCATTTATTCTAAGTAAATTAAGAGAAGCTCTATCTTTCAAAATATAGATATCTCTAGCAATAGAAGAGTTTTAATTAAGCTGATACTGGTTATTAACCTTGTAGATTTCATTAGTTTGTTAGATTTCCCTTTTTTTCGTAATTCAGAACTAAATAATAAAAGGAACTGTGAGAATGGAAGTTTTTATTAGTTTCAGGACACATAGGAATAACAAGTATACATTTTACCTTTAAGATAGACAGTAAATAATTAATGACTATTCAAAGATAATATTATGCTTAGTGAGTTTGAGTTGCTCACATAGTGAAAATTGTGCCCTTGAGGAGCTTATATTTAAGACGGCTTAGATTTTTTAAGAGAATTGCTGCAACTTTTAATTCAGACACTTATGAAGTCCTTTGAAATCTTAGATGGAAGAATACCAAAATAAAATCATTATGGATATCAATACACATGGATCAACCCCACCATTAACATGCATCCACCTGAAGCCCAAGGACTGCCACTTCACAGCAAAATGATCCTAGATGATAAAAGAAAGAAGTAAAGTTTAATGGTTTATTCACTTAAAATAAACAAGAGAAATCAAATTATGAGCACGTAAGTCCCTAAAACTGAGACCACATCTTGTATTTCTTCAAGAAAGAATATCTATATTAACACAAAAAGCACCTCTTCACCACTGTCTAAGGTATTAATTAGTTTGTTGCTATCTTCAAAAGGAATCTCAGATAATGTTCTTATGATTTCCTAAAGCATTTTTTGAGAAAACTTTACATCTCACACAAGAAAGTATAAGGAGTCTCTGATATTGTAAAGGACTATTGTGTTTTATAAGCCCTGCCAACCATAAATGTAGTTTTTATTTTTGTAGGTAATTTTATAACATTTTTATGAATAAATCAAAATTTCTAAATGAGAAAACCAAATATATGGGGCCACCTCAATATTCAGATCCCTGATGGGGACCAACCTGAGACATCCTCATCTTTAACTGGTCAAGCCCTTGGCTCACTCCCCTGGAAACCTCCCTCTCTACCCACTCACACTCCAGGTTTGGGTGCCTGCTGGATCCTAGCTGTGTACTGGTTTCAGCACAGTTGGGGTGGAATCTGGAGAAGGGTCACTAGCCAGGGACTCCATTTGCATTTCCTTCTCTTCCATTGGCGAGTCCCCATATCATTCTGAAAAGTACTGTTTTTATGCTTTGTGTTGTCTACCTCACGACTTCCATGAATATGCCATTCTTATGGAAAATTACACTTCTGACTCATTCCGTTAAATGAGACATAAGTGTAAAATTCACCTCGAGTTACTCTGGTGCGCCGGATTCAATGCAGCTTTAAATGGAACCAAACTACTGTCATGTATGAGTCTTGCAGGGAATTATTTCTGGCTTCAAGAGAATAGCTCATGTTGGATATGAAGGTAAATACAGGTGTACTGCAGAGCTGACTACACGGAGTGTTAACTATTTATTCCTTACAATTGTTCAGAGAGAGCAAATGTGGATGATCAAGTTAAACACCAAATTGTAATATATGTTGCTTTCTTTTTTCCTTCAGGCTTAGGGAAATGTGTGTAGAGCTTCTGCCTCCCTGTCCTCCCCTCTCCACCTTCCTTTTTATAAATTTAGCCATAAGATTTCACTCAAGTTCAAATTGGCCTCAGAAGTTTATATAATTATATCAATGGATATACAACTGTATAGCAACACTTTTACCTTCTTCAGGTCTCATGAACAGATACTAAAAGAAAGAGGAAGTGGAAGAGACATTATCTCTCACTGTATAATTAATGCATGAAGTATGGCAAGTTACAAAACAGAGTTTACTTTTCAAAAGCATAATGAAAACTGTTGGGCAAAAAGAGCCCAGAATATTTAAAGAAATTATGTAAAATGATCAATGTTGATTCACTTCTCAGTTCATTTGTGAACCTTGCTCTGTGAAACGATAAATCATGGGAAAAGAAACTTTCAAGAAGAAATTGCTGATCAGATTTAGTGCTTCTTTGTATCTCCTATTTTTCTTATTATTAGAATGGGATTTTTTCAAATTATAAGCCTTAATTTTTAATTTATGATATTTTGTTGGCTCAATTTCTCCATCCTCTTTATCAAGGTTTAATTTTTTTAATTTGAAATTTTCATTGGCCCTGTTTTTGTCTCATGTATGATTTCTTTCATGCTGATGAGTATCATGACTATTAGAATGTACAATAAGCACTTTCTTACCTGCCATAACTTAGAAGGGAGTATTCATATTAGTCAGTTTTCTGGTTGAAAATTATTATAAATGATTTAAATGATTGCTAATCTTCAGAACAACAGAACACCAGAAAATCAATATTTTATTAACACTCAACATAGGCATAGAGGGACTTGCTTTGTAGCACTAGCTCTGAAAAAATTAACTGTGTACTCACAGAAGTTGCTTCATCTCTCTAGGATTCAATTCATAGTTTTCCTGCAAAGTGGAAATAAAAACATCTGTCCTTCCTAGCCCAGGGGTTTTTCTGGTGAGAGAATGAGATGTTCTATGAGGAGAAGCCTGTTATGATGTCTGCCCTAAATATTGTGTATGCATCAATAAGTTGATGCATAAATGATAAATAATTGAAAATGTAAAAATTGATAATAAGCAAATATAAATAAGCTAATAAAAATTATTACTGATGATACCAATGGTGTTTAGAAAAGCAATCGAAAAGCTAAAACATATGAATATAAGGACAATTTTTTAAATATTAAATACATTCTTCAAAATTGCATGGTGCCTCCAGGGTAGAACGAGACCTTCATCTAATTTTAATTAATCGGATGTGCATCAAGCACCTACAAGGTCGTGTGCTTAGCATTGAGAATCCAAAGACCAGTGGGGCATAGAGTCTGCCCTTAGAGGGTTTATTGTTCAGCAAGAGATTGAGGTCCTGAAGCCCAATGTATGCAACACCAACTCGACTGATAAAGGCTACAGAAGAAATAAAGATAAACTACACTGGACTTCAAAACATGGATAGAGTGCATATAGCAGGGATGTGAAGACTCATCTATCTAGATATGAAAGTTGAGAACGTGGCAGCACTCTAGATGGATGCAAGACCACTCTCAAAAGCTCAGAGATAAACTGGGGAGTGTTTCTGGGGCAGTGTTTCAGGCCACGAGGTAGATGAAAGAATAAATTGAAAAGAAACTTGAGACCTGATTACAGAGAGCTTTACTGTCATCATTGGCCCTAAAAAGGACAGAAGTACCAGATAAAAGAGAGTTCTGGTCTCTTTTATTTAGTTAGAGAGTCTTTTCGATTTAGTTATAGCATATCAGAGAATACTCTATAAGCTCCTAGGTACTGGGTAGTATTAAGTACAGCCATTCATCAGCTACTTGTGAAATTAAATAATTTTAAACCAATGCATATTTAACCCAATGCGTATCTGACGACCTGAATTCTGGTTTGATTTTTTTTAAAAACATGTTAATTCTATTTTTCCTCTTCATATCAAATATTATAGTATTTTATTAAGCAACAAGATAATATTTTCATCTGTGACAGTAGAGAAAAATGTTTTTTTCACTTTTTTGGAACTTTGTCAGCTAATAAAGTTGGGAGTTATTTTATATCTATATTTTGCTCTTATCACTTGCTTCAGCTTTTGGTTTTTGCATGTGGACACTTATGAGACCTATATACTGTTTCTTAAAAAAATAATACACAATCTGTTTTAAGGCAAAATAAGATTTGGTATCAAAGTAGGCCACTGTGGTGTTGGTAGAAAGAACAGGGCATTGAAAGACCTGGTACCAGCTAATAACTGTGTGAGCAGAGGCATGTCATTTAGGGGTTGTAGACCTGTTTACTCTTCTCTAAAACTGAATAATAAGCAATAATAACAATATTATTGTCTACCTTATTAGGGCTGTTGAGGATTACGTGACAATAAATATTAAAACATTCAGTGAACTTTTAGAAGTACTATAAATATAAGTTATTATTTTTATTAATACTCAATTTTTTCTAAGTCCTTGCACTTCATTTTATATTAGTAGTATTTTTATAGCAAACTGACAGTATTGTAGATTTTAAATATTAAATGATCTCAATTTGGTTCAAGTGAATAGATATTTTCAAGTGCATGTTGGCAATTTAGTAATGAACATCCTTATAGGTTATGAAAGAAATATTATTGTAAAGATTATTTTGCGTGCACTTGACTTAACAAGTAAAGACTGTGTTGAAAGACAGACGTTTTCAAGTTGCTCGATTTTGATTTATTAAGGTTAGAATGCCTCAGGAATTTGAATTAATTTTAACTTACACTTTCAAAGCTCTTCATTGCTGTCACTTGGATTCATCAATTCACTCTCTCTATATGCGTGCTCAGACAACAAAATTGCTGAATGATATTTTCTTACTCTGCCCAAAGAGGGTAAATTGAACCTGGATATTCTCAAGGGAGGATGGTGGAAGCATCATTCCCCATCACTCACCCAAGGCCCTGTCTTGTTTCACTTTTCATTGCACTTATCACTAAAGGACATATTTTCTATTTGTCCATCGCTGTTCCCCAGCCTTGCCCTGCAACACACCCATACACGCAGAATGTGATTATCACAGAAGTAAGGACTCCGTTTCATTCACTGTTGAGTATCCAGCATCTGGAACATCTAGCTGCCCAGCCCCTAAGAGGAACTCACTATTTGCTGAATGGATACGTGCTGATGTGTTTGTGAGAACAGCAGTCATCCGGAGTGCATCTCTCGAGTGTGTCAAAGATCGGTTGGCCTAGTATTTAAAACTCTCTGCTAACATAGCCAAGGCCAAGGGTCAGCTCCTACATTAACTAACTGGTGGCTTCCCAAGCACACTACTCCAGGTTACAAGATAAGAAAAAGTGGTTCCCTTCAAATAGGCAATGAGGAACTATCCTAAGAGGAAGATTAACATGCATTCATTGAGCACTGCTGTATGCCCAACCCTCTGCTAGGAGTACTCTGAAAGTTGATATAATAATGAGCAAGGTAGAATCCCTATTGCCACAGAGTATATTCTTGGGCAGATGGAGCATTGTGCTGAGAATACAGGAAGAGGCCCATTATTTTGTCTTCTGTTTATGGGAATATACAGAAAATTTTTTCACCTTGAGGGTTATGGTTTAAAAGGCATTCCACATTATCCTACTGCCTTTTAAAATTTTGGAAGTCAATATTGCTTTGTGTAAGAAAAACAAGTTTCCTAGCTTGAAGGTTGCTTTCTGTGGAAGGTTGCAGCATTTCCACAGCAACAGAACACCTCATTTTTGAATGCAGCTGGAAGCCAGGGCTCAGATGAGAGCTACCTGCAGAATAACAACACAAGCGAAGTCCAAACTATCAGAACTGAAGTTGTCAAGCCCAAAAGTGATAGAAGTGTCAGTCTTGTATTGAGTTAGCTTCATTTTCTGTCTAAAGCTAGAAAAAGGGAATTCAATGAGACCTATCAGCCTTACACAAAGCTACACTTCAGAAAACATGTTCAATCAACAAACACTTCATAGATACACATTGTGTGCCAGAGTAGGGATGCAAAGATATTGAAATTCTATCCTCAGCAAGCTCCCAATCTAGTGACACAGGGACGACCACACAAACAATGACAACATAGCATGATAAACCACAATCAGGAGAGCCCAGGTCTTACGGGAAGGGGAAGGGGAAGGGTGGAGTGGCATCAGGAAAGACCTTGTGCAAGACATGGTAAGGAGCTGAGTGTCAAAGAGAAGCTCCAGACAGCCCTGGAGCTTGCACTGAGGACAGCCCATTGGGAAAGGTGTTGTTGGTATTTCTAAGAGCAACAGGTACCGGCAGCTTAATGTGACCAATTAAAAACTGTAAGAAAGTCTTTATGCCTGGAAAATAGAGTAAGAGGAATGAGATAAGACAATCGAATGTGGACAGGAAGGCAGGAGAGATTATGAAGAGCCTTATAATAGGACAAATAACCATTGAAAGATGTTTAAGCAGAGGAGCTACAAGGGGAGATACACACTTTAGACAGATCATCTGTTTAGAGTGGAGAATGCACAGGAGGAGGATATCGCTGAAGAAAGACTAGTTTAGGGAACAGTGGTATCTATCAGGTGAGAAAGGATGAGTCCTACCTGAATTGAGACAGTGTCAGAGAGAACAGAAGGTGCAAAATACAGGAAACTTTTCAAGAGGGTGATAGAACTCTACAATGGGTTGAGTGTATGAAGTGTTATTAAACAGATCGAGATACTGCCCTGTCCCGCAAAGAAGAGTCCAAGAGAATTGAATTTGCATGGGGTGGGGAGAAGTTAAATTTTAGACACAGTAAATCTGAGATGCCCAAGGAACTTTCCACTGCAGCACAGCTCAGAAGGAGGGCTCTGCAAGTCAGTGGCGGTGGCGACATAACAGAAATGAGATCACCCAGGGAAAGGTGAGGAGTGAGATGAGGTTGTGCTTTGGAATGCCCAGAAGCATCCCCAAAAGGGTTGGGCAGGTTCAAAAGGAGCCTATGGAAGCCTAACTAGGTAGGAGACTAAAATAGAGTGGGCAGAAAGATAAAGGAAAAGGAGAGGATTGTACCTTAGCCATCTTAGCCTAACTAGGTAGGAGACTAAAATAGAGTGGGCAGAAAGATAAAGGAAAAGGAGAGAATGGTATCTTAGCCACCTTAGCCAAGAGGAGAGAGTTTCAAAAGGTGGGGCATAATACAAATGTAAAATACTGTAGAGGTCAAATGAGATAAAGCCTAAAAAGTGTTGCTTGGACTTAGCAACCTGAAGGTAACAACAGCAAGAGCATCAGCAGCAGAAGGTGGGGTGAGGTGGGTAGTGTGGAGCCAGGCCACAGGGAGCTGAGGGCACTCCTCTGTCAAGAAATTGGTCTGAGAGGGCTGAGTGCAGTGGCTCATGCCTGTAATCTCAGCACTTTGGGAGGCCAAGGCAGGCAGATCACTTGAGCCCAAGAATTCAAAACCAGCCTGGGAAACATAGCAAGACTCCATCTCTACAAAAAATACAAAACTTAGCCTTGAGGTGATGGCAGGTGCCTATAGTCTCAGCTACTCAGGAGGCTGAGGTGGGAAGATCCATTGAGCCCAGGAGGTCAAGGCTGCAGTGAACCATGATGGCACCACTGCACACTCCAGTCTGGGTGACAGAGCAAGACCCTCTCAAAAAGAAAAGAAAAGAAAGACAGAAAGAGCAAGAGAGAAAGGAAAGAAAGAGAAAGGAAGAAAGAAAGAAAGAAGAAAAGAAAGAAAGCAAAGAAATAAAGACGGAAGGAAGGAAGGAAAGGAAGGAAGGAACGAAAAGAAAAGTCAGAAAGGCTGGTGGAGGATATGACAGTACCTCTCAAAGTCTGCCGTCAGGAAGGGTTTCTTAGGATAGGAAGGATTTGAGAATGTTTTGATGGTGAGAGGAAAGAGGAGAAGAACTGGCTGAAGTTTTATGAAGAGAAATGGAGTAGTTGTGAGCCTTAAACCTGCGATTGTGAGAAGATGGTCCCCGTGGGCGAGGAAGCATGGAGATAGAGACAGGTGTGCCTGGGTCCGGCCAGGCAGAGCTGGAAGAGTTTCCATCTGATTGCTTCCCTTCTTTTTAAGAAGGAAATATGGTGTTCTGATGAGCTTAAGGAGAGGAGCAGGTGAATGCAAGCATACAGAACTAGGTTAATTCAAAACTAATGTTACAAGAAATATAAAAAAACTGAATAGAGGTGTTTAAAAAAATGTGGAGCAGTTTTGAGGACCCAGCTGAGTTGGACACTGTAAATATCCAGGCCTATTCTTTAAAATTAAAAAATACAGAAAAGACAAACTATGTGTTCTTAACACTCATTTCAAAAGAGTAACTGTCCCATGCTCATAAAGACCCTTCCCTTTATTCTCCTTAACTGCTTCCCGGTCCTTTCCCTATGGCCAGCCAAGGTAATCTGCAAGGGGATGCCTTGAACCCAATTCACAAATCCCTCTCCCTGGTATTGTACATGTGAAGTTGCTTCTCCACTTCCCCAGTGAGCCTGCACATTCCGGGTAATAGGTCTCTGATTTAATTTTCTAGCACCCTGTGTTGGCCTAGAATTCCAAGAAAACACAAAAAATAATTCCTGATGAAGGTAGACAAAATGTCTAAGGTTATATATTCACCCCTAACATTCTCCCACCACCCATGGTGACTCTAGAAGGTTATTTTTTGACCTGTCTTGGCCTAAAAGGGGATGCCTCTACATCCACCTCCCACTTTGTGAAGGAGACCAAAGGTGCTAAGCCATTTGAGCTCTGGGAGTACAAATGTCCCCTGAGCTGGGCCCACCCCTGTCCAATCACATCAAAACTGCCTCTTCCAGCCAGAACAGTGGTTCACGCCTATAATCCCAGCACTTTGGGAGGCCGAGGTGGGCGGATACCCTGAGCTCAGGAGTTCAAGACCAGCCTGGCCAACATGGCAAAACCCCATCTCTACTAAAATACAAAAAACTAGCCAGGTGTGGTGGCACGTGCCTGTAATCCCAGCTACTCAGGAGGTTGAGACACGAAAATCACTTGAGCCCAGGAGACAGAGGTTGCAGTGAGCCTAGATCGCGCCACTGCACTCCAGCCTGGGTGACAGAGCAAGACTCTGTCTCAATAAGAGTTAAGAAAACTGCCTCTTCCTCATCCTCTCTAATTCTGGTTCATTTTCCGCTTCTATAAATTGGATTCAAAACTTCTTGCTTTCAAGATGAGTCCATCTAGGAATCTTTGTATACATCAAACTGTACTTTTTAAAATGTTCCAGAGACAATGTCATTTTTAATTTTGACCCCAAAACAATGTTAGGCTTTCTATTGGAAGGAGTATAGATTATAGTTATATTTCATTGTAAATTCATATTTTTTAAACAAATTATTAATATAGGTTTATGAGATCTCAACCTGCCAATCTCAAACCACCTCATAAATATATGAGGTTTTCTAATATTCATAAATTATAAATATTCACAAAATATAGAAATTTTCAGAATGAGACAAATTACGTGTATTACAAAGGATGCACAAGAACAAATGTTGAAGTATTAAATAAATAAATACTTGTTCTCATTATATCAATTGCTATCTTTGAACTGTAGCATTTCTTTTTCATATCTAATTGCCAAAATATATTTTGTTTTCTTACCAGGAGATCCATTCTAAAGAAGTAGCTAGCTGATGGTATAGAAAGCTCAGTTTTCATAAACCCAACATTTTCCCCTCTCACTGAATAATGCATGTTTTTGTGACTCTAGCATGAACGCTATCAAGCTTACTGATTATTTCTTACTATAAAAACCTTAAAGGCAAATCTAAGGATATTTACAAATGAAAACCAAATGTGTAGAATTTTTTTGCCTACTTCAAGGTACCCAACCACATAGGAGCCTAATTTGATTTGTAGTCAACATTTTTTACATTTTCTGACTTGTAATTTAAGGAGATAGTTAACATGAAATCTTGTACATTGCCATTTTAGCTTTACCTAAATTCTGGGATTCTGGGAGCTCTAGTTCTTTGTGACACAATAGAAAAATTGAAGACATCATTCTAAACAAGGACCTGACATTCTGAAATATAAGAAAATAGTGCCAGAAATGCTAATAGGATATAGAATTCCATGAAGTTGGTGAATAGCACCATCCTCATTTTTTCAATGATAATCATATACTACAAATCTGAGAGTTTGGGAATATGAATAGTAAATATAAGAAAAGAGTTACTATGTCAAGCTGCTTTCTAAAATTTATGTCGAAATGTAAATTTCAGAAAAAGGCATTTTAATATTTTCTCTTCTTTTAGAAAATCAAGTATTTAAAAAAGAAATTGAACATCTTGGAAGTATATATTGAACTCAAAAATACATTTTCCTTGTTTCTGAGGAAAAAAATTAGCATCATATTCCTGAATTACTGCATTGTTTATAGAATGGGTTTGTTAATAATTAATTACACCAGGCAGTCTACGGAAAGGTACCTTATTTTGTCTGCTATTTCACTCTTTGTGTCAGGAAAAATCTTCCCTCATGAATCATGTTTACAAGATGGTTGACTAATGAAATGCCAAGAGGACTCTGGGTAACAGTATATGAATGACTATGATCATGTTTTGTATAATTTAACAGACATTTGGAATATCACAGAGTCTTTTCTTAAAAAAAAAAAGTTTACATTTTTGGAGGCAGAGTCTCAGTTTGTTACCCAGGCTGAAGTGCAGTGGTGTGATCAGAGCTCGCTGCCTCCTGGAATTCCTGGGCTTAAGCAATCCTTTCACCTGACCCTCTCAAGTACCTGGGACTACAGGTGTGCACCACCACCCCTGGCTAATTTTTAAATTTTTTGTACAGATGGGGTTTCACCATCTTGCCCAGGTTGGTCTTTAACTCCTGGGCTCAAGTGATTCTCTCACCTTGACCTTCATAACAGAGTCTTAAGCAAATCTCTGAATATCTGAAGGGGCTTAGTTCTTTCAAATATTGCTTTCATGGGACTTTAAGGTTGCAGTTCAAGTAAGAGGTAGATGATAACTTCTTCTCCCAGACTGGTCTACTTCCTAGGATTCTAGAATTTTGACGGACAGGTCTCCAACATGTGACCATACAAATTTGTGTAAATTTCTAGGACATAACAATAAATAAAGGATTTTTTCCCTTGTAGCAACTGTACCATTGAAAATGGAGAAGTGTTTGACTAATAACAAAACATGTGACTGCCATGTTTATTTTGTTTACTTTCCTATGGAAAAGTTTCTTAGAAGATCAGTTTCAAATGTTAGCATCTTTAAGAGAGAAAATTTTCAATTACTGTATTTAACATTAGTAAGTATGAACCAACAATGTGCATACACATGTGTAAGCTTATATTTACCAGTAGCCTGATGTGCCTCAACAATTGAAATGGTAGTTTATATACTTACTGGCACCTCTAATTCTCCTGCTATTCATTTATTTAGCTATTGGTTTATTTTGATTTAAAGTGGGGTTTTTAACTTTTTAATTGAAATACAGCTTAAATTCTGAGAAATGTCTAGTTTTTAAGTGCAGCTCAATGAATTTTTACAAAGTTAACGTATCTGTACAAAACCACATGGATGAAAACAGATAGTTTCCCTCGTACCGCCTCCTAGACATTACCTCCCAAAGATTCCATTCTGATGCACTGAATTCTATCACCATTCCCTAATTTTGAAATTTATATAGATGAAATTAAAGAGTATATTCTTTGTCCAGTCTGCCTTCTTTCACTCAACACTGTCTATGAGATTCATGCATGCTGTTGCATATAGATGTAGTTCATTCTTATTTGTTTCTTTTGCTATAGAACAGAAGTCAGCAAGTCACAGCTCTTGGGCTAAACCTGACCTGTCACCTGTTTGATTAGAACACAGCCATGTCCATTCATTTACATATTGCCTATGGCAGTTTTCATGCTACAAAATGGTAGAGTTTGGTCATGATAGAGACCATCTGATCCCCAATACCTAACATATTTGCTATGTGTCCCTTCACAGAAAGAGATTGCCGATTACCACTATAGTGTCTAAATATTCTTATACATGTCTTTTTGTGCAAAAAATTACACACATTCTTTCAAGTATCTACCTATAATTGCAAATTGCAATTGTTGGGTCATAGAGTGTATATGTGTGTGTGTGTGTGTGTGTGTGTATGTGTGTGTGTGTGTGTGTGTGTGTGTGTGTGTAGTTCAGCTTTATTCTGCCAAAAAGTTTTCCAAACTGGCTATACCAATTTATCCTCCTACCAGCTGTGTACAAAAGTCCCACAAATAATTTAACACTCAATGATTAACTTAAGTAAAAGTTAGAATGCATAATTCATCATTTGACTCAATAAAAACAGTTTATGTAATAGCCTGTAATGAAGATCATGATTATCATTTAAGTAAACAAATCATCAGGTGTTACCATCAGGTTGATGATGGTAGTAATAAAATGAGTAAATTTTATTTGCTGATTATCCATGAGCATTAAAGAGTTGATGAAGTTTGTTGCATAAACTGAATTAATAGTTATTCTTTGTTGAACACTTGAAAATAAATGTCCCACAAATGATCCTAGTAAGTGCTTACTCACCCACAGGGAACTATAAACAAAACCCTGGTTCATAAATAAAAACTGTTTTCTGTCGACCTAATTAATTTTCATTTTTTCTTTCTCAACAAAATATACAACTAACTATATTTTACAGATCTAAAGTTATAATATGAAAAGTTATGATTAAGGGAGTGAGGGCTGAATAGGAGGAACACAGAAGATGTGTATGGCAGTTAAAATATTCTGTATGATACTGTAATGGTAGATACATTTGTCTATAGAACATGCAACATCAAGAGTGAACTGTGATGTAAACTGTGGATTTGGGATGATAATGATGTGTCAATGAAGGTTCATCAATTATAACAAATGGACCACTCTGATGGGGGAGGTTGACAATGGGAAAGTTTGTGATGTGTGGTATGTGGGGTATATGGGAAATTGCTTTACCTTCCTCTCAATTTTGCCCTAAAAAAACCAAAGACTTAAAAGACTTAAAAAATAATAGTTAAGGCATCATATTTGGAAAAATCGATAGTTTAGTCCTTTACTATGAAATCATATAGCCTAACACTTCTAAACTTAACCTTCATGTGTTGTTTTCATGGACTTTATACATACTTGCTCTAGGAATGAAACAGCAGTGTTTTCAATTGGCCTTTTTTATCAGTTTCTCTCAGTATTGGGTATGTGCAGGTGGGGAGGGTCACCTTTAGCTAGTATCAGAATTGAGTTGAATGCGAGAATTATAAATTTCGTATAAAAAAATTCAAGAAGCGTTTTTGCTACCAGGTGGTAAAATCATGCATATTTTTTATTTCCCTTTTTTTGTCTCTTTATATTTTCCAAGTGTTCAATAAAATGTGGTCATTCATTTTTCTAATAAAAGAGATTTTAGGTTATTTCTCTGATTTCTAAGAGTACAAAGGGTGTTTCTTATTGTTTGTTTGCATTACTAAAACCTACATCTCCCAAGTATAAAGGTTTTGATAACTGACTCCCATGGTGGAATATGCATAAATAGAGAGGTGGTTGTGACTTCAACTGTGCCTTAAGGTAACCACTACACCAGTTGCTGCATCTTAGAGTTGAGTCAGGGCTTTTATTAAACCTCTCTCACAAAGTCACCTGACCCCAAACAAATGGAATTCCTGAGATCAGCCATCCTTTTGCAGAGGGCATGTGACCCAAAAATCCAGTACCTTGTATCATAGATCAACATGCCACCCATTGACATCCAGCCCATGACATAGCACAGAAGTTGCAAAACAATAGGAAAGTCAAGTAACTGAGGTTTGTGGTTCTGCGGCAAATGGAAGCCTTCCAGAACCAACACACTAAGAGTCTGTTGCAGTAGGGATGGGTGAGAGCTCATTGCACAAATGATATCAAGTAATGTGGAACAAAACACTGTGGAACTTTCTGAGGTTCTCAAAATCGAAACATGTAACACAGCCACACTAGTACACATGCATGCACGTGCACATATACACATGGAGACACAGCCTGCCTCTGCCTCAGAGACATCCTCAAGATGTTATCAATACATGTTTCAATTATGCCAGGGGAATTTGCAGTTTTCATTAAGCTAAGAGACAAACAAAAGGCAATTGCACATTTCCAAGTTCAAGATCTCTATTTTCTTCCTTTCTTCTCAAATTGGACCCAAAAGGCATAGTTTTGTCTGAGGGAATAAAGGTACAGTTATTTTGTGCAACCAGTTAGTTTACTTTCACTGTTCAGAGAAGAAACGGAGAGAAATGCTATATAACTCTGAGTGTCCTAATGTCTGCCTCAAATATATGAAGATCCTGCTGATACAAAACTCTATAAAGAACTACAAATACAGTGTGATTTTCCAAAGATGAATGGTTATGTATATGTGCATGTGTGTATAGAACCTTAAGTGGTAAGAAAAATTTTAATTTGATTTGATTCGTCGTATTTTGTCCTGCATTTTACAGCTTTTCTACCATCAACATGTATTACTTTCATAATAGAAAAAATAAACATGAGAAAGAAATAACCTGTTGGTAACTTTTTTTAAAAAAACATGGAAAGGAAAGGTGATTGGCAATCTCATCCTTAGAACACTTCCCTCCTCGGGGAATTCTTTTTATACTTGATTTGTCTTTAGAGTGACTTTTTTCTATTTTTAATGAAGGGGGCTACCTCTGCTTCTGTTTTTTCTCTAAAAGGGGATAAAAAGAAATGGGGGAAAAAGCTGAGAGCAGTGTGCAGCTGAGGTCCAGTGAGCTCTAAAGAGGCCCTGAAAGGTTGTTCAGGGACAGCATCCTGTTGTAGAACTTTCCCGAGGACAAAGAGACAGGCAAGTCTTTGTTCAGGCTCTATCATCTAGTTCATTGTTCTCTCATTGAAAAATTAAAATGTGTTGTGACCACTTGTTTTTAACATAAAAAGCTTTTTCTGGGTTTTTTTTTTCTTTTATTTTTTTTGAGACGGAGTCTTGCTCTGTTGCCCAAGCTGGAGTCAGTGGTGCAATCTCGGCTCATTGCGACCTCCGCCACGAGGGTTCAAGTGAGTCTCCTGCCTCAGCCTCCTGAGTAGCTGGGACTACAGGTGCACACCACCACACCCGGCTAATTTTTATATTTTCAGTAGAGACAGGCGTTTCACCATATTGGCCAGGCTGGTCTCGAACTCCTGACCTCAGGTGATCTGCCTGCCTCAGCCTCCTGAAGTGCTGGGATTAGAGGCATAAGCCACCATGCCCGTCCCTCTGGGTTCATTTTTAAAGTAAATCATCATACTGGAGGGAAAATCAGTGGCTTCCCAAAAGTATATAGTGTCTTTAATTGTACCCATAATCATTGTGACTCCAAAGAGCAGTGTCAAGTAACAGTCATATACTAGGATTTCTAATGTACAATTATAAAGTAATGATAAGGAAAAAGTTGATTTGTATAATATTTTGCTTATACTCTGAGCCTGGATAATCTAGAGCGTATATAATATTCTATAGCTATATGATCTGATAATGATGGATTTGTCCAGTAAAAGTAGATAATGAGTTCCAACCAAATAGGTGCACTCTTCTAGGCACCAGAAAAACAGTAGTGAATAAAACAGACAAAACTTCTGTCCCAGGAGCTTAGATTCTAGTAGGATGTGGGGGTGCAGTAAATGGACAGTAAACAGTATAAAAAATTAAATTAGATATTGCAGGCTGGGTGCAGTGGCACAGTGGCTCATGCCTGTAATCCCAGCACTTTGGGAGCCTGAGGTGGGTGGATCACCTGAGCTCAGGAGTTTGAGACCAGCCTGGCCAACATGGCAAAACCCCATCTCTACTAAAAATGCAAAATTAGCTGGGTGTGGTGGCGTGCGCCTATAATCCCAGCTACTTGGGAGGCTGAGGCAGGAGAATCACTTGAACCTGGGAGGTGGAGGTTGCAGTGAGCTGATATTTTGCAGTTGCACTCCAGCCTGGGCAAAAAGAGTAAAACTCCATCTCATAAATAAATAAATGAATAAATGAATAAGACATTGCATTGTTTTAGAACATGATGGACTATAAAATAAATAAAGCAGAAGTATCTGTGAGAAATGGAGTAACAGTGGTAGAGGCGGAGGTGAGGGTGCTGATTTGAGAAGGTGAACAAGGATCTGCTTGTTCAGGAGCAGCAGGATCTGCTCAGGATCTGCAGCAACTGTCCTAGGTAGAAGGCACAGCACCTGCCAAAGGCCTGGAGCAGGAGTGAGCCTGGAGAACCCAAGGAACAGAAAGGAACAAGTGTGGCTAAAGCTGAGTATGTTAATCTGTTCTCAAGCTGCTGATAAAGACATACCCAAGACTGGGTAATTTATAAAGAAAAAGAGGTTTGATGGGCCCACAGTTCCACATGGCTGGGGAGGCCTCACAATCATGGCAGAAGGCAAAAGGCACATCTTACATGGTAGCAGGCAAGAGAGAACTTGTGCAGGGAAACTCCCCTTTATAAAACCATCAGATCTTATGAGACTTATTCACTATTATGAGAACAGCATGGGAACCGAACCTCATGATTCGGTTACCTCCCACTGGGTCCCTCCCATGACACATGGGAATTGTGGGAGCTACAGTTCAAAATGAGATTTGAGTGAAGACACAGCCAAACCATATCACCAAGGAATGAGGATTAGGAGACAAGAGGTCATGGGAGGCAGAATTGAGGAGTCCTCATGAGGACTGTAGATTTATTCTGCATGAGATGAGGAGCCAGAGGAAATTTTTGAACACTAGTGTCATGGAATCTGACTTCCTTTTTAAAATACTGGATATCTTAGGTTGATTTTGAAAATTAACAAAATAAGGAAAAAGTGCCTGCAGTATATTGCCATTGTCCTTAAACAAGCACTGAAAGGATATGTTTAGGGTAATAACAATAAAGAGATTTAAAGCCATATGTTATATATGCTCCAGATAAGTAATATGGTAATTAATGTTCATCTAACATAGAAAGTTCAACTAGAGAACATACCACTTTAAAGGAGTTAGGACTTAGAAAGGAAAAGTGATTGGCAATCTCGTCCTTAGAAAACTCCCCTCCTTGGGGAATTCTTGCCGTACTTGATTTGTCTTTAGAGTGGCTTTTTTCTAGTTTTAATGAAGGGGGCTACCTCCGCTTCTGTTTTTCTCTCTTTGACTCTCTACCTTTCTTAAAGAATAGCTTGGTATCATAGTTAATGGCTTACTCAGGAAACTAGTTTTACTAAAAAACAAAGGAAAGAGAAGCCTCTCCTTTTTCCATGATCTTTAAGGTAGGTGTTTACAAATGCTAGCAGAGTTAAGCAGGCTCCAGAGTCTCTTTATGACAGAGCAGGGACTCTGCATTCTCAGAAAGTTGTCTACTGACAACATTAGTGGTGCCATTGACCTAGGCTAGAATGAGTAGCGCTCCCTAGGGTTGCGATGTGGCAGCCCTGGGCATGAGAGATTGGTTCATCACAGACATCAGGCTTTGGCCTCTCTGATGCCCTTTTTGTCTGAGAACCATGGACTGACCCAAATACCCTCTCTTTGATTTATTCAGTCAGAAAGTGAGAATACCAGCATTTCTCTACTCCCATCCCCTTTAATTTTACCTCCAAGGAAAAATTTGTGTGAATTTTTAAAGAAAGGCACATCTATACAGAATTTATAAGGTAACTCGGTGAAAAGGAGACCCAAAACACAAAATATAATTGTCCACTCAGTTTGGCCAGCAATTATTGAGCATCTACTGTAATCCTAGAACTATGCTTGGTAGTAAGGATAGGAAGAAATGAGTGTGGCCCCATCTCCCGTGTTCTGTTTTCTAGCATTATACAGTCAGCCCCCTCTGCTCTGCAAGAGAATGAAACAGGACTGGCCCTTTCCCTGCAGTGGCATTGTTTTACAAACTCATGGATATTCAGGTACACACATCAGCCTGGAACCTGGGCCTCCTCTATGAGTTGTTTCATGCTTATCCTGGTCAAAGCATTGATAGGCCCAGAAAAGTCTATAATGGGTAGATTCAATTGACAGTCTGGAGACTTGATTTTATGTCCTGGCTCCTTCCCCAGATTGTACACCATAATCTCTCTCTGTCTCAAATTCCCCATCCTTCAAACATGTCCAACAACCCGCTATGTAACCCCAACTTTAACTGCATTGCTTATGAGTTTGAATGAAATAACAATATGAGTAAAGGACACAGGAAAAAAAATCAACTGTCTATGCCAATATCAGGCTTGTAAAGGGTATGGTCACTTTCTATCAAGAAACCTTGGTAGTTGAGTGAACCACATTTTTCTTTAGTGTGCCTTTAGTGAAAAATGACTAATTGAATAGAATTGCTAGCACCAGAACTTCAGCTTTCAAAATACTAAGCTATCGCTGTGAAGGAGACAGTCCTGAAATCTGTGACCTTGGATCAGGCACAACAACCTATCTGCTCTCAGGCACCAAAAGCAGACTTGCCAAGCAAATATTCCTGGAGTCAATTTCCTGATGAATTCTTTAGGGTCTATGTCCATAACTGTCCTTCATAAGAATGAGGGATGCTTAATTTTGTAGGATACTAAATGGTTTGGCTTATCTGCTTTCTCCAAAATACATGCTGAAACTGTAGGAAAGCTCATGGCCGAATGAATACTCGTATAAGGAGAAGACTAAAGAGGTCATGGGCAAGAGCACATAATAGATATCCACAAGGGGCCAGCGCCACTTGGGCAGGACCTGAAGGCCAACCAAGACTGTGAATCCCCAAGCCAAGGTAGCTGAGAACAGAGAAAGTCAATGACTCCTGTAGAAGCATTCTCTTCATCTCTTTGGAAGCCTTGGCAAGGGTACTGTGGCTATTGAAGAAAGGTTTGCTTTTTGGCAACACTGAAACAGATTTAAATTCATATTGAAACAAATGACGCAAGCATCTCTAGTTAAAATAGCTTTGTTGGGAGAACTGGCTAGCCATATGCAGAAAATTCAAACTGAACCCCTTCCTTATACCTTATGCAAAAATTAACTCAAGATAGATTAAAGACTTAAATGTAAAACTGAAAATGATAAAAACCCTAGAAGAAAGTCTAGGCAATACCATTCAGGACATAGGCACGGGCAAAGATTTCATGATGAAAATGTCAAAAGCAATTGCAACAGAAGCAAAAATTGACCAATGGGACCTAATTAAATGAAAGAGCTTCTCCACAGCAAAGAAACTATCATCAGAGTGAACAGGCAACCTACAGAATGAGAGAAAATTTTTGCAATCTATCCATCTGACAATTCTAACATCTAGAATCTACAAGGAACTTAAACAAATTTGCAAGAAAAAAAATTAAGAAAGTGGGCAAATGACATGAACAGACACTTCTCAAAAGAAGATATTTATGCAGCCAACAAACAAATGAAAAATAGCTTGACATCACTGATCATTATAGTAATGCAAATCAAAACCACAATGAGCTACCATCTCAGAACAGCGATTATTAAAAAGTCAGGAAACAACAGATGCTGGTGAGGCTGTGGAGAAATAGGAATGTATTTACACTGTTGGTGGGAATGTAAATTAGTTCAGCCATTGAGGAAGACAGTGTGGTGATTCCTCAAAGACCTAGAACCAGAAATACCATATTTGACCCAGCAATCCCATTACTGGGTATATAACCAAAAGAATATAAATCATTCTATTATAAAAACACATGCACACATAAATTCATTGCAGCACCATTCACAATAGCAAAGATGAAATCAACCCAAATGTCAATCAATGATAGCCAGGATAAAGAAAATGTGGTACATATACACCATGGAATACTATGCAGCCATAAAACGGAATGAGATCATGTCCTTTGCAGGGACATGGATGGAGCTGGGAGCCATTATACCCAGCAAACTAATGCAGGAACAGAAAACCAAACACTGAATGTTCTCACTTATAAATGGCAGCTGAACAATGAGAATACATGGACACATCGAGGGGAACAACACACATTGGGGCCTGTGGTGGATGGTGTGGAGTGGGGGTGTTGGGTGGAAGGGAGATCATCAGGATAAACAGCTAATGTATGCTGGACTTAATACCTAAATGATGGGTTGATAGGTGCAGCAAACCACCATGGTACACGTTTACCTATGTAACAAACCTGCACATCCTGCACCTGTATCCTGGAACTTAAAATAAATAAAAATTTAAAAAATAATAAAATAGCTTTGTAATATACATTTCACATATTAAAATATGCATTTTTCTAGGGATAGCTTTGAAAGAAACTTCTCTATAATGAGGAATGAATCAGAGCTTGTTAGCATGAAATCATATTTCAGGGTCTTCCTTGGCTCATTAGAGAGCAAAAGGTCTCATAGATCAAGAGAAAAAAACAAGCAAAGGGGAGAGGATTCCCTATTTATTAATGGTGCTGGGAGAACTGGCTAGCCATATACAGAAAACTGAAACTGGACCCCTTCCTTACAACTTATACAAAAATTAACTCAAGGTGGGTTAAGGACTTAAATGTAAATCCCAAAACTATAAAAACCCTAGAAGAGAATCTAGGCAATACCATTCAGGACATAGGTACAGGCAAAGATTTCATGATGAAAACATCAAAAGCCAAAATTGACAAATGGGACCTAATTAAAGAGCTTCTGCACAGCAAAAGAAACTATCATCAGCGTCTGAGTCATTTTTAATGTACTGTATAATGGAAAAGGACCCCATGGCTATTCAGAGATGAAGGAAGGAAATGAGATGATAGGAAAGAGAAAATAACCCAGGTGGGGAAATGATGAAGATGGTGTTGAACTAGTGAAGTGCCATGCTATAGCCAACAGTTGACAAGAGTGTTTTACTAGAGAAAATAGTGACTGAGTCAGTGCAAAAAAAGTGACCTTTCTCATATCAAAAATCCAGCAATTTATTGTTTCTGTAAATATTTATTGAGTATCTAGTACGTGCCAGCCATTCTTCTTTACCTGCGTGGAAATAGCAGTGATGAAAATAAACAAAATCCCTTGGGTCTCATAAAGTTTACACTTCATTGGTAGAGATAAATAAAGTCAGGCAAACACATACTTAAATCATTTCAGGTCGTGATACAGACTATGGAGAAAAGAAAAGCAGGATAAGGGGACAGGGAGTGACATGGTGGTGGCAGGTGGGTAGCTTTTGTGGAGAGGCTGGTCTAAGAAGGCATTCCAGGCAGAGAGGGCAACAGGTGGAACAAGAGGAAGGCCAGAGTGTGGAATGGGATGAACAAGAGGAGAAGCAGTAGGAGGAGATGAGTTCAAAGACCCCAGTGGGGCAAAATTATGTGGGGTCTAGGCCAGTGCTTCTGAAACTTTAACATGCATGCAAATCACCTGGGCATATTGCTAAAATGCTGATTTTGATTCAGGAAGTCGAAATGGGGCCTAAGATTAGGTCTATTTAACAAGTTCCCACTGATGCTGATAATGCCAGTCCCCGGTATACATTGTGAAGAGCCAGTTCCTAATCCATAATGGAGAGTTTAGATTTCATTCTATTATATGTGCAGTGTTCTGAACAAGGAGTGGCATAACTTATATTTTTAGAGATCACATTTGCTTTTGTATGGAAAATAGATTCTACGTGGGCACTGGGAAAGAACTACGACATTCGTCAGGGCTGGAAATTAGTGGTTTGGCCTAGGGAGACTGTAGTGGGGCAGCGAGACGTTTGGATCCAGGCAATATTTTGAAGGTAGAGCTGATAATATTTGCCAATGAATTGGAGGTAGTAAACAGAAGAAAAGAGGGAAGCGTGCATCCTTGGCTTAAGCAACTGAATAATGGTGATGTCATCAGCTGAGATGGGAAGAGGAGGGTAAGGGATAGTGGATGGCATGGCAGCAGAGCAGGTGGGGGTATGGATTGAGTTGTGTCCTGCCAAGATTCCCATTCTGAAGTCCTATTCCCCCGTACCTCAGAATGTGATCTTTTCTAGAGCTAGCCGTCTTTACAGAGGTAATCAAGTTAAAGTGAGATAATTAGAATGGACCCTAATGCAGTATGACTGATATCCTTATAAACAGGGGAAATTTGGATACACAGACACACATATAGACATCTTCACGCAAACATGAAGGCAGTCATCGACAAGCCAAAGAGAAAGGCCTGAAACAGATGCTTCTCTGAAGGAACCCTCAGAAGGAACCAACCCTACCAATATCTTGATCTTAGACTTCTAGCCTTCCCGAACTGTGAGAAAATAAATGTATGTTGTTTAAGCCACTTAGTTTATGGTGCTTTGTTACAGCAGCCCTAGCGTCCTAATATAGTAGCGGGAAAGAGAGATTGCTCTTTTAGGCAGACCCCGTCAGAGAAGGAGTCAATTTTAATGATCAGGGGAAGGAGCTTTCCAGAAAGAGAGAGCAGCATGTGAGCATGTGTGAAAGCTGTGATATAGGAACAGATGGTGTAGAATAAAAATTTTATTTTGAACCCAAAAAGTAGTGACATTACTGAATTGGAGTGTTAAAATAAAAAATTCATTGGACTAGAATTCAAAAGACATTGGTATGAGTTCTAACTCTGCCACTTACTCATTGCATATGGTTAAGCAAGTGTCTTAAACTCTTTGACCCTCAGTTTCCTCACTGGAGATAAACTACCCACGGCACCTATCCACCAGGCTGCTGTGAAGTCCAGATAAAATAGAAATACATGTGAAAGTACCTTACAAAGTATGAAACCTTATGTAAATTTAGTTGTGGCAGCTGTTTTCTCATTGTTGCTGCAGCTGGTGTTATTGTTCCAGCCATAATAGATAATAATGTGCATAACGCTATAGTAAACAGGGATGTGCCGGGCACGGTGGCTCATGCCTGTAATCCCAGCACTTTGGGAGGCAGAGGCAGGCAGATCACCTGAGGTTGGGAGTTCAAGACCAGCCTTACCAACATGGAGCTACCCCATCTCTACTGAAAATACACAATTAGCTGGGTGTGGTGGTGCCCACCTGTAATCCCAGCTGCTTGGGAGGCTGAGGCAGGAGAATTGCTTGAACCTGGGAGGCAGAGGTTGCAGTGAGCCAAGATTGCACCATTACACTCCAGCCTGGGCAACTAGAGCTAAACTGTTCTCAAAAAAAAAAAAAAAAAAAAAAAAAAAACCCAAAAAACAGGGATGTGTCTGCTCCAGACATGCAACTCATGGGTCATGAGCTTTGATGTTACAAGAATGCTTGAGAGTCTGTTTTGGCTACTGTCAAGTCATCCATCTTATTTTTTAGAAGCTAAAAAATCCAAGTTCATGTGATTTTAATTATAACCATACTTTTATTTAAAGTGGGAAGGAACAGAAGATTGTGGTAGCATAAATCATAAGTCATCTAATCTCATTTAGGTTATATGAAAACAAGATGGAAACCTTTGAAGTTAGTGTGTTTATTTGCTAATCTACCTCCCTCTTCCTGCTGCACACATCACACTGTGGTTCTCAGAATTGTTCAGATGGGAAGTATTTTTTTGCAGAAATTTTTATTTTAAAAATAATAACTTCAGTGTCTGCTCTAAATCAATATTCCGTTGGTCAGAAACGAACCATCTTAGCTACCACTGTTGCATCAAATTTTGCAGCTCATGGAAATAAGCCAAGAGGTTTTTATGACCATTGATAATGGACTAAAAGAAAACCCAAGACAGATAGATGACAGCTGCAATGTTCTTGGCACAGCTAAGGTGGGTTGGGAGTGGGTGTGAGGAGAGAACAATTCAGAAATACTTTTTAAAAAACAATCTTTCACCCCCACAATGTTTGGGGGCTTGTTTATATGTATCATTTTGTATTTTTGTAACATATTCTATTTTAATTTTACCTCATTGTGGTAAGACCACTTAACAGGAGATCTGCCCTTTTAACAAATGTTTGAGTGTATATACAGCATTATTGACTACTGGTGCAATGTTTTACAGCAGATATCTAGAGCTCATTCATCTTGCATAACTGAAACTTTAAGCCAGTTGATGAGTGATTCCTGATTTTCCCTTCCCCGTACACCATGGAAACCACCGGTATTCTACTATTTGATTCTATGAATTTGACTAGTTTAGATACCGCATATAAATGGAGTCATACAGTATTTGTCTTTCTGTGACTGGCTTATTTCACTTAGCATAATGTCCTCCAGGTTCTTCCATGTTGTCACAAATTGCAGAATTTCCTTTTGAAGGCAGAATAGTATTCCATTGTATGCGTCTACCATATTTTATTTTTCCATTCATCTGTTGATGGATCTTAGGTTGTTTCCATATCTTGGCTATTTGAATAGTGCTGCAATGAACATAGAGGTGCTAATATCTCTTCGAGGTCCTGACTTCTGTTCTTTTAAATAAATACTTAGTAATGGGGTTGCAGGATAGTATTATAGTTCTATTTTTAATGTTTTGAGTAACCTCCATACTGTTTTCCATAGCACCTCACCATTGTGCCTTCCCATCAATAGTACACAAGGGTTCCAGTTTCTCCACATCCTCACCAACATTTGTTGTCTTTTTTCTCATAAGAGCCATCCTGACAGGTATAAGGTGATCACTCATTGTGGTATTGATTTGTGTTTTCCTAATAATTAGTGACACTGAGCATTTAAACAAAATTTATTTGTTGGCCATTTTTATATGTTTTAGAGTTTAATCTATTTCATATTGTCCTCTTTTCTGTAATAAATTATGTTTTGTTAGAAGATGCCCATTTGAACGGTAACACTTTAGTTGGCCAGTAGAGAGTTATTTCCAGACTGAGTCACCATCAGCTGCATGTGCTGCCTTGCTATTCATGCCCCCACTCATAAGAGCAGGAAGACAATTCAGTCTCCATGTACTAGGGGTCCTCTGTTCCTCTGCTGATATTCAGACTTTATAAACTGAAGAATGACATGAATCAATGAACAAGACTAAACCATTCCTAACATCTTGGTAATGCAGTGTTCAAAAGATGTTCTTTTCAGATGCCTAGAGCAAGGCTAACCAACTGTTATACACTAACTAGTAACTGATCATCTATAACAATAGATAACATAGACTGGACACTGTTATGTGATTCCCATACATTATTTTGTTAAATCTCAAAATAACCCTGTAATATTTTAAGTGCTATCAATATCCTCTCATTCCAATTAACCAAATCTCTCTGTGTGTCTATATACATATATATATATCTTATAAATGTGTGTATGTGTGTGTGTATATATATATATGTACATATATAAAATTCAATCCTCTCTACAAAATACTACACTTTTCTTATTTTCATCATATGGGTGTTATGTTCCCTGAAACACTGACCTTGAGAAATAATCAGCCAATTACAGTAGAAAATTTTAATGATTTATATTCAAAGATTGAAGTCTTACTAGATGTAGCAATTTCTGGTGAAAGAAAAGAAAGTAAATGATTTCTTCCCAAATGGCTCAAACAGAAAAAACTTGGAAGTAGTTAGTGTTGCATGTGCAATTCTCTGACTCTCTTTTCCAGGCTGATCATTTCTTGGCAGCATGCCTGATTATATCTAGGCAGTTACACCCCAGAAGGTATATTCTCATAGTCAGGAATATGTGACAGACACCTCTCGTACTTTAAGTCAAGATATTATAGCTATCTTTACAGCTACACAATCATCATGATCTTGCAAATCTGGAGTCCTCCTGGTGTCACCTTTTCTGATCCAAAGGTTCAAAATCGCTTCAATTCTGTCAGCATGTCAAGTGCTTACAGTTTCTGAGATGGTGCTGGTGGTTTCTAAGGGTGAATTTGCAAGTCTCCAAAACTCCTCTCTGGAGCTTCTTCTGGAGATCACACACTCAAATGCCTCCAGGAGCCAAAAGGGTGAGGTGCAAGAGTGAGTGAAGCCAACTGGGTTCAATACAAGAGACAGTGATGGTGCTGAGGCCCCTGGAGAGTATGTGCCCCCAACTAGAGCAGCAGCTGCTGCTCTGCCACTGCCACAAAATGTCATGAGGGAATGCAGGCTCTGTGTGGCCAACTCCAGTCGTTTTTTTTTTGTTTTGTTTTTTGTTTTTCAAGAAAACCTGGAAATTCAGATGTCTGTGTAAAATATACTGATTGATAAATGTTGGCAACTAATACAGATTTCTTTCTTTTAAATACAATGCAGCAAGTTCACCAGGCCACTACTTTGCAACTTACACTTTAGGGGTTCTCAGTGGGGAAGAAAGTGCCAAAATATTCTCCTGCACTTCCCTCAGCAGCTTTTCCTCTCTGACCTCTCACAACCAGAAGGATATCATAAGCAGTACTTCCCTTCCACTAGGAAGGATATGAGCTTTGAGGAAAGTGAGGAGCAGGTCCTTCAAAGAAAATCTTGGGCTCCCAAATCCAGCCCTTTCCCTACTGCCTTTGGACAGAGGAGTATGTAACTCAAGATCATCATAGACAAGAATGTGTGCATATTTGGGTTTCTCCAAGGAACTACAGCCTTGTAGAGCACTGCAGGGCCTCTGGCTGAAATAAGGAAGTTGGGAAAGTAAAGAAAAGGATTCTATTTTCAATGTTCTGGGCTTAAGAGAACAGCAAAACTTCCAAATTAAAACAACTTAAGACATTTTGGGTAGATTCTCAATGAGATTTAAGACTAAAAATTATATATTTGGCAGCTATAAAAATAGAAGTGATATACTCACTCCCCCAATGGGGATACCTTAGGTGCCAAATTTGTGTCACAGTCAGGACTGGGACAGTTGGTAAATTAACGTGGACTAGAACCACCCACAGCAGTGAGACCTTACAGTGAGCTGGAGAGGATGTCTCCAACCAGGCCATGGAGTTGGAGACAAATCCTCCAACCAGAATGCAGGATTTGGAACCTTGGAAACTCCTAGGTGATTCTTTACAGAAAAGCAAAGTCTAGCCTCAGGGAACCCAGAAATGGTGGCGTTCCAGTATCCAGACCTGCAGCCGATACCACAGAAACCTGTGTAGAGTGGGACCATGAAAACAGCCCACTTACTAGATCCCAGATAATCAAACTAGTTACAAATGAGTTTGGCAAACTCTTAGAAGGCAGGGAACTATGTAATCCCTTAGAAAAATTCTTATCAAATGTTTCAGATGAATCCCTTCTGAACTTTTACACTCTATTCCTCAAGCAGCATTCTCCACAGTTCAACTTTTGCTTTCCTGGGCCACTTGAGGAAGGAGCAGGAACAGAGAGAGCAGCAAAGGTCCTCTGGTCATCACAATAAGTTCTCAGCCCCCATAAAGGCCCTCAAGGGTCAATTGTACTGTTTCCCCAATGGCGCTGCTGGGAGCTGCTTGATTCCACACCTCTACCTGGGGAAGGGCTGCAGTGATAATACACCTGTTTACAGGGCAGAGCGGGAGTAAGTAAAACAGACCTCAAAGAAGATGAAGGACAGCTTTCCATTTTTTCTTCCTTAGGTCTTTAGAATTCATTTGTTATACCTCTCTCTAAATGATTCCATAAACTACATCTTGACCACTTAAAAAGTAAAATGGGGAAGACAGCTTAAGCCATCTTTTAAATCATAGCAAATGCCAAGAAATGTCTCAGAGGCCCTGTGATATCCCTTTGCTTAGAGCTATTTTCATTATTATTGTTATTTGCCTTGGCAGTCAAATTCTTTACAAGCAGTCTGATCTGCAAATAGTATGATAATAACTTTGGGGATGTCAGCCTTGACATTTTATTGGTTTGGGCTTCCTGCTGGTTCACCTAGGCTATTTCACTTTCTAAAACCACACACTTTCTATCCCATTCATTATCTAGAGGTCCCCACATCCAGGCAGCAGAGAATGGGCATTGATGTCTTTACCTAGTGTAGGACCTCTATACATCTGTCCAGATATGGGGAAATAGAAATCCATCCTCTGAATTCTGTGTATTCTGAGAGAGCTTGAAGTCAGTTTGTCTGACTAGCAATATCCTGGTCAACACAGGGAGGGAGGAAGTGAGATGAGACCAGCCAAGCAGAAGCATTGGCCCTTTATAGCAAGAAGCCAACAATCTATATCATCTGGTCCAAAGAGGTAGAATCCTCCCGCTTCAGGTTAAGACAACAGTAATGGCCAACCATAGGAGTAGATGGGCAGGGGCTTCTGAGAGGCTGAGGGCGCTAATGATGTCTACACGATCATAGATCTAGGGATCCAGACCTGATCATGGAGGATGGGTGGAGATATGGTTCACCTCCAGAGAAATGGGATTGAAAACATTTGATGAGGGGCCAGGATCATTTTGCCATCAGCTTGGATTCAGATTCGGTCCCAGCTCCACCCATGAAACTTGAATAGACTCCAGGGCCGAAAGCAGAAAACTACTCAAACAGTCTGCTTTCTCTTGGCATTAAGGACACTGCCTCCAAGGCATGCTGACCTTGAGGGTTATGATCTCCCTCAAGTCACCAAAGAGAAAGTACAAGTGGAGTAGCTTCCATACCCTTGTCAAAGGAGGAGATGGATCTTTTAACCTACAGACCTCACTTTCATTGGGCCAAGGTGGGGACCGAGACCAATTTATTATCCCTAAGAGCTGCCTAGGCCAAGAACAGGAGCAATAAAGAGGCTGAGGTAGGAAAGGAGAAAATGAGAGAAAGGGGGTGGGTTATTATTAAAAACATTGGCTAATTCAGATGACCATCTTCAAAGTGTCCCTGACTTAAAGTGAAATTGCATGGGCCTAGCATAAAAGCTATTAGGTGGGGGCAAAAGTAATTGTGGTTTTTGCCATGAAAGTAATGGCAAAACCGCAATTACTTTTGCACCAGCCTAATAACTCCAACAGATTGAGAACAATACTATAATTCATGAGTTAAGAAGTATATACATGTGTATACTGTAATATACACATAATGAGTATATTATAATTTATGTCTACCTGGGCTAAAGCAGGCAAACCTGTACGGTAATGCATCACTTAACTGTGCGGATACATTCTGAGAAATGCATCACTAGCCTATTTCATCATAGTGTAAACATCAAAGAGCACACTTACACAAACCTGGATGGTATAGCCTACTACGCACCCAGGCTATGTGCTCTAGCCTATTGCTCGTAGGCTACAAACCTGTACAGTATATTACTCTGCTGAATACTGTAGGCAATTGTAATATAGTGGACAGAATTTGTGTATCTAAACATAGAAAAGGTACAGTAAAAACATGATACAAAAGATTTTAAAATGTTACACATTTCTAGGGCACTTACCGTAAATGGAGCTTGCAGGACTGGAAATTGCTGTGGATGAGTGAGTGAGTGAGTGAGTGAGTGGTGAGTGAATATGAAGACCGAGAATGTTACTGTACACTTCTGTAGTCTTTATAAACACTGTACACTTAGGCTACACTAACTTGATAAGAAATTATTTCTTCAAGAATAAATTAACCGTAGCTTACAATAATTTTTTTACTTTATGAACTTATTACTCTTTTATAATTTTTTTACTCTTATAATACTTTTTTACTCCTTTATAATAACACTTAGCTGAAAACACAAACATACGACTGTACAAAAAAATTCTTTATACCCTTATTTTATAAGCTTTTTTCTATTTTCAATTTTTTTAACTTTTGAAACTTGTGTTAAAAACCGAGACACATTGATTTTGTATCCTGAGACTTTGCTGAAGTTGCTTATCAGCTTAAGGAGATTTTGGGCTGAGACAATGGGGTTTTCTAGATATACAATCATGTCGTCTGCAAACAGGGACAATTTGACTTCCTCTTTTCCTGATTGAATACCCTTTATTTCCTTCTCCTGCCTAATTGCCCTGGCCAGAACTTCCAACACTATGTTGAATAGGAGTGGTGAGAGAGGGCATCCGTGTCTTGTGCCAGATTTCAAGGGAATGCTTCCAGTTTTTGCCCATTCAGTATGATATTGGCTGTGGGTCTGTCATAGACAGCTCTTATTATTTTGAAATATGTCTCATCAATACCTAATTTATTGAGAGTTTTTAGTATGAAGCGTTGTTGAATTTTGTCAAAGGCCTTTTCTGCATCTATTGAGATAATCATGTGGTTTTTGTCTTTGGTTCTGTTTATATGCTAGATTACATTTATTGATTTGTGTATATTGAACCAGCCTTGCATCCCAGGGATGAAGCCCACTTGATCATGGTGGATAAGCTTTTTGATGTGCTGCTGGATTCGGTTTGCCAGTATTTTATTGAGGATTTTTGCATCAATGTTCATCAAGGATATTGGTCTAAAATTCCCTTTTGTGGTTGTGTCTCTGCCCGGCTTTGGTATCAGGATGATGCTGGCCTCATAAAATGAGTTAGGGAGGATTCCCTCTTTTTCTATTGATTGGAATAGTTTCAGAAGGAATGGTACCAGTTCCTCCTTGTACCTCTGGTAGAATTCGGCTGTGAATCCATCTGGTCCTGGACTCTTTTTGGTTGGTAAGCTATTGATTATTGCCACAATTTCAGATCCTGTTATTGGTCTATTCAGAGATTCAACTTCTTCCTGGATTAGTCTTGGGAGAGTGTATGTGTAAAAATCACAAGTATTCTTATACACCAACAACAGACAAACAGAGAGCCAAATCATGAGTGAACTCCCGTTCACAATTGCTTCAAAGAGAATAAAATACCTAGGAATCCAACTTACAAGGGATGTGAAGGACCTCTTCAAGGAGAACTACAAACCAGTGCTCAAGGAAATAAAAGAGGATACAAATGGAAGAACATTCTATACTCATGGGTAGGAAGAATCAATATCGTGAAAATGGCCATACTGCCCAAGGTAATTTATAGATTCAATGCCATCCCCATCAAGCTACCAATGACTTTCTTCACAGAATTTGAAAAAACTACTTTAAAGTTCATATGGAACCAAAAAAGAGCCCACATCGCCAAGTCAATCCTAAGCCAAAAGAACAAAGCTGAAGGCATCATGCTGCCTAACTTCAAACTATACTACAAGGCTACAGTAACCAAAACAGCATGGTACTGGTACCAAAACAGAGATATAGATCAATGGAACAGAACAGAGCCCTCAGAAATAACGCTGCATATCTACAACTATCTGATCTTTGACAAACCTGAGAAAAACAAGCAATGAGGAAAGGATTCCCTATTTAATAAATGGTGCTGGGAAAACTGGCTAGCCATATGTAGGAAGCTGAAACTGGATCCCTTCCTTACACCTTATACAAAAATCAATTCAAGATGGATTAAAGACTTAAATGTTAGACCTAAAACCATAAAAACCCTAGAAGAAAACCTAGGCATTACCATTCAGGACACAGGCATGGGCAAGAACTTCATGTCTAAAACACCAAAAGCAATGGCAACAAAAGCCAAAATTGACAAATGGGATCTAATTAAACTAAAGAGCTTCTGCACAGCAAAAGAAACTACCATCAGAGTGAACAGGCAACCTACAAAATGGGAGAAAATTTTCACAACCTACTCATCTGACAAAGGGCTAATATCCAGCATCTACAATGAACTCAAACAAATTTACAAGAAACAACCCCATCAAAGAGTGGGCGAAGGACATGAACAGACACTTCTCAAAAGACGACATTTATGCAGCCAAAAAACACATGAAAAAATGCTCACCATCACTGGCCATCAGAGAAATGCAAATCAAAACCACAATGAGATACCATCTCACACCAGTTAGAATGGCAATCATTAAAAAGTCAGGAAACAACAGGTGCTGGAGAGGATGTGGAGAAATAGGAACACTTTTACACTGTTGGTGGGACTGTAAACTAGTTCAACCATTGTGGAAGTCAGTGTGGCGATTCCTCAGGGATCTAGAACTAGAAATACCATTTGACCCAGCCATCCCATTACTGGGTATATACCCAAAGGACTATAAATCATGCTGCTATGAAGACACATGCACACGTATGTTTATTGCGGCATTATTCACAATAGCAAAGACTTGGAACCAACCCAAATGTCCAACAATGATAGACTGGATTAAGAAAATGTGGCACATATACACCATGGAATACTATGCAGCCATAAAAAATGATGAGTTCATGTCCTTTGTGGGGACATGGATGAAAGTGGAAATCATCATTCTCAGTAAACTATCGCAAGAACAAAAAACCAAACACCGAATATTCTCACTCATAGGTGGGAATTGAACAATGAGAACACATGGACACAGGAAGGGGAACATCACACTGTGGGGACTGTTGTGGGGTGGGGGGAGGGGGGAGGGATAGCACTGGGAGATATACCTAATGCTAGATGACGAGTTAGAGGGTGCAGCGCACCAGCATGGCACATGTACACATATGTAACTAACCTGTACATTGTGCAGCACATGTACCCTAAAACTTAAAGTATAATAATAATAATAATAAAAACAGACTATTAAACAGACTACTGGTATTTTGGTTTCTTTTGTTATCTAACAAAAACATCAAATAAAATTACTACTTTTCAATTTCAAAAAAAAAAAACCGAGACACAAATGCACACAGTGATGTTGATCATCTTGACCCTGGGTAGGCCTAGGGTCAAGATGATCAATATCACTGTCTTCCACCTCCACATTTTTCCCACAGGAAGGTCTTCAGGGGCAATAACACACATGGGGCTGCCATCTCCTACTATAACAATGCCTTCCTCTGGATACCTCCTGAAGGACCTGCCTGAGGATGTTTTACAATTAACTCTTTTTTTTTTTTCAGAAGTAGGAGTATACTCTAAAATAAAGTATAATATGGTAAATACATACACCAATAACATAGTTGTTTATTCTCATTATCAAATATCATGTGCTGTACAAAATTGTACATGCTATACTTTCATATGCCTGGCAGAGAAGTAGGTTTGTTTACACCAGCATCACCATAAACAGTGCGATGCACTGTGCTACAATGGTTACAATGACTATGAAGTCACTAGACGATAGGAACTTTTCAGCTCTATTATAATCCTATGGGACCATCATTGTACATGCAGTTTGTCATTGACCCACACGGTCTTACACAGCACATGACTATACTTATCCTGACCCCCCCTCTTTCTAGGTCCATGTCATACTCTTGCCACCCATGTTTGTTAAGAACTCTTAGTTTCATGTATCAAGCATATTGCCAAATTGGCTTAAGCATAAGGAGGGGATGTATTATAAGGACCTACCGCTTTGTAGAACTCAGGTTTAGTAAATCTCTTGCTGAGACTTGGAAGGGAACTGGAAGTAAGAACAAGAGCCTGTTTCTGCTTCTCTGAACATCTGCTTTATTTTTTTCTCTCGGCCCAGACAGGCTTTCTCTGACTCTCAGGTTCACATGTTAGCTCTCTCTCTCTCTCTTTCTGCTACTTTCTTCTCTCTGTCTCAACTTCCAAACACAGGGAGAGAATCTGTCTGGCCCAGCTTGGATCTGGTGCGCATCCCTTGTTCAATCAGGAACTGCTAAGGAAGGGGCAGTCTATGTATTACATCATGACCCAGAGGAATCTTAGTGACCTGTGTTTCTTAAACTTTGACATGCATATACATCACCTGGTCATCTGCTTTAAATATAAAATCTGATGAAGTCTGGGATGAAGCCCAAGATTCTACATTGTTAATAAGCCCCCAGTTGATACTACTGCTACTGGTCTATGAATCACATGTAGCAAAGTTCTAGAAGATGGGTTGTGGCAATTCCCAGAGATCATGAAGCCATTTTTTTTCTGTGCCAAATGCAACACGTGGCCTTTTTATGCCATACTTCTGGCTCCTGGATACTCATCACACCCTGTCACAGAGTGAGGTTTCTTCAAATGTGCTTGTCTTCTCTGAGTGGACCCTCATGTCCTCTAAAGGCTTCTCCCTTAGACTCTTCTAACCACCAACCTCAGAAGAACTCCCAGTCTCTGTTTTGTCCTCATCTAGTTTTCATGGAAAAAAGTGATCTGATGAGCACCATTAATGGTAGTCTAATCCATGAGTATTCAATCAAAAGTATTTATGAAATATTGATGTATTTCCTTTTTTATTTACAAAAATAAAAATGCCATATGGCTAAAGAAATGAATCTCTAATGAGGGAATTTCAATCATTGTGGTAGGTAGACAAAAAATTTAAGACACACACAGTGCTACCCAATTGTGCTTTGGGGTCTGGAGAAACCGTGGATACTGGTTGCCACACTGACTGACTTGTTGTTGACTCAGCAGTGGGCTGAGTTCACCCCTACCATGGGCTGAACTGACTTCAGAACCAAGGGCAGTGACCAAAGAGACCTGTCCATGTCCTAGCTAAAATCATTCAGGTAATATATGTGAAATTAATCGTCTACATTCAAAATTACATTTTGTTGTGTGTAATATCAGTTGAGTATTTTCATAAAGAAAACTACCTACATTAGATAAACACTCAGCCAACAGAGGAGTACAGATGGGCAGTATCGAGTACTTGAATCCTTAGTGTTGTGCAGGGTATAAGAAGTGTCCCAATTATTACATTTGTCTTAAAGCCTATAAAGGTTTTTTAAAATTCAATTGAAATAAGTTGGTTATAGCACTAAAGTTTCCTAAATAGGAACTGTCTTTTTGTGTCTCATACGTGAGCATTTATTGAAAATACTCCCCCAGTATCCTATAGGCATTTCTCTAAGCCTTCCCAAGAAAGTGATTCTCTGCAGTCTATGTAAGAAGGATTCATTGATTTCTGAAGACAAAAATGTATTGATCTTCTATATAAACACCCAGAATCCATTTGAAAATGCTACAAGATTTTGTTGCCTCTTGTACCCAGTGGCACGAAAGGAAGATGATAGCTGCTTCCAGCAAGGCCCTATGTTTACTCAGGTTTCTTCATTTCCCATATGTGTGTGTTTGCACACCAAGCTGGGAGCATGTATTCCCATCATTAGTAACCTCTTACAAAATAGACTTCCTCAATTTACTGCAAATTCTGAAGGAATAAAAATGAAGCAAATAAATGTGGTCCATCTTTCTTCAGGACCTGATGCTCCTGCAGTGTGTATCTGGCAATTCTTTCATCCACCTATTAGACCAGCTGGAATGGGGAAAGAGGAATGCTTTGAATAAGAATACAACAGTTGCAGGAAGATTTTTCATCAGCCAGAGCTGTTGATAAAACAGTCAGCTTGAGGTTAGGAGTGACGCATATTGGAGTCTCTGCCTAAGACATCGAAGTTATTCATCGGAAGACCTGAAAGTAAATCATAGTCTCCCAATTGTTTTGTTTTTTTGTTTGTTTTTTTTGTTTGTTTTTAAGCTAGTGTCATTCAGGCAATAGCATGCATCCAGGCTAATGCTAACCTAGAATTTGCCAGCTCATAATTCTACTAATAATTTTTCAAAGTATTGCCATCTAATCTCAGAGAGATAGACATTTTCAATTTGAGTAGTTAATTCCTCTAGTTACAGAAATTGCTTGCCAAATGTGCATATTAATTTACCAATTAAAGGAGTCACCTGGATGATGGCCAGCAATGTCTCACGTGGCACATGATGGCTCTCCTACACACCCAATCCAGGTCTATTCCAGGAAAAATACCTAATTTTGTGTAGAAAATAAGACTTAGACTGGGGTTTAATATGAGAAAAATGAGAAGAAAAAAGACAATTTCTTACTGCAGTGGTTGCAAACCTGGATCCTGGAATCACATATGAACTTGAATTGTGATGATAAAACTTCCTTACTTGTGTTGTTTGAGTTTGTCACCCACAACATAGAAATGGTTGCTGTGAGGTACACTGAGATCAGGTGGGGGACGTGTATACAGAGTCTGCACACGGGAAGAGCTCAGAGCTTAGAGCTGTTGCTACACTTTTCTGATCCCACCTGCCCAGCTCTACTCAATCTTCACCAGCCCTGAGGAAAAGAGAACAGAAACAAACAAAAAAAATGCAAGCAAAGGCTACATGGGAGAGAGAATGGGAAGAACTGTGAAGAACTTTCTAGAACTGTTGGCATACCCTCAGAAATAATGGAATGAAGTTAAAGTCTTCTTTTCACTTGCTCTTTTGCAACTAGGCTGACCCAGTCTGAGCACCAGACTTTACACTTTATGTTTGCATTTCTCTCTTTGTGACTATTCTCGTAAGAAAAGGACTGTCATGCTGCTGTGTTTTCCAAAAGTTCAGGGGTAAATGCCACTGAGGGAAAAAAAACCCTCCATATAGCTGTTTCCTTATTCAACCATGACTGTCCTGTAGTGCCATCTGCCCTCACAGCTGAGCTGAACAGAGCTCTTGGGAGCTCCACAGGCCCCTGGGATGCAGCTTTCTGAGGTTGGATAGGACAAGGCAACTAGAGGTTTCCAGACTATTCTAGAAATGTTGTTTCTTTGGAGGTCCAAAGTTTTCCATCATTTTTTCTACATGAGTAGAATAATGAAAATGAGTGTGAAGAGGAGGCTGAGGAGGAGCAAAAAGATAAGTCCAAGCATTATTTTTCTCATCTGCAAAGGGAACAATTTCTTTGGACATAGACTCCACTTTGACAAAGCTGCTGCATCCAAATTCTATACTGTGAACAACTTCCTGTCATCTAGCCACATTTCTGGCATACACACAAAAGGTGACAGATATTCATAGTTTGGAATGCCCAAAAGTATTTCTGTCCTTTAGAAGGATTTGGAATGTAGGAAAAACAGAGCAAGTTACTGTTCAGTTAGTTCAAGCCTGGCTTAATTCCAAGCATTTCAAATTCAGAGCATCTAGAACTTTCTTCGACGTACTACCAAGTACAGAGCTTAGAGAAGCATGCACTTTGATAGTCCCAACCAGGGTGGCCGTATACAGTGCCACTGAGACCTTGACAACGTGTTTTCTGTCTCCAGATCCCTACAGCCAGGTGTTTGTGAGGCTGGTTGCTCAGGCACCGGGCGATGCTCTCCACTCTGCTCCCAGCCCGCTGCTAATAAAACCCATGGGAGCCAATTATAATGCTGTTACTCCTCCAGCAGAGGTTCAGCCTGTGTTTTATAGAAGGCACTCATATTGCTCACTAGAGACCCTGGAATCAGAGTTCTGTTCAGCGTTTGCTCGTATTCACTAGAACTATCACATTACTGAATCTGCAAAGAACACAAAACTTGCCTTTTTTTGAGTATATGTGGGTAAGGCTCATTGATAGTGAGTGTGAGATGCATTGACTTGTTTACCAAAACATCTTTGAAATGAGAGTAATTTCAGTAACTGAAGTGATGACATTTTGTTTTAGCCCTCTCCTCTGAGTGGATTATGTGAAAATGTCTAAACAAGCAAAAATGCTCTTTCTGTACATTGCAAAATGGCAGCCTTTAAAGCAACTACTAATATTGTTTATTTAAAGGAAAACATTTAGGAAAGTGTAGTAGCCATGCAATTAAGCAAGATTTTAAAAAACTGCATTCTAAGGAGACTCAATCCAGCTTTAAGAATCTACAGAACTGGAACAGAATAGTGGTTAGAAAGTTAAAATGTGGTTATGTTTTCAGTGTGGACATCCTAGCTCGATGGATCCCAGCAAGATGACACAGGTATGCTGTTCACATTTCGATTCTAAATCTGTCCTGGACAGCTCTGTCTGCCAAGTCTGAAAAATGCAGGTGTGAGAAAAGATAAGGAAACAGTCACAATTCTTCATACGTTTTCTGAATCTCCTTTATGGGATGAACCTGTATTAGTGTTACTTTCTTCAACAAGTTTTCTTTCAGAAAGGAGTTTTATGATTAGGATAAGTCCATTTTCTCTTCCCAAAGCTTTGATCTATCACAGACCAAGAATCTGATGAAATGGATCACAATGTTTTGAGAAGAGACTGAAATATTCCCATTGTGTGACCAGTGCCGTCCTAGGTTTAGACTTGTGGAGCAGAAGAAGTGAGAAGGGAAGACCTGATTGTTGTTTGTACATTTTTCACCTGCAGATAGCCTTGAAGCCTCTTCAAAGAGAGAGCTATTCTGATCCTGTCAACTTTCTAGCTTTCTGTTATTAAAGGAGGGTGTGTATAGACCTCATATCTGTAAAGTAATACCTTTATCCAAAATAAATTATCTTTGCAAGTAACTACAACTTGCCTTCCAAACAACAAAGTGATCCTTAACTTTGAGACAGGTCTTGCTGCAGTAGATGACACGCCTTGAGGAGCAGACAATAAAGAACAGAATTTGGCACTTTTTAAATGATTTGGGATAATCTTCTCAGCTCAGGCGAAAGCTGTTCAGAGTCACAGGGAATGTCTCTGGGTTGACAGCAAGAATAAGGTGATGCCAGTTCATAGGAGTTGAGAGCACCAACCCTCTGGACTCTGTATTGAGTAGGAGTGGCCCCTGCTCCCAAGTATCTGACTTGGGAGATGAAGGGCTCCTGGATTTGCTGACTAGGGGGTTTCTCTCTACAGTTATTGCAAAATTAGATGCAAACACTGGCCTCGTGTTCATTCCATTTGTGATTGTGGTATCTCAAATGGAGGCCACCAGAACTGAGCCTTCTTCCCTTCAGAATAACACTTGAGTTAAGTCGCATAAGACAGATCCCACTTATTCCTGGAGATGTCTATCTGTCCCAAAAGCAGAGAGCAGAGTGTGCTCGTGATCACACCAACGAGAAGGAGCCCCTGGTTGCAGGAAGTACTCCCACTTCTTTCTTCTGAAGAAGAAAGAATAAGACACTTTTACTAAGCAGGGCCTTTACATTTCTCTAAACAGTGTTGCTCATCTTTTTGCTTTTATTCACTAATAAATACATGAGAAGATGAACATTTGCTGAAGAGGAAGCAAATAATAAAGACACACACACACACATACACACACACACATATATAATCACCTCCCAATGACCCTATCTCCAAATACCAACACACTGGAGGTTGGGAATTCAACAAATGAATTTAGGTGGGGCAAAGGGAGACAAAAATATTCAGTTCCTAATACATGCCTATCACATTTGTGAATTACACAGAGCCCCAAGGGAGACTATGCCCTGTAATTTTGTGTCCAGTCTGAGCTCTGTATATCATGTGAGAAAATTAAAAGCAGAATGGTATTTAGAGGAAATAAATTAATTGGGCAATGTTCTAGAAACCATATCATAGAACTAATTGAAGTTAAAGAAACCACAGTTCCTTATCATTAAGAAAGAACTAAGAGGGAACACAACCCACAAATATTATTTGTGGATACTTGGAGAATTGCCTGTAGAAGAAGGATTTGACGTCTCTGTGGTCCCAGCGTGTGGAATTAGTGAAAGTTAGAAGGAGGTAGATTTTGGAAAAATAGAAGGTAGAACTTCCCAGTAAAGAAAGCTCCTCAAAACTGTAAATTAGTAAGCTCTTTAGCACTGAGCTCATTTAGGCAGGCAATCCTCTTTCAGAGACATTCTAATGGAAATATTTAAATTAGACAGAATTTGAAACTAGATTTCTCCACATTCTGACTCTAAGATGTTACATTTTAAGAGCCCACTGTTTAATAATAATCAATCTTTAAATGATTTGTATAGGTATAGAAGAGAGAATATAAAGACCGAAGTAATCTATAATATTATTTTTGTGTTGAATGAAGGGTAAGAAGGGAGATACAAAATATGTTCTTCTTCCTTAGAGATACAGTTAAGATGAAGCATTCAAAGGAAATGGAAGTGTTCTGATCAAGTGGGTAAAAGGAATTATAAATTTAGGAATGAATTGATAACTAGGAAAATCTCACCTCAGGGAAATCGTGAGATAAGAGTTTTGTTGTCACTGTTGCTTTGTTTTGTTTAGGGGCCTACATTTTGTTTATCACATGGCTGTATCTCTTTTATAGAAAAGACAGACTGATGGATGTTTATTACCCAATAAATAGTTGGTAAGCTTGTTGCAAGGAAACTTAATCTCAATCGAAAATAAAATCGATCTGTCTGTTAATTATCTGCCATCACTAAGGAAATATAACCCTTACATAATCTTGCTTTTATGTAATCAGTTTCTACACTATAGTCCACTGTCTCTTTTTTTATGTTGGGAATATATAAAAATTCATTTTCTCCTAACAATGATATGTGTTTCAGATTAATTTGCCTTCTCTTCTGAAAATTAAGTTCTATGTAATTAAACCAACGGAAAATACAAACAACCTAAAAGATATCAATTAGAAGGAACTTGTTAAAACACTTGTGGATACAATGGTTGACTAAACTTACTAGAAAATGAGATGATAAGGGCAGGACAGTATCTATTTTATCCGTCACTATATTGCTTGTCCTTCATGGTGACTGCTACCAGGAGGTCCTCAATAAAAATGTACGTTATCAGGGCCGAGCGCGATGGCTCACGCCTGTAATCCCAACACTTTGGAAGGCAAAGGCAGGTGGATCACCTGAGGTCGGTAGTTCGAGACCAGCCAGACCAACATGGAGAAACCCTGTCTCTACTAAAAATACAAAAATTAGCTGGGCATGGTGGTGCATGCCTGTAATCCCAGCTACTCAGGAGGCTGAGGCAGGAGAATAGCTTGAACCCAGGAGGCAGAGGTTGTGGTGAGCTGAGATGGTGCCATTGCACTCCAGGCTAGGCAACAAGAGCGAAACTCTGTCTCCAAAATAATAATAATAATAATAATAAATTTATGTAATCAAATAAATGCAAAATTATTTTCAGGGAAATATTAACTCAGTTGATGAAATATATGAAAATATATCAATCAAATTCATTCTAGAGAATTGGTTTAATTACAATGGTTTATGTTGGTTTTTCAGGAGTTAACTGCCCACTTGGTGGGTTTCTGGTTTCTCTCTATTTTCTTGGTTCTGTTTGCTGTTTTGTTATTGCATGAGCAACAGATGTTTAAGAATATATGAAACTCAAATTCAATTTGAATATTGATTATGTCTCAAATGTAGTTATAGATTTTATTAGTAGAAAGTTTGCTTTTATGGAACCCTTATGGGTCCAAAACAAAGAATATCTAAAGCAAATATGTGGATAATATGGATTATGTGGGGAATGCATTGTTGCAGACTATGGTCAGAAACTCTGGAATTGGGACTCAGCAATCTGTTTTGATTTTTGGGGTTTTTTTGTTTTTTTTTTTTTTTGAGACAGAGTCTCGCTCTATCGCCCAGGCTGGAGTGCAATGGCACCATCTCGGCTCACTGCAACCTCCACCTCCTGGGCTCAAGCAATTCTTCTGCCTCAGCCTACCAAGTGGCTGGGATTACAGGTGCCCGCCACCACACCCAGCTAATTTTGGTATTTTTAGTAGAGACGGGGTTTCACCATGTTGGCCTGGCTGGTCACGAACTCCTGACTTTGGGTGATCTGCCTGCCTCATTCCCCCAAAGTGCTGGGATTACAGGCGTGAGCTACTATGACCGGCCAGCAATCTGTTTTGAAAATCCTTCAGGTGATTCTGATGAATACTTAATTTTGAAGACCATGAGCTTTGGGTTCTTTGGGAAACAAGTGGTGAGGGTTTTCGAGGCTCCTTTTCCCCTCTGCTCCCAACAGCTCTTGAAACAGAACCTGCTACAACCTGGGCGGCAGCATCCTGCTAGCCAGGAGTTGAAGTTAGACGTATAGAAATAGCAGCTGTTTTTTCTGGAGATATATTGTGCAACATGGTGACTATGGTTAATGACGACATATGGTATGTTTGAAAATTGCTTTAAAAAGCAGATTTAAAATGTTCTCACCACAAATAAGTGATAAGTATGTGAGGTAATGTTACCAGAAAGGGGTCCCAATCCAGACCCCAAGAGAGGGTTCTTGGATCTTATGCAAGAATGAATTTGGGGCAAGTCCATAGAGCTAAGTGACAGTAAGTTTATTAGGAAAGTAAAGGACTAAAGAATGGCTACTTCATGGGCAGAGCAGCCCTGAAGGCTGCTAGTTGCCCATTTTTATGGTTATCTCTTAATTATATGCTAAATAGGGGGTGGATTATTCATGAGTTTTCTGGGAAAGGGGTGGGCAATTCCTGGAACTGAGGGTTCCTCCCCTTTTTAGACCATATAGAGTAACTTGCTTATGTTGCCATGGCATTTGTAAACTGTCATGGCACTGGTGGGAGTGTAGCAGTGAGACGACCAGAGGTCACTCTTACCGCCATCTTGGTTTTGGTGGGTTTTGTCTGGCTTCTTTACTGCACCCTGTTTTGTCAGCAAGGTTTTTGACCTGTATCTCGTGCCAACATCCTATCTCATCCTGTAACTAAGAATGCCTAACCTCCTGGGAATGCAGTTTATCAGGTCTTTTTCCCAGCCCCTACTCAAGATGGAGTTGTTCTGGTTCAAATGCCTCTGACAGTAATGCATGTGTTGACTAATTAGGTTGATTGGTCCTTCCACAATTAATACATATTTCAGAACATCACGTTGTACACCACAAATGTATACAATTTTTGTCAATTAAAATAAAATTTTTAAAAAAAGAAAGAAAAAGATAGTTCTCTTACTCTTCTTCATTTCTCCTCCCTACAACTCACATTCGCCAATACCAGCAAATTGTTCTCAAGTGGCTACTTCCTGCTTGCTGATGGCTGAAATTCCTTCTGCTAGGAGAAAGCCTTTGGGTCCACAATTAGATTAGTATTGTTATATATTTATATGTTAATATTAGGTTAACAATATACTAATAATATAATGAGGTAATTTTTCTTCGAATGCTTTTTAGTCATGCATAAAAAATTGCTTTTTAAGTGTGATATCAGACAAGACAAAACCAGCTGAAGGCAGAAAGAATGATGAGGGCCATCAGAGAGCTGCAGAGAGAAAAAAGAGGCTGTGAGCTTTCAAGACTTTATGCCTATGCCTTGAGTTACCTTCAACATGCATGTTGATCGAGGAGACATGCATGAAGATAGATTATTTTCCTGTAGGTACAAAATCAAACTGTTCTCTTTCATATGATTCTTGAAGGTTTTTGGTTTGTTTTGGTTTTTGTTGTTGCTTAATCCACAAAAGAGCTTCCTTGCTGAAATATATGTTAATCAAATGTTATTATATCCATAGTTTATTCCTCTTCATCATCACTATGAGAAAGCAAAGGTCAAAGGTGGCTGCCCCTTCATTCCTTTCCACAAACATTAGACCAGGGGTGTCCAACCTTTTGGCTTCCCTGGGCCGCTCTGAAAGAAGAAGAATTGTCTTGGGCCACACATAAAATACACTAATACTAATGATACCTGATGAGCTAAAAAAAAAAAAAAAATCGCAAAAATCTCATAATGTTTTAAGAAAATTTACTAATAAGTATTGGGCCACATTCAAAGCTGTCCTGGGCTGCATGCAGCCCTTGGGCCACGGATGGGACTAGCTTGTTCTAGATATTTTCACCATAGCAGTCTCTTAGATATATTCCACTTTCTAAGTATTCTGTTTGAGGTAACATTTCTGTTTCATTTCAGGTTTCAAATATATATCATTAATTTGCATTTCAGGTTATTTTTAGCTTATAATATGTTAAAGTTCAAATCAAGCCAGCACTGCACAGTGCCTAACACTGGGTCTTGGGCAGTAAACACTTAATAACACCTGTGATGATACTTCAAATTTTTTTTTCCAAGTTTTTATGCATTAGAATAAACAGATTAACTTTCCTTTTTACTTAATTGTTCCCTGTAGCTAGAGTTTGTGGATGGTTTATATTCAGGATAAATGATAGCAAATGAAGGAAAATGTGACTCAAAATATGTGCTACATGTCCATTTATGTTTCATCTACGGATATTAAAATATTATTTCCCAGTGTTTGGTCCATGGAAAGAACACACTTAATAAACTTCAAAGTAACTCTGTTCCATAAGTGGGAATAGTAATTTCTATGAAGTATGAAACTTTACAGTTTATAAAGTGCTTTCAAGTACACAATCTCATGTGCCCCTCCCAACAGCCCTGTGAAGTAAGTGTAGGGTAATGACTTCTTATTTACTTGGCTGGAGAATATGGTTGGAGAAAATTCAGTGACTTGCCCAATGTCACACAGTGAGTTGTGAAACCCTTTAGTGGTCCAAATGCTCCTATCATCACGCCCAGTTGTTACCTTCTCCATCCTCATTGTGAGCTGAACTCCCCGTCCTCTGCAGTCTGGTCAACCCCTGCTACATTGGGCCAGGTCACATTTCTGTAGGTGGCATGAAAAAAATGGAGACAACTCTGATAGGTGGACTCAACTGGTGAGAGGTGAAGGCTATCCTGAATGTGACTCTAAAGATAAACATCAAAAGTTCAGCCTTAGCCAACATCTTAGCATTCCGCAATAGAGTTGAAGGTATCACCTATTTCATCTTTCAGAGGAGTGTCTTCTTGGTTCTTAACTCCATCGTTTTCAAGCCTGGCTAACCCTTGGAATTACCTGGGAAGATTTTTAAAATTCAGATGCTCCAGTCTCATCATGCAGTGATTCTAGCATCAGGCTCAAGCACTGATATTTTTGAAAGCTCCCCAGGTGACTCTAACGTTCAGCCAGGGTTGAGCGCCCCTGATACAGCTGAGAAGGCAGCAAGACTGTTATAAGCTGGCACAGAAGCAGCCTTCTTCTCCCTTAAACTAGGTAAAAAGAGCATGTCTGTTGACAGTCCTAACCATTTCTATGAGGAGGCCTTGTGTAATTTCAAAGCAAGCCAGAAACTTGTGTCTACTCAGGAATTCCTGTGGGACATTATTAAAGGGTTTATGGTTAACTGATGGGCTGAATTAATGGTGAGCATTAAGGCAGATTGAACCTCAAAATTCGGGCAGATTAACAAAGTGACCAAGGTAGAGGTAGAGATTTCAAGCTTAACTTTGAGTTTCCTATCTTTCATAAGACAAGTACTGGTGGTAATAAAAAGCATGCTTTCTTTCCTTCACCAGTCAAGTGGATGTGGACCAGCCCTTATAAAAACTCGGGTCTATCCAAAGAGACATAGGAGGAGAGGTATAATTAACTTGAGTAAGCAAAGTAATAAACAACAGCAGCCTGAAAAACAGCTTGCAGAAATCTAAGAGGGATCCCAGTTTCTCAGTTCTGTTTTTAAACTACCCCTTCCTTTAATCTCCTGCAGAAGTAAACTCATAGAAATTATACTAAGAACTAAAGTTGCCTGTTCTTGTATTGGATCTGTGTGTGTGTGTGTGTGTGTGTGTGTGTGTGTGTGTGTGTGTGTGTGTTTTATGTATATTAAGAAGGGAGGTGGGAAGGAGAGGACATTGGCCTAATTACCACTGAGATTGTGTCTTGTGAATTCCATTGAGGAAACACTTCAGAATAAGCACATTTGTTAAAGTGGATGAGTTATTTTACACTTCATACGAAAATGAAAAGATGAATGTATCATTCACAGTTATATTACTAGAGGTGAAAAAAATAGTATGGTTCTCCTCAACAGGGCTGAGTTACACAAATTTTATCTGAAGCTTCTATTTCACCAAAGATACATTTGACTCCATCCTACCTAGAGTAAGGAAATATTTAATTATTAATTAATCTTTTGCAGCAAAGCACATGTATAAATGGATTCAGAGTTAGAAAGCCATTAAAGCCAACTGAAATGTCTCCACAATTTATAGAAGTCATGGATACAATAGAGCCTATAATACACTCAAAATCCGATTGGAAGAGACTTTTTAAACTCAAGAACACTGTCTTTATTATATTAGAAGACTAATGAATCTCATTTATTCAATTATATTCAACAAGCACTTATTGAGGATCTAGCACAGGTTTGGCATTGTTGAGAGTAAAGAATAAGATAGCAACTCCTCATAATAACTACAAATACGTATTAAACAATTCGAGAATGCTAAGAATTATTATATTAGCATGTACTAAAGCTCTCATTTTAAAAAATATTACTACAGAAAATGTGGCATAGAAACAGTGAGTGCTATCAGCAATTCAAAGGATCTAAAACAGAGTTAGTCATAGTCATAGGGCTCAGTTTTTATCTTTCCTCATGCTCTCAAATCTTCCTAAAACAGCACTTTCATCAATAGTAAGCACTGGCTTCCCCATAATCAAAGATTATTCAGAATGAGACCTATCCATCCTGCTTCTTCATGTCCCCTCCCAACTCTGCATCCTCTTATCAGTGAGGCCAAGTCCCTTCATGCTGCCCTGGGACCCTTTGGCCCGGGCCTTTGGTCACACAAATCCTACAGGCCTCCAGGCCCTCTGGCCACCAAGTTCATGTCCCAAACCTTAACCCTCCCCCGGCCCCACGCTCCATACATATGTACCACCGCTACTCAGTCCATACTAATCCATCTAAATCCAGCCACAGACATGCAACTTCCTCTGACAAATCCAGGAAAAGGAAGCATGGTGTGTATCAATAGAAATGTGTCTGAATCCCACTATCTTGAAAACATTAAAGATTCTAAAAAATATATTTTTTAAAGGTTTACATCTGAAGGAGATAAAAATAGTATTTTTTGTTGTTGTTGGCAGAACAAATTTCTGACTCATGCTTAATCAGCCAGTGAAGACACTGATGAGTATGAGTCGATTCAGGGGTAACAGCAGAAAATGAAAGCCAGTGTGGACAAATGGGAAGTTGGTCTCTTCTGAGGAGAATAGAAAATTAGTGTTAGAAAAAGACCGTTGTGGTGAAGTTCTTAAAAGTGACCAGCATACCTATATGTTCTGTGCAAAACAGGTTATCTTCCTCTGCTCTGCTTAGCTGATTAGTCTGAGAGACGTTCTTACCAGCCCAGGGATACCAGCGCAAAGCCTTGCCCATATCCATTAACTAAAGACATTTCACAACAAGACAATTTGAGTGAATTATAAATAGTCTAAACTTATTTGTAAATGGAATAATTGGAACTACATTAAAATAAAAATTAATGAAGAGAATTAACATAAACATAAAGAGGTTTTTTCTTTAAAAGCCTATTATAAGGAATTGTTTTATAATTTAATTGTTAATTAACACCATAAATTTCTCAGCTTTCTTTAAATAAATGGATACACACATGCACACACACAGAGAAGGAGAGAGAGTTGGTGCTTTTTATTTTTATTTCTCAAAGTTAGATCAAATCTCATGAAAAGTTTACCATTGACTAAAATAAAACCTCTACTTGATGGTGATACATGCCTAGACACAGGATCTTTACCAAGAGAACATCAATTTCCTAGTGTCAAATAGGCAAACCTAAATAAATATATTGAGAATAATAGCATATAATTTTCTAATTTCAAAATTATGACTTTATATTTTGGCATAATTATTGGTCCATTTGTAAACAAGAATGTCTTTCAAACTGGTTTTTCTAGATTTCTAGATTTGTTTATTCAAACAAATCAAGCAAGGATACTTGCTGTTATATAGATCACAAATATGTTTGAGCTAAAAATTAACTTCAGTCAGAAATTCACTGATTCACCAAATGATTCAACTACTAATATGTGATAGATTTAGATTCCCTTTAACTTACATATTGTATAGACTCCCTACCACTAAGAAGTAACATAATACCGTATTAGTTTTCTATCCTTACAAAAGGCGAGAAAATAACGGAGGCAAAAGCACAGATTTTTATCAATATAGAACAAGGAGGACTGTTTTGTAAGTTTTTCTCACATTAACCCATTTAGACAATCTAGCTTTGTTGCTGAGAGAAGTATCCGTTTCTCTTTTTAACTCATTCTCTGTCCCTGTGTCAAATGCTAAACAGCAGAAATATGTTCATTTGGTCCAACTGTAGTCTTTTATCTTAGTCTTGTTTTGATCCAATACTGAGAAGAAAAATCCATCTAGTTACCCTACTTCTTTTCCAGTATGCACAGCACTTGTGTGAGTAAATATGAAGGATCCAGGGTAGATAACAGCAAATATACTGTTTGGTATTTTCTCCTTCCGAGAAATAGCAATACCCACTTAGAGCACAGGGATGCTGTGAAGATTAGTCACATTAAATTTGAGTATAGTCCATTGGAGATATGCTACTGTGATCAACTGTTAAATCTGATAAGAAACACTGAGACCATCATCCACTCCTCTGAACTATCCTTTAATAGCCCAGTCCCGATGGAAGCTGGAGGCCATCATTCACTTCAAATCTGTGACTTTATTCTCGGTTTTTTTGTTGTTGTTGTTTTATTTTTTATTGACCATGTGGTAATTTCAAGAAGCAGGCTGGGCACAATGGCTCAACCCTGAAATCCCAGCACTTTGGGAGGCCAAGATGGGCAGATTGCTTGAGCCCAGGGGTTCAAGACCTAAGCAATATGGTGAGGCCCTGTCTCAACAAAAAATCCAAAAATTAGCCAGGTGTGGTGGCATGCACCTGTAGTCCCAACTACTAGGGAGGCTGAGTGGGGAGGATAGCTTGAGCCTGGAAGGTCAAGGCTGCAATGAGCCATGATCATGCCACTGCACTCCAGCCTAGCTGACAGAATGAGACCCTGTCTCAAAAAAAAAAAAAAAAAAAAAAAAAAAAAAAAAAAAAAGCCATAGAAAGCAGTTTCTATAGTAAAAAGAACTCATATGCATTTATTCTTTTTCTGAAATTTCACTACTAGGAATCTATCATAAGAAAAAAATCTAAAATATTGGAAAAAGCTCTTTATACAGAGATGTTTCTGCAGCATTATTTATGAGCACCAAGCATTTAATAACAATCTACATGCCTATGAATAGAAAAGAGATGAATTTAATTATCATAGAAGCATATGTTGAAACATCATTAAACACTATATTTGCAAAAAGTTTTTAAGAAAAGGAGAACTGTTTTTCTTACAATGTTAAATGGAGAAGGAGAACACAAGATGGTATAAATGATACAATATCAACTATGTAATATATATGTAGGGATAAGACTCGAAAGATAACAGAGTATTAGCAATCGCCAGTGGGTGGGAGGTTATTATATGGTCATTTTCTTTTTAATACTGCCTTTTTACTCCTCACTTACTATAAGGATCATTTAGTACATTTTACAAAACAAACAAACATACACTAATGGAAATGGAGTCAGGAAACTTATTTTCCAAGCTACTCTACCACTGTAAATTTTACGTTAGGCAAGTCTCTACTGCAGTGTATTGATAGAATATGGCCATTTTACCTTCTAAGACTCCTATAATTAACTGATGTAATGTATTTGAAATCACTTTTTATTTTAAAAGTCCAATATAATTACATAATTATATTTTTTGGAGGAGAAAAAGAGAGATTTTCATAGTTTTTCCAAGTAAAAAATACTTATTTACATAGTGAAAATAGAGGTTCACTATTATTCTTTCTGCCACCAGTTGGAATTCAGTTTTCTGGATAGTTTTTTACACAGTTTTTTGTGTAGACTATGGTATAACACATTGTTCGCCTTGGTTCCTGTCGACTAAGTAGAAACATATATAATGCAGATTATTTATCTTATAAAAATATGTCTTGGTTTATTTAAGTAATGTGATATTTATCTTGAATTATTTTTCAACCTTGCCTTAAAATTGACAAACATAATTAAAACTCCTGGCCAGGCGTGGTGGCTCACGCCTGTAATCCCAGCACTTTGGGAGGCCGAGGCGGGCAGATCACGAGGTCAGGAGATCGAGACCATCCTGGCTAACACGGTGAAACCCTGTCTCTACTAAAAATACAAAAAATTAGCCAGGCGTGGTGGTGGGTGCCTGTAGTCTCAGCTACTCAGGAGGCTGAGGCAGGAGAATGGCGTGAACCCGGGAGGCAGAGCTTGCAGTGAGCCGAGATGGCGCCACTGCACTCCAGCCTGGGTGACAGAGCAAGACTCCATCTCAAAATAAAAAAAAATAAAAAATAAACAAAAAAAAAACACTCCTTAAAGTGATACTTAGACATTACAATTTTCACTCTTTTTCCATCACTGACTTAAATAGTGAAAGAAAGAAAAAGAGAAAGAGAGAGGAAAGAAGGAGGAGGGGAGAGAGTGAGAGAAAGCAATATGGCTCTCAAATTTACTACAAGGGAGAAAATTTGCAAGGGAGGTTGGGAAAACTAATTTTGCTAATATAATATAATATATGCTGAGAAAGAGGAAGAGAACGGTGAATTTATCACCTTTTCTCTGCCACAGACTCCTAGGCAAAGAGAGAAGAAATGTCTCCTCAGACCTAGAGGAATCAGAGAACTTCAGTCAATAAGTTGTCTGTGGTTCAGTCTAGTTTGGGAAGGACATAGATATTGTATATCCTAAGAGATATTTCTGAAAACTGTCACAAATCATCAGATAACATTGAGAAAAATCACAGGCTTCATAAGCTATAGAACCTTTGTTTACCTTTTTTTCTTGTAACTTTTATTTTAGGTTCTGGGGTACATGTGCTGGTTTGTAACACAGATAAACTTGTGTCACAAGGGTTTACTGTACAGATTTTTTTGTCACTCAGGTACTAAACCTAATACCCAATAGATACTTTTTTTTCTTCTCTCCCTCCTCTCACCTTCCACCCTCAAGTAGGCCCCAGTGTCTGTTGTTCCCTTCTTTGAGTTCATGAGTTCTATTTACCTCCCTCTTATAAGTAAGAACATGTGGTATTTGGTTTTCTGTTCCTGTGTTAGTTTGCTAAGGATAATGGCCTCCAGTTCCACCCATGTTTCCACAAAAGACATGAACTCATTCTTTTTTATGGCTGCATAGTATTCCATTATGTATATATACAACATTTTCCTTATCTAGTCTGTCACCGAGAGGCATTTAGGTTTATTCCATGTCTTTGCTATTGTGAAGAGTGTTGCAATGAACATATGCATGCATGTGTCTTTATAATAAAATGATTTACATTGCTCTGGGTATATAGCCAGTAATGAGATTGCTGGGCCGAATAGTAGTTCTGATTTTAGCCCTTTGAGGAATTGCCACAGTGCTTTCCATAAAGGCTGAACTAATTTACATTCCCACCAACAGTGTATAAGTGTTCCCTTTTCTCTGCAACCTCACCAGCATATGTTATTTTTTGACTTTTTAATGATAGCCATTCTGACTAGTGTAAGATGGTATCACATTGTGGCTTTGATTTGCATTTCTGTAATGATCAGTGATTTTAAGCTTTTTGGCCACATGTATGTCTTTAGAAAAGTGTTCATGTCCTTTGCCTACTTTTTAATGAAGTTGTTTGTTGTTGTTTATTTTCTTGTAAATTTGTTTAAGTTCCTTATATATGCTGGATTTTAGACCTTTGTCACATGCATAGTTTGCATAGTTTTCTCCCATTCTGTAGGTTGTCTGTTCAATCTGTTGATAGCTTCTTTTGCTGTGATGAAGCTCTTAAGTTTAATTAGATCCCATTTGTCAATTTTTGCTTTTGTTGCAATTGCTTTTGGTGTCTTTGTCATGAAAACTTTGCCCATTCCTGTGTCCAGAATGGTATTTCTTCGGTTGTCTTCCATGGTTTTTATAGTTTTGGGTTTTATGTTTAAGTCTTTCATCCATATTGAGTTGATTTTTGTATATAGCATAAGAAAGTAGTCCAGTTTTAATCTTCTGCACATGGCTAGCCAGCTATCCCAGCACCATTTATTGAATAGTGAGTCTTTTCCCCTGTCTTGTTTTTGTCAGATGGTTGAAGATCAGATGGCTAAAGGTGTATGGCCTTATTTCTGGGCTTTCTATTTTGTTCCATGTATCTATGTATCTGTTTTTTTGTACTAGTACCATGCTGTTTTGGTTACTGTAGCCCTGTAATATAGTTTGAAGTCAAGTAACATGATGCCTGTAGCTTTGTTCTTTTTGCTTAAGATTGCCTTGGCTAAGGAGGCCTGCCTGCCTCTGTAGGCTCCACCTCTGGGGGCAGGGCACAGACAAACAAAAAGACAGCAGTAACCTCTGCAGACTTAAATGTCCCTGTCTGACAGCTTTAAAGAGAGCAGTGGTTGTCCCAGCACGCAGCTGGAGATCTGAGAATGGGCAGACTGCCTCCTCAAGTGGGTCCCTGACCCCTGACCCCTGAGCAGCCTAACTGGGAGGCACCCCCCAGTAGGGGCAGACTGACACCTCACACAGCCGGGTACTCCTCTGAGACAAAACTTCCAGAGGAACAATCAGACAGCAGCATTTGCAGTTCATGAAAATCCGCTGTTCTGCAGCCACCGCTGCTGATATCCAGGCAAACAGAGTCTGGAGTGGACCTCTAGCAAACTCCAACAGACCTGCAGCTGAGGGTCCTGTCTGTTAGAAGGAAAACTAACAAACAGAAAGGACATCCACACCAAAAACCCATCTGTACATCACCATCATCAAAGACCAAAAGTAGATAAAACCACAAAGATGGGGAGAAAACAGAGCAGAAAAACTGGAAACTCTAAAAAGCAGAGCACCTCTCCTCCTCCAAAGGAACGCAGTTCCTCACCAGCAACGGAACAAAGCTGGACGGAGAATGACTTTGACGAGTTGAGAGAAGAATGCTTCAGACGATCAAACTACTCCGGGCTACAGGATGAAATTCAAACCAAAGGCAAAGAAGCTGAAAACTTTGAAAAAAATTTAGACAAATGTATAACTAGAATAACCAATACAGAGAAGTGCTTAAAGGAGCTGATGGAGCTGAAAGCCAAGGCTCGAGAACTACGTGAAGAATGCAGAAGCCTCAGGAGCCGATGCGATCAATTGGAAGAAAGGGTATCAGTGATGGAAGATGAAATGAATGAAATGAAGCGAGAAGAGAAGTTTAGAGAAAAAAGAATAAAAAGAAATGAACAAAGCCTCCAAGAAATATGGGACTATGTGAAAAGACCAAATCTACATCTGACTGGTGTACCTGAAAGTGATGGGGAGAATGGAACCAAGTTGGAAAACACTCTGCAGGATATTATCCAGGAGAACTTCCCCAATCTAGCAAGGCAGGCCAACATTCAGATTCAGGAAATACAGAGAACGCCACAAAGATACTCCTCGAGAAGAGCAACTCCAAGACACATAATTGTCAGATTCACCAAAGTTGAAATGAAGGAAAAAATGTTAAGGGCAGCCAGAGAGAAAGGTCGGGTTACCCACAAAGGGAAGCCCATCAGACTAACAGCGGATCTCTCGGCAGAAACTCTATAAGCCAGAAGAGAGTGGGGGCCAATATTCGATATTCTTAAAGAAAAGAATCTTCAACCCAGAATTTCATATCCAGTGAAACTAAGCTTCGTAAGTGAAGGAGAAATAAAATATTTCACAGACAAGGAAATGCTGAGAGATTTTGTCACCACCAGGCCTGGCCTAAAAGAGCTCCTGAAGGAAGCTCTAAACATGGAAAGGAACAACTGGTACCAGCCACTGCAAAATCAAGCCAAATTGTCAAGACCGTCAAGGCTAGGAAGAAACTGCATCAACTAATGAGCAAAATAACCAGCTAACATCATAATGACAGGATCAAATTCACACATAACAATATTAACTTTAAATATAAATGGACTAAATGCTCCAATTAAAAGACACAGACTGAGAAATTGGATAAAGAGTCAAGACCCATCAGTGTGCTGTATTCAGGAAACCCATCTCACGTGCAGAGACACACATAGGATCAAAATAAAAGGATAGAGGAAGATCTACCAAGCAAATGGAAAACAAAAAAAGGCAGGGGTTGCAATCCTAGTCTCTGATAAAACAGACCTGAAACCAACAAAGATCAAAAGAGACAAAGAAGGCCATTACATAATGGTAAAGGGATCAATTCAACAAGAAGAGCTAACTCTCCTAAATATATATGCACCCAATACAGGAGCACCCAGATTCATAAAGCAAGTCCCTAGTGACCTACAAAGAGACTTAGACTCCCACAAATTAATAATGGGAGACTTTAACACCCCACTGTCAACATTAGACAGATCAATGAGACAGAAAGTCAACAAGGATACCCAGGAATTGAACTCAGCTCTGCACCAAGTGGACCTAATAGACATCTACAGAACTCTCCACCCCAAATCAACACAATATACATTTTTTTCAGCACCACACCACACCTATTCCAAAATTGACCACATACTTGGAAGTAAAGCTCTCCTCAGCAAATGTAAAAGAACAGAAATTATAACAAACTGTCTCTCAGACCACAGTGCAATCAAACTAGAACTCAGGATTAAGAAACTCACTCAAAACCACTCAACTACATGGAAACTGAACAACCTGCTCCTGAATGACTACTGGGTACATAACGAAATGAAGGTAGAAATAAAGATGTCCTTTGAAACCAACGAGAACAAAGACACAACATACCAGAATCTCTGGGATGCATTCAAAGCAGTGTGTAGAGGGAAATTTATAGCACTAAATGCCCACAAGAGAAAGCATGAAAGATCCAAAATTGACACCCTAACATCACAATTAAAAGAACTAGAAAAGCAAGAGCAAACACATTCAAAAGCTAGCAGAAGGCAAGAAATAACTAAAATCAGAGCAGAACTGAAGGAAATAGAGACACAAAAAACCCTTCAAAAAATTAATGAATCCAGAAGCTGGTTTATTGAAAGGATCAACAAAATCAGTAGACTGCTAGCAAGACTAATAAAGAAGAAAAGAGAAAAGAATCAAATAGACGCAATAAAAAATGATAAAGGGGATATCACCACCGATCCCACAGAAGTACAAACTACCATCAGAGAATACTACAAACACCTCTATGCAAATAAACTAGAAAATCTAGAAGAAATGGATAAATTCCTGGACACATACACCCTCCCAAGACTAAACCAGGAAGAGGTTGAATCTCTGAATAGACCAATAACAGGCTCTGAAATTGTGGCAATAATCAATAGCTTACCAACAAAAAATAGTCCAGGACCAGATGGATTCACAGCCGAATTCTACCAGAGGTACAAGGAGGAACTGGTACCATTCCTTCTGAAACTATTCCAATCAATAGAAAAAGAGGGAATCTTCCCTAACTCATTTTATAAGGCCAGCATCATCCTGATACCAAAGCAGGGCAGAGACACAACCAAAAAAGAGAATTTTAGACCAATATCCTTGATGAACATTGATGCAAAAATCCTCAATAAAATACTGGCAAACCGAATCCAGCAGCACATCAAAAAGCTTATCCACCATGATCAAGTGGGCTTCATCCCTGGGATGCAAGGCTGGTTCAATATACACAAATCAATAAATGTAATCCAGCATATAAACAGAACCAAAGACAAAAATCACATGATTATCTCAATAGATGCAGAAAAGGCCTTTGACAAAATTCAACAACCCTTCATGCTAAAAACTCTCAATAAATTAGGTATTGATGGGACATATCTCAAAATAGTAAGAGCTATCTATGACAAACCCACAGCTAATATCATACTGAATGGGCAAAAACTGGAAGCATTCCCTTTGAAAACGGGCACAAGACAGGGATGCCCTCTCTTACCACTCCTATTTAACATAGTGTTGGAAGTTCTGGCCAGGGCAATTAGGCAGGAGAAGGAAATAAAGGGTATTCAATTAGGAAAAGAGGAAGTCAAATTGTCCCTGTTTGCAGATGACATGATTGTATATCTAGAAAACCCCATTGTCTCAGCTCGAAATCTCCTTAAGCTGATAAGCAACTTCAGCAAAGTCTCAGGATACAAAATCAATGTACAAAAATCACAAGCATTCTTATACACCAATAACAGACAAACAGAGAGCCAAATCATGAGTGAACTCCCATTCACAATTGCTTCAAAGAGAATAAAATACCTAGGAATCCAACTTACAAGGGATGTGAAGGACCTCTTCAAGGAGAACTACAAACCACTGCTCAAGGAAATAAAAGAGGATACAAACAAGTGGAAGAACATTCCATGTTCATGGGTAGGAAGAATCAATATCGTGAAAATGGCCATACTGCCCAAGGTAATTTATAGATTCAATGCCATCCCCATCAAGCTACCAATGACTTTCTTCACAGAATTAGAAAAAACTACTTTAAAGTTCATATGGAACCAAAAAAGAGCCCACATCGCCAAGTCAATCCTAAGCCAAAAGAACAAAGCTGGAGGCATCACGCTACCTGACTTCAAACTATACTACAAGGCTACAGTAACCAAAACAGCATGGTACTGGTACCAATACAGAGATATAGATCAATGGAACAGAACAGAGCTCTCAGAAATAACGCTGCATATCTACAACTATCTGATCTTTGACAAACCTGAGAAAAACAAGCAATGGGTAAAGGATTCCCTATTTAATAAATGGTGCTGGGAAAACTGGCTAGCCATATGTAGAAAGCTGAAACTGGATCCCTTCCTTACACCTTATACAAAAATTAATTCAAAATGGATTAAAGACTTAAATGTTAGACCTAAAACCGTAAAAACCGTAGAAGAAAACCTAGGCATTACCATTCAGGACATAGGCATGGGCAAGGACTTCATGTCTAAAACACCAAAAGCAATGGCAACAAAAGCCAAAATTGACAAATGGGATCTCATTAAACTAAAGAGCTTCTGCACAGCAAAAGAAACTACCATCAGAGTGAACAGGCAACCTACAAAATGGGAGAAAATTTTCACAACCTACTCATCTGACAAAGGGCTAATATCCAGAATCTACAATGAACTCCAACAAATTTACAAGAAAAAGACAAACAACCCCATTGAAAAGTGGGTGAAGGACACGAACAGACACTTCTCAAAAGAAGACATTTGTGCAGCCAAAAAACACATGAAAAAATGCTCACCTTCACTGGCCATCAGAGAAATGCAAATCAAAACCACAATGAGATACTGTCTCACACCAGTTAGAATGGCAATCATTAAAAAGTCAGGAAACAACAGGTGCTGGAGAGGATGTGGAGAAATAGGAACACTTTTACACTGTTGGTGGGACTCTAAACTAGTTCAACCATTGTGGAAGTCAGTGTGGCGATTCCTCAGGGATCTAGAACTAGAAATACCATTTGACACAGCCATCCCATTACTGAGTATATACCCAAAGGACTATAAATCATACTGCTATAAAGACACATGCACGTGTATGTTTATTGCGGCACTATTCACAATAGCAAAGACTTGGAACCAACCCAAATGTCCAACAATGATAGACTGGATTAAGAAAATGTGGCACATATACACCATGGAATACTATGCAGCCATAAAAAATGATGAGATCATGTCCTTTGTAGGGACATGGATGAAATTGGAAATCATCATTCTCAGTAAACTATCACAAGGACAAAAAACCAAACACTGCATGTTCTCACTCATAGGTGGGAATTGAACAATGAGAACATATGGACACAGGAAGGGGAACATCACACTCTGGGGCCTGTTGTGGGGTGGGGGGAGGGGGGAGGGATAGCATTAGGAGATATACCTAATGCTAAATGACGAGTTAATGGGTGCAGCACACCAGCATGACACATGTATACATATGTAACTAACCTGTACATTGTGCACATGTACCCTAAAACTTAAAGTATAATAATAAGAATAAAAGAAAATGGATTGTCTTGGCTATCTGGGCTCTTTTTTGGTTCCATATGAATTTTTAAATCATTTTTTCTGGTTCTGTGAAGAATGTCATTTGTAGTTTGATAGAAATAATATTGAATTTGTAAATTTCTTTGGGAAGCATGGCCATTTCAATGATATTGATTCTTCCTATCCATGAGAATGGGATGTTTTTCCATTTGTTTGTCATATCTAGTTTCTTTGAGCAGTGTTTTGTAATTCCCATTGTAGAGATATTTTATCTCCCCTGTTAGCTGTATTCCTGGGTATTTTATTCTCTTTGTGGCAATTGTGAATGGGATTGCCTTCCTAATTTGGCTCTCAGCTTAGCTATTGTTAGTGTATAGAAAAGCTGGTGATTTTTCTACATTGATTTTGTATCCTGAGATTTTGCTGAAGTTGTTTATCAGCTGAAGGAGCTTTTGGGCTGAGACTATGGGTTTTCCTAGATAGAGAATCATGTTGTCTGCAAACAGGGACAGTTTGACTTCCTCTTTTCCAATTTAGATGCCTTATTTCTTTCTCTTGCCTGATTGCTATGGCCAGGACTTTCAATACTATGTTGAATAGAAGTAGAGAAAGAGGGCATTCTTGTCTTCTGTCAGTTTTCAAGAGGAATGATTCCAGCTTTTCCCTATTCAGTGTAATATTGGCTGACGGTCTGTCATAGATGGTTCTAATTATATTAAGGCATGTTCCTTCAATACATAGTTTATTGGGAGTTTTTAACATAAAGGGATGTTGGATTTTATCAAAAGCCTTTTCTGCATCTATTGAGATAGTCATGTGGCTTTTGTCTTTACTTCTGTTTATGTAATGCATCACATTTATGGATTTGTATATGTTGAACAAACTTTGCATCCTGGAGATGAAGCCTACTTGATTATGATGGATTAGCCTTTTGATGTGCTGCTGGATTCAGTTTGAACTATTTTGTTGAGGATTTTTACGTCAGTGTTCATCAAGGATATTGGCCTGACGTTTTCTTTTTTTGTTGTGCCTTTGTCAGGTTTTGGTATCAGGATGAAATGGGCCTCATAGAATGAGTTAGGGAAGAGTCCCTCCTCCTCAATTTCTTCCCAGTTTATTATTGGTATAACATACAGGAAGGAACTAGTTGTGACACCCTCAATAAGTTACTTAATCTCTCCTAATCTTAGTTCCCCTTTGTGTAAAATGAGGATGACATGTAGCTGACAAGTCTGTGTGGAAGATCAGACTTTTAGCACTGTGTCATATGAGGTACTCAATAAATGTCCCTTTCTTGGTGAAAAAAAAAAAAAAGAAAATCAATTTCTTCCTGGTTCAGTCTTGGGAGGGTGTATATGTCCAGCAATTTATTCATCTCTTCTGGGTTTTCTAGTTTGTGTGCATAGAGGTGTTCATAGTAGTTTCTGATGGTTATTTTTATTTCTGTGAGGTCAATGGTAGCATCCTCTTTGTCATTTCTTCTTTTTTTTTTATTATACTTTAAGTTGTAGGGTACATGTGCATGACGTGCAGGTTAGTTACATATGTATACATGTGCCATGTTGGTGTGCTGCACCCAGTAACTCGTCATTTAACATTAGGTATATCTCCTAATGCTATCCCTCCCCCATCCCCCCACCCCACAACAGGCCCCAGAGTGTGATGTTCCCCTTCCTGTGTCCATGTGTTCTCATTGTTCAATTCCCACCTATGAGTGAGAACGTGCAGTGTTTGGTTTTTTGTCGTTGCAATAGTTTGCTGAGAATGATGGTTTCCAGCTTCATCCATGTCCCTACAAAGGACATGAACTCATCATTTTTTACGGCTGCATAGTATTCCATGGTGTATATGTGCCACATTTTCTTAATCCAGTCTATCATTGTTGGACATTTGGGTTGGTTCCAAGTCTTTGCTATTGTGAATAGTGCCGCAATAAACATACATGTGCATGTGTCTTTATAGCAGCATGTCTTATAATCCTTTGGGTATATACCCAGTAATGGGATTGCTGGGTCAAATGGTATTTCTAGTTCTAGATCCCTGAGGAATCGCCACACTGACGTCCACAATGGTTGAACTAGTGTAGAGTCCCACCAACAGTGTAAAAGTGTTCCTATTTCTCCACATCCTCTCCAGCACCTGTTGTTTCCTGACTTTTTAATGATTGCCATTCTAACTAGTGTGAGATGGTATCTCATTGTGGTTTTGATTTCCATTTCTCTGATGGCCAGTGAGGATGAGCATTTTTTCATGTGTCTTTTGGCTGCATAAATGTCTTCTTTTGAGAAGTGTCTGTTCACGTCCTTCGCCCACTTTTCGATGGGGTTGTTTGTTTGTTTCTTGTAAATTTGTTGGAGTTCATTGTAGATTCTGGATATTAGCCCTTTGTCAGATGAGTAGATTGCAAAAATTTTCTCCCATTCTGTAGGTTGCCTGTTCACTCTGATGGTAGTTTCTTTTGCTGTGCAGAAGCTCTTTAGTTTAATTAGATCCCATTTGTCAATTTTGGCTTTTGTTGCCATTGCTTTTGGTGTTTTAGACATGAAGTCCTTGCCCATGCCTATGCCCTTAATGGTATTGCCTAGGTTTTCTTCTAGGGTTTTTATGGTTTTAGGTCTAACATTTAAGTCTTTAATCCATCTTGAATTAATTTTTATATAAGGTGTAAGGAAGGGATCCAGTTTCAGCTTTCTACATATGGCTAGCCAGTTTTCCCAGCACCATTTATTAAATAGGGAATCCTTTCCCCAGTTCTTGTTTTTTTCAGGTTTGTCAAAGATCAGATGGTTGTAGATATGTGGCATTATTTCTGAGGGCTCTGTTCTGTTCCATTGGTCTATATCTCTGTTTTGGTACCAGTACCATGCTGTTTTGGTTACTGTAGCCTTGTAGTATAGTTTGAAGTCAGGTAGCATGATGCCTCCAGCTTTGTTCTTTTGGCTTAGGATTGACTTGGCGATGTGGGCTCTTTTTTGGTTCCATATGAACTTTAAAGTAGTTTTTTCTAATTCTGTGAAGAAAGTCATTGGTAGCTTGATGGGGATGGCATTGAATCTATAAATTACCTTGGGCAGTATGGCCATTTTCACGATATTGATTCTTCCTACTCATGAGCATGGAATGTTCTTCCATTTGTCTGTATCCTCTTTTATTTCCTTGAGCAGTGGTTTGTAGTTCTCCTTGAAGAGGTCCTTCACATCCCTTGTAAGTTGGATTCCTAGGTATTTTATTCTCTTTGAAGCAATTGTGAATGGGCATTCACTCATGATTTGGCTCCGTTTGTCTGTTATTGATGTATAAGAATGCTTGTGATTTTTGCACATTGATTTTGTATCCTGAGACTTTGCTGAAGTTGCCTATCAGCTTAAGGAGATTTTGGGCTAAGACGATGGGGTTTTCTAGATATACAATCATGTCATCTGCAAACAGGGACAATTTGACTTCTTCTTTTCCTAACTGAATAAATTGTGTTTATTTGTGTCATCTCTCTTTTCTTCTTCATTAGTCTAGCTAGCGGCCTATCATTAATATTTTCAAAAAACTAACTCCTGGAATCACTGATCTTTTGAATGGTTTTTCATTCCTTGACTACTTTCAGCTCAGCTCTGATTTCGATTACTTGTCTTCTGCTAGCTTTGGGGTTGATTTGTTCTTGCTTCTCTAATTCTTTCAGTTGTGGTATTAGGTTGTTAATTTGAGATCTTTCTAACTTTTCTATGTGGGCATTTAGTGGTATGAATTTCCCTCTGAAACATTGCCATGTCATATCTTTGTTCTCATTTGTTTCAAAGAACTTCTTGATTCTCTCTTACTTATCCAAAAGTCATTCAAGAGCATGTTGTTTAATTTCCATGTAATTGCATGGTTTTGAGCAATTTTTTTTATTGTATTCTATTCTTATTGCGCTGTGGTCTGAGACTATGTTTGGTGTTTGCTGTTTAAAGCCAATACTTCGAAACAATCTATACCAGGTTTTAGGAATTCTAACCTGCAGGGGGTATGGCTAGGCATTGGATGTCATCCCATTATTCCCTTCTTTTTTTTTTTTTTTTTTTTGGTTTTGTTTTTTGAGACGGAGTTTCACTCCTGTTACTCAGGCTGGAGTGCAGTGGTGCAGTCTCGGCTCACTGCAACCTCCACCTCCTGGGTTCAAGCGATTCTCCTGCCTCAGCTTCCCGAGTAGCTGGGATTACAAGCACATGCAACAACACCTGGCTAATTTTTGCATTTTTAGTAGAAACAGGGTTTGCTCCCCTTTTAGATGTATTTTTGCTTGTTTTTTTCTTTTTCTGTGAGACAGAGTCTCGCTCTGTCACCAAGGCTGGAGTGCAATGGCGTGATCTCAGCTCACTGCAACCACTGGGTCCCTCCCTTGACACATGGGGATTACAATTTGACATGAGATTTGGGTGGGAACACAGAGCCAAACCATATCAGAGGTCAAAATTAGAGATTAAGGAAAAAGAACCATAGTCCTGGTTCCAGGGTTAGAACAAGGTCAGGACAGAGAAATAAGTCTGAGTTCTGATGGGCTGTTGAAAGGCTGCACCGGGTGCTCCCAGAATTACTGCAAGGGAGGTTCATTCACCTGGGATTATACTTCATGCCGTGTGGGAAATTACATGCTCTCTAGTCAACTGTTGACATTACCAAGACCCTCAGCCTTGGAGATTTACATTTTACTCACACCTCAGACATAGACACAAGCTGGGGTTCATTTGTTTGTTTTACTTTTTCAGATGTTGGATGAAAAAAGAGATTCTTAATAATGGGTTTTCACTTCTAACTCCCCCTTTCTCCCCATCAAAAAAACAAAACAAAACAAAACAAACCTCAAAAGACTTTATTTTCCTTTCCCTTTCTTTATAGCAGAGATCAGGGTATCAGGGTATCAAGAGAGCAGGGTATCAGGCTGCTCTCTTATCCAAATGGCAATACTCAAAGGTTCCCAAGATTTAGTCACCTCCCTTCTCAAGTGAATATAAAACGTGGAGCATCTTTCTTTGCAGAGTAAGACTGACTTTAGGTCATCTTGAGCCCATTTATCATTATTTGAAACATTATAGAATCTATTGGATCATATAGCCAAAGTTATAGAAAATATAATTTTCATTTTTAAACAGATCTCTTATTATGAATGGTTACTTGGGCTGCCTGGCCTTGGAATATCTCTTTTGCATGATTGCAATATACTTGTGTCCAAATGTGGATCTTGGCCTCTTAAGTAATGTTCTCACATTTTACCCAAACTTGTCGGTGTTGGCTAACCAGAGGTTTAATGTGGACTAATCAGTGCAGGGAAGCATCCCAGTATGTGTATATTTCTAAGTGCCTGAACTAACATGGGGCAGGCACTATGCATAGTTGCTAACCTGATGAAACAGCTTCAATTAGAGCCTCATCGCTGACATTCCAGAGTGGCTGCACTTGGAATCATAGGATGTGCAGGTATCTGTGGTCAGATTTTTACTTAAAACAAAAAAAAAGGAGAAGTTTCAGAGTATAAGTTTTATTGGATTTGGGGACTTGGAGTTCTTGGAAAATGATAATGATTTAGAATATAGTTTGTACATCTCCCCTGGGTGAAACTTGAGGATCTTTGTTTTGTTTATGTCTTTCTCACGAGGTAGAAGATCGATTCTAAGTCAAGAACACATTTGTGGCAATGTAATTACAAGTGAAATATACAAAAAGGCTCCTGAACAACCCCTTTAACTTCCTTGTTCTACTTGCCCTGGCTCAAACTATGCTGCTTCCCTCCTGTCTCTCAGCACCCCTCCCCAGACAGAGCACCCACTCCCTTCCCAGCCCCTGCCTACAAGCTCCCTTCCCACCCTTTGAATGCTCAGGAGGAACCACTCACAGCAAAATTAGGCCTCCAGGCTCCCTTCTTCCTAGGCTCCCTTTCTTGAGGTGTCTCTGCTGGTTTGCTCTCTCTTGATCTGTTTCTGGCCCCCACACTGTGAATTTTAGATCCTACTCTTTATCAGCAATGTCTGGGTAAGAGGAGAAATCAAGATTCCTGCAAAAAATGGACATGCTGACTCAGCCTAGAGTTATGGAGCTGGACTGGCTTAAGTCACTGCTTCCTTTGTCCTAACTTACTCATTTTACTAATACAACCATTCACAAATAGTTGCAGTCATGATATGGAAAAGTTAAGGAACGAGGAATATGTGTTTAATGTCTTTTCTATTTCCCTGTGAGTGCTTATAGAATCCATTCTCTTACATGGCAGCAGGAGAAAGAGTGAGCAGGGGAAATGTCAGACACTTACCAAACAACCAGATCTCCTGAGAACTCCCTCACTATCAGGAGAACAGGAGAGCAGCAAGGTTTTCAGCAGCTCAGTCATTTTAGCTGAGAAATGAGGAAGGGAAGTGTTAAAGCCTACATACAGAAAGAGGTAGTCAAACATATAAGGAAAAGAAGAATATAATTCCTCTAGTTAAAGAGAGTGTTCTGACAATAAACTCTAATATGAAAGTAATTTCCCCCCTTTTAATTAATAGCAAACATCTGTATTCAAACATGAACTTTTTTCTGTTATCTTTCACTGTGGAGAGCAGAATTAGCCCCATTCTACAGTTAGAAAAATGGAGACATGAAACATTCAAGGATTTCATCCAATATAACAAGACCACCAGACGAAAGCTAATGGTTTACAGATGCAGGGTATTTTTCAAAGAAGAAGGAGAAATCATGTTATCTTTGATGTAACATGTGTAGAACTAACACAAGTGTTTGCCTTTGAGAATTACAATAGTCAGAGGGGAAAAAAAACTTTTTTCATCTTTTTTATTTTAAAATTCCTATGTGTATGTAGTCACTTCTCTAAGACAGGCCAAGGTATTTTTTTATGAATAACAAATTTTACTAAATAAGTTATGCAATAAGCTAAATCAAAATTTCCTCATAATAAATCTTTAAAGTTTCTCCTTCTTTTCACCAGTTCTTTTGTGGAAGAAAAACACAGGCATGCTGACAATGGCCAAGACAAAGGTGTTCCTCTTTCTTTCCAAATCCTGTAGACTGGAATAGTTATGGAACTGAGAGAAGTCACAGCAGTCCTGATCCAAAGTGTCACACTAAACTATGTGCCAGGCACAGGGATCTCCGCTCTCAAGTGACTTTCAGGCCAGAGGTGGTGGACAAGATAAGCATGCTGTTAGGAATGAATGTGGGGTGGCCACAGTAGCACATGGGAGGCCGTTGAACTTGGCCTTGGGGACCAAGATGTGATTTCTGGAACATAAGAGCAAACTCATACCTAAGATACGTGTAGGAATTAGCCTGGTGAAGGAGTGTTCCAGGAAGGTGGAACAGGACATGAGAAAACCTGGAGTTGATAGGGCTTTCAGCAGATGAGAAGAACTCGAAGCAATCCAGCATGTCAGGAATAATGGGCAGTAGGGTTAACTTGACTGCCAGAATCTTCCTTTTGTACTTTTCGTGTGCATTAAATTTATTGACAGTAGTGTGCTACATTGAAGAGACAAGGCTAGAAGTAACTGCTTCCTGACATACTGTACAAACTTGTGGATAAATATGAAAACTTTAGGTCTGGGCAAGGACTAAATATTTTCTTAAATGATAGGTTTTCTCTGAGCGGTTCTTCCTGTTGTAAACTAAGTTCAAACCCAAGTATTCTAGGACTGGCACTAAATTTGACCAATTCATTTATGTCTCACCCCAAACTTGTTCTTTTAGAATTCAAAGGAATTTTTCCTTAAAAGCCCCATTTAAATTTTACCTGAGTAATTTCCCCCTTTCAAGTTAGTTTTTTAAAAGATATTTATTGAGATTATTTTCATAATTTTGCAAGAATGACATGTTCATTTTAGGAAACTTGAAATATAGAGGAAAGCTATATCAATGAAAATAAAATCACTCACAATACCACTAAGGTGATAATCTTTGTCAATATTAACTTGTACAGGGTATTTGTGATATAATTTTCTAAGTTTTTCTATGAAGATATTTTTTAACAAATATTTCAACAATTTATATGCATTTCCTGTTTCTGTGTGCATGTATACACATGATATATATTCCACTCATTTTAAAGTTAATTTGAATTATTTAATTTATGAACACACTCTTATTTGCAAGTTTTTGTAGAACTATTAACATATCTAGTGTGTGAACTTTTAGCCCTGTTGAAAATAGCTTGCAAGCTGTAAGCTGGTTATATTTCAAAGAGCTAGAGGCTCCTGTAGTTCTCTATTCATTAGTTTTAAAGCACCTCTATGACATGACATAGGTGGCAGTATTATTATCCCTATATTGCAGAGGGGGCAGCCAAAGCAGACAGCAGTTGCATAACCAAGGCCGGGGTAGAAACAGAACTGGGGTTCTTTTGAAAGTAGGTAGAGTAAAAATTACACATAAAATGAAATATTGGTGATTTGTACCTCTATTCAAAGCCTCATCTCTTTGAAATGACAATGCGTAAAACACATTGGCCCTCTGTTATTTTTCCATCAATTCAGAACTGAATCTGACCTTGGAGAGTCCACACAGATATCAGTGGAACGTCTGGCCGATTGCATGTGAGGAGCTGCTGCCAGAACTTTGCCTGAAAGCTTAAATACCCTATGAGAGCTGCAAGGAATTCTGAAAAATTACGTTGAATATCGATGTTGAAGTTAAAATACACATATATGCGTGTGCGTGTACGTGTGCAAGCACACAGACACGCACACAGAATTTTAAGCCCAAAAGCAGCACCAGAGCCAATTCCATGATATTTGTATTAGTAATCTTTACTTGGGCAGAATTCACTTGAAGCTGGTGGGATTCTTTTTCCTGAGTCAAGCCTGCAGAATGAAGCCTGCTGGGAGTCAGCAAACCACAACAGACGTCATCAGCTTTCTCCTGCTTCAGGATATACATACTGATCACTGCGGGGGTCGGGGGAGAATTTTATTTTTGCTTGCGCAGGCTTACACAATTGTCAGCGGATATAACCCTTGCCTTTCTTTGAAGTGTGAGCTATCAAAAACTAAATAAACCAGATGGAGCCATTTTCTGATTCAAGGTGACAGAGCAGACCAATGCCTGAATAATATCTCTTTTTAAAGATGGAAATAGAATTACAAATTTGCTACAACTAATTTGCACTTTCCTTTGAAAAGGTGGAGCCCAAAAAGAAATTTTTCTCAAGAGGCTTTTCCGCCTGAGAATAAGTAATATTTAAAATAAGAGAAAGGTTGGAAAATTGACCACACAATACATGAAGTTAGCAAGAGAACGAGGGGGAAATTGTCAACTATGAAAGTGACAAACACTGAGTCGCTGGCATTCAGATAACCCCTCTTCTCCTTGCAACCAGATAAATATACATTCTTGATTCCCGGATTCCTTCCATTCTTGGTGCAATACTTGAAAAAAAATTTGACCAGGTTTTTGGCATTTTCATCTTTTCTGGGAATACTTCTAAATGACCTAGGGGAAATTTTCTAAACCAAAGAACAGTTTTGGCAGCAAAAACAAGCCTCAGTATGTATTATGATTGAAAAAAAGTAATTTAGCCTTTAACTCATGCAAGGATCTACGAGAACATCTATGTCAAACAGAATAAAATGAATTTGATATCTTTATTTTTAATGTATGGAAAAGATGATGTTTTTCACTTCATTATTTTAACTCTATAAAAGAAAAACTTCTTTGATGATTTACTAAACAAGGAATTAACTAGATTGTTAATGTTAGTGTTATAATTTACTCTTACAGGATTGAGTTTCTCAATTGTGCTAAATTTGTTCTATTCATCTCACGGCTCCCTCTAATACGTAGGAAAGTATAAAAACAACCTATCTGGGTCTTTATTTTTCTCATCTGTGCAATAAGGATAATAGGTCCTATTTCGAAGCATTGCTGAGATGATTAGATGATACAAGGAAAATGTCCAACCTAGTATCTGTACATGGTAGGTTCTTTCTGATTCATTCTCTTCTACCTTCTTTTCTATGGCATTTGAATATTGTGTGTGGACTTCAGCAGACTGATTGTGTGAAGTTCAACTAGTAAGGGCACAAAGCCAGGTACGTCTGAAGGACCTAATGTTTATATGAGTGCTAACTACGTACCTGGCACCTAATAAGCGCTCGATAAATATTAGCTATTGTTGTATCACACACCTCACTTTATCCTCGCTACAACTCTGGAGAGGTTTTATTTTCATTCTCATTTTCCAGTTGTCAAAACTAAGTCTTGGGAGGCAAAGTAACTAGCCCAATGTTGCACAGCAGGACTATGACGGAGCCAGAATTCCAGCTGAGATCTGCTCCGGAGCTCCTGGTCTCACTGCTGCAGCATGCCACACCTCTCCCTAAGTATGGGGTGGGCAGGCCTCGGACAAGTTCAACCACCTGCAACAGAACTGGAAAGGCAGAAGGACTTCTGGGAGAAAAAAAAAATGGCTGTTCTACTCATCTGCACATTCTAAGGGAAATTCTCTTAGATACACCTAATTTAATTTCTCAGCTATGTTTAGAAATTAACTCTAAGCCTATTTATTTACAAGAATAATGCAGTCAAAGACACTGTTAACCAGCTTGGTTATCTGCCTTTGCAGCTTCTGGAAGATTCAAAGCAGTTGAATTGAAGGTAGGGACAGTTGCTACAGTCAATTGCCTTGAAAACAGTAGAAGTGACCTGAAAACCTGCCAAATGCTGACACAAAAGCTTTGAAAGCCGTAGTAGCCTGGAGCCATTTAGCATAGCAGCAAATAGCCTGAAACCCTCAAATAGTCCTTGAAGTACAGTAATTGATATCATCATAAGGTCATTTAGATTATTAAACAGGAGTATATTACACATTCATAGAACTAGAAATTTCATCCAAATATTATTTTTTAAGTTCAGTAACTTAAATAGGAAGTATTAGTGAAAGAGAAGAATCACTTAAATAAAACACCTCTTCTATTGAAACTACTAGCGAAATAAAACTAGTGATAAAACTAATTTTTTCAGCAAACCTGAAAACTTTTTTTTATTATTATACTTTAAGTTCTAGGGTACATGTGCACAACGTGCAGGTTTGTTACATATGTATACATATGCCATGTTGCTGTGTTGCATCCATTAACTCGTCATTTACATTAGGTATATCTCCTAATGCTATCCCTCCCCCTCCCCCCACCCCACGACAGGCCCCGGTGTGTGATGTTCCCCTTCTTGTGTCCATGTGTTCTCATTGTTCAATTCCCACCTATGAGTAAGAACATGCGGTGTTTGGTTTTTGTCCTTGCAATAGTTTGCTGAGAATGATGGCAAACCTGAAAACTTAACCACGTAAACTTTAAACTCTGGATTTGTTGGTCTTTTTTCTATCATATATAACTTTTTGAATTGGGTGACTGAAGTTACACCAAAGATGGGTGTTATGTTAGGCATACAATGAATCATTCAAGCATCTCTAATTAGCATAGGAAATGGGTTCTTGCTTGGCTTAAGGAGTCAGCAATTTTCAATATAAATTTTAAGAGAATTTTAATCTAAATATGATCAAGAAGGAAATTAACACATTCTTCTGGAAATACACAAACATACACACATACCCTAAGCATTCCTACATGAAGCATTGTTGACTAATGTTATATTTCAACTTACATTTACTTACAACATCAGTTCCATAGCCCTGGGAAGTTGGGGACTATGATGGTAGTGGATAAGGTAGCCAGGGAAAATTTCAATAGCGTCAAACAGTAATTTGGGATTTAAAAAGTCATAGCTGTCTTTTGGATTTTATCTATAGTTTCCATGCATCTTGGGACAAATCATTTGAATCTCACAGGAATCCCAATTTCAGCATGATTGGCAGGATGGAACGATTGGCAGGATCGAGGCAGAATACCTTCAGTCCCAAGTAGCAGATCACTAAATCCAAAATCAGTCAGAGAGATACAGCCCTATCCCCAGAGACCTGTCTCATCTTTGGGCAGCCCATAAATTAAGAGTCAGGCAAAACCACACTGCACCTGAAAGACAGACTGATTTTCCTTTTTGAGTTGACTTCCTGGATGGTCTTGGATAGATACAGAAATATGATTCAGTAAACTTAACACCTGAGCATTAGAGCTAACCCGATTCAAAATGAGATCAACTCCTCAACATCACAAACAATCCTGAACCCAACTTAGTCAGGAAAAGAAGGCCAACACTTGGCATGTGTCTGGGCCATCGTGACATTCAAAGTTAAAGGAAAATCTTGGAACAGTCTAAGCAGTGAAAAGAACATGGTGCCTCCTCACCACAAGTAACTCAAAACAAAATAATACAAACTCTTAAATTACCGTTAAGAGGTCCAACAAAGTTTTTATGTTTTTTAAATATATTTATTTCCACATTTATGGAAAGATAATAAATACGTGTACAATTTGCCTTTTGTTAAATATATTTATATATTATTTATACATATATACATATCTATACATATACGTGTGTGTGTTTGTGTGTGTGTCAAAAGCCAAATCCTTATTTCAAGAAACTTTGGTGATCTTGCTTCACTGATCTCCTAAATATGGGCTTAGCCTGTGTTTTAACTGATTTTTGTGGCCAAGCATCTCCCATGTTCAGCAGTGTATGACTGGGCTTCCCCCTTCCCTCTCTCCCCGACTAAGCCCAGAAATGTCTCATGGCCACCCACCCAGCTCAGACTCTATTTTATTAAAAGGCAGTCTCTGCTTGTACTGATTTCATAGAGACAATATGCAAATTACTAAGTGGCTTATTTAACATATAATCCTGGAAGTAAATACTGCAGAAATGCAAAGTACTTATTAAAATTGATCTTCCTCTGAGATTAATAAATGATTCTTTGGGAATAAATTGTTCAACCAAGCAAGATTAATAAACTTAAGGGCCGTTAGCCAGTTTTCTTGTAGTAAATTACAGGGTGCTTTGCAAGAATTGCATTATTTCATATAAGTTAATTCATTGAAATTAATTCATTGAATATATGTAATTTTAACTTTATAAGTAATGAAAATAACTAATAAAGAAGTTGAACAGCTAGTACAGCTGAAAAAAAAAGAAGGAAAAAGAAAAGGCCATCAAACTGTCAAAGCATACCTATCAGGGCTGGCATCGACACTGTAAATATGCAAGCCACAGATACACAAAACAGGCACTACCAAATATGCTTTTTGTCATTTTGTCCCCTATATACTCCATGGTTTGAAATATTTTGTCTACAGAACTGCATTAACTTGGCAATACAGTTGATCCTTGAATAATGAGGGGGTTAGGAGAACCAGCCTCTGCATAGTGGAAAATCTGTGTATAACTTTTGAGTCCCCCAAATCTTAACTACTAATAGCCTATTTTGACCAGAAGCCTTACTGATAGCATCAATAGTCAAGTAACATGTATTTTGTGTGTTTTATGTATCATTTACTGTATTCTTACAATAAAGTAAGTAGAGAAAGGAAAGTGTTATTAAGAAAATCATAAGGAAGAGAAAACATATTTACTATACATTATGTGGAAGTGGATCATCATAAAGGTTTTCATCTTTGTCATCTTCAAGTTGAGTAGGCTGAGGAGAGGGAGGAAGAGGAAGGGGGAAATTTGTTGTCTCAGGGTAGCAAGAAGAGACAGAAGAAAATCTACTTATAAGTGGACCTATGCAGTTCGAACCTATGTTATTCAAGGGTCAACTGTAATTATTTTGTTTTTCCTGTTTTTTCACCCAATCAGAGATTCTGCTTGGTAAGGCATAACAATATCACTTCACTGAGTTGATATAATTACCCTCTTCAGTGTGTCTCTTCTTATTGTGCCATAACCAGGTACTGTGACCTCATGCCTGGTTTTCTTAGCTCTTGTGAAGGTATTTCTGTGTGTGGATAGTTGTTCAAATGGATGTTTCTCGTGGACGAGGGAGACAATCACTAGAGAGCCCCATTCTGCCATCTTGCTCCACCTTCCGGCTGACTTGATATAATTAAAGAATTTGACTTTTTTGGCAATCTGCATAATCTTATTAAAGCTAAAGATTTCATTTCTACTAGCCTTTTTATATATGTGTGTATCTGCATATACATTTATAAATATTTACATACGCATATGTTATACCACTTAATACATTGAAATATGCATGATAATATAATATAGCCTTTAAATATATTGAAAAATATATTCTTATGGATCTCCTTTCTTACCATACCATCTCTCTGAGACAGGAGACTGCTGATTAAATTCAAGCCTCTCTTTTCACAGAGGAGCATGCCATGTCCCAGAGCAGTTATTGCACTGGCCAAGATCAAACAAGCCATTGAAGATTGAATTTTCTGTTGTCCATATAACACTTCTACAACAAACTCCATCTGTTTGCTATGGTCTCTAAATAAGCACCTATATTAAGAGCAAGGGACTCACCGAAAATTATTCTAGTGAAATAATTATCTTTCAGGTCACCTCTTGTCTCTGCTGTCCCAGACACTTTTGGGCATAAGTACTTGTTCTATAACATAGCTTTCTTTATATTTATGCCTACCTCCATTTTACCATTGCATTATAACAATAGTATTGTGCAATAGTAATAATGCATTTTACCATTGCATGATAACAATAGTATTATGGCCTGCCTCTCCCTCTATTACTAGTTCCTACAAGTGCAAGAGCTACGTCTTTCTGATCTATTTTTCCTTGGCACCTACTGTACCTAGTTTCCTAAGGGTTGATTTAGGGTGGATGAGATAAGATTGATCTGGCACAATGTTTTGTTTTCTTATGTTTAAATACCTTCTGTATGCCAGTAATTTTCCAAATTCATAACCAAGGACTGGCTTTTCCCCTGTACTCTATACTCAGACTACCTACTTGACATCAACTTAGGTATCTCATCATTCCAAACTTAAAATATCCAATCAAATGCCTGATTAAATATATCTAAGTATATTTCTTACTATCCCAGCAAATAACACAAGAGCCGCTGCTCTTTTTCCTTCACATGCCGATCCATGTGTTTGTTCTAAAAATCCTACCTGCAAAATATTTCCTAGCTGGGTGCAGTGGCTCACGCCTGTAATCCCAGCACTTTGGGAGGCTGAGGCAGGTGGATCACCTGAGGTCGGGAGTTCGAGACCAGCCTGGCCAACATGATGAGACCCCATCTCTACTAAAAATACAAAACTGTCTGGGCGTGGTGGTGCATGCCTGTAATCCCAGCTACTTGGGGGGCTGAGGCTGGAGAATTGCTTGAACCCAGGAGGCGGAGGTTGCAGTGAGCTGAGATTGCACCACTGCACTCCAGTCTGGGTGACAAGAGCAAAACTCTGTCTCAAAAAAAAAAAAAAATCCTGAAACTGTTTATTTTTCCTTCAGTCTCACAGCTACCACCCTAGCCAATACATCATTTCTTCTTTCTTGAATTGTATTAGCCTCCTGATTAATTTCTGCTTCTATTCTTGTTCCTATGCAATTTCTTCTCCACAGAGCTACCAGTGTGGTCTTATGAAAACTATTATATATTAGATCACATCACTCTTCTTCTGAAAACCTTGTAATGGCTTGTCATCACACTTGGAGAGACATCCAAGATCATTCTCTAATCTACATAGCCCAGCATTGTCTGGCCTGGAATCTCATCTCATGCCACCTTTTCCCTTGGTCACTGAGTCTCTGTCACTGCCTTCCTTTGTTTGTCACTGGCCTTCTTTGTTTCTTTAGACATAGCAGCTAGTTCTTGCTTTTGGGTCTTCCCAAGGGTTGCTTTTTCTGCCTCAAGTCCTCTTCCGCCAAATCTCTGCCTGGTTGCCTTCTTGTTGTCCTTAATTTTCAGCTGAAACGTCACTTACTTCAAGAGCTCCCTTTTGACCATACAATTAAATTAGTTTCTTAGCCACTATTTTGTTAATTATTAATTAAATTTTTGTTTGAGAATTTTCTGGTTAATGTTTTTGTGTGCTTTTCAACGTGTTTACTTCCTAATTCTCACTAATATGTGAAGTCTGACTTGTTCAAAACTTTGTTACATGCTTAGACCATGACTGGCCCACAGACGGTGCTTAGTGTTGGATGCTTAATGATGTTAAATTCATTTGCCTGCCTTTAACATCCCCAAGTACAAGGAGAATAAATTCTTGTGCTCAGAATTCGCCTGATAAATATTTGTCATCTAGGGTCAAGGACCTCATCTTTTTTCCATTTGGGGGCACCTATTTATTATTGCTTCTGTGGAGGTTGATATGTTAATGTGTAGTAACCTTTTGCACCCAGCAGTTCCATCCTTTGAGCTCTACCATTGATTTTTCTCATCTTTGTGCCTGAAGAGCCAGATTGATTCCTTTTTTCCCACTGTCCTGACAGTTTGCAGTGATACTCACTGTGCAAGTGGGAGCCATTGCCCTTCAGCTATCAGAAGGCTGGCCCTGCCCCAGAAGTGCAGGCAAGGAGCTTTGTACAGCAGCTGTTTGTGTCTGTGCACAAAATGGTATCCCTTCTTCCAGAGTTAGCCCATGGTCTTGGAAGGGTGGGACCCAGCTCCTTCTGGATCAGATTCACTTACCTTGCCAGGAAGCACTGGCTGAGAGGGTGGGAGAAACTACAAAGCAATGTTTCTATTAAGTCTTCGAGATTAGAGATGGAAACCAGAAAGAGGAAGAAAGGGAGAGAGAGAAACAGAAGGGTCTCAGAAAAAAAAAACCAGCTCACTCTTCCATTTTACCCCTCTGCCAAGGGACTCTAAAACCCTTTTTCCCAATTATCTATTTGTTAGTGCAGTTCCACACTGGCTGAGTCTCCATCAGGCACTGTGAGACCCCACCTGTTTCCCAAAGTAATTTTAGATGCCCATGAGGCCACTTGGGTACACAGTCACTTATTCCTTAAGTGAGTATTTACTGCACCAATGAATAACCTGCTCTGATTAATAGTTATAGCAGTAACATCACTCTTGGCCCAGGCTCATCTCTTAGTGCAGAAGATCCCAGGACGAGCAGGACATAGACAAGGTGTGACAAGCCCAGAGACATTCTACAACCCCAAGCTGGAATCTTGCCTTTACTAACCAGGCAGGACCCTGAAAAGAAGCCAGTACCTTGGATCATTTTATCTAAAGCTTTCATGTAGCAAAGGGGCCACCAAATCTCTGAAGTTGTCCCCAGTCCCATATCACATTAACTGTATCACACTCTTTCTTCACTCCTCAACAGAGAGGCTGAGGAGCAGATAATTCAGAGTGACTCCATAATGATGGCTCCCTTCTGCCCTTCGAGCAGAGCATCTTTCTTTCTCCATCCTGATTTTCTGAAAGTGAGGAAGAAAGCTAGCTATTTTTTGACTCTATCAGTCTCTACAGTCTCTTTCAGTGCCAAAGTCAGCCATCACTCTTACAGGAAACTTCATTATAGGAGCCTCATGGCAAAAAAATAAATATCTATAGCTATAGAAATAGATAGATACAGATATAGATATCAATATAGATATAAATAGATATATCTATATATGTAAGACTTTCGGGAGTTGCTTTAGTTTTTTAGGCCACAAAGACCTAAAAGAAGAAAATCACTACTTTCGTGCCCAAAATGATGTTCTTAAGGCCTGAAAAGGTAAGGAGCTTCCCAGAGAGCATTATCTATTTAGCAACCAGGAGCAGGCTTTTTGCAATGCCATTAAGGATTGACTTACAGGTGACAATGCCTTACCAAGAAAGCCCTTGATAATTCAGTAACCACATCCTTTGATGGTGATCTAGGAAAGGATGACATTTAAAAAAAAACCTCCTCTAGGAATAATTCTGTTATAATGGGTTTCTAGAGATTTAGGGAGAAACTAATTGGATATTCACTGTTGATGGCTATATATTTAGATCACACTAGAAAAAAATAATGTTCATCCATGTTTTATAGAAATGGATCCGGAGAATTTTGCAGATGAACTGAAACACATGTTAAAAGTTGAAACATAAGGAAAAGAAATGGCAGCAGATCAATAGTGAGGTAAAGGGCCCAGCAGCCGATCGCCTCCAGGGGCTAGAATTCACCTTTAGCATCATTGCTAGCGGAAATCTGCACTTTTTTTTCCTCTTTAGTTTTTATGTTACCTTTATCATCTTTTTCTTTCATCTCCTGACCACTTCCCACCAAACATATATCCTTTATTTTTCCTTTCTTTTTACCTTTACTATGTGTTTCCCTTTTTCTATCACCCTTGTCTCATGGCTGCTGGTTCCACTGATGGCACCTAAGACTGAAGGGGTTACCAATGCCAGCTCCACAGAGAAGGGAGCAGATACTTTGGAGGTGATGTTAGTGGCTGGATTTCATGGAATGCCTACTTTGTGCCTGGCCTTGTTAGAGATGCTTGTCATGTATGCTTGCATTTCATCCTCTCAGTTGTCCTAAGAACTCAGTCTAATATTATGCAACACCCTAGTTCAATTCGAGAATAAAAGCAGTTTTGTTTTGTTGTATTTTGTTTCTGAAAAACTCTGCCTCCAAAGGTTCTAGAGAAAAAGCCCCCAAGAAATGCCAACTGGAAGATGGAAGTGGGAGGTTTGACCAACAGGTTAGAGATAAGAAAGTTGCAACAACTGGGTAAATTTCTGAAACCACAAGCTGATTTCTATGACCAATCTGTTTTCTACGACCAATCTGTTTTATTTGCACGTTTGTGCTCTTGGGGGAAAACGTGACTTTACCAACCATGTTAATGGGGGAAAAGTTCTAACCCTTCAATAATTTCAAGAAAACCAGAATATGGTTTAGGTCAAAAAAGAGTACTTGATTTTGCAACACCAAATATCCCTTCTGAGGTTTCCCAAAAATGCTGTGGCAATCCCACACGGAACTCTCTCCATATTTTTACCATAGAAACAATAGTGCTAATTCAGCATGCACTGTGATTTAGACCACTTTGGGCGGTGCTTTAAGGAAGATATCAAAGAAATGAATACCTGCACTCTTATAATATCTTAAAAATGCAATACAGAATATACCAAATTTCCATGTAAAATGCTAAATAAAATAAAATGCATTGATTATAATGTGTTTCAGAAGTGTAGAAAAACAAATGGAATCATTGGACTTCACTAGGTTTAGTAGGTCAAAGATTTAGAGTATCTACTATTAGATACTTATTCAAATAAGTACATGGGCTTATTAATAAATTATTATTAGGGACAGAAACGAGGAATGCAAAAAGTAGTTGAAGATCCTAAATGTCAGAATGATTTGCCTGAGGGTTTAGACTTTCCTTCCCTTAGGGATATTACACGGGAACCTAGCCTTTCTATCACTCTGCAACACCTTTGAAAAGAAGGAGCTATATAAGGGTGATATGGAATTTTTAGGTTTACATTGCCCTAGTAGAACTATAAATACACATGACTAGGTAACCAGATTTACCACATGGAAATAGAAGAGATGCCTGATCCACCAGACACAAGTCTGTCTTCAGCTTCATCTCTGCATCTACTACCCCAGGACAGAAATCAGCCTAGGGCCAGACTTGAATATCTGTTGTCCATGCAGAAAGTGACCCAAGTCATTTCCTCAACACTCAGAAACATTTAAAGCTCTTTTTTTTTTCTTTTCCATTTCTGGCCAAGCTGTTTAGAAAGCACAGATGCAGCTGGCACTGTGATATTGTAAGCAGCCTTGCTAAATGGCTCCAAAAGGAAAATAGCTGTCCAATGTCTTGGGTAGATCTGTGAGCTCCATTCACCAATGTCACATCATCATTCTCTGGTTCTTCAGACCCAAGAATCGAGGTCAGAGACAGCGGAGTTGCTGCTGCAATTTTGTTTACATAACAAGGTAAAGACTACTCTGATAACCCTCCATTGCTAGCCCCTTTTCGTAAGAAATAAAGTTACCTTAGTGGTTTAGCATCTGATTTGAAGAAACCACCCCATTACTGAAGGGAGATCAGATGTTCCTTTAATTTTTTAAAATGTTCATGTGAACCACGTGCAACATGTTCTTCCTCTCTGGTCACGATGAGAGATGAAGACTTTTTTCAGCATTTTTTTGATAAAGGTTGTGGCAAAGATCTAAAATCCACCCTGCTGGTCACAGTCATGACCCAGGTGGCAGTGAAGATGTGACTTTGGCTTGAGAAATATGAGATGTAATCCTGCCATGAAGAACAGCTATAGAAAAAGGTGCTGGGGTGTGGTAATTATTCTTCCTTTTCTTCAATTCATCGGACTTAAATGTTTAGCAGCCAGATATGATGATAAGCTGTAAATCAAGCAGAGTTTCTACTGCTTTATACAATATCCCAACCACACAGGCAGTACAGCAGAGTGCTAAGAAGGTGTGCTTATCACCCTTCTAAAGCCTGATAGTATCTGCACCCTGAACAAATTACTTTCATAGGAGATCATGATAATGCCTACCTTTTGGGGGATTCTTGTCAGGATTCAATAAGGAATTGCATATGAAATGCTTAGTGCTGTATCTGGTACATAAGCATTCAAAGGAAGTGCTTGGGCTCAGGTCTGTGGGAATCTGAAGCTTCTGTTTTCTGGATCATGCTTCATTATTAGCAAAATTAGAAAATAATCTGCTATTCACTGAATGTGTCCCTTCAAAATTCATATGTGTTGATACCCTAACTCCCAATGTGATGGTATTTGGAGGTGGGACCTATGGGAAGTAATATGGATATAATGGTAGAGCCTTCGTAATTGGATTAGCACCTTTATAGAAAGAGACACCAGAGAGCTTGCTTTCTCTCCCTCTCCCCACCATGTGAGGATACAGCAGGAAGGCAACCACCTGGTAGCTAGGAAGAGGGCCCTCACCAGAATCTGACCATGCTGGTGCCCCAACCTCAAACTTCCCAGCCTCTGGAACTGTGAGAAATGAACTTCTGTTGTCGAAGCCATCCAGTCTATGGCACTTTGTTATAGCAGCCCAAGCTAACTTAAGATGTGATCTAATGGAAATAGTCTATCTCTGAAGTCCCTTTAAACTCTCACATTATGTGATTCCTCTTTCTTTGCTTTGTGGTAATAAAACACTTTTCTTAAGCTCCCAGTTTGCTAGGAACACAGTAACAACTCACCTGAGGAAAGTAGTAAGAATGTTCTTGAAGTCTGACAATCATTAGAGCTAAGCCTTTAAAAATTCTATCAAATAAAAAATAATCAGCAAAAACATAATTAACCACCCATGTTTTCCTAGCTATGAACAAATTCTATACTATATAATTTCTATTTTTTAAAGTGTGAAGTAAAAATTTCTAAGACACTGTTTTAGTTGTCAAGACATAAAAAAAGAATGAAAAAAATTGGTTATCATTTTTTAATATTTATTTATTTATTTATTTTGAGACAGAGTCTTGCTCTGTCGCCCAGGCTGGAGTACAGTGGTGCTATCTTGGCTCACTGCAACCTCCACCTCCCGGCTTCAAGCAATTCTCCTGCCTCAGCCTCCTGAGTAGATGGGACTGCAGGCACGCACCACCATGCCTGGCTAATTTTTATATTTTTAGTAGAGATGGGGTTTCACCATGTTACCCAGGCTGGTCTTGAACTCCTGACCTCAGGTGATCCAGCTGCCTCAGCCTCCCAAAGTGCTGGGATTACAAGTGTGAGCCACCACGCCCAGCCTGTCATTTTTAATAACAAAAACTAATTTGGATATATTGCATCTATATTTATATTACAGCACTGTAGTTCACCATGCTTTATAGTTAGTTGTATATGTGTCTGTCTCTCCACCAAACTTGTAAACAATTTTAAGAGAAGGGAGCATGTTTTTGTATATCAAGCACTTAGCGTAGGGCAGGCACAATTCACCACTCAATAAATGCATGTTAAATGAATTAATGAATGAATTAAGGGCGCAGCACTGAGACGTTAAGTTAAGAAGTATGGTTCAACAGCCTCTGCAATCCAAAATAAAGACAGGCCAGAGCATCAAAGGCAAGTAGTGACGTAAGTGAAGTTACATCCCAGATGACCAAAATGGATAAGAGGTCCTGCTTTGTTTAAATAGAAGAGTCAGCTTTAAGGTGGGGCACAAAGACTTCATGAAAAAACATGGAATTTTATTTGGATTAGAGAAGTGGAAAAATCTTTCCCAAGAAGAAGGACCACGTGAGCAGTAACATAATATATTTGTTTCCTATTGCTGTTATAACAAATCACCACAAATTTAGGGGCTTAAAACAACACAAATTCATTATCTTACAGTTCTGGAGGTAAAGTCAAGGTGTCTACAGGTCTGTATTTCTTTCTGGAGGCTCTAAGGGATAATCTGTTTTCCTGCCTTTTTTATCTTTGAGAGCCTCCTCCCATTCCTTGGCCCAAGGCCCCTTTCCATCTTCAAAGTCACCAATGACCAGCTAGCTGAATCTTTCTCACATCACATCACTCTGACGCTGACTCTTCTGCCTCCCTCTTCCACATGTAAGGACACTTGTGAAATTATTTTGGTCTCATCCAGATAATCCAGATATTCTCTGTATTTTAATGATGGCTGATTAGCAACCTTAACTTCATCTACTACCTTAATCTCCTTTGCCATGTAACCTAACATATTCACAGGTTCCGAGGACTAGGATGTGGGCACCTTTGGAAGGCCATTATTCTGCCTACTATACATAATGTCAGATGCATCTGACATGTTTGTGCAACAATATGACTTCCACAGAAATTTTGCATATTCAATGTAAGTTTGAATGTGTTTACAGGACTAGGTGAGTGGGAGCCTATTTTTGAAAGTGCTGAATGCCCAAGAAAGGGATTTGAACTAGTTTTATAAGTAATAATTATCTTTGCATCAAATTAGTATTAATATTGCCATTACTTTTCATGTTACATGTTTGAAAATGACATGATTATAAATTATGTTCAATCCAGAATATCATAACTTTTAAAGGTAAATAAGACTTAACTGAAGTTTTCAATGATTAACGAGAGACTTGAAAAACACAATTTAATAGTAGCCTCATCAATTGCCTCCTCAAAGTTTGAAAGCAGGAAAAAAAAAGTAATAACAGCATTTAAAAGGCATTTATTAAAAGCCCAGTTATCTGTGGCTTGAAGTTGACTCTTGATATTCTAATTGAGACGCACAAACATAAAATCAGCAAGGTATGTGAACATATGCAAGTCAAAGACAGATGTATGTTACCTTGCACCTAAGTGGACAAAAGAATGTTAACGTCAAATGCAAAGATGTCTCAGAAAACACAGAATACAAGAAATCTTATCAGCAGACCACAAAATAGGTCCAGGAAGATCATGGAGGACAAAGAGTAGATAGACCCAGAGGTCCAAATAAGCAAATAGAGCAGGATCAGTTAGTATGCATATCCTATAAATAGAAAGATATGCAATCATTTTAAAGTAATTTTCAAAATAGAAGGAGAAAAATGTAGTTAAAATTTCAATGTGGGATGAAAAAAAATTACCAAAGTGAAATTCTTAGAGAATCTTTTGATAATAAAGATCTTAGACACATGTCAAAGTTGTCAAATATTCTAGTGTGCTGGGCTTTTTTCCCTTGATTATGGTGCAATAATTCTTCTAGCAACACTGCATATCAAACAAAAAGGGTCCAGTAGGAATCCCTGTACTGTACCATGCAAAGAATGTGTTGTATACATACTACATGTTAAATGGCCACTCCTTTAATTTTCACTCTAAATTCTCCTGCCATTACCGGGGAAAACAACTCCTAAAATTACCAGAAATAATAAAACACTCTGTATACTAGTTTTTAATGCAATATCTTCCAACTTTCTCATTATTTAGTTACTCCCCTGGATTATATATATCAGGAAATATTGGTGTTCATAACCATAGCAAAGCACTTAGCCTTAGAAAGAATCAGGAAAGACAATGGAAAAAATAACACAGTGAACTGTGTTTCCAATTACCAGCAGATGCTTTCATTTATTCTAAGCGTTCTTGTTTAGTTAACTGTACATATTTTTAATCATAGAAATCTGGTAATGTTCTAGACCCATGCTCTTAGTTACCCTGGTCTTCCAGCTGATTTCACATGTCTCTTGCTTCTGGCATCATTTTCCCATAAATACTGTGCCTAGGGCGCATGAATTCCAGGTGAAACCTGTTAAAGAATGCAGCCTATTGCAAAGTTTACTTGATTCAACTTTTGTGCTGTGTGTGCATGTGTGTGTGTGCATGTGTTGTGTGTGTGTGTTTCGCTGAGACTGACATTGCTGTAGATTTCTCTGAATCAGCAGCACCATTAGCCACTGGCTACAGCACCATGAATGCCTGCTTCCTTTTTTTTCCATCTTTATCTCTTTGAGGAATCATCTGGTCACCATTCACTCATGCCTGGAATATCACAGTGGGAAAGATTACCAGGCTTCATGGAAAGACTACTTTACATAAATCTTTAATAAACCAAATGAAAGAGCAGGTCTTGCTGAAAGTATCCCTGATGATGGAGATCAAAGACTCAGAGCCTTGCCTGTATTCCAACCATTCTGAAAATAGCAGGAGGGGTGCAACAAAATGCTGGAAAGAAGGAGTCATGGAGAAACTGGCCTAACTAAATTGCATTTGACATTTGATGAGAAAAGACTGTCAAAAATAGTATTTGTTTATGAAATTCTTTAAGATTCTATCACATATATTTATTGCATGGGCTTATAGTTGATAGTCAACCTTATCTTTAAAGTTAACCCATAAGGGGAAAAAAAGAATAAAAGAAAATTAACAAGCTATGGTTCAATGTCCCCAGATACAGCCTTTGTTCTTACATAGCAGTTCTGGTTGCTTCTTTCCATTGAGAGTATTTGGCCTGCGCCAGCATGATTGTTTTTAGAAGTCCTAATAGGTGTATCTGGAAAGACTGGGATGGTTGCTGCATTTTCTTTCATAAATAACTAATATGGAACAGGCATAAAATCCTTGCCACATGGTTATACTCTAGCCTTGCTATTCAGAGTGTGGTCATGACCAACAACCTTGACATCCCCAGGAAACCTGTTAAAAATGCAGAGTCTCAGGTCCCGGCCAGACTTCTGGAATCAGAAATCTGCATTTTAATGGAATCCCCAGGTTATTCAAATGCACATTAATATTTGAGAAGCCTTGATCTAGAATAGCCTCTAGGAGATACCATTTGGCATAGCTGTTCTATGTAATTCATAATTACCAGGAGGGGCCGGGCGCGGTGGCTCACGCCTGTAATCCCAGCACTTTGGGAGGCCGAGGCGGGCGGATCACGAGGTCAGGAGATCGAGACCATCCCGGCTAAAACGGTGAAACCCCGTCTCTACTAAAAATACAAAAAATTAGCCGGGCGTAGTGGCGGGCGCCTGTAGTCCCAGCTACTTGGGAGGCTGAGGCAGGAGAATGGCGTGAACCCGGGAGGCGGAGCTTGCAGTGAGCCGAGATCCCGCCACTGCACTCCAGCCTGGGCGACAGAGCGAGACTCCGTCTCAAAAAAAAAAAAAAAAAAAGAAGGCTTGATTCCTCATCATTTTCTCACTTTCCTTTTGTTATGTCATTTATATAAAAAATCTTTCTATATCTTATTAGTGGTCTAGTTTATTTTTATTAGATTAAGAGGAAAGAACCCTCACTCAGGCATTTTCCAGCAGTTTTTTGAGTATGTCTGGATAATCTCTCCTCCACTCTCCCTGAGATCTTCTTAACCTGGTCAAATTCTTGAGAGCGTTCAAAATTTATGCATCTCACTTATTTTAAAAAATTAACATATTTCAGACTTTGTACAGGCCACTTTTTAAATATCACATTTGATTCTGCACACTACATTTCTTTTAAGCACACTTACAAATTAAACAGAGATCAGTTAGGAGCAATCAAAGTTATAAAAATGTTTGAGAAATAAAGACTCCAAACAAAACACTGAGGCCCTCATCAGTTTGTCTAGGGAAATGAGGCCAGTAGGGGGCCTGAAGATACATGTTCACTACCACAGCATATGACACAAAGCTGCACAGCTCATGAACATCAAACACATTTTGTGTTTAGTCACTTTGGACTAAAAACAAAATTCCCTATTAAGAGAACCTATACAGCATTAACTAGGGCACTAAATAATACATGGTAAAGATCATGCAGGATGAGACCCTAGACATGATTCCTGGGCTTTTATCCCTCCAAAATGCACTTACAAAGAATATTTATCTTATGAGCCACATACATTGTTCTGTATCTGTCTATTCTCATTCATACTTTCACCAGGCCTACCTTAAGAACCTTGCTACCATCAAATCTCTTACTGTCTTCTGCCACAGGTCACTCCCCAGTACCCTATATCCAACAGCCCTGCCTTTGATTTCCTTTACTCCTGCATTCTCGCTGGGGAACCCAAATTTCCGAAGTGAGACCTACTTCAAGGGTTGAAGGGCTTGACTTTCCAGCTTTCTAACATATCCCAGGGAAGGATAGCCAAAATTTGTGTTTAATGAACTTGTCAACTGTGATATCATATAGCTTAAAAATAACAATATTAAATTTTTATAGCACATTACAGTTTAAAAATAACTGACATTCTAGTCTTATTTAATCCTTTCAAGATCCCAGTGTGATGGATAAAAAGTTGCCATCATACCCATTTATAGATAAGGCCCCAAATTTGGGGCAAAGCTCAGTGGTGAGTATAGATCAAAACCCAGTTTTTGTAACTCTCAGATAAGTAGTCTTAGAGAGTGACTTTAGAGATTTCCTTGTTGTAGCTGTTTTCTAAGAAGTTGACAGACTCGAATGTGAAATTCTGAAAAGTGTACTCTACCACCACTGTGACCTTTCACAATCAGAAATAAGTCCTGAAATCCTAGAAAGGCTATAGTCAGAGGGTGCCAGGGGCACACACCGAAGTATCAGATGTTCAGTAGTGGGACAGAATAGGAGGCTGTATTCATCAGCAGGCAGGAGCTGAGTAGAGAAAATCAAGTCTTCCTGCCATGTTGTTCTCAACCTTTTGTCTCACTGGACCCATTTTTTTGGAAAATTCACAGAGACAGTAAACTTAGCATTAGTTAAGATCTTTAACAGCTAACAGGATAGAGTGTGATGTTAGCTGAAATCCTAGTTTCTCTCTTAAAACATACAAAAATAATTGAATAAGTAAAGGAGGGAGAGGTCACTCACACTGAAAACCAGAATTAGGGCACAAGAGGCCGGGCAGGTCCCCAGTACCTGAAAAAGGACCCAAAGGCTAGCACAGAAGGTCTTCCCTTCTGCTGTTGCTCCCACAGTTAATATTCATTTGCAGAGTGAACAAGAGAATGATTGGGTATGGTTTAGACACTCCTCCTACTTCGCCCCACCTGTCTTTCCTCATCTCTCCCCACATGCTTTCCCCCTTTCCCCATGACAATGGAAATATGTGCTGCCTTGTAGGGTCGGTCTGTAGACTAAGTCGTTTTTCCTACTTGCTGGCATTATTTCTTGAGATTAGCTAAGGCCAGAGTTATCACATTTCTATGTCTCCTAAATTGTTTGCAGTTCTTCTACTTGGACTGTATAGAACCAAGTTGAAAGACCTGTTTTTACTTCCCTGCTCATTTTGAATTTTTTTTTTGAATTGCATTTGTAAAAGCAGAGTGGTCGTGTGTGTGCATGTGTGTGTGTGTGTGTGTTTACACATCCATACTTGAACTGATGGAGAGGAAAGTTCAGGACAAAATAAATAAACTCCCTCCATAGTTTGCATTTTTTTCCAAAAGATAGGCCACAGATAAGGGTCAATAAGGGTATAAAACAATTCCAAAATATCTGAGTGAGAAAATTTTTATTAAACTTTTTGTTTTGTAAGAATCTATTAATAGATTCAAAGTGAAAGAAAATGACAAGGGATATATGTTTCTAAGTTTCCATTTTTTTGAAAGGTACATTCTCTAGAATTGTTAGAAATATTTAACATTATAAATGCCTTATTTTACAAATCATGTATAATAAATGCTTATCTGCCTAGTGACTGGAGCACCCATAGTCTACAAGATTTTTACATAGCCCTCAGAACACCAAAAATTCTTCAACATAATCCAGGTTCTAAATCAACTATATATTTGACACTTTTCTTGGTTGTATACTTTAGTATCGGGGTTATCAATTCTTTTATAGCTCCAACCACAAAGCAAAGTCTTTTTATTTTTAGTTTTTGGAAGAAGGAGCCAATGCAATGGCTAGTTTTTATTAAAAAGAAGAAACTTTTTAGCACATTTTGAGTAACTTAGTGCAGGGGCTCAGTGGGCCCACTGGTGGGGCAGCTTGTAATAGTTTCCAGTCAGGGCATCACCGGGGCTCACCTTTGTCCAGCCAAAACCAGATGATGGCACTATTCTCTTCACAGATGCTGCCCACTGCTGGTGAAGGAGGGGGGCTAAATTAAGGTCCTCTTTGGTACCTGAAGCTGCCTTTGGGGGTAGTATATTATATGGGTCCAGTCCCTTCCGTGCAGCCATCATGATATCCCTCTCCAACCCAGTCACCTGCTCATTGTCAGTAAGAACATCACCTCCAGATGCATTGGAGTGCACTTCAACCACCCCTCAGGGACCCTGGGCCCTCAGGGCCCGCACAGCCGGCACCCCAGCTCCTCAAAGTAACCTCGAAGCCATGAAGCCATCACACCCTCAACAAGTAACAGTACTTCCAGGAACAGCAAAGTCTTTTTGATACAAGTAGGTGTCCATTGTCCATTGGAACAAGCTGTTTTGACTTTGTTAGTTCTCATTATTTTGGGTTGATTCACAATGCCTGAAAAAGAACTTGGTTATTTTGAAAATCTATCTTAAAATGTCCTGTCTGCAACCCATTAATTACTGATATTAACATGTGTAAGAATCCTCACAAGTTACCTAGATGGGTCTTCTCTGTTCCATGATTCCTTTGATCACATAACAACCCCACCCTTTCCCCACCCTCAGTGATCCAAACTTCTGGCTGCAGATACCATATCAAGATGAATGATGTCCACTGAGTAGTGAAAATTATAGGTTTACAGGCATGTTCTTCTAAAGTAACTATCTGAAAAACAAAAGAGATCCCAGCCTATGAGATGTTAGCTACGAAATGTAACAAAACCACCTTTCAGATAATTCACATGGTAGAGAGGTTTTAGTCCAGCAAGTACTAGCCTCGCATCAGTTTGTCCCAATCTCTTGAACCTGCAGTTGAGCCAAAAATTTCCGAGCCAAGCTTTCTCGCAAGATTTCCTGTACTTCCTGTTTCTATGTGAGCCAGAAATACCATGAGAATGACCTTTCTTGTGGTATTTTTGCCCTTATACTCCAGGATGAAAATAATCCCATATTGGGGGAACTTTTTTTAAATTGTGCAAATATTTCCAGGTTTCAAACCTTCAAATGAAGTAGGTTCCTCCTTGGGAATGAAAATGTGAAATGGTGATGGCTTGGCCCTGACTCATCTCCACTAGGAAGTATTCGTGCTCAGTGATCCAACATTTTGTAATTTCTCTAAGATATTTTTACAAGGAACTAGATAAAATAGTACAGAGGATACAATGGAAATGTATATCCTTGGATTTTTTTTAAAAAGTCATTCTTGAAGAAATGAACAATGAAGTGTTGTGTTCTTAGTACATTAGTGTATGTGATATATGATATCACATATTTGTTTTCTTTGTTCTTAACCCCTTTGTTCCAAGGGTCAGGATATCCTGATGCTAAGTACTATTGCAAAATAACTGAACAAAAATAAAAATAGTCAAACACTTAGGAAACTCTTCAGTTGTTATGTCAAGGAAGTTTGTGACTGAGGAGTGAGTTTAAGACATTATTCAGGAAATATGATAATAAAGCAAACAGTCTACATGTGATTATTAAATAAAATCATCTCAATCCTAGAGAGTCTTGATGCCCCCAGCCTGATGGAAGGGTAAGATAAGGACTGGACGGGCTGTCAAAGTGGTGGAAGTGTTGAACTGATGGTGAAATCCTTTCATCTCTTATCAGAGAGGGAAAAAGGAAGGGCACATCTTTCTAATCAAGTAGACCGCTGATTATTCCCTAATTGTGTTGTATGTATATCTGGTTGTTATAGAAAGAGCTGCTAGATCAATATTTTCATAACAAAATTCACCAAAAGCAGTGTCTTCAATGTCTTTATTATTGTTTTATACCCTCTTGCCCCTTCTTCACCTGTTAGGAAGGAGAGTAGGTTTGCCAGTATGCTTTTCCATCCAGAAAAAAGAAAATTCACTTAATCCAGTATGGAAAACTAAACTTATTAACCATGGATTTAGAGAAATAATAAAACAACAATAAAATTACAGTTGTCTTTGCTGGTTTCAACTTTAAAAAGAAATGAGGTGGGAGTAATGAAAATAAAACACACTCTACAACGATCTTTCTCCTCTTCCCCAAGTTTCCTCCTCTCTCCCATGAAGAAATATCAAATAATTGTGTGATAAACCAGCCTTGAAAGGAATGTAGAGCAGAAGCAACAGATTATACACCAGCAAAATGGCATGCCAAGCAAAATAAAGCACTTTGCAATGTGGAGACGTGAAGAGAGGAAGATGGGATTGTTACAATGTTCTCCAAGAAAACAGGGGCTATTCACTTGAATGTGCAAGTTCAAATTGTTCCTACAAACCCAATTTGCTGGCAAAAGTGCCAAATACAAAACTACCCTACTTTCGTTTCTGTCCAAGGCCTTTCACATAAGCTACAGGGGGCATCGCCTTTTGTTGAATTGGTTCTTACTTTCAGGGTTAGCGCCTCCATCTCTGAGACTAGGAACAAGAGGCATGGCCCACAGTTGATGTTGCCCTCGATTCAACCACTCTCAGGTCGGGGACACAGTAGTCAGTGGCCCACATAATAAATCAACAGTGCTCTCCCTCCAGAAGGTGAATTGTTAACATTCTTTTCTTTCTTTCATTGCCATTTATGTCCCCTGTGAACATCCTTTAAAATGCTTGTTCCTTTGAAAATGGGTTTTGAATGAGCCTGAGCCACATATCCAGGCTATGCAGGCCACTGCCCATACGCATGAGGATCTTGATGCTTCCCGAATTCGCATCTTTCGGAGTTAACTGTGGAATGTGATTCAATGTTATTTCCCTTCCAGCTGAAGGGCAGCTGAGGTTATGAAGGGATTTGACTAATAGGTCATAACCCAGATAGGTTTGCCGAGAACCAAATGACACAAGGGGGAGGGATGTGGAGAAGGAGCGAGAGTGATCAAACTGAGGCACTGAGGATCAACCAAGCCCATCCCAGCACTGGTCTTGGTGACTGGGCAAGGTGCCCCCCAACCCCCATCAGGCCCTCCAGAGAGAAGCAGCTGCAGATTGGCTCTGCAGACTCTCAGCTTCCTCTGTTTTTTTGAGAACTCCTTGGGGCTTGCAGGCCTGAGCCTGTACCACAGGGGTGACTCCTCACCTGACACCTCCAGATAACTGGCCTCCAGCAAGGGGGGAGCCCCTCTGTGAGGTTAGCAAAGGGGAAGCCCCGCTTCTTTGCCTGAAGTCCTTAAGAGCTAAGCCGACAAAGAGCTAAGAGTCAACAAACTTTGACAAGCACCAAAAGAGAATTGAGAACAAATAAATCAGAAGAAAGAAGAGGAAAAGCAAATGCTAGAACCTCGATGGCTTTTTTTTTTCTCCCTGCTGTCGTTCCAGCTGTAGCCTGGGATTAATTAAGTGCTGTGAACTCAGTGCCAGAGAGAGGAGGGGAAAAAAAATGCATTCTATCTCTAAGGAAGGAGTACAGTAACAGTTTCTCACCAGAGAGAAACCTAGGGAAGTGAATCGCTCTCGTCGGCAGTGTTTGTGGAGGGCCTGAAGAGACAGGGAGGTTGTGCCAGGCTGGAGGAGGCTTGTCTTTCCGAAGCTGGAGAGGATCTTACGGGGGTTCGCTTTTCCCTGCCTGGGAAGAATTTCCCCTGTGGTAGCAGCAGCAGCAGCAGCAGAAGCAGAAACAGCAGCAGCAGCAACAGCAGCAGCAGCAGCAGCACCACCACCACCACTACCTCCTCTTCTGGGGCACAAGACAGAATGCCTGTGCTAGAGCGATATTTCCACCCAGCAGAGCTAGGCAGGAGGTGGACAGGCCCAGAAGGTGTGCTGCCCTCCTCCCCGGGAAGCCGGCCGGGGTGCCAGCAGGGGCCGCTGCCCTGGGACTTGCCAGAGATGATCAGGATGGTAAAGCTGGTTTGGAAATCCAAAAGTGAGCTGCAGGCGACCAAACAGAGAGGCATTCTGGACAATGAAGATGCTCTCCGCAGCTTTCCAGGTAAATTGACCATGGGGTGTAATAGGTCACAGGACCAAGTCTGATAACTAACTCCCTTTCTTTGTAGAGTCCAAGCCATAGGGAGGAAAATGAACTGTGTAGCATCAGGTCTGAGGGCTGTGACTTCCAAATGTCTGCTGTATGATAGAAATGCATCTTGAAATTAAGAGTGATTTAGTAGGAGGAGCATTTGACTGGAAATCAAGAAACCTGGGTCCTGGACTCAGCTTGACAAATGCTTGCCCTTTGGGCTTGCACAAGCCAAATTTCCTGAGTTTCAGTCCCCACCAAGGAGGGGGTGGAATTGGATGCTCTTTAATGGCCATCCTGACTCTAACATTTCTTGTCAACAAGTTAGAGATATCCCTAGGAGAATATTCTCCTTGGGTGGCTTTTTATCATTCTTTCTATAAAGTAAAATACATTTTCCAATTTTTAACTATGCCATTTACAGCATGTATTATGTTCCCAGCACTGAGTTTGGCATGCAAGCTTTTTATGTCCTGGGCAAGTTGGTAAACTTTCTTGACTTGGTTTCCCCTTTGGCAAATGTCAGCAATATAAACACCTTTATTGATATCAACTCACTCACAAATGTGGAAATAATGATTCCCAGGGACTTTGTCTTGTCATAAGAATGTGCTGTGTTTGGGACGGTTGTGGAGAACTTCACTGTGTTTCTGACAGTGGATACAACCACCACCAAGACACCCAGCATGCCTGGGAAGGATCCCAAGGGGCTTCGTAAACTAAGAAAGCCACAGCTGACTACAGGGCACTCTCTTTCTTTGAGGAATATGTTGCTAGATATTTGGAAAGTGGTGGGTTCACTTCAGAAGAAAGAACATGAGTGTGTGTTTATGCATCTGAAGTCTTGGCTAGGCCTATGCAGTGGAATCCTGGCGTGCCATTGGCGGTGAGGGATGGGGTAGATGGAAAAGATACATCAAAAATTACCTCTCCCTTTCTCGTGGAAACAGAGTAGGAAATAAAAATCTGGCTAGTTTTGATTTTAATGATTTATGCCAGGAACTTTTTTTAAGTTATGACTTAATAATCTGTAAAGAATATTATTAAGAAGTTAATACTCTGGGAAAAGAAAAGATTTAAAAGGGAGAAAAAAACAGGGTTGGTCTCCAGTAAACAATGAGTCCTTGAGTACATAGGAAAGTGAGGGAAACGAATAAAACTGAGGTTTATGTGGCAATTGGGAGAAGGATGCCCAGGGAGATGGGTCTTGGTCAGATGAAATGAGGTAACGCTAAACCAGTGTTGCATGTGAGTAGGGTAAGAAAAATGGAAAAACCCACCTGGGCAGAAAATTTTACTCTGACACTTCAACTCTTAGCACTTTAGGTTTGTTTCAGTCAATTAAATGATTAAAATTCATATTACAAACTGCACCCTTTGATAAAACTATCTAATTCAATAGTTGTTAGCATGTCTGTGGAGATAGGTGTACATTATTATTTATGTTCTATATTAGTGAACATCTAATTCCTGAAAAAGCAATACTCTGGAGAAAAAGCAGAACTCCTGTAGCTTCTTATTACTTAAAAGGCACACTTTTCTGGACATGATGAAGCAGAGCTTGTTGAGTCTTACTATACCTCTCTACCACTGCCTCACATTCAGTGGAAACTGTCTCTGAAGCCACTTGGATTCCCAGGGAAGCTGCACCCTGGTCTGCTGTTGAGGTTGCCTGCCTGTGTGGAGACAGGCTTTATAACACCTTTCCAAAGGATGTGTGTTTGCCTCCTGTTCTTCCTCCTGTGCCTCCTCACTCTCAGGGAGATGAGGGCTCATCCTTACTGGAATGGGCATAAAACCTTTTCATCATCATCCATCTATGCAGCAGCAGGTCATAGGATGCAACCCCAAAGATGAGTGGCTTCACTTTCCAAACTGTCTCTTACCTTCTTCCTTACTCATCCTATTCCTGATGCTGCATTTCCTCTGAGCATCAGGTGTCTTCAGCTGCATCATTTTCACCACAGCAGCACAACAATGGGGCCCTCAGGAACACTTACAGACTATTTCAAAACTTCTGGCATTTTTTTGTTTGTTTTTAGAAAGTGGTGATTTAAGCTGTTTTCAGTTCCTGCACAGAGGCAGAGGTTTATGATAGACAGCTCTTCAAAAAACAGCAAGACACGGTGCTCCCTCGCTCTCTCTCTCTGTCATTTCATCCTTGCCTCAGTCTCCTCAATTTATACTTTCATAATCCTTTTAAGCAACTGACTATGCATCAGGTGAGCCTTGCTTTATGCTTGAAATGTTTCTTCCTTGGCTCAGTCAACTGAAAATTTTCTATTCAAACAACAAAGCCCAGGTCAAGCATCTCTCTCTTTAAAATGCCTTTCCTGATCTCCAGCGGCCTCCCGTCTCCCCCAGTGGTAATCTATTCCCTCCTCTTTGCTATCTTTACCTGTAGTTACTTAACATTTTACATTTATAGCACACATATTTTTGCTGTGCTAGTAACTAAAAACAGGAAAATTAAATGTTATAACATTCTGTGTATATTTTGACTGCTTGTGGTAATGAATTGATTTAACTTTTTTTAAACCATGAAATTGCAGAAATTCTGAATCGAACCAACAGTTACTTTAGAGGACTTTAAAGATGGTGTCATTGGCTCTTAATGTGTTTAATGGAACCTTAAAAGTCCCAGTGTTTCTTTTCCTTAGCAAAGGGCATCATTATTTTTACGCACCCTTCTTCAACAAGACTGGAACTTTGTTTCTCACAAGTGAAGTAGAAAAATGTTCTGAGATTTGGCTAAGGTAATAAAAGGAGAGAATAAAAAAAATATGGGAACATAAATATGTGTTCGTGAGAGATTTTAAGGTGAAATACGCTGAATTAGGAGTATGGAATGGAAAGAACAGTCCCCTGGAGAAAGTGGGGGAGTGCCAGAGAGAAGGTGATACATAGAAACGTCTTCCACCATCTTCAGACTGGCATGCTCTGCCGACTGTTGGGTGGCTGTCCAAAGCAATAGACTGTAGGAGGGAATGGGAGATGATAGAAGGAAGGAAGAGGAGCTTGTCACCTTCACATGTTAGATCTGTGCATCTGGGAGTGCCCCCAAAGCTGGGCATTGGCCAAGGCACTGTTCACCCTAGCAAGGGGCTCTGGAAGTTATCAGCATGCTTGAGGTCCAAGTGTCAACTCTGTTCTTTGAACTGTACCCAATTATTTAATTGTGTTAATACTCACATCTTTTTCCCTTTATGAAGCAAACAAAGGAATTATCTAATTATCTAGTTAACCCCTGTATTTTGGAGATGAGGTAAATAGTTCAGAGAGACTCAATAAGGCATCCGGGATCACACACTGAAACTGTATCAGAACCAGACCAGCATTTCGATTGCCCAACTCTGGTCCACAGAACTCATGTGGTCAGGGTACATGCTGGGTAATAGAAATTTAAATTTAAACCAAGACATGGCTTTATTGATTACATGTAGATGGGGCAAAATGAGAACTCATGATGTGATATAAACCTTGGTCAAACCAGAAAAATAGTATTACCATGCAGAACAAGTCAAAGGATTGTGTCTCGTATACATTTTCTACTTATTCTGTGGGCTTTAGTCTTATATCCAAGCTTCAAATACTGCAAATATCCAAGGAAAGATCCCCAACTGTTATCAATAGAAAGTCAGCTTACACCATTGCAGTGACAGCATGCACCCATGTGGGGAGTGGGGAGAAGGATGAGGATAGAAAATAATTAAGTAGCTTCTCAGATGCTGTGAGGACAAATATGATGCTAATTATAATTCTAGTCAGCAACCTGTTTAAGACTAGATATCCCTTAGCAGGACTTGTTCTTAGTTGAATAAATAATTAGATTTTGGAATTCAACCAAATAACCGCAAACTCTGCAACTGGGAAACTTACCTTTCATTTCGGTGTCTCTGGTCTAAATTTTGCATTATAGTTTACTTATTTATTAAGCTCGTTCCCATTTCAATAAGCTTTGGTTCTAGGAAAATATAAATACACACAAATCGCTCAAAGAAAGAAACTCATCTTCCCCATAGCCATTGTAACGTCTCCTGCCTTTCAAGGAGAATACAAAATCAGAAATTTTCTTTATGCTCAGACCTGAATATCAAATTATTTCAGAGAAGAAAATCTCCAGAACCATTCTCTGATTCCAGTACTCTACAATTCAAATTAACATTTAAACTACTATTTCAAAATGTCTCAAGTATCAAGCACAATATAAATCAAATATGTTGAAGAATGAACATTTCGATCATTATAATCAAGAAGCATTTATGGGATGCTTAGTGTATACCAGGCACTGTGCTAGGCACCAGGGACTCAGAGATGAATCAAAAGCTTAATGAAAGAACAATTGTGGATTTATGAATCAGAGCTCTGTCTACAACTACAGTGTGAAAACAAGCACTTGTTAGTTTAAACCTGTCAACTCAAACTACTGGCTGTAAAACTGGTAAAATTCAAAAACACTTGTAAAAATTTATACACACTTTCAAATACTCATTGGTTCTAATGATTTCATTCAAAGCAGGACAAATTGCTTTGAGCAAGGAATCAATTAGTCTCAATGGCAGATAAGTATTAATTCATAATATTTTTCTAAAACTACTGCTTTTAGCAGCCTGTTTTCACTCTGTAGTGATGCTGGATAATAATCATTAATAATTTAAAGCATCTCTTAAATGTGAATGCAAATTGAGTCAATACTGGAGTACATCATCTCACTTTGAACTAAACCTTCTCCTTCACCTGACTTATTTTCATGAATGACTCATGAAAGGTTCAAAACTGCTAACTCCAGCTCCCCAATTCCCACTAGTTCTAAGTCCATAAGAGAGGCTAAGGGTGCCAGAGTGTGGTTGCAATGTTGAGATCTTAAAAGTTTTAAATTCTGCATCTCCATTACTGAACTGTGTGACCCTGGGTGGGTACTTCACCTCTCGGTGCCTCAGTTTCTTCTTATGTAAAAAGAGAATTAATAATAGCACCTTTGCTTAAGGTTGTTGTCGGGATTAAATGACATAATAGCAAAAAAAAAAAAAAAAAAAAGTGCCTAGAATAGAACCTAAGTTCCACCACACTCTCAGTAAATGTATACTCTCATAATTACTGGTGTTGGTGTTATTTTTCTCAACAACTTCTCTCATTCATTATCTTTTCTCTGTTCAGTTGCATGGCCCTTGGTCAAATCTCATGTTGTTTTGTCTATAATCTTGCAATAGCCTTCAACTCTCTCTATCCATTGTCATTCTATTCTGTGATTTAGATCAACAGTGTTAAAAGAAAAATCAAGATATGTCTCAACCCTTCTTCAAAATCCTTTAATAATTCTCTAGTGTCTACAGAGAAAATCCAGATTCTTTCCTCCTGCATTCAAAGTTCTCCATCTGGCACGAACTCATTTTTCCAGTCTTATTTGTCATTATTGCCCTCTGAGTACTCATATTCCACCCAGACAAGACAAACCTCCCACAGCATCCTACTTGTTTTCTGCTCATTGTTCTCAATGCTTAAAATGACTTTGCTCCATGTCCCTAATTTATCCCATTCCTTACTTAATATCCCGCTCGTATGCTAGCCCCTTCATGAATCCCTCCTGAGATTACTGAAGGAAAATATGCCTTTCTCTTCTGAAGTTCCACAGAACTTTCTTTGTATTTATTTAACAGGCAAATCACTTAATTTTGTTACAATTAGTGTACATTTCTTCCTCTCCTTCTAGATTCCAGCTCTTTGAGAGTCTGGAGAACATTCTGTTTTTTTCATGTTTTCCCTAAGATCTGTTGCATGTCAGCCACTCAATACATTTTGATATGTGAAAAAATAAAATTATCAGAAGGAATAAAATAGCTTACAAATTGCCATCAGATGCATGAATGAACATCTTTTTAGGGACAGATTACTCAAGAAACATGAATTCTAGCTCTTGTTTTTAATGGAATCCTATTTAAACATATTCCAGCAGAAGATCAGGATTAGTCATTATAGCTTTTAAAATAAAAGAATACACAAGAGTGAAGTTCAGAACTATTAAAAAAGGTATAAGTGCAAAACTAATATGAGACAGCTCTCTCTTCCTATAGAGAACTTGTAATCTACTGATAATTACAAAATTTTAGAGCAAATGCATGCATTTATAGACTTTTAAAATAATTACTCTGTTCATGCATTTTGGAACACTTTACATAAACTAAAATTTCAAAAGTGGCTTCTTCTACAGATAACAGTCTGTAGACTCCTGAACATAATTTCAAAAATAGAGTGCAAAAGGTGTGTGTTTACCCAGCCCTACGAATGAGCTTTTGAGGGGCTGGCTCTCAATGGAGGATGGTATTCCCAAGATCTCTGCTCGTTCTCTGCAAACAGTTTCTTTTTTCTTTTCTTTCCCTTTAAAAAAAAAAATTAAACAAGGCTGGTTCAACTGGACAGAAAAGCATTGACTTTTGCATCAGACCAATTCCAAAAAAAAAAATTAGTAGCTTTATTGTGAAAAGCCCGAAAGTTTCAAGTTTTTTTTTTTTTAACTCACGAAAGTAACTGAAACTGTGTACTGTCTTCTATCTGATTTTTTCCACTCTTTAATTTTCAGTACTCTTGATAATACATACTAGGTACATCTCATCATATCAGAAATAGTAAGCAGAGCTCACGGAATTTGTGATTTAATGCAATGCTGTAGTCTTGATATACACACAGTGTGAACTTTATACTTCATTTTCCTGTTTATCCCTGTCTGCCTTTCCATACATTTCTCTTTGGAATTGACTTCAATCTCTAAAATGCCAAAAGACCACCCCAAGAAATGAGTTTTGTATCTTTGAACTTGTCTTAAATTTCCTGAAATTATAAAATTATTAGAGGCCCCTTCTTCTAAGCACTTCTTCTTACCTAAAAAATCCACAGGACATATATTTTAGAGCTTATAAACCAAGTCGCTGTCCTGAGCATTTTGTTACTTCATCTGCTGTAACACAAATGCTGAGGGGTACTCCAGTGAGTAGGTCACAATTCTCATCATGAGTGACAGGAGAAAACTTGTCAGCCTTGTATGCAGTTGGAAGGCATGGCTGACAAAGACAAAGCAGGGTTTAGTTGTGGAAAGCCTTGGGTCCAAGGGGCCAAGCTTACTACAGAAAAATAGAATCACTAGAGAGAAAAGAAGGACAAATTTCAAGAGAGACCGAGTCGCAGTTGCATGAATGTGGTAGTAGAAATTGAAAGGTACAGGAGCCAGAAAATTGTAAAATAAAATCACAGCTAGAGCTATGATGGGAATGAACGTAAATCTTCCGTAAAGGTATCGAAAAGGAAAATTAAATAACTAAGGGTAATAAGACACATATCATGCAATAATTAGAATTTTAATGCTTCTTAACCTCTGGAATTAAAGCCAAAGCTAAAGAAAGATTGTCTTTCTTGCTTCCTTCTCCAAATCTTTTTGGATGACACCCAAACATTTCACACAAATCTATAAACGTAAGTGACAAGCACTTCAGAAAACCTGCAGGACATTACATTTAGAGGATCTGTGACAGTCGTTCATTCAAAGAAGTCGATAGTTTGCTGAAGAAAATAATTTAAAAAGAAAAGAAGAAGGGACAGGCAGACAGGCAGGCCTAGAGCACCCAGGAAAAGGAAGTCAGGTAAGGTCACTACAAAGAAACATTCAAATATAAGAAGTGTAATAAAAAAATACATACAGAAGTGAGAAGGAAACAGTCACTGTTTAAAACATTTGTAACAGAGATTTCAAGTTTGCGCACTCAAATATGTGATGAAACGTAGCCTGAGTCTCTTCTTCAACCAAGAAAATTATCCTCTTGAGCCCACCCTGATGGGGAATAGGGAAATTTAAACTTGTTAATTAGCACCATGGTGGTCAGTCTCTTCTCGATTACTTCTTTTGAATAAATACCTTGCCACTCTTTGCTCCTCTCCAAGTTGGCATCTGGGTGAATATGTGCCTTGGGTTCCCACATACCTATCCAATGTTTCTCCTGCACACGCCTGAGAGGTGCCAACCTCAGAGGGAGAAGCAAATGTATGTTCATGTGCCACTGGGCTCTGCCTGTGACGCTTCCCTGCAATTCCCCAGGGTATCAGGAGTAGACTTTGCAACTGTCTCTTTGACATGACCTTACCCTGTGCCATATCCTCTTTCCTCCCAGCAGAAGGAAGCCTCAATGTGCCCATATCTATAGACCCACCTCTTAATATATTAAAGGGATCTAATAAAAGAATAAAGAAAATCCTTTCATCTTTCCACAAAGACAAGCTGTTAAGATTATTGTCCTTCTGCAAACTCACACACAAAACAAAACCCGAAAACCTGTTACTCTGAAGGCCAAACAATGAATATCAGCTCCCTTCTTTTCTTCTCATTCTTGCTATAATATTCCAAATGATCTTCCACGTATGCCTCTAGAGGGGTGGAAGCAGAGGATATGCACAAGAGAGTGCAAAACAAAAGAAAATGGCCCACGGACATACATCAAAAAACATTATCTCTATCACACACTGGTTAAGTTACTATGTGCTAGGCCCTATCCTTGAGCATTGCGTATTCAACATGATTTGTCTGAGTTACATTCCCATGTAACTAGAAGCATCAGCTAGACCTGATTCTTCTACCCTCTCTACTACCACTCTTTCTCTGTCTCTCTCTTAAACACATACATTTCCACAACCATCTCAAAATGTTGACACTGAAAAGTTTGACCAAATGACTGTAATACATGAAAAAAGATGTGTACAAATCTCACCTTTCTGGTTGGTTTTCACATTGAGAGCTGAGCTTTTGTATCTGCCACTAATTGGAATTGTGGTCCTAATCATACAATGTATTGTATTCTGGTCAGGTCTGATACATTTTCACTGCTTAAATGTGCTAATTGGAAATTCTGAGAGCTCTTCTCCTCCTTTCTTTGGCCCTCATCCCCTAGAAAGAAAGTGGGGAGGGAATGTAAATAGACAAAATTGGACTAAAACAAATTTTGTTTTGAAAAATTTTTGAAAATGTCTCAAATCCTCCAAAAATTGTTAGAAACATACTAGGAGGTCACAAAATGGAAAATGATGTTTCAATGTTACATACAAATACTGAACTTCTTATGCTAAACAGTAAGCATCAACCAAATAGGTGTTATTTCCAACTTAGAAATAGAAGAAATTGAGACTTCTATTTACTGGTTATTTATTTAAGATATTCAGAAAGGGAAATGAAAAATTCAAATTTCTAGTTTTCTTTACTCAGTGCATAGCATTGTGCTTTCTGTCTGGGACAGAATAAAGGATATTATGACCTATTAGAAGAGACAGATACAGAAACAACTCACTGATATCAAGGCAGAATGGCATATGCTTTACAATAAAGTGGAAATAATACTCTATGGGAACGTAGAGGAAGAATCAAAAGTGTTTATTCAACTAAGTTTGTTTGGTGCCTATCATGTGCCACATAGTTTCTTCATTCCTTAGAAAATAAATATTCATGAACCAAGAATGTTGAGGTAGATGGATGGATGGGTGGATGGATAGATAGATAGACAGACAGACAGACAGACAGATAGATAGATGTGATATATAATATACTAAATGTGCATACACAAAGTCTGTGCCAATTGCCAACACATAAGACAGTGATTAATTCTGCCTGTATGATGGTGGTAAAGGAGGTGTCAAGAAAGGAGATGATGGGCTGGGCGCGGTGGCTCACGGCTATAACATCAGCACTTTGGGAGGCCGAGGCAGGTGGATCACCTGAGGTCAGGAGTTCAAGACCAGCCTGGCCAACATGGTGAAACTCTGTCTCTACTAAAAATACAAAAATTAGAGGCGTGGTGGTGGGTGCCTGTAACCCAGCTACTCGGGAGGCTGAGGCAGGAGAATCCTCGAACCCAGGAGGTAGAGGTTGCAGTGAGCCGAGATTGTGCCATTACACTCAACACAGGACCAAATGCAACAAATTCCAGGGAAGGCCAAGTTATGGGGTATAAAATGAATCAGGGGAGGGCTAGGATAAGACTAGAAAGATAGGCTGGGGGTCAGGTTGCCATTGGCCTCATCTGTCTTTCTGAGGAGTTTATCCTATAGGGATAAGAAAACTTCAGACAATTTTAGTGGGAAGTGATATGATAAATTTTACATTTTAGAAAGATCATTCTAGCAACAGTGGCTGGTGAAGAGGTGGAGTTAGGGTGAGCATACTAACGAATATGTATAACCATAGTGGCATTCATTGACCATATTTGTAAGATGTTGAAAATTTTGAGATGCTGAATATTTTCTCTTCAACTTACAAACCAAATTTCCCAAGTGCTATAGTATTTTACACAGAGCCACAAGAAATAATATAGAAATAATCAAGCCAAAGCCCTTGACACATGGTATCATCCTATCATGAAGGATTTATATAGCCTTCCATCTAGACATGCTGTTCCAGTCATGTTCATCTCTTCCCCAAATGCAGAACACAGGTTGTCGCCATAGTCTCAGAACAGTCTATCCTTCTTACATCGCCAACTCACATTTCTTCCAGTACTTAGATTGCCTGTTTTGTTTGTTTGTTTGTTTTTGAAATGAGGTCTTGCTCTGTCACCCAGGCTGGAGTGCAGTGGCTCAATCACAGCTCACTGCAGCCTTGAACTCCTAGGCTCAAGCAATCCTTCCTCCTCTGCCTCCCAAGTAGCTGGGACTATGGATGCACACCACCACACCCAGCTAATTTTTTTATTTTTGTAGAGACATGGTCTTGCTACGTTGCCCAGGCTGGTCTTGAGTTCCTGGCCTCAGGGGATCCTCCTGCCTCTGCCTCCCAAAGTGCTGGGATTACAGTTGTGAGCCACCACACTGGCCCTCCATGTTTTTCTAAGCAAACAGTTCTTCCCACACTAGATGCCACTGGATGGATGAGAAAACATATAAGAAAAATATGGTTTTTTATGTATCTTATAATGTAGTGTGTTAAAGTTACATCCTCAAAAACAAACCAAGTGTGATCAGTACTCCATGAGGATTGGGCATTAACTGACTCTTTGTTGGTTGACCCAGGAAGGTTCTGTGATGGACTGATCATTACAGCTATGACTTTAGGATGGTTAAGATCTCAACAAGATGTGAGAAATTTGGTGAGGGAATAAACGTGAACATAGGTACAAGGCAAAGAAGCACAGGAAATGATTGAGAATGGAGATTAGTCAAATTGGCTTGGCACAGCATTAGGAGTGAAGAAGAGTGGGAAACAGAAAAAGACATTAGTGGGACGAGACTGCATATGGACAAGAAATCTTAACTCTTGTAGAACCATTGAAAATCTTTAAATGGAACAGTAAAGGGTACTTTCACTTGAATTTTTTAATGAAAATGGGTCTTTGAGAGGATCTAGTTAAATCACTGCATTTTTTTTTATGGTGAGAAAGCTGAGACTCCACAGAAGTTACACAACATATGTGGGGCACAGAGCTAGTTATTGACTGCACAAGGGCCAACTCGAGGTCCCTTGACATCCAGCCATGCCATTGACTCAGCCACGCTGCTGGTCATGGTCTAACCCTGAAGCCGCTCAACTCCAGCCGAGGCTTCTCTAACATGATAATCTCTCTAAATCCAATTTTCTGTCCTTTTCACTCCCAAATACTTAACGTCTCCGTGATGCGTGATGGCACTATATAAGTGTGTAGTGTCCATCTTTCCATGAGCAAGAGTTAGATGTTTACATGTAAACCTACATGTGATATGTATACACACATTTTTCTTGTTTCCAAACTTAGATTAGAAATTGTCTAGGAGAGTCCCAAGCCCTCTCTGTGAATTTTCCCATCTACATTGCCTGCAATGTACTAAAGAGATAGACGTTCACCAGAAAATTAAAAAAAAAAAATGCCAAAGGTGAGAATTTCACCAGGATTGTGAATTAACAAAGTTATATGTAAGAGAGATAGATAGAGGTGGTAGCTGGTAGTTGCTTAACCATTATAAATAAAATGTTACTGTGGTCCTTTTCAGGAGTTCTGCTGCCTTCTGCATTGTTGCCTGGAGGTAGAATTTCAAGCAGGGCCAGTGTAAGTGGCTATTGTGGCTTGGGTCTGTGGTACATGTGCCCATAAGCTACTGAGGATCAGCCTTTCAGTTCCTCAGGCTCTCTTTGCAAAAGTAGTGGTGACCATGATTCAGGGCCTGTACTCAGAAAGCAAGTTGAAGATTTAGCTACATTTAGGCAAGATTTTATAAACTGGACAGGCCTAACTCCCACCATTTGTTTTTCTTTCCTGCTTCTATAAGGTGTTTGTAGCCCCGAAGGAACAGTGTAATCTTTGATGACCATTTTTCCTCCTTTATCCTCTGAAACTTTCTCCTCCTCCTCCTCCTCTTCCTCCTCCTCTCAGACGCTTCCCAGGCTGCCTGCTAATGCCGTTCAGAGCCTGTCTGTTTATGACTACCCAAATAAGTCAATAGTTAGAAATACAATTGAAGTGGCTTCTTCTTTTAAATCAGCAATAGACCTTGTTCCATTAAAAATAAGATCCTACTCTGAACCATTGCAGAAATTTTTTTTGTTTCTTATAAAGAAATGACAGTGAGTGAGGGGAGTGGGGGCGGGCAGAGATTTCTGATGTTATTCTTAATTATTTTTACTCCATGCTCTCTGTACCTTTAGATCTAGCTGAGGCAGAAACAGTGAAATGCCATAAAATAACCCTCTCTCGAAGTATATTTGGCCTCACAGGAAACAGGAAATACCAGAAAAGATCACAAGAAAAGCTGTAATCATAAGATTTCTAGCCTAATTCTTTTGACGTCAGCAGTTTAGATAAGTCAGATAAGCAATCGCGAGCATCCGCGAGTTCTTGAGTGCCAGTCCAAATACCCACAGTGCATCTTCAACCCTTTTGAACTCTCGCATTGTTTAGCCCCTGCGAGGAGGCTCTCCTCTCTTCCCTGCAAGAAGCATATCCTGAAATTGTGAATTATGGATTTTATGTCAACATTAAGGTGTTCAAAGACATTACACAGAGCTTCTAAATTGGTCCCGTAACCAATTCAGCTTGCTGGATGCATTGTAAACCCTGGATGGGGCCGAGTGTTAATAAAACAAAGGAAAACCAAGCCTGGTTCATCTCAAAGGGAGTTTGCTTCCTGAAGTTTAACTTTTCCAGTCTGGGCAACTCATCTACGGCCATGTAATGTCTTTGATAATATGCTAAAAGATTTCTTACCATATCCAAAGTATTTAGTAACTCCTTCATTCTTCATTATTTCCACCTTTCGTTCGCTACCACCACCTCCATTGCCCACCACAACAATATACTTACGGGCTGGTTAGATATAAATGATAATGAGGAATACACTCCCCTTCGAGACATTTTCCTAACTTCAGAACCAGGACCATGGAACTTGACCATTATATAATAAGCAGAGGCACATGTATGGGCTGTTCAGAGGGATGAAGTAGGAGTTTAAATAAAGATTTAAATAGATATTACATTACATGTACATTTAAAGTAAAAAAAAAAAAGGCTGAGGATAAAAACTTCTTTGCACAATATCTACCTATTTCCAAAAAGACTTGTAAGCTTATATGAAGCTTACAATAAAATGTAAGTACACAAGCACATAAAACCATTCTGTCAGGATGAGAGATAAAGCCATATATAAAAAGTAGGAGGAAAGAGAAGAGTTACGCAAAGCAGTTGAGCAAAACTGGGATCAGAACTTCCTAGCAGACAGGGCAAAGGGGAAGCAAAAATGATTACTACATTCATTATCTCCAGGAAGATTTGCTGGGAAGAAAGATATTTTTCCTGGCTTCGGGTATGTGGAGCAGTTTTTGATGAGGACTGTCAGTCTGGTACTGGAGAATGTCCTCCTGAAGAGTTGAAGTAAATGGGAAGAGGTGAACCAGCTGGGGAGAGTTTTGCAGGCTCTTGTAGTGAAAGACAGTTCCATAAAGAACTGAGGAGTTCCAACTGGGGCCCATCCCATTGGCTCCCCATGGAAGAGTGCAGCCATGTGGGAAAAGTGCAAGTCTCCACCCAGAGCTCAGTTCTTGTGGGTGTATAAAGTTAGGGTACAGCCCCCCCCCACCCACAGCATGCCGAACACATGCTGCTAATCCCATCATGGGCATACCTGCCATTATAGTCTTTAAAATGGAAAGAGAAAAATTAAGAAGCAATGCTTCCTTTTAGATAGCAGAAGTGTTTTTGTATTTGCCTTTGGTCTGTGCCAGGCATTTCACTTCAATTATATACACATTGGTAAGGTGCTCTAACTAACTCATAGGTGGATCCTGAGTCTTCTACCTGGTTTCTAACCTGGCACTTCCCTCATATGACTACACTCTTCCATCCTCATTCCCCCCAGTTGCGGACATATTCTTGATCCCTTATGTCAGACCTGTCCCAAGGCACAAGCTGGGTCCTATCCCATTGGCTCCACTGAATGGTCTCTATGCTAATAAAGACATACTTGAGACTGGGTAATTTATAAAGGAAAGAGGTTTAATGGACTCACATTTTTTTAAAAAAGTTATACTTCAAGTTTTAGGGTACATGTGCACAATGTGCAGGTTTGTTACATATGTATACATGTGCCACGTTGGTGTGCTGCACCCATTAACTCATCATTTAGCATTAGGTATATCTCTTAATGCTATCCCTCCCCCCTCCCCCCACCCCACAACAGGCCCGGTGTGTGATGTTCCCCTTCCTGTGTCCATGTGTTCTTATTGTTCAATTCCCACCCATGAGTTAGAACATGCGGTGTTTGGTTTTTTGTCCTTGCAATAGTTTGCTGAGAATGATGGTTTCCAGCTTCATCCATGTCCCTAAAAAGGACATGAACTCATCATTTTTTATGGCTGCATAGTATTCCATGGTGTATATGTGCCACATTTTCTTAATCCAGTCTATCATTGCTGGACATTTGGGTTGGTTCCAAGTCTTTGCTATTGTGAATAGTGCCACAATAAACATATGTGTGCATGTGTCTTTAGAGCAGCATGATTTATAATCCTTTGGGTATATACCCAATAATGGGATGTCTGGGTCAAATGGTAATTCTAGTTCTAGATCCCTGAGGAATCACCACACTGACTTCCACAATGGTTAAGCTAGTTTACAGTCCCACCAACATTGTAAAAGTGTTCCTATTTCTCCACATCCTCTCCAGCACCTGTTGTTTCCTGACTTTTTAATGATTGCCATTCTAACTGGTGTGAGATGGTATCTCATTGTGGTTTTGATTTGCATTTCTCTGATGGCCAGTGATGATGAGCATTTTTTCATGTGTTTTTTGGCTGCACAAATGTCTTCTTTTGAGAAGTGTCTGTTCATATCCTTTGCCCACTTTTTGATGGCGTTGTTTTTTTCTTGTAAATTTGTTGGAGTTCATTGTAGATTCTGGATATTAGCCTTTTGTCAGATGAGTAGATTGCAGAAATTTTCTCCCATTCTGTAGGTTGCCTGTTCACTCTGATGGTAGTTTCTTTTGCTGTGCAGAAGCTCTTTAGTTTAATTAGATCCCATTTGTCAATTTTGGCTTTTGTTGCCATTGCTTTTGGTGTTTTAGACATGAAGTTCTTGCCCATGCTTATGTCCTGAATGGTATTGCCTAGGTTTCTTCTAGGGTTTTTATGGTTTTAGGTCTAACATTTAAGTCTTTAATCCATCTTGAATTAATTTTTGTATAAGGTGTAAGGAAGGGATCCAGTTTCAGCTTTCTACATATGGCTAGCCAGTTTTCCCAGCACCATTTATTAAATAGGGAATCGTTTCCCCATTTCTTGTTTTTGTCAGGTTTGTCAAAGATCAGATAGTTGTAGATATGTGGCATTATTGCTGAGGACTCTGTTCTGTTTCATTGGTCTATATCTCTGTTTTGGTACCAGTATCATGCTGTTTTGGTTACTGTAGACTTGTAGTATAGTTTGAAGTCAGGTAGCATGATGCCTCCAGCTTTGTTCTTTTGGCTTAGGATTGACTTGGCAATGCGAGCCCTTTTTTGGTTCCATATGAACTTTAAAGTAGTTTTTTCCAATTCTGTGAAGAAAGTCATTGGTAGCTCGATGCGGATGGCATTGAATCTATAAATTACCTTGGGCAGTATGGCCATTTTCACGATATTGATTCTTCCTACCCATGAGCATGGAATGTTCTTCCATTTGTTTGTATCTTCTTTTATTTCCTTGAGCAGTGGTTTGTAGTTCTCCTTGAAGAGGATGGACTCACATTTTCACATGGCTAGGGAGGCCTCACAATCGTGGTGGAAGATGAAGGAAAAGCAAAGGGACATCTTACATGATGGCAGGCAAAGAGAGTGTGTGCAGGGGAACTACCCTTTATAAAACCATCAGATCCCATGATACTTATTCACTATCACGAGAAGAACACAGGAAATACCTGCCCCCATGATTCAATTACCTCCCACCAGGTCCCTCCCAAAACACATAGGGACTATTACAATTCAAGGTGAGAGCCAAACCATATCACTGTGGAACTGTCTTTCATTGTGAGGGTCTGTAAAACTGTCCAGGTGGCTCATCTCTACATATGTGTATAGAATTAGAGCCAAATGTCTGGCACAGACCAAAGGCCAATCTAAAATCATTTCTGCTATCTAAAAGGGAGCACTGCTTCTTAATTTTTCTCTTTCCATTTTAAAGGTTATAATGGTAGATATGCCCATGATGGAATTAGCAGAACATGTTTTATGTGTGGGGAGTGAGAAGGGCAGGGAGATGATGTACTCTAACTTCTGTGCTGTAAAACATGTGGATTTGCCTTTCCAGTAGTAAACCTTGAAAGTATTCTTTACTTCTACTTTTTAATAAAACTTTTTGCTCTCTACCTTGAGTACCAGCACTGAGTCTTTTACTTCATTGGTAGTCCCTCAGTGTAGGAACACATGTAGATGGAGACACTCAAAAATTCAAGTTGTGTTAAAAGTTCAGAGTAAATATCTGAATACATTTTTCATTTTATTTGAACCCATTTCACACACTTTGCCCAACATTCTTCTCAGTGAAAATCCTTTTAGTATTTCCCAAAGATCCAGAAAGACTGGAAAGAATGTGCATGTTTAGATTAAAAGATAAATATTACACTGAAAGCAGCACAGTAAATATGAAAACAAGTGGATCCATTCCTATTCAGTACAAAAGTGAGGAGCAGCTGGGTGCTAAGTGTACCTAGATCTGCAGTCCAGACATTGTTTCTGAGACCACTTCCAAAGAAACTTACAGAGGAGGGCTGCCCATGTGGCATGGGCAAGGGGGCGGGGTCTAAAGGAACCAGATTAACAGCAGAAACGAAACAAGGTTCTTGCTCCTTTGTACAAAGAACAAGCTTCTTTCTTTGTATTAGTAAGACACTGGACAATGATCCTGCAAGATAAGGAAGGAGAAGAGGGGAAGACTAAAAGATTCCAGAAAGTATAATTTCCAAAGTAACACCGGCTTTTTAAAAGAACAATGGAGTTCAGAAAGGAAAAAGAAGACGGGAGCTAGATAATGCCAGAGGTGGCACAGAGAATGAGGGGAAACGTAGAAGGAGGAGGAGGAATCTGGATGGCACTAGAAAGACATGTTCTGTATTGTGTGTCTTAACTTCTTAGAGGTGAGCTGCTCCTATTCCTGACAGCTCACCAAGGTCAAGGTCGACAGTTGCTATACGTCTTCAGTCTTCCCCACACTAACCATGTTGAATAACTTTGTCCCTTCATTGGAAACCAAGCTTTAATTAAGGGCCAGCCAAGATATGTGCATACACAGGTGAACTGTTTATTTATAACGGTGATATGACTTCTAATTATATTAATGTGTTTTAAAGGCTTCGTGGGCCATCTTAAAAACTGTCAAGTTCTTTCTGCAGTTCTTGCTTTTTGGCAATTGCCCTACAAAGCTGAAAAGTTAGTTAGAGGCACACTTTTCAGTAAGCCTTCAATTCTGAGCTCCTTTGCAGATAGAATCCTTTTTTTTTTTTTTTTTTTTTTTTTTTTTTTTTTTTTGACAAGAGTTTTGCCCTTGTTGCCCAGGCTGGAGTGCAATGGCGTGATCTTGGCTCACTGCAACCTCCGCCTCCTGGGTTCAATCGATTCTCCTGCCACAGCCTCCCAAATAGCTGGGATTACAGGCACCTGCCACCACACCCAGCTAATTTTTGTATTTTTAGTAGAGACGGGGTTTTGCCATGTTGGCCAGGCTGGTCTCAAACTCCAGACTTCAGGTGATCCACCTGCCTCGGCCTCCCAAAGTGCTGGGATTACAGGCGTGAGCCACCGCGCTTGGCCGACTCCATCTTTTTTATGTTTGTGGTTCTGGTTTGTATTCTTTTTTGTTAATCTTATGAAAAATTAATAGCCTTCTATTTCCCTAAGCCCCTCCCCTTTGGCCCTATCATTAGGCATACTTCTCTTTAATTCATTATCATGGTTAAAAGATGAGCTCTGGAGCCCAATGGCCCTGTATCTTTACTAAAGTCTTTGGACCTCGGTTTTCTCATTTGTAAGATGGAAATAACCAAAGAAACTGCATTGTGGTGCGATTGTGAAGGTTAAATCAGTTAATCCACACAAAGAACTAGCACACTGCTGGTACATAATAAGCTAAGTGATGTACATGCTAATGGTTATTATCCCACACTATTCTCATTTCTACTGATTACCCAGAAATATTAAGTTGCCTTTTTATCTTATCCTTGAAGATCAGGAAGCACTAACTCAATTCACATTCCCTCATCCATGGTTCATTACTCTGAGTGATAAATAGTGGAAAGAAAAGTCATAGAACAGACTTTTGGCTTAATTATATTTGCAATTCCCATGGTAAATCTTGAAAGTATCCTTCTATTTTTTAATCAAACTCTCACCCATTATACATCAAAGTATACAATGAAAGCCTAATACCTCTAATCATACAATTACCAAAATGTTCTGAATGGTTTAGGGTGGAGATGCAGAGTTTAAAATTTGGTTGTGTCAAATTACATGCAAAAGTAATTTTGTACACACAATGTTGAATTTGCCAGTATTTGGTTGTCAACTAAATCCTTAGTTAAAAGGAGAAGTTTGTGTTCTGATTTTTGAGTTGTCAATTATTCATGGTATGAATGGCCACTTAAGTCAAAAACCCATGTCATCACAAAGCTTTTACTTGAATCTAGATTCTAGATCACCATTTTGTTGGGATGATATCTGCTCACAGTTTTTTGTTTGAGACGGAGTCTTGTTCTGTCACCCAGGCTGGAGTGCAGTGGTGCCATCTCAGCTCACGGCGACCTCCACCTCCCAGGTTCAAGCAATTCTCCTGCCTCAGCCTCCCAAGTAGCTGGGGTCACAGGCGTGCACCACCTCGCCTGACTAATTTTTTTATTTTTAGTAGAGACGGGGTTTCACCATGTTTTCCAGGCTGGTCTCGAACTCCTGACCTCAGGTAATCCTTCTGCCTCGACCTTTAAAAGTGCTGGGATTACAGGCATGAGGCACTGCGCCCGCCTCTGCTCACAATTTAATAATGCAAAAAGACAATCTATAACACATTGCCATTAGAATTCCAACCACTGCTTTTTAGGAATCAAGACTGATCACTCTTGACAAGTGGCAGATCTTTCCAAAGCACCAGATAGGGGGGAACTCAAAAATCAGGGGTTTTGTAAAGAGATCAACATACAGTAATAGTTTATCTCCTAATGAAATTGGCAGGGGTCAAGGTCTTCCAGTTATGTTCAAGAAAAACCATTAGATATCCTCATGAGATTTCAGAGTTTGGATAATCTTCAATTGGAAATAAAGGACACCCTGAAAACATGTAACATCTGCTCACCCACAAATGTCCAAAGGAGGCTGAAAATATTCAGAATTCCCAGCATGCTCACTGGACAAAAACTATGTCCCCATCCCACCTCCAGTGTCTATTTCCTGGGAATTCAGTAGCAAAGCAGAAACAATAACCAAAGGGAATTAAGAAAAAAGAATACCTGGTTAATTACTTTTAAGGTAATAAGACTAGTAAGAATTATCTGAGTTTTGGATGTACTATTCATTAGCAGCCCTAGTTTATGATATTCCAATGTTTTAAGCAATGGTAGATTCAGGAGGCTTATAAACCTCATCTTTTATCAACACACATGTTAACTGGTATCCTTCTGTGCTGTCAAACATGTGGATTTGGGGAAAATGTAAGAGAGGGGATGAGGAAGAGAGATTTTAATGGGTGGTATTTTACAGAATTCAGGGGGAAAAATAGTATACCATGTCCATTTACTAGAACTAAATGACTACTAGAACCAAAGTCATTTACTTTAAATAACTACTCAACCATTGAGGACACTGATTTGGGGGGAAAAAAGTGATTTATATAACGAATAGTTTAATAGAAAGTAAGCCTTTTAGGTTCTGCTATGGAAATAGCAGAAATAGGATTAGAGAGTCAGCAACTTAAATACACATAATCCATGATTATGTCTTTTTAGATGCATGAATTATGAATGAGTCAGTCTGAACAGTTGTTTGGCATGAAGTGTGTTGACAGGTCAAGTTGACCTGTGCTTTGGGCCAGGGGTGGTCTAACTAACAGCAACTTTACAGTTTAGGAGTTAACCCATTTATGCCAGAGATTGCAATTTATTTTTGTAAAAAATCAGACCTTGGTGATGACCTTGAGCAATAGGATATAAATAACTCCCACAAGGTTAGTCTTCCAATAATGGAACACTAGGCATAAATGGGTTGAGTGACTTGTTTCTGAGGCAGAGAAAAGATGGAAGAATGAATGCAGACTTCATCTCTGACCCCAATTGCTTAATAATTCCTCAATGCAATTATACAAAATTAATCAAATCCCTGGATGGAGAATCAAAAGGCAATCTTCCTACTTGCTATGCCGATGTAAACTTTCCTTCTCTGTGCACCACAGCCAGACAAACTGGATGCTGTGGAGATCTGAGCTGTGGTGGAACCCTGCCAGGAAGGCACAGTCGCTTGAAACAGAGCCCGCATTTGATTTAAGCTCAGAATGACAACTTTGGCAAGGAGGGGTGGTGGCTTTGCTGCAGTTGAGCGGGAAAAGCCTAGATGCTAGGCATAAATTTATAAGTTTTAATTATGCAAACTCCAAGAACGTAGTAGCTGCTTGAATACTATCCCAAAGTCTACTCGATTAATCTCCCCAAAATCATGCTGCTCAGTTTTCATGACTACTTCACATTCAAAATTTTAACTCTTACCTCCTCACAGTTGAAATAAATGGATTGCTTCCATAAGTAAAAGGCTAATCATCCTACACCTTAATTAAGAAAATAGTGAAGGTGGTGGTTGGAACATTGAACATCACTTTATAGGAAGTATTTGCCATAAATTAATCATTCCTGATCCACCTGAACTCTGCCAAGCTTGGAGAGGGATAGGAAGACATACCAATTACAGCCCTTCCCTTTGAGAATTTTCAACCCAGTTTGGAATTGAGGAACCAGGCATGAAGAACTAAGTAAAATTCAAACCCATGTATTCTAATGTGGAATGTTAATCTTGAAAAATTGGAAGACACATATATCAGAATGAAAATGGATAATTATTTTAAATCTAGTTTATAAAAATGAATAGCTAATATATCCCTCCTTCTTCTTTAGCTAATCATTATTTTGCAGAGCATTTTTCCTGAATAAGGATGATTTCTAAATCTAGGTCATAATCCCAGACCTTCACCCTGTTCCTGACCTTATGGGGAAAGGGAGTGATTCTTTTGGCTCCCATTTGATTTGTTATTTTTTCCTCTCCTTGTACTTTCTCTTCCAGTTGTCTCCTCTGCCCTTTCTTCTTTTCTGCCCACTTTAAGGAAACATTATATTAAAATTCAAATGTATAAACAGTAGTATGCATGAGAAGTATGTAAGTAAGAACCTAAAATCATTTTATTAGCTGAGTAAAAATGCCATAAATCAGAGAAAAGGTGTAAATTACAAGAAAATCTAAATTGTGGTAATATAAACAATAGTTATTATAATAACTTTCATGAGACAGCAATTTAGGATGTACAAAAATCATTTATTTAGATTAGCTCCTTAATTCTTATAACAACCCTGTGAGGTAGACACAGAATTAGTACTCCACTTTACAAATGGGAAATTGAGGCTCAAGTCACATAAATGACTTGTCCCAGATCACATAGCTAGTAAAAACCTAAATAAGAAGGCTTTGTACAGTATCTGCCACTGTCTGTGCTGAGTAAATTCAAGGTTATATCACTATGTGACCAAGCTGAGATTCTAATCCTCTCCTCCTGATTCTAAGCCTAGAGTTCTTTTCACTTCATTTGCTTCATTTGATATATTCCACTTCTTTTTAAAAAAGAAGTCCTTGGAGTTGTATTGGCTGCTCTCTCAGTGAAGGCATCAGTAGGAGAATTGTCATACTATTTTCTGGAACATTGTGCCATGCATAGTGACTGTTGTGTAATAGATGCTCAATAATTATTTACTGAATGCATGAAGGTAAATGAATAAGGCAAATACTATGAAGTTGGCTGGCACCCTCTTTTATGTTACTTTAAAATAAATTGTTATTATCTAGTAGCACAGCAAACAGTTTTATTTTCAAATGAATCAATATTAGTGTCAATGGCATTGTTTGCAGGCGTCAGAGATCATAAAAAGTTCTGCATGTGTGTGTGTTTCTGTGTGTATGTGTTTGAATTCTTTCTCCTCTCATCTGGCTGATATATTGTCTTCACTTGTCCAATTCTTAACAAAATATTCACACCGTTACATTTAGTTGACTAGATACATAGTTTGGAATTCTTATTGATGAATTAAACACTTTCTTTAAAATTAAATATAGATTTGAATACTCACAAAGAAAAGAATCAAAGAAATTTGGCACAGTTCAAGGAGATTTGTTGTGGGTGAAGAGGTCAAAGGACAAGTCTGGATCAGGAATTCTTGGGCAATTAACTTTTAATGATTCCTCTTCCTCTCTCCCACCCCCATATAAGAAATAAGGGCAGTATTGCCTGCCAAACATGAAATTCAGATGTAAAAATTGGGACAACAATACCTCTCACTGCCTTCAGCTACTTAGTACCCTGCAGAGGTCATATGTGTCCAAACTCAACCACTCATAGAGTAGAAGCCATCAAACCCATTCGTCAAGTACTAAATAAGCATTGAATCAATGCTGGGCATAGTACCATGTTGGGTAGGGCAGTGACAGTTCGAAGTGAGGGGATAGAGGGATTACAAAGACTAAGATAGTGCAAGTGGAGATTGAGAATGCAACTCTATACCCAGTGCTGAATCTTGATCTGGCTCTTGCTACATATGTGATTTTTGGCAAACTAACCTCTCAGACCTCAGTCCTCTCATTTTTAAGTTAGTACAATTCCTGGTACATTGCCAGAACTCAAACATGGGATATTAGCATTACTGTGCCAGTCCTTATGGAGCGTGCGATCTAGGGATAAGACAGAAATTGAAACAGTAAAATAGCATGTGATGCTTACTGTGATAGAGCCGAGCAAAGCTCTGTGGGATCGCCAATGCATGGAGGCCTAACCACCTCTAAGGGTATACTGGAGTGGTTGTGAACTAAACCATGTTCTAAAGCTTTGCAGGCAATCCTCACGCCATCCTCATAAGGTAAATACAGTACTATTATCCTTTTTTAAAAATTTTTTCCACCTTTATTGAGATATAATTGACAAATAAAAATTGTATATGTTTAAAGTAGACAACATGATGTTTTAATATATGTATACATTATGAAATAATTACCACAATGAAGCTAATTAATATATCCATCACCTCACATAGTTACCTTTTTGTGTTTGTGTGGTGGTGGGTGGTGGTAGGAATATTTAAGATCTAAGCTCTTAGAGAATTCCAAGTATAGAATACATTTTTTAAATTTATTGTTATTTCAATAGTTTTGGGAGTACAGGTGACATAATGCATTATTATTAACTATAGCCACCATGCTGTACATTCAGTCTCCAGAATATATTCATCTTACAGCTGAAAGTTTGTACCCTTTTATCTTACTTGTGGATAGGGAAAAAGAAGCATCAAAATGTCAGGACAGATGTCAGGATCACTGAGGTACCAAGTAAACAAGATGGAAGAAGATCATTACAGGCACGAGAAGAGCAGCTCTAGGGTCCTGAAAGATCCCTTCCTCTCACCACCTCATCCTTTCCAGCTCCAATGCCCAGTTCGCCTGTGACCTGACCTAAAAGACCAAATTGCTCTCTGGAGTGAATCTGGAGTAGTTTCCAAGGCCCCAGATTGAACTGAAGGCTGAGATTGCTCTAGGCATGCACTAGAATCTAGCAGTTGATTCTAGCCCATCTCAGATTCTTGTGGAGCAGAGTAGACAGGAAGAGGAAGCAAGGAGAGCAGAGACTGTTAACACTGACCCATGTTTAGATTTTCTGCTGTCATTCTAGATTCTCAAGATATTAGTATGGGTTTGAATCTTCAAAACTGAGACAGATTGAGAGACAACAATAAATAGTGATGAGAACCTTTAATTGAATATTTGCTAGTATAACTTTGATCAGGCTTTTCTGTAAAATTAGACTAGTATTAGCGACCCTGCCTACAAAAAACAAGGTTCTAAAATAGCAATATGTGAATCTGAGTCTCAAGTAAATATGGGTAAATATTATCGCAAGGCTTGCAAAATTGTAGGCAGTGACCTGGAAGAGCATGTGGAGTTACTTTAATGAACAGCATCTGATTAACCAGACCCATGGAGACTCTGGCTCAGTGGCTGATAAAGCCCTTAGATACATACCATTTTAAAACCACAATGGGATATCTTGAGGTTAAAAGTAAACCACAAATATCTCACAAAAATCAAAGGAACTATGTATACTCATTAATATTTTTCCCATCCGTATCCTTCTGACCATTTCTTCCACCACCTTGGTAAGTCAGGACCTCCTCATTTTGCACCTAGACTACTGCAGTAGTCCCCTACCTGTGTTCCCTGCTTTCAGCATGGCTTAAAGATGAACCCATCTTAATACAAGTTACTCTTTCCAAGGCACAGCTCTGCTTATGCTATTCTCTGGGAAATCTTCCCGTGGCTCCCAGCTAACTTAGCATCCAGGGCAGGCCATAAGGCAGCCCCGCCCCTACTTTCCACTTCTCCGCCTCACTTTCCCTGCACACCAACAAAACCGCACAGTTCGTGTTTCTCATATTCACTGTTACTTCTGCCTCTGAACGTTTACTCAAAATTGTCCTCCCTAGACATTCAAAACCTCATATCCAACCCTCTCATTTCCAAATTCCCTTATCCTTCAAGAATCAGCCCTACCCCGTCACCCATAGCACCTTCTAGCTTATGCTATAGTTATTTTTCAATATTCCATATCTTCCTGGCTAACATAATAAATTCCCCTCCAACACCCATTTGTCCAGTCCAAGGTAGCTTCTCATTAAAGTTTTTTTTTTACTACATAATTAATAATGTTGACTGAAAAATATAATTCTTTTTAATGCAATGTGTGGAGTATCATCTGGCTTTGGATTTTATTAACATGTGATAAAACTATGAAAATATTCACAACTTCTTAATTGAACAGCTTTTTACTCTGGGATTTGTTTTAGCGTGCAATGGAAGACTATTAGTATTTAAAATTTCTCTGAGAGTGCAGCTGTATTAACATTACAGCTATAAAGGAAAAGCACAAACAGGCCAAACAAATGCTTTGAGAGAAGAAAAACAAGCCAAATTACTTACGATTATTTTCTCTCTGTGCACAAGGAGCCAAAAATTACCAAACAGTAGGCAAAAATAAAAACTTCAGTTTTTTAATCTCTTAAATGCAAAAGCTACCCACCTGCTTCTCTGTTGGTGGCAAGTTCATTGAATGCCAGGCTAGGAACAAGCTGCTCAAAAGAAGGAATCCGTAGGAGACCACTTAGGCTGTTACCCAGTGTTCTCAAATGTGGGGCCTTCATGGAGACAGTTCCTCTCCTTAAAGCTTGAGTGTCTCAGGTTCACTCTCATTCGTCCCCTTGCCTGGTTCTGACCCCTCTCTCAGCTGTCTCTTTTTGTTTTCTCCACCTTCATCTTCGGAACCTTCACCAAGAACTTTACAACAGAGGTAAGACAATCAGCTCCATCCATTTCCCTTCCTTCTGAAAGCAAGTCAATTCCCGTGGCCCATAAAGCATGGTTTTCGTTGTCTTTAGCTTAATTGTCACTCTTTCTGGAGGGCCTTTCCTGATGTCCCGATTAGGAAGTTAGGCACCTACCCTTCATTCTCCTTCATGACATTCATAATTATGTTTCATTTCTGCCTTCCTCTCAAAACACTGTAAGCCCCCCAAGAGCAGAAACAGTATTTGTTACTGCTCTATGCCTGGCACTTGATAGAGATGCTCAATAAATATTCATTGTGAATGAATGAATAAACAAATGCAAGTAACAGAGTCCAACAATTTGTAGGTTTACGAGGGTGGCATTTGTCTATGTGTGCAAATGCATTTATATCTAATCATTGCCAGAGCACAATTTCATATATGCCTAAAAGTCAAGGAAGAGACATCTACTTGAACCTCTCTGGGACTAGCAGGACTTGACAGCAGCTACCTGGAAACAAAATACTACAGCTCGTATTTCTCAGTTTGCTTGTAGGGTTTTCTCAGTTTGCTTTGAAGATGCCATAAAATTATGTTATTAACCATTTCTCCTATACAATTATTTACAAATCAGCTTATCAAATTAGACGTTTGCTTCACAAAACCACCTTTGAGGCTAAATCACAGGGCTAGAATAATATAAAAAAACTGAAATTGTCATCTTTTTTCCTCATCTGAGAAGTCATACTAATGATTATGAGTGTCTTGCTAATTTAAAAAGAGACTTTGGGCTTGATTTGGCTATTTCATAAACTTCTATTGTAGTTAATGGTATACTCTGTAGCCAGGGAGTGAGAAGGCATCACAAAGCATCTAATTGAATCCCAGGGTGCCAGGAATATTGCTGCTTTAACTTCAATTTCAGAAGCATTGTAGGATTCTGCTTAAAATCGGCTCACCCCTTCCATATACCCTGAAGCCATACATGTTGCTTTCCAAAAAAACCAAACCAAACCCAACAGCAAACAAGAAATTCAGGGTATACAACCGTATATCAATTAATATTAAATTATAGAGTTCAGTGTCTCAGATTCTATTACATGGTGATCATGTAACGTTTTCATCTAAATAGTTTAGTTTATTCTGGATTTTTCAAAGTCTGATTAGGCATAAATTTCAGAAAGATCAGATTTCTAGAATAGCAGCTATTATGGAACAGTTAATATTTCAGATTTTAACCACTAAGATATGCTCTTTATTTTTTATCAGTTCTTAGTAACAATGTGAAAATAGTATTTCCCCCTGTGATCTTCAGAGTTCTAACTGGTGGTTTACAACAAGGTCACCAATTTTACACACCACTGCCAATGGCTTCCTCAAAGTTCACAATCCAGTGATTTCCATAAAGGCTTTTTTTGTTTGTTTGTTTTAAGTTTTATCCAGGCATGTCTATATGTGGCTCTTTCCTTATTTTTAGCCAGTCTGACTTAATAGCAGTTCAGAAGGAAAGACTCTTCTACCTGCGAGGCAATACAGCAATTCCTGTTTCCATTGCACAACAGCACAAAGGCCTTGCCCATAATATTATACTTAATGCTGGGAAATGTGACTGACTCCCCCAGGATGACTCAATAACCCTTAGAGCAGATGTGCACCTTGGATTCCATGTTTGCTGTTTGGGTTTGGTTTGGTCCTTTTAGAAGGCAAGATGCATGGTCTCAGAGTAGATAGGAGAGGTGGGATGACTCCGAACCAAATACTGAACAGAAATGAAACGTTATTGATGCTCCTTTACAAAGCCATCATTTTCTTATTATAGCACCCACAAATATGAGAGATTCAAAGCCCTTAGAGAACATGAATGTGGCACTTTGGATCTTTGAATAAGTTAATGAAATAGGCATAGCCTGGGCAACTGCAAAAGAATAGATGTTCAGCCCTTTCGCTATGCAGGTGCAAACCAGTTATGAAAACAGATATTTAAAGTTTTTACTAAAAATCCTTTTTAGGATTTTTAAAAAACCTTCAGGTATGCAATATATCCTGTTACACAAAGTCTCATGATAAATACTCTTTAAAAAGAAAAAAAGTTGAATATCACTTAGCAACCGAAGAACAAAAGCAGAAGAAATGGAGAGACAGAGCACAAAGCTGAAGCTAGGGAAATATGAATACTGGTTACATCCTTATCAATGACTCCCTGAGTATTCCTTTGGATAACCATAACCTTTTTTTTTTTTTTTTTGAAATGAGGCCTCACTGTGTCACCCAGGCTGGAGCACAGTGGCACAATAGATGGTAGCTCACTGCAGCCTAGAACTCCTGGCCGCAAGTGATCCTCCCATCTCAGCCTCCCAAGTAGATGGAACCACAGGTGTATGCGACCACACCCAGCTAATTTAATATTTTTTATAGAGATAGGGTCTTGCTATGTTGCCCAGGTCTCAAATTCCTTACTTCAAGCAATCCTCCCACCTCAGCTTCCCAAAATGCTGGAATTACAGGTGTGAGCCATTGCACCCAACACAACAACCATGTTTTTTCTCTGTAGGAATTCCTCCACACATTGGGAATGTATCTTTCTCCTTCATTCACAGAAATGTTCTAGATAATAAGATGAGGCATGCATGTAAAATTTTCAGCTTAAAGCATCTTCAAAGGAACAATTTACCCATTTTTCTCCAAACCAAATAATCCCAATTCTAAGTGAGACTTTATTGAATTTATTTCTGTTTCTCAGCCCTAATCATCTGCCTTTGCTGATTTCCATTGCCCACTTTCAAATCCCTACTAGACTTTATGAAGACCTGTATACCCAAAGCCCAGTGTAAATATTTTTAATTGAAATGAAGGCATGAAATGTGTTAGAATTTAACATAAAACCTAAAACTACATAGGACATTCTAATTAAGACTTGACTAGCAATATCTAGGGACTTCTATGCCGGAAGCATAACTAGAATTAAAGTGTTTGACTTCTTCTTTTTAACTTTTTTGGTTTGCTTTGGTTTTGTATTCTATTTCAACTATTCTAAGTGTGATTTTTGACCAGCATTTAATGTTGATATAGATGTGGCTTCACATCTAAGCAAGGAAGGTGTTTTTCAAGTGCTGGAAGTGAGCTGCCAGTATTTCCCACACATCAGGCCTTGTTTTTTCAACACCTTGTGGATCGCTAATTGGAGTTTGCATAATCTACCGCCAAATTGCAAGCATTCCTTTGAGATGAGTGGAACACACACTTCCCTTCCAGAATCAATGAAAAGAGAAGGTCAGGAAGAGGAAAAGCAGCAAACAATGATCTAATTAATTTAGAAGAAACTGAATTTCTGGTTCTTGATTTCCTTCAGAAGAAAAAAATGAAATGCCACCTGAAAGGAATGTTTGTGATTCATGTTTTAATCCCCCAAACAGTTCAATTGTTAGCTGCTGTCGACGAAAAAGAGTTAAGACTCTGTAAAATATTTGAAGAGAGTTAGTCCGAGCCAAATATGAGTGACCAACGGCCCGTGACACAGGCCCAGGAGGGCCTGAGAACATGTGCCCAAGGTGGTCAGGCTACAGCTTGGTTTTGAGCATTTTAACATAAGACATCCAACAGTACATGAAAGATGTACATTGGTTCTGTCCGGAAAGGCAAGACAACTAGGAGAGTTGGGGCTGGGAGTGGGGGCGGCGTGCCAGGTCATTAGTGGATTCAAAGATTTTCTGATAGGCAATTGGTTGAAAAATCTAAAGACCTGGAATCAATAGAAGGGAGTGCCTGGGTTAAGAGAAGGGGTTGTGGAGACCAAGATTCCTTTTTTTTTTTTTTTTTTTTTTTTTGAGACGGAGTCTCGCTCTGTCTCCCAGGCTGGAGTGCAGTGGCGCGATCTCGGCTGACTGCAAGCTCCGCCTCCCGGGTTCACACCATTCTCCTGCCTCAGCCTCAAGAGTAGCTGGGACTACAGGCGCCCGCCACCACGCCCGGCTAATTTTTTTGTGTTTTTAGTAGAGACGGGGTTTCACTGTGTTAGCCAGAATGGTCTCAATCTCTTGACCTTGTGATCCACCCGCCTCGGCCTCCCAAAGTGCTGGGATTACAGGCGTGAGCCACCGTGCCCGGCCTTCAAGATTCTTATTACACAGATGAAGCCTCTGGGTAGCAGGCTTCAGAGAGAATCGATTGTAAATGTTTCTTAATCACACTTTAAAAGGTGCCAGACTCTTTAGTTGATTCTCTCCTGGATCAGAAAAAATACATAGAATGGGTCAAATATATGTCAAAGCAATCTGTTTTGGGGTAAAATACTTCGATTTCTTTCAGGGCCTGCTATCTCATGTTAGTATCTTATTGCGACAAAGCATCTGTTTTGTCAGTCTTAAGGTCTCTGTTTTAATGTCAGTGCTGGTCACCTGTGCCTGAATTCCTAAGGGAGGAAGGTATAATGAGGCATGTCCAACCACCCCTTCCCCTCATAGCCTGAACTAGTGTTTCAGGTTTACGTTAGAATGCCCTTGGCCCAGAGGAGGGATCAATTCAGTTGGTTGGGGGGCTTAGAATTTTATTTAGGGTTTACACTGCCCATAGCAAAGGAGAAAGAAATAATTTTGAAATAACTTTAAAATGTGCTTTTGCTTTAAAGGCTGAGGAGCTGGAAGCAGTAAGCAAGCGGGGACAAATCATGAGGAGAAAACACTCTCAGCATGCAGTGAATCATCTTTAAACCATTCACAAGCACGTGCATAAGTAAATATGTACATGTGAGGCTACACTGATCAAATCCATGGAGGAATTAGAAAATAATCAGTAGTGAATGCATCCTCCATCAACAAGTCCTAATGGTTTCCCCTTCAATTCAGTCCTTGAAATTGTACAGTTCAAAACTGTCTCAGAAAAGCAAGGCTAATATTCTTTAAAAAGCATTTGATTATATAAATGTGCAGAGTTTTTAAGGCATTCAAGAATACAGTTATTGCCTATTTTAAATTTTTGAAATTAATATCTAGCCAATTAAAACAAACTAGGTCTTTTAAATGAGTCATTTTCAGCTTTTTTAAACACTTAGTTCTATAATATACAGTTATAAAGTGTGAAAAATTATCTTCAATTTTTGTTTGTTTTAAATTACTGTTAAAATCACAATATCTTCATCAGAAAATAGAGCAGAGATGAATTGCCTTGGTAAAAATATCACAAAAATTAATGTTAAAAAATTCAGAATGGTAAATGAAGTGCTTAAAGAATCAGTTTAAAAGATGGCAAATCTCTTTTTCTGTCTATTGATCAATGAAACTATCTCTAATCCGAGTCATCATTAAAGTGTTATGCAAACAGAAATCTGAATTCAAATGAGCACAAAAGACCCCAAAACTTTAAGTATATTAAACTGATAAATATCAAAAAATTAGAAATTCCCCCAAGAGTCAACTCTTTCTCAGCATACATATTAAGTTGCAGGGAACTGATCAGTTGAATAGCTCAACTCAACTATATTCAACTGTATTCAGCTGCACTGTATCTTAAAGTATGAAAGCCTATATAAAAAAAAAAAAACAGAAGATTTAAAATGAATTTTAAGAAACAGCTACTTAAACTCAAAACCAGTTGATAAACATACCTTTTGATGCAACAACAGGAACAGTGTAATTAAAAGTGGATTAAGTCCTTGAATTCCAATTGAACAGGAGAGGAAATCCAATATATTTGAATTCTTTTGGGTTAGAATCTGTCAATGATATTAAGGCAAATTATTTATAATTTCACAATGATATCCAGTTAGAATATTTATTAATCTTTATAAATACCCATCCAATTTGCTTTCAGGCCTATATTTTTCACATTTTATATGACTATAATATGTCATTCTCAAATAATATTAGCATAATCAAGTCTCATGAATAACAATATTGTTGAAAAAATATTAAGTGTTCTCTAATCTGCTTTTTTTATTTTAAAAGGTTAGTTAATGGCATTGATCCAGATAGAATAGCATTTTAGTCCTTCTTTCATGATTTAATTCATTTAATTTAAAAAACATTGAAAATTTTTTAATACGTTAAGATACTAGAAAACACACTCTCATTTAGAATGGCATTCTTTAAATGTATTGTTAATAATTTGCAACATATTGACTTTTTTATTATGACCAAACTAAAATACCATAATAGATTGATTTTCTTACGTGATAATAACAGCAAAGATTTGAATCAAAAAAATCTAAAGTCAGTATAAAACAAACTACTTGGGCTTACGTAGGAACCAAACCCAAACTCTTGTCCAAATGAACAATTGAAATTCCTGTTGAGGTTTTGAAAAATCTCCACCACCCCATCAAGTGCCCTACTTTTCATGCAGCTCAACACTTCCAAACAGAGCCAGCATGAGGAGCCCTGAGATCCCTGTGGTCGGCCCTTTCCCAAGTATTCCAAACCCACGCCTGGACCAAGAAGCTCCAGGAATCTCATCAGAAGCCTTGACTCCAGGAGGTTTCGAGTTAGATTTCCAAACCAGAGAGGTTTGGAAAAGAGCATGTTGAACCTTCGACCCACTCTTGACTTGCCCATCTGTATTTCAGTTACAGGCACTCACCTAAGAGTACTGACTTCTCTCATGACAGCTGCATAGTTAATGTGCCATTTCCACTGTAAGAAACTTGGCTGGGGCCAGTCAAGATGGTTCAGTTTAACAACCTAATAAATATATTGAAAATAACCAGTGAAAACAAAATTACAGAGACTGCCTTGTAGCTCAGCTGCCATCGTCTCTGTAGCCAACCTCAGCCTTCACCTCAGCATTGCACAAAGTTCAGAATCACTAACATATCAGAAAGGTTGGACAAGAGGAAAAGTAAACTGGAAACACACACACACGTGTGTATACATAAGTTTAATTCTGAAGTATTGAGAATTTTATTTTCAAAGTGCTAGAAAGGCAACAGAGAGATAGTTCATTTCACCATTACAGAAACACCAAGAAATTATAAACTTCTCTGGATGTCAGTTTTCTTACTGGAAAAATTATGTTAAAATTATATCACTCTAGCCAAGTGTAGTGGTGCATGCCTGTAGTCCCAGCTACTAGGGAGGCTAAGGTGGGAGGATCGCTTGAGGCCAAAAGTTCGAGGCTTCACTGAGCTATGATCACACCACTGCACTCCAGCCTGGGCAACTGAGCAAGATTCCACTCAATAAATTAATAAATGAGTGCAGCATTCTAATGTTTTAAGGATTAAATGACATGATCATATAACAATGCCTAACAAGGTACACAGTGCAGTAACAAGTAAATGTATTTTAGCTTTTTTCCTTGGTTTCCATTAACATTTTTTTCCTTCAGTTAGTCATTCTAAAAATATTTATTAAGCATCTATTATGTTTTAAGAATTAAATGAGGTGACCCTACAACAGTGCCTTAAAAGGTACACAGCACAAAAACTAAATATATTTTAGCTTCTTCCCTCAGTCCCCTTTAACATTTTTTTCATTCAGTCAGTCATTCTACAAATATTTATTGAGCATTTATTATGTAGCAGGCATCATAATTTGTCTTGAATATATAATGGCAAATACAATAAACACAGTTCCTGCCCTTAATGGGGAAAACAGAAAATAAATAGGCGGGGAGGCGAGGAGAGAGAAAGACAAATCGAAATTGTCCTAAGTTCTGTGAAGGACCTAAACAGGGTACAGGGAGAGGAAATGGTGGGAGAGGGGCACCTGGTTAGATAGCTCATGGCATAGCTGATACTTTAATTTTGTTTTTTAAGTAGAGATGAGTTCTTGCTGTGTTGCCCAGGCTGCTCTTGAACTCCTGGGCTCAAGCGATCCTCCTGCCCTGGCCTACTAAAGTGCTGGGATTCTGGGTGTAAGCCACCTTGCCCAGCCCTGTTTATTTTTCTATTGATCTTAAGAAAGAAAAAGATGTCTTCTAATAACTATTTTACCTTAATCAGTTTTAAGACAAGCTTTGCAGAGCTCCATGACCCTCTGAAGAGACCGTGGCCACCTTGTAGGTTAGAGTATTTCGGACAGATGGCTGTACTACTGAGAGCTTTTCTGGACATGGCCGTTCTGGCTAACTTTCATCTTGTCATTACATTTCCTTTTCTGAGAAAGGTTGCAAGGGTGGTTTTGACAGAGTGATGCTGTTGGTATTTAGAATCCTGACTTTCTTGATCCTTTTCGGTGGAGCTGCGGGACACATGTGCGATGGAAACTGGCCTGGTTGCCATGGTGGATAGTGTTCTGACAACAGTCACATGGGTCAGGTGTCCGTTTTGGATCTTTCAGGCCTGTCAGCAGCTCCTGATAAAGCTAGCCATGTGGTTTTTCTTGGCTCACCTGTATATCCTGGTAGGAACAGCTAAGAGCCACTCAACGCACCCTTCTCTTTTTGGAGAAACCCCAGGGAGTTGTGTTGCTTGGGGCTGGGCCGCTTGGAGACCATGTTCTTTGTCTTTTTGGCCTGCTCTCGGGGCTAAGGAGCATTGATGGAATATCTGAGATGGTGGCGTCGGCAGGGATGGCCATGCTGAAGTCTGTTCATATCACACAACTAGGGCCACAAGCAAAGTCCTCCATCTGAATGACATTCAGGGACAGTCCATAAACTCAACGTGTGCACAGAGTGCCTCCGTACGCCATGCATTGTGACAGGTCCTGGGGTAACAGATCTGAAAGACTCCTTCTTTGTGTGTAAAGAACATGATTGGGTTAATTAAGTAAAAGTGAATATTTTCTTTACTGAGTCATAAAATTACGGGCATATGTCTTAATCAGCTAAGGCTGTCATAACACAGCACCATAAACTCAATGGCTTAAACAACAGAAACTGATTTTCTCACAGTCTTACAGGCTGAAAGTCCAGGATCAAGGCATCTGTGGAGTTGGTTTCTTCTGAGGCCTCTCCCCTCGGCTTGTAGATGTCACTTCTATGGTCTTCCCTCTGGGCCTGTGTCCTAATTTTCTCTTCATACAAGTGCACTAGTCATAATGGATTAGGGCCTACTCCAGTGGCCTCATCTAACTTAACTGCCTTTTAAAAGACCCCATCTCCATATAGGTCACATTCTGAGGTGCTTGGGTTAGGATTTTAACATACGAATTTGGCAGGGGACACACTCTAGCCCATAACAGCATTTTTACAGCCACACATAGTAAAAATCTGGAAATACACCACCACATGTATCAGAGTATAAGTGGCAAAGGTTGATCATGATACGTATCTCTCAGTTGAGAATTTCAGCGTGATTTCTAAAAACTTGTTGTGAAAGTACAATGCGCAGAAAACTGAAATTTCACCAAAAGTCCCATATCTGAAGCAAATAAAAAAATTTAGTTCCCATATTCTTTCCAATAGAAATAATTCCTTCGTGGAGAATTTATGCCTATCTCGTTCCTATGACAAAAAGGAATTTGGCCAGCCTGGCCAACATGGTGAAACCCTGTCTGTACTAAAAATACAAAAAAATGAACTGGGCACGGTGGCACACACCTGTAATCCCAGCTACTTGGGTAAAAGAATTACCTGAGGTAAAAGAATCATTTGAACCCAGGAGGTGGATGTTGCAGTGAGCCAAGATCGCACCACTGCACTCTATCCTGGGTGACAGAGAGACCTTGTCTCAAAAAAAAAAAAAGGCGGGGGGGATTTGGGGTTTTTTTGTTGTTTAAGGGTTTTTTAATTTTTAATTTTTGTGGGCACATAGTAAGGGTATATATTTATGGGTACATGAGATATTTTGATACAGGCATACAATGCATCATAATCGCATCAAGGTAAATGGGATATCTATCACATCAAGCATTTATTTCTTTCTTTGTGTTACAAGCAATCCAATTATACTTTTTAAGTTATTTTTAAATGTGTGATAAATTTTGTTGACTGAAGTCACCCTATTGTGCTATCAAATACTAGATCTTATTCACTCTATCTAATTATATTTTTGTACCAATTAACCATTCCTCCTTCCCACTACACTTCCCAGCATTTGGTAACCATCATTCTACTCCCTATCTCCATGAGCTCAATTGCTTCATTTTTAGCACTGACAAATAGGTGAGAATATATAAAGTTGATCTTTCTGTGCCTAGCTTACTTCATTTAATCTAACGACCTCCGAGTGAATCCATATTGTTGCAAATGACTGGATCTCATTCTTTTTTATGGCTGAATAGTACTCCATTGTGTATGTGTCCCACATTTTCTTTATCCATTCATCTGCTGGTGAACTCTTAAGTTGCTTCCGTATCTTGGCTGTTGTGAATAGTGCTGCTGTGCACATGGGAGTGCAGGGAGCTTTTCAATATACTGATTTCTTTTCTTCTGAATATATACCTAGAAGTGAAATTTCTGCATCATATGGTACAAAAAATAATTTAAGGGAATCTGGATTTCTTTTCTCTATGCAAGATCATTCAATTGTTTCCTCTAGTAAGGAAAAACTTCTGAAACAAATTCACAAAATTAATCAAGATTTTTGTTAATGAATAAAGTGTTCTCAAGCCACCGTCTCAGTCTGTCTTTCTGGGTGCTTTACCTACTGTCTTCTCTTGGGTGCTTTCCTTCTGACATAGCAAGAGCATATTTCAGACAATTGTAGACTCAAATATTTCAAAGCATTAAAGGAAAAAGGGGCATCTGAAAATTATCTTGATGTTCTCTGACAGCTCTAATACTATATAAATTATTACTAATGTACTAAGATTTCAAAGTGCTAGGCAAAGCGTCCCCAACCCACTGCAGATTCTCACAAAAAGGAAAACATGCTGAACTGTATTCCTTGGAGCTGTTGATGACTTCTCTTTGTACGTAATGAATGAGATGTTGTAGAAATAGCACAATCGCTGGAACACACTCAGGAATATGATGCTCCTCAGTCTCCCACACTTGATACCAAGGATCCTAGCTGTCCCATTGTCTACCTCAGCTGTAGGGGGTTTGTGTGCTCTAATTTGCCCTGGCACTGCTTTATCATTTAAAAACTTAGTTCTGGGTGAAGTGTGGTTGCATATTGCAATTCAGAGTGCCTTCAATGCATACTGTTTCATGGCCATCTCTTCTCCCTTGTTTCCCCTTCCCTTTTATTCTTTCCTTCTTCTTGGAGTCCCTCTTATTTGAGTGATCCCTGAAAAGGGTACTCACTGCTAAGAAGAACGACCTGGGTTACATAACAAGTCCTTACAGAACAATGCCTCAAGAGGAGGTACGGCTAGTCAAGGCACAGAAAGCAAAATCTAGCCCTAACGACATTACTCCTTTACCTAGGATCTTGATTATGTATCTCATTTTCTGTGACTTGACTTCTACATCTTTGCAGGGATGACATGTTTTGTCTCCATTTTTTATACGGCAGATAAATGTGGTAGGTTGAATATACCTGCTTACCCCAAAGCCTTTGATAGAATAACAGTAAAAAATGAATGAACTCACAAGAATAAAGAGTGGAAAAGGAAACGTCAATCAGCCAGAGGTACAATGGGAGGATGGAAAGTGGATAGATGTATAGTGACTGAGTTATATTTACTTCTTGGTACCACTAAGTGCCTGCAGAAGAGAGAAGCCTAACCAAAATAAACTGATGCAGCCGGGCATGGTGGCTCATGCCTGTAATCCCAGCACTTTGGGAGGCCAATGCAGGTGGATCACTTGAGAGGTCAGGAGTTCGAGACCAGCCTGGCCAACTTGGTGAAACCCCGTCTCTACTAAAAATACAAAAATTAGCCAAGCATCATGGCAGTTGTCTGTAATCCCAGCTACTTGGGAGGCTGAGGCAGGAGAATTGCTTGAACCCAGGAGGCGGAGGTTGCAGTGAGCCAAGATTGCGCCATTACACTCTAGGCTGGGCAACAGAGCAAAACTCTGTCTCAAAAAAATAAAAATAAGCTAATGTGTGCCCCCAAAACTTAGAAAGCCTCAGGAATTGAAGGCAGCAAGGAAATGTAAAGACAGGAAACAAGAGAACTGGGAGAATGCTCAAAATAAAAGAATTGGTTCGAAGTCTTTATGAGTTGCAGTTAGACGCCCAGATCTCTTCCCCCACCCCACACATCCAATCAGATAGTCCCTTTCACCCTGGCAGAAGACTAAGATGTATTCTCTGAGGAGGCTGAGTCAGGGAGCTTCTGAACTTAATAATGCACTCCATAATGTTGAAAGTATGCTATTCTGGACAATGGCAATGGGAACACCTGGGGAAGGAATGATGCACTATTCTAAGGTCATGGGAATGAAGGCAAAGATGTGTACTAAACGACAGCACCTAAAGCCTTTCTCCATGGAAAGTGGTCACCCAGGGAAAAAAACTAAGGTTATTGACATTTGTTCAGGGGTCCCTGAACAAAATGTCTCTCTCGACCCCTGACAATAAGTGAAGGTAAGAATACACCATATGCGGGTATGCAAGATGTCAATTTCTTTCTTCTTATGTACCCTGTGCCAGGGAGCCTGGAGGATGTGTTCCACCAAAATCAGGATATAAACAGAGAAGTGGGAGGTGGGGGTGGGAAGAGAGGGAGGGATAGGAAGAGAGAGCATCTAGCACAGGAGAGAAGAAAAGAGAAGGACCAGGAGGACAATGACAAATAGCTATAGGAAGTAGACCTATAAGCAGAATAGTCCTGAGAAGAAAAATCTCCGATCCACTGTGCTTGACAATATTATTGTATTTTACCATTATTTCAAACACACAGAAGAGTGAGCAAGCTAAAAACATAAAGATGTGTGGTTTTTTTCAATAAATAAAGAAAATGTAAACATAGTATCCAAGGTGGCTTAGCTGTGAATTATGAAGACTATAATAATGAATGTGATTTAACCCTAAATTGGAATGATTGGGAAGTTGTGGGTGTAGGGAAAGGTGGTGAAAAAAGGGAAATGTTTTGGATCATTGTAAGCCTTAGAGTGTTAGTTGGCTTTTTAAACTATGTACAGTATTACTTAGATAAAAACTAAAATTAAATTTCAAATATAAGGTTAATTAACCCATGTGAAGCACATACTTCAGCATGTATTTTAAAATGCAAAGGTATTCTTAATGAATATTAATCTTAAAGGCTTCAAGGTCTTCCAAAAGGCAGAATTTTACAAATGTAAATTTTTAAAATTATTATGGTATTGTATAATATTCCTGCACTAATATGTGTTAAAAGGGTTCTATCAACCCTGGATTTTAATTTTTCAAATGTATGACATAGTTTCTTTTGTTGTTTATGGAAAAGCTGAGCAACTTGGTAACGAATGTGAATATGTTTGGAAGCCCAATCCAGCTCATGTAGATGCATATTTGTTTCCATGATCATTTGAAATTCTATGGAGTCACCACTGCTGATTCAAACCTGGCCAGGCTTCCTGATTCTAATCTCATCCCAGGGTGAATTGAGGTTAGCTGCTGGAGGGAATGTTCAGTTCAGTTGAATGTAAATCTAGCGCCAAGCCACATGTGAGCTGAGTGTGCCAGGATGCCAAGTGATAAATCGAGGAAAGAAAGATCACATGAGGCTGACATCTTAGCACTGACACATGGCCCTCTTCTGCAGAAATACTGGGCAAAGAGTTGTGAGTCAGCTACAAGGAAGATAGGGCTTTCCACTGAAAAAGGCAGTGTTCAAAGGACTCATTCGTCAGGAAAAAGAATTCCCATGTCAATGAGAGCTGAATGTGAGCTACACTCATCTTTGGATAGGTATTTGATGAATACTCGTATTCTTGGAGTGACTTTCCAACATTTAACTAAGACCATTCAGCCTTCACAACCCATTTGACTTAAAGGGCAAAAGTGCCTATCTGACAATTTTGATGATCAGACATTGCCTTCTTCCCCTTCTACTCCTGCTAGATCCATTCTAGTCTCTGTCTAGTTAATTCCTTTAAAAACCTCCATGTTAAAGTAGACTTCAATATCTAGCATACTAGTTCCAGAAAAATGATACCAAAAAGGTATATTAGATTGCACATGGTGGTGAAAATGTTTAAAAATCCTGAAAAAAAAAAAGGTATTATGTAAAAGAGACAAAAGAGAGGAAAAAAGCTCTTTGGATTTTTTGATTAGCAGAAGGTACACATCTTTATGTGCAAAAAACCTGCCGTCTCCTAAATATCCTTATTTGGGGTGGTGTAGGTCATAAGGGGTAGAATTTATATTTAGAAAGTACATATACATTTTAAACTTAATAATGTTGAAAGATATGCACTATACACTCATAAAATAGCCTTATAATTTAAAAAAATCTATATGCACTTATTACAAGTATTTTAAATAAACCAGAAAAGTCTAAATAAAAAGTAGCCCAAATTCTGTCACCCAGGGAAACTCTATTTTATTAATATCTTTCCAGACAGCTCTGTATGGCCACACATGCAATTTTATAATGGGATTATAAAATTGGGGTTATACCCCTCATACTGTTGTCCAACCTGGAGAATTATATACAGATGCTCCTCAATTTATGATGCCACTGCATTCCCAATAATCCATTCTAAGTTGAAATCTTCAACTTACAATGGGTTTATCTGGGTGTAAGCCCATTGTAAATTGAGGAGTGTATTGAATATATATCACTTTCACATCATCATAAAGTCAAAAAACTGTAAATCAAACCTTCCTAAGTCAGTGACCCCCTGTACCCTTAAACAATGAGATAAACTTCCATCAAGCATGGCAGTACTCTGGCTTTGTTCTCCGTTTGAAAAACCGTCACTTTATAGGCTTAATATATCTATTTTACACATTAAGACTGTACCTTCAAACTGTGTTGTTCCATACAGTAGCCCTAGTCATGTGTGGCTAAACTTGAATTAACAAAAATTGAATAAAATTTAAAATTCAGTTCCTGAGGTGCACTAATAACATTTCAATGGCTCCAGAGTAACATATGGCTGGTGGCTACTGTATTAGACAATACAGAATGGTTTCATCATCACAGAAAGTTCTGCTGGACAGTGCTGAGTTGGAACCAGGTGTTCTTTACACACAGACCACTTAAAGACTGAGGTTTTATTTATACACCTGAGTTTTCCAAGCACTTTTATCTTTGACTGTGGCCAACATTCTATAGGGCTAAATCCCAACTTTAGCAGCCGGAAGTCGCAACTGAAGAGACCAGCCATTTGGATTAGGAAGACAAAAAAAAAAAAAAAAAAAAGACTTTCCCACTGTTTCCAGTGACTTCTCAAAGGGTATGGCTTCCAGCTATTCTGGTGACCAGAATGACACTCCCCTTAACCCTGAGCTTCCTTGGGACATGACAGCTCTTGCTCACTGAGAATGAGTGTGAGAGTTTGAGGGTGGATCCTCCTTTGTAGATTGGGACCCATCCTACGTCAGCCTGGGAAAATCACTCCAAATATCAGAAAATAAATAAAACAAGGACAATTAAAGAGCAACAAGGTCTGGGAACTGGATCCAAACCAACCACCCACCTGCAGTTCCTCTAGATCTTACGCTATCACGAGGAGAGGGGAAAAAATAAATGAAGAAAAAAACCTCCATGTGTCCAGTGTTAAGCTCTCAAGCTGAGCAAATAAATAACCCTCTCCCCCTTTTGGGTTCCCTGTGTCTCTAGAGAACAGGATGCAAAATTAAATTCCAAGCTCGTTCCAATAATTTGAGAAGATAAACTTCCAATTTCTTAGAATTTATGTTCAATTTGAATAAGCACCTAAAGTTACAGGCTCTCCAAACTCACACAAGTCCCCTACCCCCAGCTTTAAATCCCTGGAGGCTGAAAGTTTGGCAATGAGAACAAACATTCTCACAATTTCTTATTCTTCCTTCTTCCACTTAAACTTTAACTTTCTCAACAATGCCCTTCAGAGGTTTCCTTTCAGCACGTCTTCCTCCAGTCCTAGGAGGAATGTGGAAATATGAGAAAAAGAAACTAACAGCATGAGAAGAGATTTTCAATTTCTGTGGGTCCCCAAAATGGTTCAGTCTGAAGTTCGTAGGAAGATGTGGAATCATTTCTCACTTGTTGTAAACTGTCATATCTCTGCTTATGAGCCATTTTTGTTCAGTAGATACCCATTCGACATGGAGATCTATCCACTCTCTATCCTAAGGGGCAGACTTTGGAAGAACTACTGGTTTTATTTTCAATTCGTTCATTTATTTGCTCAATAAACATTAATTGAGCAGCTGCTGTGTACTAGGGACAGAGCCAAGTGCTATGTTGACAAGCATTAATAAGAAATGGCTCCTGTCCTTAAGGAGCTCTAAGGAAAAAGAGAAGCAAGATATGGCGATGAATGCTAGGATGGAGAGCTGCATGGAGGAAGGGCACCCATTGCAAAAGGGGCGAGGGGAATGTGGTCTGGGAAAGCTTCCTTCAGGAGAAGATACTTGAACTGAGTCTTGAAACATAGCTCTAAATTAGCCACACAGTGAAGGTAGATAGAAATATCCCAGCATAATGTTTGTGGAGGGACAAACAAATCAATGAGGTTGGCACAGCATAGTGGCAAGAAATAAGGCTGGAGAATTGGACAGAGTCAGATGAGGAGAGGCCCTTTATTTCACCCTGAAGGTGATACAGTCATAGAAGGGTTTTTAACATGGAATGATGGGAGAGGGTCATCATTTCAGAGAGATTACTGCAGTATGATTTTGGGAGATGGACTGAAAGTGAACACACATGAGGAGAGAGAAACACCATTGTAGATGTGACAACAGTGCCTCGGGGAGAAACTAGGGGACTACTGAAGATCTAGAAAGGACCCAATGAGAGGAATCCAATAAATATTGAGGCAAAATTTTCAAGATCTGATGACCAAATGGATAAATAGAGGGAGACTACAGTGGCTTCTAAGGGCAATTGAGTGATTAAAACATAAACTAGTATTTTAAGATTTGTTTGTTGGGGGGATGGTGGTTATTAACAGAATATCTACTCTGGCCTCTGACATACACACAAACATTCCTAAGACAGGAAAAAGAGGACAAACTTTCCTATGAGCCTCACAACTGATTCTCATTATTCTAGAAAGCCTTGCCTCTCGCATTAGTGTTCTGTTTTCTAGACTTTGCTGACTCTTTCAAAACAAACAGATAGGCAAAGAAATCTAAGATATCATTCACTAGGTAAAATAATTTGAATTTTGGCATCAACCTAAATGAGACCCTTTCAGTTATTTAGTCAACAGTGTTTACTGGGATTTATTCTGTGCTGAGCACTGCAAATACAAGAAGAGATAGAACCCACATTCAAACTTCTTCATTAGTCCATATTCTTTGTACATTTATGTTTTTATTTGTTTGTTTGCTTACACCTGGTTATGATCATACATTTCAGCAGTGGTCCTCAAACTAGAGCGTAAATAGGAATAACTTGGAGAGGTGGTCAAACTACAGCTTCCTGAGCCCTGTCCCCAAAGTTCATGACTCACTGAGTCAGTCAGGGTAGGGCCCATGAATTTGCCTTTCTATTAGTGCAATTTCTAGTACTACTGGTGGGAGGCCCACACTCTGAGAAGCATTTATTTACGGCTTTGAGCGAGAGTAACTTTGTGAAGCAATGTAAGGTTGTTTCCTGTGGTCCTGACGCATCCGTAATGTGGAATTGATGTCAATGGGAATTACACAGGCCACAGAGGTGTCACACACAGGCCTTAGGTGCTCATGACCAACCTCTCACCATGGAGCTGTTGCCTCCTGTTTTTCAGTTGCCTCTCCCATTGGGCATTGCTGTCGCTGTTGCTCCATACGTTGCTGCAGTTACGGCACTTGAGGAGGTCAAACAGTCCCTGTTGGAGAGACTGGAGAAATGGGAGCAAACCTGTCTCTCTCTAAACTTCTGTTATTTTATCTGACCTTAAGAGTAAGATTAATAATCTGATCACCTAATCATCTGGAGAGGACAGCGAGATTTGCCAAATATTAACAGACATGGGAAAGGCTGTGATGTTCAGCTGAGGGCCAGTCATGCAGTTAGCCTGGACCACAAAAAAGATAAATGGGTAAGAACCTGCCTTGCAGTTGCATTGTGAGTGTAATAGCTTGCCAAATGCCTCGGCTATGAATGAGTTTTCTTGTATGGGTCTCTTCTAGGTAGAGCAAAGTCCCTTCTGTTTACTTACAACATTCAGGAGTGTTTCTGATATTTGCCTTTAGGTATATGCTTTTCAATCTCACATACAGGAAAATCATACCGGAAGTTATTGGGTAATTCAAGTATCAAATGAAGTGAGAGCAATGGGAGTGGAAAGAAGATACAAATTTCAAATTTAAAGAATGTTGGAAAACAAACAGTAAAAGACTTGTTTTCTACAACAGAGGGCGATGTGAGACGAGAAAAAAATAGTTGAAATTAACTCCCAGATGTCCACCTCTTTTGACCAGGAAAAGGATGGCATCAATTACATAAATATAAAGATTGAAGAGGAATTGGTTTAAAAGGTTGAATTCTGTTTTAGACATCCAGGTGACAGTGGGACAGCCAGGTAAAAGTATTTTGAAATATTTGGAAATCCAGGACTGGAGTCTGGGTGAGAAAGGTGGCTTGGAGGACAGTGTTAGAAGGCCCCTGCTTAGCTGTCACTTAGAATTGATAACTGAGGCCTATCAGTGATGAACTCACTGAGAGAGGGTCTGTGAGAGAACAGTCGGAAGACTGAGGGTGGAACCCTGATATTCCTTCCAGAAGGGTTCCAAATAAGTTCTTCTTGGATTTGATACCTTTGTGCATTCTCAGTTCACTGTTTCAGTTAAAATATAGGTGGTATTCCTGGAACATAGTATGGGGCTGCCTTTGGAGACCTCCTCAAGTACCTGAGCATGTGCGCATGACTACTTGCATCTATGCCCACCTGTATAGAAAAAAAATGGCTTTTCTACTCATTTTAGAGGGTGAATTGGGGCATTTTCAATTCTCTCAGAAAGACGTAACAGAAGTGTCTGAAATGGCATGCTAACTACCCTTAAAATGTCTGTAGCTTTTCTCTTTTCCATATTATTCATGCCATGTGATACTGACCTGGGGATACTTCCCAGCCACATTTGAAAGCCTCCCCTGAAGTTGCAAACCCAATGGTTTGGAAAAGATATTTTGAATAACTTAAAATATACAGTGTAAACAAACTGGCCTTTTAGTATGAAGTGTACTAAATTAAAGAAACCAGATGCTTTGGTTGGCTTGGAACAGCTGAATTATGATTGGCTCTCCTTCACTAACCATTTTCTTTGGGGCCTCCTCTCTCTGCTCCTTCTTCCCCTCTCTCTCTCTCCTCCCACATTGATATTTTTCTTTTTTTTCAGAAAGCCATAAGCTCATCAGATACAAGAGACATAGCTCCCTAATATCAGCAACAAATGATTTCTGAAATTAGCATTGTTGTAAATTTAAATTGTTTGCCTGTACTCACTGAAATTTGCTTATAAAGACTTGATGTAAGAGTGAGTCATCCTTCAATTAAAGTTCTACATGCAAAGGACTTTTCTATGTAACAATTTTGACTTCAAAATTAAATATTCCTCTTTCAACTAACTACCAACTGGGACATTGTGTAAGGTCTATAGGAAATCATTTCGATCATTTCAATCCCTAACTCTCCAAATTATTTATCCATATGAAATCAAGAAGCCCCACAACCCTCTGAGATAGGGTTCCAAACCCAAATATCCCAATTCGCTAAAGTTAGATAAACCTCCATGCAACCGAGTAGCTTTCCCTGACACAGGATGGCCAAATTTATGCCATCTCTAATCAATTGATACCTTGGAAAATTACTAGTTAATGCAAACTGAAATCTGCTTTCATCTGAAATATCTGCAGAACTGTGCCAGAAATATATATTCAGCTTGGACTCTAGGAATAGAATCTCTAGAAAGGGAAGGGGATGAAAGGAAGGAAAGAAAAGAGTAGGGAAGGGAAATTTTACACAGCCCAGTAGCAGTAAAAATAGATCAACACTATTACCTCAATGATTAATATGCCACATAGTTGGGAAAAACTTTGTGTTTCTGTGATTCAAGATAAACACTAGCAGTCTCCGTCAGAAGGGTCAATTATGGCTTAGCTAATACAGGTAGTTGTGAAACATTTTGTAAGTATAGTGTTCTTATTATAAGTATTAGGTGTAAAAGGCAAATTGCCAGATGCCATCTCATAATTGTTGGAATCCTACTGTATTTGAACTGGATAAGGGAATCTTATCTTAGATCAAGGCATCTAAAAGGTACTTATCTTTATGTTCTCCCTTTAAGGATACCTTTTTATTGTGCTTTAGTAAATCAAGTCTCAGAATGGAATTGGTTCCAAATAATTTGCAGGGGGTTCATTTCATTTCAATTTCAAGGTGGTGAAAAAAAATCACTCCAGAAATTCTCCATGACCTCTTTTTTTTCTTCAAAACACCCATCTCCTCCACCTATCCCCTTCACCCCTCTTTCCCTCTAGGTCTCGACTCCTAGCCGATGGCTGGCCCCTGGGGCATCTGCCACTTGCAGGAGAGCTGGGTGGAATGGAGCAGGCACACTCTGGGATGAACGTTCCAGGGTTTTTCCCATCCTAGTCGAGCCTCACCGAACTTTTCCAAAATGTGCTATTGTATTAGATACATTTAAGAGGGTCTTAAAGTGGTAACTGGCTCACCAGAGTTACAGGATCTTTTTGTCATCAGCATTTTATTGCACAGTCTGACTTCACTTCCCAGTTCTGAGACAGGAAAAGAAAAATGGGTCTACCAATGTTTCCTGCCGAATCACTCAATGCTCAAGGCAGGGGAAAATATATATATATGTTTTTGCTAGAAACTTCACATAGAAAATGAGTCAGGATATTCTATTTTGTGTCTTGACTTTGCATCTTTATGCCAAAGTGCTGTCCTGGTATTAATCTGTTTTGAAATGTGTGGGGATTTGTGAAAAGCAAAGGCAAAACTTTTAAGCCTGGTAGCCCAGTTTGTCTTGCTATTCTAATGTGCCGGAGGGGGCTGAGTGTTCAGAGAAACAGCTCTGTGCCTGGCTGACTTTTGGTTGATGGAATCAGTTAACATCCACAGGCAGATATGGAAATCTTGACTTTCATCAGTAGGTTGCTGGCTATCTGGGGATGCAGCACTGAAGGCAAAGAGTGGAGGCAAAGTAGTGGAAAGAAAAGTCAATACTGAAAAGTGCAAGGAATTTACGAAGCTCTCACCCATTGTCCAGGACAGCTCCACTTCCAATACCGGGAAGTTATTGCCCCCACATTAATCCCTGGCTCCGTGGTACCGTAACTGACTAGGCCACAGGGAGATGAGAGTGTGACTGAGGAGCACAGGCCAACAACAAACACTTCAGGCTCAAGCAGTATTTTACAATTCATTACATCTTAGGGTCATTATTAAGCACTGAGCTTTGTGGGTTCTTTCTTTGGATTACTCATCCTTAGAATGTTTGCCCATCATACTCTTACGGTTTTGCTTTATTGGCCAAGTTTTACAATTTCTCCAGGCTGTGCTTCTTTCTTGCATAGGTATTTTTAACCTTTGTCCAACAGATAGTTATTCTGCAGTACTTTCTAATAGTTCCCACCAAAATGCCTCTTTGTCAAAGGAGAATTCTTTCCATTATTCTGTTTTCTGTAGTTGGATTGCGTGTCTGGGTAACTGGAGTTATAACTCCTGTGCTTGGCGAATATTCTAGTACTCAGTGTCATCCTGAGCAGTTGATAACTTTTCTTTTGCATCTACTCTTATATCAGTATCCCTTTCCAGTTCCATTGTGAAGCTACTTGTCCATTCAGTATCTAATGCTTTTCTTAATGGCTTTTATTTATTTTATTTTTTGGGGTGGGGGGGATTTAAGGAGTGGAAAATAGGCAAGAAAGAAGGAAGAGGCTCCCCCTGTACAGAGACAGAGGGAGGGGGGCTCCAAGCTGAATGAGGGAACCCCCTTGTTAATGGTTTTTAAATATTCCCTTATTCTATCTGCTGTTTTTCCTTCACTCTCCTACTCTTAAGCCACTTTGGCCCCATACTAAAACTTTTCAAAAAGACAAACATCCCAATAGTGGTATATGTGGGAATCCAGTTTCTCTTTCCCCCATCAACACATCCAAAATAATTTTCAAAAACCTCGACACCAATCTGACTATGAGCGTGCATTTTCTCTGAGGGTGAATTTTAGTTACATCTCCTTTGGCTAAGGATTAATGATGCAGACATTTTACTCAGAAGAAAAAACATAAAATGGAAAATACTGTTATTAGAGACATTCAGCAACAGCTTGAGAATGTCAGTAAGTAAAGCAGTGTGTGTACGGTGCCAAGATAGACGGAGCAGCTGCTTCGGAAGAATATTGAGAAGCCAGCTGTTATTCCCATTGGCACCAGAACGTGCCAATCACCACACAAACTGTGGGCATCGTGCGCCAGATTCTGGGGGAGAGAGCGCCTTCACAAGCCAACTAGAAAAGGGCCCTTGTTGTTTTTATGTGTCAAAGTTCTATCTGCCGTTACTTGTATACTATTCTTTATCTACCCATTCTTCCTTCATAGGTTGGTTAGAATGAGAAAGACAGTATACTGAGGAGAGAAACATCTTTCTCTTTCACTTTACATTGTTATAACAAATAATTTTATGGTTTAATTGTTGATTGTGGCACGGCTGGGCATCTTACGTCGATTAATGGAGCAAACATGAACACATCCAAGTGAATTTCAGAGGGTGACTAATTCACCATCTGATATGGACCAGTCCATTTTCTAAAGCTCTCTATCTGGGAACCAGAAGTTTTGGCTAATAAAAAATAGTACCTCAAAATACCTGCACAATGACAGACATAAGAAAAATATAAGAATAAAAAATTAAAAATATATATCCCTAAGAAACTTTTTTACTTCCAAGCAAAGAAAGAAAAAAAAAGTTGTTCCCTAAATTTTATTATCACAAAGTAAGAAGAGCAAGAGACATTTTCCCCCAAAATTTATTCTGACTTGGAAATTAAGTTAATACCATAAAAATGTGGCCTAGTTAACTTTCACTTTGGCTTTCTATAAACAGGTTTTTGAGACCTAAAATCATTAACCTAGATAAGCAATTAGAAAGCAGTAACTTCATCCTCCTACTTTTCAGTATGCTAAGGCATGCAAAGCTTTCTAATTAAACAGCATCGGCTTCTCTAGAAGGAAGGTGAAAAAGAATACACCTCATATCTACATATTCCTAGTTTGAGAAATATATGTATATACATAGTCCTACTTTGAGGGCAGTGTTGTTCTCGCATTCTGGTTTAGGGGTTGTAATGCAACGTAGCCATGTGGCAAGCAGAGTTATGTTCTAGTTGAAATTGGGAACATTCTTGCTCTTAGAACTATCTATCTTGGAAATTTAAATAAATAAAATAAATAAGCAAAAAAATATATATTATCCATGGTTTCAACAAGTCAATACCAGTGGGAGAAAGCCTTTTTCTCTAAATCACGTAAGGAAGAGTGGACAATCAGTGGCAAATCTGTGGGACCATCCATCCCATCGGCAGTATACCAGTGCTACAAGACTAAAGTTCAATGTCACTCTGAGTGTTTCTTTTACCAGGGACATCTTTAAACCTAGTAAGTAGACTGCGGCTAAGGAGCATTCCTGAAACATTGCACAGGATGGAGCTAGGAGCAGATGGAGATTGATGTCATCAGAACTCAGCACAGGAAATAAAGATCTGAGTTGTAGCAGGTTATAATATTACTATACCGGGGGCGGGCAGAGAAAGAGAAGAGGCAGCCCCACAAGGGGGGAGTGGAGCTGTGGGATATCCCTTACGGAAATATTATAGACAACTTCTGCAGAACATCAACAATTAGTTCATAAATTTACAAACACTCATTGAAGGTGTGCTGTAAGTGATGCACTAAGCTGGATGCCCCTGAATCCAGGAGAACACAGGCCTAGAAGGAGAAAAAGCAGGGACACATTAAAAGTCTTCAAACTTTTGAAGACAGCATTACCACCAATATCATAAGGCAGAATAGGATTAGAAGTCAAGTGGACAAAAGACCATATATTGTATTGTTTGCATTTATGGATATGTCCAGAAACGGGAAATCTGTGGAGATAGAAGGTAGAATAGCAGTTGCTTAGGGCTTAGGACTAAGGACAGTAGGCTGGGGGGATAGGAAAGTGACAACTGAAAGGTACAGGGTTCCTTTTTATAGTGATGAAAATGCTCTAAAATTGACTGTGGTGATGGTTGCACGTATTCTGGGAATATAGTAAAAGCCATTGAATCGTACACTTTAAATGAGTGAATTGTGTGGTATGTAAATTATATCTCAATAAAGCTGTCATTTTAAAATGTGAGGTAATAAAATTTGGCAGGGGGTGGAGGGGGAAGCCAAGTAAATTGAAGGAGCAATAAATACTCCAGAAGTGGATCCTCTTCCTCAGGTTCCCATCCCCAGCCTGTATGCCTTTCCCCCGCCAAAAAAAAAAAGAAACACGGGGAACTATCAGATATTCTTTCTCACCTAGAAACCGCAAAACACAAGAAAAACTCTTCAGAGAACTTCAGTACCTCATTTTCTATTACATTTGAAGCCCACTTAAATGTGAGACATGATAAGGTCCCACCTCAGTCCTAGGAGAACTGTGAGCTTGTGAATTATTGTTCAGAGCCTCTTCTAGACAAAAGGGCTTTAGCTCATAACAACACTAACCTCTGGATAAAAAGAGGAGACTTTCAAGCTCTGTGAGGCCCTCTCATAAATAACAAAAAAGATTGGCACCAGGTAGGTCATTCCAGAGACTACAGCATTTACAAAGTTCTTCTATTTGAATTTATTTCAAGCAGTCAATAAATAAATGGTTCCATGCTATTAAAAATGGAGAAAAGAGAAGACTACAAACAAGTGCTTCTACCTCCTGCAATTTGGTCCATTTCTCCAGCTCCCATCTCAGAGAAAGATGCAATTGTTCATTTGATGACCCTGGTACTCAGCGTATTTTCTTTGGGGCCATCTTTTGAATATTATTTTTGCATAAAACCAAGTAAATGAATGGGAAAGTTGAAAAACATAATCAGAATGTTATATTGACACTGTTGTAGATTTTCCGAATGTTGAAAAACAAGAAATGAATGGAAATGAGTTTGCCAAAGTGAACATTTTATGCATCTTTATATAGGGCATATTCCCAAGTGGAAAAACATACACTTGGATAAAGTAAAATGGCAAAATATTTTTGAAAATTTCAAATTTATGCCAGTTATTGGTCATAATTAGGCAGAACTCTTGCCCTCAAAAACTTACATTTTAAATATTCACTTCTTTGTGTGTGTCTTTTTCTCCTTCCTTATTTTCTGTGTCTAGTGTTCAGAGAAGGCACTTTTAGCTATTTTGTAGGAGCTACCATATTCTGCCCCACCACAGGAATGTAATCTTTCCTATAGCCATCTGTCTTTCCAAAGCATCTATCTTAGTGATACACACGGTGATTACTAGCGATTGTGTAGGCCCTCTGAGATACCGAAAGACACCAAATTAGATTGTTGTGGGTTTTTTTTCAGTAACTCAAAAAGTGCTGTATTAGTGTTAGCCTTGAATGACTCACAAGCGACTGTTCTTTTTTATCATCAGAGATACAATCAGGGATCATCTTCTTCCATTGGGTGGGGTAGCTTGGGTTCCTTCACGTGGCTATGAGAAAGGCTGAACTGTGGAGCATCACGATCTGGGGAGAAAGCCATGCTAAAAGGTCCAGAAAAGACCCAGGAGGATGTCTTCCATAAAGTTGGTGATCAGTTATTATCAAAGGAACACTACAAATGTAAAGTTTCTCATTTAGGAATTTAGAGAATTTGTGCTTTTAGTTGAAGGGATTGTTGGGATATGAAATGGCTTCCCAGATGCTATTAAAATAGGCTTTGCATCATGACCTGGTTTTTTCTTTTTCAGAACTTGCATTGCGCCTTCCCTGTAGTAAATAATATGAAATGAACATACATCTTATTGTGCTCTTAATGTCATCGATAAATATTTTTCAACAGTAGTACATTTTATTATTTTTGTTATTTTGCTTTGAGTGTGAGTACACATTGTTGTCAAAGTCCTTTCTCAGCTCTGGTTTGGGCAATTCAAGAAAAGTGTGCCAGTTACCCTCTTAGTTTGAACCAGGTTATATGCAGAGTGCCTTGGGTTTTGTTAAACAACCAAGTCTCCTAGGAGGGCCAAGAAGTTTTCACCACAGATGCCCTAACCTCCCTGTCTCTGTCTCCCACTCCTCTGCCTCCCAAATTATCTCTCACCAAACAAACCACTGTACCACCTATTTCTTTATGCCAACCTCTAAGAAGTTCATACTCTATCAATCACTACATTTTTCATTTCAAAATACTCTACAAGTCAATTCATTTCACAGAGCCTCCCCTAACACACCAGAGCAATGCTAATCCATTCCCCTAGCCAAAGTGTCCAAATTCCAACAGGACACAATTCACAAATGACCAAAGATGATGCATATTATAAATATTTGCTTTCTGCCCTATTTGCTTTTGCCTCATGTGTCCTCTCTATTTTGTGCTTTGGGTGAGACCTTTAACATGTGGGTTCGGTTACAAAGTGAGATAGCCATCAGTGGTTCTCAACATCTCCCCATTGAAGTCACTAGGGAAACTGTAAAAAATATGCCCAGATTCACTCCTGCCCAATTAAATCAGAATATCTAATTGAAAACAACTGATCACAGATGGTTATGAAGGAGAGTAGAATGTTAGCCTAATTTCTTTTTTCCTCCCATACTGGGCTGAGGGGGAAATTCCTGGCCAGTTTCAAATATAATGAAAAAAAGTAAAGAAAATGTTCTGATAACAAGTTAACAACTGCAGAATCCTGTGATTAGAAGGTTAAAGGTGGGCAAAAGCTTATCTTTTTCTAAGTCGCTGCATGTCAGACCAGAGAAATATAAACATTTGTTTTAAATAACGGTTCCCTTTTTCTACTAACTCTTACTATAAAGTTTCCATGACCCACACCTCACCTTACTTAACTGCTGTTGATGAGTAGTAAGATTCTCTGAACATTGATTCTATGAAGTGTGTTAACCTCAAGAAGTATATGTTCTAAAAAATCAAACATAGGATAAGCGATGCTTGAGGTTTATTTGCAGGTAGTATTGTCTTAATTGTGTAGCTTAGAATTTTGCAACCAATGTGCTGTGAATGAATCTCCAGTGTGCTGAAATATTCAATTCCCTCAGCCTCCTGGGTGGCCAGGCAGGCCTGGGACAGCCAAGACTGGGAATCAAATATTTTTTTTTTAATGTGTGGGAGCCATGGAAAGATACAGATGGTAGAATCTTGAATGTTTGAAGTAAAAAGCAATACAGAGTATCAAGTTTGTGCTCTATGTAGAAGACATTATATACTACACATAAATCCATTCAACAGTTACAATTATACATATAGGAGTAAAGCCATAAGCAGTAGCATATCACTTATGAGAAACTAAGCAATTCGTACTAAAAGAAATTGTCCCCGATTATCATCCTGTAGCATAAAAATTACTGTCATTACTTTATATTGCTCACAGTCATAGTAATCTCCAATATAATAATACATGAGTATAACAGACTTAGAATAGGTATTCAATGAAGATTGACTAAGAATGGACATTGCTGTTTACCATCTCCAAAATAATTTTTCAGTATATATGTAATAGTTTTTCAGTTCCAATTCTCAAATTCAAACATTAAAATCATGTAATTGGGTTTGGACATGAAGAACTACTTCTCTGGGTTCAATTATCACAAAAAAGGGATATTTGCAGATATGTTTGCAAAACTCCTGTCAATAATCTAGTGGAATTATGAAGAGTGAGAAAAGTGTCAGAAAACTGGAAAAAGGCAAAAATTGTCTAAATTTTCAAATAGGAAGAAATGGCAGATTCAGTTTTTTAAAAACTGAGAGTGAAGGCCGGGTACGATGGCTCATGCCTGTAATCCCAGCACTTTGGGAAGCTGAGGCAGGTGGATCACCTGAGTTCAGGAGTTCGAGACCAGCCTGGCCAACATGGTGAAACCACAACTCTACCAAAAACACAAAAATTAGCTGGGCGTGGTGGTGGGCACCTGTAGTCCCAGCTACTCGGGAGGCTGAGGCAGGAGAATCGCTTGATCCCAGGAGGCGGAGGTTGCAGTGAGCTGAGATCGTGCCACTGCACTCCAGCCTGGACAACAAGAGCGAGACTGTCTCAAAAACAAAACAAAACAAAACAAAACTCAGAGTGAAATGGGGAGATGTTGCTCAAGGGGTACAAAGTCTCAGACAGGATAAATAAATTCAGGAACTCTACTGTACAGAATGGTGACTATAGTCAATAATGAGGTACTGTATACTTGAATATTACTAAAAGAGTAGACCCTAAATGTTCTCAACACACAAACACACACACAAGATTTCTATGTGAGGTGATGGATGCATTTATTAGCTTCATGGTGGTAATCATTTCACAAGGTATACATTCATCAAAACATCATGTCGTATACCATAAACAGATATAATTTTCATCTGTCAATTATACCTCAGTCAAGCTGGGAAAAAACACATCAAATGATCTCTGTAAAGTATCTCCACTTCAGTTTAATTACCCAGTATGATGGCTGTGAAAACAAACGATGCTGCTTGTCAGGGGTATGTTTAATGCACAGTGGAGGTCTGACTTGGCAAATTAATATATGACCCAGTCAATCCTATCGTGAGTTAGTGAGGCCCAGTCACAGAAGGGCAGGTTTCAGGGACTATTTCGCCCATGGGCAATGTTGTCTGAATTTTATATGCTTCCCAAATAGTCCTTTCCAAATTTCAAGAATATATGCTGCAAGGTCTTTCTTCCAAGGATGTATCTAGCACAGTCCAGCTTAATTAATTTTATGGATAAAGTACTCCAAAATACACCTCTCCCTAAAATACATGTATTTGTATGTTATATACTTATAAAATCGATGGTAAACTTGTGTGAATGAACAGACCCATGGCCATGTGCCATGATCCATTTTCTGCCTTCTCTGTGCAACCAGGAGAATATTTATGGTGGCTTAGTTCCCTTTTCCAGAGAGGCCCATGAACACATAGGCCCTAGGAGAGTGTCTACACCACTGAGTGAGAAAGCCATCTCTGGGAGCCATGAGCAGAGAGAGAAGGGGGCACAGTAACAGGACTTGCCACAAGTGGAATGGGAAATGCAATGCAGGACCTGGTTTACAGGGAAAGATAAAACATTTGTTTGGGGATCTATTTAATGTATAAAGTGCCCCAACAGTCTGCTCTCAACAGAGCAGCCAGTGCAATCCTTGAAAAACCTTAGATCATGTCACTTTCTCATTCAAAATTCTCCTGTCTTCTGTTTCACTCTAAGTCTCTAAACTATCTGCCACTCTCCTCCTTTCTTAGTCTAGTCCCTTCAGACTGCTATAGCCAAATACCTTAGACTGGGTAATTCATAAACAAGAGAAATTTCTTACCTGTGGTTCTAGAGGCTGGGAAGTCCAAGATCAAGGTGCCAACAGGTTCTCTGTCTGGGGAGGGCATGCTCTCTGCCTCATAAGACAGCACCTTCTATGTGTCCTCTTGTGGTGCAAGGGGCAAGCCAGCTCCCTTCAACCTTTTTTATAGTTCCATTCACGGAGGGCAGAGCCCTCAAGACTTAATCACTTCCCAAAAGGCCTCAGTTCTTAATATCACCTATTGGAGATTAAGTTTCAACATGAATTTTAGAGGAACGTGTTCAGACCTACTACCACCTTCTTCACACTTGTTAACTCCTTGCCCTCATCCCCTCACACTCCTGCACCTCACTCTCCCTGCTCCACCATGTTGGCCCCCTTGCTGTTTCCAGAAAGTACCAGGCATGTTCCTTGTTGTCCTGGATTTGCTGTTCCCTGAGCCTGAAATGCTCCTCCCAGATAGTCTCTTGGCTTCTCCCACATTTCATTCAAGTCTTTGCTCCATGTCACCTCAGTGTGGCCTTCTGAGGTCCTGCCCTGTTGAAACTGCAGACCTACCCCACCCCTGCACAGTGGAGTCCACCCAGCACTCCCTCATCCCTTCCCTGCTTATTTCTCCCCATAGCACTTACATTATTTCCCTATAGAGGGCAATTTACTTATTGACTTTGTTTATTGTCTGTCTTCCCCACTAGAATCTCAGTCCCACAGGGGCAGGCACGTTTTATCTGTTTTGTTCACTGCTATATTCCGAGAATCTAGAACAGAGCCTGGCACATAGTAGGCAAACAAAAACATGTTTGTGGAATAAATGAATAAACATCCAGTTGGTCTACAGTCCAAAAAAGAAATTAGAACCACAGGTATAGACCTAGTCATGCAGACAAGGATGCAAAGGGTGATGATACCAGAGAATGGAGCTAGGGGATCTCTAAGTATTTTACACACACACGCTCCACATACAGCAGTATCTACCTAATTATTTTCCCCAAAACAGTCATCTCAGCAGAAACTTGGAAAACACGTTTCATAGATGAATGTATTTGAGAAATGCTATATGATCTCACTTTCTTGGCTATTCAGTACACATTAACATACTGAAGCGTCTGAGAAATTCTACAATTAAAAAAATTAATTTTGATAAACCTGCATGTTTCCCAAATTTGATAACACCCTTTAATTCACATAATGTTTAATTGCTTATCAAATAATGTTCTTCCCTTTAAACACACTTTAACACTGACCTAGATTTTTATAACAGTATCAATAATATGATTTATATGATATATAAAGTATAATATGCAATATCAAATTTATGTAATACATATGTTCTATATTTATATGGTAATATCAATAAGAATACTCTTAAAAATAAAATTTTATTACAAAGTGATTGGCAAAGCAGTTTTATCCAGTTTTACCCATGTGATTTCATTGATTCATACCCTCTGTGAGGTATACAGAGCAGATCCCTACTTAAAGAAACAGAGGATCGGATGAGGCCCAGAATGGGTAGGACTTACCAAGGTCACAGAGGGAATGGATCACTTTTCATGCCATTGACTTCTTTGTGATACGATTTCAAAATACTATGTATTAATAATACTCATCCTCCCTTAACAATAGATCATGGCTGTCAGCTCAAGACATCTTTAAACAGAGATTGCACCACATTAGTTAAGGGCACAGGCTGTGGAGCTAGTCACCTTAATTTCCGGTCTGTCTCCATACTCACTGGCCATGTCATCTGGGCAAAGTAATTTAACAGCTTTGTCTCTCAGAGGATGATATTGATAATAGCACTGATCTAAGGGAGCTGAGACGATCACATGAGTTAATTCAAGAAAAGTATTTTAAACTATTACCTAGCACACACTCAAGGTTCAATAAATGCTTGCTATTACTATAGAAATATATGTTACTGTGTTTAATAACTGCATTCTATAACATGGGTATAATATAATCAATTCAATCACTTCCCTACCAAGTCTAGGTTTTTCCATCTGTTTCCTTCCTGAAAAACAAACAAAAAATGAACAACACTTGGAGTTTAAAAGAATCCCAAGTGCCATGTTGGCACAGATGTCTGGAATGAAGAACTCCCAAATACTTCCTGGTGCTGAGTGGGCTCCAGCGGAGAGTGTGGTGGTTGACTGGTCCTTCTCTGGTCAGCAGACTTGGTGTGGAAGTCTCCTAAGAACAGACTATCTCCTGGGACTTGGAGTATTTCCTATCCGTGATCAGCAACATCTTTTCTTGCAGTATTTGGCAAGTTTGTCCTTGTTCCCGGCCAGAATCAGGAAGTTCAGAAGCACATAAAAACAAACAATACATAAAAATGCTTCTCTCAAATTATTCAAAGTTCAAAAAAACAAGAAATTATCCATGATATTGGGATCTACTTGGTATTTTATCTTACTAGTTATATTTATTCTCATCAATGTGCCCATCTTTTCCTTCCCAATGAATGCTTTTTTTTTTTTTTTTTGGCAGTGTTTTTCATTGTACTTTTTTTCTTGGAGTATATTTAAAGATAGGAAGTGGTTAGACAGGTTATCACTGTATTTTGCAAAAATTTACAGGTATTTTCATGACATAAACTATTCTAGCCTCAGTTTTCAAATTATATTTTATTATTAATAATATTTTTAGAAATTACTATTATTCTTAAGATCAGCATAATTTTCTAAGAATGTCATTTCAGTGATCATAGTTGACCAATTGCAAGCCAATACAATAAAGTGCTGCTTTTTGAAATTTTACTTATCATTCAAGATCCATTTAAGTATCAGCTCCTTAATAAAACCTTCCTTGTTCCCCAATTCCATGTGATGCCCAAAGGACTATGCTTCTCTCTCTCTCTCTCTGTGTCTCTCTCTCACTCACTCACTTCAGTCACTCAACTAAATCCAATGGACTTTGTTCAATCACCATTTCAGTTGTGCTTCTTCCACAAAATCCATCTGGAAACCTCTCCCTTGCTCTTGAAGCACTCTCTTCCATGACACAATTCTGGTTTTCCTCCTATCTCTGACTCCCACTTCTCCTTTACAGACTCCTCCTCCTCCAACAAGTGATTAAATGTTACAGATACTCAAGGCTGGATGCTAGACCCTATTCACTTCTCGCTCATTTCCTAGGCAACTTCATGATGACCCATAGTTTTATTTGATTTATAAATTTGTATCTCCATCCCAGAAATTCCCCCTAAGCCCCAGACCCGTATGTCCAACTGGTTACTTGACATTTTTGCTTTGAAATCTCTTGAGGGCATGTATTTCTTTCCACAAACTGGGTCCTTCTAGAATTCCCTTTTTCTGTGACTAGCACAATCAGTCATCCAGTTATGCAAACCAGAAATCTAGGAATGATCCTTGATACTTACCTCTCCCTCAGCCCTCATATGAAATTTCTTACCATGTCAGTTTTACCTCCTACACATCTCTAAAACCTATTCACTTCCCTCTCCCAGCATCAGCACCCTACAAACTACCATCTTTTCTCACCTGGACTCTTAAAATGATTTCCTACCTAGTCATTCTTTACCCTTCCATTCCTTTCTCCATACTGCACCCAAAGTTGTTTTTAATACACAAATCTGAACACATTATCCTTCTATTAAAATCATTTCATGACTTTCTAATTCTCTCAGGAATTCTCTTAAGTCATCCTAAGTCTTTTCTTTAATCATCCTAAGTCTGTTAAAGTCATCTTTTAGAGCCTATCCTACAAAGTACTAACACTTCTCCAGCCTCATTTTGCACCGTGTCTCATCCCGCCGACCTTGTTCTCCTTGCTATGTCACACTTGGCTTTGTTATGATCTCTCCGATAAGCCATCCTCCTGCCACAAGTCCTCTGAATATGCCCCCACAGCCTAGATTCCTGCACTCAGGGTGACCATGCAAGGTATGTTCTAAAGCAGAATACTTTTGAGTGTGAAGGTGGCACTATAACTAATTATGCCAGACAAGACAACATATGTTCACCTTAAATTAACTCCTGTTCATTTACCAGCTCTCAGATCAAACATCACCCCTTAAGGGAACCTCACAGCAACCTCCCTGGCAAAGTGAAGAAGAACATTGTTACTTTTATAACACAATATAACTCTCTTTAGTTCCTGGGGGGGGGGGGGGAAATATATGTATATATATACACACACACACATATACAGGAAGAGAAGTGGGGAAGGAGAGAGAGGAAGAAGGCAAAGAAAGGAAAGGAAGAAGAGAGAGTAGACTACAAAGAAAATGGACACTCAAAATGGAGAGGTAGTACACTCATCAGATCAGAAGAATATCTTTTCCTAATAACATTAGTTTCTGAAAAGAGCATTATTAATTTAAATTGTTGGCCTATACTCAGAGAAATCTGCTTACTGGAGACACAGTGTAAGAGTCTAAGTAAATCTTTGATCATCAATCTAGAAGAAGGACTTTTAAATGTAAAAATTATATTTAGTTTTAAAATTTAACAGTAAATGATTTTCTTTCAATTCTAATAAGAACACTTTATGGGATTGCTAGGGAGCCATTTAAACCCAGATATTTCCAAGTTACTTATCCATATAAAAATCATAAAGCCTCACAATGCTTCTGAGAGAGGAACCCAAACCCAAATATTTCAGTATCATTACAAGTGAGACTTCTCCTAGCTTATACCATATCGACTCACTTATGTGACTGTCTTCTGGATTGTTAATTATCTGAGTGCCAAGAGGACATCTTATGAACCTTTGCATTTCCCTTTTCCTCACCTACTTTTCTTTTTTTTTTTTATTATTCTTAAAGTTCTAGGGTACATGAGCACAACGTGCAGGTTTGTTACATAGTTATACACGTACCATGTTGGTTTGCTGCACCCATTAACTCGTCATTTACATTAGGTATTTCTCCTAACACTATCCCTTCCCCAGCCCCCCACCCCCCAACAGGCCTCAGTGTGTGATGTTCCCCTCCCTGTGTCCATGTGTTCTCATCATTTAACTCCCAGTTATGAGTGAGAACATGCAGTGTATGGTTTTCTGTCCTTGTGATATTTTGCTGAGAATGATGGTTTCCAGCTTCATCCATGTCCCTGCAAAGTACATGAACTTATCCTTTTTTATGGCTACATAGTATTCCATGGCATAAATGTGCCACATTTTCTTTATCCAGTCTGTTATTGATGGACATTTGGGTTGGTTCCAAGTCTTTGCTATTGTGAATAGTGCTGCAATTAACATACCTGTGCATGTGTCTTTATAGCAGCATGATTTATAATCCTTTGGGTATATACCCAGTAATGGGATTGATGGGTCAAATGGTATTTCTAGTTCTAGATCCTTGAGGAATCGCCACACTGTCCTCCACAATGGTTGAACTAGTTTACATTCCCACCAACAGTGTAAAAGCATTCCTATTTCTCCACATCCTCTCCAGCATCTGTTGTTTCCTGACTTTTTAATGATTGCCATTCTAACTGGCATGAGATGGTATCTCATTGTGGTTTTGATTTGCATTTCTCTGATGACCAGTGATGATGAGCATTTTTTCATATGTCTGTTGGCTGCATAAATGTCTTCTTTTGAGAAGTGTCTGTTCATATCCTTTGTCCACTTTTTGATGGGGTTGTTTTTTTTCTTGTAAATTTGTTTAAGTTCTTTGTAGATTCTGGATATTAGCCCTTTGTTAGATGGATAGATTGCAAAAATTTTCTCCCATTCTGTAGGTTGCCTGTTCACCCTGATGATAGTTTCTTTTGCTGTGCAGAAGCTCTTTAGTTTAATTAGATCCCATTTGTGTATTTTGGCTTTTTTTGCCATTGCTTTTGGTGTTTTAGTCATGAAGTCTTTGCCCATGCATGTGTCCTAAATGGTATTGCCTAGGTTTTCCTCTAGGGTTTTTGTGGTTTCAGGTCTTACATTTAAGTCTTTAATCCATTTTGAGTTAATTTTTGTATAAGGTATAAGGAAGGGATCCAGTTTCAGCTTTCTACATATGGCTAGCCAGTTTTCCCAGCACTATTTATTAAATAGGGAATCCTTTCCCAATTGCTTGTTTTTGTCAGGTTTGTCAAAGATCAGATGGTTGTAGATGTGTGGTGTTATTTCTGAGGCCTCTGTTCTGTTCCATTGGTCTATATATCTGTTTTAGTACCAGTACCATGCCGTTTTGGTTACTGTAGCCTTGTAGTATAGTTTGCAGTCAGGTAACGTGATGCCCCCAGCTTTGTTCTCTTTGCTTAGGATTGTCTTGGCTATGCAGGCTCCTTGTTGGTTCCATATGAAATTGAAGTAATTTTTTCCAATTCTGTGAAGAAAGTCAGTGGTAGCTTGATGGGGATAGCATTGAATCTATAAATTACTTTGGGCAGTATGGCCATTTTCACGATATTGATTCTTCCTATCCATGAGCATGGAATGTTTTTCCATTTATTTGTGTCCTCTTTTATTTCGTTGAGCAGTGGTTTGTAATTCTCCTTGAAGAGGTCCTTCACATCCCTTGTAAGTTGGATTCCTGGGTATTTTATTCTCTTTGTAGTAATTGTGAATGGGAGTTCATGATTTAGTTCTCTGTTTGTCTGTTAGTGGTGTATGGAATGCTTGTGATTTTTGCACATTGATTTTGTATCCTGAGACTTTGCTGAAGTTGCTTATCAGCTTAAGGAGATTTTGGGCTGAGACTGTGGGGTTTTCTAAATATGCTATCATGTCATCTGCAAACAGAGACAATTTGACTTCCTCTTTTCCTAATAGAATACCTTTATTTCTTTCTCTTGCCTGATTGCCCTGGCCAGAACTTCCAATACTATATTGAATAGGAGTGGTGAGAGAGGGCATCCTTGTCTTGTGCTGGTTTTCAAAGGGAATGCTTCCAGGTTTGCCCATTCAGTATGATATTGGCTGAGGGATTGTCATAAACAGCTCTTATTATTTTGAGATGTGTTCCATCAATACATAGTTTATTGAGAGTTTTTAGCATGAAAGGCTGAATTTTGTCTAAGGCCTTTTCTGCATCTATTGAGATAATCATGTGGTTTTTGTTGTTGGTTCTGTTGATGTAATGGATTACATTTATTGATTTGCGTAAGTTGAACCAGCCTTGCATCCCAGGAATGAAGTCGACTTGATCGTGGTGGATAAGCTTTTTGATGTGCTGCTGGATTTGATTTGCCAGTATTTTATTTAGGATTTTTGCATCAATGTTCATCAGGGATATTGGTCCAAAATTCTCTTTTTTTGTTGTGTCTCTGCCAGGCTTTGCTATCAGGATGATGCTGGCCTCATAAAATGAGTTAGAGAGCATTTCCTCTTTTTCTATTGATTGGAATAGTTTCAGAATGAATGTTGCCAGCTCCTCTTTGTACCTCTGGTAGAATTCGGCTGTGAATTCATCTGGTCCTGGACTTTTTTTGGTTGGTAGGCTATTCATTATTGCCTCAATTTCAGAACCTGTTATTGGTCTATTCAGAGATTCAACTTCTTCCTGCTTTAGTCTTGGGAGGGTGTATGTGTCCAGGAATCTATCCATTTCTTCCAGGTTTTCTAGTTTATTTGTGTAGAAGTGTTTGTAGTATTCTCCAATGGTAGTTTCTATTTCTGTCTTCGCCTACTTTTCAACATTTTGTGTAATGTTTTGCATAAGCATTTGTTGAAATGAACTGAATTAGTTTAGGATCCCCTCAGCCTGCCCAAAAACTGGCCCCTTTGCTGACTCCCATACCTAAATGTTCTACCAAACTGCAAGATACCTACACACTCCAGTGGAGTCTACATCTTCCTGTAGTCTAACCTGCACCACTAGGGGTTCATGGGTCCCGAGCTGTGGTCCACAGCACACCTGTTGTCCTGGGCTTATAATGTTGCTGTGAAGAAACACCAGGATAAATGTTCGGTTTTCCTCAGGACATAGTTTTGGTGCTCACTTTTATTAACCCTGTCATGTCCAGCAGAGAGAGAAGAAACATGGCCTGGGAAGACTGAAGGGACCTATGAAGTACATCATGCGTAGTTGTTCCTGGTCTCTGTTGTGGAGAATGGAGATGCTGGCCACGTGCAGGAGTGCTTTAGAGAGCAAGGGCTCCCGAGGGCACCTGGAATCCCAATTTAGTCACTTTATAAGCTCTCTGTGCTCCTCAGGACAGTGGGGATGATACACACACCTATGCCTGGGGCTTGTCACAAGGACTAAAGGTGCTCATACACATAAAGCCCTTCAAACAGATCCTGACATTTAGAAAATCCTCCTAAAAATACCAACAATTAAGGAGCTGGTAGGGGGTGGGTGGGGGTTTGGGAAGGAACACAGAATATCCATCGGAAGAATGGTAACTAAGTAAGAACAATAGCTACTGGTTTTTGAATACCAACTATGTGCCAGGCACTGTGCTAAGCAATTTATATATAATGCATTTCTAAAAAACAACGAACTTTGCTTGGTGGAAATTCTGGAGATTAAAAGTATTATCCCAGAAATACGTGAATGATGCGTAATCTTACACCCATCCGTGTTTTCATTACTGAAGGCAGACCCAGATTTCATAGTCCCCAAGTTGACTCCTCAAGTTGTTCTCCTTCTACCCAACCTTTATAAAAAGACATGTCTTTGTGTTCTTTTAAGGTCTTTTACAGCTTTTGAAATTCTCCTTGGGCATTCCCACTGCTTCTTGTTCAGTATCTTTTTTTATGAGACTCCTATGTTCCTGGTGATTGAAGCTTACTTTTTTCTCATTTTCCCTCTGAAAAACTATCAAGCTCAAAAATGAGGATAGCTCTTGTTGACACTAGTCTAAAACCTGCCTTACCTTCTTTAGAAAACAAACACACTACTATTTACATATTCACTTTTCAGCATTCAAGTTCCAAAATGCACATTTGTCAGAAAGTCATCATTCTAAGCTAAAGATGCAAGGTGATGCAGTATTGTTTGGCGACTCTAACTTAGTGAAATTTCCCTTTTCTCTGATTTTTATATGCAAATCAAGATTTTTAAGAAGAGAAGAAAGAACTTTTTTCACATGCAAAGAAAATTGTGTTTCATTCCTTTTGCGAAAAATGTGGTTTCTGGACGACTAACTCCTGGTTTGCCTCTTTCCTACATACAAAGCTCTCTCACCGACAGCCCAGGAACACACAGCTAGTGAAACAGAACAATGGACAGGAAGCCTCCTACTTAGCCAGTTCAGCACATAGTCCTTGATGACCAGGCAGGCCCAGTGTCACTCAAGAAAGTGGAAGATTGAACGCCCACAGGGGAAATTTGGGTCTAATCAGCCATCTTGGCTCCCTCCTGTAAGATCATGGTACTCGGAACAATAATCTCTGCCTAAGTTATCTGAACTGGCTGCTTGTGCTATCCCATAAATCTATGGAGTGATTAAATTGCACAACCTTCCTCCTCTCTTTTAGGCCAGATAAACATCTTAGGAGAAATCGTTCACTTAGTTAATTTGGAGAGTAGTCAGCTGAAATAAACAAAGCTTCTAGCTGAGATGTGCAGTATGGTGAAAGTTGTCTGAGATTTGGGATCTGGATTTTCTCTGTCTTTATTTTGCAAGTGGTGGCAGTGACATGAATTAGTAATGTGCTCAGCAAGCTCAGAGGAATACCTTTCATGAGAGCTGCTTCTTTCCCACCATATTTGGGCTGCTTTGCGGCTTCACCTTTCTGATACCAGCACTATCTCATCTTCCTGGTTCCTTAGTGATGCCCCTGCTATGAATCTCTATCCCATATTCCGTGCAACCTGTTTATACCAAGAACGTCACTATCTTCTTCATTCATCTCAGATGCCATGGAAGCCCAGTAGCTACTGCTCTGTCCCTGACACCTTTTCCTCACCCTGAAATGACCTTGACATACCACGACAGGGGCCAGAGTCTGGTTCTTGTCACATGGCCTGTGTTTCAGCCACTGTAAGTTGTCATCGCTGTCAGAGTCTCCACCCTCTTTGCCAGTTACATAAGAGGCTACATAGACATCTGCTTCCTAGCACAAGCTTTTATTAACCAGAGGCAGCGTGAGAGGCCAAGTAAGCAAGAGGTCCATTCCGGAGCCCTGTCCTCAGGGAGGGTGAGGGGCTGTCGTCAGGTCAGGTCGTGGCTCCTGGGGCAATTCAGCTCAGCTCTGAGCCTGTTTGCAGCCTTCAGTACAGGGGATGACATGTGATGTTGTCAGCCTGAAGGGGCAAAAAAAAGCAGCAGCCTTTCAAAATCAGAATGCCCCTGCTGTTTGTTTCCTTTTGGAACACAATAAGAACAGACTGGGGACATGACTCTAGGCTGTCAACGCTTCCTACCAGCTTCCACAGCACCTTTCATATGCCAGAAGAAAAAAAACAAGTTGCTTAAGTTAAACAAGGACTCAATGAATAGTCAAAATAATTGTTTAGCTTGGATATAAGGCCTTAGGTAAATAGATGATTGCCTGAGACCCTGGGCCAGGAAAAGCAGCTAGGCAGGACACCGCTTGTTCTGTCCCTCAGAAAACAGCCCAGTAGCCTCTGCTCCTCTGAGGACTGTTGTTACTGAATTAATTCTCTCTTCCCACCAGCGTATTAAAGCAATTTAATATCAGAACAGGCTCCTTAAAGCAGGGAGAAGGAAAGAAAACTTTCTATATTAGAAATATACCATTAACACATAAATCTTACTACATGAGCGCTTCCATTAAATAGAATGCTTCAGATTGGGAATGTCTGGTGTGTTTGTATTGAACTGTTTTCATGTTGTGAAATTTCTCAGATGCATTGTTAGCATACTTACAATTGTCCTGCCTCCTGCCTTACTGGTATTCTTAACATGATTTCATCCTTTTGAAAATGATTATTTACTACACCAAAGGGGCATTGTTAGGTTTATGAGGAATCAGCTTCTCAAAGTGCAGTGTAGTTATGGACAGTGTCAGCACTGAAATGGAATCTTCCAGGTATGGTTTCCTTATTTGTTGTTATTGCCGATTTGTTTGGGTTTGTTTGCTTGTTTAGGTATCTTTGCTCTCACCTAGCTCCATTGTTACTTGTCTCTTCTTCCCAAAGTAGGGTGCAGTGTGAAAATTTGTTGCCAGCTAATTTCAGTTCTGCTGAAGAATATTTTTAATAATTGCTTTCTTACTTAAAAGTAATAGATTCCTTGTTGATCCAGGACAGGATTTGGTTGTCTTGCTTGTACAGCCCATTTCCACTGAAATGCTCTTTGATTGAACCGTGAACTCATCAAGGGAGTGGGATTCTCCTGGTATTCTTTTTCCACAAATCATCATGACTGTACATTTGGTTTATCAGCAAACAGCAATCAAAGCATACATTACGTAAGAAAAAGTTAATGCTGACCTGTTTAACCAATTTTTCATCTTGATAATATAGGAAAGTGGTTAAGAACATGAGGTTTCAAGTCGGTTCTGAGTTTAAGCATAAGCTCTGCACTTACTAGCTCTATGAGTCTGAACAAATTATCAAATTTCCATTAGCTTTGCTTCCTCATCTGTAAAGCTGTCAAATAATAATAATAACAGCTACTTTGGGTTGTTGGGTTGATGATGTGAGATAATACATGTAAAATCCTCAGCACAGTATAAGTATTCAATGAATGTTATCTACCATATTATTTTCACATACCTTATAATTTCCTTACAACAACTCTGTGATGTAGATAAAATTGCTATGATTTATGCAATTTAAATATTAGACAACTGGACTTCAGAGTGATTACTGATTCATCCAGGGTTACCCAAGATGGCAAAATGTTCGTCCTGTCAGTACAGGAGCCCCCAAGTTCCCAGTGTATTGCCCTCCCTTCATCCATTTGGCCACAGGGTACTCTTCCTCAGTTTCCCTAAATCTAAAACTTTACGTAATAATGGGCCTCCGCTGCCCTAGATTGTCAGGTGAAGACCAGGAAGAAATCCTGTCACAGGCATTAAAAACTTCATCAATATTACACAGTGATTTCCAAAAGGTGAGCGTGAAAGTGCTGGAAGGAGCCCATGAGATTACAGCAACAGGTCAACAAATCCACAAGCCCAGCCAGCTTTGTAGATAAAATCTATACAGTTCCTCTTTGGTAATACTGAGAAGAAAATACTAATGGAGAAGTGATTTCCAAAAGGTGAGCGTGAAAGTGCTGGAAGGAGCCCATGAGATTACAGCAACAGGTCAACAAATCCACAAGCCCAGCCAGCTTTGTAGATAAAATCTATACAGTCTCCTCCATGCATCATTTTTACTGTATATGTCTCCCTTCTTACCATTATAAAACATAAATTTATTTAAAGTCAGTGAGTCTATCATTTTAACATGCTGTATTTTCTCAATTGATATTAAAACTACAACTACTTTTATGTGAGGATCTAAGATTTTCATTTCTTTTTTCATTTTAAAAACCAGGTCTACACACTCCCTAAGGTGTGTGTTTCTAATCATAAGGTTAGAAAACAACGGTATTGTAGAAAGAGCTCTTCCTATGAAGTCTAACAGCCTAGATTTAAGTGCTACCCCACTGACTATAAGCTGAAAGCACCATAAACTTAGGCAGCTCAATTAAAGTCCATAAATATTTACTATATCAGGACTTTAAGGGGCTTGTGCCCTTAACTGGGACTACAGAGCGAATAGTAGTCCTTCACAACCATTCTTCTCTGAGCCTCTATTTTCTTACTTATAAAGTAAAGAGAATAAAGGTGTCTCTCCTCACAGGGTTATTATGAAGGTCCAATGAGAAAAAACAAGAAGATAAATATACTGTCATGTTGTGAAAGTGCTTTGTAAACATAGGGTGTTCAAGACAACTGCCGAGGAGAGAAAAACACTTCAACTTTTCTTGGTAGCTTTCCTTTATTGACCAGCCACCCCATATTAAAGTACATAAGTACATTTTTTTTAAAGCTAACAGCTTTACCCTCATTGATGTAAGTTTATATTCAGACCTATAAAAGTACTTTTCCATCTATTCCTCTTCCTCTCACTTTGGTTTATAACATTTATCCATAAATTACAATATTCTTTCATATCAATATGGCAATGTAATATCACATTATACAAAGCATTGAAGAAGGCACCAATGTAAAATTCAAAGCAGAGAACAGCCCAAGAGCTCATGGCTTGCACTTTACAACCCCAAGTACACTCAAGGCCCATCTATGAGGGACATTTTAAGCATATCAGTTGCATGAGTTGCAGCTGATGGGGATCTCACCCAGGCCCTGAGTTCCTCCAGGAATTAGGAAAGGAAGGAGAGAGGACTGTTCTTCCTTTCAGCTCCCAGGCTGGGGCCCCAGTGCCACCTTACTTCGGGAAAAAGGTGATTTATGGGAGTGTACCCATTACTACTGGAATTGAAACCTTCCCTGATTCAGTTCTTCCAGAGATACATTATGTCTCACATATTTCTACCTCTCCTCTGATTCCATATTATATATAATAACTGGTGAATTTGGTCTTTATTTCTACTCTTGTCAACAGAGAACATTCACTTAGAATCCACTAAGTACCAGACAGCATTCAAAGTGCTATTATGGAGAAATGTAAATAACATGATATGCATGATCCCTGCTTTGCAGGAGTTTAGAAGGAAGCAAACCAGCATTTATTGCCAGGCAGTGAGTATTATTTTAGCTTCTCTGACAAGGACACTTCGAAGTGGGTCTTAACTTTATTTTATAAATGAGGCGTCTGAGGCTCAGAGAAATAAATCTGCCAAGATCACACAAGTAGCAAGCGTCTGGGCCAGATTTCTCCAAGGCCTACCGTGTTCTAAAGTCCATGCTCTTTCCACTCTACTCCATTACCTCCCCTGATGAGAAAGGCAGGACACATACTAAAAAGGAAAACGAACACAGATATTAAATATTAAAGGAAACCAGCCAGGCGTGGTGGCTCATGCCTGTAATCCCAGAACTTTGGGAGGCCGAGGTGGGTGGATCACAAGGTCAAAAGATCAAGACCATCCTGGCCAACATGGTGATACCCTGTCTCTACTAAAAATACAAAAATTAGCTAGGCATAGTGGCGTGTGCCTGTAGTCCCAGCTACTCGGGAGGCTAAGGCAGGAGAATCGCTTGAACTCGGGAGTCAGAGGTTGCAGTGAGCCAAGATCGTGCCACTGCACTCCAACCTGGCAACAAAGCGAGACTCCATGTCAAAAAAAAAAAAAAAAAAGAAAGAAATATATATATACATATAAAGGGAACCTACAAATAAATAAGTACTAGAAACTCGACAGACTGTCCTGTGTGCAAGAGTGGCCAAGTGCCTGGAGCAAGGCTAGCCTGTGAGCCGATTCTAAAGCACATTAATGATACAATCTGGAAAAAAGAAAGGTGGATGCCAGTCAGAAAACAATTGTGTTGGAACAAAGAAAAATTATAGTCTGGGTGATTAACACTTTTAAGAACGAAAGCTACAATGCAACACCCATTTGTCTTTCTGGATTCAGAGTCTTTGTCTCTGTGGCCCTGGGAAGCATAAAAAGACTTTTGTCTTTTTATGGAAATTTGTAAGTTGCTGTGATTTTCACAGACCCATCTTCTAAGCACATACAAGAGACCTGTGTTCCTTGTTAGTGTATTGCCAACCTCATTACACTCAGTATTAAATATTCCTTTCCACATAGCACTCTTCAGTATGGTGAATGGGAACCATTTTTCTCCTGACATCTGGGGTTGGTTTCATTGAGGATTTACAGGGGAAAAGTGAATGCACGTGGCAATGTTTTCAAGCCTTTGTTTGGATTTTCTGTTTTCTAGGAGATATACGACTAAGGGGTCAGACGGGGGTTCGTGCTGAACGCCGTGGCTCCTACCCATTCATTGACTTCCGCCTACTTAACAGTGAGTAATCAAGTGTACCTGGAAAGGAACAAACGTTTTCTTCAAAAAGAAAAAAAAAAATCCTCATTTCCCTCTGAACTTCGAAACCTTCTGGGGTCTGCCTTCCTTCCTGAATCTCTCTTCTGCCAACTAGAACTTAACCCTTTGTCTTTGAGTTTCCTCACAAGTGAAGTAATTCTGGCCCTGCACTGCCTCTCAGAGCTCCACTGAGGGTCAAATGAGATCAGGTCAGCTTTAAAAGTATAAATCTCTGGCCAGGCATGGTGGCTCACGCCTGTAATCCCAGCACTTCGGGAGGCCAAGGTGGGAGGATTGCTTCAGCCCAGGAGTTGGGCAACAGAGTGAGACCTTATCTCTACAAAAAATCAAAAAATTAGCTGGGTATGGTGGCACAGCCTGTAGTCCCAGCTACTTAATTGGGGGCTGAGGTGAGAGAATAGCTTGATCCCAGGAGGTCAAGGCTGCAGTGAGCCAGGATTGCACCACTGCCTTCCAGCATGTCTCAAAAAGAATAAAATTTTTTGTATAAAAAGTGTAAGTCTCAAAAACTGTGATGCCCTATACAGGGAAGCTACTATTTTCATTTTCCAGCACATTCTCTCTACCTTCAGCCAGAGCTAGACTAGGTGAGATTCCATTTTGTTTTTAAAACCCCACAGGGAAACCTCTTCTACAGTTGCCCTTAGTAACCTACCTGTTATGGAATTCTCACTTCTTTGTCTAATATAAATCCTTGAGGTCTATTCTTGCCTTCCTGGTAAAACTCTTCACCAGGGCAAAATCCAAAGCACTTGCTGCTTTCTCCCTTGAATCTTACAAGTTCATTGACTTCTACCTTCCCCTCCCTAAACTGCTCCTCATCAGTAGTTTTGCTCAACCTTTGGTCCACAATTTTCTTAATCTTAGGTTTCTTTGCAAACCCAAACCAGTGACCAGTCATCCCTCCAGATTTCATGCCTTATAACGATCATAATCATCCTTCACTGTAGACTTGTGGGGGAGGTGGAAGAGCAAGTGGATAAATTTCACAATTTGCTCCAAGGTTTTCAGTGTTTGGTTCTCATATCACTTCCCATCTATAAATTTCAAAGTGCTAGATTATACCCAAAGAATATTACTTTCCTTTGACATAAATAAGCTCAGCTAAAGAGGCAATTTGATTTACTTCAACCCCTGGAAATTACTAGGAGAAATTAGAACCTGTTATTTCTGATCCTTCGATCCTTGAGAGGCCAATAGTAGGTGGCATGTTTGTATTTCTCCTGGCTTGTTAATCTCCCATATCAATGTGCAATGTCTGTTTTTTTTAGCACTTTCAGGGACACAGAGACTTGGAGTAATTCTTTCCACACTAGAGATAACCTTCCCTACCCAGACCCTCAAAAATGCTTTTTGGAAGACCGAATTGAGCCATTAGACCAATGCAATATGGGATACAGCCTGCGGGAGCTCTATTGGTCTCTCTGACCTTTCCTTATACCCTGAATGGGCTGTTCCAGCTACCCACGGAAGTTACACCTTTGACAGTCTCTAGACTGAGTGGATTTCCAGGTCCTAGGCATGTGGTTTCTCCAAGCAGGACAAGGATGAGCAAGGGGTTCCATTTCACTGTTTCATATAGACCAGAACGCTCCAACGGCATCCCATTTTGAAAGTCGGAGGGAGAAAACAACCGAAAGGCCTCTTTTCAATAGTAGATGAGTGTTAGTTCATGGTTTCTAATATGAACCACAAAGGAATTAGGAAAATAAGGGGATATTTCTGTTTATAATTCCAAAGTTTCATTATTTTAAAACCTTAATCCCAGTGTTAATAAGCAACTTTACTGCTAATGGTGGTTATGTTTGCAGGTGGGACAGTGGAATATTTAATTATCTACATCATAGGATTCTGCAACATTTTTTTTTTTTTTTTTTTTTACAATTTGCCTCTTTTACTTTTGTAATCTGAAAAACAACTGCAAAAATAAATAACATTTAAAGAGAAACTCATTGCAGATAATAATTCAGTGTCATATTGTTCACCACGTAAGAGATCATCTGCCAGCAGCTGCTATCCTGTCTTCCCTTTGCTGGAGATCCTCCAGGACTTCTGAGCACCTGGGCTCAACCCCAGCCTCATTTCCCTGGCCCTGGATGCTGCCTGCCCCTCTACCCCCATTTCACCCCACCTGGTACTCACAATCCTCCACTCATCGAGTGACAGTGCTGGCCATCCACCCGGAAATTCCCTTTAGGGTCTCCTCAGCATTCCATTCCGGATAACTCTTTCACCCATGTCTCTTACTCTGTAACATATTGCAGATGCAATATTAATTTTCCTTTAGCATATTTTCCTTTATAGGTGGTCTCCAGTTTTTTTAATGTATCAAAGACACCCCAAAAAGACTATAAGATCCTAAAGACAGTCTTCTCTTTATCCCTAAATAGACTATCAGATCCTAAAGACAATCAATTGCTATTGATCATTTACTAACTATAGTTAACTGACCAATTATTAAAGGGTCTCCTCGAAAACATTATATTAAATAACTATGAATGTAAATCATCCCCTGTGTTTAACTGAACAACACGGGTAGGAATGAAGGCCTCTAAGATTTTCCTTTGTGATACGATTTACCTCTTGGTATAATGCACCAAAGACCCCATTGGTGAGTTGAAACTAGAACAGATAACATTACTGTGGTCGCCCTCCACGGTTCCTAACTTAGTTTGCAATTACAACAGCTTGTCACCATGGAGCAGAGATGTATGAACATCTGTGTTATGCACAGTCACATAAGGTATATATGGCATATCTCCTACTACTTCATATACTGTCTATTTAATTCTCTTTAATATCATTCACGTCCTTGTTGTGGTTTGCCTGAGTTGTTAGTGTGTGCTTTATGCCTAAAGGGAAACATCTTGGGACATTTGGGGATTTTCTCGTAGAACTTTTCTTTTTACCAGCTCATTCTTATTCTACACTGTAAGAGCTGAACTAGTTTAAAGTGATTCTTTAGATCACTTACCTTAATTTTGAGTCAAGTTTTTCCCAGTGTGGGCACAGACCCCAAACTTCATTTTCCTTGGGTGCTTGCAGTTTTGTTCTCTCTCCCACAGTAAAATCTAATCTAGGATTTTTTTAAACCATTTATAGGAAAAACCAAATCACCATAGCTGTCACTCCCCAGCTCTGCATCCCTGCAGCCTTCCTTCCAAAATGTTAGTGAAACCCACACAACTGCCATCCCCTTTCCAAAGTGTCGCTGGGTGGGTGTCCCTCCCCCACCCACCTCAGTATATGCATTGAATCACTGGAGCACGCAAGAGCAGAAATGTATACTAAATAGTGAGGCCCATGCATTTCCCCATTGGTCCCATTAGTCACAGCCCCAGTTTGTCACAGGAGGGCAGAGGACATCAGAATTAAAATCTAAAATTACTTGTCTTCAACCAGAACAAAGTTTCTAGGCGTTAAAATGGATAACTAGAACAGAAGTGGACAAATGACTGTCCACACACCAAATCTGTCCCCTCCTCCTGCCTGTTTTGGTAAATAAAATTTTACTGGGATATTGCTATGCCCATTTGTTTATATGACATCTATGACTGCTGTCACTGAAACAGTGGCAAAGTAGTTGCACAGAAACCGTGTGGTCTACAAACCGCCCCCCACAAACCCCAAAATACTCACCCTATGGCCCTTTACAGAACAAGGTTGCCAATCCTTAACTTAGATTTTTTTAAACAGATTTAAGAGAGCTTTTTGACAAAGCCACAAGCACATTCAGTCCAGTGTGTTTATCTTTGTTAATGTCTTTTTTTTTTTCTGTTCAGTTTCCACTGCCATCACTTTACTTTCAAGAATGGACTCACATTGACTAAATTTTTATGAACAGAAGAATAAACAGAGAGGGAACCTCTGTTATTGATGCAGATTTTAAATTCCAATTTAAAATTATAATTTCTACTTGCACATTCTTCTGGAAGAGATTATTTTTGCGGGGAGGGGAAGCACATGTTTGGGGCAGAGGGAAACACAGTACTACCAATTTCATGTACCTGTTTTCTGCATATAAGGTGACTCTTGGTTTGCCTGGCATAGTCCTAGTTTGCACCTGTTGTTCAGGAGTATTTATTAATAGTGCCATTTTTCATTCCCAGAGTGTCCTGATTTGGACACTAAATTACAAGGCCAACTGCTTATATAGGTTTTCCCAAAAAAGAGTATTTAAATTTAATGTTTCTCAAAGATCACATGCAGGAATAAGCTTAAAAGATCTATTGTATAATATTGTGACTATAGTTAATAACAAACGTATATTTGAAAATTGCTAACAGAGTAGGTTTTAAATGATCTCATCACAAAAAATAAGTACGTGAGGTAATGCATAAGTTATTTAGCTTTACTTAGCCATTCCACAATGTGTGTGTGTATATATACATATAGATCTTGAAATATGTTGTATACCATAAATATGTACAATTTTGTTAAAAATAATAATACCATATCATATGCATTCCAGGAATAAAGATTAGAAAATCATTTTCATAAGAGATTCATCTAGATCAATAGAAATACATAACACTCATTAAAAGCTAATTTCGTTCCCTGTTTCTATTTTACACAATTTAGAAGAGAGTCATCTCTATGAACTTCTTGAAGCTTCTCTGGATAAATAGCAGGAAACTGTGGCCTCAGCACTGTTTGTGTGGGACATAGGAAAGATAGATCTTTAAAGACTGTTATCTTTACACCTAAGCATAGAGAGCCAGAACAGAGAGAAAAGGGGGAAAATTGTTTTTATTCCAGATGATGTCCTAACACAGAGAACTGGAGGGACGGAAAAGTAACGGCTGTATTCTCCCAATGTCGATTTCCTATAGATTTATTTCATTTACTAATTCTGTTTGTAGGGGGGAAACAAAGGAGGAAAAAATGTAGAGAAGAGTGTTCTGAGACTTGTGGACCCAGAGGGGAGAGTTGCAGAAGCAATTACAACCTTCTGCAGAGCAGGCGGCTCCAGCAGCCCCGTCTACAGCTCTGTCTCCTGATTTAATATAATCAGCAGCCTGAGTAGATAATGACTAGGTTGAGATGTTCCCGTGGCAACCATCTCAGAGCAACACAAAGTGATTTCCACACCGGCTCAGCAGAGGAAGTGACATACAAAGAAAACGTGCTCAGGGACTGTGGAGCTTGAGGAAAAGAAACAGCTTCAGCCTGAGGTTTTAGGGCACCAAGTATCCACTGCTACAGAGAACCCAGAGCTCCAGACCAGCCCCTGGGCTTTGCAGTAGTAGGTTAATTGGCTATTTGGCTTTTCCTGACTGTTAATTTGCTAATCTTGATCTTTAAAGCTCTATTCCTTCAGACTTGACTCTCCTGTCAGGGTCATCTTAACTGCACAAGCATGAGGTCATTTTAGTAGAGCTACAAAAATATTTCCCTTTACTTATTATTTCCCAAATGGAACCAATATATACAAACATATATATTTTTTAACCTTTCTATGAAGAAGTGACCCAGAGACTCAAATATTTTTTTAAAGCTGCCATCTAAAACATATTATACCCTGCAGCCATTCTTTCTTTGACATATAAAACACACTCTCTTTGACATATAAAACACACTCTCGATGAAGGACTGTTGAACAAAAGCCACTCAGTATGCTGGAAATCATCTGGCCCTAAGTGATAGCCCCATCTTAAAGATGGAGGGACAGTTTCCTTCCAGACTCCATTTCCTATGAGAGAATTCTTGGCAGACAGTTACAGCCTTTTAGTAACCTTACAGATACCTTTTCCTGTCACCTATAAGAACTACACAAAATGCAAAGAATCTGAACTAAAATGTCATTGGATGATTTGAATTCAGTCATGCTGAGAAGATGCTATCCCACCCCCAGCCCTGTGTTCCCCAAGCGGAGAAGGGAGGTGTCCGCTGGGACTTGTTCAGACTTCTCCTCACACTTGTGAGTGCCAAGGTAACACCCTACAATTTCAAAGTTCAATATTTACCTTCCTCTAGAAGAAAGGCAAGGCACTGGCTGTGGTAGTGGTGCTTTCTGGCTCAGCTGGATCTTGCTCCATGATGGTGCACTCAGGGCTTCTGGCTGCAAGCTCCCAGCACTTCAGCTGCGGAAGTGCCAGGGCAGCAGGATGGTTAACCACTGAAATGCCCACTAGCTTGCAGAAGACAGAGTTGGCGATGTCCCGACTCTCCCTATTACTACCCCTCGACGGAGCACCTCCTATGGTAGGCATTGTACCAGTGCTGGAGATACAAAGATGAATGAGACATGGCCACTGCCCTTGAGGGATTTACAGTAGCATAAGCTACTGTATCTACAATTTATTTACAAATACATTTTGATGTGGTGTGATACACCAAATAATACATGCCTGTATAATAACAGCATACATAATATGAGAAATATATGCATCTACGGGATTCAGAGGAGTTCGAGAAGGGAATAATTAACTCTGTCTTGGAAATTAAGGAAGTCTTCCTGGGAGAAGTTAAAACACAAGCAGATTATGGAAGCAACAGTGAAATAAAAGAGGGCTGTATGCTAAGGTCAACTATTAGGGCCATTATAAAATACGCTTTAAGACTTAAGAAACCAGGAAAACATTGTCAACAAGTTTGCTCAACTAGATAAAAGTGTTATTGAAAGACAAAGTATTCTAGTGGGATCCAAGCAGAGAAGTCAGGAAAAATTATACAACATATGTCTGAGAAAAAACATATTCAAAAAGAAACCATTTTCACCTTCTACATCTAAAAGTGAAAACAGCCATTGCCTTCTGTTAACCTGTCTGACATCATTTAATGGATTACTTTTTATCTGAAGGATGAAAAATAGAAAATTGAGTTAGGGAGTCCAGTACTTCCTCTGGGTTTTCATTCATTTATTCAGTCAACAAACAGCACCTACTCTATGCCAAGAAGGCCATGAAACCCAGGTGCTCTGAGCCACACCAACCGCCACAGGACTGAGATAGCCTTTTGTATGATGGCTACCTTCTGTCTCAGACAGCAGTGGGACTGGGGTCTACCAGAGACACCAAACAAAAATATCTGAACAATTCCTTTTAAGTCAACAAGGACCGGGGAGATGGGGGAGAAACCTGCTATATGCTATATCTGGGCAGAAAATTCTGAGGGCTAGAAAGGAAACTATGAGATATTCTGCTACCCTCAAAGAGCAAACAATCTCATTACATAGACAAGGAAAATAAACATTACACCAAGTACCATACAACAAAGTAAATGATCTAATTCTAAAATAAGTAACAATAATCAGAGACAAGAGAAGGCAGAGATTACTGAAGTAACCTGAGCAGAAGAAGGCTTTATGGTCTTGTGCTAAACACTGAAAGATAAGACAGTGTTGACTGATTAAGGAGTTGCCTATAAGGGAGACTGACCTACATATGAGGACATAACGTCATTAAGTAGGAAGAAGGTCCAAAAAGTAGCAAATAAAGTTCATTAACTAGAGAGAAAGGCTTGGAATGCCAAGATAAAGAATTCAAACTTGTCTCATTAAGAAGAGGATCTCTAGAGAATTTTGCAAAAAAGGTGAACCGTATAAAACACTGTTTGAGAAAATTAACTAACATCCATATGTAGGAGACACAGTTTCAATGAATCCAAAGAAATGTAATCAGGCTGCAGACTGTGATGGCTGTAGAGATGATAGTGTAAATCCACAGATTTCATATAAAAGAAGACATAAAACTGGAGGATACTGAATATTGGGAGAGCCAGAGTTGGTCTGGCCATCTGAAAAATTGGAGCTGAGATCAACAGTCAGAAAAGTTAGAGGATGAGTTAGGGGAAAGATGGTAAGCTCCACTGGGACAGGTTGAGTTTGCAGGAGAATCGAGTGGAAATGTCCGGAAGAAAGCTAGAAATAATGGACTAAAGTGCAGAGGAGAGGTCTATTTTGGGAATTCCACTTGGGAATCATAATCATTCATGAGCCATCTGGCCAGAACAGGCGTCATGAAGTCAACCAACTACTTTTGTTCAGGGGCCCCTGTATTTTTAGTTTATAATAAGCTTGATTTTGAAAAGCATTACAAGACTGTCCATGAGAAATCCCACAAAGAAATTAGTTTCCTTTAGTGAGAAACTCTAAATTTTTCTCTGTGAGAAACTATTTAGACATAAGAGTTCAGGCACCACCTCACTCCCTCATGATGGATTCTATTGAGTACAAAAGTGACTTGTGTCAGATCCCAGCGGATTTGCTAACTCACCTGAACACAGCACAGAGAAATGGCCATTTTCTACTACAGCACTTCCTTGAGCGAAACTCTAACCCACTCAAAGTATTTTCAGCATAGTGGCTTCTTTGGATTTCTGGAGACATTAAAATATAGAGGGAAGCAGAAGTAAATTAAGTTTTTTTTACTGAAGTTACCTATGAGTCACTGAGCTAAAATGACTTGTTTGTTCAATAAAATTAAATTCAACCTCCTACCCAGAAACAGGCAGAGCCTATCTCTGTGACCTCATTAATAAACCAAATGCAGGGCTATTTTTTTCATTGCCATCCCACCTTCAACGTTTCAGAATATCTAAGGGATTCACTGTGGTCCCCATTCTACTGTATGTATGAAAAACCAGAACATGGCCCCATCCTTAATATCTTTTGTATGTTTTCAAACTGAGATCTCAGGGTTCACACACAAGATCAAAAAGACCTTTTTTTCTTTCTAACTAGCAGACCAAATTGCCTTGGGGCATCTGGGTCCTTTATTACTTTTAAGTAAGCTGGGGAAGAAGGGCAGAAGTTATGGAGGAAAGTCCCAAGAAGAAGGTGGCCAATGCCACTATATCTAACAACAGCCACCATAACAGCTCTAGTCTGAGAGGTGCTTAACCCCAGGCACAGGATGTACAAGGCCAGGTGTGCACCCCTCTTAGGCAAGGTCCCCAGGCTATAGGTCTCTTGGAAGCCTGGAAGCACAGGAGGATTGCTGTGAATACTAAAAATAAAAATGAGTCCCTTCACAACCAAACCACGGCTGCCTCTCTGCCTCTTCTACCATGGTTGCCCCACCCAGAGCTCCAAGCTCACTAAGTCATCATCAATAGAGGAGCCCACAGAAAGACCATGAGCTTTGAAGTTAGACCTGGGTTTGAATCCTACTTATACTGTGAGCTTGAAAAAGATGCCCAAACTACTTAATGTTCACATACATGCAAGATTTTAATTTGATTGGGTTGTGGTGAGGAGTAAATGAGATAAATGTGTCCAGAAGCCTGCCTTGCTTATAATAGGTCCATAATAAATACAGTTGAGTTTTGGATGTCCCTTCTCTCTCTGCTGAGTACATCCCTCTCCAGCCACCTCTTCTCCTAGGAAGCATCTGTTCACCCTTCAAGCCCTGGCCCCATCATTATGTCCTTTGTGAAGCCTTCTTCAATCCTCCCAAAGGAGTGAACTCATCATTCTCTCTGCACTCCCACTACATCTCCCAGAAAGCATTATCACATTGTAACTGCGAAGTCATTGAACCTGAATTTCTGGAGGTAGAGCCCAGGATATTTTCAAAACAGCCTCAGGCAACCTGAAGCAACAAGCCTGGCTCTGGGCCTTCCAGGAATATTTGGGAACCACTATATATGTCAATTATGGCATACAAATTATATCTATGCTTTGCACAGTTAGACTCATTTAATCCCCATAAACACCCTATAAAGTAGCCACTACTATTACAGATGAGGAAACTGAGACTGAAAGAGGAGAAATAACTCAACCAAGGTCACCCAGCTTGTAAGCCAGAATTTAAACCCCAAATATATAATCGCAGAGCACAAGCTTTTAACCATAGTAAAGTATAATCCTTTTTATATATGAATTTTAATATTCAAAGGCAATATATGATGCAGTATACTCCTTTTACAATGAACATATATATGCCAATTATTCCTTTTAAATATTTTTTATAAATTATGAAAATTTTCTTTTTATAGTACATTTAGATTATTTCCTTTTGGTATTAAATGACTTCAGTATCATTGAACAAATATTCCTATAACTGAATGAGAAAATATGAGATTAAACATCTAAAAAATCAGATTTTGCAATATTTCTACTGTATTTTCTAATATTCCTGCCACTCTGGTGGAAGACGCCAAATGACAGACTGCACATTTCATCGCCTGACCTTGTGTTCTTTGATAAGAAAGAAAAGGGCGTGGTGGTGACAACTGAGGATACTTGTAAGCTGCCCCCAAAGAAGAAGGAAATGGAATCGCTATTGTGACAAATTAAAGTCAGATTTGTAGCTGCCACCAGTTGCTTTAATTTTTCTCAAGGGGGAGTTGGTTATTTCCTGTCGTGCAAACCATGAATCGCTGAAAGAAACAATTTCTCAAAATGTTTATAACATATTAGATAAAAAGCAGAATAGAAAAGTCTATATCCAAAAAGAAGATCTCAGTTATGTTTATTAAAATATGCCAAAATCCGAACAAGGGTTCTTTCTAGATGATTATTGTTCTTCTGGTTTTCTATTTTTTTCCTACTGGAAGCATGTATTCCTTTTATAATCAGAAAAAAATGAGATTTTATTTTTAAAAATTTCAATGTCCGCCAGAAAAAGAACCTTTATTTTTCTTCCAAAGGAATATCAAGATGCAGAAAATGAAATTGCAGCCATAGGCCAGAAAACATTATTTAACAGGCCTAAATTGGAAAATTGGTTGGAAATTGTGAAGTTGGGTGTTTCTCAAAAGCTATGTAAGCTACTTTGCTTGTCATTTTAAAGTGAAATTTATTCCAAAGAGCACAAAATCAAAGTTCTTATTCACATTTGAACAGCACTTTAGACTTTGCAAAGCTTTTAAATGAAGACACTCAAAAAATCATTGAGCCCAGTTTTTCATTTTATAAGCAAACAAAAACAAAAAACAGGCCAAGTGATTCAAGCAAAGCTATGAAAGAGTTAACCAGGGTTGGGCTCTTCTTACATTCTGTCTTTCCACTCAACCATATAAGGCTTCCTTATATAAGCCTTACCTTCAAGATATAAAATAACTTTTACCACTTGCAAAAAGAGAAAATAAAACACCAGGATTCCCCTTGAAGGTGGTTGGTGTTGGCTCCAGAGCCGGCTGCCTGGGTTTAGATTCCAGTAGCAGTTGCTACAGGACTTTGATCTACTGACCCCTGGTCCTCTGATTCCTCCGGGCTAGAAAAGACGATTCACAAGTGCACATCTCATGGGTTATTGTGGGAAGTAGTGAGTAAGCGTGCTTAGAGTGCTAGTGTAATACCTGCCATGGTATCAATTATTTTATTATTACAGATATTAGTATTCCCATTTAAGAAGGGCATAGGACACATAACAATATAAAGTACTTGACTTATAGTGAAGTAGAGAATGGCCTATTAACCCTTTTCAGTTTTCCATTCTATAGTTTTATCTTTTTTCTGACAGGTATTTACTGAGCTCCCCCTACAATGCCTGCAGCATTGCTTTCCAACATGTGGTTGTTAATAAATTGGTAGAGAGACTGATGGCTGGAAAAGTGAGGCTAGGGAAGGTTGTTTTGTTTTGTTTTTCACAAGACATTGAAGCAAGCTGAAATCATGGTGAGAAGGATCTAGTTGAGAAAGAACCATGGAATAGACCAGAAAAATCATAACTGAGAATAAAGTGTCCTGAGAAGATGGGAGGGGATGACTGGCCTGAGAAAAGGAGGCAACTCTCCTAACAGCAGGTGGGAAGAAGGAAAGAAGGGATGCAACGCAGGGGGTTTGGTAGGTTTCATAGCAGAAAAGTAAGGAATTTCCCATCTAACAACTTCTCGTTTCTCCATGAAGTAGCAAGCCAGGTAGAGAACAGTAGAGATGGGGCAGCCCGAGGGGCCACCAGAGCTTGGTGGTCTTGCTTTTGTGGCACTATATGTCAGTATAGCCCAGAGAGATAGTTCTGTGCTCCACCTGGCCACCAGCAGTCAATGTCATCAAAAGCATCACAGGGAAATTCCATCAGCAGTGTGGTCGCCTGGCTCAGCCTTGGTCATCTAAGTCTTTACCATTGTTTTCAGCTTTCCCCTCCTCAGTTTGGGCTAGTATAGACAAGCCTACCACTATTCCCACCCTCCCCTACATGTCCACATCTCCCTTAGCAATGCACACTGAAAAACAAGAAAAATTATAACCTTGTGTCTGACTCCCCTCTCCTTCCTGAACTCATTTGTGCTCTGTGGGTAATATCATCTATAAGGAAGGTCTAGCAGTGGAAACAAGTTTTCCCTGTCCCTCGGTGTCTGGGCCCTGGCACACCCACCCCATCCACATGATCATCCACTACTGGTCACTCATCACCTGAAGCCAGCTGTGACTGCAGCTAGTTCACTTCTAGGCAGGGGTTGGGAGATGTCCCCTCCTTGCTTTCCTGTGATTCTGGATCCTATAATGCTAATCTTTTCTCCCAAGAGATGCCAAGAAATTAGGCAAGTAGAAGCCCAGTATCCCCTTCCCTCTCCTACCTACCATTTTTCGACAATTCTTTATGTGTAAGGAAAAGAATTCCCCATCTCCCATCTTCTTTTCCCATTCTTTCATTTCATGTTCTACCACATTAGCTTTATTTTCTGTTTTGGAGAGAATTCTTGGAAAAGACCAGAAAGCTAAAAATGTATTTTTAGAAAGTCCTCCTTGGAAGACCTAAGATCATCCCTTTTTAAAAAAAGGAGAAAGGGTAAACTAGATTACACTATTCACATTTATTGAGCAACTACTGTGTACCAGGCCATAAGTGCTAAAAGAAATAAAGGATGAACAAAACATTTTGGGAAAGGGCTGATACAGAACTCACTAGAACACCAGCTAAATTGGCAAGTGTCACGAGGTTCTAATGGAGAAAGCACTGGACATTCTAGTGAAGGACCTTGTGGAAAGGTTGGCATTGGCATTTGGACAATGACTGGATTTTTGTAAGTAGAAGTTTTTTTAAAGTGCATTCAAAAAAAGACCAGGTATGGGAAAATGCTGAATACGTTTAAAGGGTGAGCACCTCAGATTCTGCGGTGAATGTGTAGTGCTGAAAGGGTATTGCATAGTTGGAGGGACGGTAATCAGAATTGATGTAAAATTAGGCTGAAACCCTTACTAAATGTTAAGGGTTGGTTAGAACCAGACCAGTGATGGTCTTGAATGCCAATTTATAATCTTTTTTTTTTTTGAGACGGAGTCTTGCTGTGTCACCCAGGCTGGAGCGCAGTGGTGTGATCTTGGCTCACTGCAAGCTCCGCCTCCCGGGTTCACGCCACTCTCCTGCCTCAGCCTCCTGAGTAGCTGGGACTCCAGGCGCCCACCACCACGCCCGGCTAATTTTTTGTATTTTTAGTAGAGATGGGGTTTCACCGTGTTAGCCAGGATGGTCTGGATCTCCTGACCCCATGATCCGCCTGTCTCGGCCTCCCAAAGTGCTGGGATTACAGGCGTGAGCCACCACGCCCAGCTATAATTTAATCTTTTTTAAATGGAGATTTCACTTAGGGCTTGTGAGTATAGACAAACGCATTTTCTTTCCCTCATATCTTATATAGCAAGTGGTTGCTCCTGCTTAATATTAAAACTAAGTTACAAAGAAAGAGTCAGTTTTTCCTGGGTATACAGTGAAAACACATTCCCTCTTCAATCCCCTAACCCAACCTTCTATGCCTAAGATCAAGAGTGCTTTTACAATATGCTTTATAAAAACCTCAAAAACTCATCTCAGTATTCAATTATATTTCAAAATTGTTGCCTGGAAAGCCCAGGATCTCAATCCATTATTGGTGTACAATCTATAATTGTATATTGGAATTCTAAAATTAGCTGGTATCTATTGAAAGTGTTCTATGTGCTAAGCACTTTATATGTATAACATTATTTATTCCTCTCAAAAATGTGTAGATTCTGTAAATTATTATCCTCAAGTGACACAAGGGGCAACAGAAGCACTAAGGAAGTAGAGAGGTTCAGTAGCTGTATGGGAGCATAGTCAGGTTGCAAAGCTTCATGGAAGACTCTAGAGATCATCCTCTGTATCTCTCTGCAGGCAGCTCCCATCACCCTCCCTGCTGAGATGGATGCTCTTCAGGCAAGCCTCCAGACACACTAAGACTGCTGGGATATTCTTATTCATTCATTTATTCACTCCATTCGTATTTACTGAGCACCTATGTGTCAGGCGCTCTTCTAATTGCTTAGCTCTTACAGTGGAAAGTGAACAAAGTTCTTTCATTTGAAAGGCCTCTTCTCCATCTAGGTGCGGTGGCTAATCCCGCACTTTGGGAGGCTGAAGCAAGAGGATCACTTGAGGCCAGGAGTTCAAAACCAGTCTGGGCAACATAGCAAGACTCTATCTCTACAAAAAATAAAAATAAAACAATTAGCTGGGTGTGTGATGACGCGTGCCTGTAGTCCTAGCTACTCGGGGGGCTGATGTGGGAGCATTTGAGCCCAGGAGTTCAAGGCTGTGATGAGCTGGAAGATACCAACTCTATAAAGTAAAAGACCTCTTATTTTCTCTATCACAATTATGCCTCTTGATTATAACAATAATTATTCTTTTAGAGGAAATATTAGGTCTCCAAAATGTCAACAGTGTTCTTCATATCACTGCCAAACTATCTCAACGTTCACATAGAAAATCATTTTTACAGGCAAATAGATTATAACATCTCAGAAGGAAATGTCTTCAAAGATAAGTGCTGCCTAATATATTAAAGGACAAGCAAGTTCTAGTTGGTCAAATGGTCTCTTCGCTGGGAATTGCCAAACAAGGATAACCTGTTTTGAAAGAATTATAGCATAATCAAAAACTCCTAACACAAAAGCTATTTGAGGCATAACTTAACTCTTCCCCAGTGACTCATGACTTCTCAGAATCTTAGAATGTTTCAGAGTCAATTAATTTAAACAGCAATTATTAACTGGAACTTCAAAACAATCTTTGTGAAGAGTTTAGCTTTCTTATTGTTGCAATTTCCATTTGCTGAACCAATTAAGGCCAGTGGTACCACCTGAGATTTTGAAAATAAATCAGTGGGTTTTTATTTCAGCTGTTTGGAAATGACTAATAGAGTAATACAATAGATTAATTTTATCTAACATTAATAGCTGGATGTATAAGAAACACCCACTCTCTAGAAATTAAGACATGTCACCATAGTCTTATGACAAGAGTGAGTCTCTTATTTTTGAACTTTCTATTGAACAGTTCTCACCATCTTAAATCACCCTTTGTTATGAGTTTTTAAGTGTCTTAAGTAGAGAAGGTTAAGAAAATGAATACTTATACTCCTTTAAATACTAATTAAGAGGCCCTGGTAACCATTTATCAGTAATATTAATGGCATGAAAATTGAAAAAGTATGACTCAAAGGTGAATTCAGGGCAATTTAAATTATATATAAAAAATAAAAACTTAGGTGGAAGAATTTAAAAATTTTAAAATTCTGCCCAAATTGTGGAGTGCAATTTTATACACTGGGAAGAAAAATGACAGCAATAAAAATTTTAAAAAGATGAAAAATATTTTTTAAAAAATTGTGCAACCCAATTTTAAATGGGACTGAGAAATATAAGCAAAGCATCGACAAAATAGTATATTGTTAGAAAAGCTATGCAAATGAAAGAACATTAAAATCACTTTGCTATATAAAACAATGTCAAATGACAGTATCAAGTGTCCACATCCCCTGAGGCCAAGTTTCAGTCATCTAGTCCATATGGAGAGTAATGCTGTGCCCTCAGCTATTTCCTTCTTAGGACTAATGGAAATCAAATTAGCTCCCTTTTCATATTATGTGAATAAAATATAAGTTCCACAAGGAAAAGGACTTTATTTTGTTCATTGCTATATCCTAGTCCCCAGAACAATGCTTTTTTTCACATAGCAGGATCTTGACAGATATTTGTTGAATTAATAAATATTGAAGGCATTTATTCAAAATGACTTGTTGCTATGGATGGCGTATTTTATTTTTACTAAAGTTAAATTATATATAACATGCTGACAACAGCAGCTGGAGAGTTTGCCCTATTGTGTGAAGTTTTTCCAAGAAGAGTTTAGCAAACAGCATATTTGTGAAGATTATCAATATGTGGAATGGGTGTGATATTACATACATATCAAATTATTTGTATTTGTGATAAAACAAATATTTAAAGTACAATATTGAGGATTTTAGTAAAAGGAGAATTTGTCTTTTCTAAACAAAGAAAATTATAGGGTGTGACTAGATCATCCTTTATCCTTAAGTCATATTTTCCAAATCTTTAATCCTTTATAGCACCATTTCCCAAAGCGTGGTATGGGAACACAGGCGATATTTTTGTTACAGAAACAACCTTTTATCTTTTACTATAATCGTTACATGTATATTTTAACATGTACTAGAGAAAATGTAATTAGCACGTCAAATCTGTTTTTTATTGATACTAATTTTATATAAGTTATATGTAAGTAAGGGCCCGGGCATGGTCACTCACACTCGTGAATTAGCACTGTGGGAGGCCAAGGCAGGAGGATCGCTTGAGGGCAGGAGTTTGAGATCAGCCTGGGAAAAGACATCTCTTAAAAAAATTAAAAAATTAGTCAGGCATGGTGGTGCACACATGTAGTTCCAGCTACTCAGGAGGCTGAGGTGGGAAGATCACTTAAATCCAGGAGGTCAAGGCTACAGTGAGCTATGATACAATTGCTCCAGTGCACTCCAACCTGGAGACAGGGCAAAGATCCTGTCCCTAAAAAAAATAAATAAATAAAGAATACATATATATATATAGGTAAAAATGAATTTATTTGATTTTTTAAAAAAGATATTATGTAAGTAGTGGTATAGGCAGATATGGTAAAAACCCTACTAAAGGCAAGAGCATGACTGAAATTGAGGAAACTCTGACCTTAGTTTCTACTTGGAGCAGTGAGACTCAGAGCAAATACTCCATTCTTCTTGTAAAGGTGTTCCCAGGCTTCAGACAGGAACCCATTACACAACAGCCTTCCCGGGGCGTTTTTACCCAGCAGAAAGACTTCTAACCCTCTCAGACCCAATGCCTCCTTTTTATAGCACATTTTATAATCTTTACTACCTTGATAGATCCTTTACCCTCTTGAAAGGAAATCTACAGCCTACTTATTCTCATAAGTTAAAAAAAAATCATAATAAGGCCCTAGCTTTTAATACACAAGAAATACAAGAAAAGCAACTTATGACAAATAATGTTTTCAATAAGTAAATACTTGGGCATAATCACCCTTGAAGGCCTACGGATATGGTCTATATTGCACCCACATGCAGAATCCCTGTGAATGTGACAGTCCAGTGCAGATCGATACAGGTGTATTATGTTGGAAATGCAGTCAACTATCATAAGCAGTCTTGCCACTGGTAATTTCCTAAGAAGGCGAACAACTTCTGGGAAAGTCATGTCCACCACTCCCTCCTCTCACCCACAACCCCCCAAAAACAACATTCTTTCCTTAGTTTGCATAGTAGTTACATTTCTGAAAAGGGAATACTTGTATTAAAACTGTACAAGAGAACAACCACTATGGAAAACAGTGTGGAGATTCCTTAAAGAACTAAAAGTAGAATGACCATTTGATCCAGCAATCCCACTCCTGGGTATCTACCCAGAGGAAAAGAAGTTATTATATGAAAAAGATACTTGCACGTGTATGTTTATAGTAGCACCATTTGCAACTGCAAAAATGTGGAACCAACCCAAATGCCCATCAATTGATGAATGGATAAAGAAACTGTGGTATATATAAATGATGGAATACCACTCAGCCATAAAAAGGAATGAATTAATGGCATTTGCAGCAAACTGGATGGGATTGGAGGCAATTATTCTAAGTGAAGTTACTCAGGAATGGAAAACCAAACATCGTATGTTCTCACTCATAAGTGAGAGCTAAGCTATGAGGATGCAAAGGCGTAAGAATGCCACAGTGGACTCTGGGGACTCGGGGAAAGGATGGGAAGAGGTTGAGGGATAAAAGATTACAAATTGAGTTCAATGTATACTGCTCAGGAGATGGGTGCCAAAATCTCCCAAATCGCCACTAAAGAAATTACTCATGTAACCAAATACCACCTGTTCCCCAATAACCTATGGAAATAAAAATTTTTTTAAAAATTATACAAAAGAATACTTTGTGATCTCCATGAATATATACATACCTACTATGTACCCACAAAAATTAATGATTTTAAAGAAAACAAAACTTTGAGCTTACCTATCAGAGAAATGGGGTTAGGTTCTAGGTTCAGATCATTATAAACAGGCTTTTCACCCATATGAATACCTGACCAGCCATTGAAAAATTGAAGGTGATACAGGACAATCCTCTGTTGTGTAGAAGAGCCCCATATACTTTGCGACATCCCACATCCCTGGCTCCCTTCCATTAAATTCTGTTCTGGCCATTTCTATCATTTGACAGCCAAGAATGCCCCCCCAACATTTCCCCAATGCCTCCTAGGAGGTAATGCCTCCCACATTGAACTCATAAATCCCAATAGCACTCAAGGATTTATTTTTATTTTAAGCTATCCATTACTATCTGACATGTAGTCATTAAGTCCCTTTGGGCTTTTTATTTATCAGTGATAGCTTTTGGTTCCAAAGTGTCTTAAACGTAAGAGATGATGGCTTCTAAGGCTATTATCAGTAATATTCTACTATTATTACAGAAGTGTTATTGTTTATGGCTTGTTATTAACCACAAAGTTTCTCTTTTGGCTTAAAGTTGGTAAAAATAAATATTGTTAAAATAAATTTCAGAAAGTTTGGTTGCTCTTAAGAAAAACACTCAAGAGTTAGGGGCTCCTGAAAAGTCTGAAATTCGATATAATTAGAAATCTGGTTACTGAAAACCAGATACTTTAAAAATTAAGCCTCTCAGGGCTGCAAATTTTAACAGCACAGTTTTAAAAGCAGATTCTTGGCATAATGTTGAGGGGGTTTTGACCAAGTCATGCTGAGAAATTTGCAACTGCAGCATTCACTGGGGTGAACGCAAAAGAGAAAAAAACACATTAATGAAAACTTTCCAGGATGAAAGACCTTAAACTTAGCTTAACTTCTGAACTTTTTGCTCTGCTGTGATCTTTCTGACACTTTGAAGAATGATTCTGGATGGGCTCCAAATAGCACACTCCTCACTCCTCATTCTTAAACAGTGTGAAATCTGTCAACCCAATCAGGTCATCAAGAGGGCAGACTGCCACTTGTCATTACTGAGAGGGGTGTTCTCTAGGACACTGAAAATGTCGGGCAGGTCTTGCTTTTTACCAAGAGCTAGGGCCTGGCATTTTGAGAAAGACACTTATTTCCACTCATTGGGAAAGCTAGCTTAGCACCCGTGTGCAAATCAAGTATGCCCTATTCAATTTACCAGAGTGATGCTTTGACATCATTCCCCTTAACAGAAAGCTGACAATCAACAATAGCCCACAGGGCTTTATTTGCAAAGATGGAAAGCTCAAAACAGTTGCCTCAGCTCAAGATGGAATCTAATTTTTTAAATTAATTCTAATGCATGAGACAAAGAAACAATATCAGTTAATGAGAAGCATGGGAACTGTTTGAATGCCTGTTCTTCTACTTGTTACACGTGTTTTACTGAGTGTCTTAATCTTTTGGTACTCTCTTTCTCTGCTTATAAACCTGGAATAATGATAGGTATTATTAGCTCTGGTTATTTTGTTGTGAGAACTGGGACCCCCCCACCCCTGGGCAAAATTACCAAGTGGATTAAGTTTTCCTTTGACTTTTACCCCTTCCTTACTCACACCATTGAGCTAAGCACTAGGGATTATAGGTAAATAAGGCATAGGCCCTGCCCTCAAGGAACTAACAGTTTAGTGGGTGAGAAAGACAAGTAAATATGATAACGCATATATGGCTGAAGAACTGCTTTGCTGAATATAATTAGGGTGGGGTTGCTTTGGAGCCCAGCACAAAACACTAGCCACCATGGGGAAAAGACTAGGAAGACTTTCCACCCAATCACCTTCTTTCTCCTCTCTCTGTCCCTTTGTCCCACCTTTCTGCTCCCCCCAAAGCCACCACCCCATGACTTCCCTTCTGAGATAGAACCCCAAGCTTTAGACTGTTCCTTCTGCCCCCTTCCATCAGAACTTATCCATCCAGCATTGCCTACCTAATTGCAAACTAATTCAAGCTAAGGCATTCATTGATTCATTAACTCTTTCTGAGTGATATTTGCATTCTGACTGGAGCTGTCCTTACACACTCTACCAATCTGTATTGGGCATATACCATGTAGATTCATTTCAATCTTTTACCTAAAAGACTGATAAGTGGAAGAACCAATCCTTGAACCTCATTCTAGGCCAAGTATCCTTTTCTCAGAAATAGTTTCTTATTCCATTTCATCACAGTCTGCAGGCTCTGCCTAGCTTGTCAGCACCTGTAGCAGAGACTCCGTGTACAGCAATAGGATGGTGCTAAGTCTCATCTATGTGGAGATGAGACATATACCAGAGAGAATGGAGAATACTGTCATGGCACCATAGCTGCTCCTGGAGGTCCCAACCCCATGAGGGCACTGCTTAGTTATCCAGCCACACTACTTGCCCACTAGAAGGGCAGCTGGAAGTCCCAGGAGAGGGCAGAGATTTCCTCCAACCACACCCCTCCCCACTCCCCACCCGAAGGCCACTGTTTTTGGCTCTTGCTGCTATGGAAGGACAGGAGTGAGCTCCCGCTCTTGACAGGAAACTCTCCAGGAGCAGAAGCTGTAACTTCCTCATCTTTGCATCATCAGCACCCAGCCCAGTGTCTGAGCCAAAGTAAACCCTCAGTTAATGTTTGGAGAAGGGGAAGGAAAGGAAGGGAAGGGTGAGCTGTTGAGACAATCGAGGATAGTTCTTCTCTTTGGCCATTCTAAAAGTACTCAGCTAAATTTATTCTAAAATGCTAGGTCTCCACCTTCTGCTTCTCTCTGTCCCCTCCTTCAGACACAGCAATTAAACTCTTCATTCTGAGCAATCCAGTGTTAACCTAGGATGAGAGAAGGCAAGAGAAACCTCAGTGCCAACAGTGCACATCCTTTTTTGTGCATTTCTATGCCCCCTCACTTTCATCCCCTGCCAGTTGCATCTCCACAGGTCCCACCTGAGTGGGTTTCTCTGTGGCTTTAGCACGGTATGTGTATATTCATATTTTTTCCAATATAGGTGTATGTAAGCTTGTTCTCAGAGCTCTATAGTTTCCATAGTCGTAAGAATAAAAACATTTTTCTGACCGACCACTCCATCCCTGCCATGATGCTTTACCTCATCTGGAAGGGTGTGCAGGACCCAGTCCATTACCAGAAAGGATACAGTCTCATAGAGCGCAACTCTCAAGCCCATATGGGATTCAGAGGGTGGCGCCAAAAACTTCTTACATTTCCTCTCAGACTACCTTTCACTGGTACAGAAACCTCCTCCGATGGGTGCTTGAATGTCTCTTCTCTCTTGATCTCCCTTCCTCATTCCTTTTCTACTGCTCTGTCTCCTCACCTCTCTACCTGACCACACCCCCTACATATATACCAGGTGCCATCTTGCCTCTATGCCATGTGGAAAGAAAGGCTTCTGACTCCATCAAGTGTGAGCGGCAAAGTAGAGCATCACTTTCTTGAGAGCAGAGCACCCGCTAGACAAATGATCTTTCTTTTTCTTGCTCATATTTTTTGCTTTATACAGTATTTTAATTTCTAGGCACTTTTATACTAAAACCTTCCTTACCTGCCACAGCTGAAGTGGAAACATAAGTAGTGAAGGGGATAAAGAGCCAATCCCATCACCTTCCTCTGGGTAGTTGAGGACAGAAACACTCACTTAAATCTTCTTGTATGAGTCCGTTTTCATGCTACTGATAAAGACATACCCGAGACTGGGTAATTTATAAAGAAAAAGAGGTTTAATGGACTCAGTTCTACATGGCTGGGGAGACCTCACAATCATGGTGGGAGATGAAAGGCATGTCTTACATGGCAGTGGCAAAAGAGAAGTGAGAGCCAAGTGAAAGGGGTTCCCCCTTATCAGACCATCAGATCTCATGAGACTTATTTATTACCATGAGAACAGTATGGGGAAAACCACCCCATGATTCAATTATCTCCCACCGGGTCCCTCCCACAACATGTGGGAATTATGGGAGCTACAATTCAAGATGAGATTTGGGTGAGGACACAGCCAAACCATATCCATTCTGTATATTCAGGTACCACAATGCCTTGCACAGAGCAGGTGTTCAATGGATATTTATTGGTGGAGGCTTCCCAGTGTTCATCAGACTACAAAAAACAAATAGCCAATTCATTCCTCACCTGCTTCCAGTTCATTTGACAACTACCAAAAAATATTATATATTATAGCCATTCCTAATTAAAACATTATGCAAAATTATCAATGTAGGTAGAGATATTTAGAAAACACATAAAAGACATATGTGTTTTCTAGAGGGAAGGTAAGAAGAAAACAATGCCCATGGGCCATGTTAAGCAGCAAGGAAAGGTTTTGGATTATGCCCTGACACCATGACTCTATCAACAGATGTCCCTTCAGGTAAAATTTCAGGAGACTATAAGGCTTGGCTCCAAAGGGTTAAACACAAGGCCTGTATGCATCCCTGTGCATCCTGGCAGGTTTTTTTTTTTTTTTTTTTTTTTTTGAGCCGCCTGTTTGCCCAAGTAACTCCCACTCTTTCCCTTCCCCACAAGCTGCTGCTCCACTCTATGTACACAACAAAAATATTTGTCTTTTCCAAAGCTGGGGGCACTAACCAATGTCTGTGAATTTCTTTGTATAATAACATAATAATCAAATCACATTAAGTCAGTGTCAAGTGAGACATGTGTTTTCAATTTTAAAACCCACAAGTGATTATTTATTCCTTAATACTTCATTTGTACATTTAGTGAGAGAAATAGGAAAGTCACACATACATAGAATCGCTTCCAACCTTTGCTATGAAGTTATTTCTCTAGGTGTTTTCTAGTTATTTTACAAGTTGTCTTTCACTATTAGCATTACAGTATTTCTCACTCTCTTGTTCACTGATACCAAGTTTAATTTTCAGCCTTTACAACTTTATTGATTTTTAAACACTCGTATTTATGAATTACACGGTTAGAAAGAATGAATAAGAAATGTCCTCTTATTGGTTTTGTTTTACTATACTTTTTATGTGGTAAATAACTCATAATATGAGATCTACCATCTTAGCAAATTTTTAAGTATATAGTACAGTCTTGTTAACTGTAAGTACAATGTTGTACAGCCGACCTCTACAATTTTTTCATCTTGCATGACTGAAACTCCATACCCCTTGAACAGTGATTTCCCATTTCCACTTCCCCCAGCCCCTAGCAACCACCATTCTACTTTCTGCATCTATGAGTTTGGCTACTTTACTATACCTTTTTTTTAAAGTACCAAAACTTTAAATCCTTTGGGTGCTGATACATCATTTTGGATCCCTATACCCCAGAGAAAATAGGGTCCTCTGCTAGACTGCCTTATGTCTCCACTCTTTGCCCTTTCCTGTAAAGAGCAGGATATAATGAGCAGAGCATCATCTTCAAGGTCAGAAAGACCCAGGTTCCATCCCTGCTCTGTTACTTATCCATTGCATGACTTTGGGTAAATTATTAAACCTTTCCAAACTCATTTCTTCATCTGTAAGATGTACCTATTTTAATATCAACTTCACAATACCTACTTTTATGAAAATCAATTGGATCACAAATGTAAATTACCTAGTAGGTGCTCAATATTTTGATTCCATCACCCCAGCTGCAAACCCTAGCCTCGTATGGATTGAATACATGGAATAGGAGACCCAGTGTGTTTGTTCTAGATGAAATACATGAGATATGTCTTTGGGATCCATTCAGACATGCAGGTGGACACTGCAGTAGTCATCTAAAACAATTCTTTCTTCTCTCTGAACTAGTTCAATGTGAAAATATATAGCTTTCCATGCCCTGTTAATGTCTTAATGAAACCTGCTTCCTTAAGAGTGTCCTGCACCAAGAATACAGACATGATTAGTCCTAAGGTGCCACTACAATCCATAGAGCGCCGTGGGCACTAAGAGAGAAATCTCAATGCACAGGTAAATTTCTCAAGTTCTCTGAGGAACTAAGGATATTTACACTTAAAGAGTTATATTCCAACCACATATAAAAAACACATAATTAAATCACAGAATCCACTCCAGTGAAATATAATTCAAGCAGCCTTTGTAACCTATAAAGAAAAAGGAATTAGCTTCCAGTGCTTTCCCTTTCTAAAGCATAAAGCATAAAGCAGCATGGCACATGTATACATATGTAACTAACCTGCACATTGTGCACATGTACCCTAAAACTTAAAGTATAATAATAATAATATTAATAATAATAAAACAAGAAGGGGCTGCCAAAAAAAAAAAGCATAAAGGTTTTCTTTCTGGAAGTTTTTAGAGATCAAAGTTTCTATCTAGGCCTCTACCAATGAGTAAAGTTAGTACTAATCTACCATCATTCTAAAGATGCACTTATAATCATTTAGGAAAATCCAACAAATTCAGAAAAGAAATAGAGGTTCAAGTTCTTCTACACAGGGGATCATCCCTGTTATCTGATGTGTTAGATGAGTGAATCTTGCTTGTTCTGGACAATTACTTCAATTCAACAATTACATGGTAGCACCTATCATGAGCCAGATAATGTACTACAATAGACAGAAGAACAGCTTACACTTCAATAAATAGTCATCTCATTCCTTCATTCCTTCTTTCAGTAAACACCTTTTCGGTAAGCTAGGCACCATAATAATAATAGGTAAGACATGGTCCTAGCCTAACAGGGTTTACAGCAGCGTGCAGCATCTGCCACATAGCAAGTGAGCTAAGTTACTGCAATACTAGGAGGAGAGCTGAATGCCTCTGACCAGGAGCCCAGGAGGAAATACTTGAGGTGGGCTGCCGAAGGACAGATGGCATTTCAACAGGTGGGGAGAATATTCAATTGAGAAGGAATGTGGGAATCCAGATAGAAACAGAAAACTCTGGGGGATGTGGCATAAAAACAGCAAAAGCAGAGATCTGTTTATCTGCAGGGTACTTTTGGGAGATAAAAATGGAAAAGTAAGTTGGCCTCATATTGTGGAGGGCCACGAATGTCAGAATAAATAATATAAATTAAGGAGACATTGTGGGGGCCATTGAAGGACTTGGAGCAGGGGGCTGACATGGTAGGAGTTGTGCCTGAGGAACGAATCCGTTGGTGGTAGGTGAGATAGATTGAAAGGGATGACTAAAGGCCCTCAGAGGGGTTAATCCAATATCCTGGGACAGGGAGTAAACTAGCAGAGACACTGAAAGGAGAGAAGCAGTTGTAGTACGTTATGGCACACATCTGGAACTTTTGCAGTCAAATTTGACAGTCCAAACATATCTCCCAGATAAAAGACCACACTTGCTTTAAATGTATGCTGAGAACTACAGAGTTAATGCAGCAGTTTTTAACCTCTGGAGACTTAGAATCAACTCAAAGTTTGGTCACTTCAATTTGCTCACCACAAACCGTTGCCCTCAAAACTCTGGATTTGCTGTAACATTTCAAACTCTGAGAAGCGGAGGGTTCAATAAAACCACATTGCGCCTGGCATGTATTTCTTCTTTAGGACTGAGGAAACTTGATCTGCTTCTTACTAATTCATTTAAATTTCATTCAAACTGGGATTTTGAAAAACGTTTCGATTGCCCAGAGAAGCTTAAGAGCTTACTTTTAAAGCCTTTTTTCCCCTCCTTACAAAAAGGAAACAATAGTTTTCCAACCAACCCTGAACCCCGGATGTCAGAGATTCAACCCATTCGTTGGGATGGAGTTTATGGTAGGCAAAAAAAAAAAAAAAAAAAAAAATTGACTAAAACCAGCAGATTTTGCCAAAAATCCGTGTGTTGCATGGTTAAGGAGACAAGCATTTGCTCCTCTTGAACACCTACAAGCGATGCAGCAGGGGTGCAGACAGTCAGCTAGGAAGGAGCTCATTCTATTCCATGACTCAAATCAGCCATGTTGGTTTTCCCTTCACTGTCAAGAACATAAAGGAAAAATGGCAATTGAAAAAAAAAATAAGCATGTTAAAAAGGAGAGTGAGAGAAACAATTTCACTCTGCCTTAAAGAAGACTTTCCTATTCCTCCCCCTGCTCCTCCCACTTGGTGGCAATGTTGAAACAAAGCTCTTCTTCTAGTGACAGCCATCAAGAAGTCGTGAGTATTTTTTGTACACAGAAGAGCTAATGACATAAGGCTTTAATACATTCTATTCAAGACCTGAGTTTGGAGAACTTAAAATAACTTTTGAGTTCCTTTAAGCTCAAACAGATTTTCCAACTTCAAATTAAATTTTAAGATGATGGTTTGCTTTATTTTGGTTTAGGTTTTTTCTCCCTTTCTTACTTTTTTCCTCTTTTTGGTGGTTTTATTATTGTTGTAGATGTTTTGTTGTATGTGTTTTTGTTTTCTAATAGTTACAACTCATCTTCTTTTCTATTAAAAACTAAGCCTAGCAAATGCCCTAAATGTTAAGAAATTTGTTTTTATCTTAAATTGCTCAGAATTTCAAAGTCATTTATAATGACTTTGTCTTAAAAATATGTCCACCCATGTGAGGAAATCTCCACACTTGATGATGTTAAGGGCCAAATAATATATTTGGTTGTCATCAGTTTCTACCCATCATTTTCTGACCACTGAGAATAGACACAGTAAGAAATAAACAAATATGGCCTCTTATGACCACTGGTGATTTCTGAAAGACTGGGGGAGTCATAGTATTTTATTTTAAAAGGTTTTCTGGCAGCTATTTTATGAATAAATGAAACTTTAATGTCTAGAGATGCTAAACTGTGAAAGGGATGATTTGAATACTGAAGTCATTACAACCAAGTCTAAGTTATTAAATTTGCTAAAAGCACGTGAAAGTGAATCGAAGTGTTTAATACATTGAAGGGAGCACTGGTCTCATCCAGAGAATGACATCCTTAGCACCTCGTCAAAGTCCGTACTGTAAGTTCTGGAAATGACTCAATATTGTTTTCTACACACAACCTCTTTAAATTTTTTTAATTTCTTAAAGTAGTCTATATAAAAATTATTTTTACAGGGCAACTGCATCTTAGGCTAGGTTACTTCAATCTTAAAATCCTCATGTATGCTTTCAAGAAAACTGTCATCCTAGACAACACTAACCTTTTAATTTTACAGGGATCCTGAACCCTGAACTAGTAGAATGTGTGAAAGAGTGAAAGAGCTGTGCTGTAAATCTGCTACTTCTGCTTCAGGACACTGTCAAACTAATTAACAGTTTCTCCTGTTTTTTAAAGCTGCATATTGAAAACTAGAATTTCACCCTGCTTTCTCCAGAGTTCCGCATTCTTGAACTTAGATGAGAGCACACACATCAGGAAAGTAATTTAATTCCATCAACATGTATTTCACACCTACAACCTGCAGGACTTTGTGGAAATTCAAAGAAAATTTAACAGAAATCTGGTCTCCAAAACCTTACAGCATAATAAGAAAGTCAGATATGTGAATAAGAGTGAACTTTGCAACCACACGAGGCACAACTGAGTGTTACAGCAAAAGTCAAAACAAGCAAAGGACAAAGAGGGTGACTAGGGTCAATAATAATTGTACATTGAAAAAATAACTAAAAGAGTATAACTGGATTCTTTGTAACAGAAAGGATGAATGGTTGAAGGTATGGATACCCCATTTTCCATGATGTCATATTACACATTGCATGCCCGTTATCAAAACACCTCATGTACCCCATAAATATGTATATACCTACTATGTACCCACAAAAATTAAAAATAAAACAATTATAAGAAGTGAAAATAAAATAAATAATGAAAAAAAAAAAAAGCAAAGGACAGTGGCAGTGGCAAGAGGGCCTGGACCCTGGAACTCCATTTTGAGGTTGACTCAGAAAATGATTACAATGTGTATGTATAAGTTTTAGCATCTCCACTTAACAAATTGGCTTATTGTTCAAAAAGAGCATTTAACAGTGATATTTCTGTAAATGAAGAGAATTTATTCCAATTTAATCAACAAATTTTTTACTGTTTCCATTACATGTAAGATTATTATACACTAGATACCAGGGGTCAGAAAGGCTGATTAAATGGTTTCTGACTTTGGGGTGTAATAGTTGTTCACCAATAACTGTAGTACAAGACATATGAAAAATCCTGTAACAGTTGGGTGTAGTGGTACATATGTATAATCCCAGCTACCCTGGAGGCTGAGGCAGGAGGACTGTTTTTAGGGCAGGAGTTTGAGGTTGTAGTACACTATGATTGCACACCTGTGAACAGCCACCACACTCCAGCCTGGGCAGCATAGCAAGACTGTCACTTAAAAAAAAAATTCCTATAAAAGGAAGATAAACAAAGCCTATGAATAGCCACTAACCAAGCAAGAAATTTTATTAGAATTACTAGCTCAATAATTATCAAAGTAGGGCTTAATAACACATTATTAAGAGGTTCAGTTGGACTGATGCTCGAAAGTGCTAATATTAGGTTTATGTAGTTGGATCTCCACGGGTGCTTAACAGTCAGCTCTGCTCACTTAAACACAAAGGCTTTCTTTGTTCTCAGTATCACCCTAGCTACTTCTGCACCAGTTAGTCACTACTCGACTTCTGGAAACAGTTGACATAGACCTATTTCAGGGAACCAGATATACAGTTGACAGAAACAGCCTTATAATATGGATATATTTACAGCTTTCTTAAATCTCAGATATTTATTCTAGATTTAAGGTTTCTCCTGGTACCAAAATTAATCAGCCCCTATACAGAGACTATTCCATAAAGAAGGTACTCAAAAATGAAAATAATTTTTATTAACATATTTTTGCATTTAAGCCAACCCCAACTTGTAAAATTTAACAATTACTGTACCAGCAGTGCCAATACAAACTTTGTATTCCTAAAATTAGCACCAAAGTAGTGCAAAAATGTGTTAATATGTAGATATCTGTGATATTTACAAAAGAAAAGTGAAAAGAAAATGAATTTCACAGTTCGGGTCAATGCTCACATGGATTAGGCAATGAAACATTCTGGAACACCTTTTTATAACTATTCCAAATGAGAATTTGGAAACCATAAAACAATAAAATCCAAACAAAGGTGCATTAGGATAACTGTAAATGCCTTTAAGTAATGATTTGTAAAATTGTATAAGGGTCTTAAATAAACCTAGCATTTTATTACCAGGCACACTGTTAACATTCCCCAGATTTTTACAAGAGGAATTTAGCGAGCTATCTGTAAGATTTAGCTTAGCTAATCATTTACGTTTCTACCCAGAAATACATATCAATACATTATCAAAGTAAATATGGTAGCTATGCACTGGGAGTCCTTTTGGAAACAAATATATCAGATCTTTATCAATAATTGATTAACACATTTAAATACTTCAAAAACCAGGACCTTGTACTATTATACAGAGGGTGCTTTATTCAGATTGTTATATGAATTTTTTTCCTCCCATCTTCAGCTTCTTATATCTTCGTTTTTCTTTATCTCACAAAACACAAATTGCTCCCTAAATAACACTCGATAAGTTATTAATGTTAGTTTAAATAAACTTATTTTTTCTTGGATTGTTGCACGTTCTTCCCCTTTAGAAAGCTACCTTGAGGATTTTTTTTCTGGTTAGCTTTATGTATGTCCTCAAATAAGAAAGTTAAGTGCTATTGTTTTCGCAAATGGCTATGTAGCATTGGTTCTGAATCATTTGCTTGTTAATTAAAGGATAACCCAGATAGAAGTTAAACGGAGTAGTCATGGCCTGCCTTGCTATTTTAGAAAATATTGGCCACCAGTTAACACTGCAACTTGTCAGATATCTACTTGCCCATCTGAGAGGGCAGGTTTGAAAGTACACAAATAAAGAATACACATCATGATGACCAATTCATTCAAAAACTTTGAACATTTTTAGGGGGAAAGACATTATATGCTACATGTTTTAACCTACAAGGCATCATAGAAAATTAACTATGAAAAGATTTGTTGGCTAGCTTTATTTAATTACTGGATTTTTTTGTTGTTTTTTATTATACTTTAAGTTTTAGGGTACATGTGCACGATGTGCAGGTTTGTTACATATGTATACATGTGCCATGTTGGTGTGCTGCACCCATTAACTCATCATTTAACATTAGGCATATCTCCTAATGCTATCCCTCCCCCTTCCCCCGACGCCACAACAGGCCCCAGTGTGTGATGTTCGCCCTCCTGTGTCCATGTGTTCTCATTGTTCAATTCCCACCTATGAGTGAGAACATGCAGTGTTTGGTCTTTTGTCCTTGCAATAGTTTGCTGAGAATGATGGTTTCCAGCTTCATCCATGTCCCTACAAAGGACATGAACTCATCACTTTTTATGGCTGCATAGTATTCCGTGGTGTATATGTGCCACATTTTCTTAATCCAGTCTATCATTGTTGGACATTTGGGTTGGTTCCAAGTCTTTGCTATTGTGAATAGTGCCTCAGTAAACATACGTGTGCATGTGTCTTTAGAGCAGCATGATTTATAATCCTTTGGGTATATACCCGGTAATGGGATGGCTGGGTCAAATGGTATTTCTAGTTCTAGATCCTTGAGGAATCGCCACACTGACTTCCACAATGGTTGAACTAGTTTACAGTCCCACCAACAGTGTAAAAGTGTTCCTATTTCTCCACATCCTCTCCAGTACCTGTTGTTTCCTGACTTTTTAACTATCGCCATTCTAACTGGTGTGAGATGGTATCTCATTGTGGTTTTGATTTGCATTTCTCTGATGGCCAGTGATGACGAGCATTTTTTCACGTGTCTTTTGGCTGCATAAATGTCTTCTTTTGAGAAGTGTCTGTTCATATCCTTCGCCCACTTGTTGATGGGGTTGTTTGTTTTTTTCTTGTAAATTTGTTGGAGTTCATTGTAGATTCTGGATATTAGCCCTTTGTCAGATGAGTAGATTGCAAAAATTTTCTCCCATTCTGTAGGTTGCCTGTTCACTCTGATGGTAGTTTCTTTTGTTGTGCAGAAGCTCTTTAGTTTAATTAGATCCCATTGGTCAATTTTGGCTTTTGTTGCCATTGCTTTTGGTGTTTTAGACATGAAGTTCTTGCCCATGCCTATGTCCTGAATGGTAATGCCTAGGTTTTCTTCTAGGGTTTTTATGGTTTTAGGTCTAACATTTAAGTCTTTAATCCATCTTGAATTGATTTTTGTATAAGGTGTAAGGAAGGGATCCAGTTTCAGCTTTCTACATATGGCTAGCCAGTTTTCCCAGTAGCATTTATTAAATAGGGAATCGTTTCCCCATTTCTTGTTTTTGTCAGGTTTGTCAAAGACCAGAGAGTTGTAGATACGCAGCATTATTTCTGAGGGCTCTGTTCTGTTCCATTGGTCTGTATCTCTGTTTTGGTACCAGTACCATGCTGTTTTGGTTACTGTAGCCTTGCAGTATAGTTTGAAGTCAGGTAGCATGATGCCTCCAGCTTTGTTCTTTTGGCTTAGGATTGACTTGGTAATGCAGGCTCTTTTTTGGTTCCATATGAACTTTAAAGTAGTTTTTTCCAATTCTATGAAGAAAGTCATTGGTAGCTTGATGGCAATGGCATTGAATCTATAAATTACCTTGGCAGTATGGCCATTTTCACGATATTGATTCCTCCTACCCTTGAGCATGGAATGTTCTTCCATTGTTTGTATCCTCTTTTATTTCATTGAGCAGTGGTTTGTAGTTCTCCTTGAAGAGGTCCTTCACATCCCTTGTAAGTTGGATTCCTAGGTATTTTGTTCTCTTTGAAGCAATTGTGAATGGGAGTTCACTCATGATTTGGCTGTTTGTCTGTTATTGGTGTATAAGAATGCTTGTGATTTTTGCTCATTGATTTTGTATCCTGAGACTTTGCTGAAGTTGCCTATCAGCTTAAGGAGACTTTGGGCTGAGACAATGGGGTTTTCTAGATATACAATCATGTCGTCTGCAAACAGGGACAATTTGACTTCCTCTTTTCCTGATTGAATACCCTTTATTTCCTTCTCCTGCCTGATTGTCCTGGCCAGAACTTCCAACACTATGTTGAATAGGAGTGGTGAGAGAGGGCATCCCTGTATTGTGCCAGTTTTCAAAGGGAATGCTTCCAGTTTTTGCCCATTCAGTATGATATTAGCTGTGGGTTTGTCATAGATAGCTCTTATTATTTTGAGATACGTCCCATCAGTACCTAATTTATTGAGAGTTTTTAGCATGAAGGGTTGTTGAATTTTGTCAAAGGCCTTTTCTGCGTCTATTGAGATAATCATGTAGTTTTTGTCTTTGGTTCTGTTTATATGCTGGATTACCTTTATTGATTTGCGTATGTTGAACCAGCCTTGCATCCCAGGGATGAAGCCCACTTGATCATGGTGGATAAGCTTTTTGATGTGCTGCTGGATTGGGTTTGCCAGTATTTTATTGAGGATACTTGCATTGATGTTCATCAGGAATATTGGTCTAAAATTCTCCTTTTTTGTTGTGTCTCTGCCAGGCTTTGGTATCAGGATGATGCTGGCCTCATAAAATGAGTTAGGGAGGATTCCCTCTTTTTCTATTGATTGGAATAGTTTCAGAAGGAATGGTACCAGCTCCTCCTTGTACCTGTGGTAGAATTTGGCTGTGAATCCATCTGGTCCTGGACTTTTTTTGGTTTGTAAGCTATTAATTATTGCCTCAATTTCAGATCCTGTTATTGGTCTATTCAGAGATTCAACTTCTTCCTGGTTTAGTCTTGAGAGGGTGTATGTGTCGAGGAATTTATCCATTTCTTCTAGATTTTCTAGTTTATTTGCGTACAGGTGTTTAGTATTCTCTGATGGTAGTTTGTATTTCTGTGGGATCGGTGCTGATATCCCCTTTATCATTTTTTGATTGCGTCTATTTGATTCTTCTCTCTTATTCGTCTTGCGAGCAGTCTATCAATTTTGTTGATCTTTTCAAAAAACCAGCTTCTGGATTCATTGATTTTTTGAAGGGTTTTTTGTATCTGTTTCCTTCAGTTCTGCTCTGATCTTAGTTATTTCTTGCCTTCTGCTAGCTTTTGCGTGTGTTTGCTCTTGCTTCTCTAGTTCTTTTAATTGTGATGTTAGGGTATCAGTTTTAGATCTTTCCTGCTTTCTCTTGTGGGCATTTAGTGCTATAAATTTCCCTCTACACACTGCTTTGACTGTGTCCCAGAGATTCTGGTATGTTGTGTCTTTGTTCTCACTGGTTTCAAAGAACATCTTTATTTCTGCCTTCATTTCGTTATGTACCCAGTAGTCATTCAGGAGCAGGTTGTTCAGTTTCCATGTAGTTGAGCAGTTTGGAGTGAGTTTCTTAATCCTGAGTTCTAGTTTGATTGCACTGTGGTCTGAGAGACAGTTTGTTATAATTTCTGTTCTTTTACATTTGCTGAGGAGTGCTTTACTTCCAAGTATGTGGTGAATTTTGGAATAGGTGTGGTGTGGTGCTGAGAAGAATGTATATTCTGTTGATTTGGGGTGGAGAGTTCTGTAGATGTCTATTAGGTCCTCTTGGTGCAGAGCTGAGTTCAGTTCCTGGATATCCTTGTTAACTTTCTGTCTCGCTGATCTAATGTTGACAGTGGGGTGTTAAAGTCTCCCATTATTATTGTGTGGGAGCCTAAGTCTCTTTGTAGGTCACTAAGGACTTGCTTTATGAATCTGGGTGCTCCTGTATTGGGTGCATATATATTTAGGATAGTTAGCTCTTCTTGTTGAATTGATCCCTTTACCATTATGTAATGGCTTTCTTTGTCTCTTTTGATCTTTGCTGGTTTAAAGTCTTTTTTATCAGAGACTAGGATTGCAACCCCTGCCTTTTTTTGTTTTCCATTTTCTTGGTAGATCTTCCTCCATCCCTTTATTTTGAGCCTATGTGTGTCTCTGCACATGAATGGGTTTCCTGAATACAGCACACTGATAGGTCTTGACTCTTTATCCAATTTGCCAGTCTGTGTCTTTTAATTGGAGCATTTAGCCTATTTACATTTAAGGTTAATATTGTTATGTGTGAATTTGATCCTGTCATTATGATGTTAGCTGGTTATTTTGCCCGTTAGTTGATGCAGTTTCTTCCTACCCTCAATGATCTTTACAATTTGGCATGTTTTTGCAGTGGCTGGTACTGGTTGTTCCTTTCCATGTTTAGTGCTTCCTTCAGGAGCTCTTTTAGGGCAGGCCTGGTGGTGACAAAATCTCTCAGCATTTGCTTGTCTGTAAAGTATTTAATTACTGGGGTTTTTTAAACACCATCTGAGTTTATGTTTCAAAGACTGGCCCAATATGGTAGCTCACACTTATAATCCCAGTATTTATGGTAGGCCTAGGCAGGAGGATCACTTAAGCCCAGGATCATCAGCCCTGGCAACACAGTGATACCCCCATGTCTATTATATTTTTTTTATTTAAAAAAAAAATGCAAGACAGGCTAGAGTCAGGGGAATGAGGCACTAGCCTTACTTAAAATTTAGGGGAATACCAAATAACTTGGTGATCACAGTGTATCATATCTTAATGTAATATTTTTAAAAATCAAAATTAAAACCAAAAAAAGTCATGAGAAACAATATATCAAAAATTTAAATAAAGATCCAAAGAGGTCTGCATTCTGTCATGTTGCTGAACTAATGTTACTATTATTCATTTGACTCTAGGTGAAGAAAAATAGGTAAGGAATCATGCTGTTTTCTTCTTTGTTGTAAAGATAAAAACAGATCTAAACTTAATATCTCCAGCTCATGGCATCATTAGTTTAGTAATATTTTAGTCAAAGTTAGTGAATAGTAACCATTATTTCCTATCATCTACACTTAGGATATGTCACTTAATTTCAATGTCATTATCTTAACTATGAATCTTCCTAAAGTACTACACTACTTGGAAAACTAAAGGGAAGTTTAAGAAGTAATCCATCATTTCAATTTGCTACATTTGTGGCATATTTCCATCATTCAGGGCTATTTTACTTGCTTCTGAGTTTATTATATAAATATAGGTATACTCTCAGCTACATAAGACATTTTCTTTTAGTATTTTGAGATGGGGGAATTTTAAAGAATATGAAAAAAAGGAAAAGATCATCTATATTTTCTTTTAGATTTTCCTTATACGTAACATAGGAATAATTTATTTATTGAATAATTGATTTCATTCTATATAGAGCTATCACTACATTTCTTTACTTTCCTATGTAGCAAAACTCCTTAAAAGAGTGGTCTACACTTGATATTGTTTCAAACTTCTTCTTCACATTTTTTCTCTTCTTAAATTTTTTATCATAAAATAACTTCAATTTATCAAAAATCTGCAAGAATACTCATATACTCTTTCTCTATATGCACCATTTGTTATATTTTGCAATCTTTGCCTTACTGCACACATTTTTGCTTAACACTTTATTGTACATATGCTACTTTATCACTAAATATTTCAGCATGTATTTTCTAAGAATGAAGGCATTCTTTTGTAACCACACTTCAATTATCAGACATTCAAATAATGTGTTTGGGGTATTTCTGGACAATCACTGTGATGTCAACATTCAAGTTTTGAAAGGCACATGTGAAATGAGTATTAAAATATTTATAAATACTGTCTCATGCATAAATCCATATCCAAAATTGTGCTAATAATGTCATTTATGACATTTTTTCTGATACAGAATCCAGTTAAGGGTCATGCATTGCATTTAGTGCACTGTCTCTGGTATTCATTATTATGAAACAATACCTAAGGCTGTCTTTGTCTTTCATGATATTGACATTTTTTAAGAGAGCACAGGCTGATTGTTTTGTGAAGTGTCCTTCAACAATTTTTTCTAATGTTTCCTCTTTATTAGAATCAGATGTGCATTTGGGGCAGGAACACAATATGTGTGAGGTTGTATCCTCAGTGCATTACATTAGGAAGAGCATGATGTCAGTTTCTGGTGGCATTAACTAGGGTTACTTAGGGAAGATGATGCCCCCTCCACATTTTTCCACTAAAAACTACCCATTTTTTTCTTCTCCAATTAATAAGTCTTCTGTGGGTAAATGCTTTGATATTGGGTAATTACCCCATTGCTTTTTAAACTTTCATTTAATAATTTTAGTATCCATTAATGATTCTGGCCTGAATCAGTCATTACCATATCGGCTGCAAAATGGTAATTTTCCAGCTCTATTATTTCTTCTACATTTATCAGTTGGCACATTCTACAAGGAAGAGATTTCACTTTTCCTTATTTATTTACTTATTTACCTTATCACCTGTATGAACTCATTGGTTCTTACTTCAGCCAATGGTTTACAATCCATTCTTTCGTTATTCATTTTGAGACTCAAATTTCCCGTATTTTCTCAGAGAGATCCCTTGATGTTGTCACTTCTGTCATTTTTAAATGATTCCATCATTTTTTGAGCTCCCCCTTATTCTCTAGTATAACAAGGTGCTACAGTTCATCTGATACATTTTCCATCCCTGCCCTAGAATTGGCCATTTCACCAAGATAAATCTGGTTCCTATTAGCAAAAAGTCATATTTAAAAACCAGAATCTGGGTGCTAGAAGTGCTCGTTGCTACTTCTAGGCACTTCTAGAGTGTTGCTGCTTCTAGGCACACAATACAATGTGCTCAAGTACTGTGAATAGTTCATGGCCAACTCTCAGTCTTCATGGTACCTGACCCATTAGCAGCATTTAATTTTAATGATCGCATCTTCCTCCCAGCAATACAATCTTCATGAAGCTTCTAGGAAATGATGCTCTCTTGGCTTTCCTCTGTCCTTATGGAATACTTCCCAGTCCTCTTTAATTTTCCCTACTTTTCTCTAAACCCATCTAAAGTCAAGGTAGAGTCTAGAACTCAGGACTTTTTGATCCTTTTCTCATCTGTATCTATACTTACTCCCTAGGTAATGTCATCTGACAACTTTCAAGTTTTTATCTCAAGCCCAGTCTTCTCCCTCAAGCTCTGGATTTTATATCCATTTATTTCTACTTAGCACCTTCACCTGAATCTCTGATAGATGTCTAAATACAACATGTGTAAAACTGAACCACTCCAGACCTGGTCCACCTATAGCCTGCCCTTGAATTATGCCTTTGCAAGCATAATGCAGCCTAAATAACAAACTGATTTTGGTCACTCACTGCCATCAGGGAGCACCCATTGTTTCCTCTGCCTCTGCCATCTGTTGTGATTTTTGAGTTCCACAGAGGAAAGGGGGAGATGGGAGAAGGTAGGACAGAAGCCCAAATTACTTTACATATGAGCCGTACATTTCCTACTAGACTGTTAAACTGACTCTACATTCAAAATTGGCAGCAGACGTCACTAATGTGGCCTTAGAGTGATTCATATAATTTCAGCTGAGATAAGAAATATCTTGACAGACATTCAAATAATGTGTTTGGGGTATTTCTGGACAATCACTGTGATGTCAACACTCAAGTTTTGAAAGGCACATGTGAAATGAGTATTAAAATATCTCTACTGGCAAGATTAGATTTTTATGGCAACCAGTAAGAGAGAATACACCATTAGAAAGTAAACACTCTCTGCTTCTTCTCAGGGGCATCCAGGTCACTTTTTGTGCAAGATTATTGATTCCTTTGCCAATTATGTTCCTGGAATATTAGAAACCATTTCCTCATGTGTAAACTGGTGTATTTACAACCCTCCTAATTCAGGTGGAAAAATTCATCATACAAGTAACAGTGTGGGATGAGAACTTGGCCTAAATGTTTGAGTCTCAATTCTGCTGTAGTAGAAAAAGAATAACTGCTCATTTCAAATGCAGGCAGAAGTGTGTGAATTTCACTTAGCATACCAGCATCATTAACAAGAAAATGAAATTCTTAATTCATATATTTCATGGCCTTCCAAAATTACATTCTGAAACACCTTGACATTTTAGTAAATGTAATATATAAGAAATACTAGTTAGGCCGGGTGCAGTGGCTCTCTCCTATAATCCCAGCACTTTGGGAGGCTCAAGACGAGCCTGGGCAACATGGCAAAAACTTGTCTCCACAAAAAATATAAATATTAGCTAGGCATGGTGGCACATGCCTGTAGTAGCATCTACTCAGGAGGGTGAGGCGGGAGGATCGCTTGAGCCCAGGAGGCAGAGGTTGAAGTGAGCCAAGATTGCACCACTGCACTCCAGACTGGATGACAGTGTGAGACCCAGTCTCAAAAAATAAATAAGTAAAAATTAAAAAAAAAACAAATATCAGGTATGTTCATGAAACATTTCAAATGTAGAGTTCAATAGACCATATTTTTAAAAGTATAGAAAGCATCTTTTAAATTTCTCTTCTTTTAATGCATTTATTTTTACAGAGTGGAGAAAATTGGCTCTCTTTTAAATATATAAATTTCTTGACTTGATGACTTTCCACAGGTACAACATACTCAGGGGAGATTGGCACCAAGAAAAAGGTGAAAAGACTATTAAGCTTTCAAAGATACTTCCATGCATCAAGGCTGCTTCGTGGAATTATACCACAAGCCCCTCTGCACCTGCTGGATGAAGACTACCTTGGACAAGCAAGGGTAAGCTGACTGCCCCATCTCCTCACAGCAGGCCAGTGGCCAAGAGCATGTGCCTCAGCTGATAGCACTGGTGTTGGAGTCCTACTCTGCCTCTGAGGAGCTCTGTGACCCTGAGCTCATTATTCCATACATCTGGACTTGTTCCTCTAATAGAAAATGAAATTAACAGAAACATCCCCCTTATGAGGTGCACGAAGTAAACCATGTTTATGTGCTGAATATACCCATGCCTAACACATACTAGCCATTTTCATTTTTATAAAGGTACAAAACATATTTGCACGATACTAAGTAAAGCAAAATTTTGGACTGGCAGATTACTAATGAGGGAATAACTAATTTTTTTAATTTATTAAATTAGCTCATCGTAACAGCTACACTAAAAATAACCCAATCACTATCAACTCTTAATTCTACTTTAGGCTATTGATGCACTGCATTTTCCTTTTCATAATTTTTAATTCATTTGAATAAATTTTAATAACTCTACAATTACTTTAGTAATACATTGATCTGACTGAGGGTGGAAATTAATGTGTGACCATCTGAAAAAAGTGTTCAGGTTATGTCTACCCCAAACTGCCAAAGGAATTTAAATTTCAGCAATAAATGCCCCAGTTTAAACAGAAGTCGAAGATAGATTTTACAGCTTGCATGCTAAGTGATATTATACTATTTATATACTATTATGAAATATATACCACTGGCAAAGCACAGTGCCTCATGCCTGTAAATCCCAGTACTTTGAGAGGCTGAGGCAGCAGGATTGCTTAAGCTCAGGAGGTTGAGGCTGCAGTGAGGTATGATGATGCTACTGTACTCCAGCCTGGGGTACAGAGTGAGACCAGGTCTCAAAAAGAAAGAAGGAAAGAAAAGAAAAGAAAGAAGGAAAGGAAAGAAAGAAGGAAAGGAAAAAGAAGGAAAGGAAAGGGAGAGAGGAGGGTGGGAGGGAGGGAGGGAAGGAAGGAAGGCAGGCAGGCAGGCAGGCAGGCAGGCAACTAATATATGCCGTTAGAAAATGAACAGCAAGTAATGTCAAAAGAGCTAATTCCCAATATTAGGCCTCCAAAAGGATAAAAAAATCATTCCTAACAGCTTAAGGTCTGAGATTGGGAAATTTTTGAATGTTTGCTTGTTTGTTGAGAGGAGAACAAGCCTTAACTTCCCCAGCCCTGGAATGTCACTGACAGAGCACTCTTGGCGGTGTCTCTCCTCTAAGCAGCCACCTCTCAAGAAAGGTGGTGTGAGATGTGGAAAGGACAGAGGGCTGGAAGTCCAGCTATCACAGGCCAAGTCCTAGGGCTGTCTTTAATATTGTGTGAGTTAGGTAAAAGTCTCACGCAATCTAAACCTCAAAAATAACCTAATATCCCTTCATTTTTCTGACGTGTTGTGACGGTCTTTTTGTGTCACGCTGAGGCATTTGGATTTTATTGTAGGACATAGGGAAACCATTCATTTGCACTAGATGGTAGTATGCTAGGATTTTCAACTTTTTAATTGTTTAATCCACTATATCCCAAAGTAAATGTTTGAGTCTCCAGTGTGATTCATTTGCGTGCTGTTTTTTGTTTGCCTTTTCAGCATATGCTCTCCAAAGTGGGAATGTGGGATTTTGACATTTTCTTGTTTGATCGCTTGACAAATGGTAAGTTACCCAAAAGAATTCTCACTAAAATATACACCATAAAGTGGGATTAATTTCATGAAAAACAAAATTTATTTTTAAACACTGCTATTCCTTTTTCCTTCTTTCCCCATTTTCATAAACCTACAGCTACTGAAGAAGGACCGGGGTAAGGGAAAATCAACTCAGATGAAAAATAAGGACTGAATTTGACCTTAGAATCTTAGGACAGTTTCCTTGTGACCTTGATCATCCCAGAGGAATTTAGAAACCACAGATTAGATTCTTTTCTTGCAGAATATTTTGGCCACATCCAGAAGTAAGGAGTTCATTGTTAGTTGATGAAAACTAGAAACAAAAGCACATCTGATCAGCCCTGACTTTTACAGGGCAGGGTGCTTATGCAGTTTTATTAAGTGAGCTAAATCTGCCCTGTTGCGGGTATTGCTCAAATGTGTTTGACATCATCAGAAGAAAACAATTGCCGAGGAAAGAATATAAAAGCTTAGGCTGCAGCCAAAGGGAAAAGCAAACATCTTCACTGGTGTCACTTCTTAAGTTTTTGTGCCTATAAAGACCTTCCTTAAGAAAATAATAAAAAACCTATTATATTTTTATCTGGCCATTAAACAAATGCTGATGAGCTTTGAGAGCCAATGAAAGACATCACATTTAATGCTGATGTTGATAGGTCTCTTTTAAGTCATTATATATGGTTTTCTCATCATTCTATTACTTGGCAAACAATATGCAGTTGAGAGAAATATAGCCTAAGACCACGAAATGGACCTTTACAGTGTGGAAAGAAAACTAGATCATGGAGAGAAGAATCCCATAATTTTGCATGTCATTTTGTTCAAATCAACTGAGAAACGGGTACTGGTAAACTAAGTTACCTGTGAACAAAAGAACTTGTTCAATGGTATTTGTTTAAAAGAGAATATAATCATGACCCTCATAGACATATGAAATGACCACATGACAGAGATTTTCTTTAACTCAATTAATTAGAGATCCAGTAAGATGCTACAACTAGTTCAAAGGAGAAGTCAAAGAGCCTCACAAGTATATGAAGTATATACCACACATATCTAAGAAATGCTGAAATTGATTTATAAGTAGCCGCAAAATCGACAGGGGGAAATAAATTGTATTTCCACCTAACTGATTTCATTTCCTGTATGTTTTCTTCCAGTAGTTTCATAGTTTCAGGTCTCATGTGTAAGTCTTAAATTCATTTAGTGTTGATTTTTGTATATGGTGAGAGATGAGGGTCTAATTTAATTCTTCTGCATGTGGATATCCCACTTTCCCAGCACCATTTATTGAAGAGACTATCCTTTCCCCAATGTGTTTTTGGTGCCTTTGTCAAACATTAGTTGGCTGCAGAAGCATGAATTTATTTCTGGGTTCTCTATTCTGTTCCATTGGCCTCATTGTCTGTGCTTTTAAAATTCAAAATCATTATTCCTAAATAAACAGTATTTCTTGAATGCTTACAAGTCATTACAGCTTCAATTTTGCATCTCTGCTGACTTGAATTCTAAAATAGCTCATAGTCAGATCTCCTCTTGAGTGATTTTCCATAGGAAGAAGAATAGGCTGTGACTATCAAGCAATATGGTGGTTTAGATACACCTGTAAATGGAATAGTCAATTGGAAGTGACTTAAGGAACATTTCAAGTGGCCATAAGCTCTGTCTTTAAAAAAATACACATATACACATGTGTGTGTGTGTGTATGTGTATGTATCCCTGACACCTCAGTAGGCAGATTCTTTCTAACTCTTAATGTCTTCATTGTCTTTGGTGAAGGGAGAAGGTCTGAGCTAATTTTACTTGTACAATAAGAAAAAACCTAGGATCAGATCATAGTAATAATATGCTCTATCCTTGAATAATTTCACTTCTAAAGGGGAAAAAATATTCTATCACAGAAACTTTATTACAGAGACTTTAGGTCTTATTGTCAATCTTGATATTTTAGTGGTGATCAAAATTAGTTAAAGGAAGTGACTGTTTTCCTGCAGGAAACAGCCTGGTAACACTGTTGTGCCACCTCTTCAATACCCATGGACTCATTCACCATTTCAAGTTAGATATGGTGACCTTACACCGATTTTTAGGTAAGTCCTTTTTTTCACATTTCTAGCCCCATTCTCTTGAATAATGGCAATGCATAATACTCTTTAATATAAAGTGGTAAGATCCATAGGATGATAGATGCATACCTCCAATTAATCTTAAATGGTCTCATCTTACTTTTAAAATATGGCTTGTTCATCCTAAATCATTTAAAAATTGTTTACTTGATTACAGTTGATCCCAAACAACTTGGGGGTTAGGGGTGCTAACCCCCTGTGTAGTCAAAAAATCTGTGTATAGCTTTTGACTCTCAAAAACCTAACTACTAATAGCTTACTACTGTTGACTGGAAGCCTTACCAATAATAAACAGTTAATTAACACATACTTTTTATGTTCTTTGTATTATGTATTGTATTCTTATAATAAAGTAAGATAGAGAAAAGAAAATGTTCTTTTAAAAATTACAGGGAATCCTAGCACTTTGGGAGGCGGGCGTATCACAAGGTCAGGAGTTCGAGACCAGCCTGGCCAGCACAGTGAAACCCTGTCTCTACTAAAAATACAAAAAAAAAATTAGCCAGGCTTGTTGGCAGGTGCCTGTAATCCCAGCTACTTGGGAGGCTGAGGCAGGGAGAATCACTTGAACCCGGGAGGTGGAGGTTGCAGTGAGCCGAGATTGCGCCACTGCACTCCAGCCTGGGCGACAGTGCAAGACTCTGTCTTAAAAATAAATAAATAAATAAATAAATGACAGGGAAGAGAAAATGTATTTCCTATTCATCAAGTGGATGTGGATCATCATAAAGCTCTTCATCCTTGTCATCTTCACACTGAGTAGGCTGAGGAAGAAGAGGAAGAGGAGGGGTTGGTCTTCCTGTCTCAGGGTGGCCAAGGCAGAAAGAATCTGAGTACAAGTGGACTCACGTGGTTTAAACCCATGTTCTCAAGGGTCAAGTGTAGTTATGTTTATAATAAATTATATATAAAGAAAACCATCAGGAACATACCGTTTTCAAAGAAGATACTGGTCTGCTGACATATTAACAAACCTCCAGCAGCATGCGCCTCAAATAATTTTAATCAGGACATGAGTTGTTGAAAATTTTCAATAGGCTTTTTAAAAAATAATAATAACTACCATTTATGTAGTGCCCACTATGAGCAGAGTACTTTTGGCAAGTTATTTCTAACCATTTAAACAAATCTGCAAGTAGGATATTATTATCACCATTTGTCCCATAGTTTAGGAGAGGTACAAAGAGGTTTCATTACTTGCCCAAGGCCAACAGCTAGTAAGTGGCAGAATATGAGCCCAAGCCTAGCTCTGTCGACTTGGGAGTCCACCATCTTTCCACTGAACTCCATCATTACTCTGTATCAAAAGGCAGCCTCAGTTCTTATTTAAATGTGTGCATATTCTTATTTATCTGCCAGTGAATTTTTCAGGGGACATTTCTAATCACCAAATGACTTTCCTCTGCCATTTACATGTTTCTGGCTTCTTTTTGACTTGCCACATGGCTGTACTTTGATTTTGGAGGCTGACTTAATGCCATCAGAAGAAAATAACAGGCGTGACAATAATAATGGGAGCCACAACCAGGTTTCTATGGTGCTTACATCTGCTGGAAGCTCTTCCAAGGACCTGCATATATTAATAAACACATTTAATCCTTACTCCACTTTGAGCTCAGAGCTATTGCTATCCCCATTTTACAGAGGAGGAAACTGAGGGAACTTGCAGTTAAGTAACTTGCCCAATACAGACATTAAAGTGATAGAGGGTTTAAATATAATTGTCAAATATACCTGCTGAATAAAAAGTATGTGCAACACAACAGAAATATTTGAAACCAGCCACAACATGGCTAATTTCCAGAAATCCAAATAACCTCAAGCTGATTGTATTTCAATTGATTGAGCAAAGAAATGGCCATGCATAGGGCCAAATAATTTTGATTTGTCTGAAAAGGGAGATACAGATATAGATACTTTGGACACGTGTATCTACCCAGAAAATATATAAAGAATACAAAGACTTGACAACAGAATTAACACTGTAATCCAGAGCCAGATTCATAGCAATGGGCTGAGAGAATCTGGCCACACTTGCAAATCAGGACAGTCTATACACACTGAATATATTGCATCCTAAGCATCGCCTTGGTTATGAGCTGAAGCAGGTTAGCGTCTTCCATAAAAAGCAAACCAAAATCGCCTTGCCTGTGTCTCTACTTGGTTCCAAGAGTACTCTAAGCCTTACATTAGACTGCAGGAGCATGAAAGATGATACTCTAACTTGAATAAGGTAGAAATAAATCCAAGAAGTCCACAGTTGGATCAAGGCAATACCCTGAATCTCTGCCCTAAGAGGCCCGGATTTGCTTTCATTGGTATTTGTTATTCAAGTGTTAAACCAGTCTTTGGATATCAGTATTCTGATGCTACTTGGGCTCTTTGAAGGAAACCTCATTTGTGGCATATTATTTATAAACAGCAGAAACTCAATTAAACTATAGTGTGAGATAAAGTTGTGCTTTTCCTACATATTTATTTTTCCTATGAATGACAGCCTTTATGAATGTCAGAAAGGGGGGATTTATGAAGGAGGTGAGAAATCCCAACGCTTCACAAATCCTTTTGGCCTTTCTCCCCTCTGCTGTCCATCTCTGCTCTCTGCTAAAAACAGCCTAGCAGAACTGCCAAGCTTGCAAACCACGTTTATTTTTAAAGCATCTCTATGCTGCACATTTTGGAGGCACTGATATTTTTAAGCAAAAAGCACCCACAGTAAGTCTAAGCTAGTATACCACTCCTATTTGGGTTTTAGTTGATTGAGTTATCTGTTTACCTCCCAGTCATGGTTCAAGAAGATTACCACAGCCAAAACCCGTATCACAATGCTGTTCACGCAGCCGACGTCACCCAGGCCATGCACTGCTACCTGAAAGAGCCAAAGGTAAGACAAGACCCAGCTGCCTCCTCAGCCACCTGGAAATGCCAAGGAAACTACCTGCTAGGCCCAAGTTACCCAACATATCTGAGTAACTATGTTATGTGTCATTAACAATGTGAACACAAATTATTGATATTAAGGTTCCAGTATCAGCTCTGAAAATCTTACAATGTTCACGAAAAAGGATGAGACTCATCTGAGGTTTTCTTTCATATTTTGTATATTTTTGAGGCTGTATTTGGACAAAAAAAAAAAAAAAAACTTCCTCTCTATGGCAATCTACATCTTAGATACCTTCAACAGTCCATAGAACTAGCTCCGTGCCTTAGATCTTTGCCACAAACAGCACCAGCATTGAACTTTGTTGGGAAAAGTCTCCTACTGCATGAGTTTTGATCAACAAATGGAATCAAAGCTCCTCAAGTCTGATGTTCTATTTCCTACTGAACCAACTGGATATCCCGATTCAGGGCCCAAGAAAACTTGTGAATGTCAAAGACCTCTTAGCAAGCATGTTCTGATGCAATAAACCAACCCAAAGTTAAAAATTAAAAACATTGTAATAATGCTCAATACTCAACATTCAGGCAGTCCTTAGACTGAAAGTCTGTTGGTACAAGGTACAGGATGAGTTTTCTTAAGGTTTCTGGAAAATTATATTCTAAGACTGTTGAGTTCAATCTGTTTTTAACATCCCCCTACATATGCGGATGCTTTGACAGCAACAACTAAATATTCAGATGTCAAACAGGCACTCTCAGGGCAAAGCTGGGTGGGTGCCTCATCCCTGCAACATATCCCAAGGACATTAATGGCTCTGTTTTTTAATTTCCAAGTAGTCTAAACATTGTACTATGTCATACAGTTGTATTTTTAAAGTTAGTATTGGATTCCCGTGTCTCTGCTTATTTTCCTAGCTAACCAGAAAATCACAGATTCTCATACATTCTCCCACTATTTATTACACATTGAAAAAAATGCAGATCTTGCAAGTCGGCCCACTTCTTTCAAAGTGGCAAAGATATATTAGACAGTTGAAATACACAAATGATTTTTAAGTAGGTCCATCATGTGACCAACTTTTTTCTTCATTTACACATTTCTCTAGGAGCAAGGCTGATTTCAGGCCCTGTCTTCTACCTATCCACCCAACAGCACTGTTGCCAACCAGCAATGCCATCACAACAACAAAACAAAACAGAGTGGAATAGGAAGAAGGGGATACCAGAATAATCTACACAATTTGAGTTTACCCAATATTTTCCACACAGTCCTTTCCTTTTTGCCTGTGATTTCATGTGACTATCACCTCATTTAATGCTTCAAAGGGTAAAGGTCTGGCTGATAGGCTTAAACAATGCCATGATGATTCATTGTGTTTGATTTAGCCAAAATGATTATGAGCCTATTTGTGAAAATACACCAATCAATCTCCCAATTTGTTTTTTTAACAGCTTGCCAGCTTCCTCACGCCTCTGGACATCATGCTTGGACTGCTGGCTGCAGCAGCACACGATGTGGACCACCCAGGGGTGAACCAGCCATTTTTGATAAAAACTAACCACCATCTTGCAAACCTATATCAGGTAAGGGAGCCCAACCTGGAGCCAGCCACAGTATGGTCAATCGCCTTAGGCCCGGTGCTCAAGCCTGAATCTTGCCCATGGAGAAAGCCTTGTTTTAGGGTCCTAGAAGTTCAAAGACGAATGAAACACAATCTCTGCCCTCAAAAATTTGTTCAAACTCAGATGCTCAAAATGAGCAAAATCCAAGCAAACTTAATCCCAGTTTGAAAGAGGTTTGAGGAATTAGCTCATGTCGATACAATTGTTTTTTAAAATCTCTAAAGAGTAAATACTTGTGCTGTTCTTTGTATCCAAAGACCTTACTAGAATAAAGTGAGCCGCTGTTTTTCTTTTCCCATCAGTAAATTTATTCTCTAATTCTCTGGCCTTGTCCCTGTAAGGAAAGAGAAGAGAGAATGATCCAAGTGTGTGTGTGTGTGTGTGTGTGTGTGTGTGTGTGTGTGTTTTCAGAAACAGGGTCTTGCTTTCTCACCCAGGCTGGAGTGCAATAGTGCAATCATAGCTCACTGCAGCCTGGAATTCCTGAGCTCAAACAATCCCTCCACCTCAGCCTCCCTAGTAGCTCAGACTACAGGCACGTGCCGCCACACCTGACTAATTCTGTTTTTCATAGGGACAAGGTCTCACTATGTTGCCCAGGCTAGTCTCGAACTCCTGGCCTCAAGTGATCATCCCACCTCAGCCTACCAAAACACTAGGATTACTGGCATGAGCCACCTGGGACTACAGGCATGAGCTACCATGCCCGACCGAGAAGGATCTCTTTGATTATGACTAGGGAGAAATTGGGGTATAGGTCTAGGGACCACATTCAGGATACTACCTATATCAGTCACCTGTTCAACTGGTCTTAGGATCTCTTGGAGGCTATAGATCCATGTCTTTTAAGATTTAGGGACAAAGTTGAAGGCAAAGCAATATCACATAGTACCATACAGATATCTTCAGTGTCCTATAGCTGGCTAGAAAAAAAGCTGAAACTTTTCTTAGCCAAATTGGTGCTTGTCAATACTGAAAATAAAAATTGTTTAAAAGGACTTGAAAATAATAGGAAACTTCAATTTTGTCAAAAAATTGTGATCCCTTTATTTTTGGCTATATACCATCACTATTAACTATACTAAGGAACATCAAAAAGATGAAAAAAATTTCTTTTAAAAAGTTCAGTTCAACAAACTGTTTAACTAACCTTTATTCAACACTTACTATGACCCAAACACTGTGCCAAATGCCTTTGATGTAGTATATTATTAATCTTCACAATAGCCCAGTGAGGTGAGTACTATTATCATACCTATTTTCCACAGAAAGAAGAATTGATACTTGGGAAATTTAAGTGTTTTTCCTGAAAATAAACAGATAATTAATAGAACTGGAATTAGAACTCAACTTTTTGGTTTCCAGAGCCAAAGTGCCTAAGAACTATGCATCCTGCCTCTGAAATTCATATTGATCACCTACCGTGTACCAGAAACTAACAGCTCTCCTACAATGCTCCTATTGTAGTAAGGCAGACAAGAGGGTTCTAGAAAGTGATCGAGGCCTGGTGCAGTGGTTCACACCTGTAATCTCAGCACTTTGGGAGGCTGAGGCAGGCGGATCACTTGAGGTCAGTAGTTGGACAGCCTGGCCAACACGGTGAAACCCCGTCTCTACTAAAAATACAAAAATTAGCTGGGCATCGTGGCACATGCTTGTAATCCCAGCTACTTGGGAGGCTGAGACAGGAGAATCACTTGAACCCTGGAGGCAGAGGTTGAAGTGAGCCAAGATGGCGCCACTGCACTCCAGCCTGGGCAACAGAGGGAGACTCCGTCTCAAAGAAAAAGCAAAGGAAAGAAAAGATAAGTGATCTAAAGTGTGAGAGGCTTGATAGATACTTTAAAGTATTTAGCTACAAACAAATGTGATGGGAAGATGGGGGAAGGAGAAACTGATTCTGCAGATAGTTGCAGCGGGAAAAAAAAGAACATAGAAAAAGAATGCTATAAACTGGGCCTTAAAGTGTGAGTAACATTAATAGCTGAGATGAAAAGAGGGCATTAGAGTCAGGATGAGCTGATGTACTTTTGGGATTAAATTCCACAACTCCAGAATAACTGAAAATGGAATGTCCGGTGGCCTTTAGCTGAGTATGGTCCTGCCATCTACAGCTCCGTCTCTGATCAGTGTGTTGTGCATATCATGATTCAGTGCATACGCTCTCTTTTGTAGTAACTTCAGATTAGTTGTACAGGACATGACCTGGATCAAGAAATCTTTACTCTGCATTAAGTTATAGATGAGGAACTGGCAGAAATCTTCAAGTTTTCAGTATCAAAGGAAAAAATCACGTTACATAATATATAAGCTGAGCAAACCCATTAACGACACATGGTATTTAAAAATCTTTGGAAATGTAGCCTTTTAGCCTCTCAAGGGCCCGTTTGCTGAGACACAAATGGGCTTTCAGGGAGCTATTTGCAAATTTTCATAGGATGTTTGCATGCACATTTTCCTAGGGAGAGGGTCTATAAGTTACTCTTATCAAATTTTAAAATAAGTTGCAGATTCTGAAAATGTTAAGAACCATGGTAATGAATGAAAAAAATATATGTACATATACGCACAAAAATTATGCATGCGCACATGCACATTTGGTCAACAAGAATACCGTAGAGAGGATGTGCCAGGAATTATGTGGCTTGGGGAACACCCTGTGCGTGACTTTGCCACAATCCAGACTTACTATAAATGAGATAAAATGGAAGAGGGCTTCCTCTCCCTCCTTCTGTTGGCTGTGCTCTTTTAGTTCTAATAAATAAGAGGATCATTGCATAACATCCAGCCTGTTATTCTACCCTGAGATAAAGAGAGAGCAGGGCAGCTGGAGTGAAGGCCAGGTCAGAGGGCTCCCTCCCATGGTCTGTTCTCTGGGCCGGACTCACTCGCTGAACTGCCAACCAAGTTCAATATGAAGGCACTGAAGGCACTTCTACTTGGCACCTCTCTCATCAGACTGGAAGCAGTCCAGGTGTCCAGGGTGGACTGGGAGGAAAAACAGCATGTGAGAAATAGAACCAAGAATTTACTTTCTGTTCCTTCACCCTCCAACCCCACACATACAAATTTAATGGTGGGCTTAGCAACTGTGCAAAGTAAGCATTAAGTTACATACAACGTTGGTGATTATAAATTGTAAAGGAATAACTTTCAGTTCAATTTTAAATTCAACTCCTTTCAATAGAGTCCAACAACATGGACTCTATCATTTACTCATGACACAGCATCCTTAAAATAATGACTTTAAAAAATTGTCCCATAAACATTTATTACACTCTATAATGTCTTGCAGAAGTTTATAATCAGCTTTCTTAGTCATTTATCACAAGCACTTAGAGGGGGGTCAGCATTTTGAACCACTTGTTATTCTTAATGAGTCTGAATCACAAACATGAAGTTGACCCAGCCAGGAGGAATATTCCTTCCACGTGGTCCTATGACCCCACCCCGTCCTCAAACAAACATCTGCAAAGACTAACATAAGCTCACAATTTCTACAGTATGAAAGGTGTTTTTGGAAAGTAGTGCTAAAATTATAAAAGGAGCCTCAAATTTGACTTTCTGTTCCATAAAGTTTCTGCCATCCCCAATCTGAACCCCAGCCTTCCCTGCAGACAGCAATTGGCATCCCCGCTCCCTTCTCTCAGCTATCTTAGGCAGATGCAGAACAAACAAGAGAAAGACATCTTCAAACAGGCATTAAACAAGGCAGTGCTATCGTTTCTTCAAGGGCCAAGGTCTTGTTTAGGGCTCAAGGAGCTTCTATTCCACTGAGACCTCCTAGGCTGGGGCTCTCATAGTGTTACCAAGGAGACCATTGGCTTGTTAGGGAAGAACTCAGCAGCCTCCATTATCTCCTAAAGTCTTGCACCTTGTTTCATGAGCAATTAAAAATGAAAACACAGACAATGTTCCTGTTGTTTTTCTTTCTGTATCCTCCGGATTTAAAATGTTCAATTAACTCTGGTTCCTGGTACCCCAGATTCAGTTTATCATCATCATTTGAAGTATTTTAATCAAAGAAAGTGTCCAACAAATAGAGGAAAAAAACAGTTTAAATCTGCCTTGTATGATAGCAACTCTGCTCTGCCAGATTCTGTTTGCCAAATACCCTCTTGACTTAATTTGAAAACCTGTGTTGGTGGTGTATTAAAGACCAGGTGTGCTATTAGCAAACAAAGGGATTGTTTTGTTTTTAGGGTGAAAAATACTTGATAATTCAGGCACAAAGGGAAACGAAGGTTTTGCCTTAGAAGTTGGAAGGGTTTTGTTTTTTTCAAATTAAAGTTCTAATAGGTTTTGTTGTCACAAAGGTAGATGCTTACTCCTTCAACTTTAAGATGAAGATTACTCTTAAAACTGCAAGTAGGAAGGGTTTGAGCCACTAGAACACATTGTCATCAGGATAATGTGAAATTACTGAACCGATACTTCTTAAAGATAGACAGACATAGTACCTGATGTGGTATTCTAGAACCGGTTAGGGTTTCAAAGGATATTAAATGGTATCCTCTCACCACATGTTTAGATCTCCATGACCATTTCTGATGCTTTTCTTCTTTTTCTCAGTCTACCTTTGGTTGATACGAGTCACTGAGCCTCTGTGAAAGATGAGTCTGTAGGAGTAGAGCTGCTTTTTGCTAGGGAGGATACAGCATTCTTATCTCTGGCAAGTCACTAAGAAACCCCAGTGTATGCAAGCCTGCTCGCCACCCTTTGCCTCTCCCCTAGGTTCAGGGCACACCAGCATCATCCTCTCATCCACCTACTCTCAGCCTTGCCTGGTTTCAGCCCTTTTTCCACTATGAAGACAGAAAGAGTTTCCTGAAACTCAAATCTGACCACATCGATTCCTGCTTAAAACCCTACCATGCCTCAGGATTGAGTCCAAATGACTTAACACAATTTACCATCCCCGTTCTGATCTGACCCCTGCCAGTCCTTCCAGCCTCACTTCCCACCATTCCCCTCCCAGGCTTCTATGCATTGAGGCTGAACTTCCAGTTTCCCAAACATATCACTCAATTCTTTATCCATTCAGCAGATACATACGGAGTGCTGAATACATGCTAGGTGCAGGAGTATAGAAGATGAACAAAACAAATAAAAAAGTCTGCTTTTTTCTAAGGGAAACAGAAAATAAGTAAAATATGTCCTCTATTAGAAAGTGATAATTCATAGATAAAAACAAAACAAGATAAAGATATAAAGTATCCCTCTTGCTTACAGATCTTCACACCCATGCTCTTCCTTCTGCCTATTTGAATAAAATGTAGTATTCCATGGTATATTTTACTCAAATATAATATACAATAGAGTATGTTGTCTGTACTCTCTAATTCCTCTCTTACTTGCTCATCCTTTTGATCTAAATTTGGACATATTTCCCTCCTGAAAGTCTTCTTTTTCTCTAAAAATCCATCTTACAAGCCCCTCCTATGAGATTTTCCAGTACTCTCTTACTTCCCTTATCACAGTATGTGTCACTCGAATCGCTATTGCCTGATTAGATGTCCACTTCCCAGACAGATAGTACATTTTTGGTCACCTAACTCATTCACTGTGATATCCTCAATACCGAGAACAGTTCTGATGTCCAGGGAATATTTAATAGCTTCTCCTGCTTATTATTGCAGTCTTACTAAGAATACACAGAGAGTACACCATGCAGAAGGAGTAGCAATGATTAAAAATTCTTGGAATGATCTTCTCATTGCATCTTGGAATTGACAAATGCAAGCTGATACATGTTATTTCTTGAGTCCTTTACCTAATCTTGGTTGTCTGCAAATGAGTAGTGGGAGGGAACCCATTGCAGTAATAATTTTAAAATTTCTTTGGATTTTACCTAAGTCTAAGGATTTCACTACACAAGATCCTAAATCTGGCTTCTATCAGATATTGACCAAAAATTCAAATAGGACTCTTTTTCTTTTAACAGTTCTTTTAACTTTTGTAGCTACTGAACTTTGGGGTTTGGGGTATCAATTACTCAGTACCCATTCAACAAATATTTACCTATTTAAGTGGCACTGTGCCCCATACCATGGCACAAAGATGAATACAATACGCTCCCTGCCCTCAATAGCAGTCACGTAGGGCCACAGTTTTCACACAGGGTATGTGTGCCCATGGGGATATGTGAAGACTTTCCAAGGGGTACACAGGCATAAATAGTGTTAACAGAATCCATTTTTAGGTCCTTAAACTGACTTGCCTGGAATGTGCTTGCGGGGCAGTGAAGCCAGTTCCACTTTTCCACTTAACTTTCACAGTCACCCTGTTTCCACTTTACAAAAGACAGACACATGTCTGACTCATTCTAAGTTATATTTCATACTGACCTAGGTATAAAAATAGCAAGCAACTATATTAGTCCATACTCAACGCTGCTATAAGGACACATCTGAGACTGGGTAATTTAAAAAGGAGAGAGGTTTAATTGACTCACAGTTCTGCAGGGCTGGGGAGGCCTCAGGAAGCTTACAATCATAGCAGAAGGGGAAGCAAACACGTCCTTCTTCACATGGTGACAGGAAGGAGAAGTGCTGAGCAAAAGGGAAAAAAAACCCTTATAAAACCATCAGATGTAATGAGAACTCATGCACTATCATGAGAACAGCATGGGGGACCACCCCCATGATTCAGTTACCTCCCATCAGGCCCCTCCCATCACATGTAGGGCTTATGGGAACTACAATTCAAGTTGAGAATTGGATAGGAACACAGCCACATATCATTCTGCCCCCAGCCCCTCCCAAATCTCATGTCCTCACATTTCAAAACACAGTCATGCCTTTCCAACATTCCCCAAAGTTTTAACTCATTCCAGCATTAACCCAAAAGTCCAAGTCCATAGTCTCATCTGAGATAAAGCAAGTCCCTTTTACCTAGGAGCCTGTAAAATAAAAGCAAGTTAGTTACTTCCTAGATACAATGGGGTCACAGGCATTGGGTAAATACACCCATTCCAAATGGGAGAAATTGGCCAAAACAAAAGGGTTACAGGCCCCATGCAAGTCCAAAATCCAATAGGGCAGTCATTAAACCTTCAAGTTCCAAAATGATCTCCTTTGACTCTGTGTCTCACATCTAGGTCACACCTGATGCTGGGCTCCCATGCCTTGGGCAGCTCCATTCCTGTGGCCTTGCAGGGTACAACCCCCTTCCCAGCTGCTTTCATGGGATGGCATTGAGTGTCTGTGGCTTTTCCAGGTACACAGGTGCAAGCTATAGGTGGATCTACCATTCTGGGGTCTGGAAGACAGTGGCCCTCTTCTCACAGCTCCACTAGACAGTGTACCAGTGGGGACTCTGTGTGGGAGCTCCAATCCTACATTTCTCTTCTGCACTGCCCTAGCAGAGGTTTTCCATGAGGGTTCTGCCCCTACAGAAACTCATGCCTGGACATACAGGCATTTCTGTACATCCTTTGAAATCTAGGTGGAGGTTCTCAAACCTCAATTCTTGACTTCTGTGCACCCACAAACTCAACACCATGTGGAAGTCACTAAGGCTTGGGGTTGCACCTTCTGAAGCAATGGCCTGAGCTACACTTTGGCCCCTTTTAGCCACGGCTGGAGCTGAAACAGCTGGGATGCAGGGCGCCATGTCCCAAGGCTGCACAGAGCTGGGGGCCCTAGGCCCTGGCCCAGGAAACCATTTTTACCTCCCTAGGCCTCCAGGCCTGTGATGGTTCGGGCTGCCATGGAGGTCTTAGACATGCCTTGGAGACATTTACCCCATTGTCTTGGTGATTAACATTTGGCTTGTTACTTATGCAAATTTCTGCAGCTGGCTTGAATTTCTCCCCAGAAAATGGGTTTTTCTTTTCTATTACATCATCAGCCTACACATTTTCCAAACTTTTTTGCTCTGCTTCCCTTTGAATGCTTTGCCATTTAGGAATTTCTTCTATCAGATACCCTAAATCATCTCTCTCAAGTTCAAAGTTCCACTGATCTCTAGAACAGGGGCAAAATGCCACCAGTCTCTTTGCTAAAGCATAGCAAGAGTCACTTTTATTCCAGTTCCCAACAAGTTCTTCATCTCCATATGAGAGCACCTAAGCCTAGACTTTATTGTCCATATCACTATCAGCATTTTGGGCAAAGCCATACAACAAGTCTCTAGGAAGTTCCAAACTTTCCCACATTTCCTGTCTTCTTCTGAGCCCTCCAAACTGTTCTAACATCTGCCTGTTCCCCAGTTCCAAAGTCACTTCCACATTTTCAGGTATCTGTATGGCAGCACCCAAATCTCAGTACTGTATTAGTCCATTCTCATGTTGCTATAAGGACATACCCCAGACTGGGTAATTTATAAAGGAAAGAGGTTTAATTGACTCACAGTTCTACAGTGCTGGGGAGGCCTCAGGAAACTTACCATCATAGCAGAAGGAGAGGCAAACACATCCTTCTTCACATGGTGGCAGGAAGGAGAAGTGCCAAGCCAAGGGGATAAAGCCCCTTATAAAGCCATCAGATCTCATGAGAACTCACTCACTATCATGAGAACAGGTTGGGGGACCACCACCATGATTCAATTACCTCTCACCGGGTCCCTCCTGTCACATGTATGGATTATAGGAACTACAATTCAAGATGAGATTTGGATGGGGACACAGCCAAACCATATCAAGAGCAATTAAAAATATTAAAGGAAGTCTCCTGTAACTGAGATATGATAACTCCCCCATCCATCTCATAAACAGACACACGGCCAATAAATTATTATTCTTGAGCATAATTATTCTTTCCAAATTTGCAATAAACATGTGTTTTGACCAATGAGTTTCTGGTAAGGATTATACTATAAACTCAAGCTGGAAAAGTATTTAGTACTTAGAGCCTGATGTTAGGAAATTTTTTTAAAATCAAATTTCAATTTAGACTTTCATTGCAGAGAAATATGATAGGATGACAATAAAAGATTTTCACATATAAAATTATATTACATTAAAATAAAAATCTACAGAGAAATAGAATGAAAATACAAACTCTAGAGGGAAAAGAATTTAATATTTCTGACTTAAATAATAAGTTAAATTATTCATGTGGATTTTTTTCAATGGGTGCTGAATGGGCATTAAATGCCATTGTTATTAGGTTCCCTTAGACACATTTAATACCCAGAAGAGTGATATAGTAAGTTTATATTAAACTACCAACATTCACTAATACACTGGACATTACATCTTTTGTAACCACTTATATTTATGATTTTTGAAAGTTTAGATATCAACTCTGAAAAGTGTGAGGAAAGTATAGTTTTTCAAAATTCACTGAATGAGCAGACCACTGACATGTGGGAGCAAGGCCAGTGAACAAAGTTGTTATAAGGTGTTGTAGACACTAGGATAGAAGTTTCCTGTGGGTGTAGAAGGTCTGGAAGAGGAAGCTGTCAGTTCTGTTGAGAGAACCAAGAAAGGCTTTCCAAGCAGATCAATGATTTGTCTCAGAAATAAGTAGATAAGGTCGTGTGTGTGTGTATGTGTGTTTCCAACTTTATTAAGGAGATTCTCCTCACTCTTTTTTGGAGTTATGTAATCCTTTATTATCATTTCCTATGCCCAAACCAAGCCTTATTATAAATCAAGACATTGAAAAGGCCCTCTCTCATTAGCTCTTTCAGGATGACATGGGAGACAAATTAACTTTAAATCAACTTGGTGTATTTGTGATTTAAACAAGATAGAAGTTTATTCCTAACCTTCATAAAAGTTGGGCAGTTGGAAGTCCAAGGAAGGCACAATAGCTCCACAAAACATTAGAGACCCAGGATTCTTTTAGTTCTACAATCTGTCATCTCTTGGTAGGGCACTTGTCCTCCTCACCCAAGGTATCTGCTGGAGGTCAAACCATTCCTGCTGCATTCCAGTGAGAAGATAGAATGGGGAAAAGCAAAAGAAACCTCTCTCAGATGACTCCACCTTTGGTTTAAACAACCTTCCTGGAAATCCCACGCAACACTTCTGCTAACATTTAGTAGATCAGAACTTCATCAAATGATCCCACCTAGTTATAAAGGAGGCTGAGAAATGCTGTCTTTCTTCTGAATAGCCATAAGCCCATTTAAAAACTGAGGTTCTGTGAGTAAGGAAGAAAGGAAATCAGAAAAATGGGATGAACAAACAGGAGTCTCTGTCATACGTGATGCTTAATCTTAAACCTAAGGCCATCAAAATGATGACTTGGTGTGATCCTTCCCTTTATGTAACATTCTTCCTCTAACCCACCAATTACTACAGCACTTACATGACCATTGTGTTTTCCTTTTATTGTTGTTACTGCTTAGGTTATTTGATATCCCCACTGTGCTGCCATGTGTCTAATGGCACCTCAAACTCCACATGTCCCACACTGAACTCTACACCTGCTCCACTGCAGCTTTCCCGTCACGATTAATGGGCACTCCATCCTTCTGTGCTCATACCAGAAACAATGGAATCATCCTGCAGACCCAGAAATCAACCACCTCTGATGCTACCTCCCCCATCCACATCTCCATCACCTCTTACCTGGATGAGTGCTATTGTCCCAAACAGCCTTCCACTTGTATATTAGTTCCTTCTCACATTGCTATAAAGAAATACCTGCAACTGGATAATTTATAAAGAGGTTTAATTGGCTTATTGTTCCACAAGATGTACAGGAAGCATGATGCTGGCATCTGCTTGGCTTCTGGGGAGACCTTAGGAAATTTACAGTCATGGCAGATGGCAAAGAGAGTAGGCACCTCACACGGCTAGAGCAGGAGCAAGAGAGAGAGTGAGGGCAAGGTGCTACACACTTTTAAACAAGCAGATCTCATAAGAACTCACTACCACAAGAACAGCATCAAGGGGATGGTGCCAAATCATTCATGAGAAACCACACTCATAATCCAATCCCCTCCCACCAGGCCTCACCTCCACTATTGGGGATTACAATTGAACATGAGATTTGGCTGGGGACACAGATACAAACCATTTCAACCTGTTTCTCCCCTTACCCCTACCAAAGTCTGTTGTCAACATACACCAAAAGTGGCCTTATTTCAATGTAAGTCATAATTTTACTCCTCCCAAACCCTTGCAGTGGCTCCTTATTTCTCTCAAAGTAAAAACCAAAATGTTTGTAATTGCCAGAAGGCTGTGCCTGGTCTGGTGTCTCATGACCTCACTGACTTCATGTCTTCATACTTCCCCTCTCTCGCTGTGCATTGACCTCACAGCTGTTAGCTCCTCCCTTGAGGCCTTTGCTCCAGCTGTTCTCTTTAGAATGCTCTTCCCCAGGCAGGAATGACTAACTCCCTCCTGCCTTCAAGCTTTTGCTCAAATCTCACATTTCCCCATGACTACCTTACCAGCCCTGACTATATCTGAAAGTGGGGACTCTCAGATGCCCACTATTCTGCTCTTCTCTCCATGCATTTACTATCTTCTAACATGCTATCCAACTCTTTCCAGCATGAAAGTATTTATTATGTTTATTGTTTATTGCCTGTCTCTCCCCATCTGATATGGTTTGGCTGTGTCCCCACCCAAATCTCATCTTAAATTCTGTGTCATGGGGGGGAACAGTGGGAGGTAACTGAATCATGGGGGCAGGTCTTTCCCATGCCCTTCTTGTGATAATAAGTCTCACAAGATCTGATGGTTTCATAAAGGGGAGGTTTCCTGCACAAGCTCTCTCTCTTCACCTGCTACCATCCATGTAAGATGTGACTTGCTCCTCCTTGCCTTCCACCATGATTGTAAGGCTTCCCCAGCCATGTGGAACTGTAAGTCCATTGAACCTCTTTCTTTGGTAAATTGCCCAGTCTTGGGTATGTCTTTATCAGTAGCATGAAAACGGACTAATATACCATCTCTACCACCACTAGTTTCTTGTCTGTTTTGTTCACTGATGTATTCCAAGCACATATCACAGTGCCTAGAACATAGTAAGTGCTCAATATATTTGTTGAATGAAATCAAGTAATTTGTTCTCTTACTTAGCAAATTTATAGAAACTCTGTGTGAGGCATAGATTTGAGTGGATACAAAAGGAACAAGGTCGGCTGCCTACTCATACCTAGCTTATAATGTAGTAAAAGATAAAGAACTCTAATAGACATCAATGGGACTGAGTTTAATAGGACACAGGACTTCCGGAATGCCAGAGAAAAATTCAAAATGAGTATAAGACTCAGAAGAAAGCACATTTGCCTTTGCCTGGAATGATTGCAGATGGCCTTGTGGAGTATTTGAAGTGAACTTTGAAAGACAGGGGCTGGTTTGATAAGTGAACATAGAGAAAGAGGTGTTTGCAGATAATAAACCACCTTGGAAGGTATTAGGGTTAGCAAAAGGAAAGGACACCATCATATATTAATAATTTAATATTTATGTAAGTTATAGTCTTGCTAACATGATATTTATTTGGACTATAAGAGCTTTGTTGGAAAGGAGAGGTAAAGGTATTGAGTTATCTCAAACATTTAGGAACAAAGTGATATTTGGGACAATTTCATAAAGCATTGAACGTCAAGCTAAGGAATTTGACTTAATTTGTCTTACAGGGATCCGTTGTGGGGTTTGGAACAGGGAACTGGGGCAGGTGGATAGCATGATCATACCAGAGGCCAGCAAGCTCCTTGAGAGCAGAGATTTTGTCTTATTTATCCTTGGATCCCCAGTGCACACCACAGAACCTGGCATATTAGTGGGTGATTGATAAATATTTTTGTTTCAACCAGTGATTAGGGAGAATGTAAAAAATTTTGTCAAATAAACAGGTCACATTCTGGCAGCTGTAAGGAGGATGACTTGAAGAAAAACAATGAAAAAGGATGGTAAAACTCTGAAATAGGGTGGCTTCTATGAAAGGAATGATTGGGCACAAGTGACACTATGTAGGAAAAACCAAAAGGATTCAGACACTGATTGCAGATGAGGGTTGAGAGTGAACAATGAGTTCTCCCCCAAGACGACCTAAATCTACTCAATCATTATTCAAACCACAAGATTTTTAGCAATAGAACCAGATTCAGAGGTAAATGCAAGAATTCCAATGTGGGTTTAGAAACTAACATCTAATTAGAACAATCAACCTTAGTTTTTTTTGAGCAACAACTATAGGTAATTTTGGCAAATTCAGTATAATTCCAGGTATTTATCAGCTTGTAAATTTCAGGCTTCTGATGCTTGGATGTGGTAGCACAGAGAAAATTCTTGGGAGGCAGCAAGGGCTGTATGCAGAGCTTAGGTTTGAGTCTGCAGGCATAAGTGAGGCCTTCCTCAGCTACTCACTAGCTCTGTGGCCTCCCTAAGAAACCTGAGTTTTTTATGACCTATGAATTCATGATCAAAATAGTGGAGGGGTATGTGAGATTTAGATGAGGGCATGGAAAGTGCCTGGCACAGAGTTGGTGTTTGATAAATGTTAGTCTCTCCTCTCTATGCTGTTCTTCTTTTCTTAGTCTCTGGAATCCACCATGGTGCCCCTATTTCCACCGCGGTTCTGGCCAAAACATGCTTTCATGCATAATGACTCTTCCACAAAGGCTGTGTTTGCAATCATCTACTCTATTGTCTTTTAATCTGTACCAGCTTCCAAGCTAACCCAATTTTCTAGCATTTCCCTGGTGCTCATCTCCAAATACAGTTTCACCAGCAAATTTCCTAAGTATCCTTTTATTCTGTCTTCAGGAAGATTATTAATGAAGATGTTAAGTCAGGCTGGCATACATCACCATGCTTAAGGCCATCTTCCAGACATTTTTGTTCCACTACATGGGGATATGGTGTCATTTATCATTAGATCTTGTTACAGCTTTCTGGCCCTTGAAAAACTCATGGGAGGGCACTCATGTCCACATCTACTTGAATTAGTCTTGCAAGTGAACACGTGAGCGACTGAATTAAATGTCATCACAGGATTGAACATCTGTTACATCACACTAATCTATCACTCTTCTCTCCTAAATCTTTTCAATCAAAACAAATTAGTCTAGCATGTGATTTTCAATCAGCCTTCTCTTTTGTTGTGTGTAGCTCATGCCCAAAAGGAAATAATAGACCAGTTGATAAAAGTAACAAAATTTCATTACTGCTTCAAACATGGTCAAGTGGTAAATAAAGAATAATGACTCCTTGGCAATTAGTGAAATGAATAGCAATAGGACAGACTCTACAGAAGATGGATATGAGACTCAGTCAGCCTCATGAAACTTACCTCATAACAAAGCCTTGGAGATAAATGAGTGTGTGGTTTTAGAATCAAGAATAGTTTTAGAATCAAGAATAGTTGCAGCTTTCCTGACTTGTGTTTTCCTAATGGAGCATTGATTGTGTCACTAACAAGAGATTCTCCTTCCTCATTTGCTGAAAAAGTTGAACATCGTATGGGTGGCTCAGATACAGTAGGGGCATAATATAATGGGATGGTTTTTAGCCGCACTTCTGACTCCATTTCGTCACCAAATTATTTTCCTTGCTTCTTTTCCCTTACTTTTTGTTTAATTGTGGTAAAATACATGTAATATAAAATTTACCATCCTAACCATTTTGAAGTGTACAATTCAGTGGTATTAAGCACATTCATAATGTGCAATCATCACCACTACCCAACTCTAGAACTCTTTTCATCTTGTAAAACTAAACCCTGTGCCCATTAAACAATAATTCCCTGTTCCTCCCTCCCCTTAGTCCCTGGCAACCACCCATTCTACTTTCTGTCTCTAAGACTGTGGCTACTCTAGGTACCTCATACACATGAAATTATACAGTGTCTCTCACTTTTTATTGAATGTTATTGTCTTAGTCCATTTTCTGTTGCTTATAACAGAATACCTGAAACTGAGTAATTTACAAGGAAGCAAAATTTATTTCTTACAGTTATGGAAGCTATGAAAGTCAAGATAGAGGGGGCTGTACCTTGGTGAGAGTCTTCTTACTAGCGGAAACTCTGTACGGAGTCCTGAGGCATCTCATGGCATCAGAGAGGGGGCTGAGCATGCACAAGTGTTAGCTCTTCTCTCTTCCTCTCTTATAAAGCTACCAGTTTATCTTCCATGATAACCCATTAATCCATTAATCCATTAATAGATTACTCCACAATCCAATCACCTCTTAAAGGCCCCACCTCTCAATACTGTCACATTGTGGATTAAGTTTCAACGTGTGTTTTGGAGGGGACATTCAAACCATAGCAACTATCCTTTTATATGTTTTGTAAGATTATAACTACTCTTGAAACCAAATGGAGACTGAATAAACAAAATATTGCCTGAGGTCAAGAGGAGTTCTATTCTGTATCTATGAAGTCAATGGTACAGACATAATGTTTCCTAATTAGAACAAAACACAATTGAGTATAAGAAATATTCATCATTTAAATGGTTAATTGTTCAGATAAAAAGCATATTCAAAATAACAGGTCAAGGGAGAGATTGAATATAACACAGGTTCCCTCAAGGACAGGAATGTTAAGATAATTGAGCAAGGAAGCAATTGTAGATTCCAACTCACAGATTTAATCAGCTAAATGCCAAGGTGCTGGTCACAAAGATTACCGGCAGAGCTGCCTGCAAGGTAATGGTTCTCAAACCTTAGTGTACATATGAATTTATTACCACAAGCCTATCAAATCAGAACCATAATGACTGCGACTCAGGAGTCTGAATGTGTCACCAGCTACCCTGGTGGTTTGGGCTTAGGAGGTTCTTATCAGCGTTGAGAAATGATGGTCAGTGCAGTAGATTAGACCAGAGATTGTGAGGCTTGCCTCCATTCAGTTTGCTAGTATAATCTTGGATTATGTTATGACTATAGTGACATGGTATCCATTACTACCTATTTCACTGCTTCACTTTTTTTTTATTATTATTATACTTTAAGTTTTAGGGTACATGTGCACAATGTGCAGGTTAGTTACATATGTATACATGTGCCATGCTGGTGTGCTGCACCCATTAACTCGTCACTTAGCATTAGGTATATCTCCTAAAGCTATCCCTCCCCCCTCCCCCGACCCCACAACAGGCCCTGGTGTGTGATGTTCCCCTTCCTGTGTCCATGTGTTCTCATTGTTCAATTCCCACCTATGAGTGAGAATATGCAGTGTTTGGTTTTTTGTTCTTGCGATAGTTTACTGAGAATGATGATTTCCAATTTCACCCATGTCCCTACAAAGGACATGAACTCATCATTTTTTATGGCTGCATAGTATTCCATGGTGTATATGTGCCACATTTTCTTAATCCAGTCTATCATTGTTGGACATTTGGGTTGGTTCCAAGTCTTTGCTATTGTGAATAGTGCTGCTATAAACATACGTGTGCATGTGTCTTTATAGCAGCATGATTTGTAGTCCTTTGGGTACATACCCAGTAATGGGATGGCTGTGTCAAATGGTATTTCTAGTTCTAGATCCTTGAGGAATCGCCACACTGACTTCCACAAGGGTTGAACTAGTTTACAGTCCCACCAACAGTGTAAAAGTGTTCCTATTTCTCCACACCCTCTCCAGCACCTGTTGTTTCCTGACTTTTTAATGATTGCCATTCTAACTGGTGTGAGATGGTATCTCACTGTGGTTTTGATTTGCATTTCTCTGATGGCCAGTGATGGTGAGCATTTATTCATGTGTTTTTTGGCTGCATAAATGTCTTCCTTTGAGACATGTCTGTTCATGTCCTTCGCCCACTTTTTAATGGGGTTATTTTTTTCTTGTAAATTTGTTTGAGTTCATTGTAGATTCTGGATATTAGCCCTTTGTCAGATGAGTAGGTTTTGAAAATTTTCTCCCATTTTGTAGGTTGCCTGTTCACTCTGATGGTAGTTTCTTTTGCTGTGCAGAAGCTCTTTAGTTTAATTAGATCCCATTTGTCAATTTTGGCTTTTGTTGCCATTGCTTTTGGTGTTTTAGACATGAAGTCCTTGCCCATGCCTATGTCCTGAATGGTATTGCCTAGGTTTTCTTCTAGGGTTTTTATGGTTTTAGGTCTAACGTTTAAGTCTTTAATCCATCTTGAATTAATTTTTGTATAAGGTGTAAGGAAGGGAAAAATCACAAGCATTCTTATACACCAATAACAGACAAACAGAGAGCCAAATCTTGAGTGAACTCCCATTCACAATTGCTTCAAAGAGAATAAAATACCTAGGAATCCAACTTACAAGGGACGTGAAGGACCTCTTCAAGGAGAACTACAAACCACTGCTCAATGAAATAAAAGAGGATACAAACAAATGGAAGAACATTCCATGCTCATGGGTAGGAAGAATCAATATCATGAAAATGGCCATACTGCCCAAGGTAATTTATAGATTCAATGCCATCCCCATCAAACTACCAATGACTTTCTTCACAGAATTGGAAAAAACTACTTTAAAGTTCATATCGAACCAAAAAGAGCCCGCATTGCCAAGTCAATCCTAAGCCAAAAGAACAAAGCTGGAGGCATCATGCTACCTGACTTCAAAATATACTACAAGGCTACAGTAACCAAAACAGCATGGTACTGGTACCAAAACAGAGATATAGATCAATGGAACAGAACAGAGCCCTCAGAAATAACGCCACATATCTACAACTATCTGATCTTTGACAAACCTGAGAAAAACAAGCAATGGGGAAAGGATTCCCTATTTAATAAATGGTGCTGGGAAAACTGGCTAGCCGTATGTAGAAAGCTGTCACTGCTTCACTTTCTTTCTTACATTTAGCGTGGCCTGACTGAGCTATTGGAAGAGGGGCAGAGGCAGGAGTGAATGATGCTGGAAATAGATCCTCATTCAACCCTGCAGCAGAGGGTGAGCCGCAGGCCCTGCTGTTCTCCCATCATCATCACAGCCTTGAGACTAGACCTCATGGTTGTTTTATCTTTTGGGTTTTTTTTTCCTGGTCTGCCTCTGGGTCATCAAGTACAAACTGGAGGGAAAATGCTAGCGTCCGTGGAGCTGTGTTCAGCATGAAAGATCAGTATCTGGCTTCCCTCTCATTTATAACTCTTATTTTCTTTCTTTCTAGAATATGTCTGTGCTGGAGAATCATCACTGGCGATCTACAATTGGCATGCTTCGAGAATCAAGGCTTCTTGCTCATTTGCCAAAGGAAATGACGTAAGTGCTGCCGAGATGAAACATACTGATGTGCATGCAGTAAAGATAAGCCACTTTCTCTAGGGCAGGCTTGGGACCTTTTGCGTGAATGGCAGAGAGCCCCCCGGCTGTACTTCCTGCCTGCACTGAGCTGTCTATCAGAGGAGATTTGGTGTCAGTTACAGCAACCCAGAAACCAAAATCTCTCTGTGTGCTTTGAAAGGGCCTTGCAGAGTCAATGACCTACAGTCAGGAAAAGGGATAATAAACAGCTCTCAGTTTTCACACGCTTCAGTATCAGTGCTCGACTTTGCCAAATTCCCGACCTTTAGTTTAGCAAAATTGTCCTTCCATGTAGCTCCAAATAGTAAATATTTATCAAGAAGGAACCCAGGCATTCTAAAGCTAGAGTTCAAAAAAGTATATTTTGTAATTGCTAGTCTCAGCAAAAATAGAAGTCAGAAATTCTTTTCTAAAATGTCTTTTGCTAAGTAATTGAAATGGCCCTAGCATTTTTTTCACCAATTAATTTACCTTACGTCTCTTGCACTTTAAACAGAAGGGGAGACACTCATTTTCTGGTTCACTATTTGATAGCCATGGTATGTAGGCTGAGTCCCACTAAATCTGAGGCCATTGTTTCATTTTCCTGGTGGCCCCAAGTTAGCTGCTAATACTGTCTTCCAAGGCCACCATTAATTCTGATCTGTTTAATGAACACGTGCAGAACCCAAGAAACCTAGGTGAAAAGAGTACATAGATTGCTGTACCCTTCTTCAAGACAAGCACATAACTTGAGGTCAAGGACCAAGTGCTGTCTCCCAACTGAACAAGCAGTATACTCTGGGTTGTGGATTGATTCCTGGCCCTCTGATTTGATCTCATGCTGTTTCCTAGCACCCAGAGGAATGTGAAATTTGCAGGAGGAATTTCAGTTCTGATAAATTTTTACTCCCTGGAACTAAATAAAACCAGTTCTCGTGCATGGAATAAAAACTTATGCCTCTTACTAGAATAATAAATTGCAAAGATTGAAAGAATTAAATGCAAAAAGAACTAAAAACTAGAGCAAAAGATCAAGTGAGAAGAAGAAAAGAGGAGGTAAGGAGAGAGACAAGGAAGAAAGAAGGAGAAGGAAAGGAAGAATAGTGAGGACAGGAAAGAAGAAAATGCAAGGGAAATGGGAAAGGACTCTGGGGTGACCAGACTTCTCCTGGTCAGTACCTGCATTCATCCTGTTTGTTACTCAATATTTCTTTCCTAAAATATTCATTTCACATCTATGGATTCCAATGAAAAATATATTTTTATGTGTCTTTGTGGAACACAGTGTTATAAATTGTTTTTGCCAGAAGAATAATTGTTATACAATAATATATGTGAAAACTTTATTACAAAAGCCATTATCATAATCATTATTATTCCTTCTATCACAGGTAAATGCTTTAATGTCATTTTTCTGATTTTAAAAGTAGGGCAGGTTAATTGTAGAAAGTAAGGAAAATTCAGGAAAGTGTTAGTTTGAACTATGTGAAGTTGCTCTTTTTAAGGGCCAAAAACAGGAGACTTTTAGCACTTTCATATGTTTCAGCTTGATATGAAAGAGAAAACTGAAACTGCTAGTAATCCTGCCATCCAGGTATAGTTCATGTTAACCTGGCTAGTTTATTTTCTTTTAGTCTTTTTTCAATACAAACTTATTTTAACAAAATATGATTATATTTGGGGAACTTATTTTACAGTTTACGTCCTGAAATTTTTTATTTACAATAAAGACTTTTTTCCAAATCATTAAACCTGTTAAATTAAAATGATTTTGTCAGCCGTATGGCATTATTGTATACCACTACTGCCTTTCATTTGGAATTCAAATGGTTTCCAATATCCCAAACTTTGATACTCTGTTTTCTCAGGAAGTATTTGTAGATAAAAATTATTGGTCAGAAAGGTCTGAACTTTTAAGTTTCTTGTATATTATCCAGTTGTTCTTCTAAAAGGCTGTATCTACCTGTATTCCAACTGATGGATTGTAAGAAAATGTACCAATGTACCATCACCAAAATTGAGTTTATTTTTATCTTTTTAAAATATTTGCAAATTTGACATATATGTATGTATATACACAAATATATATGTAAAGTGGTTTTCATTAAATTAGTATGCATCCTTTACTTACAACCAAGATTGAAATTTTTCGTATATTTGCTGATCATTGCTATTTCTTTAGAGAACACATTTTTATATTTGGTCTCTTCCTATTTTCCTATCAGTGTTATTCATTTGTTAGAACTCTTTGTATATTAACTACAGTAACCATTTGTTATATGTGGTAAATATTACTTGAAGTTTTTAGTTTGCCTTTTGATTCATGAAACATTTCACCTAATTAAAATAATTTTATTTTCCAATTATAAATTCAGTAAGTATTCATATCTTCAAAGAATTCATATAATTTTGAGAAGTATAAATAAAATATCAACCATAATCCCATTATAGATCTTTTCAGTTTATTTTCTGTGACCATAGAGATCATGCTTTACATGCTTTGCATTTTGTTTGTAGCATTAAAAAGATGACATTTTTCAATGTCAATTACTATAGCTGTACATTGTACTTCATAATTGCACAATATGAATGTACCATGGTTTATTTAACTAATCTCATAAATTTTTGTGATTTTTTTCCCCCACGGAATGCTTCATTATTGTAAATAACAATAGAATACGCATCCTTGTAACATATCTTTACTAATTATATCTTTACTAACATGTTAATGTTAATTTGTAGATGGACTGTTGGTCAGATTATTTATGTTCATCAAATGCTTTTTCCACTAATTCCTAAATTACCCTCCAGAAACATTGTACTAATTTATACTCCCTAACAAAGAATGAGGGGAACCATTTTTCTCGTACTATTGATAGCATTGGGTATTACAATCTTTCAATAATTCAGCAAATTACTTAGCAGTTACTTTTAATCCTCACCAATAAAAATGGGAGAAATAATATCACATTGTGGTTTTAATTTGCTTTCTGCTATACTAAGAATATTTAATATCACTTTATTTTTTGAGATATTTTGTATTTCTCTTGTGAATTTTCTGTTTTATATAATTTTTTATGTTCAGAACTGGATTAAAGATGTAGTATGGCTTAAAAACAAAAATGTTTGTGGTGAAACTATAAAGCTTTTAGAATATGATGTAGGGAAATTTTCATCAGAGTTGGGAAAAGTTTCTTAAAGAGGAAAAAAAAAACTAGCCATAAATAAAAAGATTTATAGATTAAGCTACATTAAAAATTAAGACTTCCTGGTGGCACTGTGGTTCATGCCTGTAATCCTAGCACTTTGGGAGGTGGAGATGGGAGGATCACTTGAGGCCAGGAGTTCGAGACCAGCCTGGTCAACATAGTGAAACCCCCATCTCTATTTATAAATTTAAAAATAAAATTAAAATGATAAAAATTGAGACTTCATCAATAGACATCATAAAGACAGCTAAAAGACAAACCACAGACACAATATTTGCAACACGTAGCTGACAAAGGACCAGTATTTAAAATATGCAAAGAACCTCAGAAACAATAAGAAAAAGACAACTTAATAGAGTAGACAAAAACTAGAGTAGAAACTTCACAAAAGAAGTACAAATGGCCAATAAAGACATGAAAATATGTCTAGCCTCATTAGTAAACAAAATTCATATTAAAACTACAGTGAGTTGCATGACATGCCCATCAAACTAGCAAAAAATGTAAAGGGTAAGAATGTAGAACAATGAGAATCTCATCTGCTACTGCTGGGAGCAAAAATTTATACCATCATTTTGAAAATAATTGGCATTATCTAGTAAATTGAAGATAAACATACCCTGTCATCCAATTATTGCATTCCCAAATATAGACCCCAGGGAGACTTCTGCACATGCGTAACTAGAGGTATATAAGAATATTTACTGTGGCTTTTTTCATAGTAGCCAAACACTAGAAAAAACTCAAGTGACCATGAAAAGTAGAATGGATAATGGAATGGATTTCATTATCAATGGAATTTTATACAGTGGCATACACTGTAACAAAAAAGGATCAACTATAGCCTACACATCATGAAGGAATTTCAAAAACATAATGTTTAGCTAAAGAAGTCAGTCACTGATACATACCATATAACTTAAAGTTCAAAAGCAGTTAAAATTAAGTTGCGTGGTTTATAGATGCACTCACAGGTGGTAAAATCATAAGTAACAAGAAAATTGTTAAAACAAAGAGCAAGAAAGTGGTTACTTCCAGGCTTGAAAGGAAAGGGGATGTGATGAGACAGGCAACATGACCTCTGGGGTACTGGCAGGCAGTGTTCTTGACCTGAGTGGTGGTTACAAGGTGTTCATTTTCTATTTATTCATTAAATTATGTATGTATTCCCTATGCATTCTACTTAAATATATTTCATTTTTAAAGGTAAATTTTACAAATATTTATGGATTGTTCCTTTATTACTTTTTATATGTGAGGGAAAGCTCCAACTTGCTTTACCTTTCTAAGATATCCCATTTTCTCTATACCATTTGTTGACTAATATATCTCTTGCCCACTGGTTTGTAACAGTGCCTTAATTAGTTTTTGTGTTTGAAGTTCCAGAATCTCTTCCTGGCCTATGTATTGTGTTCCGTTGATGGATCTTTCCATCCCATGGTACCCTTTACTATTATTGTCTTCATTTTTATTACTATTGTTATGCCCTTTTCTCTCTCCGTGCACATCTTCATGTTTGAACTCTAAAAACACACCGCCAATCTCATGATTCTACAAGTCTTTTGTGTCCTCCCTAAAACATGCATTTCTATTTGGCTTTCAGATTTTTTCACCCATAGAAATGTCTACACTACCACAACTTTGTTTTTCAAGGTTTCAATCACTTTATACAGTTCTTGGCATGCTTCCTGTCCAAGGACGCAACTGGTGGGTGGGAGACTTGCTCTCAGGCAGTGAAGGACTGGCACATTGTGTAATAAACAGAATCAAAGGCAGAAATTAGATTACAAGCCACCTGATGATGATAAAATCAATCACCCTCATCAAAGGGATTTGCTTTGTGTGTGTTTTTCTCTTTCATTCTTGTGGATGCAGACAGGATATTGAACAGCAGCTGGGCTCCTTGATCTTGGCAACAGACATCAACAGGCAGAATGAATTTTTGACCAGATTGAAAGCTCACCTCCACAATAAAGACTTAAGACTGGAGGATGCACAGGACAGGCACTTTATGCTTCAGGTAAACGAAACAATAAAAGCCATTCTTTTTGCTGAGTGAAAACACTCAGCTGGGCTGGGTGTGGTGGCTCACATCTGTAGTCCCAGCTACTTGGGAGGCTGAGGCATGGGGATCACTTGAGTCCATGAGTTCAAGGCTACAGTGAGCTATGATTGCACCACTGCACTCCAGCCTGGGTGACAGAGTGAGATCCTGTCTCTAAAAAAACACAAAACAACAACAACAAAAATCCACTCAGGGCCATGATCAATAATTTTAGCACATTTGAGAAGGAGTTATCTCCGATGGTATGAGTTAGAGCAGTGACCTATTTTAGTAAAGGCTTTGAAATGCATGAAAGTTATAAGTGGTTCCCAACTAAGCAAAATCTGGGTTTTAGGTCAACAAGTTGATAAAGCTCATTTTTCTTGTTCAGTAACTGATTTATCACAGAGTAATCCCGCTGGATGCAGTAAAGGTCTACCGCATTTGGTGGCTTGGTATAAAATCAGCTACTGCAATACCCACACATTTTAAAAGACTGTTTCTGAAACACAAAAGCATATTATATTAACTATAGTACATACAAAAATTGGAAAACAAGTGACCTCCCTTTACCTTAAACCTATTTAACCTGCTTTATTTCCTTTTACTACCTAAACTTCTATTTTCATCTGAGTCTTAAACATTTTTATCTGGTCTTATTTTTAGGCAGCAAAAAATAAAATTGAACTGAATTGAATTACATTGGATCAAGTCCATTCCTTTCTGTTTTACTCCACGGCAAGAAGCCATTTGTGACATGACAAATTACATCAGGGCAGAGTGGATGTCACAAATAAAAATGTGACCTGGTATCCAAACCAGAACCTTCTTTCTTGATCTTCCATTTTCTCTTGTCTTCCTTCTTTTCTTTTGGTGCAAAAAAACATAGTGAATGGACCTAGACTCATCTAGATAGATGAGATGGAGCTACACCTGGAGATTGAATGGTGCAGTCTTTTTTGTTCCAGGCTTTCATGCTACCCTTTGTAGCTGTCCAAAGTGCTCCATCTTTGCCAGGAAATACCCTACTCCCAGCAGTAGAACTATGACTCCTTCCTTATTTCTTTCCAAACTAGGCTTCTAGTCCCTGAATGCCACAAGGATCAACCAGGTGTCTGATTTGAGTGACTAAAGCCAAGTTGTGAATAGCTGAAAGATTTGGCCTTGAACACTTGCATTTCGAAAGAAAGCCTTGCTAACTCAAATGCATTCCTTAAGGCAGAGGCTGGAGGAGGCTTCTCTGACACTTACCTCTACTTCAACATGTACTGGTACCCCCACTAACCAGGAAATAAATATAAACAACTAAATTTGCAAGTTGATATGATCCAAGGGTCTTCCAGACCCCAACATTGCTATCTGTTCTGTGATGCCAAGGAATTGGGTCAAACCAATGGACACTGCTGGTCTCTTGGTAGCAGGTGGTGGTTAAAAGAGAATCTGCTTCTCTGGGAATTCAAGGTAACCCTCATAGGGTCATCATTACTGACAAAAAGCTGGCATCTCAGATCCAGACCAGTGTGAGGCAAGTCAAGAAGGCCCTAATTTAGCTGTGCAAACAAAGCATTCCTGGGTTTGATACGACTTCATTCCCTGACTGGCAGTCTGAGCTTACACATGCAGACATAAATGCCAACACACATAATTTAAGTGATGTATGGGGTTTGTCAGTGTGGCTACTGTGAGAGTGAGGTCCAGATGACCTCACTTGAGCCTGGCCAGGGACCATGCAACCTCCCTGCATGCAGGAGGTGGAGCTACAGAAGGAGCCAGGCCATGGCTTTCCTTGGCCTGCCCACCCAAGTCTCTTCCAGCAAGCTCCATGTCCTTGGACTGTGGCTCTTCTCTCCTCACTGCTATAAAGCCAGCATTCTCAATGCAGGCTTTGTATCATGGTGAATAAGTGCAGTTTCCTGAAGAGGCATGTCAGGGAGGTACTCTGTAAATATGGGCCTGGTACTGTGAGCAGACTGAACAGCTTGATAGCCTCTTTGGCTTGGGGTGCTTTTGCAACTGAAAGAACATCCTCTCACAATTTCTCCCCGCCCTGTCATTTCTCAGATCGCCTTGAAGTGTGCTGACATTTGCAATCCTTGTAGAATCTGGGAGATGAGCAAGCAGTGGAGTGAAAGGGTCTGTGAAGAATTCTACAGGCAAGGTTAGTAGTGATCCAACAGCTGAGATTTCATTGCCCTGTCTTCTTTTAGGCATTTATCCTAATAAAACAGGAAATGGCTGATCTATCATGACATTTGTTCTCTCATCAACTCTTGTTATCCTAACCTTTCTCTTTTACTCTCTTGGAACTCATCCAACCCTTTTTCGGAAAAAGTTAAAAATAAATAACATTGACGTATTGACTTACTACAGAAACAGGTAGTAATGAGGCAAAATAAAAATGAGCAAAAGTGGGACATTGATTATAAATGGCTCTCCTCTGTGGATATAAGAATGTGTGGGATAGTTTGATTTTGACTTTGACCTTCATTTTAATGAGCTGAGTGCAGCCTAAAGGCTAAATGTCATTTGAGGTCAATGTTTTCCACTCTGACAGAAGGACTTAGACTCCTTTTGTATTCCTTCTCCTTGCTTTCTTAAAAAAAAAAAAATAATGAAATTGGACACAGCTGACCAAAAAGTGAGTTCTTCCTTTCAAATATAGTTTCAACAGTGAGGTAGAAGGATTTTGCTGTGAAAAGACAAATGGCCCTGAATTAGGGTATAATTTTTAAAAGATTAACCTCATTCAGAAATAAAGCAATGAATTAGCAAGCAGGATCTTGATGTTGGGTGGGGTATCAACCTTTAAATACAGCCTTGTTTCTTCAGGCTGGGTTTCAATGTGCAGGATGTTTGTTCAGGCATCAACAGTGCCCTCATGCTAGTGACAGAATCAGGTTTGAGAGGCTGAGAACAAATAAAGCTTGAAGTGTCCCACATACCAGCTCTGTGGGGAGGTCAAATAGCAACAGTGAGCCTTTTGGAGAAGGCACCATTGAAAGATGTGTCAATGACATCGTGATGGCCCCAAAGACAGAAGAATTGATTGAGCTCATGTGGGGCCAGAAGTCTCTACTCACTGTATCTTTCTCTCAGAATAAAAGTGCTCATGTAACTCCTACAATTCTGTATATAATTTCACTTGAATTGAGTAAAAGTGGTTAGAAATCAAAATCTCAGCTCTAGTTGCCCCTAAATAAAATCTCCAAGGAAGGTAAGACAAAAGGAAACATGATGAAATTGGAGCTAGGGGGCTTTAAATTAGATATAATCAATATTTTCTTTACTGTTTGATATGTTGAATATTGAAATAGCATAGTGAGAGAGGGGCTAAGATCTCTGTCCTTGCAAATCAAACAATGAAACAGAGGAAAGAGTCTACTCTAGCCCACTTGGTTTTGACTCAATCATGCCCAGCATGATTAAAGTACACAAGTCAGCATCGACTGCAGTGTAAACCTTTTATTTTCTCATCTTGCACCTTATTTGGATTCTGAGCACCTTGGGGCAGGACCATGTCACTTATGTAGATAGTAAGGCCCATAGTGCCAGTAAATCAAAGTTGTCAACTAAGTACAGTAAATGGTATCAACCAAGAAATGTAACCTATAAGATCTCTTTTCTTGGGCCTGGTGCAGTGGCTCATGCCTGTAATCCCAGCACTTTGGGAGGCTTAGGCAGGTGGATCACCTGAGGTCAGGAACTTGAAACCAGCCTGGCCAAATGGTGAAACTCAGTCTCTAATCAAAATACAAAAATCAGCCGGGCGTGGCGGCACAACCTGTAGTCCCAGCTACTCGGGAGGCTGAAGCAAAAGAATTGCTTGAACCCAGGAGGCGGAGGTTGCAGTGAGCCAAGATGGTGCCACTACACTCCAGCCTGGGCAACAGAGCAAGACTCCGTCTCCAAAAAAAAAAAAAAAAAAACCCTTTTCTCAAAACTGCTTATTGTCCTAGTAATATATGCATGCATTATAAGATGGAAAAACCTAGAACATTTGTAACACTGATCTCTAAAGGCAGGCTTCCATGTACCTTCCTCTGGCATGTTTCCTGGCAGAGGAAGAATAGAAAGTATATCTAGTCCTTTTTATTTAATAGCCTTATGGTCTAGTAGAAATTCTGCTTGTTTTAAGAGAAGATTATAGGCTGGGCATGGTGGCTCACGCCTGTAATCCCAAGACTTTGGGAGGCCAAGGCGGGCGGATCATGAGGTCAGGAGATAGAGATCATCCCGGCTAACACGGTGAAACCCCGTCTCTACTAAAAATACAAAAAAAAATTAGCCGGGCATGGTGGCGGGCACCTGTAGTCCCAGTTACTTGGGAGGCTGAGGCAGGAGAATGGCATGAACCCGGGAGGCAGAGCTTGCAGTGAGCCAAGGTCACGCCACTGCACTCCAGCCTGGGTGACAGAGCGAGACTCTGTCTCAAAAAAAAAAAAAAAAAGAAAAAGAAAAAAAAAAGAGTAGATTCCCTGGTCATCCAAACTGCCTGTCCTCCCTACTGAATTATTATTTTTTTAATTCTATAAGGATGACTTGTGTCATTTTGATTTATCTTTCAGTTTAAGATTTGGACTCATCTCAGCTCATTCCAGCCTGCTCCTGGCAGGCAGGCTTCCACAGACTACTAACTGTCCTGGACAAAGTACCTTTAATGTGATTCATGATGTTAAGCAAAGGAAAACCCTTAAAATCAAGGTTGAGGACACAGGGGGAAAGGAAAACAAGAACCCATGAATTAGAAAAACTGTTTCATTCTCAGAACAGAGATTAGGACTCCAAATACCATATATCTCCCTCCTCTCCCCGAAAAAACCTTAAAAAATTAGACTTTGTCCTCTTGTAACTACAGATTGATATCATCTCAACCTAGTTTCCTAGAACATTTTATTGAACATCTGCTTCCAGCCTTGTCTAATCCTCAACAAAACTGATTATCCTATGTGCAAAGCCCCATTGGAGATATTATGAAGAATGCAAAGAACTACAGGTAGTCTATGCTTTGTACTCTCAAAGTACTAATTAGTATAGTTTCCAGAGGAAAGAAACTATGCAAATTTCCCCTTTATATTCTCTACATTGGTTAGCAAAGTGTCTGAAACATAAACGTGTTGAATAAGTGAATGAATAAATGATCTAATTGGAAAACCTCTAATGATAGTGGTCACAGGAGAAGATCCAGTACCTTGAAAGGTAGAATCTGAGCTCAGTTTTGAGTGATGTGCATTGTTCTATACTTTCCAATATGGTAACAAGACACATGTGACTGGTTAAATTTAAATTAAAAGTTAATAAATAAAAAATAGAGTTCCTCAGTCTTGATCATATTTCAAGGGGCTGCCACAGTGGGCAACGTAGAGAACATCTCCATCATTGCAGCAAATCCCATTAGAGAGCGCTGGTCTAGATAGAATGGAATGGAAACCACTGAGGCCGGGATGCACCCTGCCTTGTAGACCAGCTCAGTCTCATAGAAGATAAGAACGAGAGGATTGTGGAGGCCCCTGGGCACCAGGCTACAGTAGAGAACATGACAATGGGAGTTATCTCAGAAAGTGCATTTAGGGCAATATATACAGTTGAAGTGGAAGAAGAATTGGAGGAAGAAAACTAGCTAAGAAGCAACAACTAAGAATAAATTATCAACACACCAGACCAGGTTAAAGCAGAGTGAAAGGGGGCAAAAAAAGTTCTTCTAAGAGGGAGAAACAGGATGTGAAACAAGATTTAAGAGGAAGAAACAAGCAGGGACCCTTGCAGGGTCCCCAGCCAGGCTCAGATGAGATGGAGGGTGAAGGGAAGGGAGAAGTCAAAGACAACTCCTCCAAAGTGTCACACTTGACTGAAAAATCACTATTAACAGAATTACGGAGGTGAGGAGTGAAACTGGCTGTAGGAGAGTTTGTCTTAATATTATATGGTGTTCTGGCCTGCCCTCAGAAGGCTATGATCATCTGGAGTTGAAGAGTTAGGGTGGCCAGACTGCCCTGAACCACTCAGGTTAAGCCCGAATGATTTCCTCACTTCAGCCTTGAGGATTACCAGGCACAAGAGACCCCAGGAGGCAGACTACAGTCTTAAAATGACAGAACTGCAGCCTCTGTAGGGCTTCAGCTCAATGGTTAAGTGCAGACACTTTGAAGCCAAACTTCCTATGCTGGAATCCAGGCTCCCCACTTTACTAGTGGTGTGACCTACTAGCAACATACTGGGTCAGCATTTAACCCTCCCTGTGTCTCAGTTTCTTCATCTGTAAAATGGGGATTATAATAAGGTTGTTATTTGGATTAAATTAATTAACATATGCCTGGGAGGAGGGCTCACACCTGTAATCCCAATGCTTTGGGAGGCTGAAGCAGGAGGATTGCTTGAAGCCAGGAGTTTGAGACCAGCCTAGGCAACGTAGAGATCCTATCTCTATTTAAAAAAAAAATGAACAAAACAATATTAGCCAAGAGTGGTGGTACATGCCTGTAGTCCCAGCTACTCAGGAGGCTGAAGCAGGAGGATCCCTTGAGCTCAAGCGTTCAAGGGTGCAGTGAGCTATGATGACACCACTGCACTCTAGCCTGGGTGACAGAGTAAGAGCCTGCCTCTTACAAAAAACAATGACAATTTTTTATTAACATATGTAAAATGCTTAGAACGTGCCTGGCACACGGTAGTCACTATATAAATGTTGTGTTTTTATCTCTTCTACTTTAGCAGAGTAGATTCATAACTGAACCTTCCACTCATTAACCAGATTGTTTTTTCCAACACAAAAATTACTCAATTTGTTATGCTCAGGAAGGACTGATGAAGTATTTCAATAAAGTTTTGTACAATACATTTCTCCTTTGATCTTCTATTAGGTTGGTGCAAATGTAATTGTGGGTTTTGCCACGGAAAGTAAGGGCAAAAAAAACACAATTACATTTGCACCAGCCTGATAGCTGACCAAGGCATTAAAAAAAAACATTTTGAGCTGGGTGCAGAGGCTCACACCTGCAATCCCAACAGTTTGGAAGATGGAGGCAGGAGGATAGCTTGAGCTCAGAAGATTAAGACTAGTCTGGACAACATAGCGAGACCTCATCTCTACTAAAAATAAAAATTTAAAAATATACATTAGCCGGGCATGGTGGTGCATGCCTGTAGTCCAAGCTACTTGGGAGGCTAAAGCAGAAGGGTTGTTTGAGCCTAGGAGTTTGAGGCTGCAGTGAGCCAAGATCATGCCACTGCACTCAAGCCTGGGTGACAGAATGAGACTCTGTCTCAAAAAGAAAAAAAGAAATACCATTCTGACCTTTATACTTTTTTTCACCTTCAGTTGCATTAGGTAAAATTCTAAGGAATCAGAATGGGAGATTCTGATTAATTTTGTGGTTACAGAGTGAGGTGCTACTCAGATGAGATCTTTCTAGTCCTTCTACCTCATTTCCTACCTACTTACTGTTCCTGGTTGTCCTCAGGTGAAACAAGACTAGGGTCAGGCAGCGTGAAAGTAGAGGAGGGAGAAGGAAGGACAAAACCTGTTTTCTTAACCTGTCACTTAAAGCCATAACTTTTATTTCATGTGAGGAAATTTCTCATTTGTTTTCTTGTTTTTGTAGGTCTTGTTCAAAAGTTTATTCTAGTCCCAGAGCACACCTACTAGCAATAAGCCATTATGAACGGTCATTGGCACTGTGGTATTTTAAATTTTTACGGAAACTACTGAAGTAAGGCAGAGCAAGTCGGTGCTGAAGGGTCCCTAAGGGATAACAAGTCAGGAAACAGTAATTCCCAGAATAACTTCTTCCGACGAGGTCATTAAAATTATTAATACTCATTTTATAAGTTCTAGATTACCAATGTGTTTTTTTCTTTCTTTCTTTCTTCTTAGGTGAACTTGAACAGAAATTTGAACTGGAAATCAGTCCTCTTTGTAATCAACAGAAAGATTCCATCCCTAGTATACAAATTGGTGAGTTGAATTCAGTGTTAATTCCAAATAAATACCTTTGGCACATCTCACAAAAGTGACAAAGAAAAGATCTAAACACAGCTTTCAAAAGATCAGCACTGGAGGTTTAATCAACATCCTTTTGAATGGCTGAGTCCAAATTAATACTTTAATCATGACTAATCTACTAGCTAATTATCTATTGAGAACTTATGAAACCTAGGATCGAAGCTTTGTTATAGGCCCTTAACTAACTTGTATTATTTTAATTTGGTAGTTTAGAATAGAATCAAAACCAAAAAGAGTAGAAGAAAAGTAACAGGAATCAACTATTCATACTCTCTGCAGGGCTTGAAGGTGGGAATCAGCAGAATCTGCCTTTAGGACCCTTCCAATCTGGGTCGCTACCCCTCATCCCTAATGCTCGCTCCCAAGAACCCAATCTCTAGGCCTAGAGCTTGTGAGCCATGCTATCCCGCCGCATCCTGGGATTCCCAGTTTCACTAGTCCTTCCTTCAAAACTTATTTTCAGGTTATTCTCCTAAAACCACACTCTCTTTCAAGTGTCACTGGTGGGAAACTGTTGAAGTATGATGCCAATGCATCCAAAATAATTATTGCTTTATCTAATTAAGTTATGCATTAGACCAAGAAGCAAATCAAACTGTGGAAATTTTAGGCACTTTAGCGGAGGAAATATTTTTGCTTCGGTAAGACTTTCTATCACACCTTAAGACACTCCATCACGTCCACCCACCTTTAAAGCAAGTCTTTCTTTTCCTTGCAGTTCCCTTCCATTGAATCCGAACTCAGAACTTTAACTCTTTTCCTTATAAACTCTGACCCTGACATGTACCAGTTCATGTTTTATACCTGTTCCTATAGACTTCAGACAGCTGAACGCATTCACAGTGCTACAGACCTTTGCAAGGCTCAAAGTTTAATGCTTTGACATTGGTAGGGAAGGGGGTATCTGAAAACATAAGCTGAAAATTAAGAAAACCAGGGTAAGTTAGAATTACATAATATCACTGAAGGTCAAATCTAATCCACCGTCCCACAGTGGAGTCATAAAATCATCCTCAGGAAATAAGGACAAAATAAATCTAGCTATAAAGATTTCAATGGAATATACAACTATTAAAATAGGTATGTTCGATTATTGAGCATTTTTTTTTTTCAAATTGTCCTTAATATTGTTATGTAGTTTTCACAATCAAACCAATTCCTCCACCCCAAAGCTGGGAGCTGGGGATGGTGGCATAGAAAAAATACAACCCAGAAAAGATAATACAGAGTTGCTGGGTGGCTTGCAAGGGAATATCAGCAACAGAAATGCAGCCTCAGCCTCCTGGGAGGCAATTCTCTCCTATCAATTGCCTTAGCCATGGAGGTTCTGCAGACGTGATTCAAAATTAGATGCTAACCAAAGTCCTAATCCTGAGGCTCCCTGTGTTAAGCTCCAGCTGGAAAGAAATTTACCAGGCAACTGTCAATGACATTTTGAACCCCCCAAACAAAAGGACTCACGTGGTTCAGCACACAACCTGGATTTGTGAGACAGACCTGATTTCAGAGATTCTGTCCTGTTGTTGTCATGAGAACACACTTATTTTGTCAGATCATATGTCCTGATTTTCAGCTCAGGAAAATGTGGTTACCATAGATACCTCTTTTAAAAAGGGGCTGGGGGTTGAGTGAATAGGGAAATCCTATGGATGCTACACCAGCACACCAATAATAAAGAGAAAGGGAAGGTGATTATAAAACAATCCTTAGTACATAGATCTTTCTCTGCCTTTGCTCCACATCTGCCAGCTCGTAGAGGTTGAGGGTTGGGAAGTGGGGTGGCAGGGACAGATCAGGCTAAGCCAGAAAAATCCAAAGAGATAAATGGAACTTGGTGGATGCTACAGGCTCTAGCCCCCAAGACAACAATTTTTCCAGTGGGTCTTCAGTAATGCAGCTATTTCCTCTGTCCTTATTCCTCTCTGACTGAAATGTTCCCCTGTTTTTCCTGCCTCAATCCAAAATGAGAATTTTCTGAGATCTACTCTCAGGCTTAGATCTGATTTTTCTTTTTAAGTAATTTATATCTACCCAAGTGGAACTAGGGCTTAATATCTCCTCCCCAACTCCACGCTTCCCTCTCTCTACCAAATTCTACATTTTAAAAGGAAGATATTAGCCAGGCGGGGTGACTCATGCCTATAATCCCAGCACTTTGGGAGGTTGAGGCGGGCAAATCCCTTGAGGCCAGGAATTCAAGACCAGCCTGGACAACAAGGCAAAACCCCATCTCCACAAAAAATACAAAAAAATAAAATTAGCTGGGTGTGGTGGCATGTGCCTGTAGTCCCAGCTACTCAGAAGGCTGAGGCAGGAGGATCACCTGAGCCCAAGGGGTCAAGGCTGCAGTGAGCCATGATCATGCTACTGCACTCCAGCCTGGGCGACAGGGTGAGACCCCATCTGTTAAAAAATTAATTAATTAAAACAAAAAAAGGTATTAAATCAAATGAAGCTCTAATTGGTGAAATCTATAGAAGGCTAAAGAGAAAGAGGTTTTCCTTCAATCCTTGTCTACTCTGAGGCTACCATTCCTCCCTACTCCCCCTTCCTCCCCGCAACCCCCCGTCACCCCACCATCCCTCCAGGAGGACAACAGCCCAGCAATGTCAGCTCATCCCTTGAGAAAAGGGAGGTTGGCAGAACACACTGATGGAACAGGTTTCCAAATCTGATAATGTGGAAGCCTTCCTTAATTTGAAAAACTGCCTCTTGGTGTCTATTCAGACTTTAAAATCAGTTTCCTACCTAGCATAAGAAGTCTTTATATCTGAAAGTATAAATACAGATATAGTGCCAGGGTCACTTAAGAAAATGAGGCTTTTCTTTTTTTCGAGTTGGATTTTAAAATGTTGGATATTTAACTTTTTTATACTGAGATAAACTTGATAAATATTCACACTTTGAACTTCAGAATAGTATAATTTTGCAAAGCGTCTTTTTAGATATCTAATATCTCATCTCTTTGAAGGTGAATGATATTAGAAATTAAATATGGAGATTGTGGAGGAGGTAAAGAAAATTCAAGAACAGCAAGCAAAACGTGAAATCCTCATCTGCTGACACCCTGTACAACCTTACCAAAATTCCAAATACAGACATCAAGTCACTGGTTTAACTTTCCCCCTCCAGTTCAGGTTCTCTACTATGATCTCACAATCTTTAAATCATATTTCACATAAGATGAGACAATGCAGAAATGTACAATAACAGTGTGTATTGCTGCATCCCTCTTCCATCTCTATGGCATTCTCAAAGGCCAAGTGTCTGCTGTTTGTCCAACAGAAAGATAATCAAACCTATCCTTGTAATTCACATGCCTGTAAACATACAGGATTAGTGTTGGAAATTTTTGTTAGGCTGAAAAACATTTGCCTTTCTCCCCACAGCTACACATCAAGGAAATACAACAAAACCTAAATAAGTCCAAGTTTGTGATGATTCCAACAGTTCTTAGACTGAAAGCTATCTTTTCATAATAAACAAGTCATGTTTATTATGAAAAGCACATTAACGCGGCAAAACGCGATTAGAAAGTAACAAATCTTAAATATGTAAGAGAACAGACATGCAAACAAAGAAGTCTCATATCAAACAATCTTATCTAGTCATTAAAGCTGGACTTTCATACAGGTAAAAATCTGTATTGAAAATGAGTGAACTTTAAACTTAGTTATTTAACATAACTGAAAGCAAGACAGAACTGTAAAATGATCATCTTGAAAAAGATATCCCACAGGGTAAGGGTATGAATTATGCAGCTGATCTAAATTCGTGAGGTGTCCTTTTCTGGTGTCATTTGCCCTCTCCATCCCTTCTCCGCCTGCCTTCTTTAGCTCCAGCATACACTTTTTTTTTTTTTTTTTTTTTTTTACTTATATGTCTTTCTCCCTCTGCAAGTAATAGCCAGTATTCACTGGGAGTTTACTATGTGCCAAGAGTTTTCTAAGCATTGTACATACATTAAGTCATTTAATTGTCATAACAACCCTACGAGTTTAGTATTCTCTTTAGCGTCTTTTTGCAAGTGAGGAAACTGAGGCACAAAGCCATTCAGGGACAAGCCCAAAGTGACACATCTTATGCTCCTAGGCTGAGGGTAGCCACCATTATCTTGCTTGCCCTTCTGGCCCCAGAGCTGGAAATTTTTATTAGGCTGAAAACATTTGCCATTTCTCCTCACTGGTACACATCAAGGAAATACAATAAAACCTAAGTAAGGCCGGGCACAGTGGCTCAGGCCCGTAATCCCAGCACTTTGGGAGGCCGAGGCGGGCGGATCACTTGAGGTCGGGAGTTCAAGGCCAACCTGGCCAACATGGGGAAACCCCATCTCTACTAAAGATACAAAAATTAGCCGGGCGTGGTGGGTCCCCAGTCATGCTCGGGAGGGAGTAAGGAGCGGGTTTCACCACGCTGTGATGCTGAGCCTTGACTTGCCTGTTCTAGGTTTCATGAGCTACATCGTGGAGCCGCTCTTCCGGGAATGGGCCCATTTCACGGGTAACAGCACCCTGTCGGAGAACATGCTGGGCCACCTCGCACACAACAAGGCCCAGTGGAAGAGCCTGTTGCCCAGGCAGCACAGAAGCAGGGGCAGCAGTGGCAGCGGGCCTGACCACGACCACGCAGGCCAAGGGACTGAGAGCGAGGAGCAGGAAGGCGACAGCCCCTAGGGGCCGGCCCAACTTAGACGCGGCTCTCCTCCGGCAGGGCCCCCAGAGGGCAGAAGCAGCGTGGAGGGGCCCTCACGCAGCAGCCCAGCCACTTTCTGAGTGTTGTCCTGGGGCTCTTTGGAACGCCATCTTCCTCCCACTTACCTGCCTCCCCTCCTTTTCGCAAATGTACAGAAGCCATTTGTCACCTCAGCATTCGCTGCCGAAATGAGCAACTCCATTCAGTAACGTGGGAGCTGATCCCACGGGCAGGCTCTCCCTGCTCCAGGAGAAGACTAGGAGGAAGAATGAGGTGCTCCTGCCGTGTCCGCCTTGTTCCGGGTCGCACTGGAACAGGCAGCAATTCCTAAGTCCGGAGCGTTTGAGCGTTTGCTATCTGACTGCTGATCTGCGTGACAGAAACACCAGCATATTTGCAACGCCAAGGATATTGGTCTTAAGTGCAAGAGCACAAATGAGAGTGTGAGAGAAAGTACCTTCTATTTTAATAATAATATTATTATAAAAATAATAAATCTTTTTAACTTTTATATTTTATGCACTAGACAATGGATCTGCAACTTTGGACTAAGGTCATTCAATGTACCCAAACTTGAACAGGGGGTTCATTGTTTTGCTATTGACTTTATTATGCCACTTTGGGGCAGAGACTTGGCATCTTCGCAGTTTAAGAAACCACGTTTCCTATCCAATCCGAAGGGAAGGTGCTGTACAGTTCATTCCTTTGCACCATTAGCCAATCTGTCTTTTATGGATTCTGTGACATGTTTATATTCACCCATGTACATTTTCTGTAAATACCAAACGCTACTGATTCCCATGCCAAAATACATGAGTATTATGGGATTGCTACCTGTATAAACAATGGCACTGTGAAAATACTGTTAGTTTTAATACAAGAGAATGCATTTGTAAATATGGTATAGAGTTTATTAATATACTATTGTTTGCAGATAAAGGCCTTAACTTTAAACATCTTTCATCTTCTGAAAGCTGCCCAACTTAAATCCTCATAGATGTCTTTCTCAACTGCCTTCCCATGTTCATCTGTATGTTTTCCAGCTAAGGTCACAAACCAAAACTGAATAAAGTCTTTGAGGAAACATTTTGGAAACTTCACATGCATTCCGCTTGAGACCATAGTGTTTAATCTATGGCACCAAGCATCGTTTCCTCAGATTAATGAGACCCTTCAACAAGCCTGAATCAGTCACTTTTCAACACAGCGATGTTTTAACAAGCCAGCTGCTAAGCTTGTGTTTATGTGACTCTTGTTACAGATCATGGCGGTGCGTCAGCCTCACAGGAGACATAGCAGGTCTCAGAAACCTTCTATGACCCTGTCATCTAACCATCAGGGAATTCCCTGCTCCCATGCCACACATTTGTCTATTATGGCTATAGTACCAAAGTACTTTTGGTGTTTGGTTGGTGTGCATTTCTTTAGTGTCGATAGTAACTGGATTTTTCTTTTTCCTTAATCTCATGTGAACAACTACCCAACTGTTTAGCTGAAGTTCATATTATTTAAGTAAAGAAAATATTTCAGTTTTATAACAGACTTTACCTTCCTGGCAGGTCATTGTAGTTAATTATGTCTCTAGCTTGGAGTGTCACCTTGGAATTTCGTTGCCATTTTTTCTCAGACACCTGGCCGTAAAATCAGTTTGTTACAGCATTCTTCTCTAGGCTGCTAAACGCTGTGCATTGAACCTTTTCTTTAGAAGTTTCAGCGTAACTAATGTTAGATGAAAATTGTTGATGCCCCTTTCTTTTTACTTTAAACAATGTGGTAGTGGGAGAATGACTGTTTCTGCCACTATCAACCTGATCCTCATGCTGATAGAATGACAGCTAGCACTTATTTCCTAAGTGCAACTGTTTTAGAGATTTTTCTCCTAACATGCAAAGGAAATACTGATTGGCCTATAATAAGTTCCTATAGGGAGACTGAGGCTTGCAGAATTAAGGTTCAGGGGAAATTTTGGAAAGTTGGTTGTATTTTCATTGAAGTAGGAGAGATTATCAGATGGTGCTAAAGAAAGTGTGAAGATCTTATGAAATAGGTGGATGGTAAGTTGAAATTATTGATGTGGGTAAGAAGGGAGGTTGTGGAAAGTTAACACTAGCTTTGTATTTTTTTTTCTGTAAAACTGTGAACTGATATATTTTCCTTTATCACTTTAGTATTCTGCAGTTCTCAGCTTGGTGAGGCTCCAAAAGAGAATATGTCAGATGTATTCCTACTTCCAAACCTGTCTTACTTTGGTTTGATGGTACACATAGGGCTTTTGAACAGTCTATTTTTAATGTATATGAGGTCAAATCAAGGAAGGCAATTGCTGGGGACAAGAAAAGTAGAGGTAGGAAAGAAGACACTATTTTAGCTAATGGGGTTTCTTGGGACTAAAAAATGGCTTTGTTTAAATTATAATTATATAATAATTTAAATAAATGAGATTGGAGGTATTCTTAGTAGTTCTGAGTTGATAGTTTACATTACAATTAGGTCTTGAAGAAGAGCTCACAGAGAAAAAACTACCAAATATCCAATGGGTAAGCCCATGATGTAGCCACTAGTACAATAAAAATCTGAAGTAAAATGAGGCATAAACTTGATGCAGCTGCCTCCCTCATTCAACTGGGGAGTTCTTGAGTTCCTCATTTGTTGGTAAAAAGAAAAAGAATGTGAAAATGTCTCTTTTTTTCTTGGCTATTAGTGGCTGTCTTGCAATATTTCAATAGGAGTCCAATTACTAGTTAAAACACTGGCGGGGTGCGGTGGCTCACGCCTGTAATCCTAGCACTTTGGGAGGCCAAGTTGGGCAGATCACAAGTTCAAGAGATCGAGACCATTCTGGCCAACATGGTGAAACCCCGTCTCTACTAAAAATACAAAAATTAGCTGGGCATGGCAGTGCGTGCCTGCAATCCCAGCTACTCAGGAAGCTGAGGCAGGAGAATCGCTTGAACCTGGGAGGTGGAAGTTGTAGTGAACTGAGATCGCACCACTGCACTCCAGCCTGGCAACAGAGCTAGAATCCGTCTCAAACAAACAAACAAAAAATCCCACAGCTATTGGATCATCCACAGATTTTTTCTTTACAATCTTGTTCTCCTTGTCCATGGACCATCAATAGTTGACTTGCCAGGTTTAATTCTTTCATTGCTTGAGAAGAAAGGAATCAAAGGACTGTGTGTAGTAAGCTGACGGTAAAGTTAAGATTAAATTAAGACAGAGAGAGAATACATATCACTGCCAGGCCTGATAGGAAAAATCTGCTCTTCCTTTTAATAACAGTGATGAATTGTCAGGACCTTATTTAGGAAACCCTGACCTACCCATAACTCCCTGCTAGGCTAAGTAGAAACCAGGTTATTTCTCCCTGCTTATGGCTCCCCGCAAAGGGACTTGCAGCGTGTCCTGCAACTTTGTCTTCAGATAGTGCTTCCTACAAAACTAGGTCTTGTTTTGTAATCTTTTCTCGTGTTGAATCAGATCTGCTTACTTATTTAGGTTTGGTTATGAGCTTGTATCTCACTGTATTTCTCATGCTTTGTTCTTTTAAACAAATCCTTTAAACTGTGTCATTTTGTATACACATGTGAGGTTTGAAAAAAAAAAAAAAAAAAAAAAGAACTACCTTGTGAGTTTTGCTCAAAATGTGGCCTAAGTAGCCATTGGCATGTCTAGATGAACAAATAAAAATAAAGATAATTTCTTTAAAATATCACAAGATGAAAATATCCTAATTCTCACCAGGTAACATGTTACCAGTCAATGAATTGGATTCAATAAAAGGATCCCACTGCTCAGGAGAGGAAACATTCGAGGAAAGAACACAGATGCAAACATGGCCCACGTGACTCATTCCACTTTGGGGGCTACAGAAACGCCCATGTCCATGAAGGTATCACCTGCTCGTTAGTGCCAAGTTAGGGAAACAGGGCCACCATTCAGCTTTACATTTCCCCAGAGTCCTGATATTTTTCTGACTCATATTTGTCAAACTCATATGAATGAGAATGAGGTACAATGTTTTAAGTTGTAAAAACATAGCCAACTCAGGGCAAGAATTATTTGTGAAAAATATGGTCTCACATTTCAGGATTACTGGCCATGAAGAACAATAGAACAGTTCAGGCAGAACTGTTCTATTCTAAATCTGGTATTCTAAATCCATCTGGAAATAGAGAAGAAGAAGAACACTGCCAATGTTTCCAATGTTTTCTTGTATCTTTATGTATTCTCCCATATTCATTTTATTAAGATCTGTGTTCAGAATCTCTCTGATTCCTTAATGACTCCCATGTTTGAATGCAAAGCTACTTTTTCATTTGTGGATGTTCTATATCACAAAGCTAATATCAAAAGAGATGCCCCACTAGTATTTCATGTAAAGGTCAGGCATGGCTTTCAAATGTACACGGGAACCTAGCTGAAACACTGTCAAATAGGCCAAGCCTACATGAGCACTTAGATTTCAATTAAAGAAATACTTATTGAGGAGCTACTATGTGCCAGACATTGTGCTAGATATTGGGATTTAAAAAGACCCAGTCCCTCCAGGAGCATTCAGACTTGTGCCAGAGACTGGTGTTACCTGTGAACACTTCTTAGAGAATTTGTGAACAGCTATGATTGCTCAAATGCAGCTAAAGCTCCCTCCTGGCATACAACACAATAGAAAGCAGATACACTTCCAACACAGAAATGGATCCCAATCCTAGTTCTGTCACTAACTTATCCTCTGACTAGACAGAAGTTACTAAAACTGCTATAAAATTATTTCAAGACAGCTGGGTGTGGTGTCTTATGCCTGTAATCCCAGCACTTTGGGAGGCCAAGGTGGGGGGGTGGATCATGGCGTCAGGAGTTCGAGACCAGCCTGGCCAAAATGGCGAAACCCCATCTCTACTAAAAATACAAAATTAGCCAGGCGTGGTGGTGGGCTCCTGTAATCCCAGCTACTTGGGAGGCTGAGGCAGGAGAATCACTTGAATCTGGGAGGCAGAGGTTGCAGTGAGCCAAGTTTGCGCCACTGTACTCTAGCCTGGGCAACAGAGCAAGACTCCGTCTCAAAAAAAAAAAAAATTATTTCAAGACAATATTTTTTATAGTATTGTTGTGGCAATTAAAAGAGTTGGCATACAAAAAGGCATCAAGCCTGCTCGCTGGTACATGGTAGATGCTCAATAGATACAGGTTCTCCCTTAAATTACAAACAACTTGCCAAATAGCCGTTCTTGCATGAATAAGAATGGGGAGAGTTTACAGTGGAGAAAACACAGTAAAGAGTTGGTTTCACATTAGGAAGTCAAACTTCTAATTAAGCCAGAGAGATTATTAGAAAAAAAAGTTTAAGTTGTAGCTGATAATGGTTTGAAAATGTAAGATTGGCTTGTCTTAGTCATCTAAGCAATGATGCATCATTGATTCCATTGCCTGAAATTCAAATTCTCATATTAAATGTGCTGATATAATCTTTAGTATTTTCTTTCCTTTTAAGGAAGCAGTGCAGTAGGGTTTTAAAAGCATTGTCAGGGCACAGTGGCTCACATCTGTAATTGTAGCACTTTGGGAGGCTGACGCAAGAGGATTGCTTGAGTCCAGGAATTTGAGACCTGCCTGGGCAACCTAGACCCCATCTCTACAAAAAAAAATTTAAAAATAATACATAAAGTGTTGGCTTTGGACTGGGTACAGTGGCTTACCCCTGTATCTTAGCACTTTGGTAGGCCAAGGTGGGAGGATCACTTGAGGCCAAGAGTTCAAGACCAGCATGAGCAACACAGCAAGACCCCTGTCTCTTGCTGTAAAAAGTAATTAAAAAAAAAAATGTGGGCTTTGGAGTCAGACCAGAATTTAAATCCCTCATTATCATTAACTACCTAACCCTAGGCGATTTATTTAATCTCTCTGAGCCTCCATCTCCTCATGCATAAAATGATAGTAACATCAACCTCCTGGGTGGTCATGAGGATGAAAGTAAATAACATACATAAAATATATAGCATAATTTCTAGCAAAAAGGGAGTACTCAAAACATGTAAATTCCTACATCACTTAAGGAAAAAATATCTACAAAGTGGAAGTTAGGATGCATCTTTCACTTTCTATAGATTGTGCCAATTTTTGTGCAAATGAAAACAAGTTGCATTAAGAGAGACTGACAGTGACTCTATCTACAGGTGGCCAGGTCGGTCATAAAAATAATCCTTGTATTATGGACAAAAAAACTATTTTAAAATGTGATTCAAGAAAAAAGACAGTGACCCAGAGGTGCTAAGGATACACTGGTAAGACCAAGGACAAATAAGGGACTATTTCTTGTGGTTTTAAAGTAAATATTCCTCAGCTCAGCGAGAGAGAACTAGTCCATCTGGTTAATCTAAGACTTTCCTGGAGTTGACAAGAATACAACCCTGGCTAGACAGAAGCATTAGTTAAATAAGCAAAACTTGATAACCTGTCAAGTTTTCATGAAGTCCATTCAAATCCTACAATTCCTATCCATCAGAGTTCCTGGTAGCCCTTTCCCTTGCCACCTCTTCATCAGATCCTTTCTGGCCACTGACAATAGAGGCTGAAGACTCCCAGGCAGTCTCTGCAAGTAGGTGGCCCTGGGCAACATAGGAAGACCCCATCTCTACTAAACATTTTAGAAAATTAGCCAGGCATGCTGGAGCACAGCGGCGGTCCCAGCTACTTGGGAGGCTGAGGTGGGAGAATCGCTTCAGACCAGGAGTACAAGGCTGCAGTAATCTATGATTGTGCCACTGCACTCCAGCCTGGGTGACAAGACTTTGCCTCAAAAATTTAATTTAATTTAATTTTAAATTTAAAACTCAATTCTAAACTAACATTTTCCAAATTGCATAAAAATGTATGTGCCCAAAGATGTCTGTTAAGTGTTCCCTGAAAAAAAAAAATGGATTCGTAGCCAAAGAATTATGAGAAACGATGAATTAAAGACATAGGTTTTGCTCAAAGATATTTGTTAAGTGTTCTCTGGGGGAAAAAATGGCTTCATAGTCAACGAATTTTGAGAAACAATGGATTAATACATAAGTTTTGCTCAAAGATGTTTGTTAAGCGTTTCCTGGAAAAAAAAAAAAAGGCTTCATAGTCAAAGAATTTTGAGAAACAACGGATTAAATGCGTAGGTGTTGCTCCTGTCTGCTTCCCAGAACTCTCAAGTGCTAATGGACATCTTCAACAAGGTGATACAGATGACATTGTCTGGATCTAGTTTTGATTTCTTATCACAAAAATCTTCCTTAACTATTGCAACCCAGGATGATCTATCATTTTATCATTAGTGATTGTTAGCTGTTTTGTATTGTCATTAATGATGTATGTGTATGTGTTCTGCCCAATTTGAGGTATAATTTGGCATGGTGGTTAACTTGCCCAAGTTTGTGGCTTGACTTTACCACTTAGTAGGTATCTGACCTTGGGAGAGTTTTCAAACTTTCTGTGCCTCAGTTTCTTCATCTGTAAAATGGTGATAAAAATATGACCTATTTCATAAGGGTTTTGAAGATTAAGAGTTGAGGCATGGAAAGCCCTTTGAATGATGCCTGCCACAGAGAAAGCACTAAGTATTAGCAAAAACCATTATCTTCTCCCTTCATCCCCCTCTTGACTTGACTTGTAAGCTCTTTGATAACAGGGATAACTACCCTTTTAAAAACTACTCTTGGCTGGGCACAGTGGCTCATGCCTGTAATCCAAGTACTTCGGGAGGCCGAGGCAGGTGGATCATGAGGTCAGGAGTTCAAGACCAGCCTGACCAAGATGGTGAAACCCCAACTCCACTAAAAATACAAAAATTAGCCAGGCGTGGTGGTAGGCACCTGTAATCCCAGCTACTTGGGAGGCTAAGGCAGGAGAATGGCTTGAACCCAGGAGGCAGAGGTTCCAGTGAGCTGAGACCACACCACTGCATTCTAGTCTGGGTGACAGAGCAAAACTCCGTCTCAAAAATCAAACAAAAAAACTATTCTCCATAGCGTAGCACAGGACATACTGAATAAATACGTCTTAAATGAAAGAACACATTTTTGACTGACAAATTGGAAATCATATCAGATTATGTTAACATTTAAATCCAAACAAGTAAACTCCAATTGTAACAATGAATGTCCCAATAATTTGAATGCAGATGCTGTTTTTTCAGGTCCACAGTTGCTATCTGGTAGACCTTTAGCGTTTTGAAGAACATAGTTTGGGAAAACAATAGTTTTTTCTCCTCTCAGTTTATGAGCATACTCTTCTGAGTGGTGACAGTAGAAATAATTTCTCTGAAGGACTTGATATCCAAAGATCTCTAGATTTTTCTCTATCCAACTGGAAAAGAAACCTACAGAAACACCACTAAATTGCTTCCTTTGCGGGACAAATATGAATCTATTGTAATGCACAATCCAAGAGGAGACAGAGACAAATCCCAGTGCTCATCTTTAAAAAAGAACAGGGAATGGCAGATGAGTCTCTTATTTTATCCTTGTTAAAAGCACTTCAGATTACACATAACCTACTCCTACTCTTCTTCCCAGTAAGCAATTATATGTGCATTTTTTAAGTTGTCAGCAAAGTAAGCCTAATGGACCAAAATGTATGATCAGTTTTGGGGATTATTTATTTCTTCCTTCTTCCCACTGCTATAATTTACTTTGAGCCTTTTTTTTTTTTTAACAGGAGAGTCAGACTTTACATTTCAATGAATTCATTTTCTCAGAAACATCTGTCTCAGTCCACATTTGAAAAAAAAAAACTTCTACATGAAAACAAAAGACCTATAGTGTTATAGAACAGCATAAGTGAGAATTATACTCTGTAATTATCAGTTTTCAAGTATTAACCTTACTGAGATGGAGACAACAAAAAGTTCTGATCTTTCAATACTTGAGTTATGTAACGTTCTGAAATATTTCTGAGATGCCTCTACTGACTTTAGTTATTAAAAATGTGTTATTTTAGAAATAGCTTATCAAAAAATACCTTTTGGCATCTGGAGCTTTATCTTAAACTCTAACGGGAAGCTTGAGATTTTTTTTCTCTTATCAGTGTGGGCTTTTTTGTTGTTTGAGACCGAGTCTCGTTCTGTTGCCCAGGCTGGAGTGCAGTGGTGCAATCTCGGCTCACTGCAACCTCCTCCTCCCGGGTTCAAGTGATTCCCATGCCTCAGCCTCCTGAGTAGCTGGGATTAGGATTACAGGCACATGCCACCATGCCCAGCTAATTTTTGTATTTTTAGTAGAGACGAGGTTTTACCATGTTAGCCAGGCTGGTCTCAAACTCTTGACCTCAAGTGATCCACCCTCCTCAGTCTCCTAAAGTGCTGGGATTACAGACCCGAGCCACCATGCCCAGCCTCCGTGTTTTTTTAGTAGTAGGTTTCCAGTTCTCAAGTATGATTTAGTGAATGTTCAGCCCCACCACCAACCTGCAGAAATGTCAGGCAGCCAAGCACAGGCCCTATCCCCACAGTGATTGTCTGATCACTGCACAGACTGTGAAGTCCCCAGGTACCAGTGCCAGCCTCTGAGGAGGATAAGATGAGAAGAGACTTCAACAGGGTGGGCAGGCCACAGTGCAAGGGCTGCGTGCCAGGACCTCATTCTGCTGAGAGTTGGGGTATGTACAAGTGTCATTGAGAAAGGCCTAAGATTGTGGAGGGAGGTGGGTAACCTGACTTGAATATCTAAAAGGTATGTGACATGTCAATAAAGCTTCATTTGGGCTAGCAAGCAAACCAGAAGCAATTAACTAGACATCACTGTTTCTTCTTGGTATAGTCAGAGCTAAGTGTTCTAGGAACACTTAAACATTTTTGTACATATTATTGGTAAAGGCTCTGACCAGATGTCAATGATATTGGCAAACTTTGTCCATATAAATCAGGTGACTTGTAAGAAGTGTTCACTGAGGCTTAATTTTATTTCAGAAACAACGGCATTACTGCCTAGTTTACAATTTATAGTGAGCATTAGAGCTGATGTCATATGTTCCTTGCACTGTATTGACACGTGTGAACAGCAGGCATTGGCCAGAAACAACGCTGGTGCCATCTATGTTCCATTTGCAGCAAGAGATTACTCAACTCTTACTCTAACTCAAATGAGACTGTCAACGAAGATAGGAGGCATGGAGGAGAACTGACAAGAGGAGAAAGCTTATATTGATTCCGTATCCTGTGAGGGAAAATAAGCATTTAAGGAAGAATAACCAAGATGAATCAAATTACTCACTGAGTATGAGTTTTCTAGGGCTGCCCTAACAGATTACCAGAGTGGCTTCAAATACAAAAATGTATTCTCTCACAGTTCTGGAGGCTAGAAGTCTGAAATCAAGGTATCAGCAGGTCTCTGAGCTCTCTGAAGCTACCAGGGAAGAGTCCTTCCTTCCTTCTTCTAGCTCCCAGAGCTCACCAGAAATCCATGCCGGTCCTTGAGTGGTGGCAGCATAACTCCAACCTTTGCCTCCATCATCACAGGCCTTCGTCCCCATGGGTCTGTTTTCCCTTCTTACATGGACACGAGCCAGGGACTAGGGCCCACCCTAATCCCATATGGCTTCATCTTAACTAATTACATCTGCAAAGACTATTGCCAAGTAAGGTCATATTCTGAGGTTCTGGATGGACAGCAACTATAGGGGGCAGTATTCAGCTGAGGACACCTAGACACTCCTCACTCCTCACTCACTCACCCAATGCTTTACCTCCTACAGACACTCCTCACTCACTCACCTTTACCTCCTACCCATCCCCGGTACACATACACACATACACACACACACACACACACACACACACACACACACACACAGTCCATACGCATCTGTCAGACTCTTTAACTTTTTATTTGGAGATAATTGTAGATTTAAATGTTCTCGTAAGAAATAATACAGAGTTGGAACTTGGGGGTAAGTAGTCAAAATGAAAATAAAAGAAATAGAGAAGCTGAGCACAGCTGCTGATGCCTGTAATCCCAATACTTTAGGAGGCCGAGGCAGGAGGATCACTTGAGGCTAGGAGTTTGAGACCAGCCTGGGCAACATAGCAAGACCTCATCTCTATTAAATTTTTTTTTAATTAGCTGGGTGTAGTGGCACACACCTGTAGTCCCAGCTACTTGGGAGGCTGAGATGGGAGGATCACTTGAGCCCAAAGGTTGAGGCTGCAGGGAGCTGTTTCACACCACTGCACTCCTGCCTGGGGCAAGAGAGTGAGACCCTATCTCAAAAAAAAAAAAAAAAGAAAGAAAGAAAGAAAGAAATAGAGAGATCCTGTGAACTCTTCATCCACTTTACCCAATTTTCCCCATGGTAACGTCTTGTATAACTATATTACAATAACTATATTACAACCAGGAAATCAACATTGATAAAAATCCGGTAACAATTCAGACTTCAGCAGTGTTACATGCATTTGTGTGTGTTTACATGTGTGTGTGTGTGTTTTTGTGTGTGTGTATCATATCTTGCAGATTTCACCTGATTGACAGCATTGAGATAGAGCGTTTCAGGTTTGAGATGTGGTTGTTTTTACATATTTGGAGGTAGAGTGAGGAAGTGTGGAGAAGTTTCATGGAAGGAGGAACAAAACACATCTTTGTTTCTCTCTTCCATATCTTTTCCTTACTAATTCAGATCTGGCTCAGGAAAAAAAACAACTTTTTAAAATCCCAGTGGCATCAGCCATCTGGAGATGACAGTATGATTCTTGTTCTACTTTTCAGCTTCTTCACTATTTCATCATTGATTTCCCAGATACTTTCATTCATTCATTCATTCATTCATTATTTGTGCAACAAATATACATGAAGCACCAAGTTTGTGTTAGGTGTTGGGGATGCAATGATAAATGTCTTCTCTGTGCTTACAATAAAGTGAGCAACTAGGGAGAATTCATAATAGCAAATCATAATTAGTGAAATAACAGAAGTAGGAGCAGATGGGATCACATAGAAGGGAAACCACATGACAGGGTATGAGAGAAGTCAGGAAGCCCTCCCAGAGGAAGGGATGCCTAAGTCAAGATATAAATAAAGAGTGAGGCAAGGGGAGGAATCTGGGAAGAACTGTTCCTGACCAAGGGACAATAGTTGAAGTGTTTCTGAGGATGAAAAATATTCCCAGAAACATCAAGAAACTGAAAAAAAAATTAGCGCTCAAGGGAGATATGTAGGTAATTGTGCAGATAATAAGGAAAAGTTAAAGGTATAGAAAATGATAGGTGCACCAGTTCCTGATAAGGATGGGACTCAGAGAGCAGGAGGCTTTGGAGATGAGGTCGACTCACCACCATTGTGATAGGTGGGAAGGAGATGACGCCATGTGGGACACAATTATGTTCATGCATTTTGTGGCAAAAGTTGCAGAATTCTCATCTGGTGACCTCTACATTCTGGGTCCAGTACAATGCACAGGCATCTGCTGGAGTGAAGGGGGCCAAAAGTGGGAGAAAAAAAGGGAGGAAATCAATAGCATATCTGTATATGAGAGAGTGTTGACTCAAGAAAGAAAGAGCATAGCAGAGAGAGTTCACTGAAGAAACTTCACATGATCACGTAGAGCACCAATGCTAGAAGTCGGGAGTTGATAGCCACAACCATCTTAAACATCCTGCAGCATCTCCAGCAGCTCTCAGCCCCCGGATGAAGATGAGAAGGTAGAAGTCAGATTCTTCCAAGGTTTGGATCTTTCCCAGAGGAAACAAAGTAGAGCAGCAAGGCAAGGGAGTTGATTGTAGTTGTAATTTAAGCTGAGTAGAAAAGGCAGTAAAGATGAGAAGCTGTTGGATAAAGGCAGAATCAAGAGATGAAAGAGCCTTAGAAGACATGCTGAGAAGAAAGAACCAGAGAGAGCTGGAAGGTTAGGCTTGTGTGGTCCAAGGCTGTGGAAGGTCTGAATGTATTATTTTAGAGGTGAAGTGGTTTGATGTGAAGACAGGTCCAGGAGCTTTGGGGGCAGACAGCTTCAGGAGTATGGAGAAGTTTATTATAGTTAAGGAATCAAAAGTACGTGGTGGTAGGTGAGTTATCCACTTGGTTACTGAAGTCACACAGGGTATTGGCAGGACTTGAAGTGAGAAGAAGCCTGGAGCTTCTCCAGTAACTGAAGTGGAAAGAATGAAATGTCAAATGATGCCGCAGACATGAGGTGGTAGCACCCACGGCAAGAACCCCAAGGGAGACGTGTTCTCAGCTTGAGTCCTCACTGAGGGTAGAGGACTAATGGTCTAGAAGTGGCAGTAACACGCTGATCCCATGTCCCAACACTGACATGAAGGACAGTTGGTAATAAGTAGCCTCCATTTGAGAGGCTTCCATAAGGCAATGTTGTCAGGGGACAGTTTCAGATAAAGGAATGTCTAGTGCATACAGTGGTTGTAAGAGTGTTTATATCCTGGTTTGGGAGTTCCAGGGAAAATAATAGAAGTGTCAGGAAGGAGGATTGTGACAGGAAATGGTAGGATCCAAATATCATGGAGCATGAGAATGTGGGAGAAGATAAGTGAAGGAATCATTCTTCTTAGGTGGTAAACAAGGGTTACAGGGATGCGAGTTAGGGTGGATTAAGCTGGCCACTAGACTGCCAACAGAATTAGTCCCACCATCCCCCCTGCAGATGGGAGGAGGCTCTCAGGGATTCACATAGCCCTGCCAGATGTACTTCCAAGCCTTAAAAGAAAGGGGAAACTCTTAGCTGTTGGAAGAAGTGACCTTTGGTCTGGATTGACTGTGGTGGTCTTGGGGAGGTTGTGGGAATGAAGTAACTTCCACTCAGGTACCCAGGGAGTGGTGAAGGACACCATACCCAGAAAGCACGGGCTGGGAGTGGGCGATGAGTCTAGGCTCTTTGAGGGAACAGTGATGACCAGGAAATACTGGCACACAACCTGCTCTGCTTCTCCCTCTGGGACTCCAAGCTCAGCATTGCTATGGTTAGAGATTCTGTGTGCAATCTGCAGGTGGTAATAAGGATCTGTAGCTAGCATTTTTCAATCTCCCTTCATACTACATCCCCAGAGGTCAACTGAGAGCCCAGGCAGCTTGCTGTTACAGGGAGGGCCATCAGACATGTCAGTTTTCTGAATGAAACAGAGTCCTGGTATGTTTGAAAAACGGAAAGAAATCTGTCTTCAATTAACCAAATGGTCATTCTTCAATAACGGAAAAGATAAGGTGGCAGCAAAGACCAGAAGTGGGCACTAAAAGGTATGTGATCTTTTTTTTCAGGTGAGACAAGGGTCTATATTCCTATCCATTACAGGTGGGGTCATTTCTATGACTCAAATCTGAACAAAATACAGGTAGCAATCTAAATTCAATCATGACAATAAAATACTTTCCATTTTCCAAGTTCGATGGTAATATTTACATTTAAAAAAATAATTTGTTCTTTTTTTGTTTTTAAAAAAGACAACATGCTCAAGATTACACAGAATCTGGAAAAAATCACTTCATCTGAGAGATCAACTGATAGTAAAAAAACAATGTTCTTACATAGTAACCCAATTCAAGAATATCACCATGGAGTCTAACATGGTGTTTATTTCAAAGACAATATTCAAGTATGTCATTTAGAACACTATGTCTAATGTGTCTGTAAAGAAGCAAACACTGCTATCCAAGATCATTAGGACAAGTAGCGGCGCCAGCTGGGAGAAGACCCCATGTGCCATTAATAAGGTGCTGATGGGAAGGGTGCCTGACAGGGAAGGCCAGCCGAATGAAATTAAACCACCACCCCCAGAAATGCCCCCTTGACAAAAGAGACAAGAAAGCGATGGTGGTTGGGGACCTAGGTGGTGGAGGTGGTGGTACAGGAGGGGGTGGGGGTGGAAGAGTTGGCTGGGGGTGGTGGAGGAGGTTAGGGAGGTGGTGGGGGAGGGGGAGAAGGGCAGTGGCGAGGCGGTGATGGTAGAGGAGGTTTCCAAGGCAGGGGAGATTATGGTGGAAGAGAGGGCTGTGGTGGAAGAGGCTATGGAGATCCATATGGAGGAGGAGGAGGTGGTGAAGGTAAATAATTTTTAATGAACACTTCCAATTACACATTGAAAACCCAGGCAATCCCTTTGTTAAGGTACAAATCAAGCAACATCTAGATTTTAATCCAAGTTCAAGGTCCTATGCCCAGTTCCCAGACACACTCAGTTGCGAAAGAAAAAGAGGCTCAGAAAACAGCTAGAAAAAGAGGTTCTACTCAAGCTGTCTTACATCTGATCAGAGTTGGCTCCCAAAAGCAATGGAGAGCATGAAGAAAAGGAGATCACTTAGACAGCATCCTCTTTATGCAGTGATTTCTTATTAACCCTTAATGTAAGAAAGAGACAATTCTTAGAATTCAAGAATTTGCTAAAAAACAAAATAATTTTTCCCTGAAATTAACCTTTGTGTTTTGAAGCTTCCAAGCCTTCCTGGAATTATTGTTTATTATTCCAGAGGGTTCAGTGAAGATTTTCAAATGCAACTACATCCTCTGCTAACGTTATATGCAGAGGCCTTCTTCCTCCTACAATGACAGGGTGTATCACGCAGTCTTCTCTAGAAGCAAAAGTGCAATATGATATTCTACTACCAACAACAAGGACCAATTCAACCAGAGTTTAGTTTCAAAATTAAGACTCACTTTACATGAGATCTACTCTCAACAAATATTTAAGTGTACACTATATTATTGTTGACTGTAAGTATAAATGCCTATTTTTCTTATAAGAACTCTGACATCTCAAAGTTGTAACTATTCATTTTCCAATCACGTAAATAACATGTAGAGGAAGGATCGCCATCAAAGACTTAACACAATTTATGGAAGGGAGAATGAGAAAGAGCCATTTCCTAAACCAAACTCAAAGGGATTCAAGGACCAGGGAGTCTGTAGTCTTGAGTCAAATAATTAAAATGTGTTCACTAAGGGGACTATAATATCTTATCAAAACATAAGAATAATTTTGGGCTAGATGCAGTGGTTCACAACTATAATCCTAATGCTTTGGGAGGCTGAGACTAAAGGATTGCTTGAGTCCAGGAGTTCAAGACCAGCCTGACCAACATAGCAAGATCCTCTCTACAAAAAAATTTAAAAATCAGCCAGGCATGGTGGTGCATACCTGCAGTTTTAGCTACCCAGGAGGCCGAGGCAGGAGGATCACTTGAGCCCAGGAGTTTGAGGCTGAAGTGTGCTATGATCACACCATTGCACTCCAACCTGGGCAACGGAGAGAGACCCTCTGTGAGGGTTATCCGTGAGGCTTCCACTTAACAGTAGACTATTAGTAGTTAAGCTTTTGGGGAGTCAAAAATTATACATGAATTTTTTACTGTGTGTGGGTGGCACCCCAACCTCCCTGTTGTCCAAAAGTTAACTGTATTACAATTCATTCTGCCAACGCGAGTCTTTCTAAAATGCTAATGTAATTAACCTTTTTGCAGTCATTTAATGATTCCCCTTGTGGCTTTTCAGATGGATTAGTCCATTCTTATGCCGCTAATAAAGACATACCTGAGACCGGGTAGTTTATAAAGGAAAGAGGTTTAATGCACTCACAGTTCCACATGACCGGGGAGGCCTCACAATCATGGTGGAAGGTGAAGGAAGAGCAAAGGCAAGAGGCAATGTATGCAGGGGAACTCCCTTTTATAAAACCATCAGATCTCATGAAACTTATTCACTATTATGAGAACAGCATGGGAAAAACCTACCCCCATGATTCAATTACCTCCCACCAGGTCACTCCCAAGACATGTGGGGATTATTACAATTCAAGGTGAGATTCAGGTGGGGACACAGAGCCAAACCATATCATCAGAAATCCAGTTCCTTGGGTTAGAACCCTAAGTCTTCATAATCTGAACCCTGCCAATCTCTATAGCCTTCTCTTCATGCACTTTCCCACCCTCCTCTTGCCAGCCACCCCATTCGCCCAGTCTTAGGCTCCAATCATTCTAAACACCTGCAGGTCTCCAAACCCACCTGCTATTTCCCACCTACGAGGCTTCCAACAAAAGCTCCCTCCACTGGGAATGCTCATCCTCCAACCCACCCTTTCTGAGTTTTCCAATTCAAATAACTACCTCTGTCTGATGTGGCTATCCTCCTTTAGACAATCATAGCGCCCTCTATCAGGGCACTTCCTACCTAGTATCTTCATCACTGATTATATGTATGTTTCTCCGACTGGACTTCGAGCAACTTGAAAATATCCATTTGCTATTTTAAATTCAACACCTAAAACCACAGTGCTTAACAAAAGTTTGTTGAATAAAATAATGAATGAATAACCCATGGGCAAATGATTTAATATATGGAAACCAGATGGGCTGGCTGTAAATGGTTTTATGAGCTTTATTCCTTAAAGTTGATGTTTTTACATTTTAGAAGCTAGAGAAGTTTCCAGAGTAGTGAGAATGAAAGCAAGGTTCGCACTGATGAGGAAAAGTATGTGAGGAGACTTAAAAATATCTATGATTAATTAAAAAATTTAATTTTTTAAAAGGCCGAGTGTGGTGGCTCAAACCTGTAATCCTAGCAGTTTGGGAGGCCGAGGTGGGCCTCGGCCCAAGAGGAAGATCACTTGAGTCCAAGAGTTCAAGACCAGCCTGGGCAACATGATGAAACCCTGTCTCTATCAAAAAAAAAAAAAAAAAAAAAAGAGAGAGAGAAAGAAAAAAAAGAAAAAAAACTATGATTTTATAAATGTGTTGTGAGAAGGATTTTTATAAAATGCTATTAAACTGTTTGTTGAGTGAATAAAGCAAGCATTACTTGACTGCCCTTGGGCCTGTGTCACTGAGGAAGTGAGCACACACCAGGAAATGTTTGGCAGACTAAGAACAGGACACAATCATTGCCTCCAGGGGGTACTATCTGGTTGAGAGACAAGACATGCAGGATAACATTCAATGAAGACCTCACAGAAGAGAAACGTCTTGCCTTGGTCTAAGTCAAAAAAGACTTCGCAGAGGATGGGGGCCTTAGAACTGATTTTGAGAGAGGATCTGTGTTAGTCTGTTCTCACACTGCTAATAAAGACATACCCAAGACTGGGTAATTTAATTTGTAAAATAAAAAAGTTTTAATTGACTCACAGTTCCTTATGGCTGAGGAGGCCTCAGGAAATTTACAATCATGGCGGAAGATGAAGGGGAAGCAAACACCTTCTTCACAAGGTAGCGGGAAAGAGAAGTGTAAACAGGAGAAACGCCAGGCACTTATAAAACCATCAGATCTCATGAGACTTACTCATTATCACGAGAACAGCTTGGGGGGAACCGCCCCTATGATTCAATTACCTCTACCTGGTCCTGCCCTTGACACGTGGGAATTATAGGGATTACAATTCAAGGTGAGATTTGGTTGGGGACACAGCCAAATCATATCAACATCTAAATGAGAGTGACAGTGAGTGAGAAGGAAGAAATCTACACTAAAGTGTAGGAAGTAGACTTACCACAAGTAAGGGCAAAAACTTGCCATTGTGTTCACCTGGTGGTGAGTCCATCAACAAGATGAAGCTGAAAGTAATCATAAACAGGACTATAGGGTCAGCTGAAAAGCTACAACAGGTTCAAATACATAGGATCTTGAATGCCTAACTAAGGGCAAAGGGCAAACGTCCTCCTAGAGTGGTCAGAACATGAGGGAAGTGGTGTTGACTATGTAATTGGCCCGCAAGCCTACTGAAAGATAAAGAAAACAGAAAGCAATCAAAATATTTTTGTTACCATAGTAATACAAGCACTGAAAGGGGAAAATTGGAATGCTCCATCTTCAGGGAGACCTCATTGAATGGAAAGTCTCCACAGCTGGTGGAAGGAGGGGGCCGTGGGGTGTGATCCAGCCAGACTGCAAATCTAAGAGTCCAGAACACAGACCAGCATGGCAGAGGATGGGGTAGCACAACAGACGAAATATCCAAGCAGAAGAAATCCTAAATCTCTGTGAGGAAGGTCCATATTGAAGGAACACATTTGTGTAAAAGAGACAATGCATTATCACATAATCAAGAAAATTAGCCTGAGTTGGCCGGGCGTGGTGGCTCACGCCTGTACTCCCAGCACTTTGGGAGGTTGAGGTGGATGAATCACCTGAGGACAGGAATTCAAGACCAGCCTGGGCAACATGGCGAAACCCCGTGTCTACTAAAAATACAAAAATTAGCCGGGTATGATGGTGTCACACGCCTGTAATCCCAGCTACTCAGAAGGCTGAGGCAGGAGAATCACTTGAACGGGGAAGGCGGAGGTTGCAGTGAACCAAGATCAAGCCACTGAACTCCATCCAGCCTGGGTGACAGAGCAAGACTCCATCTCAAAAAAAAAAAAAAGAAAAGAAAAGAAAATCAGACCAAGTTAGTAATAATGATATTTAGGCAACTATAGAAGTTGCCACATAATAATAAAGGGGGACTTTGATGCCGTATCAGGACAAGATGTAGAGCTGAGCTTTCCTTAAACAACAATGACAGCTTCACCGGGGCAGGATGAGCTGCCAGGGCACCTGGTGAATACAAAAGGCCTGAGAGGTGAAAAGGCAAATCCAGACACTGAGGCTAGAAACTTTAGACAGGTGCCTCCAATCTAATTATGCAGAAAGTTTATTCCAAACTGATAAATAAGTTCATATTTCTTTATGTTTGCTTTTTTCTGTTTGTTTTTCACCTACGTTATTTCACTGGCACCTCAAAATGACCCTGTCATGTAGATGGGGTAGGAATTATTATCCTCATTTTGTGACCAAGGAAACTGGAACTCGACATTAGTAAATCACTTGCCCAAGATCCCACAGAGAGTCAAACATGGAGCTGGGTCTTGAGTTCTTATTTCTAGTTCAGCTCTCCTTCCACTATAACAGGAGGCCTCTCTGAATTAAGGCTCACCCTACAGAAATAGAAATTAAGGAAGCGTGCGGAATTAGGAGGCATCCTGGCAAGGCTACAGCTCCAGGCCCTTGTGGGAGAAGACAAGTCAGCAAGCAGCAGATCTATGGGGAACCCTGGAAGAGGATGGCAACCTCAGTCACCAGGTATCCCTTGGGGTGACAGCAAGTGGGCAGGGTCACCAACTCATCCCAGTTTGCCCAGGTCTGTCCCCATTTTCAAATCGGAAGTCCCGTAGCCTGGGAGCTTCATGCTGGTGATCTCAAGCAAACCAACATAGTGGTTGGGAGCCCTGTGTAGGAGCAGAAGCTCTGGAATCAGAAGCAAGGCCCAGCTTTCAGACCACGCTGTCACAGGACAATGCATGCAGCCTTCAGTGTGTCACTTAACTCTCTGAGTTGCAGTATGGAGATGGAGTCTCTGAGTTGCAGTATGGAGATGGAGTCTCTGAGTTGCAGTATGGAGATGGAGTCTCTGAGTTGCAGTATGGAGATGGAGTCTCTGAGTTGCAGTATGGAGATGGAGTCTCTGAGTTGCAGTATGGAGATGGAGTTGGTCATTAGCACCTGCCCCTTCTTCACCTCCCGCCATGATTTAGTTGAACCTTTTTAAGTTGCCTCTTTTTTTAGTCAAAAAGTGTCACATATTTGTATGGTTCTACCTAAAACTTCATACTGCAATTAAGAAGACAAACGAGGCTGCGTTTATGAAAATACTTATAAACAGTAAAGAGCTTATAAATATAAGTTATTATTATCATTATTACCTAAAAGAACCCTTTATTATCAATAGCAAAGTGGACACAGGCTGGAGTGACCATGAGCTTCACTCAGTGGGAAAGCCTTGTTTTGTAATATTTTTAAGACTTCCAGGAAAAATCACTGTTCTTTTACATTTTCTCATGTAAAATTTTTTCCTGCCCCAGATTAATGGTCATTCAGATGCCTACCAGATAGACAGCAAACCAAGAAAACCATAGGGTTCTGACATCTGGTTCGCTCTTAAAACAAGAACACATTTCTAAGGTTGCACTGTAGATATGTATCACGATGGGAATAAATACATACATTCATGAAAAGACTAGTGAAACCAAAAGCAAACCACAAAAATGACCCTAGTTAGGACACTGGGAAATATATTGGGAAATGTAATGACCCCCCCCCCCATGGAGGCCATGTTAACTTTGTGTTACCCAGAAAAATTTGTGTAAATAATTGATTGGGAAATGTCATGATATTGCCTCTGTCTCACACACATCTCAGAGAGATGCAGAAAAAAGAAGACAGAGCTCCTACCCTCCCATTCCTTATAAAAGAAAAAGGAAAAAACAAAAAGCAAAAGTCCTACAGAAAGGGCACAATCTATCTTCTGAGCCAGACATGAGCTCAGACAGGGAGAGAAATTTAGAGCTGTTGAAATAAACCCCTTTGGCCAAAGACAGCTCTGTGTATCTTCTCTAACTTCACAGAACACTCACAGGCTATCTATAATATGTATACAGCTTCTAGAAAATCTGACTGCTTCAAACACACATGCTGATTTGGTGACAGTGACATAAACAAAACATACATGGAAAAATCCAGGGCCCCAAGCAAGTAGTCTTGGCAGCCGCGCTGTAAGGAGGGTTCAGCTAACATACCAGTCTCCCAAGTGGAGGACAGCATGGACCAGATTCCAGGGGCTCGTTTCTGCTAATTGAACTATATTTACATGACTCGATGCTGATGTGTTAATTTGCAAATAATGCCCTTATAACATGGAAAATGTTCTCCTTATAACCCTGAAAATGGTCATCGCCTTTAGGGAAAGAAATTTTTCTCAAGCTCAGAAGGAATGGCACACTATTTTTGACACATTCAGCACTCATATAGTAGCTTCGGGAGTTAATATTGCTGCCAAAACCCCTTTAGAACATGGAAAGTGGGGTCTAGAGCCACCGCCTATTAGTCAGTGAGAAGGGACACCTGCTCCTCCCTCCCAACACTTGTTTGCCAGCCACAGTACATTGGCAAGGTCCTGGCAACTGGACCTTGGCTGTGGGCTCTCCATAGGACAGGGCAGGCAACTGCAATCACCCCATGCCCCAACCCCGCAGACACACACACACACACACACACACACACACACACAAACCTGGAACTATGCATATTGCTGCAGTCTTCATAAGAGGCAGTAAAGAACTCCACCTTTAGAGAAAATAAATAGCATAAGTCCAAGGAGGTCTCAAATTCTGGCAGCAAATCAGTGGCAAGTTATACAGGGAAGCAAAGTGAGAACTGACCACAACTGTCAGTTCCATCTGAAACCCACTGATCTGAGGTGCAGGGCCTAAAATGTGAAACTTTCTGAGGCCTCATTGAGGTTTTCAGAGAGTCTATCCAGAAGTCCAAGCATACAGTAATGATGATGAAGAAGAGGAGCAAGAGAAAGAGGGGAGAGTAGGTAACCTTTACTAAGCACTTCCCAAGGCATTGTTTAGGAGCTTTGCATGTATTAACTGACAATGACCCTATGCAGTGAGAGCTACTATTTTTTCCAGTTTCTACGTTAAAAAAAAAGTTGAGAACCAAAGGGTTAAATCATTGTCAGGGTCCATGAAACCAGGCCAGCTGGGTCCAGAGCCTGACAATGTTGTATGGTCATTCAAAGGCTCCTAGAAGAGTCCCCTCTACTTGAATACCTCGAAGCAGGCAACTCTGCATCCCCAGCCAGCCCTGCCATCAACGTCATCAGTGTGAATGTGCGCAACTGCACACATTCTAGCCACGGTTGCACCTCTGGGAATTTAAGATACACATGTGCATGTAGGCAGTTATTTGTTGGTGCATGGTTATAGTTCATACAGAAAATAATCCGCATTTCCATCAACAGATAACTAGTTAAATTCATTGCCACGTGGCCACACAGGATACTAGTCTATAAAGCTGGCTTCTCCCTTCCACTCCCTGCAACCCTGGAGGCACGTGGCTTCATCAGTGGATAGCACTGTGATGGGAAGAAAACTGTGCCCTTTCCTCCAAGTGGAAGCAGGGCACTTGTACTGCAAGCCGTGCAGCCCCATAGCCTCGCAATGAATTACCATGCAGCAGCAATAAAAAAGAAAGTGGTGCGCACACATCCACGCACAGAGTTTGCGCAGACCATCTCTGGAAGGACCTGTGGGAAACTGATGACCGCATTTGCCTCTGAAGAGGAGACCTGGAGAACTGGGGGTGGGAAGGTGTACTTTTTACTTATAAGTCTCTTTGTTGTGTTTGCATTTTACATGTATGTGTAAACCAAGCATACCTTTTAAGAAAGACTAAAATTTCAAGTTAAAAATTCCTAGCCTGGGCCGCATGACAAAATCCCTTCCCTACAAAAAAATACAAAAAATTAGCCAGGCATGTACCTGTAGTCCCAGCTGCTTGGGAGGCTGAGGTGACAGGACAGGCTTGAGCCCAGGAGGTCAGGGCAGCAGCAAGCTGAGATCATACCACTGCACTCCAGCCTGGGCAACAAAGTGAGACCCTGTCTCAAAAAAAATACAAAAAATAAATTTAAGAAAAATTTGAATAAACCAGCAAAAAATAAAATATTCATTAATAATCAGTCACAAGCAAAAAATTAGAAAAGGTAAAACAAAAAAAACTAAGTGTCCAACAATTTGGGAAATGGAATACAAAAATTAGCTGGGTATGGTGGCATATGCCTGTAATCCCAGCTACTCAGGAGGCTGAGGCAGCGGAATGGCTTAAACCCAAGAGGCGGAGGTTGCAGTGAGCCGAGATTGCACCACTGCACTCCAGCCTGGGCGACAGAGCGAGACTCCATCTCAAAAAAAAAAAAAAAAAAAAAAATTGGGGAAATGGATAAGAACATAAGAGGATATGTCTTCAGTGCAATATCATGTCATCATTAAAAGTTGGGGAAGCTATGTAGCAACAAGGGACATGTTTAGATTACAATGTCAGTGAAAGAGCAGAATGCCAAACTGTATGTTCCATGTGATTACAATCACGATAATATGAAGAAAATTGTCTTCTCTTAGCAGCTAGAATAAGTATTTCTTCTAAAGGTGGGGATAGGGCTGAGTGAGCTGAGATCGTACCACTGCACTCCAGCCTGAGCGACAGAGTAAGACCTTGTCACAAGAAAAAAAAAAAAAAAGAGGCAATAAGAAGCAAATATGTTCCAGCTCTAAAAGGCAGTTGGAAATCTTGCAGAAGACAGTGACAGCAAAGATTAGTAATGAAACCTCCACGTTTATCAGATCCTCAGGGTGCTTAGGTTTTTTCTGCCACCATGTCCAAGCCCCTCACTCCTGGGATCAGGTAAAAGTGAAAAAGCAGCATGAGCTGCAGGAGAGAGGGATGGATAGGCAGCAGGAGGAGGAAGGAGTTATTTTTTATTTCCTCGTAGGACGGAGTCTCACTCTATCACCCGGGCTGGAGTGCAATGGTGCAATCTTGGCTCACTGCAACCTCCGCCTCCCAGGTTCTAATGATTCTCTTGCCTCAGCCTCCCGAGTAGCTGGGATTACAGGTGTGTGCCACCACACCAGGCTAATTTTTGTATTTTTAGTAGAGACAGGGTATCACCATGTTGGCCAGGCTGGTCTCAAACTCCTGACCTCAGGTGATCCACTCACCTCGGCCTTCCAAAGTGCTGGGATTACAGGTGGGAGCCACCGCCCCCGGCAGACTGGAAGGAGCATTTTGGAAAACACCTTACCCTACCAATGCATCTCAAATAGATAGCTGATCCTGATGGAGAAAATAAGGCTCAAAAACGGAAATAACAGGTCTTTCTCGATTATATTCGTTCTGTAGAGTATATAACTAGACAGTCATAAGGCTGCTTACCTCAAACAGCACATGTGATAGCTAAGTAGGTAGATAACAAAGAGCATGCAGTATTTTATAAACCACAGTTCAATCCTTTCTCCTCTGCTCTTCTCCCCCACTCCTGTTCCTCCTTCATCCTTCCGCCCACAGAATGTAGGATTCACAGTGAACCACTGAGCCTCAAGCCTGATACTTGAACAGATCACAACTTTCCACATCACTTACGCCTCCTAAGCCTCAGAATCTCCATGAATAAGATGGGAACAGTACCAATATTCAGCTTTTGAGGTTATCTTGAGCATTAAATGAGATCATGGATGTGAAAGGCCGCTGGAATTTTAAAGCATTCTATAACATTATTTTATCAGGGGCAAAAAAGCTTATCCTGTTTCAGAAAATGCAGAAAAATATCCCCAAGAAATATGATGGCTAAAATACACAATTTTGGGATACCACATAATTTTATAACATTAGAAATTCAAATGTTAATAAACTTAAAACTATATATTACCATCTTGTTTTTATTTTATTCCCATATGTACTTATAAATAGAATCTAACTTAAAGAAAAATAGGCTAATTTGACTCCTCTTTTACTTTAATTAAGGCCTCTTAGAAGTAATAATAAATAAATAAATAAATAAATAAATAAATAAATAAATAAATAAATAAAATATCTTTAAAAGAGAGGTTGTTGCTTTAAAAAAGGGACGATGTTATTTCCTTGAAGTCACCTTTCAAAATGCAGCAACAAAGTAGGCTTCAAATTAAATTGAGTGGAAAACTCAGCGATAGCGTCCTAAAAATTCCACGCACCTTAATCAGAATATTTCCCTTTGTTTTTTTATTTTTCTAGGTAAAAATATTCTTTTTTTTTTTTTTAGACCCAGGTTGGAGTACAGTGGTGGGATCTCAGCTCACTACAACCTCCACCTCCTGGGTTCAAGCAATTCTCCTGCTTCAGCCTCCCGAGTAACTGGGATTGCAGGCACCTGCCACCACACCCGGCTAATTTTTGTATTTTTAGTAGAGACGGGGGTTTCACCATGTTGGCCAGGCTGGTCTCGAACTCCTGACCTCAGGTGATCCACCCACCTCGGCCTCCCAAAGTGCTGGGATTACAGTCGTGAGCCACTGTGCCCAGCAAAAATATTCTTTCTAAGTTTACCTTTCTTTTTCATCATATTGAATATAAGCATATTCATGATATTAATTGGTAAACTGCTGTGCATTATCTTTACTATTATTACTATAAATAAATTGGTGTTAATCAATTGTAAGTGAATATTCTAAATGAAATTCAATATCTAAACCAGGTCACAGAGCCATGAGGTCATCGCCAAAGCCCCTCTGGTAGTGGTCCACAGTCATAATCCCAATCATTCTGCCCATCTCCTCTACCCAGCACATATTTAGAGCTGTTGGACAGAAAGGACCTCCAAGGGAGGCCATGGCAGGGAGCTCATGGCCTTACAATGCATACAACTCCAGGCTGAACAGCTCCTGGTCTTAGAAGGCCCTCTTGACTCTGAGCCTCTATCTACCATCCTTTGACTTCCAGCCATGAACCTAGAGCTTCCATCTTGAGCAACACATAAAATCAGTCCCCCTCCATGTGAAGAGAACTACCATGTTCCCCATCAGTATCCTCTTCCAAATTAAATACATCAAATTGCATTAACTCCTCCTTATAAAACAGGATATCCTGACTCCTTCGCCATCCTGGTGAAACTTCTCTGGATACAAACTTCTCTGCATCTTCCCAAATGGATATACTATTCCAAACATCCTCTAAATTATTCTGTGTACAATGGAATTCACTCCTGTTATGAATGAATGTTACCTATATAATTGTAACATAAATTTGCATGCATTGTATTGTTTGCTTGTTTTGAGAAGAGGTGTTTGTTTTGGAATCTTTATCTCATTCCAGGCTTATGTTGAGCTTGGTGCCTTATAGTTGGAATTAGCATGATTATATGAATAAATTTGTCTTTAAAATGTTCAGGAAATATCTTAACATTTTTACTTAAATTCAGCATTCTTACATTCCTCAAGGTCAAAGAGAAAAGAACTACATAGGTCTTAATACTAAGTATTTTCAGAAAGGATGCCACAAATCTCTATAAAGAGTAAGGGACTTCTGAAAAATGATGCGTAGTCAAAGTAAAGATTATTTTTCATCTTCAAAATATATACTAGCTAAGTGTCTTGAAGGGGGACATTATAAGAAAATAGACTGACTAGGTCCTGTACCAACTGGTGATATCTCAAATAAGAAAGGTTTTAGCAAAACATGTGATAATCATAAGCTAATCTAAGCAAGAGATGCAGTTGGGGTGAGCTTTAAAAGTGTTTTATTCTCTCTCTAGCATGGTACCTGGAAGACAGTAAGCATTTTGGAATCAGGCCTTGTTTCAATGCCAGAGACACACCTGTGAATAAAGCAGACACAATTCTCTATCTACACACAGCTTACACCTGCACACATAAGTATGTATATGGTGATGGTAAGTGTCTGTCTTAGTCCATTCTCACACTGCTATAAGGACATACCTGAGACTGGGTAATTTATAAAGCGAAGAGGTTTAATTGACCCACTGTTCTGCATGGCTGGGAGGCCTCAGGTAACTTACAATCATGGTGGAAGGGGAAGTAAACACTTCCTTCTTCACAGGGTGGCAGGAGAGAGAAGTGACAGCAAAGGGGAGAAAAAGCCCCCTATAAAATCATCAGATCTTGTGAGAATTCATTCATTATCATGAGAACAGCATGAGGGTAACCACCCCATGATTCAATTACCTCCCACCAGGTCCCTCCCGTGACATGTGGGCATTATGGGAACTATAATTCAAGATGAGATTTGGGTGGGGATACAGCCAAACCAGATCAGTGTCAATGAATTCATAAAAGCAAAATTCAGAAATTCATGTTCCCCCTCATTTTCCATCAAAGAGAACAAACCAAGACTAGGCATGGTGGCTCCCACCTCTAATCCCAACACTTTGGGAGGCTGAGATGGGAGGATCACTTGAGGCCAGGAATTTGAGACCAGCCTGGTCAGAAGAGCAAGACCTGTCTCTACAAAAATAATAAATTAGCCAGGCATAGTGGTGCACACCTGTAGTGCCAGCTACGCAGAAGGCTAAGGCAGGAGGATTGGTTGAGTCCTGGAGTTCAAGGCTGCAATGAGCCATGATTGTACCACTGCACTCCAGCCTGAGTGACAGAGCAAGACCCTCTCTCTAAAAAAAAAAAAAAAAAAAGTATAATTATACTTTTTTTCAGGCACAATGCTGAAATAGAAATGTTTCATGGTTCATTGTCTTGAGGGATCATTGATGTTCTATGAATTAATTGGGCAAGAGAAAATATTTCAGGCTTCAAAATAAAATAAAGAATAAACATGACATCTTGGATTTGTTTACTTTACAAAATAAGGTCGACATACTTAGTCATTTGTGCAGCTACCATAAAGGAGCCTAGGTAAGTAATGTATCTTTTAAAAATACACACATTTTATATTCTCTAAGTATTTAGTCATAGGGTTTTTTTCTAAAGTCTGCATTGTATAAAGAAGGAAATTGAGGCCAAAAGACATTAAAAGACTTGGCTAATGTGACTCAGTAAATGAGGGTCATTGCAGGGGCTAGCTCTCCAGTCTCCCATGCTCAGTACGCTCTTTCTACTCACTCCAACTTCTACCTGTGACTTCAGACAGAGGAAAAAGAGATGAGCAACTCTAATAAAATGCACAGATCATTCTTTTTTAATTTAATTTAATTTTTATTTTTCCATAAGTTATTGGGGTGCAGGTAATATCTGGTTACATGAGTAAGTTTTTTAATGGTGATTTGTGAGATTTTGGTGCACCCATCTCCTGAGCAGTATACACTGCACCATATTTGTAGTCTTTTAACCCTCGCCTCCTTCCCACTCTTTTCCCCAAGTCCGCAAAGTCCATTGTATCATGCTTATGCCTCTGAGTCTTCATAGCTTAGCTCCCACATATCAGTGAGAATATATGCTGCTTGGTTTTCCATTCCTGAGTTACATCACTTAGAATAATAGTCCTCAATCTCATCCAGGTCACTGCAAATGCTGTTAATTCATTCCTTTTTATGGCTGCATAGTATTCCATATATATATATATATGGTTTTATATATATATATATATATGTGATATGATTATCACATATATATAGATATATATGTATATATCATGGTTTCTTTATCAATTTGTTGATTGATGGGCATTTGGATTGTCCCACAATTTTGCAATTGTGAATTGTGCTGCTATAAACATGTGTGTGGAAGTATCTTTTTCGAATAATGACTTCTTTTTCTCTGGCTAGATATCCAGTAGTGGGATTGTTGTAGCAAATGGTAGTTCTACTTTTAGTTCTTCAAGGAATCTTCACAATGCTTTCCACAGTGGCTGTACTAGTTTACATTTCGACCAGCAGTGTAGAAGTGTTTCCTGTTCACCACATCCATGCCAACATCTATTGTTTTTTGATTTTTTGATTATGGTCATTCTTGCAGGAGTAGGGTGGTATCGCATTGTGGTTTTGATTTGCATTTCCCTGACCATTAGTGATGTTGAGCATTTTTTCAAATGTTTCTTGGCCATTTGTATATCTTCTTTTGAGAATTGTCTATTCATGTCCTTAGCCCACTTTTGGATGGGATTGTTTGCTTTTGTCTTACTGATTTGTTTGAGTTTGTTGTAGATTTGCACAGATCATTTTAATATGTTTTTCTAAAACTCTAGATCTGAAATCAGGTGGAAAGAAACAAAAGTTGGAATTCTTACAGAAAAAACTTGCCCTAAGCACTATGAATCTAGTGCTCAACACAGCATATGGTAGATTAAATGGTCAAAAATCAGCAGAACTCAACAAAATGTTTTCATTCATTTCAAACTGATTATCACCAGTATTAACAATTTAGGCAGACAGATTCCTGATGGCAGGCATGTGCCATTAATGAAAGAGAAATTAACATCAGTGATATTTTACCTTCCATCTGCTTTTTTAGTGACTGAATTTGATCATAATATTCAGTTCAAGTAGAAAATAACAGATGGGTATAAAAGTCCCACGTACATTACTTCTTGAAGAATATAGGAAAACACATGTATTTTTTACACACTACTTCAATGGCTTTTGTCAAAACCAACCTGCTTTTAACTTAAATAGTCAAAAATATTTTCATCTTTCTTCAAATTTTACTCTATCATCTGTTAAAACTAACTTTAAATCTTGGATCCAAACACCTATCCAGGCAATATTGGTCACAACATATGTTGATTATTTTAAAGTCTTATGACTGATTTACTGACAACACTCTTACCAGGAATTCTGAAAAATGAGTAAATTCTTCAAAATGAGTTGTATTAGTTCTCACACTGCTAATAAAGACACACCCAAGACTGAGTAATTTATAAAGAAAAAGAGTTTTAATGATAAAGAGGATATCACCACGGATCCCACAGAAATACAAACTACCATCAGAGAATACTATAAACACCTCTACACAAATAAACTAGAAAATCTAGAAGAGATGGATAAATTCCTGGACACATACACTCCCAAAACTAAACCAGGAAGAAGTCGAGTCCCTAAATAGACCAATAACAAGTTCTGAAATTGAGGTAGTAATTAATAGCCTACCAACCAAAAAAAGCCCATGACCACAGCCAAATTCTACCAGAGGCACAAAGAGGAGACAATACCATTCCTTCTGAAACTATTCCAAACAATTGAAAAGAAGGGACTCCTCCCTAACTCATTTTATGAGGTCAGCGTCATCCTGATATCAAAACCTGGCAGAGACACACACACACACACACACAAAGAAAACTTCAGACCAATATCCCTGATGAACACTGATGCAAAAATCCTCAATAAAACACTGACAAACCAAATCCAGCAGCACATCAAAAAACTTATCCACCATGATCAAGCCGGCTTCATCCCTGGGATGCAAGGCTGGTTCAACATACACAAATCAATAAATGTAATCCATCACATAAAAAGAACCGAAGACAAAAACCACATGATTATCTCAATAGATGCAGAAAAGGCCTTTGATAAACTTCAACATCCCTTCATGTTAAAAACCCTCAATAAACTAGGTATTGATGGAACATATCTCAAAATAATAAGAGCTATGTATGACAAACCCACAGCCAATATCACATTGAATGGGCAAAAGCAGGAAGCTTTCCCTGTGAAAACCAGTACAAAACAAGGATGCCCTCTCTCACCACTCCTATTCAACATAGTGTTGGAAGTTCTGCCCAGGGCAATCAGGCAAGAGAAAAAAAGAAAGTGTACTCAGATAAGAAGAGAGGAAGTCAGGCCGGGCACGTTGGCCCATGCCTGTAATCTCAGCACTTTGGGAGGCCGTGGCAGGAGGATCACGAGGTCAGGAGTTCAAGAACAGCCTGACAAGATGGTGAAACCCTGTCTCTACCTAAAATACAAAAAAATTAGCCAGCCATGGTGGCAGGCACCTGTAATCCCAGCTACTCAAGAGTCTGAGGCAGAGAATTGCTTGAACCCAGGAGGCGGAGATTGCAGTGAGCCGAGATCACGCCACTGCACTCCAGCCTGGGCAACAGAGTGAGACTCCATCTCAAAAAAAAAAGAAAGATGAAATCAAATTGTCTCTGTTTGCAGACAACATTATTTTATATTTAGAAAACCCCATCATCTCAGCCCAAAAACTCCTTAAGCTGATAAGCAACTTCAGCAAAGCCTCAGGATACAAAATCAATGTCCAAAACTCACAAGCATTTCTTTACACCAACAATAAGCAAGCAGAGAGCCAAATTATGAATGAACTCCCATTCACGATTGCTATAAAGAGAATAAAATACCAAGGAATACAGCTACAAGGGATGTGAAGGACCTCTTCAAGGTCCTCTCTTATTTCCAAACCACTGCTCAAGGAAATAAGAGAGGACACAAATGGAAAAAATTCTATCCTCACGGATAGGAAGAATCAATATTGTGAAAATGGCCATACTGCCCGAAGTAATTTATAGATTCAATGCTATTCCCATCAAACTACCATTGACATTCTTCACAGAATTAGAAAAACCTACTTTAGGCCAGGCGCGGTAGCTCACGCCTGTAATCCCAGCACTTTGGGAGGCCGAGGCAGGCAGATAACCTGAAGTCGGGAGTTCCAGACCAGCCTGACCAACATGGAGAAACCCAATCTCTACTAAAAATACAAAATTAGCCAGGCATGGTGGCACATGCCTGTAATCCCAGTAACTCGGGAGGCTGAGGCAGGAGAATTGCTTGAACCCAGGAGGTGGAGGTTGAGGTGAGCCAAGATCGCACCACTGCACCACTCTAGCTTGGGCAACAAGGGCGAAACTCCGTCTCAAAAAAACAAAAAACAAACAAAAAAAAAAAACTACTTTAAATTTCATATGGAATCAAAGAAGATCCTGTATACCCAAGACAATCCTAAGCAAAAAGAACAAAGCTAGAGGCATCACGCTACCTGCCTTCAAAGTATACAAGGCTACAGTAACCAAAACAGCATGGTACTCATCCCAAAACAGACATATAGACCAATGGAACAGAACAGAGGCCTCAGAAATAACACCACACATCTCCAACCATCTGATCTTCGACAAACTTGATAAAAACAAGCAATGGGGAAAGGATTCCCTACTCAATAAATGGTGCTGGGAAAACTGGTTAGCCATATGCAGAAAACTGAAACTGGACCCCTTCCTTATACCTTATACAAAAATTAACTCAAGATGGATTAAAGACTTAAATGTAAAACCCAAAACCATAAAAACCCTAGAAGAAAACCTAGGCAATGCCATTCAGGACATAGGCATGGGCAAAGACTTCATGACTAAAATGCTGAAAGCAATTGCAACAAAAGCCAAAATTGACAAACGGTTTCTAATTAAACTGAAGAGCTTCTGCAGAGCAAAAGAAACTATCATCAGAGTGAACAGGCAACCTACAGAATGGGAGAAAATTTTTGCAATCTACCCATCTGACAAAGATCTAATAGTCAGAATTTATAAGGAACTTCAACAAATTTACAAGAAAAAAATCAAACAACCCCATCAAAAAGTGGGCAAAGGATATGAACAGACACTTCTCAAAAGAAGACATTTACACAGCCAACAAACATATGAAAGAAAGCTCAACATCACTGATCATTAGAGAAATGCAAATCAAAACCACAATGAAATAACAATCTCACGCCAGTCAGCATGGTGATTATTAAAAAGTCAAGAAACAGATGCTGGCGAGGCTGTGGAGAAACAGGAATGCTTTTACACTGTTGGTGGGAATGTAAATTAGTTCAACCATTGTGGAAGACAGTACAGTGATTCCTCAAGGATCTAGAACCAGAAATACCATTTGACTCAGCAATCTCATTACTGAGTATATACCCAAAGGAATATAAATCATTCTACTATGAAAACACATGCACATGTATGTTTATTGCAGCACTATTTACAATAGCAAAGTCATGGAACCAACCCAAATGCCCATCAATGATGGACTGAATAAAGAAAATGTGGTCCATATACACGATGGAATACTATGCAGCCATAAAAAGGAATAAGATCATGTCATTTGCAGGAGCTTGGAAGAAGCTAGAAGTCATCATCCTCAGCAAACTAACACAGGAACAGAAATCCAAACACCACATATTCTCACTCGTAACTGGGAATTGAGCAATGAGAGCACATGGACACAGGTAGGAGAACAACACACACCAGGGCCCGTTGCGGGATGGGGAAAAAGAAGAGGGAACTTAAAGGATGGGTCCATAGGTGCAGCAAACCACCATGGCACACGTATACCTATGTGACAAACCTGCACTTTCTGCACATATATCCCGGAACTTAAAGTAAAATAAAATAGATAAATAAATAAATAAAATTAGATTAAATTTTAAAAAAGAAGAGGTTTAATGGACTCACAGTTCCACATGGCTGGGGAGGCCTCACAATCATGGTGGAAGCCAAAGGAGGAGCAAAGGCATGTCTTATATGGTGGCAGGCAAGAGAGTAGGTGCAGGGAAACTGCCCTTTATAAAACCAGCAGATCACATGAGACTTACTCACTGTCACAAGAACAGCACGGGAAAACCCCACCCCCATGACTCAATTACCTCTCACCAGGTCCCCCCCCACGACACTTGGGGATCCAGCAGACACCACCACCACTTCATCCCACTTCAAATGTGGTCTCCCATGCTCGAGAAGCAGTACTCACCTTCTGGTCTGCAAAGCGCCATCCTGGCATAATTTGCCTTGGCATTTGTCTTTTAACGAGTATTTTAAACGATCTTTTAAACGAATATAATATCTTTGGAAGCCCTTATTTGCATGTATTAGTTATGATATACCTAATAAACATTCCACCACTCTAATTTACCAATCTTTACCAGTTATAAAAGCAGAAACTATAATCATGTCTTTCAAAATAAGCCTTGGGCTGTTTTGTAGCAGTGAAATCGATAGTTGTACTTAACCTAAAGAACCTGTGAGAATCCCACTGCAGTGTTGAAATTTAACAATTAAGCAATACTATCCCTGGCTTTCATCATTGAATTTCACAAAATATGTTATTTGCTGGGAAAACAGTTGAATCGGCCTGATGACGTGAATAATCTCAGGCCTGACAAGGATATAGCTGTATTATAATTCCTTAGTGTCCTTAAATGTAAGCTACTTTTGCAATTAATACTAAATCTAACCTCGCTTTTTCCGTAATTTCTATAATTTCATCTGAACGTAGTAACAGGTTAGCAGGGGGCCACCAGCCTGGGCGCTCTCGGTGTTATACTGTCCTCTCGTGGTAAATATGGAGAACTGCAGCCTGACGGCTTTTTCCTCTTTCAGTTTCCTGTTCCATTATTTTGCCGTGCTATACATATCCTTGTAAACTGCCTTAAATTCTTTCTAGGACACAGCAAAATCTAAAATAAATAGATAAACAAATGTATAAGATGAGAACTGTTGACTAGGAGCTTAAAACATGGGTTGGAAAACCCATCTGCTTGGGTTCAAATCCCAGCTCTTAAAGCCCAGCACAGTGGCACGCACCTGTAGTCCCAGCTTCTTGGAAGGTTGAGGCAGAAGAATGGCTCAGGTTCAGGGGAAAAATAAAAAATGAAAATTCCAGCTCTGCCACTTAATCAGCTGTGAGAACCTGGGTTATCTACTGGGGTGGAGATAGTCTCTCTCTATGCCTAGCTCCTCATCTGTAGAATGAAGATAACAATAGCCTGCATTGCATAGTGCTGATATACCTCCATGGCAAGCACTAGGAACAGAACTACTACTCCTTCTCAAAAACAAACAAAAAACAAAAAACCAAAGTGAGAGCTTTATCACCTAAAAGGTCAATTACAGCTTATTCTTAAATACAGTGGAACAGAAGTTCTCTGGGACCTACAGACCACTTCCCCACTGTGTCCAAATTGGACACAGAGTGCAGAAAACTGAAACTGCAACCCAGCTGAGCTGTGATTGTGTCTTTTTTCACTGGAAGAAGTAAATCATAGAATGTTAGTGTTGTACATTGGACTTTGGAGCACATTCCGTTTGGCCTCCTCATTTTACAGTTGAGGAGTTTGAGGCCCAGAGAAGTGATAACTCAGTTCTCCCGATGCATTTCCATGATGCGATCACTGCTTCATGCTCTGAGTCCTTGTAAACACAGGAATTTCCAGGAAGAGGAAAGGGCAAAGCTGTGATCAACCAGCCATAGTTTTCCCAGCCCTAGTTTTCCCCATGCAGCTGCAGAAGTCACCGTGGAATGACCCACGAGCAAGGCCACAGGCACAGACACTTCGGGAGCTGACAGGAATAGATCTTTAGAGACAGGAAGGCTTTCCTACCCAACCCCACCATCAATTTTTTAAAAGCAAGCATTTCCCACAAGGTAAATATAAGAACTAGTCTGGTCAAAGGATAACAAGGCAGTAGGTACTGGAAATTCCGGACAATTTGTACTACTCAAGCTAACTGCAATGCAAGACAGGCTCTGGAACTTAAGGCAAAGCTATTATGTCCGGCTCTGCCACAATTTTAGAATCCGCGTCCCCTGTAGTGGACTGTGATGCACCACCATGTTCTGTCCTCAACAGAGGTTGTCCTCTGACAACCCTCTCTGAAAACTGCCCTCAGCTCAAGAAGGTTGCTTTGTTCAAGGTCAAGCCCCCCAGTACTTAGTCAACGAGAAAGTGTAGAGACTCAGCACTCCCAGAGTGATGGGGGACCACTCCAGAGCCCCTGGGGTTCTGCTGAGGCCCTGCTGAGATTGCATCACAGCCCAGCTGCCCCCTCACCTGAGTATTATCCTGAGGACACGCCCAGAGAGATGTCCTGCACATTCATCTCTACTCAGAGCCTGCTTGCCAGAGAAACCAAATCAACAGCCCTTTTCTGATATAAAATCTCACACGTCACTCTTCTTGACCTGTTCGGGTTTTGTGGGGTTTTTTGTTTGTTTTTGTTTGGTTGGTTGGTTTTTTTGAGGGGAAGAGGATCAATTTAAAATAAATCCATTGTATACTTAGCCTCTCCAATCTGAGAAGAGAGTGTGCTTTATATCTGGCAAAACCTGTTTAAAATGCTGTTTCCCGATTGCTACCACCTAAATTATCCTCCGTGTAAATGGCTGTTTCTCCCCAAACCTAATTCCAATGGATGGAACGTTTCTGTTCCCCCAAAATTCACACGTTGAAATCCTAACTCCCAAGGTGATCGTATTTAGGAGGTGAGGCTTTTGGGAGATGATTAGGTCAAGAGGGCGGAGTCCTCGTGATTGCGATTAGTGCCCTTGTAAAAAACCCCAGAGAGCTCTCTCACCCCTTCAGCTACGTGAAGACACAGCAAGAAGATGGCTAGGCCTTCTATGAACCAGGAAGCAGGCCCACCCCCAGACACCAAATCTGCCAGCACCTTGATCTTGGGCTTCCCAGCCTCCAGAACTGTGAGAAATAAATTTCTGTTGTTTATAAGCCCCTCTGTTTACGGTATTTTGTTATAGGAACCTTAATGGACTGTTGGAAATTTTTATTTAGATTTCATAATTAAAACACAAATACATAGTCATTATAAAAGTATGACCTTTTGATCCGCCATCCCCAGGGGGCCCATGCCACTGTTTCCAATCTGGGTCCTCTCCAGATTTTGATACACACTCCTAGGTAGTCACGTCTCCCCTCCCTGCTTTGAAAACCACTACCATCTGCATATCAACCAGTCAAGATTTTGAACATTAACTTCTTGCAGTCTATATTATAAAACCCTTTTTAAAATTTTTCCAAATATAAAATACTATTAGAATGTTTTGTGAAACATCCTTGCTCAAACACCTTAGTTTGAGGGCACTAACTAACACCCAGTTTGGAGGGAAATGAAACCCACTCAAAGGCATTTGAGGAAGTGGGAGAAGGGACTTCTCCAGGGCAAGCAAGAGAAGTGTTTCAGAGTCAGGAAAGGAAGCTATTAACGTAACTTGCAAGAGAAAGCTGCAGCATTTACAGTAATTTCATCGAATTTTAAAGTAATCAAATCTGAATTTTATAACATTTGGCATGAGGTCATTTATGTATAGGCTCATGAGGAAGGCCTAAACTGAATCCCCAATCCTCAAGAATTCTAAAGTGAACACAACAGTTACCGGGAGCCCAAAATTAGGCCACTGCAGATTTTAGGGCATATGGTCATGTCCTCCCAGATACCAGGAGTTATACTTCGAAACACAGGGAAGCATAAAGTCAACTCAATTCTAATGCATCACTGGTGTTGAAATGTGCTTTGGGAAGGCAGGAAATCCATTCTAACGAAGAGCAAAAAAGCCCACCAAAAAGCCAACTTGGGGTTTGTCAAGAAATGATATACTTCACTTGGCAGAGGATAGTATCTTCCAAAGATTCCTGCTGGTTGTTGAAGGATTGTTGATTACACATTTTTGAACAAGGAAACTAGAACACTGAAAATGCAAGCCTACCTACTTGGGAAATAAAAAAAGTTATTTCAAGAGAAAACAAACTCTTATTACAAGGATAATGAGAAAAGTCAGCGTGGGGAAAACGTTTAAGAGGGGCAGGAACAACAGCAAGAACAAAAACTATTGGTAGCTAGATAAGAAATGTCAAAAACAATCACAGGCTGGGTGCAGTGGCTCATGCCAGTAATCCCACCACTTTGGGAGGCTGAGGTGGGTGGATCACTTAAACCCAGGAATTTGAGACTAGCCTGGGCAACATGGTGAAACCCCGTCTCTACAAAAAATACAAAACGTAGCCAGGCATGATGGCATGTGCCTGTAGTCCCAGCTACTCAGGAGGCTGAGGTGTGAGGATCACTTAAGCCCAGGAATTGGAGGCTGCAGTGAGCCATCACTGTACCACTGCACTCCAGCCTGGGCAACAGAGCAAGACCCTGTCTCCAAGAAAAAAAAAAAAAAATCACAGAAGGAATAACAAATAACAGGCAGGCATTGAAACTACACTACGACAGGTGCAGCAACTCATGCTTATAATCCTAGCACTTTGGGAGGCCAAGGCAGGAGGATCACTTGAGGCCAGGAGTTCAAGACCAGCCTAGGCAACGTGAGACCCTGTCTCTACAAATTAGCCAGGATGGTGGTACACACTTATATTCCAGCTACTTCAGAGGCTGAGGGAGGAAGAGCGCTTGAACCCAGGAATTTGAGCTTGCAGTGAGCCATGACTGAGCCACTCACCCCATCCTGAGCAACAGAGTGAGACCTTATCTCTAAAAAAAAAAAAAAAAAAAAAAAAAAATTACACTACTATACTTGCTGTATCATTACAAATGCTTTTGGCTGCATGTGACAGAAAACACACGGGGCATATTTTTCTCATATATCTTTCTTTAAGAAGTCTGCAAACAGGACTTGTTGATGTTGGTTCAACAGCTCAGTGATGTCATCTCTGTGATTCTAACCCTTTTCTTCATGGTCATAACTGCCACACAGCCACTCCTAACTGGAGCTGTTGATGTTGGTTCAACAGCTCAGTGATGTCATCTCTGTGATTCTAACCCTTTTCTTCATGGTCATAACTGCCACACAGCCACTCCTAGCTGGGGCTAGGCAAGCAACTCTCTACCACAACAACAAGAAAACTGTAGGAAACCTGGGCTTTGCTGAAAGTGAAGAGCTTGGCAAAATGGGTGGGGCTGAGTCCATTCCAGTGGTGACCTCAGCTCCCTGGCTGTTGCACACAGTCTGAAAGGTCCAGGGAAACATGTAAATTTCCATATCACATTAGTATGTGGGAGAAGAGGGACAAAATATCTGTTGCAAACTTATGTTTCATTTCTATTATCCAAGAAACTCTACCTATGGCATTCCTCACAAAAAACAACAACAAAAAAAGGTCAGACTATGTGGTGAGAAAACATGAATTTTGGTTGCTACAAAACACAAGCAAGTTCAAAAAGAATGTTTATTTTAAGCTCTATGTACAGAAGAACAGAGTATAAACGTAAAAAGGAACAAAGGAAACAAAAATGACAGGCATACATATTTACATAGCAAGTGTAGGCAAAATGTGTCAAGAAGAGTCTTTAAATACATCTACTTTTAGCCTTTAACAGTCCAAATCAGTTTCTAAGAATAATTTATCATCCAGGAAGAAGTTTTGGAAGTTTAAAGCTCAACCTTAAGTTGAGTTTAAATCCTTGAGTTTAGAAGGCTTGTGTTGCTGATACCTTGGTCAACAGCTTTTGTGTTGACCATTTCTTCTTTAGTTCGCTGTCCTTCTGACTGTGAAATGTGATGTCCAAACTGAAATAAAGCAAATATTTAACACAGAAATTATTCTAATGTCAAAAAAAAAAAAGAATGGCAAGACAAAGGCCAGATGACCCTCTGAGGTTTCATTCACAATATTTATTTACCGTATTTATTACTATAATACATAGTTATTTGGCTATGTATCAGGTACTACGCTCAGAGCCAAGGACAAAAGTGAACGAGACACTCTCAGCGGCACAGACTGAGCTCTTAGGCAACTAAAATTTGAGTCCCTATGTGCCCAGCCTGAAATTAAGTGCTAAAAACTATGTAAAAAAAAAAAAAAAAAAAAAAAGAAGATTATCTAAAATACTTGTAATTGGCTGGAAAAAGTGCTAAGAGACACTGAACTAATAGCAAGCAGTAAATGACAACCTAGAAACACTTCGTTTATCCACTATCACTGGGAAACAGTGTGTTCCACCTACGGGAACTTCTTACATAAATGCATCCTCAAATTTTCAAACATCCTCAAATTTTAAGAAACCAAGTTCTAGTCTCTGCTCTGCCCCTTAGATATGGGATTATAGGCACTACAGGGATCATTTCCCTCACATTTTCGGGGGAAAAGGGATTGCTGCTGTGAAGATCTAGTGAGATGAGTAAAAAAGGTACTTTGCAAGTTACAAACTGCTCTACAAATGTTAAAATTAAACATTTATTTTAGACACACTTGCATTTTTATAGTAATAGTTCTAAAGTGTCTTCTTAAATAGTTAAAAGAATATAATTTTCTAAGTCAACATGCTAAACATCAGATATATACACACACACACACAATGGTGAGCACAGAGGCTGCACACACTGGAGTGGCAATGTGTGTGTGTGACAAGTCCCTCCACTCTGTTACACTCTTTTTCTTTTTTTGTTTTTTTTGAGACTGACTCTAGCTCTGTCGCCAGGCTGGACTGCAGTGGCACAATCTTGGCTCACTGCAACCTCCACCTCCCGGGTTCAACCAATTCTCCTGCCTCAGCCTCCTGAGTAGCTGGAATTAATTACAGATGCGTGCCACCACACCCGGCTAATTTTCGTATTTTTAGTAGAGACGAGGTTTCACCGTGTTGGTCAGGCTGGTCTCGAACTCCTGACCTCATGCATGATCTGCCCACCTCAGCCTCCCAAAGTGCTGGGATGACCACGCCCGGCCCTGTTACACTCTTGGAGGGCTCAATGCATCTGAGTTTTCCAGTCTCTTCCTCTGCTGACGTCTGTCCTTCCTCAGTGCTATCTAGCTGACTTTAGATGCTGTTCCTCTTCCACACTCCTGTCATTCTCAAGGCTTATTCTTATGTGTTAATACTACCTCAACTAAATTAAGACATGTGAAAACCACCCCAAAATTAGAATTACTTCTAAATTTAAGAAAAGAGACTTCAAGTAAGGAGTAATCTTAAGGCTCAAATGCTTAAAATCCAGTGTTTGTCATCCTAGGCATCCAGTAAGTGCTGTCACTAAAGATAACTATAATCCCATTTGCTTTTTTACATGCAGAGTTAACATTATATTCAACAAAATATCCAAAGTCTGTATATTTGACAGAGAAAAATCTTGGCGTATTCACATTCCATATGGTTAGGGGGAATCTATTGCACCATTCTTCCCTGGCCCTCTCAAACTGTCAGACACCCAGTTCATACTGCAGATGGCAACATCAAATTGGCACCTAAGATAAGTCATTATAAACATATGCACAAATATTTTTCAAATTAAGTATTTTATTTCAAAAGAGCTCATGATAGGCTAAAAGTGAAAATGAGCATATAAAATTAACAACAAAAAAACCCCAGAAACATTAGCAGCATCAATAAACAATTATATAGCCCATTCTGCACAATTACTTCAAGAGAACTTGAACACAAAGCTGTAACATAAACAACACATCTGAGAAAAACTGAAAAATTAATTTTACATTAGTGTAGCTTACCCTTGAAGTTTCTGGACTAGAAAATGGGGAAGATTCCCAAGATCTATTCTCTTTCTCAAAAGAATCATCTTCTTGAAATGCAAATTTCTGTTTAAGTGCATGAGATATTAAAGAAACTGGATCCCAATGTGAATTCTGTCTTTTCCTCTTATGAATGGGTCTACCGCCAGGTGACCTATTTTTTAAAAAAAAAAATTGAATTTATTAAAACTTGGATGTAATTTTAGCTCCTTGTTGACAAACATGGCAGGAATACAAGCATATCTTACAATTTAATTAGTCTTCAAGAGATTGAAAATAATCTAATCTTCAAGAAATTTTCGCAATGAAATAAGGAAGGCACAATGAATGAAGAATCAGAAAACCAAGAACCCATGTGACTTGAGACTCTGCCATAACCTTGTTATGACCTGAGATTTGTCAGATGTCACTATGCTGAAGATCTTTATTATGGTAATTTTCTAATTTCCTAATGGGTAGGAAAATTCAAATAAATAAGAACTTTTAAAAGGACGAGAGTTCATGCCAAAAAAAAAAAAATTACGCAAATTGTTCATTTGTTTGGTTGTTCATTCATTTAATCTTCATTGAATGCCCACTACCACATCCGACTCCATTTTATGCTTTGGGAGTATTCTGCTCCCAATTCTTACAGCAAGATTATCATCAATATACAAGTAAGATCATTTGGCTGGTAATAAGAGCTGTGAATAAAACAAAACAGAGGCTGGGCACGGTAGCTCATGCCTATAATCCCAGCACTTTAGGAGGCCAAGGTGGGAGGACTGCCTGAGCCCAGGAGTTCGAGAGCAGCTTGGGTAACATAGCGAGACCCCATCTCTAGAAAAAATTTAAAAATTAGCCAGGCAACTACTTGGGAGGTTAAGGCAGGAGGATCACTTGAGCCAAGGAGGTCAAGCCTGCAGCAAGTCATGGCACCACTACACTCCAGCCTGGGTGACAGAGCAACACCCTGTCTCAAAAAAAAAAAAAAAAAACTAAATTAAAAAATAAAAAATAGGGAAATGTAATAGTGATTAGGGACAGAAGCACTTTAGATATGATCAGAAAAAAAGCCTCTTTAAGGAAGCAACATCCTCTTTAAGAAAATGACAAGGGGTCAGTTTTAGTGTAAACATCTGGGGCTGCATCAGGAAGGAGCTTGGCATGTGTGAGAAACGGAAAAAAGAAAGCAACTGCAGCTGGAGTGCAGTGGGCAAACATGGGGCATAGGAGAGGAGCTCAGCGAGAGAAGTGAGGGCTGGCTCCTGGAGGGGCCTACGGACACAGCAAGGGCTCTAGAACTGATTCAAGCACAACGGAAACCCACAGAAGAGTCTGAAGCAGGAGAATGGCCTGATCTGACTTCTGGTCACTATCTGCAGAATAAATAAGGAGGCAAGAATGAAAACAGATCACTGAGGAGGCTGCTGCGGAAGTCTAAGCTAGATAAGAATGGGCTTAGCCTGGGGAGTTGGCAGTGGAGGTCAAGAGGTCCACAGAATTGAGCTATGTGCTGATGGGAACGGTGGGAGATAGAATGGAAAATAAAGATGAAGGATGATTCCTAGATATTTGTTTTTGTTTTTTTGAGACGGAGTCTCGCTTTGTCACCAAGGCTGGAGTATAGTGGCTCACTGCAACCTCCGCCTCCCGGGCTCAAACAATTAATTCTCCTGCCTCAGCCTCCTAGTAGCTGGGATTACAGGTGTGCGCCATCATGTCAGGGTAATTTTTGTATTTTTAGTAGAGACTGGGTTTCACCATGTTGGCCAGGCTGGTCTCGAACTCCTGACCTCGAGTGATCTGCCCACCTCAGCCTCTCAAAGTGCTGTGTTTACTGGTGTGAGCCACCGCACCTGGCCTGATTCCTAGATCTTAAGCAACCGGGTGATCGTGTTGCCATTTGCTAATATGCAAAAGACGTGGGAAAGAACAGGTTTTCAAGGTGGCGGAAAAGAACAGGTAGGAAGGAAAAGTCCTGTTTTGGACCTGTGAAACGAGATACCTGTGAGACAGGCAAATAAAGATGTCAAGTAGGCATTTCAGTATGTGCATCTGGGCTCAAGAGGAGAGGTCAGGGCTAGAAAAATAAACGTTTGAGTCATAAGCATACAGCTGGTATTTAGAGTCATAGGACTAGGTGAGCTCACCAAAGGAAACAGCATGGACAGAGAAGAGAGGGGGCTGAGGTCTGAACCAGGTATTTCAACATTTAAAGACCAGGCCCAGGGGGAAGAGTTTAAGGAATAAGAAGGAATAGCTGATGAGGTCAGAGGAAACCTGGGGGTATGCTTTCCCAGAAACCAAGTAAAGAAAGTGCTCCAGGCTAGGCGCAGTGGCTCATGCCTGTAATCCCAGCACTTTGGGAGGCCAAGGTGGTCGGATCATGCGGTCAAGAGATCGAGACCATCCTGGCCAATACGGTGAAACCCTATCTCTACTAAAAATACAAAAATTAGCTGAGCATGGTGGCACATGCCTGTAGTCCCAGCTACTCGGGAGGCCGAGGCAGGAGAATCACTTGAATCCAGGAGGCAGAGGTTGCAGTGAGCCGAGATCACGCCACTGCACTCCAGCCTGGCAACAGAGCGAGACTCCGTCTCAAAAAAAAAAAGAAAGTGCTCCAAGGAGGTGGGGACCATAGGCTGTATCAAATGCTGCCAAGAGGTCAACTAAGACGAGCAATGCTAAGAGACCAGTGGATTTAGCCACATGGAGTCACTGGTGAAGCAGTTTTCAATGGAGTTTTCATGGGTAGAAGGCAGCAGCGATAGACAGAAACAAATTATAGACGACTTCAAGAATTCATATCAGAAAGGGGAGCAGAACAACAGAACAACGGCTGAGAGTACATGTGTTTTGAAGGTGGGAAGTACTCAGGTGTGAGGAGAAGGATGAAGTATAGAAGGAAGACTCAGTGATGCAGAAGGGCTCATTTTAAGTGAAATCCTTGTGAAGAGGAAAGAGAAGGGAAACCAGTAACCAAAGGAAGAGCCTGGCCATGAATGATGACACTTGGCTCCCAACAGCAAGATGGAAGGCAGAGAATCTGCACGGGGAATCTGTAGGTGTAAAGAGGTGAGAGAGCTCATCTGATTCCTCAGCAACGTACAAAACAAAGTTAGCTGTAGAGGCAACTCAGGAGAGAATAGGGGGACAGGAGGCAGAGGCTACTGGCCTTTTAGTTGTTTTTCCAGTGATGGTAACAGTCACAGAGTTGCCACTTGATACTAAGCCCGACAACACAAGTACAAGATCTAGTTGGGACCAAGCATGCACCTACAGCCATGAGATTCTTCTCAACAAGCTGCCTCATGCTCTTCCTGTGGTTACTGGTTTCCCTTCTCTTTCCTCTTCACAAGGATTTCACTTAAAATGAGCCCTTCTGCATCGTTGCAAGGATCAAACTCACAACCTCATTAAAAACAGAACTGACTTATCTGTCCCAGGACTATCATACAGAAAATATATCTATTTTCTCACCGAAAACCTCACTGAGGGATTTCCAAGTAAGCATGGCAAATCCCTTGTGAAATCCTACTAAAATGACAGTAAAGAAATGAAAAAGATCTATATATCCACAAGGACAAAGAGATTAGAAGGGGAGACAGGAGATAAGAATTGCAACCAGATGCCGGAAGCTGGAAAGCTGATGAAAGTGAGAGCATGGGGCGTGGGCGCCCTGCTGAACACAGGGCGTGTGCTAAATAAGACACTTCTCTCTTGCTCCTCTTTCCCCACTCAGCTCTCCAATGACCTGACTTGCACCCGCTGTGTAATCCCCATCCCTCCTGACCACAAGGGAGAATGAAGAACTTTCTAAGGAAAATCCTGTAGCCCAAAAGAAAAGACATACAGCTCTGGGGTGTGGCCAACAAAATGGTCCTCTCCCTAATCACTAAACTGTGAAGCTCCCAAGTTGATAAGCCCACCTCACACAAAGAACATGCGATCAGCTTTTCCTTGCCTCATTTTAAATAAGAATCACCAGATGCTTACCCAAGGCTACAAAACTAAAGATAGAGATCAAAGCTAAAAGGAAAAAAGAAACTCACAAAAAATACAGTAATTCAAGAACAGAGGAAACTTAAAACAAACCTACACTTTTAATACTGTCAGTGGGATAAGACCAACAAAACCAAAAAGATTTTAACAAGAAGCATTTGAAGAAAAAGAAACAGCTCTTAAAAATTAAAAATGTGGGCCAGGTGTGGTGGCTCACACCTGTAATCCCAGCACTTTGGGAGGCCGAGGCCGGCAGATCACAAGGTCAGGAGTTCATGACCAGCCTGGCCAACATGGTGAAACCCTGTCTCTACTAAAACTACAAAAATTAGCTGGGCATGGTGGCACGTGCCTGTAATCCCAGCTACTCGGGAGGCTGCAGCAAAAGAATTGCTTGAACCAAGACCCAGGAGGCAGAAGCTGCAGTGAGCCAAGATCATGCCACTGCACTCCAGCCCGGGCGACAGAGCCAGACTCCATCTAAAAAAAAAAAAGAATAAAAGAACATTTTTGGACATGCAAAGTAGTAAACTAATCTACCCTTTATGTTTCTCAGGAAGCTATAGGAAGATATGACATTTAGGAAATCAGTGATGCAGCATAGAAAAAAGGGGGCAAGAATGCTCAAGAGGTAAGCGAAGGAAATCCTTCAGGCACAGAGGGATCCTTGAGGAGAATCACCAAGAACTAAATGGAGGGTCATCCAAAAATTAGAAATAGAACTACCCTATGATCCAGCAATCCCACTTCTGGGTACTTATCCAAAAGAAGTGAAATCAGCATCTCAAAGAGATATCTGCACACCCACATTCATTGCAGTGCTATTTACAATAGACAAGACATGGAAGCAAACTAAATGTCTATCAACAGATGAATGGATTAAGAAATGGGATATATACATACAATATACAGCATGCTAAGTGAAATAAGCCAGTCACAAAAAGATAAATGCTGCATGATTCACTTATATGAGGCATCTAAAGTAATCAAACTGGGCCAGACACAGTGGCTCTTGCCTGTAATCCCAGTACTTTGAGAGACCGAGGCAGGAGGATCACTTGAGCCGAGTTCAAGACCAGCCTGGGCAACACAGTGAAATCCTGTCTCTATTTTTTTTAATAAGATAAAATAAAAAATAAAGTAATCAAACTATAGAAGTAGAAAGAAGAATGGCAGTTGCCAGGGGATGAGGGGAGAGGGAAATGATTACTGTTCAGTGAGTATAAAATTTCAGTTATGCAAGATGAAAAAGCTCTAGAGATCTGTTGTACAACATTGTGCTTAACGATACTGTATTATACACATAAAAATTTGTTAACAGAATAGAGCTCATTATGTTTTTTCACCACACACACACACACACACACACACACACATGGAACTCAGAGAGGCAATTATTAACTCTAAAAAAATTATTCAACAAATAAAATGTAGTCAAAATATATGAAATGGGGCCAGGCACAGTGGCTCACACCTGTAATCCCAGCGCTTTGGGAGGCCAACATGGGCAGATCGCTTGAGCTCAGGAGTTAGAGACCAGCCTGGGCAACATGGCGAAACCCCATCTCTACAAAAAAATACAAAAATTAGCCAGGCATGGTGGCACATGCCTATAGTCCCAGCTACTAAGGAAGCTGAGGTGGGAGGATCACTTGAGCCCAGGAGGTCGAGGCTGCAGTGAGCTGTAATTTCAACACTGCCCTACAGCCTGGGTTACAATATGAGAAATGGCTTACTGTGGATGTTCACTGTTATAATAAGGATATTAATTCTGAATACTCATTTAACTAAAGATTGTGGTTTAACTATTTCAGGAAGACGTGGCAAGATGTGTGTGTGTGTCCTGGGTAGAGTATCTAAGAAAATATATTCCTAATATCCTACAATTGGAAGTCAACATAATTAAAATATCAAGAAATAGCAAATAAGTATGTTGTTTCAAAAATATGGTGATAAGAGACTAGAAGAAGAAATAGTCAAAAATAATTGAATGTCATTATCTCTAGGAGAGGTATTCAGGGGTGAAGAAGAATAAGAAAAAAGACATATATGTTAATTTTCATAAACATAATAATTTTTCTAAACATAAAATTGACAAAATTTCAGTTCACTTTTCAAATTACAACAACATACCGCTCAATTGCACGAAGCTTAACCTTATTCATATCCTTTAGAACGTCCAACATGTTTGGAATATCTTTATTTCTCTGGCTTTTTGAATGATGACTATAATTGGTCTTATTAGCAGCCGGGTTCTGTTTGCTCATTTCAGTTGCTGGATTATCTGAGTCACAAATATTATTAGATCCTGGTTGTACGGGAGGAAAACACGGTGGCTGGAGAGATGAAAACTGAGGAGGAAGTGGTGGAGGAGGAGGAGGAGAAAGCACTGAACCTGGAAGCTGATCTGGGTCCACACTCAGATGGGCAGCCCGCGATGATGACAGCTGACCCAAACTAATGCGCTCGTCACTCAAGCCAAAGGAACCTACAAACAAAGTGGTTTATTACAAAATCATGCACAATTATCTCTAACGTAATATATATTAATAACACTAATTAGAACCAAAACAGGAGCAATTTCTGTAATGCTAGTAGCGATATGGTAGCAAGGAAAGAGTGTCAATCCCATCTGCTTAGTAATTTAAGAGTCAAGTCAAATTGTGAATTCATTTTTAATCCAGTTAGGAATTTTCAGTGTAGGTCCAAGAGCAGAGCGGGGAGGAGAATGCATCTTAAACAAACAAAAAAAAGAGTTTTTTCAGTAATTCACATACACTCTGAACTTCATCCTCTATTTTAAAAAAGCTAAAACAGAAATCAACAACTTGTAGTTAGAAACACAAATTGATGTATTCACTGTATAATGACATTGGAGAAATAAGCATATTATTTTCTAAGCAAAGCTTAAGATGGGTACTGAGTATTTAACTTTTCCACTTTAAGATTTGCTCATAAAGGACTGTGGGTAAACACGATTGCTTAAGAAAACTGTGTATAGTTATATATCATTTTATTTATTATGTATAAATATAAGTTATTGTATATTATATAATGTGTTTATATGTAAATGTTATAAATATACACTGTATAAATATCTTAAATTATATGTGTATTTATGCATTTGTATATATACATATGTATTAAAAAATTTTTAGCAATTATATTTACACACAGCCCTTTACAGCCAAATCTGTTGTGAAAAGCATTCAGTACCTAGATTGCTTTACATTTTATACACGCATACATACATGTTGTGTGTATGTGTGTGCATAAGTTTAAAGCAAGTTGTATCTCTATAAATTTATAAAACAATCATCTGGAAAACATGACTCACCTCAACTTGGTGGAAGTGTAGCAGCAATAACTAAAAACTATAAACATATGATGCCTCAAACCTATATCCTCTTTCAAACCAATGCATTCTTCCTCTTTAATATCCAATGCTTTCATGAAGAGTTAGAAAAGCTTACTGAGGGCCGGGCGCGGTGGCTCACGCCTGTAATCCCAGCACTTTGGGAGGCCAAGGCGGGCAGATCACGAGGTCAGGAGATCGAGACCATCCTGGCTAACACGGTGAAACCCCGTCTCTACTAAAAATACAAAAAATTAGCCGAGCGTGGTGGCGGGCGCCTGTAGTCCCAGCTACTCGAGAGGCTGAGGCAGGAGAATGGCGTGAACCCGGGAGGTGGAGCTTGCAGTGAGCCAAGATCGTGCCACTGCACTCCAGCCTGGGCGACAGAGCAAGACTGCGTCTCAAAAAAAAAAAAAAAAAGCTTACTTAGAAGACAACAGACTTTTTAATACAAAAATACAATCTTCTAGTATAGTAAAGCTAGTTCTTCTTTAAATCAAAGCCATCCCCTCACTACAAATGTGTCTTAATTTATCCTGAATAAACATCAGATATAATAATTTTGTATATTCAACATCCTTTTATGTACATTTAATGTTTTCATGGTACTTATTCAGAATTGTACTCACTTAAATACTAGATGTTCCTGTATGCTACTATACGTACTATATTCAGTACAGTATCATGCTGTACAGGTTGGTATAGGCTATACCATGAGTATCATCTAACTGAAACAAAAATCCTACTGTTACTTACTAGAATTTGTACTATTTTTCAGTTCCTGCATTTCCACAATTGCTGCAATCTGAGAGCGAAGAAAAGTCAGCTCATTTTCAAGGGCAGCTATTTTTCTAATTGCAGCTTCATTTACAGGCAGGTCATTTTTCACAGTTTCTTTCTGTCTTACAGCAGGTGACAGTGGATCCCGAACTAGTCGCAAAGGATGAAAAATTTCCACTTTCTCTTCTTCATTTTTCCATATACTATTTCTGTGGGTGAAAAAAAATAGGAAATGGAGGGAAGATATATTTCCAATCAAAAGAGGTATAAACTCTTACACTCCTACGTGAAAATCAAAAGACAATAAAACAAAATAAAAGCTACTCTCAGGCCGGGCACAGTGGCTCACACCTGTAATCCCAACACTTTGGGGGCTGAGGCAGTGAATCACCTGAGGCCAGGAGTTCGAGACCAGCCTGGTCAAAATGGCGAAACCCTGTCTCTACTAAAAATATTTTTAAAAATTCGCCGGTGTGATGACGTGCCCCTGTAGTCCCAGCTACTCAGGAGGCTGAGGCAGGAGAATCACTTGAGCCTGGGAGGCAGAGGTTGTGGTGAGCCAAGATCGTGCCATTGCACTCCAGCCTGGTCGACAGAGTAAGACTCTGTCTCAAAAAAAAAAAAAAAAAAAAAAAAAAAAACCTACTCTCTATCCCCCATGATTGTTTCTAGAGTCACCACTGAGGACAAGGAAAATATCTTATTTAGCTTTGTATTCCCAATATAAACAGAACATAGCCTCCAATGGAGGACCAGTCAGTGACCAGGGAATGAACAAAACAAACTTTGCTTTTAGATTATAAAACCAAAATAATTACCTGCAATTGTTCTACTTATTAACTTTAAACGCAGGTAAGTTAATTTATTTAGAAGTTCTATATAAGTTAATAAAGAGCCTTACATTCAGGATTATGTTAGGGTGAAATGTATGTTATTTTAACTATTTGAAAATTGGTGCCAGTTTGATACATAATAAAATCAGCCGGAATACTTAAATAATTGACACTTAATGTGCTTAGAGCCTGTATCTGAATATACTAACATATAAAGTAATACTCCCTAGGAGTAACACATCCAAATTTTGAAATACATTTAACATCATTGCCTGGTGCACAGTAAACAGTATATAAGTTTTGGCTAAAAACATGATTCTAATATCCCTTTAATAACCACTCCCTCCTAGGCCTGGTGTTAGGTTTAAATGTGCACTAAAAAAAAAACAACTGGCTAAAAAAATGAAAAGCAGCCAGTCTTCTTTATTAAGAAGATACAGTAGGGCACAGCACAGTTTGAAGATAAACAAAACAAAAAAGCTCAATCAATCTTAACAAGCTTCGACACATGCAAGAATTCAGTTTATAGCCCACTTCCCAAGATAAGCATATAAAATTACCGAAATCTGAGATAACTGGCTTCTTCATCATTTGCCACATACAAAATATCAGCAAAAGATGGAACCATAGATCCACAATTATCAGAGTCTACAGAGTTCAAGAGCGGGATCAACTAAAGTAAAAAAAGAAAAAAATAGTCAGAGCTCTGCAGGGAGTCAGGAGAAGACACATGCCCCATGGTATTAAATTAGTTAACAATCCAAAAGAAAGAAAAATAAAAAGAATATTCAATAGAAAAACATGTACCTGTTAGCACGAAAGAACACTGGGGAAAATGTTATGCTGAAGTCTAAGCACTAAGCAATATTCTCTCCCCTGGTTAATTTCATCTATCACAAAATGCAAAATAAAATTAAGCTCTTCAGTTATTGTTCACACTTGCCCATCTGTGAATGTCATTACAGACATGTACCACGTAACATTTAGGTCGATCATGGACTGCATATACATGGGGTCACATAAGATTATGATGAAACTGAAATATTCCTATCACCTAGTATTTACTATATTATACTTTTTATTATTATTTTAGAGTGTATTCCTTCTACTTAAAAAGAAAAGTTGGCTGGGCATGGTGGTGCATTCCTGTAATCCCAGCACTTTGGGAGGCCAAGGCAGGAGGATCAATTAAGGCCAGGAGTTCAAGATCAGCCAGGGCAACATAGCAAGATCCCGTCTCTACCAGACCAAAAAAAAGTCAGCCAGGTGTGGTGGTGCACACCTCCCAAGTAGTCCCAGCTACTCAGGAGGCTGAGGTGGGAGGATCACTTGAGCCCAGGAGGTTGAGGCTGCAGTGAGCCGTTATCACGCGACTCCACTTCGTTCAGCCTGGGCGACAGCAAGACCTTATCTTAAAAAAAAAAAAAAAAAGTTAACTATACCACAGCCTCAGGAAGGTCCTTCAGGAGGTATTCCAGGAGAAGGTATTGTTATTATAGGAGATGAGAGCTCCATGCATGTTATTGCCACTGAAGGCCTTCCAGTAGGACAAGATGTGGAGGTAGAAGGCAGTGATATTGATGATTCTGCCCTGGGTAGGCCTAGGCTAACGTGTGTGCTTGTGTCTTAGTTTTAACAAAAAAATTTTAAAAGTATAAAAAATTTAAAAATTTTTAAATCATAAAAAGCTTATAGAATAAGGATATAAAAATATTTTGTATAGCAGTACAATGTGTGTTTTAAGATAAGTATTATTACAAAAGAGTCAAAAATTTTTACAAAATAAAAACATTTATAAAAAAAGTTACAGTAAGCTAAGGTTAATGTATTATTGAAGAAAGGGTTTTTGTATAAATTTAGTGTAGCCTAAGTGTACAGTGTTTATAAAGTCTACAGTAGTGTACAGTAATGTCCTAGGCCTTCAAATTCACTCACCACTCACTGACTCACCCAGAGCAACTTCCCATCTTCCATTCATGGTAGGTGCCCTATACGGACGTAACATTTTTTATCTAATTTTTACTGCATTGTTACCATACTTTTTCTATGTTTAGACACACAAACACTTACCATTGTGTAACAACTGCCTACAGTATTCGGTAAAGTAACATGCTGAAAAGGTTTGCAGACTAGAAGCAACAGGTCATACCATATAGCCTGGGTGCATAATAGGCCATATACCATCTAGGTTTGTGCCAGTACACTCTGTGATGTTTGCACAATGACAAAATCACCAAACAACGCTTTTCTCAAAATGTATCCCCCCATCATTAAACGATGCATGATTGTATTTAAATAAACAAAAACACAAAAACATATATGAAATGGCTTGTTCCCAAGGGTAAACTACAGGTTTTTGGCTTGCAGGAAATGTTTCTTCCTTTGTTGTTCTACCCCATACCTGTAAGAGTACCTAGGATTATTTTGTACTTGGTACTTAAACAATTTATGTTGACTGACTTACCTCAAAATTAGGTCTTCGACAAGGTTCCAGTGGAAGCATTTTCCCAATAATACGAACAATACTCCTAGTTGATCCATAGTCTTTATTTTCCCAAATCAGCAAAACCTATTTTAAACATAAAGTATGAATTAAAATGCACTCTGATTAAGCATATTTATATAAGTATGAAAAAAGGAGATGTAAAAAAGACAAAAAAGACGCAGTGGCATTTTTTTTTTAATACAGGGAGTCCTGTAAAATAACATTTATTTTTAAAAAGAAATATAGAATGGCAGAGCCTTTCTTCAAAGAATAGAACTTTGTGAGTATTTGTCTTAAAAAGAGATGGTAGTAAACATATATACATTCCAGGAAGATCTTTTAAAAAGCACAATTCATTTTGTTCTATTTCTGATAATGTCCAATACCTTGGGAGAAACTTTGTTCAAAAAAATTGCATCCCCTCCCCCAGCTACAAATCCCATCTTTTTGGCCCAACCAAAAATAGACAATTTCAAATTATCAAGCAACGACGTAATATGGAGTATACTTATGTAATTTCCTTTAAAGGAGAAATAAAAAAGGGAATAAATAAATCAGGTCCTAGACAATTCAGAGTTATTTACATAAAGTGAAATATATCTGCTGGCAGTCAGCTCTTGAAAAGGCATTAGAAGTAATAATGTGCTACTATAGCTCAAATAATACTTCATCCTTTAGTGTGGGCTTCCCAAATTAGTGTAAACCATTGCCACAGGAACCACTCTCCCCCACCAGCCAAAAGATGTGATATAATAAATTGGACATTTTTCCTAAGATCCCAACTGATATAGGTAGCCACCTATTAGCATCCTCATTAAAACAACCAATAAACCGCCGGTCTCAGCTGTTAAACAACAGCAACAACTAACAACAGCAGGCTAAATAAACTGTGGGTTGTGCACCTGCGTTTTGATTGTGACCCATCATGTGAGGTCAGGTGTAAAATTTTCCCATTGTGGTGTCATGCTGGCACTCAAGACATTTGGGATTTTGGAGCATTTCAGATTTCAGGTTTTGAGTGATGCTCAACCGATAATATTTTTAAATTGCTAAGATTATTTTACATTTTTTTCACACTCAGTCTTCAAAATCCCTTATATAGGTTACACCTATAGAAGATCTCAATTCAGATATTTTGAGTACTTAAAAGTGACATGTGGCCAGTGGCTATCATACTGGATTGCACAGCCTAGAGGATATAGATCCCAGACCTATTACTAGTAGAATATTTGGAGGATTGAGCATTTATATTTAAAGTGTTCTACAGACCATTCATCTGCGTACCCCTGCTAAGAACAACAGGCATAGAGGCTTTGCTACCATGACGGCTACCTATGACATATACAGTCACCCAAGAGTTGGGTTAGTTCTTAGTTAATTTAAATGATACCTTCCTATCTTGCTCGGCAGTTTCCATCCTAATAAACTCTTGTCCTTCCTCTCATTCCTTCATTGCCCCTGGCCATCTTCACCATTTTCGTTGTTGTTGTTGTTTGCTTTTTGAGGTTTTTTTTTTGAGATGGGGTCTCACTCTGTCACCCAGGCTGGAGTGCAGGGCATGATCAGGGTTCACTGCAACCTCCACCTCCCAGGCTCAAGCAATCCTCCTACCTCAGCCTCTGGAGTAGCTGGGACCACAGGTGCACACAACCATGCCTGGTTAATTTTTATATTTTTTATAGAGACGAGGTTTCATCATGTTGCCCAAGCTGGTCTTGAAAACCTGAGCTCAAGTGATATGCCTGCCTCAGCCTCCCACAGTGTTGGGATTACAGGGGCGACCCACCACATCTGGCCATCTTCACCATTCTTATTATTTCATCTTCCCTCTATTCCTGGTCTAGTACCCACATTTTGACTTTACTAATTTTCCTACCAAGCATGGATTTTCTGGTTAATTATTTCAGTAATATGTTCAATGCCACTCAAAAATGGTTCATTCTTTTGATATTATGTGCTCCCACACTGCTAATGAATACACTACTGTAATTACTCTTAGCTAGGAAAAAAAAATCACAAAACGACAATATTTAGAAAAACTACAATTCCATGATGACTTCAGCTGGGTTCTCACAGGTATTCTGAAATCCCTTCATAACATGTTACATTCTATACCACATTGCCCAGAGCAGTCTCCAATCTCTGAAATCCCTTCTCAAATCCCACCACTTCATTACCTGCAAGTGACCTTGTCTCTGCTCTTACTGAGAAAACCGAGAACTTCAACTTGACATACCTCAACTTCACTTCTCTTACTTAGCTCCATTCAAAATCTCTTTTCAGGCCAGGCGCAGGGGCTCACGCCTGTAATCCCAGCACTTCGGAAGGCCAAGGCAGGTGGATCACTTGAGGTTAGGAATTCAAGACCAGCCTGGCCAACGTGGTAAAACCCCATCTCTACTAAAAATATAAAAATCAGTTGGGCATTGGTGGCAGGCTCCTGTAATCCCAGCTACGCGGGAGGCTGGGGCAGGAGAATCACTTGAACCTCGGAGCAGAGGTTGCAGTGAGCCAAGATTGCACCACTGCACTCCAGCCTGGGCAACAGAGCAAGACTCCATCTTAAAAAAAAAAAAAATCTCTTTTCACTCTCTCTCACTTTCATTCTGTTCTTTAAGGCAGGACAGTCTCTCTCCTTTCCAAGACTTATTTAATTAGATCCCTTGCCCAACTACCTTCTCAAAGGCGGTGCTCAATCCTCTCTCATGTGGATCTTAAATTTCTTCCTGTCTGTTTCTTCCAGAGTGATGACAAATATGCTGAAGTTACTTCTAACTTTAAAAGAAAAAGAAAAATTCCATCCTGCGGCCCCTTCAGGCTGATGGCCTCTCTCAATTTCTTTTCACAAGCAAACTTTTCAAAAGAAGGTTGCTGATCCCACCTCCCTTCCTGATATTCTTCAAACTACTCCAACACAGTCCCATTCTCCACTTACAGAAATTCTTAAGGTCACCAATAACCTAATAGTGATAAACAAATGTTCAGCTGTTATCTTCAGTCTCTCGATTACTGATATTTAGAATGTTTCAATCACATCTAATGACATTTGCCATTATCGAAGTCCATGGCTTTAAATATCAAAACAAAGCAGATAACTCCCAAAACTGAATCTTTTTCTTTCCTACATACTAAAACCATATATATATCCAATTGTCTGAAGGATATTTCTACTTATATGTTCTAACATCACCTCTGACTCACCTCATCTCCATATTCAAACTAGTTTCTCATACTAAGATGCCCATTTATAATAATGGTACTATGATTCTTCAACTTACTTTTGCTTTAAAAAAATCTTAAATTATCCTTGACTACTTTCTTCTAATTCACCCCACCCGTCTTCCTTACAATCTCATATTACAGTTATCTTTATTGTTTCTTATTCCTCATATTTTAAGCATTATGAATACAACCATGTATTACTCCTCTGTATTACCTGCAGAAACAAGCATATTGTCTTAGATACAGCAGATTTTCAACAAGTAGATAAAATTTGATTTGCTTATGATATGGTTTGGCTGTGTCCCCACCCAAATCTCACCTTGAATTGTAATTATCCTCACGTGTCAAGGGTGGGGCCAGGTGAAGATAACTGAATCATGGGGGCAGCTTCTCCCATACTATGCTCGTGGTAGTGAATAAGTCTCATGAGATGTGATGGTTTTATAAACAGGAGTTCCCCTGCACAAGCTCTCTTGCCTGCCACCATGTAAAATGTGACTTTGCTACTCATTTGCCTTCAGCAATGATTGTGAGGCCTCCCCAGCCATGTGGAACTGTGAGTCAATTAAACCTCTTTCCTTTATAAATTACCCAGTCTCCGGTATGTCTTTATTAGCAGCATGAGAACAGACTAATACAGCTTATAATTCTCAGGCCTAAATCATCCTCTTTCCATTAGATTTATTCTGGATTTATTGAGCTTTAAATATTGAACTTGTTTATAAATTACCTTGAATAGAAGTTTTAATGTATCTGTGCAATAAATGTAATTCTGTGAAGCTCATGTCTATATTTTGCTTCCTTTGTATCTTCTGTTGGCATTTGTCCTATCAGGTAAATATGTTCTCAATAATCTTATCCCTCTTCTAACTCAAATCATCAAAGCTATACTATTACAAACTCACCTTTGTTCCAACTAAAAAGAAGCAACAACTTTGCCTTAAATCAAATGATTACATATAAGTCATTTTCAAAATGAAACCCAAGAACAAATACAACAGATCCATTCCAATCCAAAACGACATTTACCTGTTCTACAGGAACGCCAAAATATTCCAGCATCTCTCTTAAGATATTCAGTATGAGAGACATTGATGAAGCAAATACAGAAGCCAATTCAAAGGAACATTATCAGTTTCTTGGTGCCTTTGGGGAAAATTTTAGAAAATGTTACTCTTGACAAATAAATGCCAAATTGTACTACATAACCTGGAAAAGTCCTCTTGATACACGACACAGTCAACTAATTTCTCCTAGCCAGCATTCTTTTAAGTCAGAGAAAAAGAAAGGAAGGGGAAGTCTGGGGGAAAGAGAGGGTTGTAAAGGAAATTTCAATTAATTGGTTAGATTACATTAAAACCTCGTAGGATGTTTGAGCCTAGTTAATAGAGACCAATCAACAAACTGGACATCTACTTAGTAGGCAAGGCTTCAAGTTACATGCCACAGCGAAGCTCGCTCTTTCCTGAAAGCTTTGGGCTGAGACTCTTAGCAGATGGGTGAGTTTAGCCAACCCTTGAAAGCAGGCAAGGGACGACTCAGTTTTTAAAAAAATAAACAGTAGCTCTTCTCACACACATATCCTCACGTGTCAAGGGTGGGGCCAGGTGAAGATAACTGAATCATGGGGGCAGCTTCCCCCATACTATGCTCGTGGTAGTGAATAAGTCTCATGAGATGTGATGGTTTTATCAACAGGAGTTCCCCTGCACAAGCCCTCTTGCCTGCCACCATGTAAAATGTGACTTTGCTACTCATTTGCCTTCAGCAATGATTGTGAGGCCTCCCCAGCCATGTGGAATGCCCATCCCTCCTCACTCTTTTAAAATGAGAAGCATGAATTCCAGATACGGGACGTGACTTGGTCACCCATCTAGTAACAGGCCGTGACCAGAGCCGGATCGCGTCCCTCGCTTTGGTCACAAGCTTCCTGGTGCTCTCCAAACACAGCGTGGTAGCCTTGCTCACCTTCCTCCGAAGCCGAGCCCCCGGGAATCACCAGAACATCAAGCGGAGGGCGTTAGGAATCCTCAATCAAATTCCAGACTGCGCCACTCCTTGTGCAGATCGCTCAGACGTCTACCCAGACCTCGACCCAGTTTCCACCCGCGCGCCTCGGCTTGCAGCCACAGGCGGTAACGATGCCCTCAGCGAGGAATAAGAGGTCAACCCGGTGCCCAGCCCTGGAGCCTCACGCTCAGCCAGGGTAATGTTATGGGAAGCGCGCCCCCGTCCTCCTGCGCCCAACCAACCCACCTGCTAGTCCCTAGGACCGGACTGCTACTTCCGCATGACAGGACTGCTACTTCCGCATCCCAGGACGAAATCAAACTCCGCGGGCCAGGACCCGTAACCAGCCTCATTGGGCAAAACTGAAGATCGCTGCTTCTGATTGGTCATTGCATGATGTCAGGCAATTCGGGAAGCGACTGCTTTTCCTTCTCAAGAGGCGGGTCTTCCGAGAGTCAGCCAATAGGAGCTGACGGGCAGGGCAGGTCGCGTTAGGACAGCGTCGCTCCCGCAGGGCAAGGTTTTAGGTACAAACTCGTGAGCTGGACTCGCAGTCCGGAGTTCGTACCCCACAGAACTCTTCGCAGGGAGTGTCTTACTCGCTACAGCCGGACCCTAAGCGCATCCGCCTTCCCAAGTTCATCTGACACAAAATCGCGATTTATTTTTTGGTCATTTCATTTGTTCAGCTAATATTAAAATACTTGTGGAACTGGCAGAAGCCAAGCACTACCCCCGAGGGTTTTGCAGCTTTGCAGTGGCTAGGATTCATTCTTTCGTTCACTAAATACACCTACGTATCCAGGCTACCGAATATTGGGCCGGACACTCTCCTGGCTTAGCCGAGGATGGCAAGTGATATGACAGGTGATATCCCAGTTTTCATTTCTGATTTGAGGTTATTGGCTTCATACGAAATAGCTTCCTCTTCTGAATTTCAGCAAGACGTGCACTGGAGTGATATAACAATTTAAGATGTGTGCCTGCTACTGACATAATTTGAAAATCTAAGTTTTGAACTAATTTATCTATGGTCAACATCACTTATTCATTCAACCAATAATAGATATCTACTACGTAGCAGACACCATTCTAAGCACGGAAAATACCTTAATGAGAGGGCAGGTCCTCGTCCTCCTGGAGCTTACAGGCCAGCGGGGCATCTCGTTCCATTCTAACCCTAATTTGCTTTTCTCTATAGCACTTATCATATATATTTAGTTACGCTTCCACTACCACCAAACAAAATTGTAGACTCCAGGAGAACAGGAAGTTGTTTTGATCCATGCTCTATCTTTCCCCAGTGCTTTAGAAGAGTGTCTGGTATATAATAGGCATTCAGTCTATTTGTTGAATAAAATACCTAAATGTGGAATGACAGAAAAGATGATAATGATTTGGGACTAAGCAACTAGCAAAACAATTGATAGCAATAATAGTGATATGCCCAGTAGAGCTGGATACGGCTGAGTGAGCGCAGAACAAGGATGATGATGGATCAGAAACCCTAGATGGAGTAATTTTCTCAAGTTCCTTGTCCTTCCCTTTGCCCTTGTGAATAAATCACGACTTTATAACCCCCTCCCTTTCCCACTCTCTTATCAAACAGCAAACAGACAGGGCCAGAATGAAAACATCCCTCCAGAATGAGAACGGAACCACTACTCTTCCAGCTGCACTATTAACATAGGTTAATATTCCAACTGATTTAAGTAGCAAGGAGGACCCAGGTCAAATACTACATCCATAAATGCTTTGCTGACAACTTTCTTCTAAATTCTTCAGAGATATTTCTTCCAGTTTACTAAAGCATTCATAATTCCATTTTGACAAAAACATTTTATGTGATTGGACATCTTTTTCCATTGCTCATTTTTACACGAAATTAGATTTTCCTGAACTCTTAGAATGAGATAGGGTCCAAGAAAGCTTTTCTGACATCACAAAGCTAGCTTTTCTGTTGTCTCTGAGTAGTGTTCAAAAATATAGTGGCTTGCTTTCTGGAGTTTTCCTGTGTTCCCCTCCCCCAGTTTGATCCAGGTAGAAAACTTGCTATTCACAAGCTGCATGTTAACACTTTTTAAAGTATCTAGTTGTCAAGTATTAGCTCATTATATTGAATTAGCTCACTATATTGAGCTAGTAAGTCTATGTCCCTAAGATTTTTTACCTACTGACTCTGATTTCTGTCCTTTAAATATGTAACATGTTAAAATGAGGAGATCGGACAAGTATCAAATACCAGTCTCCTGATCCTATGTGATTTGAACATGTCTCTTCTCTAGCAAAGCCTTTTAAGGATTTGAACACAGCAATCAAGAACCTATCTTGGCTGGGAGCGGTGGCTCACGCCTGTAATCCCAGCAATTTTTAAGACAGCCCAGATTGTATTTGTTTCAAGCAGCAGCAGCAGACATAAAATTAAATCAAGCCTTTATAAATACGCAATTATCATTCTTTCATTTATACACACTCAAGGACCATTTATTACATAACTACAGTATGTATGCCATGCACAATACTAAATGCTAAAATTTTATTCTGGTGGAGACATGTAAATGGAATGAATTACTAGCCTAAAGGTATGTGCTGCATTCAGTGGCCCCTGAGCAAAAAGAGGAATTGGAAATTTTTTGCTAGGGTGTAAGACTTAAGATAGGTAAGTGAACAAGGAGTAGCATAAGGCAAAGTGGCCAAAAACAGTACATAGGGAGTTCCTACAGCTCATCATGACTGAGGTTCAGACAACAGGAAGACATCAATGCGTAAATTTTGGTTTTAAAATGACTGTAATTTTGCACTTGAAAAACATCCCAGAGATGGCAATATAAAGATGAAATTTATGGGTAGAGTCCAAGCTAAGAGACCAATGCAGCAGCTAGGGATAGTGATGAGCATCTATTATTGGGGGTTGAGGGGGGACGGCGGGGCGGCAGTGGAGAGAAGACAGAACACTTTATAGGGATGTCCAACTAGCTTAATGGATAAAGAACATAAGTTTGCAGTAGGATGGGGTACAGATGATGACAGTTTGGAGTGTTTAAGTTCCAGCAGAACTATCCAGGGAAGAGTTGGAGAGAAAAAATGGAGTTCAGGAGAGAAGTTTAAGAGGTAAATTTCAGAGTTACCAGCATCTAGATAAAAATGTTTGAAAACCTGTCATTCACAAAGTACTTCCATCCTTGTTCCTTCCACATACCAATGTTATTTACTATTATTTACTAATTTTTGCTTCCCTCCCCCCCCCTTTGTAAACTTAGCCAGAGACAGTAGCTGTGAAATGCTGGATTTGAAGTGCTAGAACATGTTTCACACTAACCTGAAATATGACAGCACCATGAAAACTCTTTATGGCTGTTCCAATTACTTTCAGGGCTTCATCTGAAATCTGTATTGCCTTTCTACTTCCTTTTAAACAATAGGTTGTTATCTTTTATCCTTTGGAATATCTGGAATATTCAAATGGTTTAAAATGGCAAGAGAACTTTGTATAATGGTAAGCTTGGAAATTTTGAATAAAAGTGGTATTTAAAATAATGTGAGGAAAGTTCGACATTGAAAATGAATAATTAGGCCGGGCGCAGTGGCTCACGCCTGTAATCCCAGCACTTAGGAAGGCTGAGGCGGGTGGATCATGAGGTCAAGAGATCAAGACCATCCTAGCCAACACGGTGAAACCGTCTCTACTAAAAATATAAAAATTAGCCTGCCGTGGTGGCCAGCGCGTGTAGTCCCAGTTATTTGGGAGGCTGAGGCAGGAGAATCACTTGAACCCGGGAGGTGGAGGTTGCAGTGAGCCAAGATTGTGCCACTGCACTCCAGCCTGGCGACAGAGCTAGACTCTGTCGCGAAAAAAAAAAAAAAAGACAATAATTAGCACTGAGAGGTTTAGTTTGATCACTTACACTTTTCTCCTACACCTTATCCTACTATACATAATACCTTATGCCAGAAACTCTTATTAGCTCAGGAGATGATCCATTTTTGTCTAAAATCCCTCTTATGTAAGGCAGTCATATTCCTTGATGAGCTTTAAACAATTTAGCACTGGGTTGGCATTATCAGGGGATTCTGAGGTATTAGATTTTCTCAGATGGATATTTAACCCTTTAGACAGCTGTCACACCTTAAAGCTTTTTCATCAAAATTTTTATTAAATATAACCACACATTTCCAACTAATCTTTTATGACTTAGGATTAACACTATGATATTGTGTTGTTCGGTTATGCAGTGATACTCCTAAACATTACTTAGCCAGGTGGGACTTACCTTGACTTTTCAACCCACTAGGGTATTTTAACTTTAGTTCTGCTGTCCTTTTCCTTAATGGCGACTGAGACTATCACAGGGCTTCTGCAAACGGTACATTCAAAACAGACTGTTGCTGTTATATATATGAAATTTATTACTGGGCAGTGTTGTTTGAGAACTATTTTTGAAATTTCTCCATAAAGGATCTGCTCCTTACCTGCTTTGTTGTATCAATACATCTCATTTTCAACTTATTCCCTCAGTGTAACACAGTGCAGGACTCACATTTGTCCAGGATACCAAAAAATTATGTTAAAAAAAGTCAACATACCATGTGTCTAAAATTTTTAGGCTTCCCAGTGTTTAGGAAAGAGGCAAGTCTAAATAGATGAACTCTGAATGAGAGACAGAGAACTTGATCCTCAAAAGTATCAAAGAGTTATTACAAGAATCCTGATTTGCATATTAATACCCCATTATTTGGAGCTAGCTCATTCAAAAACTAGAGCCTATGAATATATTATATAATGCAAGAAAATATTTTCACATATTATAGTGCAAGAATAAAAATGAGAAAAGGACAGAGCCTTATCTTGTTGCTGCTCTAGTGCCTAGCTCATACTTAACTAGTGAAACATAGAACTTTAAAACTGCAAGTTATATCCATGTGAACAGTTGCTTTAAGAATATACATCCTAATCCAATTACTCTGCTAGATATTCCTAATACCTGGAGCACTACCATATTCAGATAAGATGGTTTTAAGGCCTCTTATTATTACTGTTACACTCTGGCATCATGCCCTCAGCCACCAGAAAAAAATGTTGCAAGAAACACTCATTTGAAAACCTGTTCCTATTCTAGGAAGACTTATTCTAGGAACAGCAACATCTAAATGAAAACCTAAGGACAAGTATCTCAATATTTGGTAGCAGGAATAGTTATGCTTCCCAGAAGTGGTTTCATTTGACACTGAAAATTGCATACCTTATTTCCCTTTTTCATGTAGCTACTATTGGCCAATTCAAGCTCTGAATCTTTTTCCTTTAGTGACAGACTAGCCAAATACTTATTTCCTAAAGTGTTGCCCAAGTTGAGAATACAGAACAAAATCAAGATGTAATATTGTCCTGAGTGGGCCAGACAGCTAAATCTGTAACATGAGAAGCCATATGCTATTTTTCCCCCAATTCTCTGACCTCCCCACACCTCAACTAGAGCTTTACATACTAAAAGCTAAGATTCCAGAATCATTTTATATAACTCAGTTCTGTTAACTGAACCTTATCTTTTGTAAAGGACAAATATTCATGTTTATATAAATATGGAAGATTATCTTAAGGTTATATCAAGGGAAAGAAGTATACTTTGAAATCTAGAAAGGACTCCAAAAACAATGTGTTTTAGTTTTCCAGTAAGTCATGAATGGAACTGTTAATTTTTTCCTTTTAAATAAGCAGCCATCGATTTTTCACTCCAAGTTCTATCAGACTTTCATGACTTTTACATCCCATTTTCCAATTAAAAGTACAAATTAAGTTTTAAGTCATTTCTCCCAGCTGACAAATCCCCTTACTGCAGTATCTGAACACGATTACTCAAAAATCTGATTCCTCAGTTATATGCTGAGGTGGTATTACTCTACAAGTCTGTATCTTCAAGCCATTTGAATAGTATGCTGACATTAATCAGTTAATTACTGTAATCTTTTTTTTTTTGAGACAGAGCCTAGCTCTGTCACCCAGGCTGGAGTGCAGTGGCATCATCTCCGCTCACTGCAGCCTCCACCTCCCAGGTTCAAGTGATTGTGGTGCCTAAACCTCCCGAGTAGCTGGGATTACAGGCAAGTGCCATCAGCCCAGCTAATTTTTGTATTTTTAGTAGAGGCGGGGTTTCGCCATGTTGGCCAGGCTGGTCTCGAACTCCTGACCTCGGGTGATCTGTCCGTCTCAGACTCCCAAAGTGCTGGAATTACAGGCGTGAGCCACCACACACAGGCCTATCTTTTTTTAAAGTACATTTGGTAATGATATTCAACTTCTTCCAAAAACAATTCTGGAGTGGGGAAATCTTTTGGTAAGGTAAAAAATAAAAAATAAATTAAACCTGCAGGCTGGATATGTGAGAAGTAAATTAAAATTTAAAAATTCTGGCCAGGCACAGTGGCTCACGCCTATAATCCCAGCACTTTGGGAGGCCGAGAATTAGACTAGCCTGGCCAACATAGTGAAACCCCGTCTCTACTAAAAATACAAAAATTAGCTGGGTGTGGTGGTGCACACCTGTAATACCAGCTACTCAGTAAGCTGAGGTAGGAGAATCGCTTGCACCTGGGAGGCGGAGGTTGCAGTGAGCCGAGCTCGAGCCACTGCACTCTAGTCTGGGTAAGACTCCATCTCAATAAATAAATAAATAAATAAATAAATAAATAAATAAATAATTCAAAGTGCATTTAACATTCTTTTTCACGGCCACCTTACAAGTATCCTGAGAACTCAACAGAAAGTTTAGTTTTCCCTTCTAGTACAAATGAGACTGAAAAATTATTTTCCATAGTGAAGGACTCAAGGTAGCAAATAATCCACTATTCTGGAGGGTGAGTGGTATTTTTTATTTATTGTTGCTCTTCGCATTCCATGAAATTTGTAATCACTATGACAGTACCAAGCAAACACAGTTCAAGCTGTGATTATAAATCATTTCACACCACCTAAACATACAGTGTAGCTATGATCATGTACTTTTATTAAAGGCAGAGCTCATTATTAATGAAATCTGGAAGCTGGCCAACCCCAAAAGATTAAGAAAAATTCGATGTATATTCTTGGGGGAAAGGCATTAAAGCCTGCTCACCCAACCTTTTTCTATTTTCAAGAATATTACCTTCTGCACTTCATAAGTGCTACAAATCAGTTCACTGTGGTAAAACACCAAAAATATCCATAGGAAAAATTTTCCTATATACAGATTACAATTAAGACACATTATTTGAATGTTTCTAGTTGTGGTGGAATGCTATCCTAATAATGCCTGTTCTCTTTAATCAGTGAGATTCATTTTTAAAGGCCAAGGTATAGTCTAGTAACATAAAAAGAACTGGTACCCTTAATTAAATGTACAAGTTTGGTCTCATTACCATCATTGACACAAGTTAATCATTACTGCATGTTTCTAAAACAATAGGAGTCCAGCTCATAAATCAACACAATCTCTGTGGCTCTCAAGTCAATTAAATACAACTAGATTCCATATATTCCTGAATCCTAAGAAATGTAAAACTTGTTCATTTAAACTTCATTAGGACAGTGTACTAATTTTTAGTATCTACCCCAATAAAATTTGAAACATTTAATAATAGTATCAACTATTTGAGAACTCTAAACATGTAATGGATATTACTTTCTCATTTTAAGGCTCAAGAGATTGAGTCTAGCCAAATTAATCCCAATGACAATGAAGTTTATTCCTCCATTTGCCTTTCCTCTTCAACTCTGTAAATTGAGAAAGGCCTCTGAACTTCTCTTTCTGGATGTGAAAGTCTATTATTCCACAAGGAAACTTAAGGTACATCCCCACCAATGGGATTCCAGTTGAAACCCAGAAAAAGAAAAATAAGAAAAGTTAAACAAATGTTAATAATGCAGCATACTTTTATATAAGAAATTTGTATATAACATTACAATTATCCAGTATAATTAAGCTACCAATGATCTTACACAACACTTTACATGCATATGTATGTACACACAGAGTTATTTCTCTCACAGAATTTTTAAGGACTAATTTGCCATTTGTATGAGTCAAAATGTGTCAGTTTGTCTTAGTACACAAATTTCTGTGAAAATGCTTTGTTAAAACTGACAGGATGGCACATGGTAAGAATTATACCACATCTTACTTAAAGTGAATGAAAAGACAATTCTTTTTACTTATTTACTAGCTACTATGTTTTTAGAAAGAGAAGTAATCACCATATTATGGGTGATAAGGTCCCAGATTAACGTAAGAAAACGAGGACTAAACTGGACATCCAGAATTCCTTTATTTCAAAATAATTTTGGCTTAGATTTACCAACTGTAAAATTTCCCATTTTCCCAGGGGAGACAAGGGAAAAACAAAAACAAAAACAAAAACAAAAACAAAAACAAAAACAAGACAAAACAAAAAAACAGTAAAGAAAGGTTTGAGGGAGTTTATAAAGCATTTATCAAGCCTTACCACACCAGTAATCTTCCTAACAGATGCGCTGATATTCTAAAATAGGCCACAGAAATAAGATGTGTGAAATAGACACAGGTAAACAAACAACAGCAGTTATTACTTGTGACATTTTATTGGCGTATGACAATTTACAAGGGTCCCTGTTGCATCATTATACATCACACTGAGTAAGAATCGTTTAGCCATCTACATTCAATGTTACTGGGTAATATTTTTCTCAAATTATAATTCCCAACACTGATTTTACCTGTGACAAAAGGAACAATAGTAATTCCTTGAAGAAGACTAACTGGAAAAAACATTTTGCTTTTAGTATAAAAATTCCTAGGATGCTGAAAGGTACACATACACACCTAAAGAGTCATGGCCTTCTTAAACAGCTTTCTTAATCCTTTCTGGAAATATCCTTTGGTTCATTTTTATTGCCCCTCTCTAGGCAAAACAAAGTATGTTAACGCAGGTATCAGTGAGTTATTTCCTAGCACTTGTAAGCAAATATCCTTACCAAGAGGAACCATTCAACTTTTATAATATCGTAAAGCGTGGAGTTAAGATGTGTTTTTAAAAAATATACAGGCTTTTTATATGCTTGGATCTGAAAAAGGTAACATCCACAATGACATTCTATTACAGAGTTCTTACAATCACCCTAGCCTACTACACTCTGGTATAATACTCTTTCTTCAATTCTGTTTAACAGAATAAAAGTAACCAAAGGTTAAAGCAATGCATTTGAACTTAAAATATAACCTGCCCACAGGAATTAAGTAGTTTTATTCCCACTCCCTATTACATAATTTCTCAGATCCCCTTTTACCTATTGTCTTAAGTGGATAAGCACATAGTCATGCACACAGATTTGATGTCTAACCAAGTAACTGTTATGGTATTTATTTGTATACAATAAAAGGGTCATGAAAATTCTGTGTTGGGAATCACATCCATGTTGCTTTCACACGTAAATAAGTATTATTCTGAACAGGAGAATATTAGTTATGCCCTGATTAATGCAATACATACTTCCTTTGGCAGGTATTTCCTCTGCTTTAATAGACAATTTTAGAAAGACATGTTAACGGGGGAAAATCACACAATACTAAGGATCTGAGGGCCATAAACATCACATATGTTGAGTTTGCTTTTAGTTTTGTTTCCAACAGTTCTTAACCAATGTTCCTGGCTGTAATCTAGGTGCTAGACGCACTGCAAATCCTCGAAAGTGTTTAAGATGAAAGAGCAATACACTTAAGATCTTCAAAAGTTTACATTAACAGAATAAGCATTAGCTCCTTTTAACACACACACACAACTAAATTAACAAATGAAATGTGTCTACTTTTATATATGCCCATAAAGCAGACACTTAACATTGAAATTTACTATTTTAGATTTTCACTCCTTTAAGAGCTATCAATATAGACACAAAAGATAATTCACATTTGAAAAATTATCTACCTGAAGAATAGAACTCTTAAGAGGAAAAAGAAAAAGCCATTCTACAAAAACTGCAACTGAAATGGGGGGGAAAAAGGTTAGATCAATGCCGCAACAAGCTTCCTGCCAAAACTTTTATTGGTGACATTTGAAAAACAATTTTTTTAAAATACTATTAATGAACAGTATGCTGTGTTTCTCTATTTTTACTAATAGTTACACTACAAACTAATGTTCAGCTCAAATAAATATGTAAGATATGAAATCAGGTACTAATGTATCAACTTATTCTGCAGGATAGACCTCCTACATACCAACCCCAGGATTACAGTTTTTCTTCTGTTTAAAACTAGGATGTTCAGTAGAAATGGGGTTTCTATTTGCAGTATTGTTACAAACCAGTTTCCTCTCACAAATAGCTAATATCTAAGACCATGACTCAAACTATCAAATAGGAATAGAAAGAGAACACACAGTTTTGAACGCAAATAGAAAAGGCTCCTAAGAATGTTCTTTATAGGCCACTGCTTGCTTTCAGTAAAAATAACATTTTCTCAAAACTTTTCAATCTGATTTTTAATAGCTTGTACTTTTTAGCTATTGGCAAAGCTTTTTTTTTTTAATTCCTTCTTAAGCATTTGCTCAAGTGTTAAACTAGCTTAGTTTACCATAGTAACAACTTTTTGTCTGTGGTATACTTCAAAAATCAGTCACCCTACGATGTAGTGTGTTCAAATTAAACAGATGTATACAGTTAAAATAATTAGTGTAGTCTCTATAAACAATTTCTGTTCCAGGATTTATATGTAGAGCTAACGTTTACTTCAGAATAAAACATTGACAAACAGGGAAGGAAGAGAATCAGAACTTTCACAGAGCTGTACTTGACCATATCTTATAGACAAAGCAGAATTACAATGCATGTAACAAAAACGTTAAAAGTTTTAAAAGTTGATAGTTACAAATATGGTACGTAACAATTTTCTACTTTATTTCAGTACAATTTTCAACATACAGTCTACTATTTCTCAAGATATTTGAAGACTTAAAACAAAATTTCTATAGACTACTTGCAAACAGTAAAATTTAAGTAAAATGCTTACATTCTTATTTGAAAACAAAAATCAGGTAAAAAAAATGGTGGGTGCAAGTTCTGCTCTGTTGTAATCTTACTTCATATTTATTATTCCTAAAAGAGAGAGAAAAAATTAAAGATTAACAAAAGATGCGGAGAGTGAAAAGGAACCATATTAATAATTGTTCCTAAAAATGAAATAATTCACCCACCAAACCTATATCAAAAAAAATCTGTCAGAATCACAAGTTGAAATTTTATACCTTTTCTTCCTTGCGTCTGTCCTTCTTTTCTTCATTATTTTCCATGGTCTCTTCTTCATCTTCAACAATCCCATCCCCTTGGTATTTGTCATGAGTCCATTTAGGACTGCTACCTGATTTTTTGAAGTTAAAGCGCCCTCTGCCACGTTGAAAAGTACCACGACCTCTTCCTCTTTTGGCCCAATAATCCACACCATCATCTCTGTCGTCATGCTACAGAAAGGTTAAAAACAATTGTCAATGAAATGTTTCTTGTAAAGATGATCATTTCTCCAATCATAAATCACAGTATTAATCTTCTGAAGATTGGGTATATGAGATTGGTAATATTCTAAAACACAATAAAACAAAACCAGTAAAACTGAATTTTTCAACAAAAATACATTCCATCATCAAGAGAATAACTACATCTTACTACTTAGCAACCCAAGCACTGAAGGTTACCCAGACAATCATTTGGAAGATCTCAACTGCTAAATTACCACTGATTTTTAGAATCCTGAGTTTTGTTTTTTTATTATGTCAATCCAAGTCCACTTATTATTACACCAAATGCAATGAGATAAAATTAAGTTTTTCCCAAAATTACCTTAGTCATAAAGATGCAGCAGAAAGTCATAAAAATATCATTAAAATATTATAACATTCACTAAAATGAAACTGGTGGTATGAATTTTATACTTTACATATAAAAGTAGATTTTAAATCTACTGAGATTGAAATCTAGATCAATGTACAGTACATATCGATGTTCTGGGCTAGAGAATTTCAATGGTAAATCATGACACGGTCCCTAGAATTAACATCTCACTCAGTTCTTCATCAATCTAAAGTACTGCAGTTATCACATCCCAGCTTTAACCATTAATTGTATTCAAATACAGATGATCCCCAAATTATGAAATTGTTCTATTAAGCAAAACAATCTGCAAAACTGAAAAGTACTTGACTTTGTAGATGAGTAGAGATGGGTATTATATTCATACAAAAGGCCAAGGGAGTCCTGTATGTAATTTAATTAACAGCTAACTTATTAACTTTGTCACCCACAAAAATGGGAAATAAAGCAAAATGCCCCTTTATTAGAAAAGGGGTATAATGCAAACAAAATGTTGTGTAATCTATAGAGTACCAGTAGTGAGCAACCATCCAAAAGCCACTAAAACTTTTTTTTACGTAATATGGCATATGAGTATTTTTTTTCCAAAACATAAGACTGTGCCTTTGGATATATTCATTTAACTGATTAACCCCCTTCATGACTTGAAAAGTTCAATTATATGGGTAACTAACAGACCATATGAAAGAGAACTTACCAACTGCTAATAATCTATCTTTACCAAACCACTGAAAGATTACTAGGTAGAGGTGTACATGACTCTATAATGAATGAATTTTGGAACTATCAAAAGTGTAAATTTAAATACGGCAGAGTTTATTACAAACCCAAAATAAACTACTTTAAAATAGTCTGCCACTAAAAATAATGCCCACTCCACTACATAATTTCATGCTCCCTTATCACATTAACATACCCAACTCCAGAGGCTGTGTTTTTTTATGATTTTTACACAATACACCATGGATTCTGGGAAGAGGTTTTGGAGTAGAAGCATGGGTTTAAATCTTATCAGAAACTGTGTGACTTTGGGCAACCTCTCTAGAATTCACTTCATTTTAATAATGTGTGCCTTGAGGGAACACAGATCAGCAGGAAGTGCCCGGCCCAGTGTCTGACAAGCAAGCACTCAATAAATGGTGGCAAAAATGATGTTTCTATAGTGTGTAATATGGATCTGGCCCTGTTCTGAACACTTCACATGTATTTATTCAACTAATCCTCACAACAACCCTCTAAGATAGTATTACTGCCCTCACTTTAGAAATAAACAAACTGAGGCACTGAGAAATTAAGTAACTTGCCCAAGGTCACAGAGCTAGCCCTTTCTTCTACCCCTTGTGACCATCACCCATAAAACACATTTCCCAGATATCTTGGTGGCAGTATATGATTACCACACCAGGTAGCTAAGAGTTAGCAGAAATAGAAAAGCCAAGAGCAAAGCTAGACACTAGGGTTAAACTAGCCATTGCTTTTAATATACAATCATCTGAAACTTGGTAAACACAACAGCACCTAAACAATTAAACTGTGCCTTTCGTAGGGCATCCTGGCAGCTACTTAATTGAGATTTTTGATGCTAAACATATTCTTAATACTCAAGTTTTATATCGAAGATTTCAGTCTCATTATTAAAATGTTTAATTTTTAATTATCTCAGATTTAAAAGGGCCAGAAGTTAGATATTTATACACAGCTAAGAACATGTTAACAAAGGAGTCTGTATTAGAAACCAAGACCTTCTGAATCATCTTCTCTTCTCCATACAAGGATCACGTTTCAAAGGAATAATAACCAAAACTCCAATCCTGAACCCCCTTCCCCACCAACGATTTTCTCTTCCTTTGAAGACAGCAACTCAACACTGAGAATCTGCCTACTTCAGTACTTTCCCACTTGCTCCAACTCTTCACACTCACCCCTCCATAGAATTTCAGGTTCTAACTAAAACTAGTATCTTTCCTGGAATTTTTATTATTGAAAACATTACCACACCTTTGCATAAAACAAAGCTTAGAGATAGGAAAATTCAAAAAGAATGCAACAAAGATTACTATAACTCAGTATTGGACAACAAATAGTACAAACAAGACTTTCAGAACCCTGACTCTGGAGCCCAATGCATAAATCCTGACCCCATTGCACTAGCCACATAACTCTGCTTAAGCTACTCCACCTTTGTACCTCAGTTTTTTCCATCCACAAAAATAGAATAATGGCCCCAACTCAAAAGCCTTTTTTAAGTATTCATACATACAGAACACTCAGAACAGCACCTAGCATAGTACATGATGCTTAACAAATGTTATCTATTATTACTAAGCTTTTTTGTTTGTTTGAGACAGATTCTCACTCTGTCACACAGGCTGGAGTATAATGGCGCAACCTTGGCTCACTGCAACCTCCACCACTTGGGTTCAAGCGATTCTCCTGCCTCAGCCTCCCGAGTAGTTGGGACTACAGGCACGCACCACCACGCTCAGCTAATTTTCGTTTTTTTTGTAGAGACAGGGTTTCAACATGTTGGCCAGGCTGTTCTTGAACTCCTGACCTCATGATCCACCTGTCTCAGCCTCCCAAAGTGCTGGGATTACAGGTGTGAGCCACCGTGCCTGGCCTGTTAGTTACTAAGTATTAATGTTTCATCCAAATGTGCAAACTCTTTTAAACTGGTTAATTGTTCTGAAAGAACCTAAGGGAATGAATGTCTAGTTCTAGACTTTTCTTCTGAATCATATTTTTCCTTCTTTTCCCTCAACATTCCTTTACATATAAGATACAAAATCTTTTAAATTTAACTATTCATGTGAAAACCAAAGTTGCCATTTCAATGGCTCATAAGTAAAAACCAAAATAATTAACTTTGGGAACTAATTTATAAGGAAAAAGTGTGTAATTTTGCTTGATATTCTAGTGAGCATCATCAGTCTGTGGCAAATCAATGTTTATGTTTTATAGAGACCAAGATTTTTAAATATAACCCAGAAAAGCAACATGTAAAAATATTACTGCTACTTATAAGTGGCTAAATTCTTAAAATAAGACAGTTCTTAATGAAACTACTGCCTAAGTAAACGCCAACCCAAAATGAGTATGTACTTGTTAAGGGTTAGCAGACTCAAGAGAATGCCATAGAAAAACGGCCTAAATTTAATATTTGTAAATTGTTAAAAGTGTTAAACAATTACTATCTATTTGTTCACCCCTCATTCCCTCTTAACCTTCTGACCTATCTATCATACCTGGTCTACTTCTCTGGCATTTTTACTCTCTCTCACTTTTCACCCCACCTTTGAAATGTTGGTCTTTATCTCGTCTCTTCTGTGATCTTAACACAGCTTTAATGGTGACCTATAAAATTAGAGCACTTAGATTTTTTTGTTTCTCTAAATCTGAATTACCAACTATCCACTGGACAGCTCCATTTCTCCCAGGCACTTCAAATTCAACCTGTTCAGAACAGAACTTAATCTTTTGAAAGGAGCTTCTTTCCTACAGATTTAGATTCCTTCCTCTCACTACCAACTCCCTGAATTCAAGTCCCCATAAATGTTACTTTCTCAAATCTAGCCCCTTAGTTCAGACACTATATTCTCTCAAATTGCTTAACTTTTAACACCCATGATTTTTGTAAACTCTGCTTAAAACTCTATTTTCTTAAAAGTATTAAGACCTTTCACACTGACTCCTTGTACTCAATTTTCCCACACTTATACCAACCATCTAGCCATCTGAGTACTAGAGTTATCTATACCATGCTGTTTCACTCCTTCTGCTATGTGCAGTACACTTGCCTACCTCTTAACCTCAAGATTAAGGTCAAGTTCCTCTACAAAAGTCTCTCCTAATCACTGTCTCCTTTGCAGAAATCCACCTATTTCTTCTTTGGGAAAAGTGAAAAGCCACCATATATATTTAGAATGTTTGTTTCTCTACTACTAGCAGTCTCTAAGTCAAAAATTAGAATCACATCCTACTTGTCTTTCCATCCTTAGTACCTAGCATAAACATGTCTGTTAATACATAAATTCTTGAACCAAGTAGATGGATCTTTCAAATTTTTCTATACATCAAATGCCTTTTACTTTCCAGAATGTCAATTCAAGACACTCAAGAAGCATAAACTGAGAAAACATTATGCATAACGCACTCTGTAACTTTTTTTTTTTGGTTCTTGGTCATTAACATGCCAAAAAAGAGGCAAATGGAAATATATTTTTGAAACATATATAGTTTTTCCAGACAAAATAGAGATCCACTTCAAACTATAGCTATAACCTCTAAGTAGGTATGTCATGGACATTCAGGTTTATTCAAATATACTCATAAAAAGCCAACTGAAAAAGTCAACAATTCCTCAAGTCCAATACAATCTTCCTCCATGGAAGGAACTAGTTTTCAGAACTAGTCTCTGAAGCATAAATTCTCTGAAAAGCCATGACAAAAAAATGAATACTTCTGGTAATAGTTTCGGTATATTCTTGTCCACCTCTATAATGCAGGAGAGACCCTTTTCCCCATGCCAAACAGCAGAAAATGCCCATCCTTATCTAGAGAATCCTTCAGGACCTACCACCTCTAGCTTCATCCTTGAAAAACTATTTCAGAGGGAAAAGCACCTCTACCACAGGAAGCACCAAATTAGTGTATCTAGCAGCAACTTTTCTGTAATGTAATTTTTCATCATCTTTTTTCTCCAATGAAAGTTGACAGCCTCCCTAAAATTCTTAATTACACGTACTTTGAAAAAATTATTCTCCTTTTCATTTAAACAAATAGCTATGATAATGGAAGGTACATCTTAATGTGAAGTTTCTACAACTGTCACTGTCTTATAGACAGATATAAAACAAACATTAAGCTCAACTATAATATAATGTTTTTCTCTGAATGTGGGTAACAAATCAGGTATATTTTTTGCTTACCCTGATCAGCCTATGTTTAATATCAAGAAAGTATGAACAGGACTAAAGGGACCCACATTTTTCAAAATTTCAAATCGTCTGGGTAATTATTTTAAAAAAGGTTTCCCACATAACGGTGAATCTTCTTATAGTAGTGGTTATCTGTACTCAAATTTATTCACCTAGTATGCTTCGAAAATTAATGCAAACCAAATAAACACAGATGTCTAACACCCACCAAGAAGTACTTCTTGCTCTTTGGGGTATATTCTGGATCCCATTCCTCTTCCTTCGGTCTCTTTTGAAAAGTAGTATTTGAGTTGTTTGGACCAGTATTTGTCCCAGCAAAAACTCCTCTGGCTCTTCCTCTGCCTCTAATTCGAAACTGATTAACATTAACAAAGTTGTTTAGTGATGCAATCAAAAGGTATTTAGTTACATGCAAATTCTAATTTTACTGCAGTAACAAAAAACATATGCCCTAATTTCCTATCTAAATCTCATGGCCATTGAGGATGAAAAGGATGGCCATTTTATATCATAGGCAAAAAATTTCTGCCAACTAAAAGTTGAGTAGGTTAAGAAATGATCAACCTAAGTGTTAGAATACTGTACTTTCATGGACTGAACTAATATTTTTAAATAATCAAGTTGTTTTTCCTTTTTACTAGTCAAAAGTTGTCTAATTTCTTTGAATTATCATAGAAGCCCCAAGTATTCAGCCATACCTATCACCATACAAGCAAAGCTCTTCTCTTTCCCAAATTATCTAATAAATGAACTCCACCAAAACCCAACTAGATACTCGCTCAAGGTAGGAGTGTGAATCTTGAAATTAAACAGGCAAGAAGATGCACTACCATGGAAGTCATTATATTAATAATTATAACGACTTACAGAAACATGGGGATAATGTATATGCTATGTGAAATATTTATATGATTTCTATGATTGATACCCATATAAGCAAGGATTTGAAGAAAGCAGGCAAAATGAATGTAACTGTAATACAGAGATGAACATACAGGGGTTTTATTAAGGCGTTAAGGTACCTTTTCAAAAACTAAGTGATTAAAGAAATGTTATTACAAATCAGTAACTTTCCTTGACTCTTGGTCTTTAAGGACTAGGTACAGTTATTGATCTCGAAGTCAAGAAAAGTACCTAGTTTATACAGATGCTTCTAGACCTCAAAATGGCATTTCTAAATGAAGACAGCACTTCAAACACCACTTCATGTTTCAATACTATCTCTGACTTTAGGAATAATGACACACATAACAATCTCTAAATCATGTATATGACCTTCCTTATGTACAGTACTCTAAGATAAACTCCTACCAAACAATCAAAGATAATTTTTTCACTTACAAAGGTTCCTCGTGGTCGGCTAACTCCTGCAAAGCCTGAGTATTCTTTCATTTCATGGTGAGTTTTAAATTCTTCTTCTCTTTCCTTCTTACTCTCCTTTTCTTCTCGAGAACTGGGAGAAGAAGGTGATGCTGAAGAGGATGAAGATCGAGAATGATCTTGCTCTCTTTTATGTTTACTGCAAAATAAAGAAAACAAAAAATGTGATACTTTTAAAAAGATAAAGACCCTGCTGAATCTTACAACAGAAGAGATATTTTTCAAGTCAACAACACTATCCCCTAATAAAATTATGTAAATAAAATAATTGGGTGTTAAACTTTGACACAGTCTGTTTCCATTCTCCTTCAATATGTGTTTTACATCAATAATGAAAAACATGCTAGGGCCTGCCAGTTAGAAAATAGTAGTCTGTAAAGGTCAAGAATAAGGTTCAGTTCTTTAGTATTTTTAAATTAAGTTATGTCTTTTATTACTTTAATGAAAGGAAGAGAAGAGTAGGAAAAAGTAAGGATGTTCTTAAGGCCAAGTTTCAAAATGACTGCAGTTTGTACACCCTGGGTGAAAATAGTTGGTATAGTTTGGGCTATAGTACCATTATAGCAAATAAAAAGCATATGACATTACAAATAACAGCCATAAATTTAATAACACAAACAAAATCCACCATTTACCTAATGAATAGCAAGGAAAAAGATTATCTATAATACTTTGTGTTCCTATTTGACTCTATGATGATCAAATTTACATGATTTAATGCAACACCCGAAAAGGTCATACCTGTGGTTAACTCTTACCACTGCTAACAGTTTCCAAGGAAATATTATTTTGAAAGACTAATACACATTGCTATTTCTAGTCCTTCCTCCCCCCCATCTCTCCCATGTTAAACCACTAGATATCAGTTTAAAATTCTTGTACTCTGGGTGTTATGAGTTGAAAAAGTGCGGAATCAAGCATAACGAACCAAAGTTCTTACACAAACTGTTTCTAGAAATGCACTGCATTGAAGTCCAACCTCCTGATGTAGCCTGGATAATAGGACACATTAATTTGTCATTTTTTTTTTCAGTGTTAGCTTGCTATTCCAAAGTTTTTGTCCTCATCCACCATAAGCCGTGTAAAAGACAAATACATTTTTGCTGTAAAACAAATAATTTTAATTGTTTAAATTTAAACATTCGATTACACAGTCAAAATTGAAAGCAATTAAGCTGACAATTATTAAAGGCTAATTAGAAGCTAAAACCTATCTTAGTCAGTTTGAACAATTACCTGTCATCTTTGTAAGATTTGTATTCCTTGTAATCTTTTGGAGTTTTTTCCTGCTTTCTTGATCCACTGGATTCCCTGGAGCCCTTGGAATCTCCCCGTTCTTTACTTCTTTCTTTTCTACGGCGATCAATGTCATGCCGAAGGTCAGCAGAGTCACACCTTAATTTTTTATCTCCCTATAAAAGACAGATATAAAATACAGATTTCAGGGGAGAAATAGAAAAAATATATATACACATATTATAGAGTTAAATTTTATGCCAGCTTCTAAACTGGCATTTTAGTATCAGAAAATAATGAATCATATAAGATACTATCACTTAGTTTTTGTTAAAAAATGTACTTGACTATTTTTACTAAACATTTGTGTATACAAAGTGCAGTGGGACTGGGGAAATTATTAAAAGCTAATTATCTTGAGAATTTTGCAGGTTTTTATCCAAAACAATCTATAATAAATTTTTGTACAGTAAATGATACAAATATTTTTTCCACTCAGCACATCCTTATTATCCCTCATCCTTCCAAATGCTGTTTTCAATAGTTGAACAATGACAGATGTTATAATCTGTAGTTGTAATGTAGCCTTCTACCTAAATAAAAGAGATCCTAACATAATGGTTCTCATTACTTAAGCCTCATTATGATCAAGCTCTTCCCAAATAATCTGACCAACCCAATAAAAAAAAAAACTTCAGAAGTAAGAATTCTATAATTTCCATAACATGCACGTAAAATATTATTAATGAAACCAATTGGTTGAACAAGGGTAGAAACAAAGCCAGAAAGATATTCGCAATCCTGTACTCAGTATCTTGGGCCATATACTGCCCTTTCTCAATTCAGGTATTGCAACGGACATTAGTTTAACTGGGTCACAATTCACCTCCTTCTTGTTCCATTGCTTTTTCAAATACTATATAATTTAGGAAGATGGAAAGAGGCATCTAGGAATGAAGAGAAATTATACATCAGTAAGATGCTAAGCAATGTGGACATCCTTGCTAGTATTCAACAATAAGTAGTATTTACTCTGGGAAGTCTGGCTATAATATTCATAAGCATTCATAAAACTGAAAGTACGTATCTCCAAATGATATCAACTACTCACCTATTTGCTCCCAGAGTCACAAAGAAAAAAATCTAATCAAGAGCAAAAAAACCTTCCTATTCACCTAGGTATTACCAAGTCCACAAGTAACAAGATAATGTAAATGAAACTACTTTGTAAATTACAAACGATATATACATAATTACATATTAACATGTTATTCATCCAGACAGGAGGATAAAAACCAATGGCATATCCTCTTGTCTATTCATCAATTATCTCTACTTTTTCTCCTCTGGATCAAAATCTGGTCTATGTAATGAGGAGAGAAGATACTCACTGTCAGAGCACGAGGACAGACTAAACTGTTGGGAAAACTAAATTAACAACTTTGAACCCAAGATATTATTTAAGTTAAAAACCAAAAAAAGTATTCACTACTCAGAATCTGTTCTTTCAACATCAATACGCCCCATGCAAAACAAAAACAAAAAAAATAACAGAACAAAAAAAAACCTTGTTTGTAAGCTCTAGATTCCACATCTAGTAAGTTAATAGCATGCCCTATTAAACTTGTATACTACCACTGTCCATAACAGCTTCTAGTAACAAACGTGCCTATTTTCAAAATAACCCAATTATTCAACAACTCTGCAAAACAGATGCATTCTCATTTTTCTAATTAGAAAAGCAAGGTTCAAGAGGTTATTTTCCAAATATCATGTAGATAGTACTTAGTGACAGCCAGAATTGGAACCAAGCAGTACTTCCAAGTCCCCTAATCTCTTCAAAACAGTTGCTCCCTTTCTGCCTTTCCCCACATTTCTACTACTAGACATTTTATGGCCTGATATAGATTAGTCTACCTGGCAAAGGTCATTTTGAATTGTCAAGAGTATATTGGAGACCCCTTAACCACTGAATTCCATTCTCACCAAGACCCCTCAATATCTTTCACAGGCTCCTCTCTCATGTTTAAAAGACATTCCCCCAATCCCCAAACATTCCAAGAGTGACAAGTCTTTGTTCCAAACGTTCATTTGTAAACCAGTTCTTAGAATGCTTATTTCTTAATCCACATCAAAAATGCTCAGTAGCATGGGGATTACTTCTTGTTATCTGTGAAGAACCTAGAGATATTAATTTAGACACACAAATCGAGAAATATTTACTCTGGCTAATGAATCTCATCTCAAAATTCTAATTTGTATCTTTGATTTTATAATTTCCCTTTGTCTACCCACTGATTCTTTACACTTTTCTTAGGACTATTTTTTTTCCTTTCATTAGTGTTTTGAAAAAACACTCTTGGTTTAAATTTAAGACACTTAGTATAGTGTCACCTTAATTTCTTCCAGGAAGAAACAGTATGTACACTACCATAATATAGTTATGAATTAAAAGTAGAAGATATCTATAGACATTTTGCCTTGAGAAACTATATTTGGTACAATATCATTAACTAAGCTGAACTTAACACGAAAAAAAATTACATTCAAAAACATACCTTTTGATTTTCTTCTTTAAAAACTCTCTCTTCCCCTGCTAAACGGGTATGCTTCCTCAGGGTACTTGGTGAGATGTCAATTCTCCTTAATGTAAAATAAAATATATTTTTAGTCATATTATTAACTTTTTGGTTCAAAAACATCCACACGATTATCCATTTTCCTAAGACAGTTATTTCTCTCCCAATCAACTAATTTAGCACACCAAGACTATTAATTTAGTTTATAATACACAATTAAGAAAAAATACCCACAAAGAATGAATTAAAATGCTCCAACCAGATATTTTTATATAGAAGTGAAGTCTGGCCTTTAAAACATCAAACTTATTTTAGCCATCAAAAATAGAAAAAATGTGTTTTGATTAAACTGGATATGATTTTAAGCATCAACAAACACACATGAATAGGATTATTTGCTCCTGTCTTCAGTATTTTTAGATATTCAGTGCCCCTTTAGTTTTATTCTGCACCTTTCCTTTCTAAGTCAGTATTGGCTGCAACTACCCAGTGCTTCTTTAGCAGTCATCACCAAAATCACACCAACTGTGTACAAAGTACCAAGTCAGATACTTCATAGCCAATATCACTGTCACTGCCACCCTGCAAAACTGGCATGATTATCCACATTTTGTATATGAAAAAACTTACGTCCAGAGATTAAGTTGTTCATCACAATGCAACGAAGAGACAAAGTCAGGATTTCAACACAACTATCTGACTTCAATGCTCATGCTTTCGTTCTCTCTCTCTCACCAAACATTTATTTCACATTTATTTCACTAGAAATTCGAAGGTAACTCTAGGCCTCCACTGCCCCTCCCAAAAACCAAACTAATTGATAACTATTTAATTCCATACTGCAAAGTAATAAGAGTTAATATTTCAAGTTCTAACAACCAGTTTCAACTAAGCTGAAAATCAAGAATTATAGAATTTTCAAGACTTTGAAATATATTTATTTAAAGTATAAATGAGGAATAATACTTGTATCAATGACAAAAACAAACTTCCAATACAATCTTGTTTTAACAGTGTCTTCCTATCAAAACAACGTTTTTATATGCCAGTTCAGCAGGATACATACCTGTGTATTTCAGGGCTCTTTTGCCGAGTACTATGTTCTTCAGTGGCTTTCTGATACGAAGTGAACCGCTCGTTTAGGGTCATTGCAGCTGACTTGAAGTATTGCTCTGTTGATTTAGAAGAAATACTGTCCGATTAGTTAACTTTACTTTAAGAGAGATTTGTTTGTGACAGAAGGGCATGTAGCAGGTGAAAAGAAAATAAAAATAAGAAACCTAGCAAAAGAGAATCAAGTGTTACAAGGAACTCCTACCCTTTCAATTTCTTGTACCTCAACAGGAGAGTGTTTCGAAAGTTGCTCACAGGTCCCTGTCAATACTACATCTAATCCAAGAGCAATTAATAGATTAAATCAAGAGTCTCTAATTCCACTTCATTAATACACTACTTCCTCAGAACAAAAAGGAACATAATCTATGGATGCTCTAATACCTTGCCAATATGAACCAATGACATTACTTCAAGTAATCATTTGCAGAAAACAAAAAACAGGAAAATATGGAGTTAACTAAAAAGCTTGTTTGGGTCAACTATTAAATTTCATCAGTGACTATATGCTGCCATATCAACAAAAATGGATTTATAAAAACACTGAATATTATCACCCAAATTGGAAAAATATTTTTAAATCAATTAACATTCAATAATTACTCCAAAAATCTGGCATCTTGGCAAACCCAACAGCAAATTTGATATTGCTGTTTTGTCTCTCTTTAAACAATTTTCAAACTAGTAATATCAATACTGATTATTTTTAAAACCAGTTCAAGATATGTTGTAAATGTAAAATAGAAAGACGTATAAAGTCATGAGCTATGAAATGTCACATTATGAAGCAAGCTATCTGCTTAACAGGTCAACATACATCTGTTGTCAACTTACCGCCCAATATCCAGCACATGTCTCATAACCAATCATTAAAACTTGAAACGGCCACTACAAGGGTAGTGCCTCAATCATAATTCCATGAAACCCAGGAATTTGAGCTAGCAACTCAGTTTTTATGCCATTTTTGCCAGGAAGACAGAAGATTCAACTTTGCCTGTATCTTTCAACAGCTATTTTACTTTGAAACATGGATTTTGCCATTTCAAAACATATTCCAGGACCTAGTTACAATGAAAAAGAAAACATCACTGGGCATTTTCAGCTCTATATAAAGTAAGAGCTGTTCAGATCGGTTGCACAATACCAATTATGAAACATTACTACAGTTCTTTTAAAAAAAAAAAAAGAAAAAAGAAAAAGGAAAAAATTTATCAAAACCTGATCTCAAAATTCAGTAATAAATTGTAAAATGTGGAGCTAGGCCAAAAAAGATTAAAAAATTAAAAAAAAAAGAATGTTTCATATTTTATGTACCACAGTAATATGGTCATAAACTGGTTCACAAACCTACTCAGAGCCAAATAGCAAAACTGTCTTGTTACCGTGTTTAAATAATTACAGCCCAAAAGAAATTCATCTAACTATTCACTGTTCTGATGTATCAACTGCATAAAGAACTGCTAGAGGCAAGTTTCATCTATTACATTGAGCTGTTCTCATGTCAAACGACAGATTTTTTAAAAGCGGGGAGGGGATTAATTTTAAAGGCCAACAGTCTTTGAAGTTCCTGAGAAAGAATATGTCTCATAGTAAGTTGCTTTTTAAACACAGAAACAAAACAACAAAAACAAAACTTAACCTAACTGCCCAAAAGACATACTTGAAAATCTTTGAAAATTATTAGTAACTCTGCAACTATAATTACATACTGGTAAAAATTTAAAAAAAAAAATCATTACTTTAGTTGAAATAAACAACCTTATCTTTAGGACCTAAAGAAGTGTCATCATTATCCTAATTAGTCACTATTCATGTAATCAGTATTTATATAATATACTTCTAAATTTCTTGAACGTTTTTCCTTTAAAAATCCTGATAAATTTTCTTGTTTTATCATTTTAAGATTTTTATGTATAAAAAATTAAGCGCAAAAAAAGTGTTTTTCCACCATTTCAGATTTCTTTAAAAGTTGAAAAGAAATTCTTAGAAATATTCAATAACAATACTGTCTGACTTTGTTATAAATCTATGCCAAGATTATCACAAGCCATAGGCATGCAATGAAAGACTATCTGTAAGCCTTCTGCACTTCAAGTACATTACAATGACATACTTAAAAAACACTTTTAGCATTCAACAAATCTACATCATGTTCTACCATGATACAGATTTTTAGCATATGGTTTCTCCAGCATTTCAATTACTTTTTATTAACTATCTTCATAAGTTTCAATGCTAGCAAGACTAGGGACTCTCTTCTATGAAACTACTTTTCCAAGTTTTAATAATATTGGATGTATATTTGCTAGCCCTGGGGTACATGAATTATTAAGCATAATTACACATTTTTTTATTTGCATGCAAGAGAAATTTAATTCACGATACTAAACATACTAAGCATACCTTTAACATGATGAACCAAGGACACAATGTGTTGAATAAATGACTCTGAAGTGCTTTTGCTGGCCTGTGGCAACTTAATGTGGTCAAAGATGGATCGGAATTCTTGCTCCTTCTTGACAGAATGGACAAGTGTACTAGCAAGCAGCCTGTCTTTAGTCAAGGAAGCAGGTCTGGAACATATTGATAACACACACACACACAAAATATACCATTGGTTTAAATATAAAAATGGTATGTTCAGAAAGTTTAAGATAATTAACTGGAATACTGACTGCCCACAGATTATTTACTGGGCATCAATATGGAATTACCTGTTAGAATCATCAAGAGGAACAGGTGCCATTTTGAGTTTGACTTCAGGACGGTGAGAATCACTCGCTATCATTTTGATCCTAAGTGGGCTTTCCTCTCTGAAGGTAGACTTTTCTCGTGCATCCAGATTCTTGTGTAGAGGGGGACTGTAATCAAAGAGGTCTTTGAGCTTTTCAGACTTTACCTGCTCAGGTGACTGAGTTTCTTTCTTTACTGTTATTCTTTCAGAATTTTTGTCTTCTTCTTTGTGCTTATCTTTTGTAGTGCTAGGCCTTTCCACTACATATCCAGTCTCTTTAAGTTTATAATTTTTTTCTTCTCTAAATCCATCACTTTCTCTATTGCCTTTCAGTGAAACTTTGGACTTGTACTTGAGTCCTTCCTCCTCAGTATTCCGGTGAGATGCAGTAGCAAAACTTTTACCCTGATCTGCGAGGACTGACTTCCTGAACTGTCTATAATCCTCTGTCTCCTCTGTGTCATCCCCTTCTGAATCATTAAACTTTTGTTTTCCAGACTCTTTATCACTGAAGTAATCTAGAGCTTCCTGATCTTCCCATTCTCCCTCTGCCCTCCCTTTCTCTGATCCTTTCTCTTTTGAAGCCTCTTTATCCCTGGTATTACCCCTATCAAGCAGGAATACTCTAGACTCTTCATCTGTGAACCTGCGAATAAGCAAAGAAGAGGATAGTAACTCTGGATTGCATTCACTGTAGATCGCTTCCATATTTAAATGTGTTGCCCAATCCCTCAGGACCAGCAAGAGAGAAAATAACCCTATTGAAAAGTGCTTTTTCAGATTCCACTTTTAAAAATCATTGAAAGCATCCATATAGAACTTATGTACTGACTTTTAAAATAAATTTACATTTGACTTCTGAAGTTTAAAACACAAAGCCAATCACAAAAACCTGTCCTATTTAGTCACAATCCACAATTCTGCACTAACACGAACTTCTAGAGATTGCCTAAATTTAATTTTTGAAACTAAGAACCACTAATAGATAATACATTGTTAGAATTCTATTGATAATTATCCCCAAAATTCCAGATATTATCTATTAATATAAACAAGAGTTCACACAAATGGATTTAATTACCACTGCAGTAATTTAATACTTTATGAAAATCACAGAACAGTTCATATAAACTTGCTCTAGAAAAATAATGATTTCTGGCACTATTTCATAGAAACTAATGATCAGTTCAATCATAAATTCTAGATTGTGCAGTGCTATTCCACAAACAGCATGTTTCCTCTATTTTCTCACTTTTAAGTCAAATCACAATACATGAAGCAACCAATTTTCACTGTTAGCAACTTTCAGCAACACTTGAAATCAGAATTTAAACAATGTATCTGTTTCAAATGTCATTAGTCAGTGAGAAATACCATTACCTTTTGTATAGTCAGGCTGAAATCATTAAATATTGACAGCCAGACTGTTTATGCCACCTAAGAACATGCAATATAGCTGCATTATTTATGTAGGTCACATTCTAATAGTGAAAAGAACAAAATAAGCCTTCAATGCTTTAAGAAACTTAATTTCTAAAAGGTTTACAGTTATTAGCAACATATATCATTTAGTTATGCTCTAAGCTACTCAACTTCTCCTCATCTGTATTTTTAATTCTGGACCGAAAATGGTAAAATTAAGAGGAGGGATAGAAATTAGGTTTTTTTAATTCTTTTTAAAGAGACAGGGTCTTGCTCTATCGCCCAGGCTGGAGTGCAGTAGGCGCAATCATAGCTCACCACAGCCTTGAACTCCTGGGCTCAAGAGATCCTCCCGCCTCAGCCTCCTGAGTAGCTGGATAAATTAATTTTTATTAAAACACTTAGCTTCCAAAGTTCACCAGATAAGAGTAAAAACAATTTGGAATTATCTTAAAATGAAGGAAGTCAAGAGTAAAAACCGCTAGTTAAATACATATCACAATTTTACGTTTATAATTCCAAACAGAATTCAAAGAACAAAAACAATATTATAATCTAGATTCTGTATTTTAGTTTTTACCTTTTTAAGAACTTCCCAGTCTTTGCAGTTTCCTGATCTCCACCATCAGGATAAAACGAGGAACGGCCCCTAGACTCATCTCTTGGAGCATTCTGTGGTGCGATTGTCTTTGCAGGACTTCTTCGTGAAGGGATGTGATGAATTGGACTATTCTGAGAAGGACTGTATCGACTAGATCCATTTCCAACAGAACCAGACCCAGACCTTTCAGGACTATGCTGAATGGAATGTGAATGCTGAGAAGGAGTATTTTTTGCAGAGTGAACTGTACTGAGCATGGGAGCATCAGAGCAAGATGAACTCTGACTAGGTGGTGTAGCAATAGGTGAAGGACTATGGGGTGATCTAGGACTATTATCATAAGCTGAAAGGCCAGGCCAAATATCACCGGATGTGGCTGATGACTTATTAAATTCATCGATAGACTCAGATGGGTCATGTTCAAATGTATCTTTCGGTTCCTCCTGTGATTTACTTTTCAACGGACTCTCTTCTTGGGGTTCCCCTTCAGCTTTTTTGGTTTGTTTTTCCTGAGACCCTCGTCTTTTAGAAACAGGAGATTTGCTATATGGGGATGAAGAACGAGAAGAGGATGATCTTGGAGACCTAGAAGATCTATATGACCGGCGAGATCTGCTTCTGGATCTTTGAGAAGAAACGGATCTTCTTTTTGGACTCCTGGAACGTGAACGACCTCGTCTAGGACTCCTAGAGTGCCTTCTATTCCAGACAGGTCTATAACCACCTCGATGATATCTACCTCCTCCTCCTTGATAATACCCTCTACCCCTTCCTCTGTACCCATAAGGTCGTCTCATTCCTCTATTATTTCTGTAATCGCGACGATAATCTCTAGAATACATACGATCTCTACTACGAGACCTTGAATATGTTCTGGAACGAGACCTAGAACTAAAAATGAAATAAATATCAATGCAAGAAAAATAAAGTATTCCATGCTACCATTCTAAATACTCTGGTTGAATATAACATGTAAATAAACAGTAAAGGCAAAAATACACTTTTTTAAAAAACTCATCTGTACAAAAGTTAATGGTTTCCAATCAAAAAGCCTCACTAAGGTAAATACTGAGAGAATACCTTAAAGACCTTACAAATGAAGGCACAAAACACACACACACACACACACACACACACACACGCATGTGTTATATATATCACATGCATTAGGACATATTAGCAAATTGTAGTACCTCTAGGCAAGCACTTAAATTGATGTTGTAAAAGAATATTTAATGGCATGGCATAATATATAGTTAAATGGGGGAAAAGATTACAAAAAACTATCAGTGAGATACTATTAATTAAATACATACATAATATAAAGTTAAGCCTGGTGGGGGAAAAAGAATGAGCATCAACTACTATTAATTCTTAATGGTATTATGGTCATTTGTATTTTCAACTTCTGGTTTCTGTTTTCTATGCTAAGTATGTATTACTATTTTAACAAAAATAACCAGAGTTGTTAATTTTTTTAACAAAAAAAATTATTTTGTTAGAATTCAAAGATTCACAGTCAGAAATGAGAAACTATAAAACAATATGCAGAGATTGTTTACTGTCAAATTCTTGCATTACCCAATTCATCTCTTAACATTGTGGACAAATACAAAGAAACCTACCATACATTATACAGTAAAATTTGAGACCTGGAGTCAGACTAACTGGATTTCAATCCAAGCTCTGCCATTTACTAGAGCTTGTTACCTGGACATTCTCATTTTCTCGCTTACAATAAGGATAACAATAGATCCATTTCACAGGGTTCTTTGAGAATAAAATACATTTTGGGGTTTAGCACTGTGTTTACGATACTCATTCAACAAGTATTAACTGATATAATTATTTTAAAAATTTAAAGCACATTAAATCACCTGTATCGCTTCTTTCTAGAATGAGATCTTGATCTTGATCGAGAACTAGACTGTGATCTAGACTTTGACCTTGAAGAATGTGATCTAGAATTGGAGCGACCCATTTCTTTTCTCCTAATCAAATGATAGGGCAAAAAAAGGTTAAAATTACAATATGATATTTAAAATTTTACATTATTACTTATTTTCAGATAAAATTTGATTTTTACAAGTTTCTCAAAGGCTATTATTCACCATCCTTTTCAAATCAGTATTCAGAAGACAAGTCAATTATCCCTGACTAAAACTGTTTTCACCTGCATGACAGGTACTGTCGATTAAAGACACAACTGAAGATTTTTACGGACTGCCCCACTTATGAGCCTCAATCCTAAAAGGCAGCAGCTGCAGAAGCCAGAAAAAGCAATGAGACTGCAGCAGCATGTTATGTGTTATTCCACGCCCAATACAAATGCCTACCCCTCCTGTAAGAAAGATAAATAATAAAGGTACTACAGATAAGGCAACTGAAATAAAATAAAGTGTCACAATACTAACAAAAAATAAACCTACCAGGCTGTTATCATAGTGCTTTATGGCCTTGAAAATGAGACTGAACTGACCACTCCATATACACAATCCTGTCTGGAGTGGTACTAGATAGTATCCTAGAACAATACAGGACACTAAGTTTCTAAACAGCTGGAGCCATGGCTCTGCTCTCAGTACTCATGACTCCAGAATAAAGTGGACTTATGTGACAATGCCTAGTTCACCCTGAAGCTTTCTGTTAAGAAGATTTAAAAAGAATAAAAGATAAAGAATTGGAGGGATTACTTCAAGAAAGATTTATTAGAACTACAAGAAAAAAAAAACTTGGGCACCAGTAGTTTAACTTTTCTAAACACTACATGGTATCCAATGCTATAATTAGACCTCATTGGGTACAGAAATCAGTAACTGTCAAAACTAATTGATTTATAAGATCTACTAATTGAAAAAACATACACATATAGCAAATCACTGCATGCATATCCCAAATGTCACATTTTCAACTTTTCAATGATTAGATTATATCTTAGCCTCTCAAGCTTGTTTTTGCTGCATAGAACTATTTCCAAATTTACACTAACTTACTCAAAAAGTATTCATTTCAATAAAAATCAACTTACTAAACTTCTAACACCTTGCAATTCCCATAATACTTAAATAGTATCTCCTACAACCAAGTATTTTTGAAGGCACTTTTTTACCTACCTAGACTTTGTTCGGTATAATAAAATAGTATTTGGAGGTACTAAGATGAGTTCAGTTATAGAAGAAGTAATGGTAATACTTGGATAGTTCCTCATCAAGCAATATAAATAACAAATTCAAGATGTTTGAGATAAATGCTTATTTCAAAATAAAACATAACTATCCTCTAATAGACTACCACCTTTGTCTTCTCTCACTCTTCTTCTCAATCCCAAGTAAGCAAGAAATACATAAAGACAGAAACAAAACATAGGTTCAGGGTTCAAAAAGGCAAAGTAAGAATTCCACAACACATAAGAAATAAATTTAGCATTAACATAAGGAGATCTGACACCTTGTAGAACACAAATTTGGTTTAGCAACTGTAGTTTTGACAACATAATGAAATTGGCAAAAACCACATTTACAGCCTGTAAAGGAAGGAATCTTGGCCACGGGGAACTGTGACATTCTCTTGCATCTGATTTCAAAATTCTGTCCCTCCCAAAGTTTTTAAAAGAATATAAATACGTAATTTACATTCATTCTGATCGAATTTACTTCAAGATATTTATTTTTATCCCACTCTGAGATAATCAGACACACTATAAAAAGAAACCAGAGCTGCAAATGATTTTGGAGATCCAGTCCAGCAATAAGACAACATCCTTTTTCATTGTACTAATCAGTAAATAAAACACTATTTTACTAAGAGCTACAGATGCTGTGTTGTGCTGTATCTCCAGAATCTCTGTTCTTTGCTCTTGAGGCTTTTTGGATGGTAATTTCTGTTAAAGGATTCAGGAATTCTGTAGGCTTTTTCAGTCACCAGGATGTAGCTGGGCTTGTGGCACACGAGCACAACAGGTATTTAATAAATAACTATAAAATGAATGCATTCCCCAGAACCTGGACATTTTTTAAAGCAGCAAGTTCATTTTTAAAGGTTTGCGTTTTGCTTTAAGCTACACCTGAAACTTCAAAAACTAACGGAAAGAAAGCATGCCTATCAAATAGTTAGCAGTCCAAAAGAAATGGATTGATATCTTCTGCTCTACTGCAAAAACAGGGAAAAAGCTAAGAACATGGTCTCTGCATTTAAACTACATGAATTCAAATTCCTTAAGCTCTCTGAGCCTGTTCCTCAACTGTAAAACGAAGAAAATAACAGTACCTACTTCACAGACTTGTAGTGGACTTAATGAGTTGATGAACTTAATTCACTTAATACATCTAACACATTAGCAATCAATTTGAATTACCTAAACACTACAGTAGAGAGAAACAAGTTATGAATCTCCTCTTGTTTACATTAGGGAAATGGGTTAAGTAGCAGTCTTTCTATCTTGTATGTCCTGAGTCTTTTAGTAGATGTGTTTATAGAAATAGAAAAAGCAGGAGCACAACCTGGAAGAAGACAGAAAAAGAACCTTTTTCCTAAAACTAACTTAACATCTGACTTACTTCATACAAGCCACCAAAATAAACAAAAAACAAAGCTTCGGACCACATCATTTTTAATCACTCCATCTGAATCATCAATTCAGTAGTGACATTTCCTCAAAAAAGTCAAAAGTGAAAACTAGAAAAATGAATGCTCTTTTACCTTGGTTTTATGCAGGATCAAGAAGTCAAGTGAAGTCTTTGAGATACTGTAAAAATTCTTCCTGGAGAGAATGCTCTGAGAAATTAAACTCTAAATTCGAATTCCTAGCAAAGACAAAAAAACCATTATTGTGATTTATGTTAAATTAAATAACCATTATTTACAATGCATATAATGGGCACTGCCATAAACTCTAATAAACGCACTTACAATTTCAGGGAAGGAAAAACTAATTCAGGAAATAGGAAACTTTTAACCGTAAAAGCTTAAAATTCAACTTTTTTGTAAACCACAATGCAGTAGCGTATCATGAAACTGACAGCATCTTTTTAACTACTTGAATTCTAATTTTAGTAATTTGAGCCTTAAAAAACATATGATATGTCGTTCCATCAGAAAATTCCAACGTAGCTAACATAATGCCATCTTGGTAGCGGGGCAAGGTAGCACAAGCCTGTAGTCCCAGCTACTTGGGAGGCTGATGCAGAAGGATCACTTGAGCCCAGGAGTTTGACACTGCAATGCACTGTGATCACACCTGTGACTAGCCTTGGCAACACACTCTAGCCTTGGCAACACAGCACGACCCCATCTCAAAAAAAAAAAAAAAAAAAAAAAAAAGGTAATCTGTAGTTAATTTTCATAATGCTCTACTTTATAACATCTAAAATATGAGTTTAATGCTCTGCTACTTATTCTCTTTTGGTACTTCCTTTCACACAATTTAGTTTCATGTGAAACTGATTTTTAAATCCACGTTAACAGCCATCATAGTAACTTTAAATTCTGTGCCTAAAAGCATCTTGATACGTCTACATTCAAATAAAAGAACAGTCAGCAATGAAACTTTTATCTACTGAAAGTCAATATTCTTCCTAAAATAATTTATCATTAATCTGTAAATAAACTTTGCACAAAATATTCAAGTTACCAATACTGAAAAGTTTAGCTTTATGTATATTCACATCAAGTATGTGCAAAGGATAGTCAAAAGCACCAGGCGAACAGAAACTAAGGAATACAAGATTAATATACATCAGCACTCAAAGAATTCATGAACAAGTTTAAATGGAAATCTGTAACTCTTACCAAGATCCAATTTTAAAAATAAAACGAGACTGGAAATACAAAGAAGAAATGGTAACATTAAACTGGTGAATCAAGAATAGCGTCTCCTAAAATATCCATGGCCCTCCAACTGGGGAGAGATTTGAGGTTCAGCCTAGGAAGGAGGAATCGGAACCTATTAAGGGAAACACTAAAAAAGTAGCAAAGTCAAAAAGCCAAGCAAGATTGGGTACAAAAACAAAGGATTTCTAAAGGACATATAAGTTTAGTTTTTAAAATATCAAAACCCCAAGTGGCCAGAGAAAAAAATGGCAATCTTCTAAACTGGAGTACTGTCATAAAACTATTCTGACCTGGAAAGTCATTACTACTGATTCACTCCTAGAAGTGGTACAAGGCTCATTTTAGCTAACACTTCCCTAAACAATTCCAAAAGGCTAATTTATATATATATATACATATATATGTGTGTGTGTGTGTATATATATATATATATATATATATATATCCAGAGAAGACCCAACTGCCAGATCTCTTTACTCCGTCATGGTATTTTGAAGTTCAAAGAAAATAAACACTAGATATAAAAAACTGACAGAACAGGGAATACAGGCTGTTAGACCAGTGGATATACATTCCTGTTCACAATCTATAAATATATTCAAGTATCCACACCAATAACTCAAATAATACACAAAATGTAACACACAATAAATAAGTCAGTATCAAAGACTGATTAGTTCAACTAATTTTTAAAAAATGAAAGTCTATATACAAAGCACAATGCTAATTACTATAGGAAATGTATCTATGTAAGTGGTCCCTGCCTTCCAAAAACCAAATCGAGAACAGTTATCAGCAACAAATCATAGTAAACTAAACATCTAAATACCAACCATGTGCCAAGAACTGTGCTAGGTGACTTAAAGTAAATAAAATAATGTCATATTTGATCCTGATAATCTCATGAGCTACATATTAATCCCATCTTTCAAATACAGAGAACCCTAAACTTTCCAGATAACTTGAGATAAGTGCCTTACATGCCAGGCACTACTATTCTAACGTTGGGAATACAGCATTTTAAGTTAAGACTTAAGCTCCCTACTCTCTTGAAGCTTTCAGAGAGGGGAAGACAGAAAACAAGGAAAAAATCAAATAGTGGCAAGTGCCACATTGGAGGGGGGGGAAAAGTACAAGTTAACATGCAGAGGAGGTGGGCAGGGGGACTACTTACTTAGGTGGATCCTTGGGCCCTCTTTAAGGAGGTAACATTTGGGCCTAAAGACAGGGAACACTGCAAAGATTCACAGAGGGAAGACCATACTAGGCAGAGGACACAAACTTAGCAAATTCAGGACAGAAAGACCAATAAGAAGGTTGAGACAACGTGATCAAGGAGTTGAGGGTATGAAATAGGGCAGCAGGAGGAGGAATGGACCAGATGAAATAGCATCTAGTAGATCATCAAAAGGGATCAGGATTTTACTCGGTTGAGAAACCCTTGCAGGGTTTTTGCTTGGGTGAGTCACTCATCTGATTTACATTTTAAGATGGCTGCTATATAAAAAATAAACAGCAATGAAAAAAAGAGGCAAATCCAAGATGTGGTTTGTCAAAATGACTTGTTAATGGATTGTTAGGGGTGTGAAGTACAGAGAGTGAGGAAAAATGAAAAATCACTAGTGCCCTTAAATTCTAGGTTTTAGATTCAAGCATCTGGGAGGACAAGTTTGGGGGAGAAAACAAAAGATGTGTTTGCCGTTTTTCGTGCCCACAGTCGGAGTGTAAATGGTTAATCCAAAATTTGACTGAAATCTCCTGACTCCAAATCCGGTGCTCTCTCTTCAATACCCTAAAAGGTGCTTGATGTTTCCAAAACCCAAATACAAAACTGAAAATGCCAAATTAATCTTCCCTTTATTACAACCAAGATCATTTGTTAATAGATTCCCACTTGTATACAGAAATAAGGAATAAATTGCCATATGTATCTTTAGCCAATTGACAGACCAACCAATGAGGAACACAGGATAAAATAAAGCAGGTTTTATTTTTAAAAATAAGGTTCTTAAATATCTAAACAGAGCCTATCTTTCATGAAATAATACATAATGACCAGCTAGAACATAAGTGATCAGAAACCAGCTAGAAAACAATTTATCAGGCCAGGAATGGTGGCTCACGCCTGTAATCCCAGCACTTTGGGAGGCCGAGGTGAGCGGATCCTGAGGTTAGGAGTTTGAGACCAGCCTGGCCAACATGGTGAAACCCCGTCTCTACTAAAAATACAAAAATCAGCCAGGCGTGGTGGTGCACGCCCATAGTCCCAAGGTACTCCAGAGGCTGAGGCAGGAGAATCACTTGAACCCAGGAGGCGGAGGTTGCAGTGAGCCAAGATTGCACCACTGCACTCCAGGCTGGGCAAGAGAGAGGCTGTCTCAAAAAAAGAAAAAAAATGATCAAGGTAACTGGGTTCAACAAAATACCCAAGACAAAGCCACCCAAAATGAATTCTTTAAGATTACTATTTCAAGCATACTTGATCCCAGTCTTCATTTTAGCAGGCTCAAGGAGTTTGGTCCCCAGATTGTTGTAAACAAAGTAATGCTATTTCCATCTTTTCAAATCCTAAAAATATAGCCCATGACTATTATTCCAGTAGTCTAGATTCAATTCCTGGCTCAGCCATTAACTAGCTGCCCAACACTGAACAAGTTACCTTCATCTGTCAGCTTCAAATTCTGCAGGTGTTTTTTTGTTGTTGTTGTTTTAAAGACTACTAATGGTACTTCCTTACAAGTACAGGGTTAAATGAACTAAGTAAGGCATGTAAACAGCTTAGTTTAATGTTTGGCCCGTGGTATACAATCTAGCATTAGCCATCATTATTGGTAACCCTTGTTTAGGCAGCCTTTCTGCAAGCTAACCACGTTTACTTAAAATGATTCTTGCATGTAAGGTTACCTAATATTTTTGATACAGCATTAATCAGCATCATTTAGAAGTCTTTCTAGACATGCTTAATAAAATGGGCTGGGTGCGGTGGCTTACACCTGTAATCCCAACACTTTGGGAGGGCGAGGCGGGCGGATCACCCGAGGTCAGGAGTTCGAGACCAGCCTGGCCAACATGCCAAAACCCCGTCTCTACTAAAAATATAAAAATTAGACGGGCGTGGTGGCAGGCGCCTGTAATCCCAGTTACTCTGGAGGCTGAGGCAGGAGAATCGCTTGAACCCATGAGGTGGAGGTTGCAGTGAGCCATGATCATGCCACTGCACTCCAGCCTGGGTGACAGAGCAAGACTCCATCTCAAAAACAGAAAAACTAGCCGGCCTTTGTGGTGTGCACCTGTAATCCCATGTAATCCCAGCTACTGGGGAGGCTGAAGCACAAGAATCACTTCAACCTGGGAGGCAGAGGTTGCAGTCAGCCAAGATCACGCCACTGCACACCAGCCTTGGCGACAGAGCAAGACTGTGTCTCAAGAAAAAAAAAAAAAATTAGCAGGACATGGTGGCGGGCCGGCGCCTGTAGTCCCAGCTACTTGGGAGGCTGAGATACGAGAATCGCTTGAACCAGGGAAGCGGAGGTTGCAGTGAGCCGAGATGGCGCCACTGCACTCCAGCCCGGGCTACAGAGCGAGTCTCTGTCTCAAAAAAATAAATAAATAAAATTAAAGTGTTTGAAAACTCTAAAATATTACACAAATATAATCTAGTATTATCTTCGTGTTAGTATATTCGTTGGTTTTCAGCCTTAGGGACAGTCAGATAAAATATTAAATGCTATGACTGAGGTAACACTTATTACCTGAGTATAAACAATTAACAAATTCATATCAAACAAGTACCCAGAGATTTTAGCTTCTTAATTCCCTCTTCTACTTATTTGGTAAATAACAAATCACTGTAAATTACACAGCTGAATTCAGCTAGTGTGCAACTACTGATTTCCAACGTAGTTTCCAGAAACTCCCAAACTAAGTCCTATGTAGAACTGATAAAACTTTTCTCCATTTCTAAGTCTTCTCATCACATAGTTAACCTCGTACAGCTTGCTGCCCACAAAAGTTGTTTAATAAATTCAACCGAGGCCAGGCGCAGGGGCTCATCCCTGTAATCCCAGCACTTTGGGTGGGCCAGGCGAGTGGATCACCTGAGGTCAGGAGTTCGAGACCAATATTGTGAAACTCCGTCTCTACTAAAAATACAAAAATTAGCCCGGTGTGGTGGCGGGCGCCTGTAGTCCCAGCTACTCGGGAGGCTGAGGCAGGAGAATCGCTTGGACCCGGAGACGGAGGCTGCAGTGAGCCGAGACTGGGCCACTGCACTCCTGCCTAGGCGACAGAGCGACATTCCGTCTCAAGAATCAGTCAATCAACCAGACCTGAGCCTACCAGTGAGTAGTACTTTTTACACGTCTGTCTTCAAGTCTTATACTACCACTGTTCCTCAAAGTCAAGAAGGGCTCTGGCTAAACAGCTTCCTTTGCCACCATTTTAATTATCTGAATTAAACAAGATATTTCAGTATTCACCACAATGTACTGGTTGAAACATGAAATCACTAAGAGAAGGTGCTCCAAGGTTGTTTACCATGAGCTACCTTTTTTAAGTGACAAGGTCTCGCTCTGTTGCCCCCGCTGGAGTGCAGTGGGACGAGCACAGCTCACAGCAGCCTCAAACTCCCGCCGAGGGGCCACTTTTTCCCTCCCATCAAATTACCTATCCTGAATTGGTCATGATCAAACAAAAATACAAAAGCCTTGTAGCAGTTTTTCCTACGTAAAGGTTATTTACTGCCTGAACAGTATCCTAACCATTCCAACTAAAGTCGAACTGAAATGAGAATTCACAAGAGGAACAAGAAATTTTGTTTTGCTTTGTAACACCAAAAAATTTAAAAGAGGCTGTTGCAGTGAGGTACAAGTCTGAAGTAGCTCATCTTTTTCGTCAGTGTTAGCCACACTTGCTTTCAACTTCAGTCTTAATTTGTTTCCAGTTCTAAAATGCTTTTTAAAAAAGTCTGAGGTAGCAAAGTAGCTGCTGGTACTTCAGCTTGATTCTGAAGAAATAAATCTTAAAAGCGAATCAAGCCAACTCATGAATTTAAAATGAAGGCAAAGTCCAATTCGCCACTCCCACCCATTTCTCACACCAGCTGTCCACCAATCGTGGCTGCAACATTTCTGACACGACTAAATGGGCTGAATCACTTGAAAAGACTCGGCTTCGCTAGTACTCATGAAGAACCGCACTTTCAGCCGGATGGGGCAGGGCCACGCTCAGAACCACCAGCTAAGACCCAATCCTCTCGCTAGGGAACCGTAACTAGGCAACCAGCACCAGTCAACAGCGCGCGCTCGCTTCAAAACAGCAGGTTGCCGCGGGTACCGAAATTAACTCCAGAGAACCAGGGTCAGCAGCGAGAGGCAGAACAGAGCACTAAAACCTAGTAGCATCACAAAAACGAGGCATTAACTGACGGGTGGTCTGAAGCCGGAGGGCAGTTTTAAAGACCACGCGAAAAGGGGTAGACCTACTCAACGCACTTTGCTGCGGGTCACAGTTATTTTCTCAAAACCCCACAGGCCACGAAGAAAGGTGGCAGTCCCAGCCAATGAGAGGCGGACACAAGTTGCACCTCCAGCGGCCGTCGGCGCCATAGGCGGGGGAGAGAAAAATGAACGAGCGCGCGTGCGCGGAGCGTTCAGTCGGGCGCGCGCAGAGGTACGGGCTGAAGAAATGGGGGAAGGGTGGAAGAGGAAGATATGCGCACGCGCACGGGAGGCCGCGCGGGCTGTGGGTCTCCAGGCAGGTTCGCAAACACGCGCGCGCCCGCCGTTAGCACTGCTCAGCGCCCCCGCCCGGCCTTTTCGGCCCGTAGTGCCTCGAAAACCTGAGAGAAGCTAACGAAAAAACGCATAAATAACGGCGCAACGTCTCCTTGGTTCTCCTTTCGCCGCCAACCCGACACCACCCACAAAAGAGTCAAAAATATGGCCTGTCCTCGGTCTTCACTGCCCCTGGAGTAACTTGAATACATTGCGAGGCCTACCTGACACGCCGAATCGCGGTTCCGGGAATTTATCTCCGTTGCAACCACACAGCGGCCATTTCCCGACTCAAGAACGCGAGGAAAACCATAGAGCTACCTTCGACGCGCTAGCACGTCTCCGTCACTTCCGATCTGGGGCGTGGCCTCGGGTGCCGCTAAATATGCGGGCAAGCCCCGCCCACCCTTCCGCTCCGGTCCGGCTTCCTGGCTGCTATTAAGATGTTGCCTGCGGCCTTCTGGGAAGTCGCGTGGCTGGTCTCGCGGGAAGATGTGACGGCTCCGCCCTCTGGCCCGTAGCGTCAGCCTTGGCCGGAGAGGCGGTAGAGTAGGGTGGGTGTTTTGTCAGGCCTGAGTTAGCTTCGCCATACGGCGCTTTTCGCTGGTGTCTCTGCCTCGTTCTGAGTAGACCCCCTAGACCTCACCGCCGCCCCTGCGTTTTACCTCAGTAAGCTCGTCTGGTCTGTTCTTTCTGTGGGGCCGGCTCAGACCAGGCAAAAAACAAAAAGACAATCCCACACTGAGGAAAAGACCAGGAGGCAAGACGTGGCTGTAATTGCAGACACGCTGCTCCCTCAGCCAGCAAGCGCCACTTTTCCTCTTGGACGCCTAACTGGAGATTAGAAAATGTGGCTTTTGGTTTGCTATTAAATTCGGCAGACGCACTTAGTTGAAAAATGGCCACGATCTAAATCCCTTTCGTGGCGTCTGATCAAATCGGAGCTCAAGCCGCAGCAGCCGGAAACCTCTTAGGCTGCTCGTGCCAAAGAAGGCCGCCCTTCTGGCGGCGTGATGACAGCTTTACCACATCGGCAACGTTGGCATAGGCATGAAAAAATAAAGAGCACGAAGCAGTTGAGCTTTCAGCCTGTGACGATGATTTGTGGCAGCCGAGGAACACAGCCCAACGTAGCTTGGTTGTCCAGAATTATAAGTCAGATTATAAATAGGCAAGCCACATTCGATTTGAATAGAATTTAAATAACAGCCGTAGCACATTTTGCATTAATACTTCTCCGGGCTGCACTTTCTTAGGGCCTAAAACCGCTATTGCTTTGATGTTTAGAGATGTTAACTACCTTGATGGATTTCAGACTTGTAATTAGCAACCAGGGTGTCAGTGAGTGAATCGAAACTAGGATTGGGCCCTGGTTGTGAATTTAACACTGTGCTTAGAGCATTCTTTCTTCACAGTCCAGTTTACCAGCTGAACTAGAAAAACGACAACATTTTCATGGAGTGAATCGTAGGTTTTTTATTGTACAGTCTGTCCCTCACCCCATTACCACCTCAGGATGTGGACACAGAAATCCTTGGCCTTTTTGTTGTGCCCTGATGTCCCAAGCATTCGCAGGTTCTCAGAAATATTTGTTGAGTGAATGAACTATATTTAAAAAAAAAACAACTAAGGGCTCAATACACGTCTGCTATTCTGCATGTATTGGGAGTCGGGGCGCTCCCAATACATGCTGTTATTCATTTATTCAAAATACCCCAAATTGCAGGCTAGGATATTATCTTCGACCTCCCTCTGCAATTCTATTGCACATGTGTTGAAAATGAAGTATCTATTTGAGGCAATATAACTGATTATGATTTTATTTACATAACATGAGGTAGTAACAAAGGAGATCCTTTGGAACAAAGCCTTTAGTAAGTGGAAGTTATACAGACTTCCCTTGAAATAGATCCATTTGATACGTGATGCTTTCCCAATCTACAAAGTAGGAGGTTCTTGAATTTAGATGTTTTATGCACATTCTTATTTTCAAAACCTGAAATTCCACCATTACAGATTCATTCTTTGTAATAAATTTTTTTCCTATTAAAATACAAACGCCGAAAAGAGCAGAGGAAAAAAGAGCCCATTTAACAAATGAGCATTGCAGAAAAATAGAACATTATCTCAAGAAGAAATACAAGTTGTAAACAAATGACCAAACTGCTAAAAAGGTACAAAGAGAATGCTGAGATAAATTAGTAAGCTGATTTTAATTTTAAAAAAAAAAAAAAAACAGAGTCTCGCTCTGTCGCCCAGGCTGGAGTGCAGTGGCGCGATCTCGGCTCACTGTAACCTCCGCACCCCCAGGTTCAAGCAAGTCTCCTGCCTCAGCCTCCCAGGTAGCTGGGGTTACAGGCTCCCGCCACCAAGCCTAGCTAATGTTTGTATTTTCAATAGAGACAGTGTTTCACCATGTTGGCCAGGCTCGTCCCAAAGTCCCGGCCTCAAGTGATGCGCCCGCCTCAGCCTCCCAAAGTGTTGGGATTACAGGCGTGAGCCACCGCGCCCGGCAAGGTAATTTTAATTTATGGTCATGGAGAAGTTATTGTTAATACGATTATAAAACTCTTTCTTGAAAGATATTGCTTCTGTTTTGGTTTGATTTTAATTTAAGATAATTGAAAAAGAGAAATGGGCCAGACGCTGTGGCTCACGCCTGTAGTCCCAGCACTTTGGGAAGCCGACACGGGCGGATCACTTGAGGTCTGGAGTTCGAGACCTGCCTGGCCAATATGGTGAAACTCCGTCTCTTCTAAAAATACAAAAATTAGCCGGGCTTGGTGGTGGGCACTTGTAGTCCCAGCTACTTAGGAGGCTGAGGCAGGAGAATCGCTTGGACCCGGCAGGTGGCGGTTGCAGTAAGCCGAGATCACACCACTGCACTCCAGCCTAGGCGACGGATCAAGACTGTATTTCAAAAAGAAAGAAAGAAAGAAAGAAAATGAAAAAAGAAATGGAGACAAGAAAAGGAAAAAGAGAAATGGAGAAGAATGGATATGTGAAAAGGACAAAGATAAGAAGATAGGAATGAGGATGGGGTTGGAAGTCTAGCAGGAAGGCAAGCTCCAAGACCTGACTGGTTTTGCTTGGTTTGTTTTGTTTATCTTTTTAGATGGAACATCTGAACTATTTCCGTATTTGGGGAAATTGAAGCTGAAGTGGTATTTGGAGTCTCACTCTTCCCACTCCCTGAAAATACTGGCATTGGGAACCCAACAGTAGTAGTGGGAAGCAGGCAGCAGAGGAAACGTGACCAACAGAGATTCCCTAACTAGAGTGCTGATGGGGCCGGACTTTGGCTGTAGTTCCTGCTGCATGGCCTCCATTTGTGCATATCCCTCTACAGGCTTTGTGCTAATTTCTTTTTTTAATTTTAAGTGATAAAATGTTCATTGATTCTTTGAGCTAGCTGGTATCCTTCCAGTAAATTTCTTTTCCTGATGAGTTAATCAGAATTGGTTTCTTTTGTTTGCTAAGAACCCTGAACTCCATGTCACAGTTTTGAGTAGAAGCAGGTCCTATTTATGAGGTCAGTTTTCCAAATGATCTGGCATTTTTTTAGATCTGTACCAGTGAAATAAATGGTTCCCCTTGTCTAGACTATTTCATTCCTACTGGTGAACAAATTGACTAGGATATTTTCCTTATTTTTCTATCCCCTTTTACATACTAAGAATGTAGAGTTATTTATTTTATTTAAAATATTTTAATTTTATTTTTTCAATTTTAATTATTTTGGTTTAAAATTACCAAAATTATTTAAGAATTATGTATTTACAGTGTTGTTCCTTAATATTCATCTCACCATTTTGAAAAAAAATTGAAATATCAAAATGAGCCAGGTATGGTGGCTCACACCTATAATCCCAGCACTTTGGGAGGCTGAGGTAGGAGGATCACTTGAGCCAAGAATTTGAGACCAACCTAGGCAATATGTGAGACCTTGTCTGTTCGAAAAATTTAAATATTTGGATTTTTTTGTTGTTGTTTTTTGGTTTTGGGTTTTTTTCTTTTTGAGACGGAGCCTTGCTCTGTTGCCCAGGCTGGAGTGCAGTGGCGGGATCTCGGCTCACTACAATCTCCGCCTCCCAGGTTCAAGCAGTTCTCTGCCTCAGCCTCCCAAGTAGCTGGGGTTACAGGCGTGCACCACCATGCCCAGCTAATTTTTGTATTTTTAGTAGAGACAGGGTTTTACCATCTTGGCCAGGCTGGTCTTGAACTCCTGACCTCGTGATCCACCTGCCTCGGCCTCCCAAAGTGCTGGGATTACAAGCGTGAGCCACCGCGCCCAGCCGAAAATTTTAAATATTAACCTAGTGTGGTGGTTCCCACTTGTAATCCCAGCTACTCAGGAGGCTGAGTTAGGAGGATTGCTTGAGCCTGGGAGGCGGAGGCCACAGTAAGCCAAGATTGTGCCACTGCACTCCTGCCTGGGCAACAGAGCGAGACTCTGTCTCAAACAAACAAACAGAAAAATATCAAAATGTGACTGTTAACTATTGTTTCTAAGTTCTATCAAGATTAATGCGCATCTTTCTCAGAAAGATGGAAAAAACAAATAGAACATTAAATTCTTTCAAAGTTTTCATAAGAAATCTTTGCCCAGAAATTATGCCAGCTTGCTGTTTAATGTAACTATTGAAGAACAAAGAGGGAACCCCCCCTAAAATGGGGCAACAGAATCATGATGGGATTCATACCCAGAAATCATTTCTTCCTTAGGAGAGGTTATAAGAGTTACAGAACAACTCCTTCTTTTAAAGCAGTTATCCAGTTGCCAACAAATATCTCTGTTTGCCCCCTGAAAAGTCTGAAAGCTCAGTTCTACCCAGACAATTTATCTCACAGAAGGCTAAAATCACCTAAGCAAAGGGCTGCAACCAATGATGATATTTAAAAGTAGTGAAATACAGAGCATAGAGTATTGCAGGTAGGAGTGAGATAGGCTGAAATTTCAGCCTCATTGCTTATTTTAAAAGAACTAAGAATTAAGCCTGGCCTGGAGAGGGAGTCACCGTTGATATTGACAAGCCCTAATGCCGGTTTTCTTAAAGTGTAAAACAGAAGCCAACTCATGAGAATAACCTAGGTTGTTTAAGAGAACTGAGTCTCATTACACATTTATTGAGGCAGAATCTGTGGGGGTAAGGATACACACTAAAGTTTTAGAACCACTGATTTATTGAAGACCTGTCATATTCTAGATATTACAGACCAGACCAAGGGTCTCCAACTCCCAGACCAGTCCACACAGAAGGAGGTGAACATCAGTCCAGCGAAGCTTCATGTATATTTACAGCCACTCCCCATCACTTGCATTACCATCTGAGCTCTTCCTCCTGTCACATCAGTGGTGGCCTTAGACTCATAGGAGCGTGAACCCTATTGTGAACTGCGAGTGCAAGGGATCTAGGTTGCAGGCTGCTTGTGAGAATCTAAGGTCTGATGATCTGTCACTGTCTCCCATCATGCCAACATGTGATCATCTAGTTGCAGGAAAACAAGCTCAGGGCTCCCATTGATTCTACATTATGGTGAGTTGTATAATTATTTCATTATATATTACAACATAATAATAGTAGAAATAAAATGCACAATAAATGTAATGCACTTAAATCATCCTAAAACCATCCTACCGCCCTCAGTCTATGAAAAAATTGTCTTCCACAAAACCGGTCCCTGGTTCCAAAAAGGTTGGAGACCACTGTTACAGACTACAAAGCAGTATGAGACATCGTTGCTGCTTCTCTGTTGTAACTCAAAATCCAGCAGAGAGAGGGTGTAACTCTCACATCAGATCTACATGGGAGCAAGTGCCTATGGTGAAAGAGGGAAAGAACTAGCATTTTAAAAATGAGTGGGATTTCACCCGTCATTTATTCATTTGTTTATTTAGTCAGCAAATATGCCTGAAGCATGTGCCATTTGTAGGTACTGAGCCAGGTGCTCAGGATGGAGCAGTGATGAAGCCTAACGCTGACACTGCTCCCAGGTAGACTGCCTCTCTGTGAGGGAGACAGAACACACGTAAGCAGACACAAATTGTACTATCAATCAGGACGTGATAGAAAATCAAAGAAGGAGACCTTATTTATCTATTTATTTATTTAACTTTTAAGTTCAGGAGTACAAGTGCAGATTTGTTACGCAGGTAAACTTGCATCCTGGGGGGTTGTTGTAAAGGTTATTTCATCACCAAGGTATTAAGCCTAGTACCCATTAGTTGTTTTTACTCATCCTCTTCCTCCTCCCACCCTCACCTTCCTAAAGGCCCTAGCATGTGTTCTTCCCCTCAGCGTGTCCATGTATGTGTTCTCATCATTTAGCTCCCACTTATAAGTGAGAACATGTATTTGGTTTACTGTTGCTGTGTTAGTTTGCTAGGGATAATGGCCTCCAGCTCCATCCCTGTTCCTGTAAAAGACATGATCTCATTATTTTTTTATGGCTGCATAGTATTCTGTGGTGTATATGTACCACATTTTCTTTATCCAGTTCATCACTGATGGACATTTAGGTTGATTCCATGTCTTTGCTACTGTGACTAGTGCTGCAATGAACATATGTGTGCATGTTCTCTTTATAATAGAACAATTTGTATTTATTTGGGTATATACCCAGTAATGGCATTGCTGGGTCAAATATTTCTTTTTTTTTTTTTCTTTTTTATATTCGAGATGGAGTCTCGCTCTGTTGCCCAGGCTGGAGTGCAGTGGCGCGATCTCGGCTCACTGCAATCTCTGCCTCCCAGGTTCAAATGATTCTCCTGCCTCAGCCTCCTGAGTAGCTGGGACTATAGGTGCGCACCACCACGCCTGGCTAATTTTTGTATTTTTAGTAGAGATGGGGTTTCACCATATTGGTCTTGAACTCCTGACCTCATGATCCACCCACCTCGGCCTCCCAGAGTGCTGGGATTACAGGTGTGAACCACTGTGCCCTGCCTGGGTCAAATATTTCTGTTTTTAGATCTTTGAGGAATCACCACACTGCCTTCCACAATGGCTGAACTAATTTACACTCTCACCAACAGTATATCGAATTTCTTTTTCTTCACAACCTCGCCAGCATCTGGTATTTTTTTGACTTTTTAAGAGTAGCCATTCTGACTGGTATGAGATGATATCTCATTGTGGTTTTTATTTGCTTTTCTCTAATGATCCGTGATTTTTTTTTTCTGTTTTTTTGTTTTTTTGGTTTTTTTGAGACAGAGTCTCCCACTATCGCCAGGCTGGAGTGCAGTGGCACGATCTCAGCTCACTGCAACCTCCGCTTCCCGGGTTCAAGCGATTCTCCTGCCTCAGCCCCCCGAGTAGCTGAGACTACAGGCGCGCACCACCACGCCCGGCTAATTTTTGTATTTTTAGTAGAGACTGGGTTTCCCCATGTTAGCCAGGATGGTCTTGACCTCTTGATCCACCCGCCTCGGCCTCCCAAAGTGCTGGGATTACAGGTGTGAGCCACAGCGCCCGGCCTGATACCATTATAATAATTGGAAAGATTAGAGAGAATGATAGGGAAGGGAAGAATGAAACAGATTGGGAAAAGGGAAGGAAATCAGGAATTCCATTTTGAATATATTAGGCTTGATATGTGTGTGAAACTTTTAAGTACAGAGGCAAGGTATGAAGTTAAATGTGTGCATCCGTGGTTCAGAGGTGAGTTCTAGCCAAGAGATAAAGCAAAAAGATTATATTTAGAATTATTGGATGAGGCTTGGCGCATTGGCTCACACCTGTAATCCCAACAATTTGGGATGCCAAGGCAGGAGAATGGCTTGAGCCTAGGACTTCAAGACCAGCCTGGGCAACATAGGGAGACCCCGTCTCTATTAAAAGTTTAAAAATTGGTTGGGTGTGGTGGTGCACAACTGTAGTCCCATCTACTTGGAAGGCTGAGGCAGGAGGATTTCTAGAGCCCAGGATGTTGAGACTGCAGTGAGCCATGATTGCACCACTGCACTCCAGCATGGGTGACAGAGCGAGACCCTTTCTAAAAAAAAATAAAATAAAATAAGATAAAATCACAGGATGAGAAATATAGGGAGACAAGAGAAGACAGCCTAGGAGTGAACCCTAAAGAATCCCAACATTTAGAGATTTGTTAAAAGAGGAGGCGGAGCCAATAAAGGAGACTGAGAACAGCCTATGAAGTAGGAAATAAGTGAAATCAAATGTATTGGTTGTCTACTGCTGCGTAATGAATGACCCCAAATTTACCAGCTTAATGTTTACTATCTCACAGCTCCTGTGGATCAGAAATCTGAGAGTGATTATTTGGGTGGTTCTGGCTTAGGGTCCCTTGAAGTTGCACTCCAGCCTGGGTGACATAGGGAGACTATCTCTAAAAATAAATAAATAAGTCATTTTAAAAATCTCATTTAAAAATTTATCTATCTATGTAGAAACAGAAGAATCAACCTCAAAATGATACTGTTCTGTGTATATATTGAATGGCCACATCACTGGCAATTTTTAAAACATTTTCTTCCTTTGCTCTTCTGTATTTTCTAAAATTTCTACAATAAAAATTACTTTCATAATATTAATATCAAAAAACTTTTAAAAATGTAGACCATTGAATTTTATTTGAATTGTGTAAGATAATGAAGACCTAAAAACTGAGAGGTCTTGTTTTTGTTTTTTGAGACAGAGTCTCGCTCTGTTGCCCAGGCTGGAGTGCAGTGGCACGATCTCAGCTCACTGCAACCTCCACCTCCCAGGTTCAAGCAATTCTCCTGCCTCTGCCCCCCAAGTAGCTGGAATTACAGGCATGCACCACCACGCCTGGCAAATTTTTGTATTTTTAGTAGAGACGGGGTTTCACCATGTTGGCCGGGCTGTTCTCAAATTCCTGACCTCAGGTGATTTGCCAACCTCGGCCTCCCAAAGTGCTGGGATTACAAGCGTGAGCCACCTCGCCCAGCAAGTTTGTGTGTGTGTGTGTGTGTGTGTGTGTGTGTGTGTGGTTCTTCCAAATCAAGCGTAAAAGCTCTCATTTAATAAACAAGAAGAATAAGGATGGGTATGGTGTCTCATGCCTGTAATCCCATCACTTTAGGAAGCCGAAGAGGGAGGATTACTTACACCCAGAATTTGAACTGTGTGAGCCACTGTACTCCAACCTGGGTGACAGAGAGAGAACCTACCTCTAAAAAATACAAACATACATATATACATAATAAAATATCCATTACTAAATCACAATCTTGATAAGCCTAATTATAAACTGCTGCTAGGAGAATATTTGCTTCCAGAGAGAATCTTTTAGATTTGTTTTTGTGGGATTTTGGGGTTTTTTTTTCCTAGAGTGCTCTATAGTCCTCTTTTAGCTTCATGAATCTTCTGTCGAGCAATGAAGGGGAGTACTTGGTTCAACAAGAGAAAAACATATATAAAATTGTTTGCTTCCATTTAAAAGGAAACTTTACACTGAATTCCAACCAACTGTGATAGATAGATCTAAAAATGGCTTAATCCTTTGCAAGACAGTTATTTTTCAAAGTTCTATTTGTCATATTAGGGTCTGGCTAATTATGTTAAAAGCACCACTGGCTGATTTCTTAAGTTCCATTTTAGAGAGTATAGTGAAAGCACAGACCTGACTTTGTGTTTCTAGTATTTGTGCCATTATTTTTTAATCTACATTATTAAGCTTAACTTTGTACTGTAATGAGGTTAATTTCTACCCACACAAGCCCATCCAGTAGCTTTTCCTAAACACATTCATTCTTTGTTATATATTCCAGGGAGATATTTCTGTCAATGGCATGTGAGATGATCTATTCACTCCATGATGAGATGCTTACTGTTTGAAAACAAATTCATTCACATGCTTAAAAATTGCTCAGGAGCAGGAACTATACAAATATTTATTGTTATTGGCCATTTATAATTTATTCATAGTGATCCAGCTGACAACCATCTGGTGCATAAAACTGAAAATTGGAAGAAAAAAAGAGTAAAAGTCCCTGGAAAAATATAATTTAGTCTCCATATGTCTTTGATACATATTCAATACAATTTATTACTTGCTAGTGGTATGAGATGCTCTATAATAATAGATACATATATGAAATTTAACACAAAGGGAAATTGACATTTTACTCAAAAATGTATGTTGAAGGACAAAGTGAAGACAGTAGTAATAATACAGTAATTAGCAAATGTACATTGGCAAAGATAGTATAAACTAGGCTGTGGTAACAAATAGACTCCGGAATACATAATGACTTACATGCAATAGAAGCTTTTTCTCAAACAGTCCAAGACAGTTGAATTAGGTTGGTAAGTATTTTCTCCATGCAGTGATTCAGGGCCCTAAGCCATCTTGTGACTCCATGGATAGAACTCAGGGGTCTACCAATTCCCAAAGAATCCGTGGATAGAATTCAGACCTGTCACTATAATTTGTTGTTGTTGTTGTTGTTGTTTTTAATTCAATAGTTTTTTGGGTACCGGTGGTTTTTGGTTACATGGATGAATTCTTCAATGGTGAATTCTGAGATTTTAGTGCACCCATCACCCAAGCAGTGTACACTGTACCCAGTATGTAGTCTTGTATCCCTCACACCTCTCCCAACCTCCCAGAGATGTCGCTATATTTGTATGGGAAAAATTACATCCCTGTTGGGGCCGGGCGTGGTGGCTCACGCCTGCAATCCCCGCACTTTGGCAGGACAAGGCGGGCGGATTACCTGAGGTCAGGAATTTGAGACCAGCCTGGTCAACATGGTGAAACTCCATCTCTACTAAAAATATTTAAAAAATAGCCAGAAATGGTGGCAGGCACCTGTAATCCCAACTACTCGGGAGGCTGAGGCAGGAGAATCACTTGAACCCAGGAGGCAGAGGTTGCAGTGAGCCGAGATCGTGCCACTGCACGCCAGCCTGGGCAACAGAAAGAGACTCTGTCTCAAAAAAAAAAAAATAAATAAAAATTACATCCTTGTTAACTTCAAACTGAAATTTATCATTTCCCTTAATTATGAATGTAGGCAAAACCACAGAAGTATTACCAGTACTTATGACTTTGTAATAAATAAAAATCACCGATTTTTAAAAAATCATTACTGTTAGGCCAGGCATGGTGGCTCATGCCTGTAATCCCAGCACTTTGGGAGGCCAAGGCGGGCAGATCACAAGGTGAGGAGTTGGAAACCAGCCTGGCCAATATGGTGAAATCCTGTCTCTACTAAAAATACAAAAATTAGCCAGATGTGGTGGCGCATGCCTGTAGTCCCAGCTACTCGGGAGGCTGAGGCAGAAGAACCACTTGAACCCGGGAGGCAGAGTTTGCAGTGAGCTGAGATGGCACCACCGCACTCCAGCCTGGGCAACAGAGCCACAGCGAGACTCCGTTGCAGAAAAAAAAAAAATTGTTTTGTAGATCTTTCAAAGAGTTGTTTCTACTTGGAATGCTTTCAAAATTATAGTAGTTGTATACCCGCCTCTAGATCCTCTACTTTAATGTATTTTTTAAAAAGCATATTATCTTAACCTTTACGGTAGCTCCCAGTGATCCTGGTTTCCTGGCATTCGTACCCTTGTGTAATCCCCTTCCAGTAACAGAATATGGCAGAAATGATGGGATGTCATTTCTGAGATTAAGTGTACTGAATCTATGTTCTGTACCCTCTCTTCGAGCACTTGCTACAGGGGAAGTGAACTGCTATGTCCTGAGATAACTGAGAGGTTGTGGAGAGTGACTCCATGAGTCTGTGGAGAGGTCAATATGACAAAGAACTGAAGCTTGCCAATAGCCATTTGAGTGAGCTTGGAAGTGGACCTTTCCCCAGGTAATGCCTCCAGATGACTGCCTATTTAGTTGGCATCTTGATTGTAGCCTTGTGAGATACCCTGAGCCGCAACCACCCAGCTAAGCTGGTCTCAGATTCCTGACCCCCAGGAATGTGAGAGAATAAATGTTTTAAGCTACTAAGGTTGGAGAGAATTTATTATATATCAATAGAGAGCTAATGTATACATATATCATTGTATCACTAACTTACTTTTTTTTTTTTTTTTTTTTTTTTTGAGAGAGTGTGGCTCTTGTTGCCCAGGCTGGAGTGCAATAGTACAATCTTGGCTCACTGCAGCCTTTGCCTCCCAGGTTCAAGTGATTCTCCCTACCTCAGCCTCCTGAGTAGCTAGGATTACAGGCGCCCGCCACCACACCCAGCTAATGTTTTTTGTATTTTTAGTAGGGACGAGGTTTCGCCATGTTGGCCAAGCTGGTCCCAAACTCCTGACCTCAGGTGATCCACCCACCTTGGCCTCCCAATGTGCTGGGATTACAGGCATGAGCCACCGCGCCCAGCCTGTATCACTAACTTTCTAAATGTTTTTATAATTGTATTCATTATAATTTGTTTCCTTTATAAATCTATTATTTTGTTTTATGCATTTTAAAACATTATTTTGCCAGGCATGGTGGCTTGTGCCTCTAATCCCAACCATGCAGGAGGCGGAGGCAGGAGGATTACTTGAGACCAGGAGTTTGAGACCAGCCTGAGAAACACAGTGAGACTCTGTCTGTAAAACAATAAAAATTAAAATTTAAAAAATAATAAATAAAATGTTATTCTGAGAAGGGATGCAGAGCATTCTTCAGTGTGCCAAACAATCCATGCATGGTACAAATAAGATTAACCCTTTCTGGCCAGGTGCGGTGGCTCACGCATATAATCCAGCACTTTGGGAGGCCGAGGTGGGCGGATCACAAGGTCAGGAGTTCGAGACCAGCCTGGCCAATATGGTGAAACCCCATCTCTACTAAAAATACAAAAGTTAGTCGGGCGTGGTGGCATGCACCTATAGTCCCAGCTACTCGGGAGGCTGAGGCAGAAGAATCGCTTGAACTCGGGAGGTGGAGGTTGCAGTGAGCTGAGATCGTACCAGTGCACTCCAGCCTGGGCGACAGAGTGAGATTCCATCTCAAAAAAAAAAAAAAAAAAAAAAAAAGATTAACCCTTCCTGTGGCCTCATTGTTGCCTTGTACTAGCTGGCAAAAGGAGGACAGATCAGGGAGGAGACATACCTCTTTTTAATATCCTTAACCTAGGAGTAGCAGACATTTCTAATCACATTTATTGCAATAAACATGGACACATCTTGATGCAATAGACACTGGCAAATGGTCCTGGGTAAACTGTCATTTGCTCTATATGGCGCAAGGACCTATTTTGATAGTACCAGAGCAAATGCCCAAAATGTTAATAAAGCAATGAAAATAATATCTGCCAGAATAGAATCTTAGGGTTTTTTGAAAAATAAACACAAGGAATCAAATTAAAGAAACAGATGGTGATGACATAAAAAATTTTGTGAACTTTTATTCCAAATGATATTTGTAGATCTGAAGATGTAAAGAACTGATTTGGATTTAGACTCCAGATCAGAAATATCAGAAATCAAATTATTCTTCAGTCTTCCTTAAGAATGAATAAATTTTGTAAGATTATGAACATAAAGTCTTAATTTTCCTGAAGTCACAGAACAAATAATAGGATAGTATCCTTGTTGTTTTATTCAGTAAACATTTGCTGAGGGTCTACTGTGTAACAGGGACTGTACTAAGTACTGGGGAAAAAGAGACTGCCAAAAATATGACAAGACCCCTGCAATGGACTGAATGTTTGTGTTGCCCCCAAAATTCCTATGTTGAGAACCTAATCTCAATGCGATGGTATTTGGAGGCAGGGCCTCTGGGTAGTAATTAGGACATAAGGGTGGGGCACTCATAAATGTATTAGTGCCCTTATAAGAAAAGCCCAGAGAACTACCTAGCTTTTGGTAGAATTATTGAAAATGCACTGTGATGGTTAATGAGTGTCAACTTCATTGGATTAAAGGATGTAAAGTATTGTTCCTGGGTGTGTCTATGAGGGTGTTGCCAAGGGATATTAACATTTGAGTCAGGGGACTGGGAGAGGCAGACCCACCCTCAAACTGCATGGACACCATCTGAGCAGCTGCCAACCAGGCTAGAAAAAGCAGGCAGAAGAAGGTGGAAGGAGACGTCTTGCTGAGTCTTCGGGCCTTCATCTTTCTCCCGTGCTGGATGCTTCCTGCCCTCAAACATCATACTACAAGTTCTTCAGCTTTTGGACTCTTGGACTTACACCAGTGGTGTGCCAGGGGCTCTTGGGCTTTCAGCCACAGACTGAAGGCTGTACTGTCAGCTTCCCTGCTTTTAAGGTTTTGGGACTCAGACCAGCTTCCTTGTTCCTCAGCTTGCAGATGGCCTATTGTGGGACTTCCTCTTGTGATCCTGTGAGTCAATTCTCCTTAATAAATTCCCCTTCATATATACATCTATCCTATTAGTTCTGTCCCGCTAGAGAACACTGCAGAAAACACTGCATTTATGAAACCACATAAATGGTGTTGTGTGAAAAAATTAGTTATCTTGATGACTAATGACTCCTGGAGAAAAATCAAGACACAGATAAGTTGGGCTGCCAATAGCTCATCAGATGTCTTTGAGAAGATGAGGCAAAACTACCCTTCCTTGGACTTTCTGCCACTTGAGGATACAAGGAGAAGTTGTCAGCCTGCAACCCAGAAGACCCTCACCAGAACTGGACTATGGTGGCACTCGATGTCAACTTTCCAGCCTCCAGAACAGTGAGAAATGTTTATTTTGTTTGTAAGCCACCCAGCCTATGGCAATTCATTCTATCAACCTGAACTGACAGTCAGCCTGTTTCCAGAGATCTTATATTGAGGGAAATGGCTCAGCAAAGTAAATCCGTACAGTAATATTTACTAAGTTCTGTGACATACATAAACAGAATGCTAAAAGCAATGTGCTAACAGCAAAATCATTCACAGTTTTTTAATTTCAACATAATTGGACTAAAAATATTAAATTAAATTGGAATGTCAGGCTTCAGTTGTTAAATAGGGTAAGATTCCTATGGGGATAATTTTTTATGCCCTCCCAGGACCCTGAATCTACAAAGTAAAGCTGTCCCCCAATGTTCACAGAAAGTTTTCAGAAAAGATCTTAGGCCTCTGCTCATGGGGAATGACAAGAAAGACTTGAAAATCCACAGTGTGGTTCCATAAATGCAATGTCATGTGAAAAAACTAGTTATCCTCTGCTCCTTCCAATGTTCACAGGCTGACTCATGACTGATGACTCCAGGGAAAAATCAAGACACAGGTAAGTTGAGCTGCCAATAGCTCATCAGATGTCTTTGAGAAGATGAGACAAACTTACCCTTTCCTCAGGCTGAGGCATCCCCACGCTTAGGCTTGTGGCTCGAAGAGCAGGCGAGCAGAGTGCAGGCTGGAGCTCGGCCCTATTTGAGCCTTTGGCTATACATTCTGGCACAATAGAGGCCCTGCCAGAAGCTCCTTGGCAAAGTAACACCTCTCCCAACTGCACCCTTCTTTCTGAACACCTATTACTTTGTTATTCAGCCCTCAACAACTTGGGGTTCCTGGGACTATGTCATTCTTCCTGCTTAGTTGACAGTGTTATACAAGATTATATTCATTTTCATAATGTTGAATATTCATTCTTCAATCAACAAATATTTATTGAAGAATAAATGAGGTATTTGAAGAAATGAAGTATTATACACTTATGACAGATAAATAATAGAAAATTATCTCGTTGAAACCCAGGCTCACATCAAGTAACTGGTATAATCTGTATTTCATTGAAACATCACTCTTTGTCATTGCATATTTCAGGAAAAATAAGGGACTAAGCAAATGAATTTCCCAGTTCTATTTAAGGAAATATTTGATTTTCAAGAGGTGGTCTTCAAAAAGATCTGATTGCCTCTCAGGAAAGATACTAATGCTGGCATTCTGCCCAAGTGATTGTATTTGCCTCTGTGATATATGTGTATATATGTATATTTGATAATGTGTATCCTCCCTTCACTAAACGGTTTATAACAGTGGTACTCAAGCCTGTTGTTTTAACATACTGATGAGTTGTACAGCATTTTCAAAGTGACTTACTACCAAGAGGCTGAACTGAGATAGTCCTTCTTCCTTCTTCCAGGAGAGGAAGGGTATTCCCGTTCATCCCAGTAATGCTAATCGAGGAAATGGTCCTCGAGGAAATGACGCTGCAGCAACAGCATCACCTGGGGACTTGTTAGCAACAGAAGTTCTCAGACTCCGCCATAGAACTACTGAATCAGAAATTCTGGAATAAGGCCCAGCATTCCATGTTCTAACAAACCTTCCAGGTGACTGTAATGTACATTCAAGTTTAAGAACCACTGTAATAGACCCATTTCTTGGTTGATTAAATGGATCTTATATTGTAAATAAGCAGAATAGTCAAATGTTCCTTCACACAATAGGCTAGGGCTGCTATTTGACAGGATCATGGTCGTTTTAACAGGAGGAATATGATGAATCTGAAAAATGGAAACAATATTTGCAATGGCAGTTGTGTGTCCCTATGCAACATGAGGTGGGGAGGCCTTGAGGATTCCACTGATGGAAAGAATTGAGCTGAAATCTGAGCACCTGCCATCCTCTTCCTCCTCTCCCCTCCCAACATCTGCATGGAACCACAGCCCTCCCCTCTTTCCTTTGGAGCCAGTGAAGCATGGAAAGGGGAAAGTCATTCCCAGCATCCACCAAGGTTTAGAGGTAGTGTCATAAGCAAACATCTATACCAGCAAGTTCTCCAGTAAGGAGGGGCAGAGGCAGCGTGTGGGCCACACACTGAGTTTGAAAAGTAGCAGAGTTTGAAAAGGAGTTAAGGAGTTATGGGCAAGAGATTAGGTGGCCAGTGGGAGGAGATTGAGAATAAAGCAAACCAGAAACCCTCAAAGACCTGAGGCATGTGGCTTGAAGAGCAGGTGAGAAGTTTTTGCCTGCCCATGCAGTTAAATGTCGCAAATCCCAGTTCATTCTAATTGATGCAGCTTTAGGAATGATTTTACAGTAAAAACCCACTGCTTAGAATGTCATTTTAGTTCATTCTGGGAAGACAGGTGAAGTGGCACTCCATCCTGGAAAGACAGCTCTGCTTTCTGATCAGGTAGGACTTTCTCACTCTCTCTCACACTTCAAGTTGAAAATTCAACAGCCAACTAAACCAAACAGCCCGCAGACAGTTGCCTCTGACTGACCATTGTCAACAGCAATGTCTCTTTGTTCTCTGTGAAGTAAGTGGAATAAATGGAGCACTGCCTTAATGCCCTTGCCAACTGAGTACTCAATAGTTCTGTTGTTTAAGGGCTCAACCCCTCCCACTACCCAGAGAATAATGTGCTCTGAAATCTAGTGACAACCCAAGGTAGACTGGGCACTCTGGAAAGGAGGCATGGCCTGCTTGTTATAATGCTTGTGATATCAGACATTTTTAGAACTAGAATGAAGTGAAGGATATTGAAAATTCCAAAAAAGGCAAGGCACAGTGGCTCATACCTGTAATCCCAGTACTTTGAGAGGCCGAGGAGGGCAGATCACCGGAGGTTGGGAGTTCCAGACCAGTCTGGCCAGCATGGTGAAACCCCATCTTTACTAAAAATAGAAAAATTATCTGGGTATGGTGGTGCATGCCCGTAATCCCAGCTACTTGGGAGGCTGAGGCAAGAGACTCGCTTGAACCTGGGAGGCAGAGGTTGCAGTAAGCCAAGATCATGCCGCTGTACTCCATCCTGGGCAACAGAGCAAGACTCCGTCTCAAAAAGGAAACAAAAAATTAGCAGTGCATGGTGGTGCATGTCTGTAATCCTAGCTACTCGGGAGGCTGAGGCAGGAAAATTGCTTGAACCCAGGAGGTGGAGGTTGCAGTGAGCCAAGATCGTGCCACTGCACTCCAGCCTGGGTGACAGAGCAAGACTCCATCCCAAAAAAAAAGAAAATTCCAAAAAAAGTAATATTCACATATAAGGTTAAGTCTAGGCTAAATGTTGCCTTAAACCAGGGGTGGGCAAACTATAGCCCAGGAGCCAAATTTAGCCTGCAGCCTGTTTTTGTAAATAAAGTTTTATTGGAACACAGCCAAGCTCATTCATTTAGGTATAGCACATGTCTACTTTTGTCATACAACAGCAGAATTGAATAACTGTAATAGAGAACAGATGGCCTGCAAAAGCCTGATATGTTTACTATCTGGCCTTTTGCAGAAAGAATATGCTGGCCCTGCCTTACACTCAACTGTAACCTTTGGGGCTTGGAAGTCACCACAGGCCCTCCATTTTTAGGGCTGTTTGGTCAATGCAAGGACCTTAGTTATGTGAGCTACTGTTACCCACTAGTAAATGCCCCAATTTTTATCAGAATGAAGTAGAATATCTACCTCTCCTTGCCTATTTTGCTTTTTACTTCAAAACTACGTTTAACATTCACTTTCCCAAAATGATGAGAAATTTTGATTATCCCAGTTCTATTTAAAGAAACATTTGATTTTTAAGGTGCCTCTTTGCCTTTTTTCAACAATGGCCCCGCCTTCTGCTTGGCACCTTCAGTTGACGGTTTCTTACTACTTCATACTAGGTGCTCATTTGTTGTCCATCTCCGAGTGACTTTCCCATTTTCCTCATTCTCAGCCACTGACAGTCAACATATTTTTAAAAGCAGTGGCCTGTGGCACTAACGAGCCACAGTAAAGATCTGCAAGTCCCCTCTGCCCCCACTCCCCGCTTTGAAATCAAGTCTGGTAGGTCAGCCCACTTCTTACATTTCACATACACAGATGCAGGACTTCATACACAGGTACTCTTACAAACACACATTGACACATAGTCTTTGAGACTAAACTTTCATTCAGTGATGTCTGTTTTACTGCTCCATATATCTTAGGGCTTGAATTCTTCCTAAGTGGAAAATGCTAGGAGCTCCAAAAACTTGGCATATTCTGAAAACGTGTATTGCAGCCATTTGTTTTCTACTATTATGGTGGATTTGTGGGCCAGCAGCATAAGTAGGTAGGCTTCACATTAGTTTTTGATGTTAAAACTATGTAGATAGATATTCAAAATACTTGATAAATAATTTTTAAGAGTGCAGACCAGCTGGGCACGGTGGCTCATGCCTGTAATCCCAGTGCTTTGGGAGGCTGAGGTAGGAGGATCACTGAGGCCAGGAGTTCAAGACAACCCTGGGCAACATAGCAAGACCCCATCTCTACAAAACATTTTAAAAATTAGGTGGCACACACCTGTAGTCCTAGCTACTTGGGAGGCTGAGGTGGGAGAATTGCTTAAGCCCAAGAGTTGGAGGTTACTGTCAGCTATGATTGTGCCACTGCACTCTAGCCTGGGCAACAGAGCAAGACCCTGTCTCTTAAAAGGACAGAGAGAGACAGCATACCTTTTAAGACTGACCATTTTTATAAGCAACATGGAAAAATGTTGATGTAGAAGATTCCAGATCATTGCCTTCCTAGAGAATTTCAAATCTAGAACTGTTTCTATACTTTCTTTTGTTTTTGCAGTAAGCCCATAGCTCTCCACTGAATATGTAAAATACTTTAAATTCTGCTAAAATTTAATGTAATAGAGGTTCTCTGCAGAGGCCACTTTTGCCCCTAGTGAAATTCTTGCTGAAAGAGTCATTATGAAATGGCAGATTAATTTATCTTTTCTACATCAAAATCTATAGTGAAGAGGGATATAGCTTCTCACCACCCCAGGCAAGGCACAGGACCAATGGCAGAGGACCAGGTGAGTTGGACATTCCTGACCATGAATAAAAAAGGAAGATGAAAAGGAGGTGGAAGAAGAGGAGGAGGAGAAGTAGGAAAAGAAACAGAAGTGACATGTTTAAGGACTGTTGTTATATCTTTTTTTTGGATCTCCTGGTCTCAAGCAATCCTCCTACCTCAGCACCCCCACCGAGTAGCTGGGACTGCAGGCATGCACCACGATGCCTGGCTAATTTTTGTAATTTTTGTAGAGATGGAATTTCACCATGTTGCCCAAGTTGTTCTTGAACTCCTGGACTCAAGCAGTCTGTCCACCTTGCCAACCCAAAATGTTGGGATTACAGGCGTGAGCCACCATTCCCAGCCTGTTGTTATATCTTTCCTTTAATGGATTGTCTCTTCATATTTTTTATGTCTTTTTCTCTCACTTCTAGAAAAGTTTTTAATATATTAGGCATATTGGACCTTTATGATATATATTGCAAATATTTCCTCCCAGTTTATCAGCCTGACTTTGCTTACAGAATTTTTGCCATGCAAATGGCTTCTTTTTTTTATTTTTTATTTTTTGTAGAGACGAGGTTTCACCATATTGCCCAGGCTGGTCTTGAACTCCTGGGATCAAGCGATCTGCCCACCTTGGCCTCCCAAAGTGTTGGGATTACAGATGTGAGCCACTGCACCCAACCCTTTCTTTTTTTCCTCTCTTTCTCTCTCCCTCCCTCCCTCTCTTTCTTTTCATTCTTTCTCTCTTTCATTCTCTCTCTCTTTCTATTCTTTCTCTTCTTTCTCTCTCTCTTTCTCTTCTTTCTTTCTCTATTTCTTCTTTCTCTTTCTTTCTTCTTTTCTTTCTTTCTTTTTCTTTTTTATTTTCTTTCTGTCTTTCTTCTTTCTGGAAGGTTCTCACTCTGTCATCCATGCTGGACTGCAGGGTAGCAAAAGTGATCCTCCTGCCTCAGCTTCCCAAAGTGCTGGGATCACAGGCCTGAGTCATGGCACCTGGCCAGTTTTTATTTTTATGTAATCAAGTTTGTCTGTTTTTCTTTCACTGCATCTGGACTTTCAGTCACAGTGAGAAAGTCTTTCCCAACACCAAAGGTAAAGATAACACCCATGAAATGAAAAATCTTTTCATTTTTTACATTTAGATCTCTGATCCATTTGGAGTTTATTCTTATATGTGTGAAATATAAATTAATTTTATCTTTTTCCAAATGGTTAACCAGTTTGTTTGTTTGTTTGTTTTGAGACAGAGTTTTGCTCTTGTTGCCCAGGCTGGAGAGCAATGGTGCAATCTCAGCTCACGGCAACCTCCACCTCCCAGTTCAAGCACTTCTCCTGCCTCAGCCTCCTGGGTAGCTGGGATTACAGGCATGCACCACCACACCTGGCTAATTTTTTTTTTTTTTTTTTTTTTTTTTTTTTGAGACAGAGTTTCGCTCTTGTCGCCCAGGCTGGAGTGCAGTGGCTCCATCTCGGCTTACTGCAGCCTCCACCTCCCAGGTTCAAGAGATTCTCCCGCTTCAGCCTCCTGAGTAACTGGGGTTACAGGCATGTGCCACCATGCCTGGCTAATTTTTTGTATTTTTAGTAGAGATGGGGGTTTCTCCCTGTTGGTCAGGCTGGTCTCAAACTCCTGACCTGAGGTGATCCATCCACCTCGGCCTCCCAAAGTGCTGGGATTACAGGTGTGAGCCGTCGCACCCGGCCTAACCAGTTGTTTTAACACCATTTATTAAAATTCCTTCTTGGTCCCAGTGACTTGAAATGGTGCCTTTATCATTTACAGTACTAAAGTTTCATATAAGCTTGGGTATTCTTCTAGACTATCTATTTTACTCCACTGGTGTCCCTGCATATTCACGTGCCAGTACCATATAGTTTTAATTATAAAGGTTTTATAGTGTGTTTTCAGTCTGGGAGGGCTAGTGGGCTCATCCCTTCTCATAGATTTTCTTTTTTAGTGTTCTCTGTTTTTGTTTTTGGTTTTTGATTTTTGTTTTTTTTGTTTTTGTTTTTTTGAGACAGAGTCTCGCTCTGTCGCCCAGGCTGGAGTGCAGTGGCACGATCTTGGCTCACTGCAACCTCCACTTCCCTGGTTCAAGCAATTCCCCTGCCTCAGCCTCCCGAGTAGCTGGGATTACAGGTGCATGCCACCATGCCCGGCTAATTTTTTTTGTATTTTTAGTAGAGATGGGGTTTCATCTTGTTGGCCAGACTGTTATCGAACTCCTGACCTCAGACAATCTGTCGGCCTCGGCCTCGCAAAGTGCTGGGATTACAGGCATGAGCCACAGCTCCCAGCTAGTGTTCTCTGTTATTACATGTTTATTTTGCATATGAATTTAAGTATCAACTTGTCTAGCTTCATGAAAAAAAGTTAGAATTTGAAGTGGAGGTGGAGACTAAGTTAAATTTACTAATTAATTTAGGGAAAACTGACATCTTTATGATGGTAAGCCATCCTATCAAAATATGAGATATCCTTTCTTTTGTCAAAGTTAATTCTGTCTCTTTTAGCAGAGTTTTAAAGTTTTCCTCATATAGATTTGCACATTTCTTATTAAATGTATCCCTAATATTTTATCTTGTTTGTTGCTGTTATAATGAGGATTTTCTCTGTCATTCTATCTCTAGATGGTTACTGCCTGCGCATGTGAAAGTTACTGATCTCTACATACTGTTGTTATATTCTGCTACTCTGTTCAATTGTTTGAATTAATTTTATCATTAATTCTCTAGGGTTTTCCAGGCACACCATCATATCATCCAAAAATAGCTAATACATTTCTCATAGAAATTTTCAGGTTGATTTGAACACTTATATGAAAATGCAGTGAATCTAGAAGAGCCAAAACAAAAAGAAAAACATACTGCTGCCACCTGATTTCAGATTTCACTGTAAACCACAGTAGTTATGACGGTGTGCTGTTGGTGTGAGGACAGACAGATCAATGAACAGAATAAACAGCCTGGAGATGATACAGTGACCAAGACAACTAAATGGGGAAAAGAACGTCTTTTTGAACGAATGGTGCTGAACAACTGGTTACACACATGGAAAGGAAAAAACCTTGATTGATTACTACTACTACCACCTGATCTTTACTGCTCTTTTGTGGTCTTAATTGTATCATCTGTGAAATAATTATGCTGTAGGTCCACAGTTCCTTACCTGTGGATCCAAAATCAAAAATTCTCTAAAAACTGCAAGTTTCTTTCTAAGACTTTTTGTGCCAAAACCCAACCATACCTGGATTCATTTGGTCACAGACCTGATCTGAAATGATTTGAGGCTACTTGTAGTCTCTATGTAATTTAGTATAGTCACACATTTCACTGCAGATATACACATTTACTTGATTACAAGTTGTTACCTAGACCCTGCTGATTGAGTTCCATACTATATATTATATGCAATATATTACCTAACTAAAATCCAAAAAGTTCTAAATTCATACATATACGTGAATTAAATAATCCATGTAAAACACTTAGTATAGTGTCTGGAACAGAGTAACCCCTCAATATAATATAGGGGTAATACTAGCCTGGCACAGTGGCTCACACCTGTAATCCCAGCACTTCGGGAGACTGAGGTGGGCGTTCGAGACCAGCCTGGCCAACATGGTAAAACCCCATCTCTTCTAAAAATACAAAAAGTAGCCGGGCATGGTGGCAGGCACCTGTAATCCCAGCTACTTGGGAGGCTGAGGCATGAAAATCGCTTGAACCCAGGAGGCGGAGGTTGCAGTGAGCCGAGACTGCACCACTGCACTCCAGCCTGGGCAACAGAGCAAGACCCTGTCTCAAAATAATAATAATAATAATAATAATAATAATAATAATATAGAGATAATACTATCACTATTACTAGTACTACTACCTCCACAACTACTATTATCATTACTATTATTATAAATTGTAGGAGTAGCCAATAAAGTGACTAAACACAAATTAAAAGGAATTAATAACAATAGAGATTTAAAGGACTTGTGCAGTATCTGTAGGTGAGTCAAGCTTCCCTAGAGTCTACAGGGAAGTGGCATTGGTGATTCAACAGAGATACCCAGGAGGAGATGGTGAAACAAAGCTGACTGCCTGTCAGGAAACTTGCCCCTGCCCTCACTCTTGGGTGGGGATTCTCCTTGCATTGCTCCATTTAGAAAACCTGAAAGGATTCGAAGACGCGGCATGCTTCCTGATAGACCACAGTCAGGAAAAGATTGTTATCATCCAAAAGGCATTTACTTTTCAGGGAAAGTGAGAAAGAAAGAGAGGAGAGGATAAATAAATACATGGAGAAAAAATAGAGAAGGGAAAGAGAGAAGAACCCAAGAGAACAATCGCTTTTCCTCCTCCTTTTTCTTGGGCAGTCAATGCCTGCCTCGCACCTGTAGTGACTCCAACTGCTGCTTCAGGAGTAAAATCAGTCCTCAGGAGTAAAATCAGTTGACTGCACAAACTCTGAAGGGGTGGTAGCTGAGGACAACAGGTGGAGAATGACTACCTGGAATAGTCACCTCCCCGCACTTTGGGACAAACCCCCAAGGCTGACAGATGGCACTTAGAGAAGGGGCTCTTCCTCCTTTATTCTCTAGTAGAGCATATCACAGACAATGGGACAAGAATCAAATTGATAACAATATTGTCAACATGAACACTGGAAGTAACATATATGTAATACACAAATACATATTTATTGCTGTACTATAAAGGGGAATACATCCCAGTCCTTTTTAAAGGTTAGCATAACTTTGTTACCAAACCAGGAAAAGACATTATCAGAGTAAAAAGCTATAGGCTCATTTTACTCATAAATGTAGATTCAAGAATCCTTAAAAAAAAAGGAAATTAAATTCAACAATGCACAGGGAAGGTGATACCCTTGCCCAATTGGGTTTATCTCAGGCATCCATATGTTAGTTTAATATCAGAAAAACTATAGATATAATTCACCATAATAGCAGATTAAGAAAAGAGAAGATTTGTGATGATCTCAAGTTTATGCTGATAAAATCCAATATAAATTCATAATACAAACTTTTAACAAATCAAAAATATAGCCAGTTTCCTTAACCTCATAAAAATGTCTATAAAAAGCTTTTAAGCAAACATCATTCTGTATGGGAAAACACCAGAAATATCTTCTTTAAAGCAAAAATGAAACGAGATGTTCACTCTTACCACTCCTCAATAGCAATAAAAAATTAGAATCATAAAGATAAACCATTTTATTTATAGACGGCATTATTATTTACACAGAACAAATAAGATAATTTATAGGCCAGGTATGGTGGCTCACTCCTGTAACCCTAATACTTCAAGAGTATCACTTGAGACCTGGAGGTGGATCCAGGTGGATCAAGGAGGATCACTTGAGTCCTGGAGTTTGAGACAAACCTGGGAAACATAGCAAGACCTCGTCTCTACAAAAAACTTAAAAATTAACCAAATGCGATGGTTCACGCCTGTAGTCCCAACTACTGGGGAGGTTGAGGTAGGAGGATCTCTTGAGCCCAGGAGTTTGAGGCTACAATGAGCTATGATGGTGCCACTGCACTCCAGCCTGGGCAACAGAGCAAGACTCCATCCTACCCTTACTCCCCTCCCCCACCAAAAAAAAAAGAATTTACAGGTGATATATTCGAAATAGGAAAGGTTAGCAAATTAGCAAGACAGTTGCATTTCCAAACACCAGCAACAAACAACTAGAGATTGAAATTAGAAAGAAGACCTCATTTGTAATACTTCAGAGACTATTAGGAGCCTAGAAAAAAATTCTAGCAAAACATACATAAAACATATACAGGGAATTTTTTAAATTTATTTTTTAGAGACAGGGTCTCTGTCACCCAGGCTGGAGTGGTGTGGCACTATCACAGCTCACTGCAGTCTTGAATAAAGCAACCAAAATGAATGAAATATAGCAACATGCAACAATATGGATGAATCTTACCAATATGAAGTTAAAAAAGTCTCAGCATATTTACATAAAGCATACTATCCTTTTCATAAAATGGAAAAGTATGTTTTTTAGAAATTCATATAGTTGAGTGAAGAAACTGCATAGAAAGAAAGCAACAGATTGATGAATGCTGGTCTTTGGATTGTAGTACCTCAGGAAGGCAAGAAAAGAGAAGAGGAAAGAACATAAGTAAATGTAAGATATTGTCAAAGTCTTAGTGTTTATAATGAGAGATGGATTCATGGTTGCTTATTATATAATAATAATACAACGATGAGGAGAGAGAGAGGGGAAGAAATGGACATTCATAAGCCAATGATAAGAGTGAGTTGGCCGGGCGCAGTGGCTCACACCTGCAATTCCAGCACTTTGGGAGGCCGAGGTGAGCAGATCAGTTGAGGCCAGGAGTTCGAGACCAGCCTGGCCAACATGGTGAAACCCCTATCTCTACTAAAAATACAAAAATTAGCTGAGGGTGGTGGCACATACCTGTAATCCTAGCTACTTGGGAGGCTGAGGCAGGAGAATCACTTGAACCCAGGAGGCAGCGGTTGCAGTGAAGCTGAGATCACGCCACTGCACTCCAGCCTGGGCCATATAGCGAGACTCCATCTGAAAAAAAAAAAATGAGTCATGACCAAGGATTATAATTAAGTGAACTTTGATAGCCCGTGAAAAATGAGCCATAACAACAGCTATAAAAGTTATTGACCAAGAAAAACAAGAAAAGTAGGTGGTTTGGATTTTGCAAAGTTTCTGGAATAAGTAAACCCACTTAGCCACAGTGTGATTAAAATTCTACTTTAAAGTGATATCTGAGACTAGGTAGAAGGAAGATTAAAAACTTTTTGTTATAAGGGATAAGAAACTTGATAAAGGAATTCTCCAGGTTCAGGACAGATGGCAGAGGACAGAAAAAGGCTCAGATAGATGCACAGCAGCGAATCAGGGAAGAAAAGAATCCCCACTGGACCAGAAATACATCAATTCTCTTCAGTAGAGCTAAGAGCTTTGCCAGCTCCTTCCTGAGCAACCCAATATACATCTTTTCAGTTAGTTGTTGTTTTATAGACTGAACACTTATGCTCCCCTCTCCAAATTCATAAGTTGAAGCCCCAAACCCTGATGTGAGGGTATTTTGAGATGGGGCCTTTGAGAGGTAATTAGGGTTAGATGGGGTCATGAGGGTGTGGCACTAATGATGGGATTGGTACCCTTATAAGAAACAACACAGAGCGCTTACTGTCTTTCACTCTCTAACATGTGAGGACACAGTGAGAAGGGGGCCATCTGCAAGCCCGGAAGAGAGCCCTCATCAGGAACTGAATCAGTTGGCACCTTGATCTTGGCCTTCCCAGCCTCCAGAACTGTGAGAAAATAAATTTCTATTATTTAAACCACCCAGTCCATAGCATTCTGTAATGGCAGCCTGAGCAGACTGAGGCAATTGTATAGCAATACACTTACACGTTTACTCACTCATTCAATGGTGTGAGGTTAGTTGTTTCCAATAAAGCCTGTTGCCATTCGTCCAAAGTGAAGAGCCCTTCCAGATATTTTTATTTATTTATTTATTTATTTATTTATTTTGGAGACGGAGTCTCACTCTGTCGCCCAGGCTGGAATGCAGTGGCATGATCTCGGCTGACTGCAACCTCCGCCTCCCAGGTTCAAGTGATTCTTCTGCCTCAGCCTCCTGAGTAGCTGGGACTAGAGGCGCGCACCACCACGCCCGGCTAATTTTTGTAACTTTAGTAGAGACGGGGTTTCACCATATTGGCCAGGCTGGTCTCAAACTCCTGACCTCATGATCCACCTGCCTCAGCCTCCCAAAGTGCTGGGATTACAAGTGTGAGCCAACATGCCCGGCAGATATTGTTATATTTACATGGATGGAGTGGACCGTATCCAAGCATTGTAGACCACTGAGATCAAAACCAGGGAAGAAGCACCCTTACAAAACACTGCTTTAGTGAGGACTATTTCTGCCTGGGAGCGCTACACGTTAAATAATTGAAAGAGGATAAAATGGCTAGATAGGCCAACTTCTCCGCACAACTCAGGTTGGTTACTGGCCTTTGAAGGCAGAAAAACCTGTTGGTCTGAAATCTCAGTGGCTCACTGCCTCCACCTTCTGGAGATTTGGAGACATGGTAGTGTTGTTGTTTGCCATGGTTAGCTTTCTAATTTCCTTTCACCATTCTCATTACTGGAAATTAATATCAGGATAAAAACAACCAAAATCCTATCAAGATATTGTAGTTTGAAGGCTTTAAAAAACACTATGTTCTTTTTAATGTCATTTTTATAACAGGAAAACAGATAACTGGTACCTGGAGTCTCTTTTGTTCAACTTGTTCAGTTTAAATAGATATTTTGAATCTGGGCAGCATAGAAAGACCCCGCCTCTACAAAACATTTACAAATAAGGTGGGTGTGGTGGTGCACACTGGTAGTCCTAGCTGCAGCCCAGGAGTCAAGGTTGCAGTGAGCTATGATTGCACCACTACACTCCAGCCTAGGCAACAGCGTGAGACCCTGTCTCTAAAAAAAAGAATAGATATTTTGTGATCTATAGTCTATTCCATTTTCAACTAAGGACAAAGTAAAAAGTTACCTTCTTTCACATACTTACACAGGCCTCTGTTTTACTTTCATAGATCTTTATGAGTACAAGCCCTGTGTCTTCCAGGCTCTTAAAATAATGCACCATCGATTCATCATAGAAACTCTTAGGAGACTGGAACTAGAAAAGAATTTTCTTTATCTGATAAAGGCTATTTACAAAAATCTACAGTAAAAACCATTTTTTTTTTTTGAGACAGAGTCTTGCTCTGTCACCCAGGCTGGAGTGCAGTGGCACGATCTCAGGTTTGCTGAGCTTAAAGGAGACTGATTGCTGTTCTGGTAAGAAGCTGGAAGATGGCCCCAAATTCTTGAACTCAGCTAATGCGCCATCGCTGATGTGGTTCCTAGCAAGCTCACGTGTGCTGAGAGCTTCTCTGACTATTCTCCTCCGAGTTGTTTTGCTGTTCATGATGTGAGACACACAGTTGCTGTGGGTATCATCGAAGCAGTGCCCAAGAAGCCTGCCAGAGCTGGCAAAGTCACTGAGTCTGCCCGGAAAGCTCAGCAGGCTAAATGAATAGTATCCCTCATACCTGCCCCCAATCTTAATCAGTGGTGGAAGAATGGTCTCAGAACTGTTTGTCTCAATAGGCCATTTAAGCTTGATAGTAAAAGACTGGTTAGTGATAAAAATGCACTGTAAAACCTTCAGAAAGAAAGAATATTTTGTAGACCACACACCACACAATGTGTGTGTGTGTATGCGTGTTTGTGTGTGTGTCAGTTTTAAGTTATTAGTTTTTAAAATCAGTCCTTTTAAATAGAAACAACTTAGGTTGGGCATGGTGGCTAACACCTGTAATCCCAGCATTCTGGGAAGCCAAGGTAGGCGGATCACTTGAGCCCAGGAATTTGAAACCATCCCGGGCAACATAGCTAGACCCCATCTCTACATAAAACACACACATAAAAATTAGTCAGGTGTGGTAGCACATGCTTGTAGTCCCAGCTACTCAGGAGGCCGAGGCAGAAGAATCACTTGAGCCCAGGGAAGTCAAAGCTGCAGTGAGCCATGATTGTGCTACTGCAATCCATCCTGGGTGACAGAGCAAGACCCTGTCTCAAAATAATAAATAAGTGGAAACGACTTGGCAAAAAATCTGCCACAGAATTTTGAGAACTATTAAAATAAAGTCTAATGAGAAACATGTGTCTTGGTCAACACTGAAACTTCTGTAGAAATGTGAAGTCATCTGTTTCTAGTGTTGAAAATCCGCTGAAACTTGATGAGAATTTGAACTTTGGGGGTTAACATTTTTTCCAGGGCATGAATTGAGGAGTTTTGTTGTTGTTGTTGTTGTTGTTGTTGTTTGAGATGGAGTCTCGCTCTTGTCACCCAGGCTGGATTGCATTGGTGTGATCTCAGCTTACTGCAACCTCTGCCTCCCGGGGTTCAAGTGATTCTCCTGCCTCAGCTTCCCGAGTAGCTGGGATTACTGGTGCCCGCCACCACGCCTGGCTAATTTTTTTGTATTTTTAGTAGATACAGGGTTTCACCATGTTGGCTGGGCTGTTCTCGAACTCCCAACCTCAGGTGATCCACCCGCCTCGGCCTCCCAAAATGTTGGGATTACAGGCGTGAGCCACTGCGCCCAGCTTGAATCGAGTTTTTTTTTTTTTCCCACTTATGTCCAAAGAGGAATCCTGTTTCAAGTACCTAGTGAAAAGCTGTGGAAGGGATTTGTTTGTTGCAACACTATTGTTTAGGACAGAAAAGCAGAGTAATTTTGTTTATATGAAATCTAAGTTGGGGGCAGGTGCAGCGGCTCATATCTGTAATCACAACACTTTGGGAGGTTGAGGCAGGAGGATCACTTGAGACTGGGAGTTCAAGGCCAGCCTGGAAGATATAACAAGACCCTGTGTCTAAAAAGTAATTTTTAAAAAAAATAGCCAGGCATGCTGGCACATGCCTGTAGTCCCAGTTACTCAGAAAGCTGAGGTGGAAAGATTATTTGAGTCTAGGAGGTCGAGGCTGCAGTGAGTCATGATCACATTACTGCACTCCAGCCTGGGCAACAGAGTAAGACCCCATCTCAAAAGAAAAGAAAAGAAAGAAATCTAAGTTGGAAGGCCAAATTGTAAAGGCCATGTGTTACATATCAAAAAAAAAAAAAAAAAAGTGGGGTGAAAACCAAGAAAAATTAGCAAGAGGCATGAATATCCAAATGGCCAATTAAAAATAAAAAAGTGCTCCATGTCATCAGTAACCAAGGAAATGCAATGAGATGCCACTGTAGACCCACTGAAATGGCCAAAATTAAAAAGTTTAATAAGACTGGGATGGGAATGTGGAATAACAGGACATCTCATCACTGCTGGTTAGAATACAAACTGGTAAATATATCTTAGAAAATGCCTTGGCATTGTCAACTAAATTTGAACATTTGTATTCTTGTCATCAAGCAGTTCCACTCCCGGTATATAAGATATGTGTAAGTTGATTGGGCCCGGTGGCTCACACCTGTAAGTCCAGTGCTTTGGGAGGCCAAGGCTAGAGGATCGCTTGAAATCAGGAGTTTGAGACCAACTTGGGCAACATAGCAAGACACCATTGCTACAAAAAATAAAGAAAATTGGCCAGCATGGTAGCACACACTGCTACTAAGAAAGTGATGGCAGGAGGATCACTTGAGCCCAGGAGTTCAAGGCTGCAGTGAGCTATGATCATATCACTGCACTCCGGTGTGGGTAACAGAGTGAGATCCAGTCTCTCAAATAAATATATAGATGTGTGTGTACACAAACACATGTGTTCAAGAATGTGTATAGCAGCAATATTTTCAATAACCCCAAATTGGAAACAACACAAATATCCATTAAGAGCAGAAATAATATATACTTTTTTTTTTTTTTTTGAGACAGGGTCTCGCTTTGTCACCCCAGCTGGAGTACAGTGGTGTGATCTCGGCTCACTGTAGCCTCGACCTCCTGGGTTCCAACAATCCTCCCGCCTCAGCCCCCCAAGTAGCTGGGACTACAGGTGCATGCCACCACACCCAGCTAATTTTTCTATTTTTAGTAGAGATGGGGTTTTGCCATATTGCCCAGGCTTGTCTTGAACTCCTAAG